>NT_113891.3:2400000-3600000 GCF_000001405.40 Homo sapiens | reverse complement strand
GCCACTGCACTCCAGCCTGGCGACAGAGTGAGACTTTGTCTCAAAAAAAAAAAAAAAAAAAGGCCAGGTGTGGTGGCTCATGCCTGTAATCCCAGCACTTTGGGAGACCAAGGAGGGTGGATCACCTGAGGTCAGGAGTTCAAGACCAGCCTGGCCAACATGGAGAAACCCCGTCTCTACTAAAAATACAAAATTAGTTGGGCATGGTGGTGGGCGCCTATAATCCCAGCTACTCAGGAGGCTAAGACAGGAGAATCACTTGAACCTGGCAGGCGGAGGTTGCAGTGGGCCGAGATTTGCCATTGCACTCCAGCCTGGGCAACAAGAGTGAAACTCCAACTCAAACAAACAAACAAACAAAAAGATACTAAAGAGACGTAACAAGATCATGCAACTCAAGATCCTGATTTGGATCTTCCACTGTATATTTTTTTCTGTAAGGACAGTTGGAAAAATTTGAATAATCTGTGAGCGCATATTCAGGAAAATTTGAATCTATGTTTATATTTAAATATAACATTAACGTATATAAATAAATGTATATATATTTAGAGAAAAAAGATATTAATGTAAACATGACAAAATGTTAACATTTGCGAAATCTAGGTGAGGAGTATAAATGACTGCTTTTTGCTATTTTGGTAACTTTTTTTTTTTTTTTTTGAGACAGGGTCTTACTCTGTCACCCAGGCAGGAGTGCAATGGTGAGATCTCGGCTCACTGCAGCCTTGGCCTCCTAGGCTCAAGCAATTCTCGTACCTCAGCCTCCCAAGTAGCTGGGACTACAAGGGCACACCACCACGCCCAGCTAATTTTTGTATTTTAGGTAAAGACAGGGTTTTGCCATGTTGCCCAGGCTGGTCTCAAACCCCTGGGCTCATGCCTCGGCCTCCCAAAGTGCTAGGATTACAGGCGCAAACTTTTCTTAAGTATGAAATTATTTCAAAATAGAAAGGTCTTAAAATCCTTTTTTTCTTTTTTTTTTGAGACAGAGCCTTGCTCTGTCACCCAGGCTGGAGTGCAGTGGCACCCTGTCGGCTCATTGCAACCTCCGCCTCCTGGTTTCAAGTTCTCCTGCCTCAGCCTCCTGAGTAGCTGGAACTACAGGCGTGCGCCACCAGGCCCACTAATTTTTGTGTTTTTAGTAGAGATGGGGTTTCTCAATGTTAGCCAGCTGTTCTCGAACTCCTGACCTCAGGTGATCCACCCGCCTCGGCTTCCCAAAGTGCTGGGATTATAGGCGTGAGCCACCGCACCCAGCCAGATGGAGTTAAAATCTTTTAATTAAAAAATATTGGCCAGGCAAGCCGGGTGCGTGGGCTCACGCCTATAATCCTAGCACTTTGGGAGGCCGAGGCGGGTGGATCACGAGGTCAGGAGATCGAAACCATCCTGGCTAACACAGTGAAACCCCGTCTCTACTAAAAATACAAAAAAATTAGCCGGGCGTGGTGGCGGGTGCCTGTAGTCCCAGCGACTCAGGAGGCTGAGGCAGGAGAATGGCGTGAACCTGGGAGGCAGAGCTTGCAGTGAGCCGAGATCACGCCACTGCACTCCAGCCTGGGCGACCGAGCGAAGACTCCAACTCAAAAAATATATATCTATCTATATATAGAGAGAGATATATATTGGCCAGGCGCAGTGGCTCACGCCTGTAATCCCAACACTTTGGGAGGCCGAAGCAGGCGGATCACAAGGTCAGGAGATCGAGACCATCCTGGCTAACACAGTGAAACCCCGTCTCTACCAGAAATACTAAAAATTAGCCAGGCATGGTGGTGGGCACCTGTAGTCCCAGCCACTTGGGAGGTGAGGCAGGAGAATGGCTTGAACCCAGGAGGCGGAGGTTGCAGTGAGCCGAGATTGTGCTATTACACTCTAGCCTGGGCGACAAGAACAAAACTCTGTCTCAAAAAAAAAAAAAAGGAAGAAACAGTGACTTGGAACATTAAAAATGTTATATAACCATGAGCTATCACTGTCATTCATAGGGTTGTGGTAGATGTGAAATGACATGATGTACATAAAACTCATCACTTACTATTATATTATTACAATATTTTAAGAGATGTCCTGCCTTCACTGAAAACTGTCCAGTGCCTTCCCATCTCACTCAGAATTTAAAAAAAAAAATCAAAAGCCTGGTTACCGGGACTGTCGGGAAATAGGGATGAGGAGATATATATATATATATATTTTTTTTTTTTTTTTTTTTTTTTTTTTTGAGATGGAGTTTCGCTCTTGTTGCCCAGGCTGGAGTGCAATGGCGCAATCTCAGCTCACTGCAACCTCTGCCTCCCAGGTTCAAGCGATTCTCCTGCCTCAGCCTCCCAAGTAGCTGGGATTACATGCATGCATCACCACACCCAGCTAGTTTTGTATTTTTAGTACAGACAGGGTTTCTCCATGTTGGTCGGGCTAGTCTCGAACTCCCGACCTCAGGTGATCCACTGCCTCGGCCTCCCAAAGTGCTGGGATTACAGGCGTGAGCCACCACACCCAGTCTATTTTTTAATGGGTATACGGTTTCAGTTTGGGGAAAAAGAAGTTCTGGAGATGGATGGTGCTGATGGGTGATGGTTTTACAATGATGTGAGTATACTTAATGCCACAAAACTGTACATTTTTAAATGGTTAAAATGGCAATTTTATGTTATGTATATTTTATCACAAAAAAAAGAAAAAAAAATATCAAGGGCCTTACCTTGACCTGCTAAGGTTTGACATGCCTGGTCCCCTGCTACCACTTTTAGCTCCTCTCCTGTCCTCTCCCCAGCTCCTTGTGCACTAGCCATGCTGGCCTCCTTATTGCTCACACGTGCTTCAGGGCCTCTGCAGGTGCCAGACCTTCTCCCTGGGGGGTTCTTCCACCCAGAGCACAACTCCCTCCTTCACTTCCTTCAGTCTCTAATTGAATGGTGACTTTTCCAGGAGGACTTCTTCGGCCACTATTGAAACTAGGCCCCGGACATCCTCTAATCCTTTCCCCTGCCTTATTACCTGACATATATATTTGTATGTATGTATCAGCTATCTTACAAACTAGAATATAAGCTACATAACATTAGGGACTTCTCTTTTATTTACCACTGCATCCCTAGGGCCCAGAACAAGCCTGCGCCCATAATGTTGAATAAATATTTGTTGAGCAATTCAAGTAGCTCAGGTGACATTACAGATCACACATGGTGACCTATAACACAGGCAAGCACATAGTACCATGGAGCCATGGATTTTTTTCTAAGGAATAGGATGGAGGGGACAAAGCTGGAGGCTGTTATAATAGTCCAGGTAAGTAAAGAGGTGGTAGGAAATGTGATAAAATGGTATAAAACTACACACACACATTGAACCAATGTGAATTTCCTGGTTTTGATACTGTGCTATAATTACATAGGATGCAACCACTGGGGGAAGCTGGGTGAAGGGCCTCGCTATACTATCTTTGCAATTTCCTATGAATCTATAAGAATTTCAAAATTAAAAGTTTTTATAAAGTGGGGGAGGGGGTGATAGGGATGGAGAGGAGAAGAGTCAGCAGGACTTAGTGACTGGCTTGATACAAGGGGTTGGGATATGACTCCCAGGTTTTGGTCTTGGGTGACATGATGAATGGGGGGAGGAGCACTAACTGAACAGTGGAAGGAGCAGGCCAGTTTAGGCATGAGATAAAGACCAACTGGGGTTGGGGGATGTCTTTAGCCAATCTTCAGGCCACAAAATCCCTTATTACCTGGACTGCCAGGGAGTAATAACACCATCATCAGGGCCCCCAATCAGCACCAGGTGGCCCACACGCAGAAAGTTCTTCCGCCATACTGTAGGATGGGAAGAAGAGAGGCTGAGTCAGCCACAGGGGTCAGGCCAGGTTGGAGAGGGAGACATAGGGAGTCAAAGAAGCAGAAAAAGCAACACAGGTAGGAGCCTGAATTCTCACCTGTGGCATTGGGATGGTCTCTTTCCCCATTGATCAGGGCCAGGAAGCTGCTGGCATTGAGGTACAAGTCATCGTGGTGGGGATCTGGGTACAAACAGCAGTTAGAAAAAGAAGCAGAAAAGGGAGGCAAGACTGGTGGTGAAAAGCCCAATAAGGAAGCTGCAGCAATAGTCAAGGTGGATAGTAATAAAATAGTAGTGATAATGTAGGCCAGGTGCGGTGGCTCACACCTGTAATCCCAGCACTTTGGGAGGTAGAGGCAGGTGGATCACTTGAAGTCGGGAGTTTGAGACCAGCCTGGCTAACATGGCGAAACCCTGTCTCTACTAAAAATACAAAAGTTAGCCAGGCGTGGTGGTGCATGCCTGTAATCCCAGTTACTCGGGGCGCTGGAATCACTTGAACCCAGGAGGTGGAGGTTACAGTGAGCCGAGACTGCACCACTGCACTCCATCCTGGGAGACACAGTGAGACTCCATCTCAAAATAATAATAGTAGTGATAACAACCGTAAACATAGTAACAAGTACTTTTTTTTTTTTAGATGAAATCTCACTCCGTCACCCAGGCTGAAGTGCAGTGGCAGGATCTCCGCTCACTGCAACATCTGCCTCCCGGGTTCAAGCAATTCTCCTGACTCAGCATCCTGAGTAGCTGGGATTACAAGCGTGTGCCCACATTCAGCTAAATTTTTTTTGTATTTTTAGTAGAGATGGGGTTTCACCATGTTGGCCAGGCTGGTCTCGAACCCGACCTCAGGTGATGCGCCCACCTCCCCCTGCCAAGATATTGGGATTACAGGTGTGAGCCACCACACCTGGCAATAGCAAGTACTTCTATCTAGTATCTACTATATGAGCCAGGTACTATTCAAAGTACATTGCATTCATTTATTTATTTAATCCTTACAACCACCTGGTGAAGTACATGCTATAATATTTTACAGATAAGGAAAACTGAGTAACAGAATGGTTAAGTAACTTGCCCAAAGGCACCCAATAGGGTCAAGATTCAAACCCAAGTATTCTGGCCCCATGGTCTGGTCTAGAGGTTGGCAAACTGTGACCAAAGGACCAAATCCAGCCTGCTACTTGTTTTTGTAAATGAAGTTTTACTGGAACACAGGCACATTCATTCACATATGGTACATGGCTGCTTTCACACTACAACAGCAGAATTGAGGAGTTGTGAAACAGACTATATGTCCTACAAAGTCAAAAATATTTACTCTCTGGCCCTTTATAGACAAGGTTTGCTGACTCCCACATCAGACTAAACCTTCTAAGGCAATAAGGTGACACACTTAAAACATTCTGGGCCAGGTGCAATGGTTCACACCTGTAATCCCAGCACTTTGGGAGGCCGAGGCGAGTGGATCACCTGAGGTCAGGAGTTCGAGACCAGCCTGGCCAACATGGCGAAACTCCATCTCTACTTAAAATACAAAACTTAGCCGGGCATGATGGCGCCTGCCTGTAATCCCAGCTACTAGGGGGACTGAGGCAGGAGGATCACTTGAACCTGGCAGGCGGAGGTTGCAGTGAGCCGAGATGGTGCACTGCACTCCAGCCTGGGCAACAGAACAAGACTCCGTCTCAAAAAAAAAAAAAATTCTGAACAGAGCCTGTTCAAATAACTCAATAAATGTAAGTTATCTTTATTGTCATCACTGCTATTGGTTGTAGCAGAGGTGGAAGCAACTGACCTGATCCATGGAAGCCCCAGTTCAGCATCCCCACTCACCATGCCAGTAGTTGCAGATGGAGAATTCCTGGCCCCAGGGGCTATAGCAGATCCGATAGAGGTTAGACCGCATGGAGGTGGGGAACAGCCACTTCAAGTAGTCCGTGTCTGGCAAGCGAATGGCAATGCTAAGTGACCATAAACCTCTGTTCCCCCAAAACTCAGGGCATTCTATGGAGTCTAGTGCCCACTCACCTCCATACTGTCCCATCTGTGGAGAGGAGAGGGAGATGAAAGAATCCACGTTGTGATCATCCATGACAGAAAGCAGAGCCCGGCACACAAGGCCCCCTGTAAGCAGAACACCACATTGGGCAGGCACTTAAGGACAGCAAAGCCAGCAGCACCCCCCACCCCCACCACACACACACACACACACACACACACACACACACACAGAGACACACACAGACACACACTGTACACAAAGGAGACTGAGGCTTACAGAAGGCAGGCACACCCTGTGCCAAAAGGTCACACATCATATAAGTGACTGAGCCCGAATTAGATGCTGGGCCTCCTGCCTCTAGTTCTAGGATGTTTTTACCTGCCCCATTAGCCCTTATGTCCAAGAACCATGGGTAACAGGAAGCAAAAGGGCAGCAGTGTAGGGAGCCTCCCTCCCATTCAAGACAGAGATGAGACCCAGGTGCTGAGGGAAGTCAGAAAGGAAGGGCTCAGGTACCAGGGTTGTGCCTGGAGCAATGTGGTTCAGAAAAAGGGACGCTAGGAAGTGTCCCTCAGATAAGGATCAAGCCTCAGATAGGGCTTAGGAGTTAGGGGCAGGGGAGTCGCCTACCCTGCGAGTAGCAGATGAGATGCACCCCTTGAGGGGCCTTTGCCATGATGGGGACCACAGCCTCTCGGAACCCTTGCACCTGTTCCCACAGGGGTCGCAAGCTCTCTCTCCCATCGAAGAGATCGAGCACTGTCACCACAGTCCCGGGGTGTGTCTGTGGGAAGGGGGCAATGCAGCCACCGGGGATAGGCTAAGAAGCTCCCACACGCCACCCCCTGGCCCGCGTCCACAGGTCTATTGTACCCTGCTAGAACCAGGGATCCCGTCCCCCAACTCTCCCCCACGCCAGCACCAGCTCCCTGAGGAACTGGGCAGGCCCAGAGGGGTGGCTTTCAGTTCCCCGCTCTCCCTCCCCTGCCACAGTAGACGCCTCTAACGCCCTGCACCCAGGTGTCCCCTGCCAGACCTCATTGATGTATTCCAGCAGGTGGCGGAAGCTGTACGAGCTGTCGAAGAGCCCATGCACCACGATGACCGGCTTGTAGGACTCGCGGTGGGGCGCGGGGGCTGCAAGCAGCAGCAGCGGCAGGAAAGGCAACAGAAGCAGGACCCACGCCGCGGGGAGCCGCTGCCCCCAGAGCCCCAGCATGCTCCCGCCTGAGAAAGGGGTGATAAGGGCATGTGAGGGAGATGGCAACACCCTCCTCCCTCGGAACAGACGCCCGGCAATCAAGCCACCTCCTCTCGCTCCCACACCAGGTCCGTGTCACAAAATAGCCTACTTTTAACTTACTCCAGCCCTCTCCCTACAAACACACCCCCCCACCACGTTGACGCACCAACGCGCACCCGAAGTCCCGCCTCCAACTCAGCGTTCGGGGGACTTGTTCTCTAGGTCCAGGATCTTCCTAATGCATCGCCTCAGCCATGAACAACGCGGAGTTCTTTAATACCCGTGAGCAGCAGCCCAGGCCCCTTGAAGAGTGCAGACTCCCACCTGGCCTGGGTCCGTAGGCCTCGCTCCACCCGCTGTTTACTTATCCCAAGTCTGGAACCCACGGTGGCGGGGGGAAGGGTGAGGAAAGAGAGCGCAGGGGAATGACGGATGGGAGGGGGAAGGGCGGGCTGCTTGGGGTCGCGCAAATCCGTCACGTCCGGGGCTTTCTCTGGCAACCGCGCGAGCGTTCCCCGCAACACAGACCCAGGACAGGAGGGGCAATGGAATATTCCATTGCGCCCTAGGTGCTGGGGAGGAAACAGGCGGAGCGATCCATTTAGGCCAGTGGGGAGAGGAAAAAGCAGCAAACATATTCTGGGAATGGAAAGAAGGCCTCTCCAGGCTTCGTTGCCCCCAGCGACCCAAAAGTCCGATTTCCCCGCCTTGATTCTCCCCACTTCCCAATACAGGCGTCTGGCTCCGCAGCAGAACACGAAGTTTGCATTCCCCAAGGGGCGGCCAGGGGGCGGACCAGGGAAAGGTAGTCCTCTGCATTTTGCCGTGTGCTGGGTGAGTGGCAGGGTGGCCTGGAGGGCTGATGCCAGCCCGGGCGTGCCCCTCAACACCCACCCCACCCCACCCTCCAGTCCGCCCCAGGTCAGCGACTTACAACTCTTCATTCTGAAGTGCGTGTAGTGCCCTTGTCTCCAGAGACGCAGAGAGTCCTCGAGGCCCCTTGAGCTAAGTGCAGCCTGGCCCAGTTTCTCCTGCCCTACTCTACTCCCCTCCCTATAAGCGACCCACCCTCAAGGGGCGGAGGGCGCGTAGGGATGCGCTGACTCATGCCCGCGTAATTTCGACCAGTCTTTCAACCTGAACGACCCCCAGAATCTGGCTGTCTGAGTTATCTGTGGGTGGCTCCCTACCGAAACCCCCAGGCGCCCCACCTCTCCGCCTGTGACCCCTAACCGACACCCTAGTGCCTCAGGGCTTTTACTTGCTAGGGCTTTTACTTAGCATTTAAAGACGTTTCTCTAGAGATAAGGATTTCTCAGCATGTCTGAGCCCCTCTCTCTGTTTACAAGGTCATTGCTTGGTCTAAATTTGTCTCAATCAAAACATTTTTGCGCTCAGAATGGTGTAGAGTGACGATGAGGTGGCGGTAAGGGGTTGAGCGCTCACGCGAACGCCTAAGTGACCAGAACGACTGGTGTGAAGCCGTGATCTGACTCTGTGGAGCCTGGGACTGGTTTCAGCGAGAGCCTCTGTACTGCTCTGTAGTCTCTGCTAGGACATGGACGAAAAGGGACGCAGCCGGGAGAGCGACTGCCCCAGGTGGGGGCTGGGGGGACGTAAGGGAAGAATAATGATTATCTGGCTGTGTTTTTGTTTAAAAAAAAAAAAAAAACTGGTGTAAATCTCCATAGACTTCCTATCCTCGCTCCCTTCACCCACCCACGCGCTCCCAAGATGCAATAAGCAAATAAAAAGACTAATAACGCTGTACTGCAGGTCGACTCAGGAGCTGGAGATGCGTCTTGGTGGGAGGTGGTGGGTGGGAGTAGGGGGGTTTAGGGAATGGATCTGAACATTGACCAGCCCAGAGACTCTAAGCAGCCTCAAAAGCAAAGGGAAAGTGGGGGAACAAGCACACATTACCAACAGAGCTGCCAGAAATGAGCAGTTAAGTCATACCCCCTACCCCCTCCAAAAGAGCTTCAGCTCCTTAGTCCTGGACGAAGAAGGTATGTATGCACACCGCCCAAACTCTCTCTCCCTTTTCCCTCCAAGGCCCAGCTCCCCCTGATTTACAGACCTGGGCCTCCCTCTTTACTGCTAGGTTGGTAGGTTCACCAAACCCTGGGAACTTTTCAGACCATCGCAGTTCTGAACTCTGCACAATTCTCTCTCACACACAAGTATTTATCTCTTCTAAAGAGGAGGAAACTGGGGCCAAGGATTTGGGAGAAGACCCTGGCACCTTGCAGGGAGCTAAGAGGGGGAGACGACCTGCCTCTGGAGGCACCTGGGTTATTAACTCCACTGAGAACCTGTTCACTTCCTCCCACAATACAATCACTGAGTCTTGGTGGGGGAGACTCCAGAGAGTTCTCCTTCCTTCCTTTCCTTAGTCCCACCCGCCTCGCCTGGTCTAGCCTCCGTGTTTCCATGACAACTCCAAAGGAGCCCAAACTGGGGGCTTGAATGCCGGGGTAAGAGGAGGAGAGAGGTGGTCCGAGAGCAGAGAGAGACCGAGTGGGAAACATCTGAAGCGCTCCCCCTCCCTCGCCTCGGTCCCTTTAAGCTCCCCCCCTCCCCGCTCTCCCTCCGCCCGCCCCCCCCGCCCCCCCCCCCGCGCCGCTGCCTTCATCTCTCCATCTCTGCGCTGCTGCCGGCTGCGCCATCCAGCACCCAGACTCCAGCACCGGCCGAGGACCCCCACTCCGGCTGCAGGGACCCTGTCCCAGCGAGACCGCAGGCATGTCATCCGAAAAGTCAGGTAAAAACAATAACAAAACCTCCCACCCCCTCCACTGTCTCCAGACTCTCCGTCCCCCTTGCCCCAACCCCCTCCCTTACCCCTCCTCAGCTGTGGTTCTATTTCATTCCCCTTCTCTCCAGCTCTCAACACTCCCCCAGTCCCCCTCCTCTTTCTGTCTCCCCCTTTCTCTTCCTTTCCTCTTTCCAGTGGCAGCCTCTGCCCCTTGCCAACAACATGGTCAGGGGGGTAGGTTGAGAGGGTGAAGGAGGTACAGCCAGGTTTTGCAGGGATGGCATCATTGGGAGTGACAGATGGACAATCACTGGCTGGCATGGAGACATCCTGTGAGGAAATATGGAGACATGACCAGATGGGGGTTGTCAAGGGAGCAAAATCCAGAGGGCTCTTCTTAATCTGCCCTAAAAGAGGTCCCGAGATTCTCACAGAGGCTGGGGCACTCCTCCCCCCACTGAAGGAACAGCAGAGTGGAACACATGTCATCCCACATGTGTTTATACAACTGTTGAATTGAGCACATATTAACACAGGGTTGCATGTCTACGCATACGCACACACAGGACTAGCTCGGATAGGCCAGCCCAAAGGCAGCTATAGCAAAGGAGAGGGGATTAGGTCTGCAGGTGAGAGCTGGGTGCATGGTGATGAAAAAGACAGAAAAGAAGCAGACCAGAGTTGTGACCTCAAAACTAGATTGGAAGGAAGAAGGAGGGGGGCAGATGGCCTAGATACAGCCCCTCTCTTGCCCCTCAAATTAGAGATGGTTTCTCACCCGTCTCTCTCTATGTGTCTCTCCCATTATCTTTCTCCATCCCTGACCGGCTGTGTTTCCCCTTACCCCCTCCTCAACTCATCACTGTGTCATCTTTCCTCTTATACTCTCCTCCACTCACCTCCCCCAGGACTCCCAGACTCAGTCCCTCACACTTCTCCGCCGCCCTACAATGCCCCTCAGCCTCCAGCCGAACCCCCAGCCCCACCGCCACAGGCAGCCCCTTCCTCACACCATCACCACCACCACCACTACCATCAGTCTGGCACCGCCACCCTCCCGCGCTTAGGGGCAGGGGGCCTGGCCTCTTCCGCGGCCACCGCTCAGCGCGGTCCCTCCTCCTCTGCCACGCTGCCGAGGCCCCCCCACCACGCCCCTCCCGGCCCTGCTGCCGGGGCACCCCCACCCGGCTGCGCTACCTTGCCCCGCATGCCACCCGACCCTTACCTGCAGGAGACTCGCTTCGAGGGCCCACTTCCCCCGCCGCCGCCCGCTGCCGCCGCCCCGCCCCCGCCGGCGCCAGCCCAGACTGCCCAGGCCCCTGGCTTCGTGGTGCCCACGCACGCGGGGACTGTGGGCACGCTGCCGCTGGGGGGCTACGTAGCGCCCGGATACCCCCTGCAGCTGCAGCCTTGCACTGCTTACGTGCCGGTCTACCCGGTGGGCACGGTGAGTGCCGGGCAGACAGGGACATGGGAAAGAGGGGGACGCGATACAGGACTTGAAATTGGGGATACGCTGGGGGCTGGTAGGATAGAGGAACAAGGGCAGGGAACAGGTAGTGTTCCCGGGACAAGCCCTAGAAAGAAGGGAGCCTGAGACAGGAAGGACTAGGGAGAGACCCGGGAGTAGGAGTCTACTGGTGCCCAGAGTCAGGGCCTGGGAGGGGGATCGGAGCCTAGAGGTTCAGAGGAGGTCTGAAAGTAGGAAACCGCCTGGCGGGGGACGGGGGGAATGGAAGCTGGGAACCAAGAGGGATGTGGGAGAAGCCTGGGACTAAGGGGGTAGGGGAGGCCTGGTAGGTGTCTGGAGGGAAGAAAGAAGGTCTGACCTGAGGCCAGGACAGCCCCAGTGGGACCATACCTTGCGGGAGAGAATGTAGAAAGCCCAAGAATATGGTGGTTAATGAAGCAAGGAAGGGAGGAGAGGGGCTTAGGTGGAATTTATGGGTGTCCTGGAAGGGTAATGGGTGCTTTATTTTGAGAAGCCATAGGTAAAAATTGTGCTTTTAAAGCCACTCTGCCAGCCGCCCAACGCTGGTAGGCTGGGAGAGGGTCAGAGTGATGCCCCTGCCCCCCAAATTTCCTTCCACAGCCATATGCAGGCGGGACCCCGGGGGGAACAGGAGTGACCTCCACTCTCCCCCCGCCGCCCCAGGGCCCAGGGCTGGCCCTACTGGAGCCGAGGCGCCCGCCACACGACTACATGCCCATCGCGGTGCTGACCACCATCTGTTGCTTCTGGCCTACTGGCATCATTGCCATCTTCAAGGCCGTGCAGGTAGGGGGCAGGGGCATACTCGGTTTGGGGGCGGGGACAGGGAGTTCTGGGCGTTCTGGGGACCATCTTAGAGAAAGGCTGAGGCGTTCGAACGAGGCCGCAGCTCTTTGACCTCCTTCCCCCACCCCTCCTCCGTAGGTGCGCACGGCCTTGGCCCGCGGAGACATGGTGTCGGCCGAGATCGCTTCACGCGAGGCCCGGAACTTCTCCTTCATCTCCCTGGCCGTGGGCATCGCGGCCATGGTGCTCTGTACCATCCTCACCGTAGTCATCATCATCGCCGCGCAGCACCACGAGAACTACTGGGATCCCTAAAAACGCCCCTGGTCCGGCCCCACTCTGCGCCCCTCGATCTCCCAGGCTCTTTCTGCAGTCATACCGCGGACCCAATGGGCGCCCTGCACACCCGTTTCTGGGGCCGTCAGACTTGGATACATCGTAAACTCCGCCTCCACGGAACGTCTCGCCTTGCGAGCAAGCTCGGAATCCAGTTCCTCAGGAACCCCTCCAAAACCCACACCCCCAGGGACGCCGCTTTCCGGGATCCCGGCCAAACGCCGGACCCTCAGTCGCTCCAGGCCCCCTCACCCTCAAAGTGTAGCGCCCCCAACCGAGCAACCTCGGTTTGGTCCCTAAAACCCCGCCTCCTCTATAAGCACCGCCCCAGCTCTGACAAAACCCCGCCTCCAGGTCGGCAGGCTCCGCCTTCTTTTCTTCTCCGCGGGGTGATTCAGTCCAGTGATTGGGTTTGTGGCTCCAGGCCTCGCCCACAGACGGACAGACCCCTCCCTTTCTTCCGGCAAAAGGACCGAGCCCTGGGGTAGTAAGGCCCCCACACTCCTGTTTTTTGCAAGTACATTTTTGTCCCTCCTCCACCCAGGTATCTGCCTATTTTCTTGCTAATCCCAGAACCTTTCCTTTTGCTTTTTTTAAGGACATTTGGGAAGTTCCTGGTGTAGGACCCTTCTCCCTGGGATAAGAAACCTGCCTGTAAACGCTCTGTAAATACTCCCTTCCACCCATCCCAGCCCCTGGGCAGCCGGGCAGAAGGGAATCCAGGCTATGGACCTCCCAAGTCCCCGCTCCCCGCTCCCCTCGGCGGCCCCGCCTTGTTCTGATCTGTGTGTGAGTGTGTGTGAACTTCTGAAAGACAATATTAAAGAGACTTAGTTGATTTATCGCCCGCAATTCCAAAGACTGCGGCCCCGCAAAGACCCTCCCCACTTTTGATTCCGCCTTTCACTTCCCTTCATCTCCTCTTCCAAGGAAAAAAAAAGAAAACCCGACAGAGACTAACGTGAGGGACACAGATTCCCAGATCGCCAGAGAGACACGTGAATATGGGGGACGGAGGGGAGCTCCCTGGGAATCCACCAAGGAAGACCTTGGGGTCCATTCTCAGTGAGGCTTTATTTTCTTAGTGAGGCTTTATTTCCCCAGTACCCCTTTTCCATTCCCTACTATCCCCAGAACTCCAGGAAGACAAGAGAACAGAGAGGGCAGACCATGGTGAAGAAGCTGGTCAAGGATAGAGTGATGGGGGCCAAGAAGAGATGCCAGCTGCCCATAGCTGTTCCTGACTGTGGGCTGGAGGGTGGCAGATAACTTGGATTAGAGCCCCACATGCTGGACTGTAGGGGGTATAGGAAAGGCAAAGAGAGCAGATTGCTGTGGGAGCCCAGGGAGGAGGTCAATGGCCTCTCAAGTCTCCCTGGGACTAGTTGCCCTCTCCTATCCTGAGGTCAACCAATAGGCCTCTTTTCTGAGGGGAGTGGTGATTAGGGGATGCTGCCAGCAGTGGGCTTGGGTCTTTGGTTGTACACCCACAGGACAGGGTCCTAACCTAATTTATGCATTTATGCAACATGCAGACTCCATGCTGGATGCTGGTGAGACATCCACCCAGACAGCAGGTGTGACCCCTGACCTCATGGAGCTTACAATCTAGAAGGGAAGCCATGCACTGAGATAGGAAATGTGATAGGAGATGTGGGAGGAGGGTGGGGTGAGGTGTGAATATCATGGGTTCGCCCTTGGATGTTTCGCATTTAATGTGCCTACCTTACCAAACTTCTTGAAAAACAGAATTCACGGCTGGGCACGGTGGCTAACACCTGTAATTCCAGCATTTTGGGAGGCCAAGGCAGGCGGATCACTTGAGGTCAGGAGTTCGGGACCAGCCTGGCCAACATGGTGAAACCCCATCTGTACTAAAAATAATAAATTAGCCGGGCATGGTGACGGGCACCTGCAGTCCCAGCTACTTGGAAGGCTGAGGCAGGAGAATCGCTTGAACTTGGGAGGCGGAGGTTGCAGTGAGCCAAGATCAAGTCATTGCACTCCAGCCTGGGCAACAAGAGCGAAACTCCATCTCAAAAAAAAAGGGGCAGGGGGGTGCGGAATATTGCTATCAGAGATATGTCTGTATCTGTCTTTTTTTCATACCCACTATTTCTTGACTTATTGGAATATGCATCCACACCCTATTCTCCTGAAACCTCCCTCTCAAATGGCAACCAATTACCCAGATCCCAAATCAATGGCATTTTCACAGTATTCTGCCTCTCTAAGCCCTCCCATGTTTGTCCCTTGACCCTGAATTCCCCACATACCCAGGTTCAAGAACGTATTACCTCCCTTCCCCCGACACACACACAGACCTCTAACCATTCCGCCTCTGCCTTCCCTCCTTGCTTTTTCTCCTCCCTTCCCCTAAGTGTCCATCTCTGATTTTTTTTCCTTCTCTGAGACTTTCCTTTGAAAAGCTCATTCACTCAACTCAGCTAATCAAATGCTTTTCCAACCTGTATTTTACATGCAGACGTTTTTTCCAGTGCCTGAAGATCATAGCCACATGGAAGATGCTTGCTGGTCCTCTAAAATCAACACATTCCAAAACAAACTGATGAAATGCCACAGAAAACCTGCTTCCCTGTCTCTGTTAATAGACCATTTTCCCAATCACTCTTCCTTATCTAGAAATTTGCCGCCTCCTCCCTCTCCCTCCTGCCTTATTTTTGGTGTGCTCTCAAGCCTAGTCAGTTCTGCCACCACAATGTCTTTTGAATCTGTAATTTTTCCCCAGCCCTTGCTGGAAAAATTACCTCATTAGGATTATTGCATCAGCTTTCCCAACAGGTCTCCCTACTTCCTACTTCTCCCTACCTCAAGTCTCCCTCCACACTATTGTCAGATCAGCCTCCCTAAACACACTTTCATAACTCCACTGCTCAAAAGCCCTTCAAGGTTCCCTATTGCCTACTCAATTATTTACAAAATTTTAATCTGGCCTTTAACACCTTCCATAATTTAAAATCATCCAGCTTCTCTGTTCATTCTAATTTCTAACCATACTGAATTACTCATCATTCCCACCTCCAGGTATTTGCCCAGCTGTTCCCAAATCTTAGACCTCCTTCCCAAATCTCTGCCTATTATAAACCAAATTGTTTGCAGCTTGTCACAAATTTCAGAGGCTTTAGACCACATCTAGGCTCTTGCTCATGATGTTCTCCCCCTCTTGACATCTGCCTCTCTACTTGGTCAAATTTTATTTACAATATCTTTCAAAGTCCGGATCAATTCATCCCTCACTGTAGCAAAAAGGTGTCTCTCTTTCCTCTGGGTTAGATTAAAGCAGTGGGTTTCCAAACAGAGCTTCAGGCATTCCTTGGAGCAACGGTTCTTACCCCAGGTTACACATTAGAATCCACTGGGGAGCACTGAAAAATCTGAAAGCCCAAGTCGCATCCTAAAACAATTAAATCAGAATCTCTGGGCTCAGTGCCAGTGGCTCACACCTGTAATCTCAGCACTCTGGGAAGTCGAGGCAGGAGGATCGTTTAAGCCCAGGAGTTCGAGACTAGCCTGGGCAATATGGTGAGACCCCATCTCTACAAGAAAGTTTAAAAACTAGCCTAGGCCAGATCGAGACCATCCTGGCTAACATGGTGAAACCGCGTCTCTACTAAAAATACAAAAAAATTAGCTGGGTGTGGTGGCAGGTGCCTGTAGTCCCAGCTACTCAGGAGGCTGAGGCAGGAGAACGGCATGAACCCGGGAGGTGGAGCTTGCAGTGAGCCGAGATCGTGCCATGCACTCCAGCCTGGGCAACAGAGCGAGACTCCGTCTCAAAAAAAAAAAAAAAAAAAAAAAATTAGCCTAGGCCGAGCGCGGTGGCTCACACATATAATCTCAGCACTTTGGGAGGCCGAGGTGGGTGGATCACCTGAGGTCAGGCGTTCAAGACCAGCCTGGCCAACGTGGTGAAACCCCGTCTCCACTAAAACTGCAAAAATCAGCCGGGTATGGTGGCACATGCCTGTAATCCCAGCTACTCAGGAGGCTGAGGCAGAAGAATCGCTTGAACCTAGGAGGCGGAGGTTGCAGTGAGCCCAGATTGCACCACTGCACTCCAGCCTGGGTGGCAGAGAGGCACTCAGTCTCAAAAAGAAAAAGAAAAAAAAAATTTAGCCGAGCCCCATGGCTCACCTGTAGTCTTAGCTACTTGGGAGGGTGAGACGGGAGGATTGCTTGGGCCTGAGGGGCAGAGGCTTCAGTGATCAGAACACGGTGCTCCAGCCTGGGCAACAGAGTGAGACCCTATCTCAAAACAAACAAAAAAGAATCTCTGGGGGTGGAACTCTGGCATCAGTATTTAAGACATAACCAGGTGATTCCAAAGGGCAGCCAAGGTTGGGAATCACAGGTTTACAGACACTTTAAGGACCACCCAGGGAGAATGGAAAGGCCAAAAAATGACTTCAACCCGGGCAATTTTCTTTAGGAGAAAAGTATCTAGATCTAAGATTCATGTTATCTGCATATTTTCTCATCTCTTCCCACCTGATATCTTGACATACACAGTTTACCTTGTGAGCTACTTGAAGGCAAGAGTCAAATCTGGCTTATCTCTGTTTTTCAGATCCTCATCAGATAAAACCTCCTCTACCAATCTTTGAACTCAATTGAATTGAAAGGAATCAGGCAAAGGGAGAGATGAATAAAAAATGACTTAGCTTTCTTTTGCTTTTCCTTAGGAATGTTTGTTTCTTAATCTCAGATCTCTTAACCTCACCCAGACTCCTCCCTCATGAGGAAATAAAATGTTACAATGTGTGGCCGGGCGCGGTGGCTCACTCCTGTAATCCTAGCACTTTGGGAGGCCGAGATGGGCGGATCACGAGGTCAGGAGATCAGGACCATCCTGGCTAACACGGTGAAACCCCATTTCCACTAAAAATACAAAAAATTAGCTGGGTGTGGTGGCAGGCACCTGTAGTCCCAGCCACTTGGGAGGCTGAGGCAAGAGAATGGTGTGAATCCCGGAGGCAGAGCTTGCAGTGAGCCGAGATTGTGCCACTGCACTCCAGCCTGGGCAACAGGGCGAGACTCCGTCTCAAAAAAAAAAAAAAGTTACAATGTGATCCTCTTCCTATCTGACTCACCTCCCTCTGCAGGTGATACCCTTGGCTGTGGCACCTCTACTGACAGAGACTCCATCCTCTAGGAGAGGCTCTGCCCTCCCATAACATCTGTATGGGTGCTCTCATACAGATGGGGGAAAACCATGATTAGATTCTGGGTCATCATTCCCCCTCTACAATGGAAGATTCAGCACCTGATCACTCTACTTCCACCGCTCATTTCATTTTCTTCTTTTTATTATTTATTTATTTATTTTTGAGATGGAGTTTTGCTCTTCTCGCCCAGGCTGGAGTGCAGTGGCGCAATCTCGTCTCACTGCAACCTCCGCCTCCTGAGTTCAATAGATTCTCCTGCCTCAGCCTTAGTAGGTGTGATTACAGGCATCTGCCACCACGCCCAGCTAATTTTTGTATTTTTACTAGAGACAGGGTTTCACCATGTTGGCCAGGCTGGTCTTGAACTCCTGATCTTAGGTTATCTGCCTACCTCGGCCTCCCAAAGTGCTGGGATTACACACGTGAGCCACCGAGCCCAGCCTCTTTTTCTTTTTTCTTTTTTTTCTGAGGCAGGGTCTCGCTCTGTCACCCAGGCTGGAGTGCAGCAGCAGGATCATAGCTCACTGAGCTTCGATCTCCCGGTCTCAAGTGATCCTCCCAGCTAATTTTTTTTATTTTTATTTTATTTTTTTTTTTTGAGATGGAGTCTGGCTCTGTCGCCCAGACTGGAGTGCAGTGGCACAATCTCAGCTCACTGCAACCTTGCCTCCTGGATTCAAGCAATTCTCTGCCTCAGCCTCTGAGTAGCTAGGATTACAGGCGCCTGCCACCACGCCCGGATAAATTTTGGGTTTTTTTTTTTTTTTTTTTGAGACAGAGTCTCACCCTGTCGCCTAGCCTGGAGTGCAGTGGTGCGATCTCGGCTCACTGCAAGCTCTGCCTCCCGGGTTCATGCCATTCTCCCGCCTCCCACCTCAGCCTCCCAAGTAGCTGGGACTACAGGCACCCGCCACCATGCCCAGTTAATTTTGTTTTTGTATTTTTAGTAGAGACGGGGTTTCACCGTGTTAGCCAGGATGGTCTCAATCTCCTGACCTGGTGATCCGCCCTCCTCACCCTCCCAAAGTGCTAGGATTACAGGCTTGAGGCACCGCCCCTGGCCTGTTTTTTTGTTCGTTTGTTTTTGTTTTTTTTGGACGGAATTTTGCTCTTGTTGCCCAAGCTGGAGTGCAATGGTGCCATCTCAGCTCACTGCAACCTCTGCCTCCCAGGTTCAAGCGATTCTCCTGCCTCAGCCTCCTGAGTAGCTGGGATTACCGGCGTGTGCCACCATGCCCGGCTAATTTTTTGTATTTTTAGTAGAAATGGGGTTTCACCATATTGGTCAGGCTGGTCTCAAACTCTTGACCTCGTGATCCACCCGCCTCGGCCTTCCAAAGTGCTGGGATTACAGGCATAAACCACTGCGCCTGGCCTCTGGCCTTTGATATTTAATAGAGATGAGGTCACACTGTGTTGCCCAGGACAGTCTCGAACTCCTGAATTCACACAATCTGCCTGCCTCAGCCTCCCAAAGTGCCGGGATTATAGGCATGAGCTACAGTGCCTGGCCCCGTTTTATTATTTTTGTTTTCAATGTTCATGCAGATTCTCTAGCACCCTGCCCTTCTCTTGCAGTGATTTATTTCTCCCTGCTTCCCTCTCGCCCTATGTCATACCTTCAACTTGGTTGCCACCAATACCTACTGCCCTTCTAAAATCTCATCCTCAGTCTTTTCATGTTGCTCCCCAGTACCCCTATCCCAAAAATTCTTCAACCCCATCTGGGCCTCCCATCCACTAACTTACTTTTCATTGTTTGATCTCAATTCTTCACTTTCCTCATTACCCAGTTTAGATTCCAAGGTTCAACACGGTAATCGCCTCTCAGCCCTCACCCTGTACTCCTGGCCCCCCTTCCTCTGGCACATTTTATCCCTGGTCAAATCCCACTCTGCCTGCTCCACACCTGCATTCAACAGCTGGGGAGAAACACACAGTCATACTGACTGGTCTTGCTTCCTGCGGGCCCTCAGTGTGGCATGCCAGCTCGCCTTTCCCTACTCAGTTCACATTCCCCAAATCTGAGACCACAACTTCACAAGATGATGACTTTTCTTCCTATTTCAGTGAGAAAACAGAAACTTTCAGAAGGGAAC
The DNA here is from genome assembly GCF_000001405.40 of Homo sapiens. Lineage (NCBI taxonomy): Eukaryota > Metazoa > Chordata > Mammalia > Primates > Hominidae > Homo > Homo sapiens. Next base: position 3,580,252 of record NT_113891.3, on the reverse strand, counting down.
TTCCTCATGTTCCCACCCCAAATTCACCAGTCTACCTGCAACTCTACCGCAGAGAAGCTGACATGCACCCACCTGCCACCTCATCTGTACCCCGGGATCCTGTTCCCTCTCACCTGCTCAGAGATGTTATTCCTGAAATTATCCCCTATCTCTCTCTCTCTCACTTAATCAGTTTACCCCTCTGTACTGCAACACTCCCATCATTATGCAAACATGCTATAAAATTATACTTCATCTCTGAAAAGAAAGAAAAAAACTGTTTCGCTACTCACCTAGGTAGTAAAAGCACAACATTCAGAGAATGGTGCTTACCCTTTGGCAGAAAAGCAATCTGGAAAGGGAAATTCAGGGAGCCTTAACTATACTGGGGAAGATTTTACCTCTTGTTTTTGCTTTCTTTTTTTTTTTTTTTTTTTTTTGAGATGGAGTCTCCCTCTGTCACCCAGGCTGGAGTGCAATGGCACGATCTCAGCTCACTGCAACCTCCGCCTCCCGGGTTCAAGCGATTCTCCTGCCTCAGCCTCCCAAGTAGCTGGGATTATAGGCACGCACCACCACACCTGGCTAATGTTTTAGTAGAGACAGGATTTCACCATGTTAGCCAGGCTGGTCTCCAACTCCTGACCTCAGGTGATCCGCCCACCTCAGCCTCCCAAAGTGCTGGGATTACAGGTGTGAGCCACCTTGCCCTGATGGGAAGATTTTACTTCATAAGCTGCCTGATGTTCACAAAATTATTCTTTGTAATACATATATATTTATGCATATAAATTATAATTTTATATGTATAAAATAATGCATTTATTTTTAAATTTAAAAACTCTTCCCTGACCCAGCTCACTCCCTCAGTGTTCCACTTCTCTCTCCACTTAACAAAACTTCTCACTGCCTCTACTTTCTCACCTCTCATTCACTCTTGAATTTCTCTCAATCAGGCTCTCATCCCCACCACTTTACTTAAACCACATGTCAGAGTCACAAATGACCTCCAAGTTTCTAAACCCAATGGTCAAGGGTCAGTTTGTGGCAGGCCAATTCTCCCTGACAGTCACACAGACAGGCCTGCATAGCACCCCAGTTACACAGACAGATTTCCACAGCATTGCCTTAACATTGAGCAAATAGTTAAACCTAGGGGAATTGGTGTACAGACATCAAAGCTAGAAATGAAACACATGGTGAGTAAGAGCCTTGCATGGGCTTCTCCCTTGCTGGAGCAAGTCAAAATAACAGAGACAGCCTTACATTCCTAGTGCCAGGACTCGTCTCGGGTCGACGATATCTGAGACAAGTCAAGGTAACAGAGGCAGCTGTTTGAATAGATTCATTGGAGAATCTAAGGCAGCTCTCCGCACCAAGCTGTAAAGGAGATAAGATAGAAATAATCACTCTGGTACCACAGTAAACAGGCCTTGAAGGTACTGGGGCCCTCACAGCTTAATCAGACTTAGCAAGAATTTTTTTGCCTCTGACCCTCTAGTTGAAACAAAATTAGTTACTGATAGACTTTGGTGAATGCCATACTGCATGTAGGCATATAACCTAAACCTGTATAAACACTAAGAAAATAGTAACACTGGCCGGGTGTGGTGGCTCACACCTGTAATTCTAGCACTTTGGGAGGCCGAGGTGGGTGGATCACAAGGTCAAGAGATCGAGACCATCCTGGCCAACATGGTGAAACCCTGTCTCTACTAAAAATACAAAAATTAGCTGGGCGTGGTGGCACGCGTCTGTAGTCCCAGCTACTCGGGAGCCTGAGGCAGGAGAATCATTTAAACCCAGGAGTCGGAGGTTGTGGTGAGCCAAGATCGCACCACTACACTCTAGCCTGGCGACAGAGTGAGACTCCGTCTCAAAAAAAAGAAAAAAAGAAAATTGTAACACTTTGAGTTGGTCTGGTGGAATTATCTCCGACCCTTTCCCTGTATCCGGTGACAGCAACAAATTCCCTTCTTTCCTAGTTTGTCTGCTTCTCGTTATTGGGCCACGAGAAAACACAGCCAAACCTGGCTTAGTTCCAGGAATAAGTTCTCAACTAGAGTCTAAACTAGGGTTTCTCAGTTTCAGGGATTATTGACATTTTGGGTCAGATAGTTCTTTGTCATGGGGGTCTGACCTGTGCATTGTCTTGCCAAGTATCTCCTGTGGGACATCTTGACCAGTGGTTTTCAAGAGTGGGTGATCCTCCCATCCCACCCCCAGGAACATTTGGCAATGTCTAGAGTTGTTTCAGTTATCACAACTGAGGAGGTGCTCCTAGCGTCTAGTGAGCAGCGGCCAGGCATGCTGTTAAACTCCTTGCAACTGGAGGACACAATAAATAATTATTTCACAGCCATAGTAAAGAATGAAATTGGCCGGTCGCGGTGGCTCACGCCTGTTATCCCACCACTTTGGGAGGCCGAGGTGGGCAGATCACCTGAGGTCAGGAGTTTGAGACCAGCCTGGCCAATGTGGTGAAACCCCGTCTCTACTAAAAATATCAAAATTAGCCAGGCATGGTAGCACGTGCCTGTAATCCCAGCTACTCAGGAGGCTGAGGCAGGAGAATCGCTTGAACCTGGGAGGCGGAGGTTGCAGTGAGCCAAGATCATGCCATTGCATTCCAGCCTGAGCGACAAGAGAAAAACTCCATCTCAAAAAAAAAAAAAAAAAAAAATGAAATCATGTCCTTTGCAACAACGTGGATGAAGCTGGAGGCCATTATCCTAAGTGAACTAACTCAAACATAGAAAACCAAATATTTGGCTGGGTGTGACGGCTCATGCCTGTAATCCCAGCACTTTGGGAGGCCGAGGCAGGTGGATCACTCGAGCTCAGCAGTTCGAGACAAGCCTAGTCTCTACCAAAAACACAAAAAATTAGCTGGGCATAGTGGTATGTGCCTGTGGTCCCAGCTACTTGGGAATCTGAAGTGGGAGGATCACTTGAACCAGGGAGGCAGAGGTTGCAGTGAGCTGGAGTCACACCACTGCACTCCAGCCTGGGTTACAGAGTGAGACCCCATCACGGGAAAAAAAAAAAAAAAAAAAAGTCGGGCACAGTGGCTCACGCCTGTAATCCCAGCACTTTGGGAGACAGAGGCGGGCAGATCACCTGAGGTCAGGAGTTCGAGACCAGCCTGGCCAACACGGCAAAACCCCGTCTCTACTAAAAACATGAAAATTAGCCTGACATGGTGGCGTGAGCCTGTAATTGCAGCTACTCAGGAGGCTGAGGCAGGAGAATCACTTGAACCTGGGGCGAGGAGGAGGTTGCAGTGAGCAGAGATAGCGCCACTGCACTCCAGCCTGGGCAACAGAGTGAGGCTCCATCTCAAAAAAAAAAAAAAATTTACCTATTGGGTACAATGTTCACTATTTGGGTAACAGGTACACCACTAGAAGCCCAATCCCCACCAGGATGCAATGTAATCATGTAACAACCAACCAGGTGTACTGCTTGGGTTTAAAATTGTGGGGGAAAAAAAAGAAAAGAAAGAAGAAAAAAATTATCCTGCCAGGTGCAGTGGTTCATATCTGTAATCCCAGCACTTTGGGAGGCTGAGGCAGATGGATCACTTGAGTTCAGGAGTTTGAGACCAGCCTGGACAACATAAGGAGTCCCCATCTCTACAAAAAATTAAAAAATTATCTGGGCATAATGGCACACACCTGTGGTCCCAGCTATTTGGGAGGATGAGGTAGGAGGATCACTTGAACCTGGGAAGTCGAGGATGCAGTGAGCCATGGTAACCCCACTGCACTCCAGCCTAGGCAACAGGCTGTCTCAAAAACAAAAAAGAAAGAAAGCATTCCCTAGTTCCTTATTTACTGCTCCTTCTCAGTCTTCACTGACAGCTCCTATTCCTTTTCCAGACCTTTAAATATTAGAGAGCCTCTGGACTCTATTCTTGGCCCTCTCCTCTACCCTAATCCAAGCTCCCATGATTCCATTGTCCCTTCCTTTGTCCCTTAATTGGATTTTCTGCTTCTATTTTTTACTGATGTGGCCTACCCTCTATGAAGAAACCAGAGTGATCTTTAAAATTACCAGATGATATCATTTACCTGCTCAAAACCCTCTGATGCCTCCTGATCACATGTGGGACAAAATAAAAAGTCCTTCCCATGGCCTATGAAGCCTACCTGGCCTTGTTTCTCCCCACCTCTCTGTCTTCATCCCTTACCACTCTTTCCCTTGCTCACTCTGCTCCACTCACTCTGACCTCCTTTCTGAATTTAACATAAAAATCCAATTCCTTTCTACCTCAGGGCCTTTGCACTCTCTTTTTCTTTTCCTGGACACTCTCCCTCCAGATACTTGCATGACTGCTCCTTTATGTCATTTATATCTGCACAAACATCACCTCCACAAGGAGGCTTTCCCTCATCACTTGATTAAATATAGTACCATGGCCAGGCACAGTGGCTCTTGCTTATAATCTCAGCACTTTGGGAGGCAGAGGCAGGAGGATTGCTTGAGGCCTGGAGATTGAGACCAGCCCAGGCAACATAGTGAAACCTCGTCTCTAAAAAAAAAAAAAAAAATTAGCCAGACATGGTGGCATGAACCTGCAGTCCCAGCTACTCATGAGGCTGCGGTGGGAGGATCACTTAAGCCCAGGAGGTCAAGGCTGCGGTGAGCCATGACCACACTACTGCACTCCAGCTTGGGCAACAGAGCAAGACTCTATAAATAATAATAATCATCATCATCAATAAATATAGCACCATGCATACCTGGGAGCACTTTCTATCCCATTCCCTTACCCCTCACCCTGCTTCATGGTGTTCATAGCACTTGTTAGTGCCTGACATTGTATTAAATTTTATTGATTTTTTTATCGTCTGTCATCTTCAATTCAATGTAAGTTACCAGAGATCCAAGGCTTTTTCCACTGCCTTATTCCCAGCATGTAGCACAGTGCTTGGTACAAAGGAGGCCCTCAGTAAAGATTTCTTGGCTGGGCGCAGTGGCTCACGCCTGTAATCCCAGCACTTTGGGAGGCTGAGGTGGGCGGATCGTGAGGTCACAAATCCGAGACCAGCCTGACCAACATGGTGAAACCCTGTCCCTACTAAAAAAAATACAAAAGTTAGCCGGGCGTGGGGGTGCACACCTGTAGTCCCAGCTACTCAGGAGGCTGAGGCAGGAGAATCACTTGAACCCAGGAGGCGTAGGTTGCAGTGAGCCGAGATCACGCTACTGCACTCCAGCCTGGGTGACAGAGCGAGACGTCATCTCAAAACAGCAACAAGAACAAAAACCAACCAACCAAACAAACAAAATTCTTTGAATCACTGAATGAATAAGTAGTTCATAGAGTTGTGTGAGAGAAAAATAGCTAATATATACAAGACATTTAGAACAATGCTGAGTATTACGGTCATAATGCATGGCCAGCGTTTAGTAAGGTGAAGCTGTTATCATTAAACACTTCACTGCCAAAAAGGCTGCCTCCCTCCTGCTTGAAAACCCTGACTATAAGGGAAGCACAGCAAAATGCTTTGGGACCAAAAAGGAGGGAGGAACGATTTTGACACAAATCCCAGCAAAACTAAAAGCCACAGAAACCACCAAAGCTAAACAGAAGGGGAAATTTATTTAGCTTTTGGAAAGCTAGAATTTTTGTCTCTCATGCAGATAATAAATGGAAGAGAATAAGTGCAGCATATGGTTCCATGTGGTGAGTATAGAACGCAGGGGAATGTGAGAGTGTAAAAACTTCCAACCAGCTCAATGCCTGGTGACAGGGCAGCACAAAGGAGTATTGGAATAGCCTGGGAAAACTGAGACTCACAGACTGGAGAGGAATAATCCTGGGTGTTAAGTGGCTTTCCTTACTTCTCCTACCTTGTGCTGCTTCTTCCACCTGCAATAAATCTCTTCCATTTCTTTTTCTTTTTCTTTTTTTCTGTTTTGTTTTGTTTTGTTTTGTTTTTTGAGATGGAGTCTTGCGCTGGCGTCATGCTGGAGTGTAGTGGCGCCATCTTGGCTCACTGCAACCTCCGCCCCCTGGGTTCAAGCGATTCTCCTGCCTCAACCTCCCAAGTAGCTGGGACTACAGGCACATGCGACCACGCCCAGATAATTTTTGTATTTTTAGTAGAGACGGGGTTTCACCATGTTAGCCAGGATAGTCTCGATCTCTTGACCTTGTGATCCACCCGCCTCAGCCTCCCAAAGTGCTGGGATTACAGGCATGAGCCACCGTGCCCGGCAGTCTCTTCCATTTCTGCATATCAAATTTGCGGCCCTCTTTCAAGTCTCAACTCTCTGAAGCCATCCATGAGGTATTTTCAGATCAACCCCAGTTGAAAATAACTCCCCTGCCACTTATCACTTTTTCCTTTGCATCTGGAGCATTGGCTAATCTGACTTTTCACTCTCATTAGATTACTGGTGGGGATTCTCCGTATTTGTCTCCATATTTCACTGGCAAATTCTGGGTATTCAATAAGGGCTACTGAATGAATAAGAAAAAAATTCTACTTCATCCATTTAGAGGGCAAGCATCATATGCTCTGTGTGCAGGAACAAGATGAAACAACCACTAGCTGGCAAACTACCTCAAGCCAGCTCCTGAACCTCTCCTTGGGTTCTGCCTCAGGTTAACTCTTTTTTTTTTTTTTTTTTTTTTTTTTTTTTTAAAAGACAGGGTCTCACTCTGTTGCCCAGGCTGGGGTACAGTGGTGTGATCCTAGCTCACTGCAGTCTCAACTCCTGGGCTCAAGTAATCCTTCCGCCTTAGCCTCCTGAATAGCTAGGACTACAGGTGCACCACCCTGCCTAGCTAATTTTTATTTTGTAGAGGCAGGGTCTCTATGTTGCCCAGGCTTCAGGTTAGGTCTTGAATGAAGGCAAACAATGCCCTTCTGGGATAGAACAAGGAGAATAACAGAGTATGGCCAGTTTCTCTGAGCCATCTTAGAAGGGGAGGACCCAGAAAAAAGGAAGGAGGGAAGTGACTCCAGGTAAGATGTAAATATATTTGCAGGTAAATCCCCAGAAACTTGTCAAATATGGTTTCCCTCAGTCCAATTTTCTTCACTTAAAGGAGTGGAGAATTGTTCCAAAATGGAGTTAACATTCTGCAATCATAGAGAGCAGAATTATTGCCCTCCTCCCAAGTTCTTGCATTCTCCTAGATGTCTCTTTGACCTTTTTTTTTTTTTTTGAGACGGAGTTTCACACTATTGCCCAGGTTGGAGTGCAATGGTGTGATCCTGGCTCACTGCAACCTCTGCCTCCCAGGTTCAAGCGATTCTCCTGCCTCAGCCTCCCAAGTAGCTGGGATTACAGGCGCCCGCTACCACACCTGGCTAATTTTTATATTTTATTAGTAGAGATGGGGTTTTACAATGTTGACCAGGCTGGTCTCGAACTCCTGACCTCATGTGATCTGCCCGCCTTGGCCTCCCAAAGTGCTGGGATTACAGGCGTGAGCCACTGCACCTGGCCCTCTTTGACCTTCTTAACCCAGAGTCTCACTTTTCGAGAGGTTTCTGTGTAGCAAGACGGGGTAAGTATGTCCCATTTGCATTCACACGATTTCTGGAGGTATTGGTGATGTTGGTCCCTGCAACACCAAAGGAAGAGAGGGAGCAGAGGACAATTTGTAGTGACAAGAAGAGACTGGATCCAGTCCCTTGGGGAAGAAGATTCCTTTTCATCTCTTCCTCTCATGCCTGCTCATCTTCCATTTCATTCTCAAATCTTTAGGGGAAAGGGAGAGGAGAGAGACATTGCTGTTTCCCCACTTTCCAGTCCAAGCATCTATCCCAACAGATAAGCAAATTTCACTTGTCATCCTCTTTATGTATCTTTCTCAAATGTCTTGTTCTCTAGCCAGGCTTAAGGATATAATCTTCCTGGTTTGTGGCTCTCTTTCGTCTTGATTCCTTGATGACTGCCTCCAAAGAGCTGAGCTCTGGCACAATTAGACTTGAGGGAGATAGTGTGAGTCAGTCAACAAGCATGTAGTATCTACACTTTGGGGGAGAGCCTATACTCTTTCTTATTTCTTTTTTTACAAATTATTATTTTGAGACAGAATTTCTCAAATTCCTTTCTACCTCAGGAAAGGAAAGGAAATTGGATAAGGCGACTTTGTCGCCAGGCTGAAGTGCAGTGGTGTGATCTCGGCTCACTGCAACCTCTGCCTCCCGGGTTCAAGCGATTCTCCTGCCTCAGCCTCCTAAGTAGCTGAGACTACAGGCACACACCTCCACACCAGCCTAATTTTTGTATTTTTAGTAAAGACGGGGTTTCACCATGTTGGCCCGACTGGTCTCAAACTCCTGACCTCGAGTGATCCACCCACCTTGGCCTCCCAAAGTGCTGGGATGACAGGCATGAGCCACTGCGCCTGGCCACTCTTTCCTATTTCTGAATCTTCACAGGTTGTTGGTCCCTTCCTAGTCCTGTGTTTCTCAAGTTAAGACTAGGGGGAATCTACAGGTCCATGGCTATCTTCTCTGGGGAACTCTTCTAAAACTTTAAGTTTGTGCTTACCTCTTGATGGGCCATATTTTTAAAAAGAGAAATATTTTCATACATGATGATTTGGATTAGGTTTTTTTTAGGGGTTTCAATGCCTATATTTGTATTTGTGTTTATTTATTTATTTATTTTTTGAGACAGTCTTGCTGTGTCGCCCAGGCTGGAGTGCAATGGTGTGATCTTGGCTCACTGCAACCTCCGCCTCCTGGGTTCAAGCGATTCTTCTGTCTCAGCCTCCCAAGTAGCTGGGACTATAGGCGTGTGCCACCACGCCAGGCTAATTTTTGAATTTTTAATAGAGACGGAGTTTCACCATATTGACCTTGTGATCCGCTCGCCTCGGCCTCCGTGCAGTGGCGCGATCTCAGCTCACTGCAACCTCCGCCTCCCAGGTTCAAGCGATTCTCCTGCCTCAGTCTCCTGAGTAGCTGGGACTACAGGCATGCGCCACACCAGCTAATTTTTGTATTTTTAGTAGAGACGGGGTTTCACCATGTTGGCCAGGCTGGTCTCAAACTCCTGACCTAAAGTGATCCGCCTGCCTTGGCGCCGTGGCTCACGCCTGTAATCCCAACACTTTGGGAAGCCGAGGTGGGCAGATCACTTCTGGTCGGGAGTTTGAGACCAGCCTGGCTGACATGTGAAACCCCATCTTCACTAAAAATACAAAAATTAGCCAGGCATGGTGGCAGGTGCCTGTCATCCCCGCTACTTGGGAGGCTGAGGCAGGATAATCGCTTGAACCTGGGAGGCAGAGGTTGTAATGAGCCGAGATCTCGCCAGTGCACTCCAGCCTGCGTGACAGAGTGATACTCCGTCTCAAAAAAAACAAAAAACAAAAAAACAAAAACAAACAAACAAAACCAGGGAGAGAATTGTTTTGACACAAGTCTTTGGCTAATGATGAAACCGTCTCCCTTCCTGGCTGTCCTGGCATGGTTTTTATAGTCTGAGGCACAATGGTGAGAGCAAACTTAAGAGGGAGCCAAAGTGAGGTACTCAAGAGAGGGATCCTTCTTTCCTGGAGAACTGTGGTAGCCCAGGCTGTGTAGGTAGCTGGACAAGCAAGACTGAATCACAATAGGTCTCTACATCTTCTATTAGGAGGAGAACCTGCAACATCCAGTGGAGCAGGTCACACCAGTTATACATGTAAAATGTAGGATAAACTAAAGGGGCACAGAGCCAGGGGAGAAGACAATGGGATGAGACTGTTCTAGAATCTCATCCCATTGGTTCATTGCTGGGTGTGGTGGCTCACACCTATAATCCCAGCACTTTGGGAGGCTGAGATGGGATGATGGCTTGAGGCCAGGAGTTTGAGACCAGCCTGGTAAACACAGCAGACCCCATCTCTCTAAAAAAAAAAAAAAAAAAAGAAAAACATACGGTTTATGAACCAGCAGCATCTGCATTAACCAGCTTATTGAAATGCAGAATCACAGGCCCCACAACAGACTTCCTAAATCATAATCTGCAACTTAACAAGTTCCCTAGGTGATATGTATGCACACTTATGTTTGAAAAGCACTAAGATTTCTTGATGAAGGAGGACTTGAAAGGCAATGATGGATGTGAAAGGAAAGGTAAAGAGAAGCCTCAGGTAGTCACCCAAGGGACAGGGCCGGTTGGAGAGAGAGTCCCGAGGTTTTATCCTGGAGAACACCCTGTACTGAATGAGCTCTGAACATAAAGATAGTTAGCATAGGAGGGCCTGAAGTCTCCAGATAAAAGGCTGCTGCCACTATCATTTACCACGACCTCTGCCATTCTCCACTCTATTGTCATCCGCCCCCAGTCTCCATTCCAGGACTTCTCTACACTTTGACTTTTTGTTTGTTTGTTTGTTTGTTTGAGACGGAGTCTTGCGCTGTCGCCCAGGCTGGAGCGCAGTGGCACGATCTTGGCTCACCGCAAGCTCCGCCTTCCGGGTTCATGCCATTCTCCTGCCTCAGCCTCCCGGGTAGCTGGGACTATAGGTGCCCGCCACCACGCCCAGCTAATTTTTTGTATTTTTAGTAGAGACGGGGTTTCACCATGTTGTCCAGGCTGGTCTCGAACCCCTGACCTCAAGTGATCCCCCCGCCGCCCCGCCCCCTCCCCCCCGCCCCGCCCCCCCCCGCCGCCTCGGCCTCCCAAATTGCTGGGATTACAGGCGTGCGCGATGCCCGGCTTTTTATTTATTTATTTATTTATTTTTGAGGCGGGAATCTTGCTCTGTCGCCAGGCTGGATTGCAGTGGCACCATCTCGGCTCACTGCAACCTCCGACTCCCTGGTTCAAGCGATTCTCCCACCTCAGCCTCCCAAGTAGCTGGGATTACAGGCACACGCCACCATGCCCAGCTAACTTTTTGTATTTTTAGTAGAGACGAGATTTCACCATGTTGCCAGGATGGTCTCGATCACCTGACCTCGTGATCCGCCCACCTCAGCCTCCCAGAGTCTCAGTTGCCAAAGCTGGAGTGCAATGGCGCGATCTCGGCTCACTGCAACCTCCGCTTCCCAGGTAAGCCATTCTCCTGCCTCAGCCTCCTGGGTAGCTGGGATATAGGCGCCCGCCATCACGCCGAGCTATTTTTGCATTTTTAGTAGAGACGGGGTTTCACCATGTTGGCCAGGCTGGTCTTGAACTCCTGACCTCAACCTCCCAAAGTGCTGGGATTACAGGCGTGAGCCACCGCGCCCGGCCCACCTTTTTTTTTTTTTTTTTTTTTTTTTTTTTTGTTTGAGACGGAGTCTCTAGTCTCGCTCTGTCGCCCAGGCTGGAGTGCAATGGTGTGATCTCGGCTCACTGCAACGTCTGTCTCCCGGGTTCAAGCGATTCTCCTGTTTCAGCCTTCCGAGTAGTTGGGATTACAGGCGCGCGCCACCATGACCTACTAATTTTTGTATTTTTAGTAGAGACAGGGTCTCACCATGTTGGCCCACTTTGACTCTTGAGCAGCCTGGCCAGCCCGACCGCGCCAAATTCTGTTCGATTCTGCCTAGTTCGGTTGCTCTGGCCTAGTTCAGTTGCTAAGGCCTGGAGCTTCATGGTTGCGGAGGAAATGATGTCACGTTCAATAGGCGGGCTAACCAGATTCCTCCCTTCTCCCGATTGGCTGCCAGGAATTTGACTAGATTCGGAGTCTCGCGGGCTCCAGGGTTAGTTGTCAGTATCTTTCCCAGTTGTTCCGCCCCCTACCCCCGCCTCCCGCACCGCGCCCCTCTCCGGCTGCCCTCTCCGCGTGGGGCAAGGCTCCGAGGGCAGCATTCAGTAGCCATTTAGCTTTGGAAGGAGAGGTGATTCGAATGGCCCGGCTCCTCCTGTCACCATGCTAGGCACTTTGGCCGCGCAGGTACTTATTGACCCGACCGGGTGTCCGTAGTTGGCGCGGCTACCTTAACCGCAGGGAATTGTGGAATTTATAGTTCTAAATTATATGTGGGTGGAACGGGGAAGCTGGAGCAGATTTTTGGAGGAAAGCAAAACTGGGGACTTTCAGGACTAGGGGCCTGGGTCTCAGAAGAATGGGAAAGGACGAGAAAGGAGTCTAAATAAGAACCCTGCTATTAGCATTGTTTGGTTTTCTTTTCAGGTGCTGACCTGAACCTGGTTCATCCCTTTCTGACCAAAACTGTTCACTCACCGTGGAAGGGACTAAGCATCCATATGGAGACGCCACCAGTCAATACAATTGGAGAAAAGGACACCTCTCAGCCGCAACAAGAGTGGGAAAAGAACCTTCGGGAGAACCTTGATTCAGTTATTCAGATTAGGCAGCAGCCCCGAGACCCTCCTACCGAAACGCTTGAGCTGGAAGTAAGCCCAGATCCAGCCAGCCAAATTCTAGAGCATACTCAAGGAGCTGAAAAACTGGTTGCTGAACTTGAAGGAGACTCTCATAAGTCTCATGGATCAACCAGTCAGATGCCAGAGGCCCTTCAAGCTTCTGATCTCTGGTACTGCCCCGATGGGAGCTTTGTCAAGAAGATCGTAATCCGTGGCCATGGCTTGGACAAACCCAAACTAGGCTCCTGCTGCCGGGTACTGGCTTTGGGGTTTCCTTTCGGATCAGGGCCGCCAGAGGGCTGGACAGAGCTAACTATGGGCGTAGGGCCATGGAGGGAGGAAACTTGGGGGGAGCTCATAGAGAAATGCTTGGAGTCCATGTGTCAAGGTGAGGAAGCAGAGCTTCAGCTGCCTGGGCACTCTGGACCTCCTGTCAGGCTCACACTGGCATCCTTCACTCAAGGCCGAGACTCCTGGGAGCTGGAGACTAGCGAGAAGGAAGCCCTGGCCAGGGAAGAACGTGCAAGGGGCACAGAACTATTTCGAGCTGGGAACCCTGAAGGAGCTGCCCGATGCTATGGACGGGCTCTTCGGCTGCTCCTGACTTTACCCCCACCTGGCCCTCCAGAACGAACTGTCCTTCATGCCAATCTGGCTGCCTGTCAGTTGTTGCTAGGGCAGCCTCAGTTGGCAGCCCAGAGCTGTGACCGGGTGTTGGAGCGGGAGCCTGGCCATTTAAAGGCCTTATACCGAAGGGGGGTTGCCCAGGCTGCCCTTGGGAACCTGGAAAAAGCAACTGCTGACCTCAAGAAGGTGCTGGCGATAGATCCCAAAAACCGGGCAGCCCAGGAGGAACTGGGGAAGGTGGTCATTCAGGGGAAGAACCAGGATGCAGGGCTGGCTCAGGGTCTGCGCAAGATGTTTGGCTGATTAAAAGTTAAACCTTAAAAGAGACAGGAACTTGTGAATTGTGGTCTGTGCTGTGAGATTTGGGGGTGGGGGGCCAGAGGGAAGGTTTCAGCCCATATCCCATTCTCAGCTTTTGGCTTCCTAGGGGAGGTAGCAGTGGTCACAGTGCGCCCCTTTTGAGGGGCTTATCTATCTCCGAGGACACATAGAAGCTGTCTAAACTAAACTTAGTAGTGGCTGGGGGAGATGGTGGACCTTAATACTGGGTACTACATCTCCCAGGCGCTTTATCACTGGAGCCTGTTTGGCGCATGCGCTTGGCGGTATGGCACTGTCTGGAAGTTACTTCCTGCTGCTGTGCTCCCATTGGGCCCGCCTACACAGTCATCCGCATCTGTTGATTCACGTGCTCAGCACCCAGGTCTCTTACTGGTCGGTAGAGCTTCCGGGACGCCCCCTTTTTTGAAAGAGTCAACTGATTAGTTGGTGATGGGGAGAGGCGGGCCTTGGGAACCGTCTCCTGGTTGTGGGGTGGGGGGGAAAGATGGCGGAGCTGATGCTGCTCAGCGAGATTGCTGACCCGACGCGTTTCTTCACCGACAACCTGCTTAGCCCGGAGGACTGGGGTCTGCAGAGTGAGGCACCGGGGAGGGGAGAGGGCTGTGGCAAACTGTCCCTGAGGCACGCGGGAAAGAAGCGGGGGCCTAAAGAGGAAGTCTGGGCAAATACGGAATCCGCCATCTGAAGGAGAGCGGAGCAGGGGGCTCGTTGTGCATTAAGGGGGATACAAAAGTCAGGGAAGAACTCTGCTCCCTGCTGGAACGTCGAGTTGTTCCGGGGTCGGGGAAGGAGGGGCTGAAGCGCCCTGGTTGTATCACTTTTCAAGTGGGCGGGCGGTGGGTCTGGCCGAGCGGAGCCAATGAGGGATGGGGCGGGGGCTTGTGTGCGATCTGTAGGCTGGGGCCACCGAACGACCCCCCGACGCTCAGCATTTCTTGCAGACAGCACCTTGTATTCTGGCCTAGATGAAGTGGCCGAGGAGCAGACGCAGCTCTTCCGTTGCCCGGAGCAGGATGTCCCGGTATTGTGTCCCCAGCCTTTCTCTAACCCTTGGTGGGTGGAAAGTGAGCCCAGAACCTGGACCCATTCACAGGCCATAACTCATCTGGAGTCACCCCTACTTTCTCATCCTTTCTCACACTCCTGCCCTCTTGTATCCTCCCTTATTTAGTTTGACGGCAGCTCCCTGGACGTGGGGATGGATGTCAGCCCCTCTGAGCCCCCATGGGAACTCCTGCCGATCTTCCCAGGTAAGGTAGTCTTTGTCGTTCCCTCAGATTTCCAGAAACCCTCATCTTCCCACTGTTTCCCAGAAACTACGTAGCTTCCTATATCCTCACGCTTCTACATAAGTGCCTATCCTCTCTCCTTCAATCCCCTATTTTTGTTTCTTCTCCCTTGCTGCGGTACAGGAATCCCCACCGACATGTCCTTGGGTACTTTTTGGACTCTTCTTAAGCTCTGCTTCCTGATAATTTCTAACTCCCTTTCCTCCAGATCTTCAGGTGAAGTCTGAGCCATCTTCCCCCTGCTCTTCCTCCTCCCTCAGCTCCGAGTCATCGCGTCTCTCCACAGAGCCATCCAGCGAGGTGAGAGAGCCATATCCCTCTTACTCTCTGTGACGGGGACTCTGCTTCATTCCCTTCACCCGTGGGTGACAAAGAAATGATTTAAATGATTTGTGTGCTATGAGTCATGAGGTGTGTGAGGTGTGGGGGGCCTTCTCCACTACCTTTGCCGTTTCCTTAATATCTTCATTTTCCACATCCCCTTTGGTTATCTAGCAGTGAAGATTTTTTTGTTTGTTTGTTTTTTGTTTTTTGCTTTTTTTTGAGATAGGGCCTCCCTCTGTCACCCAAACTACAGTGTAGTGACAGGGTCACAGCTCACTGTAGCCTTGACCTCCTGAGCTCAGGTGATCCTCCTGCCTCAGCCTCCTGAGTAGTTGGGACCACAGACACATGCCACCATGTCTGGCTAATTTTTTTTATTGTTTGTAAAAATGGGGTCTTCCTATGTTGCCCAGAGTGGACTTAAACTCCTGGGCTCAAGTGATCCTCCCACCTTGGCATCCCAAAGTGCTTGGATTACAGGTATAAGCCACCACGCCTGATCTTGGGTCTTTTTAATATAAAGAGTTATGTGGGGCTGGGAAGAAGAGAGTTATTGACTGCTGAGAATTCTGGAACTGTTCTTGCCCAAGTTGTCCACTCTGAGGCCATATTTGAAGTCATGAGACTTCATCAATTCTCCCAGAAATAAAGTAGAAAGAATGAACAGGTTAGAAAGATGGTCAGTACCATTCAGACCAGAATGTCAAATAATTGATGGCTTGTAAGCCCTAAACTTCTAAAGCTTTTGTTCTCGCTCTTACTGTCAACATCTCCCTTGTTTTTTGCCCTTCTTTCTGCCCCCTGCCCCACACCAACTCTCACCCAGGCTCTTGGGGTAGGGGAGGTGCTCCATGTGAAGACAGAGTCCTTGGCACCCCCACTGTGTCTCCTGGGAGATGACCCAACATCCTCATTTGAAACCGTCCAGATCAACGTTATCCCCACCTCTGATGATTCCTCAGGTAATAAAACAGCCTGCCCCCAATCCTTGGCTCTACTACGGGAGAATGTGTTATGTGTGTGTGTGTATGTGTGTAGATGGAGGGGAAGTGCAGGCAGCAGGACAGGGAGAAAAAGGTGGGGAGGGGAAATGGCAGAAAACCAGGAGGGAAGGCAGGAAGGAGAGGAAACATTTCAGGGAACCACAGCAAGGGCAGTGCTGAGGAGATGGATATTATTTTTCTCTCTTTTTCTTGTTCCTAGTATTCTGTCATGCCATTCAACTTACTTTTTAAAAACTTGTGAGCAGTTTAGGGCATATGTATCTGTGTGATTCCCCTCCACCCAACATTTTATTATAAACATTTTTGTTGTTGTTGAGACAGAGTCTCACACTGTCGCTCGGGCTGAAGTGCAGTGGTGTGGTCTCAGCTCACTGCAACCTCCACCTCCCAGGTTCAAGTGATTCTCCTGTCTCAGCCTCCCAAGTAGCTGGGATTACAGGCACCCACCACCACGCCCAGCTAATTTTTTGTATTTTTAGTAGAGATGGGGTTTCACCATGTTGGCCAGGCTGGTCTTGAACTCCTGACCTCATGAGTCGCCTACCTCCGCCTCCCAAAGTGCTGAGATTACAGGCGTGAGCCATCGCGCCCAGCCCATAAACATTTTTAAACATACAGAAAGGCTAGAACACCATATACTAAACTAGATTCTACAATTAACATTATTTGTTCTATTTTTAAAGTGTTCCCAAGTTTATTTACTCGTAGCTGTGTATTTAGTAAATGTTTATTGATGTGATCATATCTGAGGTATAATAATTATAAAAAAGAAATATTTATTAAGCACCTACTCCATGCCAGATACTGAGCAGCATGCTGGGAATGCAAAGATGAACAAGACCTGACCACCATGCTGACTTTCAAACCCTGTGATTTGGTAATGGGAGAAAGACAAGTACCAGTCAATACAGGTGTGGTCATTCTAGGATAGAAATCACTAGAGGTGGGGCTGGGTGTGGTGGCTCATGCTTGTAATCCCAGCACTTTGGGAGGCCGAGGTGGGCGGATCACGAGGTCAGGAGATTGAGACCATCCTGGCTAAGATGGTGAAACCCCGTGTCTACTAAAAATACAAAAAATTAGCCTGTAGTCCCAGCTACTTGGGAGGCTGAGGCAGGAGAATGGCATGAACCCGGGAGGCGGAGCTTGCAGTGAGCCGAGATCACGCCACTGCACTCCATCCTGGGCAAAAGAGCAAGACTCCGTCTGGAAAAAAAAAAAAAATCACTAGAGGGTACCATGAAAGCTCATAAGAGGGGACATTTCATCCACATTGGCGCTGAATCTGGGATGTGCCCCTGGAAGAAGGGTTTCCTGAGAGTTTTAAAGGACACGTAGAAATTAGCCAGGAGGACAGTGTGGGGGTTGACTTGTGTCTGAGGACCCTGCATTTCTTCAGAGTGGATGTAAGAAGGATTTGGGGAGTGATGTGGAACTGCAGGGGCTACAGGGCCAGGTGGGGCCCCTGCTAAGGGGCTCTTAGCTTTTATCCTGTGGATAGGTGGGGGCCTTTGGAGAATTAAGCAGGGAAGTAATATGATTAGGAAGATGATTCTAGTGGCAAAGTAGAGAATGGGTTGCAGAGGGGCAGGGCCAGAGGCAAGAGAACCAAGGAAGAAGCTTATGCAGTTGATCAAGTAAGATATTCGGATGTCATGAAGAAAGCAGACTTGAGAAAGAATGAAGTGGAATAGATGAGTTGTGACCTCCTGGACATTGGAGAGAGGTAGGAGTCAAAGAGGTTTGTGGCTAGGATGGCTGTGGGTGGGTGATGTTACTGTTCACTGGATGGAGACTGCAAAAGCAGGGGCTTTCTGGTCAGGGAAGATGATGAATTCAGCGTTGGACATGTTGATTCTGTTGTTGTTGTTGTTATGGAGCTTCACTCTTGTTGCCCAGGCTGGAGTGCAATAGTGGTGTGATCTTGGCTCACTGTAATCTCTGCCTCCTGGGTTCAAGCGATTCTCCTGCCTCAGCCTCCTGAGTAGCTGGGATTACAGGCATGCTCCACCACGCCTGGCTAATTTTGTATTTTTAGTAGAGACAGGGCTTCTTTCATGTTAGGCTGGTCTTGAATTCCCGACCTCAGGTGATCCACCCACTTTGGCTCCCAAAGTGCTGGGATTACAGGCGTAAGCCACCATGCCCAGTTGACATGTTGATTGTTGATTTCAAAGTACCTTCTGGATCTCCTGGCACCATCTCTCACTGGCTGAACTCCAACCAGGGAGCCCGCTGATGCAGTCCATTCAGATTCTCCCTGGATCTCAGGGAGCACAGCAGGGAGGGATGGAAAGTGGATTTGGAGGGACAAACAGATTATATCTAGCAGATTAATACATGTTATAAAAAAGATACACAAAATAAGGATTGAAATACCATTAGCAGGCCAGGCACAGTGGTTCACACCTGTAATCCCAGCACTTTGGGAGGCCAAGGCGGGCAGATCACGAGGTCAGGAGATCAAGACCATTCGGGCTAACACAGTGAAGCGCCATCTCTACTAAAAATACAAAAAATTAGCCAGGCATGGTGGCAGGCACCTGTAGTCTCAGCTACTCGGGAGGCTGAGGCAGGAGAATGGGGTGAACCCGGGAGGCGGAGCTTGCAGTGAGCCGAGATCGCCCACTGCTATTAGCAGCAAAAGGATTGTAAGGATTGTTGGTGGCTTTGCATTGCATAGTGTTATTAGAGTCAGATTCTCCTCCATACTTAGGTATTTTTTGAGGGCCTGTACTTTACCCTCAATGGACATGAGACATAGTTCTTGCTTTTGGAGAGTTTTGTGAGGGTTATAATACATCATGGTTAAATAGTTCCCTTTTTTTTTTTTTTTTTTTTTTTTGAGACAGAGTTTTGCCCTGTCACCCAGGCTAGAGTGCATTGGCGTGATCTCCACTCACTGCAACCTCCGTTTCCTGGGTTTAAGCTATTGTCCTGCCTCAGCCCCCCTAATAGCTAGGACTACAGGCACGTGCCACCATGTCCGGCTATTTTTTTGTATTTTTGGTAGAGACAGGGTTTTGCCATGTTGTTCAGGCTGGTGTCAAACTCCTGGCTTCAAGCAATCCACCTGCGTTGGGTGTCGGCCTCCCAAAGTGCTGGGATTACAGGCGTGAGCCACCATGCCCAGCCATGGTTAAATAGTTCTGATAGTGGTTATCTCTGTGTAGGGAATCTGAGTGACTGGAGGACCGGGAAGGGAAGTTTTTTTTTTTTTTTTTTTTGAGACAGAGTCTCGCTCTACCCAGGCTGGAGTGCAGTGGCGCAATCTCGGCTCACTGCAAGCTCCGCCCCCTGGGTTCATGCCATTCTCCTCCCTCAGTCTCCCAAGTTGCTGGGACTACAGGCGTCCGCCACCACGCCTGGCTAATTTTTCTATTTTTTTAGTAGAGACGGGGTTTCACCGTGTTAGCCAGGATGGTCTCGATCTCCTGACCTCGTGATCCACCTGCCTCGGCCTCCCAAAGTGCTGGGATTACAGGCGTGAGCCACCGTGCCCCGCCAAGATTTTTTTTTTGACTTAATTTTCCTTTGTTCGTTTGGATTTGTATCATGACTGTATTATCTATTCAAAAATATAAATTGAAGTTTTAAAAAGCAATCTTAGTGATCATATAATTAAGTACCAAAGTGAACGGTATGGACCAGAGGTAGTGGTGGACTGTTGACCTGTGGGCTGAATCTGGCCCTCAGAAGGGTTTTATTTCACCGACATGGGGCCTAGCATTTTCTTTCATGGAGTGATCAACAAGTCATAAAGGCAGATTTATTGGAGGCCATGGAGGCTCAGAGGTGACTGAGGCTTTGCTGTTTGGTGCCTGGGAGGAAAACTTGTGTGACGGGGCAATCAGGAAGCCTCATTTATGGCCAGTTAGATTTGGGTGACTGGTGAGGCATGAGAATGGAAGGGACCAGCAGGCAGCTTGGAAGTCAGAATCTGGTGCAGGTGAGCAGCCAGGGGGAGATGCACACTTGGCGGTTGTCAGCATGGAGATGCATTGGGCAGGGATAAGGTGGAAATCCAGCAAGATAGGAATTTGGGCCATGTGAATGCTGGAGACCCCCCTGCCACTTCCCCTGCTCAGGCCTATTCTATGTGAATAGACAAGTTCTGTGAACAAGAAAGAGGGAAACGCAGAAGGGCAAAGACAGCTTTGAGGAACATGGAGCAGGGATGAGAAAAATCAGAGGAGCCACTAAAGGAGAAAGGGAAGCACTAGGCGAAAAGCGGGGCGGAGAGCCAGCAGGTGAGCAGCTCTGTGACTGCCCCTCCTGGATGGCCTGTAATCTAGGGCCAGAAGAGTTTTATTTTCAGGTTCAAAGAGAAAGGACCCATTTCCCCATCTTAACCCTCTTTTTTATTTTTTTGAGATGGAGTTTTGCTCTTCTTGCCCAGGCTGGAGTGCAATGGCGCGATCTTGGCTCACTGCAACCTTTGCCTCCCAGGTTCAAGCGATTCTCCTGCCTCAGCCTCCTGAGTATCTGGGACACAGGGATGCGCCACCATGCCCGACTAATTTTGTATTTTTAGTAGAGACGGGGTTTCTCCATGTTGGTCAGGCTGGTCTTGAACTCCTGACCTCAGGTGATCTGCCCGCCTTGGCCTCCCAAAGTGCTGAGATTACAGGCGTGAGCCACCATGCCCAGCCTCCCATCTTAACCCTCTTAACCCTTCAGTGTTTACATGATATCCAGCTTTTGCCTCATCCTGCCTCCCACAGATGTCCAGACCAAGATAGAACCTGTCTCTCCATGTTCTTCCGTCAACTCTGAGGCCTCCCTGCTCTCAGCCGACTCCTCCAGCCAGGTGAGCACCACCTTCCTTCCTTCCTCCAGGTTTTCCAGTGAGTTCCTCCTGACCTAGAGGTATGAGAGCTTTCCCTTCTTCAGCTCCTTCTCCTCGACACTCTTCCTGACTAATGTATCTCTGGAATGCCCCACATAGGCTTTTATAGGAGAGGAGGTCCTGGAAGTGAAGACAGAGTCCCTGTCCCCTTCAGGATGCCTCCTGTGGGATGTCCCAGCCCCCTCACTTGGAGCTGTCCAGATCAGCATGGGCCCATCCCTTGATGGCTCCTCAGGTAATGGAGTCTCCTGACACTTGGAATCCCTAGTGAGAGGCCTTTGGTCCTGACATTTCTTGTTCTTTTCTCTCACCTTCCTTCAGGCAAAGCCCTGCCCACCCGGAAGCCGCCACTGCAGCCCAAACCTGTAGTGCTAACCACTGTCCCAATGCCATCCAGAGCTGTGCCTCCCAGCACCACAGTCCTTCTGCAGTCCCTCGTCCAGCCACCCCCAGGTACTGAAGAAGGAGAAAAGGGCCGGGCATGGTGGCTCACGCCGGTAATCCCAGCACTTTGGGAGGCTGAGGCGGGCGAATCACCTGAGGTCAGAAGTTTAAGACCAGCCTGGCCAACGTGGTGAAACCTTGTCTCTACTAAAAATACAAAAATTAGCGTGGAGTGGTGGCAGGCGCCTGTAATCCCAGCTCCTCGGGAGGCTGAGGCAGGAGAATCACTTGAACCCAGGAGGCGGAGGTTGCAGTGAGCCGAGATCATGCCACTGCACTCCAGCCTGGGCGACAAAGCGAGACTTTGTCTCAAAAAAAAAAAAAAGAAAAAAGAAAAACCAAAAAATAAAAATAAAAATTAATTAATTAATTAAAAAAAAAAGGCCAGGCACAGTGGCTCACGCCTGTAATCCCAGCACTTTGGCAGGCCAAGGCAGGCGGATCACAAGGTCAGGAGATCGAGACCATCCTGACTAACACAGTGAAACCCCGTCTCTACTAAAAATACAAAAAAATTAGCCAGGCGTGGTGGCGTGCGTCTGTAGTTCCAGCTGCTGGGGAGGCTGAGGCAGGAGAATGGCGTGAACCCGGGAGGCGGAGCTTGCAGTGAGCCGAGATCGCACCACTGCACTCCAGCCTGGTCGACAGAGCAAGACTGCATCTCAAAAAAGAAAAAAAGGAGAAAAGGAGGCGGGCTGCATTGACCCTGTCAGAGAGCTTGCAGCCATTGAGGCTGCCCAATCCTTGGGTGCTCTTGTGTGGGTGTGGACACAAGGACCCCACCCAGCGCACAGCCCTCTGACCTCTGCTCACTTGCCCCAGTGTCCCCAGTTGTCCTCATCCAGGGTGCTATTCGAGTCCAGCCTGAAGGGCCGGCTCCCTCTCTACCACGGCCTGAGAGGAAGAGCATCGTTCCCGCTCCTATGCCTGGAAACTCCTGCCCGCCTGAAGTGGATGTAAGTGTTGGGGAGGAGAGAAGTAGGGCGAGTGATGGGAAGGGAAGAGGGAAGTCTTGCCATAGAGAGAACTGTGGGATGAGGAGGGAGTCGATACCTAGGAGAAAAAAGTGAGGAAACGGACCCATTAGATCATTCTGAGGGTCAGAATGGACTCCTGTTTCTATATGAATATCAACTCCAGGTAGTTTTAGGGTCCTTTAGGTTTGCTGTCACTGCAGATGGAGAAATGGGGTTGGTCTCCATAAATTAAAGGCAAGGAAGTCGTACTGTACTATACGACTACGGTCATGGCCATAGTTGGGGAGGGAGGCTGCCTCCTAGGGGAAAATCAGGTAAACTGTATAAGCAGTATAACAAGGTTAAACTTTGAACCCTACAAATGTGGGCTGACAGGAAGAAAGAGTTACGAAGGAAAGAGTTTCCACCAGCATGGAGAAAGTTCTTCCCACACTCTAACCTTTCCCACCTCTGAGGAGCAGTAGCAGGGAATGTTTGAAAGAAGGGCCCCTTCCCTAGCGTGTTTGAGTAGAGAGGAAAAACCTCTCTGGCTATGTAGGTGGGTCAGGAAGGCAGGGGAATGGCCATGTGAGCTTTGGGTAAATCATTCCTTGGGGTTTGAGAGCATAGTCTCCTTCTGCCAACTCATCTGTCATTCTTTTTTGACCTTCCGGGTGCCTAGGCAAAGCTGCTGAAGCGGCAGCAGCGAATGATCAAGAACCGGGAGTCAGCCTGCCAGTCCCGGAGAAAGAAGAAAGAGTATCTGCAGGGACTGGAGGCTCGGCTGCAAGCAGTACTGGCTGACAACCAGCAGCTCCGCCGAGAGAATGCTGCCCTCCGGCGGCGGCTGGAGGCCCTGCTGGCTGA
Source organism: Homo sapiens (assembly GCF_000001405.40). Lineage (NCBI taxonomy): Eukaryota > Metazoa > Chordata > Mammalia > Primates > Hominidae > Homo > Homo sapiens. Next base: position 3,557,289 of record NT_113891.3, on the reverse strand, counting down.
AGTAAGACCAGTCTGTCCCTGGGAGACCAACAGGAATACAGCCTCCTTGGAATGATTCCCCTTTTTCTTGTCTCCTTCTTTGTACCTTAGAACAGCGAGCTCAAGTTAGGGTCTGGAAACAGGAAGGTGGTCTGCATCATGGTCTTCCTTCTCTTCATTGCCTTCAACTTTGGACCTGTCAGGTGAGACCTTCCTTGCTTCACTAGAACCTTCCAGGTGGAGCCCACGTTACAGCCTCCTAGCTGCCTGCTTTGGCCCAGGCCATTTCCTTCTGCTTATATACAAATGGTTCTGGTGTCCTTGGCACCGATGATGTGTCTGGCCAGCCCCTTCCTGCTCCATTATTTGTCTTTTTTTCTTGGAGATGGAGCCTTGTTCTGTTGCCCAGGCTGGAGTGCAGTGGCACGATCTCGGCTCACTGCAACCTCTGCTTCCTGGGTTCAAGTGATTCTCCTGCCTCAACCTCCCAAGTAGCTGGGACTACAGGCGCACGCCACCATGCCCGGCTAATTTTTTGTATTTTTTAGTAGAGACAGGGTTTCACTGTTGTTGCCCAGGCTGGTCTCGAACTCCTGAGCTCAGGCAGTCTGCCCACCTCAGCCTCCCAAAGTGCTAGGATTACAGGCTTGAGCCACCTCGCCCGGCCTCCTGCTCCATTATTTTTCCAGTGGAGAGTAGATGATGGTGATAATGCTGGTAGAAATAGTGACTATTAAGTGCTTACTGAGTTCTAGGCTCTAGGTGATGCACTGTCTTTTTTGTATGTAGGGACCATCCTTATTCCCATCTTACAGAGGCAGACTCAGGCTTGTATAACAGATTGCAACTCAAGCAGTCCATCTGCAGAGTCTTTATTCTTACCTAGATACTTGATACAGCTGAAATTCTTCATTGTGCTCAGTCCTTCTTTATCCACAGCATCAGTGAGCCTCCTTCAGCTCCCATCTCTCCTCGGATGAACAAGGGGGAGCCTCAACCCCGGAGACACTTGCTGGGGTTCTCAGAGCAAGAGCCAGTTCAGGGAGTTGAACCTCTCCAGGGGTCCTCCCAGGGCCCTAAGGAGCCCCAGCCCAGCCCCACAGACCAGCCCAGTTTCAGGTGAGGAGAGAGAGAGAGGGCCCCCTCTCGTTTGAGGGTATGAGTTGGTCTTCTCCCCGCTTTCAGTGAGGGGGACCCAAAGCTTTCTCTTGCCGTCATCGCCTTCTTTGTTGTGGGAGTGCTGGGCAGTCTCCAAGTGTTGTCTCCTTCCTGCTTCACTCCAGCAACCTGACAGCCTTCCCTGGGGGCGCCAAGGAGCTACTACTAAGAGACCTAGACCAGCTCTTCCTCTCCTCTGATTGCCGGCACTTCAACCGCACTGAGTCCCTGAGGTGTGGGATTCATTGCTGGGGCATCCAGCTCCCCCGGCCTCCCAAGGCCTTCTGCAGTCAGCCTGGCTGGCCTGTGTACTAAAGCGCCAGTGCTCCCTGCCCTCTCCTCACTCCTGTGGGTGGGCAAGGAGGGTGGGAATCTTGGCCTGGCATGGAGGTCCTGAGCTCCTCCATTTCCCCAGGCTTGCTGACGAGTTGAGTGGCTGGGTCCAGCGCCACCAGAGAGGCCGGAGGAAGATCCCTCAGAGGGCCCAGGAGAGACAGGTAGGGCGGGTGGCTGGTTCAAGGAAGGCCACTTGAAGACAAGGGCTAAAGGCCTTGTCTGGGGATTTCTAGTGGGCATCTCGCTGTGGAAGTTTGAGGGATCGTTTGAAGGAAGTGGAGGGTTGAGTGGGAGGTGGCATCAGCTTCCAGGGGCTGTTTGTCTCTTTCCCTTTTCCCTTCACCCTCTCCAAGTCCTTAGATACTTCTCCTTCCAGAAGTCTCAGCCACGGAAGAAGTCACCTCCAGTTAAGGCAGTCCCCATCCAACCCCCTGGACCCCCAGAAAGGTGAGTGTGGGGTGGGGTGCTTACTTATTAAGTGAAATTCCACTTTCAAGAGCTGTACCCCCAGTAGCTGTCCTGTGCCTGTCATTACTGTCACCAGTGGGATTATACCTCCCTCCTCCACTGGGGGTCTCCTGTCTTTTTCTCTCATCCTACCCGCTTCCCTGGTAGAAACTGAGCATTGGGCTTAGTTCCCCTCAAATCCTGTTTCCCCACCTGCCTAGGGATTCTGTGGGCCAGCTGCAACTATATCGCCACCCAGACCGTTCGCAGCCAGCATTCTTGGATGCAATTGACCGACGGGAAGACACATTTTATGTTGTCTCTTTCCGAAGGGTGAGTTTCTCCTGCCCTTCCATCTCTGTCACCCCAGGTTCCCAGCAGTCTGTCTTCAGTGGGGGGATGTAGAGTAGGGCTGGGGAGCTTGTTGGCATCTTTGCCTCCACCCTTCTGGCCTGGCCCATCTGTTCCCCAGGACCACCTGCTGCTCCCAGCCATCAGCCACAACAAGACCTCCCGGCCCAAGATGTCCCTGGTGATGCCTGCCATGGCCCCCAATGGTAACTCTTTCCCTGCTGGGTATGGGGGCAGTTCCAACAGGGAGATCCAGCCTGGGAGCTGAGGGGGAAGGGGGAGAGGAGCAGGGCATCCAGAGAGCTGCTGGACCCACAGGTGAGAAGCAGCAGGAAGTAGGTGGAGGGAAGAGCACCATGCAGGAGACTTGGGAGGGAGACAAGGGTGAGGGTCCTTCCCTGGTGAAGGTGCTTGGGTAGATGACTGGGCAGAGGCGGGGGGCCGGGAACCTGCTAGACTCTCACTTACTTTTTTCTCTTGATGTCCTCTCCTGTGTGACCCCACACTCAATGCCCTTTTCTTTTCCTACCCTCTCCTTGCCCCTGCACCAAACTCTGTCCCTGCCATCCTGTTTAACTCCCGCTATGGATCTGCCTCCTCACTATTGCCCTTTCTTTTTCTCTCTGCTCACCTCTACTTTTCTGACCTCCTCCCCTCCTCCCTGCAATCCCTGTTTGCCTCCCCATCTCCTCTTCCTTAACTCTCCCCTTCTCACAGAGACCCTGTCAGGCCGTGGGGCCCCGGGGGACTATGAGGAGATGATGCAGATCGAGTGTGAGGTCATGGACACCAGGGTGATTCACATCAAGACCTCCACAGTGCCCCCCTCGCTCCGAAAACAGCCATCCCCAACCCCAGGCAATGCCACAGGTGGCCCCTTGCCAGTCTCTGCAGCCAGCCAGGCCCACCAGGCCTCCCACCAGCCCCTCTACCTCAATCATCCCTGACCTCTGCCATTCACACTGACTTAGAACGGGGGGAGGGGGTACCAGGTGGCCAGGTGGGACTGTTTCAAATTTCCCTGATCCCCAGGCTTGGGGCAATTGGTAAAGGAAAGAGCAGGTGTGGGGGTTAAGCACTTATTTGAGGTGGGGGTGTTCACCTCTCTTCTCATCCCTTTTCAGAATATAGGGCTCCTCTCATTCCTGTGAACCCCCAGTCCTGGCTTCTTTGTTTGAGGGGATTGTGTGAGGTTCAGTTGTGGGGTGGGTGGTGAGCTGCTGCATATTTTTTATTTTGTTTCTCTAGTGTTATGGCAGTGGAGGTGGGAATTTAGTCCCCAGGTGGGACAAGGGAAGTTTTTTCATTTTGGAGCTAGTTACTGGGAGTAAGGGAGGGTGGGGTGGGGGGGAGTTCAGGTTTATGTGTGTGCATTTCTTTTTTATTATTATTAAATAAACAACTTGGAGGGAGTTGAAGGAATGGTGGCTGCCTTCCTGGCTCGTGATGGGGAGTTTGGGGGAAAGTGGCTTTTCCAGAGCCAGCATCAAAGAATCAAGCACTGAAGACATAGCTGGCTCTGAGGTGGGGTGGGTGCGGGATCACAGACCGCATGTCATCCCCTTGCCCCCACCCCTGCAACTCTGGGGTATATCTGTGTCTAGCAACGATGTCTCATGGCGTGACAGACTAGAGGATACGCATCCCTGGAATGTGAGTCAACAGGAAAGATGGGGCCCCACGCCCTTCAGGGTGAGCAGCCTCTGGGTCTCCTGCTCTCGAGCAGGTTCTCCCCCTCTTCTTGCTGTCCAGGATGAGCAGCTCAAACAAACAACAAGAGCTGGGGCCAGAGGCTCAGAGCCCAGGAAGTGGGGGTCTCGGTGAAGAAGGGGTGATATTTGGAAGGGAAGGGGGATGTGGCAGGATATCCTCTAAGCCCTAAACTGGAGGGGACTGAGACTTGAGAGTCCAGATGAAAGACAAAGACAAGAGTGGGGCAGGCAGAAAAAGCTGTACATTCTTATGTTTTTAATTTTTTTTTTTTTTTTGAGACGGAGTCTTGCTCTCTCACCCAGGCTGGAGTGCAGTGGCGCGATCTTGGCTCACTGCAACCTCCGCCTCTTGGGTTCAAGTGATTCTTCTGCCTCAGCCTCTCAAGTAGCTGGGACTACAGGTGCACGCCACCACACCCGGCTAATTTTTGTATTTTTAATAGAGATAGGGTTTCACCATATTGGCCAGGCTGCCCACTTCGGCCTCCCAAAGTGCTGGGATTACAGGTGTGAGCCACCATGCCTGGCTAGGCTGTGCATTCTAATTAGGAGGAAGGGGAGCAGGACAAAGTGAGGGATTGAGTCTGAGGCCAACCTGGAAGAATCCCCCTCCAGCTGCTCCTGTTCAGCAGTGCCTCAGGCCTGACCCTGCAGGAGTGTCCTGGGTCAGCTGGAGGGTGTGAGCTGGGCCTGGGCTCAATGCCCAGATGACTGGACAGGGGCTGCCTGGGCCATAAGCCCAGGCCTGAAGGAGGGAGGAAGAACCTCATGTGTCCAGCCAGGCAACCCCCACACCCCTCCCACTGCCCTCACCCATTACTGTGTTTGGGGTGAAAACAGACCAAGTAACTATGGCAACCTGGAACCAGGGATCCCAGGAACTAGACCTTTCCTCCCTCCAGAGGGCAGCCCAGCTTCTCAGCTATGCTTTCTATCCCAGAGTCCTTGAGCCTTATCCACCGTATCTCTGGAGGGGGTGCAGTGAGAACAAGGATTTTGGAAGCACATCACCTAAGCTGGATTCCCTACCCTGCCTTTCGTTAGTAGATGTCCTTAAACATTCTGAGCCTTAGTTTGCTTATCTGTAAGATGGGATGTTCCTACCTCCTAATCAGGGTTGATGACAGGATGAAAGACGACGTCCTCAGTGCCTGGTCCATAATAGATACACCTTTTCCTCATCCCTTGCCCCTTTCTGTCCCCATCTCTGTTGTCCTTCTCTCTTCCACTTTTATCCCATTTGGGTTCATTACTGTTTCGTTGTCCCATTGTCTTCCTCCTTCCTGCCCCCAGTTCGGGAAAGTACTTGAAGTGCTGGCATCTCAGGGGTCACCCTGGGGTGGGACATCCTGCTCCTCTGCTGATTGGCAAGGGACAGCTGGCACTTTGGTGTGGATGAGACATCAGACCTCTCTTGGCTGAGGGATTGTGGTGGCAGGAAGGATTGAGAAGGACGGTGAGTGGGTACCTGATGCAGGGTGAAAGCCGGGCAGGCTCTGGGCTGCTGCCTTCTAGGCCCATGTGGATCTCCATTCCTCTGGCCACACCCCCAAGGCCACTCAGCATGCCAGGTCGCTGTCACTCCTGCACCTCATTGGCCCCTCCTGCCCTATGCCCACTTTGTCTTTCTGTTCTGCTTTCCTTGTGCCACCATCTCCTTCATTTCTTCCTCAGGATCCCACCTTTTGTTCTCTCTCATCCCTGACCTCATCATCCCTCCCTTCCTCTTTCTAGACTTCTTTCCTGCCTTTCTTTGCTCTCTACCTCATTAGCAGTTATCACAACCTCTTTTTGAACCATTATTCATCACTGTTTTTTTCTTCTTTTGTATCTTCCCCACCCCATCCACTGCTTCACTGTCTTAAATTTTTTTTTTAATTTAAAAATAGAAGTGGGGTCTCGCTATGTTACCCAGGCTGGTCTTGAACTCCTGGCCTCAAGCAGTCCTCCCATGTTGGCCTCCCAAAGTGCTAGGATTACAGGCATGAGCCACCGTGCTGGCCTTATTTAAAAATATATATATATTTTTAAATTCACTGTCTTTTTCCTTTGTTTTTCTTGGTCTTCTCATCTGCTGCTGCTGCTGACCCTGTGCTTGTCTCCTCCCTTTCTCATGCCGCCCCCTTTCTATTTCCCATTCTGCTCCCTCGTCCACATTTCTTGCCCCTTTCCATTATGTCCTCTCTTTTCCCCCACTTTGGTCCTCTCCTCCTCCTTCCTTCCCCCACTCCCTTTACTTCCCACACCAGTTCTCCATCCTCTTCCCAGCTGTGGGGGCCAGCACTGGGGAGCCTGATGTTTGCCTCATCGTTCTGCTATGGCTTCTGGATACAGCACATCTGGATTCCGGGGCCCAGATGTGTGGTTGCCACAGCGACCTGGGTCCCTCTGGTAAATACAGGCGCCCACCCGCCTCAGAGCAGAGAACAAAACAATTGTGTGACTTTCTTTTGTCACGAGATAGAAATGTCCTTCCTCCTCCCTTCTCCCCACACCCATGTCTCTAGGCAAAGGAAGTTTTAAGGGTCCAAACCCTTCCTTCTGAGGCTCCCTTGCCCCGTTTTCAGCTGTAGCCTCTTAGTTCTCTCCCATCTTTCATCCTGCGCTCTGTCTTTACATTCTGTGTTCCCCATCCTCACCCGACCCCCAGTTCTCAATAATGGAATGTTGACCACCCCCTTCCCCATCTGATGCCATTTCTTCTAAGTGAATCTACACAATAACTGGATGCAGAAAAGTTTCAAAAATCTGGATTCTCCACCCTTCTTTGTACAAGTGCTTCAAAGAAGCCACTTCATTTGTTCCCTAAGTCTTCAATCCTTTCCTTTCCTGGAGTTGTTTGGGGAGAAGAGCGAATACAGGCTTAGGAATGAGAACACCTGGGTGAGACCCACCTTCACCACTACTGACTTAGCCCCTTGAACAAGACCCTTAATGTCTATGAGCCTCCGTTTCCTCAGCCACAAAGTGGGATTAATGCCCGCACTGTGTAGGAAACTGTTTTGTAAACGGAAGCCCGGCACAAGTGTTTTCTATCTTTCCCCTCTCTGGGACTGCTTTCTTGGACCGCAGCCCCTGGCATCTCTTGTTCCCCTGTCTTCATCCTTCAGGTCCTTGCCCTCAATTGCCCTTACTCTTATGTGTCTGCCTTCTCTCCTCCCTATCTTTCCTTTCCTTTTCTCTATCTTTCATCCCTTTTCCTCCTGAGGTCAGGACAGGAACTTGGAGGATCATTCAAGGAGGGAGGCTCAGAGCTGAAGACACAGGGACTGAGGTTACAGAGAACAGCCGGAGCTTGTGGACAGTTCTGGACAACACTGACCTTTCTACCCACCACCACCCAGACACCTCAGTGAAGCCAACCCCAGCTCTGACCACTGGGCTTCCCTGCCTTCACGCCTGGGCTCCTTACCCTTTCCCCCTCCTCTCTCCCAGTCCTTTCACATTTCAGTGTTGACTTGCATTTATTGGTCACCTACACTGTGCAAGGCTTGGTGCTTTTCTTACAAGATGTGAACATACAAGACATGAGCTTCTCCATGAGCCTGGAAACCAAAGGGTGAATCAAATGGTAAACAAAGATAATTTCAGAACCTGAAACTATATCTGCTAAGCTTCCAGTGGCTTCCCCAAATGCCTTATAAGCTTGTGTACATCTGGAATCCCACATTTCTCTCTGAGACCCCAACAGTGGGCTTCCAGAACATCCCAGGACCATCCTTCTTGCTGTCTTCTCTGAGGTCCCTGGCCACTCTCTGTGCCAAATGTACTTATGTTGACCATTCTTCCTAAATAATAAAGCCAGGACATAGGGCATAGGCACACGCGCGTGCACACACACACTAAAGGATATGACCATGGAACAGAAATCTGAAGGTGTCAGAGGAAATTCATACCCTGTGTTCTGCCCTCTGTGTGATACTGTCTCCAGACCCTCCCTCTTCCTATCACTGCAGGGCTCCCCACCTCCTGCCAGGAGATCCTTGGGAAGCTGCTACCTACTGCTGGCTCTGGGGGCTTCAGGCCAAGGCAGAGGAAGGAAGCTGAGCCTGGCTCTGTCCAAGATGCTGACTTCATCCTCCCCATCAAAGCCAGGAAAAAAACAGCCACACACACCCAGACACACGGACACACACGGGGACACCCACGCAAAAGCCCATGTGTGCCTTTGCCCTCGGCCACATGGAGCTTACTGGGCATCTGGCCACAGCCACATGCAGTGCAGGCACGCCCTGACCCAGGAACACCACACACCTGCCACCATGGGGATCTGACCTGGTGTGCAGACACCTGGGCCGTCACCCATGTGGCAGAATCAAGCACATATGGGCTCCCTCACGTACCTTTCACCCGTGACTTGGCCAAGTTACACCTCAGTGGTGAGGTCTGTAGCAGGATAGAGAGACCCAGTCCTCACTGTGAAGCTGGGGGTAGTGGGTTCCCACTCAGCTGGGATATTTCTCCTCTGTAGCAAAGTCTCTTTTTCAGCTCCTTGTCAGGGCAGCACATGGGGAGATGAAGCTAGGGAAACACCCAACAGACTTATGTGGGGTGTGTCTGTCTCCCTGTCCCCCCTGTCCTCTGGCTGTCAGTCTTCTGCCTGGGACCAGAGACAGCGTGTCCGTTTCCTCCAGCCCCTACCTCTCCCCGCCTCTGTTCCTGCTCCCCCGCAGCACCCAGGCACCAGCCCCCCACCCTGCTTTCCACCACTTCACCCTCTATTCAGGTGACCCACCCTTATATTTGCCTCCTGTCTCTAGCCCTTTCTTCAACCCTAAACCTTCCTCCTAACCTTCAGGCTTTCCTTCCTTGTCCGCCCCAACCCCAGCTTCCTCCCCAAGGCTTGTATGTCCCAGTGTTCACCCAAGCCCTTGCCCTGCCAGTGCCCAAGCCTCACCTGCTCTTTCTCTAGGGACTTGCTGAGGTAGGAGAATGCAAAGGGGGCAGTGACAGGAGAGGGACTGAACAGAACAGACAGCAGGAGTGGCTCGGGGACGGGATAAGCCGAGAAGATAGAAATGGTGGGACTGGAGCAGGGTGGGGACTTGGGGTCCCAGAGACGGTCCCAGTTGGAGAAAGAGGTTGCCTCTTGCCTCCTGCCCTCTGCCCCTGCTCCCTGCCCCAGACTGCCAGGGGAGAACTGGTGAGAGGATGAGGGAGCCAGCACTGGGTGATAGACATGGGGTGCGATCCAGAGATCCAAGCTAGAGCAGTGGCTGGGAAGAGATGGGAGAGGAGCATGGGGGAGGGAGGGGAAGGGGGCTGGCCATGAGGAAGGATATAGGCTGAGAGGAAACCACTGGGGTCAGAGAGGAGGGGCAGCAGGTGGAGAAATGGTGGGGAAAAAAGAAATGGCAGGAAGGGTGGGGGGTGTCAAGTTGGGCAAAAATTAGGGTGAGCTAAAAATGGCATAGGGAAAGGACGTGGGAGGTAAGACCGGGGCTGGGGGTTGAGATGAGGGTATGGTGAGACAGTGATGCTAGACAGGGAGTGGGGGCTGGGGTGGGGGCAGGAGAAGAGGAGGGGTGGCATGTGGGAGGGCCTGGGAGGGGTGGGAGGACCTGCCCTATCTCCGCTCCCCTCCCTGACCTCATCCTGGTCCTCCCCTTCTCCTCCCCTGCTCGCTGCAGACTCCCTCCTCACTGTCGCTGCCGAGATCCACAGTCGGTTGTGGCTCAGCCCCTGTTGCAGGGGACAAGTGAGGGAGACTTCCCTGTCCTGCCCTGAGACGCCGCCCTCCCGGGGTTGGGGACAGAGCAGGTGCAGAGGCACTGCAGCTGCTCGGTTGCCCAGGTAAGGAACAGAGTTCTGGGGAGACCCAGAAGGAGAGGCAAGGGATTTCTCGCCTATCCCCATGCCCCAGGTGAAGGTGTGGCAGGTGAGCTCTCAGCAGTGCTTCCAGAGCAAGGACTTCTGTTCAGGACAGAGGACATAGGAGCATTCGCTGGGAACCAGGCTCCCTGTGAAGGAGTGTCTGGGAGGAGAGGGTGGTATGTGTGTGTTGGGGTGGGCAGTATGTGTCAGGGTTTGGATGGGATGCAGACAACTGAGAGGGGCTGGGAACAAACCGAGGGACTCCGGGAGTCAGATGGTGGAACCAGGGTAGAGGTGGTTATTGGTGAGGTGAGCCCCTGGGCCCTGGAGGTGCTGGGGCTAGCGGGAAGATAGGACTAGGCTGAACTGGTGGCCAGCTGAACCTTGGAAGGAAAGTGCTTGCGGAATCCCAAATGTCGGGCTAGAGCAGCTGAGCCCAGGCTCTGGGGGCTCCAGGCTCCAGGAGGTGCCAGAGGGTGCTTCTTTGGGCATCCAAATGGGGACTCCCTAGGTGGCAGCGTGAGAGTTGCAGGGAGGGAGGTCTGGGAGATCTCTTTAGGAAATACTGAAATGGGACAGTCAGGACTCGGGTCTGGGACGTGCACAGAGCCTGCAGAGAGGATCCTAAAACTTGTTCTTGGCCAGAGCTCTGCACTCATGACTCACGGTTCAGCAGGGCTGGGATGGCTGAGAGATGCCTCTGGGGGCACAGGGGCTCCGTCTTCACTCTGTGCCCCTTCCAGGCTCCCCTTGCCTCTGTCTGTCTGAACCCGCACTCTCCCTCACCTCGCCGCCCCCGCCCCCCACCACCAGTACACGTGACACGCCCCGGGTGGGAAGGGCGGGCCCCTTATCTCGCCTGGAAAGAATTTAATGGCATAGAAACAACTGGAAGTGGAACTGAGAGGAACTACTGGGAAGCAACTCGGAAACACCACAGCTGCTGCCTGCCCTGCCCCTGCTTCCCGCATCTCCAGCCCCTCCTCTTTTCCCTGACCCTGCCTTCAAGTCCCTGGGGACCCAGCACCTCAATTCCTCAAACTTCCTTTGCTCACTCCAGACCTAGCCACTAGGTGCAGGACCAGAAACTGCCTTCCTGTCTCTCATTGCACCCCTAACCATTTTCAGCTGGGGCCTGGAAATCCTTTCTCTTAATTTTTCCATTCCCAGGCCGATTAGCTCCCCAGAATAAGGGGTATCTGGATTCCCCAACCTACCCCTCCCTGACACCTCCTTCCTACCTGGTTCCAGCCCAATATCTGAGACCCCCACATTCCCTTTTTAGTCTCACTCCTAGAATCCTTCTACCTTCACCTCTCATTGCCAGATTCAACTGAGGGTGTAGCAGGAGGGTCAGAGGGAGGCATGGGGGCAGGACCAGAACCCCCATCTGTGGAACATCTTTTATGGAAGCCAGCCCCTCTCCCCACCCCTTGGGACCTATACAGTCCCTAATGAGCAAAGTGTCAAAGTTGGCTACAACACAAAATACCCAGGAAGCTGAGTCACAGTTTGGGAAGATGCCCCCATCCCTGCCAGCCCTCCAACTGTGGGGAGGGTGCCAAGAGGGTGAGGCCATATCTCTCTCCAAACACACACTACAGAGAACCACCCCAGACATAGTGGCAGGGGGAATGGTGAAGGGGAGACACAAGAGACACCCAATTCTTTGCTTGCCCAGTACCGAGAGAAGAGCAGAATTATCCCAGGAGCTGGAATGGGGAGCTGGAGGGCTGGGTGGTGGCAACAGGGCAGGGAGGGAGATTGGGAAGGAGCCTCTGGGTGTGTGGTCAATGGAGGCTGCTCTGCTCTTCTAGACCAATCTCACCAGCTTTCCAGAAAAGCTGGTGAGCTCTCTTCACTCCTTCCTGGTGCAAAGACCCTCTCTGCTTTCCCCCACTGTGCAGGGAAAGATGAGGAATCCACTTATTTGGGGAGGGGCACTGGACAACTCACAGAGGCCTCCAGGGGTACGGGGAAGTATGGTGGAGGCCATGTGTCCGCTGCTTCCCACTGGGAAGGGCCTCCTGCTTTGTTCCTCTCACACCATCCAGGTTCTTTCACTCACAGAGCTGCCCTCGGAGCCAACAAGAAATCAGCCTTCTTAGGCATCACCCAATGACTAGGTGTGGAGGAAACCTGAAGGGGAGATTGGGTGTGTGTGCACGTGTGTGCATGGGCACCCATATGTGTACCTACAAGGATGCAGGTTTTGGGGGTGGATTTGTGTGTCTGTGCAGGTATGTTTGTACTTGTGGATGAGCACACATTAATATATTTGTAAGTGTACATGTGTACACATCTTTGTGCAAGCATTCCCAGGGTGTGGGAGTGATTAGCATGGCCTTAGACACAAAGTGACAGGATTTGAGGGTCGGTCAGAGCCCATCTCTTACCCAAGGCTACACTCCAGGCTGAGAGAAGGGCTGGGGAGACAGGAAAGGGCAGCTCTCTGTATGCCAGGCCTCTCGGCCTGGGCTTTCTTGGGTGGGGAGCCTCTTGGTGTGGAAACACTCTGTCCCTGTTCAGCTCCCTTTCCGTCTCTTGCTGGCTGGTAGCAGAATGTGATGGCTGGTAGCCCCAATTACTCCTTTTTCTCTGATCCAGGAGAAAAGTTTAAGAGTAGAAAGCCAGAAGATGTGTGCGTGTTGGGTGGAGGTGTGTGTGTGTCACAGTCACCTCCGCCTACCAGTGACACATCCCCCACTCCTCACCGGTCAGCATTTCCACACCCACCCTGCCCTCCTCCTTTCCCCAGCCTCTGGTCTGGAAGAGCTGGGCACCTTTCAACATCTCTCCTCAACTCTTCACCCTAGCTGAATCCTGACTGGCCCCCTCACACTCAGGTTTGCCATAGCCCTGTCTCCTGTCTTATCCTGGGACCCCCCTACCACCTTTCCTCCCACCTCTTGTCTCTGTGTGCTCCCCAATCCCTGCCTCAGTAAACTCCACAAACACATACAACTGGGTAACCGTCATCCAGATCAAGAAACAAGACACCTTTAGCACCCCAGAAGCCCCCCCCCCCATGCCCCTACTAGTCACTACCCCCTCAAGAGTATCACACTTCTGACTTGGAGCACTACAGATTAATGTTGCCTCTCCTCAAACTTCACATAAATAGAACTGTGCAGCATGCTCTTTCCTGTGTCTGGCTTTTGTTCAACATCATCTTAGTAAGATCCATCACACTACTGCATATAACTATAGTTCATTCCTGCTTTATTTTATTCCACGGTGTGAATAAACCACAATTTATTTATTCTACTGATGTGAAATGTTTGAGTAGTTCCCAGTTTGGGGCTATTATGAGCTATGTTGGGTATATTCCTAGGAGTGGAATTGCGGGGTCATAGGGTTTGCATGTGTTCACCTTTAGTACATTTAGTAGATTCTGTCAAACAGTTTTCCAAAGTGCTTGTACCATCTGGTCCTGCCAGGATCTTCCCTGGCCTGGCCTCTGATTCTGCCTCAGCCCTGGTGGCTGTGTCTAACCAACTTCCAGTCCCAGACACTGTCCGTGGTCCTAGCCCTGACCTTGGTCCTGCCCTTGGTTCCAGCCTTAATGCTAGTCCTGCGTTTACATTGAACTTTTCATTCATTCATATAGTCGGTAAATATTTATTGAGCACCAGTTATGTGCCAGATGCAGGGATACAGCAGCCAAGAAAAAAAAATAGGTGCCATGCCTGCCCTCATGGACTTTATAGTCTAGTGGGCAAGAAAGTAATAAAATAATCTCACAGTATATTTATTATTACTTTGGACTTCAAAAAAATATTTGTTTATATATGATTGCAAATTGTTATAAACGCTACACATGAGAATGGCATGATGCTGTGATATCACATGATAGGAGGACCTGACCTGGTCAGGAAAACTTCCCTGTGAAAAAAATGGCGGGCTGAGACCTGAAGGATGAGAAGGCCAAGAGAGAAGGGAACAGTGTTCCACACGGATGGAACAGAGTATACAAAGATCTGGGGTTGGGGATGGGCACAGAGAGTATGAGGGACTTGAAGGTCAGTGGAGCTGGAATGGAGGGAGGGAGGGAAATGTTATGGGTGGTGAAGTGGGAGCAGGGGATACATGATGGTAGGGCTGTTTGTCAGTGTTCTAAGAGAATTTGGAAGGGAGACACTGAAGCATTTTGAGGATAGGGACATCCTGATTGCGTTTGTGAGACTGTAGAGGGCAAGAGTGGAAGCAGAGGGAAGGGTCAGGGCTGGACACAGTGGCTCACGCCTGTAATCCCAGCACATTGGGAGGCTAGGGTGGGAGGATTGCTTGAGTCCAAGAGTTCAAGGCCAGCCCGAGCAACATAGAAAGATCCTGTCTTTGCAAAAAAAATTAAAAATTAGCTGAGCGTGATGGCACACACCTGTAGTCCCAACTACTCAGGAGGCTGAGGTGGGAGGATTGCTTGAGCAACAGGAGGTCAATGCTGCAGCGAGCTATGATCGCACCACTGCACACCAGCCTAGGTGACAGAGTGAGACCCTGTCTCAAAAAAAAAGAAAAAAAAAGCAGCCAGGAGGCAATTGCAGTTGTCAGGCAAGAGGCGGATGGAAGCTTGGATTAGAATGAAGGTAAGTGGGAGAGAAGGAAATGAATTAAAGAGATGTTTATGAGAAAATACAGGTAGATACAAGGAAATATGGTAGCCTTGAATGGGCTATTAGGTTTCTGGCTTGTAAAGCTGGATGAATGGTGGGGTCCTGAGCTTCAATGGGGAATTCTGGGAGGGGATGGGATACAGGAAGGTGACCGTGAGTTCAGGTTACAGGCATGGTGAATTTGAGGTGCCCAAGTGGAGATGCCAAGTAGGCAGGTGGATATATTGCTGTGGAGCGAGAGGAAGATGACTGGGGTGTTTTACAAATTGGTGTATAGTTTGGAAATTGAAGTTATAAGTCTGGATGAAGGTACCAGGTGGATGACTAGAGCAGTAGGTCTATTAATTTAGTAGAAATTTGTTGCACATTACAATCATCTGGGGAGCTTTTAAAAATACTGAGTAAAATTCACTTACTTGGTCGTTCTAGTCACATCTCAAGTGTTGCAGAGCCTCATATCCCTCCTGGCTACCATATTGGTCAGCGTGGATACAGAATGTTTTAAAAGAGAAGGGCCAGGTGTGGTGGCTCATGCCTGTAACCCCAGCACTTTGGGAGGCCGAGGTGGGCAGATCACCTGAGCTGAGGAGCTCAAGACCAGCCTGGTCAAGATGGTGAAACCTCGTCTCTACTAAAAATAAAAAATTAGCTAGGTGTGGTAGCGGGTGCCTGTAGTCCCAGCTACTCGGGAGGCTGAGGCAGGAGAATCACTTGAACCCCAGGAGGCAGAGGTTGCATTGAGCCAAGATCGTGCCACTGCACTCCAGCCTGGGCGACAGAGTGAGACTCCATCTCAAAAAAAAAAAAAAAAAAAAAGATGCGGTGAACTGTGTCTAGTGATTTTGAGAGAAGTCAAAGGTCAAGCAAGATGAAGACAAATGTCCCTTAGATTTTGTGGCACCGAAGTCATTGGGAAGCCCTAGAGGGAGCTGTTTGGTGGGTTGGAGGGAGTAGAGTGGATTGAGGCATGCATAGGCTATAAGGAAATGTAAACATCAAATACAAATAAATTTTGACAACTGTGGCCATGAAGTAGAGGAGAGAAATATGTGGTGGCTGGAGGGGGTGTGAGATTGGGGATAGGTTTTTTAAGGTTTCATTTTTTTTTTTTTTTTGAGATGGAGTCTCGCTCTGTTGCCCAGGCTGGAGTGCAGTGGCACAATCTCAACTCACTGCAACCTTTGCCTCCCAGGTTCAAGCGATTCTCCCGCCTCAGCCTCCCAAGTAGCTGGGATTACAGGCACCT
The DNA here is from genome assembly GCF_000001405.40 of Homo sapiens. Classification (NCBI taxonomy): domain Eukaryota; kingdom Metazoa; phylum Chordata; class Mammalia; order Primates; family Hominidae; genus Homo; species Homo sapiens. The sequence goes on along the minus strand of NT_113891.3, from coordinate 3,541,630 downwards.
GCCACCATGCCCAGCTAATTTTTTTTTATTTTTTATTTTTAGTAGAGACGGGGTTTCACCATGATCGCCAGGCTGGTTTTGAACTCCTGACCTCAAGTGATCCGCCTACCTTGGCCTCCCAAAGTACTGAGATTACAGGCATGAGCCACCACACCCAGCCATGGTTCAATTTTTATACAGCAAAATGCCAAAGTCTTAAGTGTGCAGCTCAATGAGTTTTTGAATATGTATATATCTATGTAACCACCCAGATTAAGATACAAAATATTTCCAGAAATATGACTCCTTCCGGTCAATAATCCCTACAAGTAATCTGATCCTATCTTCTAAAAGCAAAGATTAACTCTGCCTGTTTTTGTTTGTTTTTTTGTTTGTTTTTTGACATAGAGTCTTGATCTGTTGCCAGGCTGGAGTGCAGTGGCATTATCTTGGTTCACTGCAACCTCCGCCTCTGGGATTCAAGCAATTCTTTTGCCTTAGCCTCCCAGGTAGCTGGGACTACAGGTGTGTGCCACCATGCCCAGCTAATTTTTGTATTTTTAGTAGAGACAGGGTTTCACCGTGTTGGCCAGGATGGTCTCCATCTCTTGACCTCGTGATCCGCCCGCCTCGGCTTCCCAAAGTGCCGGGATTACAGGCATGAGCCACTGCACCCAGCCTCTGCCTGTTTTTGAACCTCATATAAACGGCATTATTCAGAGTGTTTTCTTTTTTCTTTTTTCTTTTTTTGGTAGCTCAGGAAGGGTATATAAGAGTATAAGAGCATTCTCTTTCTGTGTGTGATATTTTTTACTCAGCACTATGTGTGTGAAATTCACCCATGTTGCATGTAGCAATAGGGTGTTTTTTATTGCTGTATAGTATTCCATTGTATGACTCTGGCACAATTTATTTATCCACTTTATGAATGGACACTTGAGTTGCTTTCAGTTTTAGCTAATATAGGAATAAATCTCATGAACATTATGGTCTACGTCTTTTGGAAGAACTATGCAGTCATTCCCACCGGATATTTAGTTATAGATATCTGGGTTATAGACTATATGTTTTAGCAGATACTACCAAACAACTTTCCAGTGTTTGCATTAATATATGCTCCCACTTGCAACAGATGACAATTCCAGCTGCTTCACATTCTTGCCAATATCAAGCAATGACAGCCTCTTTGAAGAGGGACAAGCATTCTGGAGGATATTTAGTGGCATCTTATTGTGGTTTTAACGTACATTTACCCGATAACTAGTGATTTTGTGCATCTTTTAAAATGCTGCTTGGATCTGGGTGCAGTGGCTCACACCTGTAAGCCCAACTACTGTGGAGGGTGAGGCAGGAGGATTGCTTGAGGCCAGGAGTTCAAGGCCAGCCTGGGCAACACAGCAAGATCCCATCTCTACAAAAAATTTAAAAATTAGCCAGGCATGGTGATGCCCATCTGTAGTTCCAGCTACTCTGGAGGCTGAGGCAGGAGGATCACTTGAGCCCAGGAGTTTGAGGCTGCAGTGAGCTGTGATTGTGCCACTGTGCTTCAGCCTGGGTGACAGAGGTAGAGTTTATCTTAAAATAAAATGAAATAGGGTGGGTGTGGTGGCCCATGCCTGTAATCCTAATAACTTTGGGAGGCCAAGGCAGATCACTTGAGGTCAGGAGTTTGAGACCAGCCTGGCCAACTTGGTGAAACCCTGTCTCTACTAAAAAAAAAAAAAAAAAAAAGGCTGGGTGCGGTGGCTCACGCCTGTAATCCCAGCACTGTGGGAGGCCAAGGTGGGCGGATCACGAGGTCAGGAGATCGAGACCATCCTGGCTAACACGGTGAAACCTCATCTCTACTAAAAATACAAAAAAATGAGCCAAGTATGGTGGTGGGCGCCTGTAGTCCCAGCTACTCAGGAGGCTGAGGCAGGAGAATGGCATGAACCTGGTAGGCAGAGCTTGCAGTGAGCCAAGACGCACCACTGCACTCCAGCCTGGGCGAAAGAGCAAGACTCCATCTCTACAAAAAAAATGAGCTGGGCATGTGGCGCATGCCTGTATCCTAGCTACTCCAGAGGCTGAGGTAGGAGAATCACTTGAGCCCAGGTAAAATAAATAAAATGTTTATTGGCTCTTTGGCTATATTCTTTTCTGGAGTACCTGTTTGTCTTTTGACAATTTAAAAAACTAGGTTTCCTGATTTTGGCTTATTTTGTTTTGCAGAGATTTTTTTTTTTTTTTTTTTTTTTTTGAGATGGAGTTTCACTCTTCCTCTCAGGCTGAAGTGAAGTGGCATGATCTCAGCTCACTGCAACCTCCGCCTCCAGTTTCAAGCGATTCTCCTCCTCAGCCTCCCGAGTAGCTGGGACTACAGGTGCCCGCTACCACGCCCAGCTAATTTTTGTATTTTTAGTAGAGATGGGGTTTCACCATGTTGGCCAGGCTGGTCTTGAACTCTTGACCTCATGATCCGCCCACTTCAGCCTCCCAAAGTGCTGGGATTTCAGGTGTGAACCACCACACCCAGCTGCCTTCTTATTCTCTTAATGATGTAATTTGATGACCTGAAATTTTGTTTTGTTTTTTTCTTTTTCTTTTTTTTGAAACAGAGTATCAGCTCTGTTGCCCAGGCTGGAGTGCAGTGGCATGATCACAGCTCACCACAGCCTCGACCTCCCAGACTCAAGTAATCCTCCCACCTCAGCCCCTGAGTAGCTGGGACTACAGGTGTACCACCACGCCCAGTGAATTCTTTTTGTTTTTTGTAGAGACAGAGTCTCACTATCTTACCCAGGCTGGTCTCCAACTCCTGGGCTCATGCAATCCTCACACTTAAGCCTCCTGAAGTGCTGGGATTACAGATACGAGCCACTGCACCCGGCCTATGGTTAGGTTTTGTGTGTGTTTTACTTAAGAAATCTTGCGGCTGGGTGCAGTGACTCAAGCCTGTAATCCTAGCACTTTGGGAAGCCGAGGCGGGCGGATTGCCTGAGTTCAGGAGTTTGAGACCAGCCTGGCCAACATAGTGAAGCCCCGTCTCTACTAAAAATACAAAAAATAGCTGGGTGTGGGAGCAGATGCCTGTAATCCCCGCTACTCAGGAGGCTGAGGTAGGAGAATCACTTGAACCTGGGAGACGGAGGTTGCAGTGAGCCGAGATAGCACCAGTGTACTCCACTCTGGGCGACAGAGCAAGACTCAGTCTTAAAAAAAAAAAAAAAGAAATCTTGCTTACTCCAAGGTCAGAAATTTTCTGTAAGATATTGCTATGAAAGATATTGCTTTACTTTTCTTATTTAGGTCCTGGGTTCATCTCAAATTAATTTCGGTATATCAGACATAAGGTGGAGAATGACTGTTTTTTTTTTTTTTTTTTTTTTTTTACTTAGGGATGTTGGATTGACCCAGCACCAGGAACTAAAAAGACCATCCTTTCTCCTCTTAACTGCAGGGGCACTTTTGTCGTTAATTAGTTGACCACATATGTGTGGGCCTGTTTCTGGGCCCTATTCTGTTTCATCTGTCTATCCTTGCACCTTTAAAATAAGTCTTGATATTTGATCATGTAAGTCCTGAGGAAGAGGATTTTTGTTTTTTTTTTTCAATTGGAGATATTTGAGCAAGGATCCAGTTGAGAGTGAGGAGTTGAATAAAAAAGAGAGAGAAGCCAAGCATGGTGGCTCATGCTTTTAATCCCAGCTACCTGGGAGGCTGAGGTGGGAGGATGGCTTGAGCCCAGGAGTTCAAGTCCAGCTTCAACCAGGGGGTTGAGCAAGATCCTGTCTCTATATTAGAAAGAGGTCGTGCGGTGACTCATGCCTGTAATCCCAGCACTTTGGGAGGCCAAGGCGGGCACATCACTTGTGGTCAGGAGTTCGAGACCAGCCTGCCTACATGGTGAAACCTCATTTCTACTAAAAATACAAAAATTAGCTGGGCATGGAGGTGGGCACCTATAATCCCAGCTACTCAGGAGGCCGAGGCAGGAAAATCACTTGAGCTAGGAGACAGAGGTTGCAGTGAGCCGAGATCGCACCACTGCACTCCAGCCTGGGCGACAGAGTAAGATTCCATCTCAAAAAAAAAAAAAAAGTGAGAGAGAGAGGGAGAAGATAATCTGCACTTTTCTTAGAAGACAGTAGGAGCTGGGATCCAGGTGTTTGGGGAAGGATTGGCCCTAGGTACTCATCCACTAATTCATTCAACATTGATGTGTCAGATAGAACATTTATGTGCCAGACACAAGTATACAGCAGTCCTGGGATAGATGAGGTCCTTGTTCTCATGGAGCTCCCATTGTAGCATTGAGAGAAAGGTAATAAGTAAACTGATAACTCAGGCAGCAGTAAATGCCATGAAGAACAGGAACAGGATATTGTGATAGAGAGTAATGGAAGACTGCCCTAACTGGGAGTTAAGATTTGAAGATGGAGCCAGCCTTTATGAGCAGAGTGAAGAGCATCCCAGACATAGGGAACACACAATGCAAAGGCCCTTGGAGTAGTGAGAGCTTGTAGTGCTCGTGGGAAAAACAAAAGACCAGTGTAGAGCCGGGTGCGGTGGCTCATGCCTGTAATCCCAGCACTTTGGGAGGCTGAGGCGAGCAGATCACCTGAGGTTAGGAGTCTGAGACCAGCCTGACCGACATGGAGAAACCTGGTCTCTACTAAAAGTACAAAATTAGCCAGGCATGGTGGGGCATGCCTGTAATCCCAGCTACTCAGGAGGCTGAGGCAGGAGAATCGCTTGGACCTGGGAGGCGGAGGTTGTGGTGAGCTGAGATCGCACCACTGCACTCCAGCCTGGGCAATAAGAGTGAAACTCCGTCTCAAACAAACAAACAAAACAAAACAAAACAAAACAAAACAAAAAAACCAGTGTAGGGGAACACAATAGAAAAGGGGGTGAGGAGCAGGGTAAATAAATGATATCAGAGAGGTAGAGAACAGACTTGCCCAGGGAGGGTATCCTTTAGGGTTGGGCGGAATGTGAATTTTTACATGCATGTGAGTTGGGTAGATTACTTGTGGGTGGTGGGACCGTGGGTATGTGCTGGAGAAGGGGGGATTCATTTTGTCTCCTTTTTGAAGCTGCTCTCATACCTACCCTTTCTCCCTGCAGCCTCCTGAATGATGCCAGCCCAGTATGCTCTAACCTCCAGCCTGGTTCTCCTGGTGCTGCTGAGCACAGCCAGAGCAGGCCCCTTCTCTTCACGGTCCAATGTGACACTGCCAGCCCCCCGGCCCCCTCCCCAGCCAGGGGGCCACACAGTGGGGGCTGGAGTGGGAAGCCCCTCTTCTCAGCTTTACGAGCACACAGTGGAAGGAGGGGAGAAGCAGGTGGTATTCACCCACCGCATTAACCTGCCCCCTTCCACTGGCTGTGGCTGTCCCCCAGGCACCGAGCCCCCAGTCCTTGCTTCAGAGGTACAGGCCCTGAGGGTCCGTCTAGAGATCCTGGAGGAGTTGGTGAAGGGGCTCAAGGAACAGTGCACTGGGGGATGTTGTCCTGCCTCTGCCCAAGCTGGCACAGGTGAGCAGGTGATCACAGAAGAGGGTGGAGAGGTGGGGTGGGGTGGGCATTGCTAGTCCATAAAGGTCCTTGGTATGAATTAGAAGAAGGCACTCCTTCCTCACCATGAGGGGTGTGGATGCAGCCCAGAACACAACTTGGAGAGCAGAGCTGGGCTACATGTCAACCAAAGCATATGCGAGGGCCCTGAGAGGCTGCATACATTACACATACTAGCAACTGGGAGCAGACATGGCCTTATGAGATGAGGCTAGCCTGGCTAGGGGCCTGCACATAGGAGCACTACATAGGCTCAGCCTCTCTCCCAGGAGAGAGACTGAGACTTGCCTCTCCCCTCCTACTCCAGGTCAGACAGATGTGCGGACCCTCTGCAGTCTCCATGGTGTGTTTGATCTGAGCCGCTGCACCTGTTCCTGTGAGCCAGGCTGGGGTGGGCCCACCTGCTCAGACCCCACAGATGCTGAGATCCCTCCCTCTTCCCCACCCTCAGCCTCGGGGTCCTGCCCAGATGACTGCAATGATCAGGGTCGCTGTGTCCGTGGTCGTTGCGTGTGCTTTCCCGGCTACACTGGCCCCAGCTGTGGCTGGCCATCCTGTCCCGGGGACTGCCAAGGCCGTGGGCGCTGCGTGCAGGGCGTGTGTGTGTGCCGGGCAGGCTTCTCAGGCCCCGACTGCAGCCAGCGCTCCTGCCCTCGAGGTTGCAGCCAGAGGGGACGCTGTGAGGGTGGGCGCTGCGTGTGTGACCCAGGCTACACTGGTGACGACTGTGGCATGAGGAGCTGCCCTCGCGGTTGCAGTCAGAGGGGGCGCTGTGAGAATGGGCGCTGCGTGTGTAACCCCGGCTACGCTGGCGAGGACTGTGGGGTGAGGAGCTGCCCTCGGGGCTGCAGCCAGCGGGGACGCTGCAAGGACGGGCGCTGCGTGTGTGACCCCGGCTACACTGGCGAGGACTGTGGTACGCGGAGCTGCCCCTGGGACTGTGGCGAGGGCGGGCGCTGCGTGGACGGCCGCTGCGTGTGCTGGCCCGGGTACACAGGCGAGGACTGCAGCACGCGGACATGTCCGAGGGACTGCCGGGGCCGCGGGCGCTGCGAGGACGGCGAATGCATTTGCGACACGGGCTACAGCGGGGACGACTGCGGCGTGCGCAGCTGCCCTGGCGACTGCAACCAAAGGGGCCGCTGCGAGGACGGCCGCTGCGTGTGCTGGCCGGGGTACACTGGAACCGATTGCGGCTCGCGCGCCTGCCCACGCGACTGTAGAGGTCGCGGGCGCTGCGAGAACGGCGTGTGTGTTTGCAATGCGGGCTACAGCGGCGAGGACTGCGGTGTGCGCAGCTGTCCTGGGGACTGTCGTGGCCGGGGCCGCTGTGAGAGTGGCCGCTGCATGTGTTGGCCGGGGTACACAGGCCGGGACTGCGGCACGCGCGCCTGTCCTGGCGACTGTCGCGGGCGCGGGCGCTGCGTGGATGGCCGCTGCGTGTGCAACCCGGGCTTCACCGGTGAGGACTGTGGGAGCCGTCGCTGTCCCGGGGACTGCCGTGGGCACGGCCTTTGCGAGGATGGCGTGTGCGTGTGTGACGCAGGCTACTCAGGGGAAGACTGCAGCACGCGCAGCTGCCCCGGGGGCTGCCGAGGCCGCGGCCAGTGCCTAGATGGGCGGTGTGTGTGCGAGGACGGCTACTCTGGCGAGGATTGCGGTGTGAGGCAGTGCCCGAATGACTGCAGCCAGCACGGCGTGTGCCAGGACGGTGTGTGCATCTGTTGGGAAGGCTACGTGAGTGAGGACTGCAGCATCCGCACCTGCCCCTCCAACTGCCACGGGAGGGGCCGCTGTGAGGAAGGGCGCTGCCTGTGCGACCCAGGCTACACCGGCCCTACCTGTGCCACCCGCATGTGCCCGGCTGACTGCCGGGGACGTGGGCGGTGTGTGCAAGGAGTGTGCCTGTGCCACGTGGGCTATGGCGGTGAGGACTGCGGGCAGGAAGAGCCTCCAGCCAGCGCCTGCCCTGGAGGCTGCGGGCCCCGGGAACTGTGCCGGGCAGGCCAGTGTGTGTGTGTAGAGGGCTTCCGAGGCCCTGACTGTGCCATCCAGACATGCCCAGGGGACTGCCGTGGCCGAGGAGAGTGTCACGATGGCAGCTGTGTCTGCAAAGATGGGTATGCTGGCGAAGACTGCGGAGAAGGTGAGCAGGCAGCCTTCCCCAGTGTACTCTGGGACTGTGATTCTGTGAACAGGAGCCATGGGGAAGACCTGAGCCTGAGGAAGAGTGGAGGGAGAGCATGTCATTCCAAGGAGCCAGTGCCCACCAGGGGCAGCAGAACCACAGGGGTGGGGCTTTCCAGTGGGCAGGACTGGCCTTCAGATCTCTGAGGAGCAGGTTGGGGCCCATTTAGTTGCATTTAGGGAGATTCTGTGCTCCTGAAGATGGAGAGAAGGTGAAGGCGATCCAAGCCCCGTTCAGCCCTCTGTCAGCTATTCTCCACTAGCAGAGAGGAGTGGGAGTTAGGATGGGCCTCTTCGATGTCCCTGAGTAAAAGGGGCTGTGGGTGGGGGTGGTTGCCTTGTGCTAACCAGCTTTCCCTAACCCATTCTCTTGGGCAGAGGTGCCAACCATTGAGGGCATGAGGATGCATCTCTTGGAGGAGACAACAGTTCGGACAGAGTGGACCCCGGCTCCTGGCCCCGTGGATGCCTATGAAATTCAGTTCATCCCCACGGTGAGAGAGATGCCAGGCTCCAGGAGGGGACTGAGTGGGCAGGACAGGGGGGCAGGGCTCACCTCCTGGAGGAAGTTCCAGGTGATCATTGGTTGAGTCCAGATGGCTGGGTACCTGAAGCTGCTGTAAAGGCTTTCTTAGCCTGCTTGACACTGGGCACTGAGGCCTCTGCAGCATCTCCAGCAAGCATTGGTCCCACACAGTTGGAACACCTGGTAACAGAGAGCTCAGTACTTCCTGAGGCTGTCCAGTCCATTGTTGGTCATCACTGTTAGCTGTTATCATTGTTGCAGAATCCGTCTGCCCCTATTCTAGCACCTGTCCGTTGGCCCTAGCTGGGTATTCATCAGCAGCTGGAATGTTTTTTGCTTTCCCTGTGTCCTACACCACAGGCCTTCAGGTATTTGGAGACACCAGCCTGATGTCTTCATTCCTCAGGCAAAACCTCCCAGTTTCTTCGCCCCTTTTCCCTAAGTCTTTATTCTCTGAATCCTTTACCTTCCTGTGATTCTTGCTTTTTTCATGTGCCCCCAAAATGTGGGGACAGAGAGGGGCCCACTGACTTACTCTGAATTTATGGACACTTTTCTCAGAGCTGGCGTATAGCAATTTGTAGTCACACAAGCAGGCAGCTGTTTTGGTCATATTTGGTTTTTTAAGTAACTTTTAATTATAAAAGTAATATAGGCCCCGTGCAGAAAACTTAGAAAATACAGATTAGCAGGGAAAAAAGATGGAAGGAAAGAAGACAACATTCAACTATATACACTTTTTTTTTTTTCACCTAAATATAGGCCTTTGCATTTGGCCCTGTTCAATGTTATCTTTTTTGGTTTGGGCCAAGCTGTCTAGGCTGTTGCAATAATTTTGAGTCTGTGAACTTCATCTCCCACCTCCTTGTCATCAGTACATGCAAACCAGTTTTTTCTCTGTCTCCCTCCAACTTGCTCTTTTTTTTTTTTTTTTTTTTTTTTTTTTTTTGAGACAGAGAGTCTCACTCTGTGGCCCAGGCTCGAGTGCAGTGGTGCCATCTCAGCTCACTGCAACCTCTGCATCCCAGGCTTAGGTCATCCTCTTACCTCAGCCTCCCAAGTAGCTGGGACTACAGGTGTGCACCACCTTAGCCTGCTAATGTTTGTATTTTTAGTAGAGACGGGGTTTCTCCATGTTGCATGCCCAGGCTGGTCCTGAACTCCTGGGCTCAAGTGATCTGCCCGCCTCAGCCTCCCAAAGTGCTGGGATTACAGGCATGAGCCACCACTCCTGGCCATCCAACTTGCTCTTAAAACATTAGAGGGAACACCCTAAGGACAAAGCCTTGTGGTCACTTATTTGGGGCCTCCCTTTGTGCAGACTGGGCTTTTAAGATATGGTCGTTTCCCCAGCTGCAAATCTTCTGACATTTCTACCATCCAACTCATGTTTTCCTGCATCATCCCACAAATGCCATATGGGGTGTGGGCCATGTCATCCTCATCTTCATCAGCTTAGCCAGGACTCTGTAAAAATAAACAACTCCCTGGGCCTAAAGCCTCGGAAGGCACTAGGACAGAAGGGGACAGCTCAGAGGAACTGTCATCCTCACTCCACTTTGCTTTGTCTTGTCATTATGCTCCTCAGGCCAGCCCCCTACTATGTTCTGCCTCTCCTCACTCTCCAGCCAAAGCAGAAGCAGAAATCTCAACTTCGTGGCGCAACCAAGATAGCTTGAATTTTTTCTTCTGTTTAAACATCTTTTTTTGTTGTTGTTATAAAAATACTTTAATCACGAGACAAGAATTTGGCAACTAGAGAAAAGAAAAACAATTCCTGGCTGCTCCTCACTAAAACAAGCACTGCTAACATTTTAAAGTGTTTCTCCCACTCTCTTCTTCTCTGTATATATTATTTACATAGCTCTAATCTTGAAAGGGTGGGACTTCGAAAAGGAAGTTTCTTAAGAAATTTCAGGGAAAGAAGAATTAAAATAAACACTTGAGATAAGAGGAGCTTTTAGGGCAGCAGTTGTCTCCTGCTCTGAGTAAATAAATACAAACCGATCCTTGGTGTTGTCAAGGGCGCCGCTTTCCAGTTGAAGCCCTAGACTTTCTCCCTCACTCAGAGCCAGGATGGTGGTGCCAAGTTGGCCTGTGCCAGGCTTGGCCATGTTCTTAGCTCATCCATTCTGCTCTCGGTATGGGCATCTGTCACATTCTGGGTCTTCTCTGAGCCTGGGTGTGGAAAACACTCCTGTAAAATTGGTCCCCAGACACTCCTCTTGGGCCTGGGCTACCCACCCTCAGACCATGCTTTCTGCTGTCTGTAGCTGGTCCCTGGCATCGTACCTTCTGCCTTGGCAAGTGCCATCTATTTCTTTTCTTTTCTTTCTTTCTTTTTTTTTTTTTGAGACAGAGTTTTGCTCTTGTTGCTCAGGCTGGAGTGCAATGGCGCAATCTCGGCTCACTGCAACCTCTGCTTCCCAGGTTCAAACGATTCTCCTGCCTCAGCCTCCCAAGTAGCTGGGATTACAGACACCTGCCACAATGCCCAGCTACCCTTTGTCCATTTCTGTGGGTACAGAGTATATTCAATAGCTGTCTGTCCTCTGGCTGCTGCTGTCATCCTAGAAGCCTATCTCTACCTCTTACCTTCCCTCTTCCCAGAAGCACTTCTCTCTCAAAGCCCAAACTCTGCTATTCCAGATCAAGGGACATACCTAGTTATTGGAATTATTTTTCAGAATGCAGAAGAAGAAAGTTTCTCCTCTCCCTGTATATGTGGCACTGTTACTCTGACTCAGTGGTTCTCAAAGTGTGTTCCCTGGACCTGCAGCATCAGCATCACCTGGGAGTATGTTAGGCATGCAAATTGTCAGACTCCCCCACTAGATCTACTGAGTCAGAAAGTCTGGGCACAGAGCCCAGTAACCTGTATTGCAACAAGCCCTCCAGGTGATTCTGATGCCCCTCCAGCCTGAGGCCCCCTAAGTGAAGGAATGTTGCTATCTTGCAAAGTGCTAGCTCCACTATGAATGTGAGAGAAAGCATGGGGAAACTGAGGGAGATGAGTTCCTGAATGAGAAAGAGGTTCAGATATTCCTTGTCTGGGTGTGTCCTGCAGCCTGGAAATCAGGGCTAGGCTAAGTGTTCACTGGGACTCAAAACCTCACAGCCTCAGAGAAGTTTTTGCTTGGGTCTAGTCTAAAAACAGCAATGAGGGTGAGATAAGCTCCAAGGACCAGCCAAGGTAGAGTTCATCTGGAGCCACGAGGTTAATATTGAGATAAACTCTAAAACTTCCCAAGAACAAAATCAGTGAAGCAGGCCAGGCGCAGTGGCTCATGCCTGTAATCCCAGCACTTTGGGAGGCCAAAGTGGGTGGATCATCTGAGGTCAGGAGTTTGAGAACAGCCTGACCAACATAGTGAAACCCCATCTCTACTAAAAATACAAAATTAGCTGAGCATGGTGGTGTATGCCTGTAATCCCAGCTACTTGGGAGGCTAAGGAAGAATCCCTTGAATCTTGGAGGCGGAGGTTGTAGTGAGCTGAGATCGTGCCATTGCACTCCAGCCTGGGAGACAAGAGCGAAATTCCGTCTCAAAAAAAAAAAAAATCAGTGAAGCAGCCAAGCTTTACCAAGGGGCAGAGCCAGCTGCCAGCATCTGTTTAGAAAGACTGCTTCAGGGCCAGGTGTGGTGGCTCACGCCTGTAATCCCAGCACTTTGGGAGGCTGAGGTGGGTGGATCACCTGAGGTCGGGAGTTCGAGACCAGCCTGACCAACATGGAGAAACCCCGTCTCTACTAAAAATACAAAATTAGCCGGACATGGTGGCGCATGCCTGTAATCCCAGCTACTCGGGAGGCTGAGGCAGGAGAATCGCTTGAACCCGGGAGGCGGAGCTCGCGATGAGCTGAGATCGCGCCATTGCACTCCAGCCTGGGCAACAAGAGCAAAACTCCCTCTCAAAAAAAGAAAAAAGAAAGCCTGCTTCAGACCAGTAAGATGGTGCTAGGAGACGTAGGAGACATGGGTTAGGTTGATGGACTTTCAGGGGACTGTTCCCAGATGGATCTCAGGAGGAACCAAGAAGTGTCTAAAGGATATATATAGGGAGAAGGAGAACTCTGGGGATAGGCTTGCCTCACTGAAAGAACCAGACATCATCAGGGAGCATCCAAGGTGTGTGTATTGCGGCTGTGGGGATGGGGTGGGTGTGGATAAAGAGAAAGAGACATACACACACACAGAGAAAATGAACAAATAAATTCTGGGAAGGGTAAGGATTTCATGGGTCTTGAGTTGAGGCCAACCCAAGGCTTCCTAGGCTGGGGTATTCTAAGGCAGGGTGAATAGGAGAGGGCTGGAGGTCCTATGTGCCCAGGAAAACTTTTCAACCCAGAAAACTGACAAAGCTTTACTTCATCCTCAACCCAGAAATCTCTACGTGGCCTTCTCATCTGGTTTTATACTTCGGTATTTACTATGTTGATTTCCCCACAGTTCTCTTGGTTTAGGAGAGTACCTTTTGAAATTTCCAATCCTACTTGGCTGAATGGAGGTGTCCCCATCACAGCCAACATAGCTAGGCAGAACACAGCATCCTTAGCGGCTGTCCTAGCTGGACAGCACAGCAAAATGTGGGGCTGTTAGAATGCTCACAGATGTACAGTTCCTCCTGTTTCCCCAGTGGTGGGCATTCCAGGAGACCCTGCCTGGAGCAGGGTCCAGTAGATTCCCTTTGGAGGCACCACACATAATCATAATTCCTTAAATGTACACTTGTAGGAGTGTTGTTTTCTCACAAGCATTTGCTAAGCATAGAGATTGTTGTAAGTATCTCATATATTCAAGATGTGGCCATACATTTAGCTATTAGAGTCTCAGCTACCTGAGGACAGGGACCATATATTTTATTTTTGTGTCTCCAATGCCCAGCATGATGCCAGGTACAAAATCAACAATCAGGAAACATATTTGTGGAACTTTGAGCAGGTGGTTCTTGTTTTGAGGAGCCTACAACCCGGGTGAAGAGACAAGAAAAGTCCCTCAAGGGAAAGGTTGTGATGCGGGTCCCACTCCTGTTACACAGCCATGAGCAGGCATCTACGAGGAGGTTCAGGGTGAGGCAGACCCTTTAAGGAGAAAGTGCAACTTGAAGGGGCATCCTTGATCTACTTCATTTGTTCTGACAGGACCAAGCTTAGGAAAAGGCTCCTCATGCCCAGGTAGTCAGAGTTGCCAGGGCAAAGCTGGAGGGAGAGTCCTGGTGCATGTTGGGTGGAATTCTGGCAGATGAACACGGGGTGCCCATGAGAGGGGACTCTGACAGATAAATAGGGGGTGCCCATGAGAGGGGACTCTGGGATCACACTGCTAGGGCCTAAATTCTTGCCATTTTCTTGGTGTTGGTGACGTTGGCAAGATACTTGTCCTTCTGTGTCTCAGTTTCCTTATCTGTAAAATGGGACTAATAGGACCTGTTTCGTAGGGTTGTTGTGAGAATTAAGTGAGTTCATGTGTGTACCTCGCCTAGAACAGTGGCTCACAAGGAGTTAGCGCTCTCAGCATGTTTGCTCCCCAGCTTGTACAGGGTCAAGTTCCACACAGTACCATGCTGACACTGTTTAGAATTGGAGAAAGAAGAGATAAGGGGGATTGAGCAGCAGAGGCAAGAGTGCCAGCCCCTGAGCCACCTGGTGCTCTCTCTCACAGACAGAGGGGGCGAGCCCCCCATTCACAGCACGGGTTCCAAGCTCTGCCTCAGCCTATGACCAGAGAGGACTGGCCCCTGGACAGGAGTACCAGGTCACTGTCCGAGCCCTTCGAGGGACCAGCTGGGGCCTTCCTGCCTCCAAGACCATCACCACCAGTGAGAGCTGGGGCTGTGGGGAGGGGTGTCCTGAGTGGAGATCTGGACTAGAGAGGGAATCTGCCCTCCGGGAGGGCAGAAGGAAGGGGCTGGATGGGGGCTAGGCTCTTGGAAGGAAAGATGATGATTGAAGAACCAGACACCCACCTGAGTCCTCCTCTTTAACCTGGCTAGTGATCGATGGGCCCCAGGACCTCCGAGTGGTGGCTGTGACACCGACAACACTGGAGCTTGGCTGGCTGCGTCCCCAGGCTGAGGTGGACCGATTTGTGGTGTCCTACGTCAGTGCCGGCAACCAGAGGGTGAGGCTGGAAGTGCCCCCTGAAGCAGACGGGACGCTGCTGACTGACCTGATGCCAGGCGTAGAATATGTGGTGACTGTCACAGCGGAGCGGGGCCGGGCAGTCAGCTACCCAGCTTCTGTCAGGGCCAACACAGGTATGGCTGGCCAGAGGTTAGGGAAGGGCCCTGGTTTCCCAGCCTTGGATCCTCCTCCTCAGGAGCCCAGGCTCAGGGCTCACAGACTCCTCTGAATGCTTCTGGCAGGTGTGTGGCAGTCTCGAGGCACCTGCTGGGGGCCTTGCTCTGTCCTGAGGCCACTGGGGAGACAGAGCCCTCAGATGCCTGGAGTCCTGTAGGAAGGTTACAGGTTAGCCTATGAAAGGAATGGCCCCAGGGAGAGAAGTGAATAGGAGATGCTGCCTGATCCAGTCAGTTAAGGGAGGTTCTTTTTTAAATTTAGGTACCGGGACAGGCCTTGTGCTGATAGATCTTGTGGGACTGGAATTAGGCAGATTAGAGATCATCAGTCCTGTTGACTTTTGGATTGGGATTGCTGGGAGGTGGGTCTCACAGCAGTGATTTTCCACTAAACCTCGAGGTTTCTTAACAGATACCTGGATATTTTTCTTTTCCTGTGACAGGGGGACACCCACCTCGCTGTAGCTCATGTTCTCTTCCCCGACTCCCCTTTCTCTCCTTCAGCTACAGGGCCCCACCCACGGGCTTCTCTCTTCTTTCTAGGGCACCAACAGTGGTGGGCTTGGAGGGGAATGGGGGGGCTGCGGGACACTGACCGATTTCCCTCCGTTCTCTTTCCAGGTGGGGCTGGGGCACAGGGAAGAGGCCTCTGGCTCTGGTGGGAGGGATCGAGGGAGGGGCTGCCGCGGGAAGGAGTGCCGGGAGGGAGCTGCCACTGACCTGTTCTCCCCTTTTTTGCCCCTGGCAGCACCAGGCCACTACAGTTACCCGGAGGTGCGCCCCCCAGCCCCGCCCCCCAAGTCCCGGCCCCGGCCAGCCCCAGCCCCGCGGCCCCCACGGCCCCCTTGGCCCTCGAGGCCAGCAGAGGAAAGGGAGGAGGAGTCCCCGCCCAGGCCAAGCCTGTCCCAGCCCCCACGGCGGCCTTGGGGCAACCTGACGGCCGAGCTGAGCCGTTTCCGCGGCACGGTGCAGGACCTGGAGCGCCACCTGCGGGCTCACGGCTACCCACTGCGGGCCAACCAGACTTACACGTCGGTGGCGCGCCACATCCATGAATACTTGCAGCGGCGTCTGTTGGCCGCCGCCCCAGCCGGCTCCCCCGCACCCCCGCCCCGCCACCCCCGCCCCACCGCCAGCCCTGATCCCGGCACCAGGAAACGGGACTCCAACCAGGGAATCTACGGCCTCTCGCCTGAAGGCGTCGACCGGGTGGCTGCGTCCCGCCACCCCAAGCCAGAGGTGCTGGGCAGTTCCGCCGATGGCGCGCTTCTCGTGTCTCTCGACGGGCTCCGCGGCCAGTTCGAGCGCGTGGTGCTGCGCTGGCGGCCTCAGCCGCCTGCAGAGGGCCCCGGCGGTGAGCTGACTGTGCCGGGCACCACGCGCACCGTCAGCCTGCCCGACCTCAGGCCCGGCACCACCTACCACGTGGAGGTCCACGGGGTGCGGGCGGGGCAGACCTCCAAGTCCTACGCCTTCATCACCACCACAGGTAGTGTGGGCTGGGGCCACGGGACACCTATCCCTTGTCCAGCCTCACCTGCCGTTGGAGCCTGCATTCATGAATTCCTCCCACTGCCACCCCCCACTGCCCCCTTCTACCTTCAGGCCCTACCTGGCCGGGGCTCCAGGGGGCCCCCAGGACAAAGCACGAGTCCATTGTCCCTAGAAGACGTCCCCACCCCAGGGTCCTGGCATCCATCCTGTGGATGCCTAAGGTCAAGGCAGCGCCTTCTTTGGGGTTTCCCGGGACACTTCCAGGATTGTTATTTTAGGCAATAGAGGGTGATGTGGTTGGGGCACCTGCAAAGATTCACTGGAGCAGTTTGAGTGGGCTGGGAATTGAAAACAGTGATTCCCGTTCTGACTCACTGTGGTGAGAGTGGCTGAAGACTGTGGTTAGTGGTTACTGTTTTCCACAATTTGGCCTTGACCTTGAAGGGACACATCAGAACTGCGTGGGGGTGGCCTGGGTGCCATCAGGCAGCAACTGTATATTGGGGAGGTGAAACCACTGCTTCTTAAGCTGGCTTTTCAGACCCCCTGGCTCACTTTATGCTGGTCTCTCCCACAGGAACGATGTCTGGGCTTGGGGAAAGGGCACCCTGTGGCTGCTGTGGGGAGGGTGGTGGACCTCTTCTTCCCCCATAGGGCCCAGATGCCACCTGACCTGGATGTCCACCCCCACACCCTCTCTCTCTTCCCACTGCCCACTCTCCTCTTGCATCCTCCCTCTCTAACACCACTGTCTTTCTTCCAGGCTTCTCACTGCAGCACTAATGGAAGCCACCTGACCACCACCCAGTGGGGGGGATGTATGTGGGGAGGGACATGGAAGTCTCCGGGGGCTGGAGGTCATGGAAGCCTTGTGGGGTGAAGGATAGCAGGCTTTATTTTACCTATTACCTGCCTGAAGCACAGGCCCGTCTGCTCAGGAATGTGGTAGATGGGGGTGTTTGGAGGATTGGCTGACCTTTGGGAGGAGGGAGTGGCCCAGGTGAGGGAACCAGAAGTAGAAGTAGAACAAGGCTCTTAGAGGCTGGAGGGCAGAACCTGGGGACTGGGGATTCCTTTCTAGTTCTCATACTGGACTCTCCTCTTTTTCTCACCCTGCCCCTTCCCAGGGTCCTCACCCTTGGGCCTCTTGGGGACTACCGATGAGCCTCCTCCCTCAGGCCCCTCGACGACGCAAGGGGCCCAGGCTCCTCTCCTGCAGCAGCGCCCCCAGGAGCTGGGAGAGTTGAGGGTGCTGGGCAGAGATGAGACAGGGCGCCTCCGTGTGGTCTGGACCGCCCAGCCTGACACCTTTGCCTACTTCCAACTGCGCATGCGGGTGCCCGAGGGGCCGGGGGCACATGAGGAAGTGCTGCCAGGGGACGTCCGCCAGGCTCTGGTGCCTCCACCCCCTCCTGGAACCCCGTATGAGCTGTCACTTCATGGGGTCCCTCCTGGGGGCAAGCCCTCTGACCCCATCATCTACCAAGGCATTATGGGTACATCTTGGACTCTGCTCAGATCAATATCCTGAGATTGGGGGAGGAGCTGGGGTTATTGGGACTTCAGAGGTAGGATGGATATTGAGGGGCCAGTGAAGGGCAGGGCTGATGTTTGGGGCTGGATAGAGGAGAAAAGGAGAGAAAAGGAATTGCAGGTTCAGCAGGAAGATGGATCGAGGGGGATCTTAAAACAATGATAAGGATGGGTGGGGAGAGGGGAAAGAGGCAGAGGTAAAAAGGCCGAGGGTGGGACAGAGATTCCAGGAGAGAGGCTGAAGGTCCCTGGCCCTCCACCTGCAGCTTTCCTTGCCCTGTCCCCTGCCCCCACTCTTCGGTTGCTCCTCTGCCCTTCCCTGCCCTATAAATCTTTCAGGGTGGGCATGGGAAGGCCTCTGGACACTGACCCTCAGCCCCCAATACCTCGTCCCTGGGAGCCTGGTTTGCAGTGGACAGCAGTCCATGGTCCCATCAGCCAGTTTCTGCTGGGGGTGAAGGCTCCTTGGGGCAGGGGGCTCCACAGCCATCAGGACTTCAGACATGGATGAGGTTTGCAGGACCAGTGAAAGACAGGTCCTGGGGTACCTGGCTTTCACATCCCCTCTTTGTTCCTCTCTGTGGGACCAGGGTGGCTGACTCATCCCCCAGCTCCAGGTCAAGCTCACCACTGGAAGAGAGGGTGGTAAGAGAGACAGCAGCTCAGGTGGGCAGAGGAGCTTTCAGACTGCTCTGATGCTGCAGCAGGGAGGCTTGAAACTCTCATTCAGAACCAGGGGGACCTGAAACCCCCGCAAAGATCCTGGTGTGCAGAGAGACCAAGACCTTGTGAGGGATGGAGAAACTGTCACAAGGGAAGAAGCAGAGATTGAGAGGGAAATGCCCCTCTTCCAGAAGAGCTAGTCACTGAGGGGTGGGCAGATAGAGTCTTCCGGGGAGGGATCTATCCAGGATGGAGTGAGGTGGGCAGGGGAGAGGGAAGGAGACACAGACAAGAGAACGGTTGAGTCCACTATGCTTTGCTTTTGCCTCTCAAACTCCAGACAAGGATGAGGAGAAGCCTGGGAAGTCCTCAGGCCCACCACGCCTGGGTGAGCTGACGGTGACAGACAGGACCTCCGACTCCTTGCTCCTGCGCTGGACGGTCCCCGAGGGCGAGTTTGACTCCTTCGTGATCCAGTACAAAGACAGGGACGGGCAGCCCCAGGTGGTGCCCGTGGAAGGACCCCAGCGCTCGGCCGTCATCACCTCCCTGGATCCTGGCCGCAAGTACAAATTTGTCCTGTATGGGTTTGTTGGCAAGAAGAGGCATGGTCCGCTGGTGGCTGAAGCCAAGATCTGTGAGTGACAGCAGTAACACCCTGCCCTCTGTACTGCCCTGAAGAGGTTTTCTCAGTGCTTTGGGAACCTGCTTTGGGAGCTCCGGGAAGGCTTCCTGGAGGCAGTGGTGCATGAGCTGAATTCTGAAGGGAAAGTAGTGGTGGGGCAGGCAAAGAGTTTGAGAAGCTCAGTGCAGCCTGAGGGAGTCACGGTGAGTAAGGTGGGGAGAGCATGGCCAGTAAGAGAATCACTGTTACAGTTTCCTCTGGCTGGAGAACAGGGCATGTGGGGGGTGCCAAAGGGCCTGGTCTCAGGGCTTCCTGTGCTGTGCTGAGGGGCTTGGGCCTCATTCGAAGGCCCCTAGAGGGCCTCTGAAGGGTAAAGTGGGAGAGTGATGAGACTAGATATTTATCTTGCAAATAACCGGGTGGCTGCTGAGACTAGCTGGAGAAGTGAGTTAAGAGCTGGTAAAGGCTAGCAGGGTTGATCCTGCCTATAATCCCAGCACCTTGGGAGGCCAAGGCAGGAGGATCGCTTGAGGCTAGGAGTTTGAGACCAACCTGGCAACATAGTGAGACCCCCCATCTCTACTATAACAAAAGATATTAGCCAGGCGTGGTGGTGCGTGCCTGTAGTCCCAGCTACTTGAGAGGCTTGAGGTGGGAGGATCGCTTGAGCCCAGGAGACCGAGGCTGCAGAGAGCCATGATTGTGCCACTGTACTCCAGCCTGGGTGCTATCCACACTCTGCACAGAGCAACACCCTGTCTCAAAAAAAAGAAAAATGATGATGGGTCAGCTGGGATGGTGGCAGTGGGGCTGGATGGGGGAGGCGAAGGAAAGCAAGGTGTACCAGGCAGCCCCCAGGGTTCTGGATGAGACAGTCCCATTCCCTGAGGCAGGGAGCAGCAGAGGTGGGGAACAACGCCTTAGATAAACTTAGATCAATATCTAAGAGACACTTACATAAATACCTTTTGTGCATTTATTGAGAGTCAGTTGTGATCAAGATGTTCTCTAAGTGGATCATCACACCCCATAAAGCACACCTGGGAGGCATGCCTACTTTATAGGTCAGGAGAATTGAGGCACCAGAGTAGTCGTGTGGGGTTGGGGAAGAGACAGGGCCACTGGAACCCTGTCGACAGCCTACACTCACAGCGGAGGCAGAGGAAGAAGAGCCCACAGGGTAGCTTGCGGAGTGACTTGCAGGGAGGGGCAGAACCAGGGAGGGTGCTGTCTGGACTCCAGGAAGGAGGGTGCGGTTGGACTTGTCAGATTCCGGAACAGTGATTCAAGGGCTACGGAGCGTCCACAGAATTTAGCAATGGCAAGGCCACCCCTGGCCTGCATGAGAGCTGCTGCCTGGTGGAGGGGTGGAGCTGGATCGGGAGGGTGGTGGAGGTGAGGACATGGCTGCAATCAGTGTAGACATCACTTTCTGGAATCTGGACTGGGAATGAGAGCAAAGAGGGAAGATGGAGGCTAGAGAGAGATGCACACAGAGTGGGGGTGAGGAGGGGTGTGACAGTAGCTTGTTGAAATGCTGATGGCACAGCTGCTGGGGAGTGAAGGGTCAGTGCTGCAGGCGAGGGAGTCCATCCATGGGTCAAAGTTCCCAAAGAGGAGGAGAGGCCTGCAGCATAGATGAGGGAGGCTGTCCCACATTAAAACGCTTCAAGGATTGTGCTCTCCTCTCTTGGAGAAGAAGCCAGCTAGTAGTTAGGCTTGGAAGCAGTGGAGGTTGTACTGGGAAGATTTCCCTGGCTATGGAGATGTGAAAGGGCCTGGCTGGGCTCCCCTCTTTCTGAAGCTCCCTGCTGCTCTGGTTTGTGGTTGGAGGCAGAGCCACACTAGTCCACGCAGTGCTTCCATGCCGTTTGAAAGAAGGCACCCATTCCTTAAAGTGGACACCACTCCTCACCAGGGCACACAGCTCGGCAAGCAGAGTGCTGGCTGGATTTCAGTCCCTCTGTACTCCCTCAGCAAATGCACTTTTGTGCAGTGAACAACCTGCACAGCCTCACACAGCATTCCTATGTGGGATTTGGCTTCCCCATTCTCCTTGGACCTAAGTCTCTCCCTTCTCTCTACCCACTCTTCCTAGTGCCTCAGAGTGACCCAAGTCCAGGGACTCCACCCCACCTGGGAAACCTGTGGGTGACAGACCCTACCCCAGATTCACTGCACCTCTCCTGGACTGTCCCTGAGGGCCAGTTTGACACCTTCATGGTCCAGTACAGGGACAGGGATGGACGGCCCCAGGTGGTACCTGTGGAAGGGCCCGAGCGTTCATTTGTTGTCTCCTCACTGGACCCTGACCACAAGTACAGATTCACTCTGTTTGGAATTGCGAACAAGAAGCGGTATGGCCCCCTCACGGCCGATGGCACCACTGGTGAGTAGCAGCCACCTCAGCCCCCATGTGACCCCTTCTCAGCCCCATGCACACTTCCCTTCAGCCCAAAACCAGCTGGGGTCCCCCAGCAAGACAGCTGACTCCAGCTTCCCGGCCCCACTCCAGGGCTGAGGGGCAGCCAGACTCCCCCGCACTGCTGGGCCCCTTCCATCCCAAGCAGCAGCTCCCCGTGGCCCAGAAGGTGTGTCATACCCTGGCTGTGTCAGGCTTCCCAGAAGTTTAGCACTCGAATTAATGGACTAGTGACCCCCCACCCCCCATAGGTGTGACATCCCGTCGAAACCCCAAGCCCCAGTCCCAGGCTGCCAGTTCAGCACCTGGCTGGATCTCCTTGTTTACAGCTCCAGAGAGGAAAGAGGAGCCCCCCCGCCCTGAGTTCCTGGAGCAGCCCCTCCTGGGGGAACTGACAGTGACCGGCGTGACCCCAGACTCCTTGCGTCTCTCATGGACAGTGGCCCAGGGCCCCTTCGACTCATTCATGGTCCAGTACAAGGATGCACAGGGGCAGCCCCAGGCAGTGCCTGTTGCGGGGGATGAGAATGAGGTTACTGTCCCCGGCCTGGATCCCGACCGGAAGTATAAGATGAACCTCTACGGGCTTCGTGGCAGGCAGCGTGTGGGGCCCGAGTCTGTGGTGGCCAAGACTGGTGAGTCATGGCTGCCAGGCCTCCCTCCCCTGCTAGCCCCATCCTGTGAGCGGGACTTGGCTGGGGCTCCTTCCAGCCTCCCTCCATCTTCGCCTTCTCAGCTCATTTTGCCAAAGCCTCCACCCACTTCCTCCCGCACTGCTCTCCTGTCCTCTGCATGCCAGGTCCCCCTCATCCAGCCTCCACCTCCTCATCTCTTCCTCAGCCTCACTTCTTCATCTCCAAGGGCAGGTCCTATTTTCCCCCATTCCAAACACCTGGACTCATCCTTCCACCTGGGGCTGTCCTCCCCACAGATGTCCTCACCATTCGGTCACTGTGTTCTCACCCCTCAGTTTTTACTGGGCTCCTTCATGGTCTGGTTTGGGCCATGGTCACTTCTGGGCTTCTGTCACCTGCTGCCCACAACCTCCTGCCATTTCTGCTGTGTTCAGAGGTGGCAGATCCAAGTGACAAGAGCACCACGTTTCTCTAGCCTTTTTGCAGCATGAAGAGGACTCCTCTCAGCTCCCGACTCCTTGACTCCCAGCCCCCTTGGAACAGGGCAAAGGGATTGTGTTCAGCCCAGCATCCCAGCCTGTTCCTCCATGTCCCCAGCCTTTCCCTGTCCAGTGCCATTCCCCTGGCCTGTGAATTATTTGATGAGAGATAGTGTGGATAGTGGTTAGGAGCAAAGACTCCGGAGCCAACTGCCCGAGTCTCACTACCAGCCTTGCAACTTACTTCCTGTAGGACCTTGTGCAAATTGCTTAACCTCTCTGTGCCTCAGCTTTCCCTTCTGTCAGGTGGCTGGATTTCAGTCCCTCTGCACAGAGCTGTTGGAATTACATGAGTTAATATATGTATAACACTTAGAAAGGCCAGGCACAGTGGCTCATGCCTGTAATCCCAGCATTTTGGGAGGCCAAGGCGGGTGGATCACGAGGTCAGGAGATCGAGACCATCCTGGCTAACACGGTGAAACCGTGTCTCCACTAAAAATACAAAAAATTAGCCAGGCATGGTGGCAGGTGCCTGTAGTCCCAGCTACTCAAGAGGATGAGGCAGGAGAATGGCGTGAACCCGGGAGGCGGAGCTTGCAGTGAGCCGAGATCGCGCCACTGCATTCCAGCCTGGGCGACAGAGTGAGACTCCATCTCAAAAAAAAAACAAAAACAAAAACAAAAAAAGCCCACACACTTAGAATAGTGCTTGGAGCAGCAAAGCATTTTCAGAGTGAGCTGCAATTTCTCCCTGACTCTCTCACTTCCCAGTAATCTTTTTTGCTCCCCACCTCCCTCCCTTCCTCTGGGTTGTCATTCTTGCCAATTCTTTCCTCAATCTGCTATCCCAAAGTAGTCCCCCATGTAGCAGGTCACAGAAGGGCTGGTTTCCCTTGTGCCACAGTCTCCCCACTCCATGGAGCCTCAGCAGAGACCTAACTGTAGGGGGCGGGTAGGTGCCCACAGGGCTGTGATTCCAGAGCCAGCCAGGGAAGGACATGTCTCTCCTTGGATCCCACTCACCCCAGAATTTTTCTCCCACTCATGCCTGGAGCCCTGCCTTAGCAATTCATTCCTTGGGGTTAAAGGGGAGGGAGGGGCAGGGCTGCCTGGGGAGGCCACAGCAAGAGCACATTCCATGGTCAGATCCTCATATGAGGGGTGGGGCAGCCAGAGTGCCCTGGGGAGGGCACAGGTAGGAAGAGGCCTCACTGCCCTCCTCACTGTCTGAGGTCAGCACTGTCAGTGAACGTGGTTTGGAAGAACCCTCAGAGGCTTCCTCTCTTCCCATCTCAGCTCCTTTCTCAGACACGAAGGGAGACCCCTCACCCCCACAGAACCCACCAGAGCAGGATGGGGCAAGGGCTGTCTCAGCCTTCTCCATCCGTGAGTGACCGAATGGCAAATACAAAGGCTACAGAGCCCCTGAGCCCACAGCGTAAGGGCATTTCCATGGCTGTCATCTGTGGGCAGCAGCAGCAAAGCCAGCAGCCCTTTATGCCTCTATCTCTTCTCTCAGCTCCTCAGGAGGATGTGGACGAGACCCCCAGCCCCACAGAACTGGGCACGGAGGCCCCGGAGTCCCCCGAGGAGCCGCTCCTGGGGGAGCTGACAGTGACAGGATCCTCCCCTGATTCGCTGAGCCTCTTCTGGACCGTCCCCCAGGGCAGCTTCGACTCTTTCACCGTGCAGTACAAGGACAGGGATGGGCGGCCCCGGGCGGTGCGTGTTGGGGGCAAGGAGAGTGAGGTCACCGTGGGAGGCCTAGAGCCCGGGCACAAGTACAAGATGCACCTGTACGGCCTCCACGAGGGGCAGCGCGTGGGCCCGGTGTCCGCCGTGGGCGTGACAGGTGAGTGAGGGGCAGGGGCCTGCTTTGGTTCCCTCCCACTGCTGGCTCCCAGCTTCCCTGTAGCCAGTTGCTCTCCTTGCTCCAGTGGAACCTTGAGGCTGCCTGCCAGGGGAAGACCTAGAAAGAGCATGTCACTGGGGACTGGCGTACCACCAGCTTTCATGGCCCTGAGCAAGTTTTAAACTTTCTGCACCTCTGTTTCCTTGTCCGTAAAATGGGGACACCTACCTCACAGAGTTATTGTGAGGGTTAAGTGAGTTAACAGATGTAAAGCATCAAGAATGGGCCTGGCAAAAGTAAATATGCTGCCAGTGTCTGCTGTGAGAATTGTTATAAATATTCTTACTCTGAGGTCTGCTTTGTCCCCTTTGGCTGGTTCAGTTACTTGGTCAGAATGCACATGAATCTAAGGCCATACCACCCTGAAGGTGTCCTATCATCTCCTCTGATCTCAGAAGCTAAGCAGGGTCAGGTCTGGTTAGTACTTGGATGGGAGAATGCGCGTGAGACATTGGCCTCTTCATCAGTACAGCTTGAAGCAAGCTTTCTTTTCTTTCTTGTCTTTTTTTTTTTTTTTTTTTTTTGAGACAGAGTCTCACTCTGTTGCCCAGCCTGGAGTGCAGTGGTGCGATCTCAGCTCACTGCAACCTCTGCCTCCCAAGTTCAAGTGATTCTCCTGCCTCAGCCTCCCAAATAGCTGGGACTACAGATGCGTGCCACCACACCTGGTTACTTTTTTGTATTTTTAGTAGAGACGGGGTTCACCGTGTTGGCCAGGCTGGTCTCAAACTCCAGATCCTCAAGTGAGCCACCTGCCTCGGCCTCCCAAAGTTCTGGTATTACAGGCGTGAGCCACCACGCCTGACCACAAAGCTTTCTCTTTCTTCTTTCTCTCTTTTTCTTTCTTTCTTTCTTTCTTTCTTTCTTTCTTTCTTTCTTTCTTTCTTTCTTTCTTTCTCTTTCTTTCTGTCTCTCTCTCTCTCTTTCTTTCTTTTTTTCCTTTCTTTCTGTTTTTTGAGCTCTGTTGCCCAGGCTGGAATGCAGTGGTGCAATCTTGGCTCACTGCAACCTTTGCCTCCCAGGTTCAAGTGATTCTCCTGCCTCAGCCTCCCGAGTAGCTGGGATTACAGGCATGCACCACCACACCTGGCTAATTTTTGTATTTTTAATAGAGATGGGGTTTTACCATGTCAGCCAGGCTGGTCTCAAACTCTTGACCTCAAGTGATCCACCCGCCTTGGCCTTCCAAAGTGCTGGGATTATAGGCATAAGCCACCACGCCCGGCCACAAGGCTTTCTTTAATACTCATCCAGTGAGTGACTTTACAGCAAAGAAGAACATCCCTTCCACCCTTTCTCTCAGGCCTGGTTACAGGGCCACATCCACCACCACACAGGACCAGCCTGGGCACCTCCTCTCCAGGGCCTCAGCCCAAGAGGCTGAGTGGACAGCAGTGCCTCTGGGACCCTCGGGCTGACCTGCCCGGTTTAGTCACAGTGAGGGGAATCTCTTTTTTCCTTTGCTCACAGAAACAAAGACACACCTTTCTCAAAAATAACTTTTACTATAAGGGGAAAGATTAAAAAATTAAAAGTAGAGAAATAGATAGTTTTCCAGAACATGGTTTCTGTAATTCCACCAAGCTCAGCCTCATCATGACTTGGTTGATTTCATTTCCAGAACCTTCCACCCTCAATTTATTTTCTTTGCCTCAGTCAGCCCTGAGAAGAGGGAGACGGCAAAGCCACCCTGAGTGGCTGTCCTTGGGGCCTGAGGTTGTAGGGTGGAGGCTGGTGCCAGGCCCAGACATGCTGCCAAGTCTGCTCCTGGAGTGACCCTCCCTCTGCCGCTCTGTCCCAGGGACCCACACTGGGCTCTGTGAGGCCCTGTGCCTGGTCCCTGGGGTAAGGATGGGCTCTGTCAGGCACTGACCAAGTCGGTGCAGTAGAGATAAATGGAGTTTGGGAATCTGACAAACTGAGTTCCTTCCTGTCTTCCTCTGTTCTCAGCTGTATGATTTTTATTTTTTTATTTTATTATTATTTTTTTGAGACAGAGTCTTGCTTTGTCACCCAGGCTGGAGTGCAGTGGCATGATCTCAGCTCACTGCAACCTCTGGCTCCCAGGTTCAAGCAGTCCTCCTGCCTCAGCCCCCCAAGTAGCTGGGATTACAGGCGCCCACCACCACACCCGGCTAATTTTTGTATTTTTAGTAGAGACAGGGTTTCACCATGTTAGCCAGGCTGGTCTCGAACTTCTGACCTCAGATGATCCACCCGCCTTGGCCTCCCAAAGTGCTGGGATTACAGGCGTGAGGCACCGTGCCCAGCCAGCTGTATGATCTTGAAAAACTTACCTCCTCTCCTGGAACCTCAGCTTCCTCATATTCAGGAGGGAGTAAACGCTGCCCAGCTTGTTGTCACGGTTAAAGGTGGTGATGTAACATGTCTGGCATCTTCTCAGCTCATTCATCTTTTGCTCAGACCTTCCCGTGAGGGAATCCCTGTATATCCATGTTCTAATGCTGGATATTTTGAAACATGTATTTTACACGTCCTGGATAAAATAGATGAGGCCCTTTAGGAAAGAAATGGGCATCAGTGCGCATTATCAGAGCAGCAAAAGGACGAAGCAGCTGGAGTCCGCCAAGCTGGGGGCTGTGTCTGGCAGCACACACAGTGCAGTTGCCAGGGGGAGAGGTGCGTGGAGCTCATTAGACACACTTCTAAATTGGAAAAGGACTGTCCCACATGCAGCATGGGGACTGCCAGAGTCATGAATCGTTATAATTGTACCTTTCCAGTTAATCCAAACCACCAGCAATAAAGCTTGATGGTGAAGGACATTTTCATTCCCTCATGGAAAGAAGTGCAGAGAGGGCAAAAAGGAGCAGGGAATGGGTGCTGCAGGAACAAGTAAGGTTAGAAGGCAAATGAAATGAGAGAAAATGCCCAGCCTGGTACCTGTACATAGTAGATGTTCAATACTTGGTGGTCACTCTGCTCCCTCCCACCACCTCAGCTGCCTCCATGCCTGCCCTCCCCAGCCTGACTCATTTCTGTCTGCCCGAGGCCTGGTCACCAGCCTGTTTTAAGCAGTTGTCACTTGCTTGGAGCCTTGTCTTGCCCTCCGGAGGAAGCCAGAGAAACAAGTTCTTGGGAGCCCCACCCATCCAGCCACCTTCTCTGCCATTTTGCCTCTTGGGACCACCTTCTAGTTTGCTCACTAATGAGTGCTTCCTCATGCGGGAGTGGTGGGGATCTGCAGGTCCTGAGCCCAGACCTGTAGACCACTCATTATTTTACAGACATCTGTGGAGCACCTACTGTGTGCCAGGGACTGGGACACAGCAGTGAATAAAGCAGAGCTCCTGCCTGAGGAGCTCACATTCTAGTGGAGAGGGACAGGCAACAAATTGCACAAATATGTCAGTGGCACCGGATGTGACAGTGATGAGTGGTGGGGAAAAGCAGAGCCTAGTAGGGAGACAGCAAGGGCCTCACTGCGAGGGCAGTGTCTGAGGAAAGCCCTGAAGGAGGTGAGAGGACAGCCACCTAGGCCTTTGGGGAAAGAGCATCCCAGACAGAAGGAAGAGCAAATGCAGAGACTGGCAGGCGAGAAGCAGCCCCAGATGTCTGCAGACAGTGAGGAATGCAGTATGTTTTGTGGTGGAGTTGGAGGAGGGCAGGCAATAGGGAATGATCTAAGAGATGAATATGGGACCTCAGAGGCCAGTGCAGGACTTGGATTTCACCCTGAGTGAGGTAGAAGCCACTGCGGGAACCAGCTCTGGCTAATGTGTTAACAGGATCCTTCTGGCTGCAGACCCAACAGACTAAAGGGGGGTGAGGGCAGAAGGCGATGACCTGAGAGAATGTTGTGATAATCCAGGAGGAGCCAGTGGTGCTTGGAGGTGGCAAGGAGGGGTCAGACTCTGAAGGTAGTGACAACAGGCGGATACCCACAGGGCGGATGTGGAGTTTAAGAGAGGACTCGGGGATGACTCTGGCGGTTTAGATCTGAGCAGCTGGAAGAATGAAGTTGTAATCCTGGTCAGGCGTGGAGGATCATGCCTGTAATCCCAGCACTTGGGGAGGCCGAGGCGGGCGGATCACCTGAGGTCGGGAGTTCAAGACCAACCTGACTAACGTGGAGAAACCCCATCTCTACTGAAAATACAAAATTAGCCGGACGTGGTGGCACATGCCTGTAATCCCAGCTACTCAGGAGGCTAAGGCAGGAGAATCGCTTGAACCCAGGAGGCGTAGGTTGCGGTGAGCCGAGAGGGCGCCATCGCACACCAGCCTGAGCAACAACAGCGAAACTCCGTCTCAAAAAAAAAAAGTTGTAATCTTACTGAGGTGGGGAGGCTGTGGCGGGAGCAGGTGTCAGGAAGCTCAGAGGCTCAGTTTTGGACTTGTTGAGTTTGACACACAAGTAGGCCTCCAAGGAAGACGTTGCACGAACACTAGTCTGGGGTTCAGGGGAGGTCTGGACAGAGGGTGTAAATCTGGAGTCATTGGCATATAGATGGAATTTCAGCGCTCTCCCAGGGTGTCAGTGATGGTTGATACTCTTCTCCCCCAACAAATGCAGCCTCAGACACCGAGCAGGGACCTAGTGAAGGACTGTTGACCAGACAGATGTTCAGATCAATGCGCTTTTACATCAAAACCATCATGCGGGTTCCACAAATGCAACAGACATCGCTGGGTGTGGTGGCTCACACCTGTAATCCCAGCACTTTGGGGGCTGAGGCAGGTGGATCACCTGAGGTCAGGGGTTTGAGACCAGCCTGGCCAACATGGCAAATGCCGTCTCCACTAAAAATACACACACACACAAAATTAGGCAGGCATGGTGGCGCACGCCTGTAGTCCCAGCTACTTGGGAGGCTAAGGCAGGAGGATCGCTTGAACCCGGGAGGCAGAGGCTGCAGTGAGCCGAGGTCGCCCACTGCTCTGGGTGACAGCGAGACTCCATCTCAAAAATAAAAAATAAAAAATAAATAACTAGACATCATTACTATAAGAAAAGGGGGATTCTTTACTAACAGCCCCCTACCATCTCTGTCCCAGCCCCACAACAAGAAGAGACCCCTCCAGCCACTGAGTCCCCGCTGGAGCCACGCCTAGGAGAGCTGACAGTGACAGATGTGACCCCCAACTCTGTGGGCCTCTCCTGGACAGTCCCCGAGGGCCAGTTTGACTCCTTCATAGTCCAGTACAAGGACAAGGACGGGCAGCCCCAGGTGGTGCCGGTGGCGGCAGACCAGCGAGAGGTCACAGTCTACAACCTGGAGCCTGAGAGAAAATATAAGATGAACATGTATGGACTACATGATGGGCAACGCATGGGCCCCCTGTCTGTGGTCATCGTGACGGGTGAGTAATGGGGGGACTCAGTCCTCATCTCTGGTTACCCAGAGCTCCCCCACCCCATGGCCCTTCTTCCAGCCCTGCCTTGGTACCACCGCACCCTCACTGAGGGGCTAGATCCCCTCAGGCCCTGGCTCGGTGACCCTGCCAGTCTTTCTGTTCCCTGACCCCTTTACTCCTCCCAGGGCTAGAGCCTTCTCAGCCCTCCAGCTCCTTCCCCATCTCCACTCTGCCCCCCGCCCAGGGGAATGTCTTATTTCCATTTGGCCTAAATCCAGCCACAGACTTTCTCTCCCCCTCTCCGACTGCCCACAGCTGTTTCCACCCCTTCTCTTTACAACCCTGCTGTGACTTGGACACAGCTGCCACCTCCTGCTTCTGCCCTTTTTTGTTGAGGCGAAGTGCTTTACATCCTGAGTCCCTTCTCAGGAGTCCTCTGCCACCTGCCTGCACTGCATTCCATCCCAGCCCTGGAGAGTTTTCATCTCTCCAGGAGGCTGCCTCACTCTTGCTCTGGGCTCCTTCCTGCCCCTCATGGCTTCCTGGGCACAGGTTCTCCATGATTGTTGTGCTGTGGCATCTGGTGAAACCCCTACCCCACCTGAAGGCAATGTTTTTAAATCTGTAAAATAAGCTGTATAGGATTACAAAGGAAACATTATATTTATAGACAGTTATCAAAATATTTCTTTTTTATTTTTGAGATGGAGTTTTGCTCTTGTCATCCAGGCTGGAGTGCAATGGCGCGATCTCGGCTCACTGCAACCTCCGCTTCCCAAGTTCAAGCAATTCTCCTGCCTCAGCCTCCCGAGTAACTGGGATTACGGGCACGTGCCACCACACCCAGCTAATTTTTTGTATTTTTAGTAGAAACAGGGTTTCGCCATGTTGGCCAGGCTGGCCTCAAACTCCTGACCTCAGGTGATCCACCCGCCTCGGCCTGGCATGAGCCACTGCACCCGGCCCAAAATATTTCTTAAAAATCCAAAGTTACGATTTAGTAATACTTGGACTTATTTACTAGTTCATTAAATAACAGGACTTGGTGGCGCGTTTACTAAACTACAAAATTTAGAAGCAGTGATGGATATAAAAGGTATTTTAAAGTTTCTGCAATAACTCTAAGGTGACATGAAAACATCTGTGGTTTCTATTGGTAACAAAGTCACAATAATTCTACTCTGGTGGGTTTTCTATATTAGTTTTGGAAAGAAATGCTGCATTTCAGTTAGAGGTCTGGAAGTAAAGGTGTAACTATTCCCCATCTCAGTTCACAGCCCCCCTGAGGCCCTCAAAGCCCAGGGGTTCTCCCCTCAGAGATCTCAACCATGTTCTTTGTCTTCCCAAATCCCAGCTCCCCTCCCACCAGCCCCAGCCACAGAGGCCTCCAAGCCTCCCCTGGAGCCACGCCTAGGGGAGCTGACAGTGACGGATATAACCCCTGACTCTGTGGGCCTCTCATGGACAGTCCCTGAGGGTGAATTCGACTCCTTTGTGGTTCAGTACAAGGACAGGGACGGGCAGCCCCAGGTGGTGCCCGTGGCTGCAGATCAGCGGGAGGTCACTATCCCTGACCTGGAACCCTCCCGCAAGTACAAGTTCCTGCTCTTTGGGATCCAGGATGGGAAACGACGCAGCCCAGTCTCTGTGGAGGCAAAGACGGGTGAGATGGGCCCCTACACAGCTGAGCCTGAGGCCACAGCCTTCCCACCCTTCTCTTCACTCCCTCTGCTGAGTCTTCCCTTTGTCCACCTGCTCTGTCTCATTTGAAAAGCCACATGGGGCTAGCACAGTGACTCATGCCTGTAATCCCAGCACTTTGGGAGTCCAAGGCAGGTCAGGAGTTTGAGACCAGTCTGGCCAACATGGCAAAACCCTGTCTCTACTAAAAAGACAAAAATTAGCTGGGTGTGGTGATGGGTGCTAGTAATTCCAGCTACTCGGGAGTCTGAGGCACAAGAATCACTTGAACCCAGGAGGTGGAGGCTGCAGGGAGCTGAGATTGCGCCACTGCACTCCAGCCTGGGTGATAGAGCCAGACTCCGTCTCAAAAAAGACCAAAAAAAAAAAAAAAGAAAGAAAAGCCGCAAAGCAGATGAGGACCAGGAGAGTGGGGCCAGTTCCTGGGTCTGCTGTCCCCTGCTGACTCTGCCTCTCTTCTCGTAATTTCCACTTTTGTTGGATGAGGGAAGCCCCTACAGGCCTCTTCCTGCAGGGTGGATGTGGGAGCCTGGGGGTGCTGGGAGAAGGGGCGAGGGGAGCCAGGAACCCTTCCTGCCTTGCGAATCCATCACCTCCTGAGAGTCTTTGTTGTCTCCCCTGTGACTCTCACCCAGGTTCTCACCCTCCTAGCTCAGGCCTGTCTGGGCCCATATGTGCCTCCTACAGAGGCTGCCCTTCCTTCTCTGCCCTCCTCCTGAAGTCTCAGAAATTGGGAACCAGAGGAGCCCAGCCCAGCTGTGCCCCTTTCCGAGGGTTCAGTCCAAGCCCTCCCCTGCCCCTGGGGGCTCCCTATTGCCAGAAAACTTGCAATAACAATGTCGTCAGCGTCCTCACCGTCCAGGAAGGCAGCAGGCCAGCTCCTTCTCAAGCCCTGGGATGGCTCCTCAGGCAGACACCAGATCCCTTCCCTGCCTGAGCTCCCCGGCATCATCCCCCTCAACATTCTCACAGGCAGCCCACGCTCCTTCACCAGGCCCAGTGGGAGCCTTAGTTCTCCCGGGCCAGCCGGTGCAGAATAAGAAAGGGAACGGAGAAGGGTGAGAACTACCTGTGTCGTAACATCCTGCCTCCCTGACCTGCCGAGTGCCCCCATCAGGGATCCTGCGCTCCTCGGGGCCGGCCAAATCACCCCTTTCCTCAGGGGCCGGCCAAATCACAGCCAAATCGTGTGCTCCTGGGTAAGAGGAGATAGAGACCCAGTCTGTAAGAAGCTGCACCCTGCTGGGGAAGCAGTCTGTGAGAGGCGGAAAGAGGCTGGACAGAAAGGGGAGTAAGATGAGGCAGGGAGCTAGGGAATCTCTTTTCCTGGAGGTGACTCAGGACAGGTGACCCTCCCCACTTGGGTCAAGGGGAGAGAGGCATGGACCAGACGGAGATGGTGGTGAGGATGGGAGGTGATGGAAATATTTTGGGGAAGCACTGAGCATTTGGGCAGTTCTGGGTTTTTCCAGCCCCAGAGGGAGGCAGTCAAGGAGTCGTTTTGGAAAAAATAAACACAAGAACCTTTCCTCTCCAGTTGCCCGAGGTGACGCCAGCCCAGGGGCCCCACCCCGCCTTGGGGAGCTGTGGGTGACAGACCCCACCCCAGACTCACTGCGCCTCTCCTGGACGGTTCCTGAGGGCCAGTTCGACTCTTTTGTGGTCCAGTTCAAGGACAAAGACGGGCCCCAGGTGGTGCCCGTGGAGGGCCATGAGCGCTCTGTCACTGTCACCCCTCTGGATGCCGGCCGCAAGTACAGATTCCTCCTCTATGGCCTCCTGGGCAAGAAGCGCCATGGCCCTCTCACTGCCGACGGCACCACGGGTGAGGGGCATTCCCTGCAGGTCCCTGCTCTGCTCCCCTCAGGCCAAGCAGCAGACGGTCACTTGTGGTGGCTGCCATTACCATTATTTGGCCCCAGCCACTCGGCTCAGATCCAGCTCCCCACGTCCCTGCACAAGCCCCTAGCACAGCCCGGCAGGACTCAGCCACGCAAAGCCCTGTCTCCAGACCTCTCAATCCTGCCCGTCGAGGTCACCCAGTCTTCCAGAAACAGCTCAGCCGTTTCCTCTCCGTGTCTCCATCTCAGAAGCCCGGAGTGCTATGGATGATACTGGAACAAAGCGTCCCCCAAAACCCCGTCTGGGGGAGGAGCTGCAGGTGACCACCGTGACCCAGAACTCCGTGGGCCTCTCCTGGACAGTCCCTGAGGGCCAGTTTGACTCCTTTGTGGTCCAGTACAAAGACAGGGACGGGCAGCCCCAGGTGGTGCCCGTGGAGGGCAGCCTCAGGGAGGTCAGCGTGCCGGGCCTGGACCCTGCCCACAGGTACAAGCTGCTGCTCTACGGGCTGCACCACGGCAAGCGTGTGGGCCCCATCTCGGCCGTCGCCATTACTGGTGAGTGTGCGGCAGCTGGAACACCTGTGCCTCCTTCCCGCCTGGCTCTCCTGGTCTGACTGAGCCATAAGATCTCTGAGCTTCCCATTTTATATCATTTCCATTGATCCAGAAAGTTTCCTTGTGCCCCTTTAGAGTCAGTTGCCCCAGTCCCAGCCTCCAGCAACCACTGTCTGCTTTCGATCATCCTGGAGACAGCATTTTGACTCTCCATGTAATGGAATCACAATACGCAGTCTCTTGTGTTTCATTTCTTGCAATTAGCACAATGCTTTTGAAATTCACCCATGTGCAGCAAAAGCTGGTCTTTCGATTGCTGACTGCTTGCCCTCACTCCCTCTCCTCCCTCACTCCTCCTGAGAGTCTGGGTGCAGCGACACACCAGCCATCTGTCTCTACCTGTCTCTGTGAACCAGCCGGCAGGGAAGAAACGGAAACTGAGACCACGGCCCCGACCCCTCCAGCGCCTGAGCCCCACCTCGGGGAGTTGACAGTGGAGGAGGCCACGTCACACACCCTGCATCTCTCCTGGATGGTGACTGAGGGAGAATTTGACTCCTTCGAAATCCAGTACACAGATAGAGACGGGCAACTCCAAATGGTCCGCATAGGAGGTGACCGGAATGACATCACCCTCTCTGGCCTGGAATCCGACCACAGATACCTGGTGACCCTGTATGGTTTCAGTGATGGGAAGCATGTAGGTCCTGTCCATGTCGAGGCCCTGACAGGTGAGAACTCTGCCCACTATGCCTCCTTTCAGATGGCTGGGAGAGTCCAGAGGACAGCAGAGTCCCGCGGATACCCTGCCCACCTCAGTCCTCTCTTTCCATGTCTCTGTCCAGTCCCGGAGGAGGAGAAGCCTTCAGAACCTCCCACCGCAACCCCCGAGCCCCCCATCAAGCCTCGCCTGGGGGAGCTGACCGTGACAGATGCCACCCCTGACTCCCTCAGCCTGTCCTGGACAGTTCCCGAGGGACAGTTTGACCACTTCCTGGTCCAGTACAGGAATGGAGATGGGCAGCCCAAGGCAGTGAGGGTGCCAGGGCACGAGGAAGGGGTCACCATCTCGGGCCTGGAGCCAGACCATAAATACAAGATGAACCTGTACGGCTTCCACGGTGGCCAGCGCATGGGCCCTGTGTCTGTCGTCGGGGTGACAGGTGAGTGGATGATGGGAGCCCCAGGGTGGGAGCCATGGGAGGGTCACCCTCTTGCTCTTTGGTGATGACTGGTGGGGAATGGGACAAGGGTCTGGTCAGCACCACAGACCTGCTTGTGGCTGGGGCTGGGGCTCCCCTTGGGCCTTCCTGTGAGGTTGACCACTGGCTCCTCCTGAACAGAGAGGGGCCATCGGGAATTTTGCTGTGCTGGTGGCTGTCCCAGGTCCCCCACAGCTGACCCTGGAACTTGTCATGTGTGTTAGCTGTCAGCTGAGCAGGACCACCCAGCCCCAAGAGTAGGCCTCTCTGAACTGACCTCGGGTCCCCCAGTCATAGCCTTGGCTTCTCCCTCCTTTTCCCCAGTACCCAAGGACATCCCCCTCACTCTCTCTTCCTCCTTCTCAGCTGCAGAGGAAGAGACCCCCAGCCCCACAGAACCCAGCATGGAGGCCCCGGAGCCCGCTGAGGAGCCACTCCTGGGGGAGCTAACAGTGACAGGATCCTCCCCTGACTCGCTGAGCCTCTCCTGGACCGTCCCCCAGGGCCGCTTCGACTCCTTCACCGTGCAGTACAAGGACAGGGACGGGCGGCCCCAGGTGGTGCGTGTTGGGGGCGAGGAGAGTGAAGTCACCGTGGGGGGCCTGGAGCCTGGGCGCAAGTACAAGATGCACCTGTACGGCCTCCACGAGGGGCGGCGCGTGGGCCCAGTGTCTGCTGTGGGCGTCACGGGTGAGTGTGCACTGCAGAGCCCTCTGGGTTGGGTCTTAGCAAAGTACAGCCTCCAGCATCTCCTCCACTAGGGACCCAGAACCCCAAGACCTCAAACCTGTAATACACCCTGTTCACTAAAGGCTCAGGACAGGTGTGATCTGGGGACAGAGAGAGCAAATCCAGGAGAAGTGTCGGAGCCATATGGGAAAGGCCCCCAGGGACTGAGGCCTCTTGGGAGGTGATTCACTGGCTGGTTTGTGGCTCTCCGCTTTTCCTTGGAACTCTATACATAACTCTTTTTGTGAGATTGGAACACATTTTTGAAATACAAATTAATTAAATTAATAAGTATTTGTTAAATAAAATTTCAAATGTATAAACAGAAAGAATAGTACAAAGACCCTGCCATCCTCCTTCAATCAAATATCGACTTCTGGCCAGTCTGGCTCATCTCTGCCCCACCCACTTCCTCCACTAGAATCACTAGAATGTTTTCTTTCTTTCTTTCTTTCTTTCTTTCTTTCTTTCTTTCTTTCTTTCTTTCTTTCTTTCTTTCTTCCTTCCTTTCTTTCTTTCTCTTTCTTTCTTTCTTTCATTCTTTTCTTTTCTTTCTTTCTTTTTAGACAAGGTCTCACTCTGTCGCCTGGGCTAGAGTGTACTGGCACAGTCACAATTCACTGCACTGCAGCCTCAACCTCCTGGGCTTAAGGGATCCTCCCACTTCAGCCTCCCGAATAGCTGGGACTACAAGTGCACTCCACCATGCCCAGCTAATTTTTTGTATTTTTTGTAGAGACAGGGTTTAGCCATGTTGCCCAGGCCAGTCTCGAACTCCTGGGCTCAAGTTATCCTCCCACCTCAGCCAAAGTGATAGGATTCCAGGCGTGAGCCGCCACACCCGGCCTGAATGTTTTCTTTATTAACACCTTTATGGAGATATAATTCATGTGGCATAAAATACACTTGTTTTTAGTGTACAACTTACTGATTTTAGTATCTTTACCTACTTGTGCAGCCATCACCACGATCTAATTTTAGAACTTTTCCATCACCCCCAAAAGAAATCTTGGGTCCAGACCCATTCCTACCTCAGCCCTAGTTTATAACTAATCTACTTTTTTCTCTGTAGATTGCTGTTCCAGAACATTTCGTATAAATGGACTCAAACAATATGTATTCTTTTGTGTCTAGCTTCTTTCACTGAGCATAATGTTTTTGAGGTTCATCAATGTAGCATGTAGAAGTACTATACTTACTACATTGCTATTGATTGATTGATTGATTGATTGATTGATTTTTTTTGAGACAAATTCCCACTCTATTGCCCAGGCTATAGTGCAGTGGCATGATCATAGCTCACTGCAGCCCCAGACTCCTGGGCTCAAGCCATCCTCCCATCTCAGCCCCCCAGGTAGCTGGGGCCACAGGTGCTCGCCACCACACTCAGCTAATTTAAAAAAATTTTTTGTAGAGATGGGGTCTCACAGTGTTACCCAGGCTGATATCAAACTCCTGGCTTCAAGGAATCCTCCTGCCTGGGCCTTACAAAGTGCTGGGATAGCAGGCATGAGCCACCTGCTCTCTCTCAGCCACTACACTGCTTTTTATTGCCAAACAGTATTGCATTGTGTGGTTATACTACTGCAGTATTTTAAAAACGAACCACAGACATCCTATGCTTTCATCACTAAATATTTAAAGGTATATCTCTTTTTAAAAAAATTATTTTTAAAAAATCCACAATATGGCCAGGTGAGGTGGTTCACGCTTGTAATCCCAGCACTTTGGGAGGCCAAGGCAGGTGGATCACTTGAGGTAAAGAGTTCAAGACCAGCCTGACCAACATGGTGAAACCCTGTCTCTACTAAAAATAATAATAATAATAATAAATTTTAAAAAGTACAAAAAAGCGGAGCGTGGTGGCACGTGCCTGTAGTCCCAGCTACTTGGCGGGGGTTGAGGCACAAGAAATTGCTTGCACCCAGGAGGTGGAGGTTGCAGTGAGCCAAGATCGCGCCACTGCACTCCAGCCTGGGTGACAGAGTGAGACTCTGTGTCAAAAAATAAATAAATAAATAATAAAATTCCACAATACAATTAGCATACCTTGATAAGTGAACAATCATGCCTTGATATCAAGTATCCAGGTAGTGCTACAGTCTCCCGAGTGTCTCATAATTGTTGTTTCCCAATTTGTTGCTGAAATCAGGTCTATAGAAGGAGGATACATTGCAATTGAGAAAACTGAAATTTTAAATAGAGTAATCAGGGAAGGCCCACAGAAGAAGGTGGCTTTTGAACAAAGACTTAAAGGAAGTGTGGGGATGAGCCATGAAGATATCTGGGGAAAGAACATTTAGGTAGAGGGAACAGTCATTGTAAAAGTACTGAGGTAGGAGGCTGCCTGGCATGGTTGAGGGACCATAAGGAAGCCACAAAATCTGATTATGATTATAATCAGAAATCGATCTTAAGTTAGGGCCAGACTGGGCCCACCTTCTGACCTGAATTCAAGACAGCTGGGGCCTCAACACCTCCTTGCAGCAAGAGAAAAGATTCTGTTTCTATCTCTTCCTAGCCCCCGAAGAGGAGTCCCCTGATGCTCCTCTTGCAAAGCTGCGCCTAGGGCAGATGACAGTGAGAGACATCACCTCCGACTCCCTCAGCCTCTCCTGGACAGTCCCCGAGGGCCAGTTTGACCATTTCTTGGTCCAGTTTAAGAATGGGGACGGGCAGCCCAAGGCGGTGCGGGTGCCGGGACACGAGGATGGGGTCACCATCTCGGGCCTGGAGCCAGACCACAAGTACAAGATGAACCTGTACGGCTTCCACGGTGGCCAGCGCGTGGGCCCCGTGTCTGCTGTTGGTTTAACTGGTGAGTGTGCAGTAGGGCACTGGGCCCTGCCCTGAACTAGACTCAGTTTCCCTTTTATTGTCAGTATCTGGTGGCTTTATTTTACTTTCCCTGAGACCAAGCCTCCCAAGCTCCTGGGAATGGTTCTGCTGGTGCCTTCACTCCGAGACTTTGGTATTGCCCCAGGTCTTCTGCCCGTTACACATGGGCTTTTTGGGTTCCCAAAGAGGTGGGGGACCAGGAAAATAACACAGACTGAGGCACACCTGGGGTTGACCATAGCTTCAGCCCATTTGAGCTGTGTGTCCTCAAGAGACTCACACAACCTGTCTGGGCACGGTGGCTCATGCCTGTAATCCCAGCACTTTGGGAGGCCGAAGGGGGCAGATCACTTGAGGTCAGGAGTTCGAGACCAGCCTGGCCAACATCATGAAACCCCCATCTCTACTAAAAATACAAAAATTAGCTGGGTGTGGTGGCACATGCCTGTAGTCCCAGCTACTCGGGAGGCTAAGGCGGGAGAATCGCTTGAACCCAGGAGGCGGAGGTTGCAGTGAGCCGAGATCGAGCCACTGCACTCCAGCCTGTGTGACAGAGTGAGACCCTGTCTCAAAAAAACAAAACAAGCAAACAAAAAACAGACACACGACCTCTCTGTACATCCTTTTCCTCATCTGTAAAGAAGGAATAACCATACCTGTCGTGAAGGGTGGGCGGGAGTGTGGCTTGGCTCTCACACACAATGAGAGATAACTGCAGTCTTTCCCTTCTGAGGAAGGTAGGTAGTTCCTGAAAACCGCTTAGGGCAAATTCTCATAATTATCACTGATTTCAGTGGGAAAAATTGTATGTGTTCTCTAAGCTCCCAAATTAATACCCATTTATTTTTAAAACAACACTGAATCCTGTTAACATGGATACTATTACTTTAATTGTAAATATTGGCCATGTGCACAACTTAATAAGGCATTTTCCTTTCATTACCCTGTAACTCGGCTCTTTGATGCTTTTGTAAGCTCTTTTATAGCTGTTACCCCCTAGATGCTTAAGACTCAGTTCTCAAAAAGAACAGACAAATGAAATGTGATGAATTTGTAATACCACTATCAAGGCAGAATAAAACCCTATGAAGAGCAGAAAAGATTAAAGAAATCAATGAAAACAAAGCAATTGATTTCACACGGGCCAAAAGAACTGGCATCACTGGAGGTGCTCTCTCTGCCGTAAGTTAGCAGAGCTACTGCAGGTCCAGAGACAACTCAGCTGCAAAGATGCCCTCATGT
This sequence comes from Homo sapiens, assembly GCF_000001405.40. Lineage (NCBI taxonomy): Eukaryota > Metazoa > Chordata > Mammalia > Primates > Hominidae > Homo > Homo sapiens. Next base: position 3,501,880 of record NT_113891.3, on the reverse strand, counting down.
GGTCTCATCTCTCTACCCTCAGCTATAAAATCTAAGTTGGTTTCTAAAAATGCTCAGGATTAGGTGGAATTTCCAAGCCCAGGTGGATGAACCTCCTGATACAACTTGCCTGTTGTGTTTGGTTGGTGTTCTTTGTTTTCTTTTTTTTTTTTTTCTTTATGTTGAGATGGAGTCTCACTCTGTCACCCAGGCTCTCAGGCTGGAGTGCCGTGGTGCGATCTCAGCTCATTGCAACCTCTGCCTCCCAGGTCCAAGCAGTTCTCCTGCCTCAGCCTTCCGAGTAGCTGGGATTACAGGCATGCACCAGCACATCTGGCTAATTTTTGTATTTTTAGTACAGACAGGATTTCGCCATGTTGGCCAGGCTGGTCTCAAGCTCCTGACCTCAGGTGATCCTCCCGCCTCGGCCTCCCAAAGTGCTGGGATTACAGGCCTGAGCCACCACGCCTGGCCCTGATTGCTGTTTTTTGTTTGTTTGTTTGTTTTTGTTTGTTTGTTTTTTTCTTGAGAAGGAGTCTCGCTGTCTCCCAGGATGGAGTGCAGTGGCGTGATCTTGGCTCACCGCAAGCTCCGCCTCCTGGGTTCATGCCATTCTCCTGCCTCAGCCTCCTGAGTAGCTGGGACTACAGGTGCCCGCCAACACGCCTGGCTAATTTTTTGTATTTTTAGTAAAGACGGGGTTTCACAGTGTTAGCCAGGATGGTCTCAATCTCCTGACCTCATGATCCGCCCGCCTCGGCCTCCCAAAGTGCTGAGATTACAGGCCTGAGCCACCACACCCGGCCCTGGTTGGTGTTCTTATAAAGCATCAATTCTGTCCTGCAAAACAAATTTGCTTGGCAGCTCCTAAGGGTCCCAGGCCTGCACACTGAGCATCACAGGGATGCCACCTGAGCATCATGACTTCACCACAGGTGTGGTGTTAACTGAACATTCAAAGCAGAAAAATGATATTCTAAGCTTGGGGCACCAGCATCCAGACTGTGGGCCCTTGGTGTGTCTAAGAGAATCCCAGAGTCCCTTGGTTAAAAGGAGGCCCACCAGGCATGCCCACCCATTCTATTTTCTGATGCAGCCCCAGGAAAGGATGAAGAAATGGCCCCAGCCTCGACAGAACCTCCCACCCCTGAACCCCCCATCAAGCCTCGCCTGGAGGAGCTGACCGTGACAGATGCGACCCCTGACTCCCTCAGCCTGTCCTGGACGGTTCCCGAGGGACAGTTTGACCACTTCCTGGTCCAGTACAAGAATGGGGATGGGCAGCCCAAGGCAACACGGGTGCCAGGACATGAGGACAGGGTCACCATCTCCGGCCTGGAGCCAGACAACAAGTACAAGATGAACCTGTACGGCTTCCACGGTGGCCAGCGTGTGGGCCCCGTGTCTGCCATCGGGGTGACAGGTGAGTGGACGATGGGAGCCCCAGGGTGGGAGCCATGGGAGGGTCACCCTCTTGCTCTTTGGTGATGACTGGTGGGGAATGGGACGGGTCTGGTCAGCACCACAGACCTACTTGTGGCTGGGGCTGGGGCTCCCATTGTACCTTTTTGTGTGGTTGACCCCTGGCTCCCCCTGAGCAGGGAGGGGCCATTGGGAGTTTTGCTGTGCTGGTGGCTGTGCCAGGTCCCCCACAGCTGACCCTGGAATTTGTCATGTGTGTTAGCTGTCAGCTGAGCAGGACCCCAAGAATGGGCCTCTCTGAACTGACCTCAGGTCCCCTAGTCATAGCCTTGGCTATTTCATATGTCCCCTAGTCATAGCCTTCTCCCTCCTTTTCCCCACGACGTAAGCACATCCCCCAGGGACCCTGCCATCCTCTCTGTGTCCCTTTTTCTCAGCTGCAGAGGAAGAGACCCCCAGCCCCACAGAACCCAGCATGGAGGCCCCGGAGCCCCCTGAGGAGCCGCTCCTGGGGGAGCTAACAGTGACAGGATCCTCCCCTGACTCGCTGAGCCTCTCCTGGACCGTCCCCCAGGGCCGCTTCGACTCCTTCACCGTGCAGTACAAGGACAGGGACGGGCGGCCCCAGGTGGTGCGTGTTGGGGGCGAGGAGAGCGAGGTCACCGTGGGGGGCCTGGAGCCTGGGCGCAAATACAAGATGCACCTGTACGGCCTCCACGAGGGGCGGCGTGTGGGCCCGGTGTCCACCGTGGGCGTGACTGGTGAGTAGTGCTTGGAGTCTCGGGGTAACCACCTTTCCCTCATGGGTACCTGGTTTACTGCTGTGCCCTTTCACCAAGCCCTGTGGGTCCAGACTTGTCTCCTGTGTCCTGCCCTCCCTCTGTGCCCTGTGGCTGTGGCCTATGCTAGCGGTTTGCTTGTTCACTTTGGCGTGGCCTCCCTCTAATGGTCAACCACTGATAACCTCCAAGAGTGAAATATGTCAGGCGCACACCAAGCCTGACTTACGAGAATTTTCCTTTCTTTCCATCTTAATAACAGCATTCTTTGTTATAACCACATACACAAATGCACACAAGAGGAACAATCCAACGTCAAACCACGTTGGGATGACTAAATAATTTAGGCAACATCTATAAAAAGAGCTATTATGCCGCCACTGAAATGTTTTAACATAAGACCCTTACTTTATAATGTTACATTGAAAAAAGAGAGCCTAGGCTGGGCACAGTGGCTTACGCCTGTAATCCCAGCACTTTGGGAGGCCGAGGCGGGCTGATCGCCTGAGGTCAGGAGTTCCAGACCAGTCTAGCCAACATGGTGAAACCCCATCTCTACTAAAAATACAAAAATTAGCCAAGCATGGTGGCACATGCCTGTAATCCCAGTTACTTGGGAGGTGGAGGCACGAGAATTGCTTGAACCCGGGAGGCAGAGGTTGCAGTGAGCCGAGATCACCACTGCACTCCAGCCTGGCAGATACAGCCAAACTCAGTCTCAAAAAAGAAGAAAAAGGAGCCCAAATTTTTGTAAGGATGCTAATCACAACCATTTGAAAGTAACAGGCATGGCAAGAAGACTGGAAAGAAACACATCCCACGGGTTGCCTGATTTGTTAGATAGAATAGAATATTCCAGCACATTTTTTTCTGTATTATTCTATTCTGCATAGTCCAAATTTTCTTAAATGGCAAACATTTCTTTTACAATCAGGGAAAGGGAAAAGAGAAAATATATAATGTCTTCTCCTTCTTTACACTCCATCTGTCCTACTCCTCTATCGCTGTTGTGGCTTATTTCATTTATTTCCTTCTTTTTTTTTTTTGAGATGAAGTTTCGCTCTTGTCGCCCAGGCTGGAGTGCAATGGCATGATCTCGGCTCACTACAACCTCTGCCTCCTGGATTCAAGCGATTCTCCTGCCTCAGCCTCCCGAGTAGCTGGGATTACAGGCATGCGCCACCACATCTGGCTAATTTTGTATTTTTAGTAGAGAGGGAGTTTCTCCATGTTGGTCAGGCTGCTCAAACTCCTGACCTCAGGTGATCTGCCCGCCTCGGCCTCCCAAAGTGCTGGGATTACAGGCATGAGCCACCGCGCCCAGCCAGACTTATTTCATTTCTAATTATGAGGAAGTTCAAAATTTCTAGTCCATAAGAAATTGGAGGGGTGGAGATCATGAGGTTAATTGAATTCCAAATGCTCAGTCAGGCTGCCTTTTCTAAGTCATCCTCAGCCAGGTTGTTATGCCTGGCTTAGAGTATTTTTCGAGAATTCCTACCGATGGGGAAGAATCAGCCCTGCTGAGAGGCGGTCTCTTGCAGGGCAGGTCGCCACCTCTGTGGCACCAAGTGAGGTGCGAGCTCATCTCCCAAAGGCCATCCAGACAGAGGAAGCACTCTCAATCGGCATCCCCGATTCCTGGGGGAGAGGCCTCATTTCCATATGCATGTTCAGAGGACCATCTGAGTGTTGGGAAACAGGGGGAATAGGGAAATTATTGGAAAATGAACATTAGAAAAATTCACATTCCGGGGGTAAGCTGTCCTGGTCCACGTTCAGTTTTGTGTTCCTGTCTCCACTGTGGGGAACCACAGAACTGACAGAGGACAGGCTGAGGGACCCACCCCTGCCCCTCCTGTTCTATGTGTATTGCTGCCCCACCCCCACCCCACACTCTATTATTAATTGTTGTAGCCCAGAATTTCTTTCTTTCTTTTTCTTTTTTTTTTTTTTTTTTGAGACTGAGTCTCACTCTGTTGCCCAGGCTGGAGTGCAGTGGTGTGATCTCAGCTCACTGCAACCTCTGCCTCCCAGGTTCAAGTGATTGTCCTGCCTCAGCCTCCTGAGTAGCTGGGATTACAGGTGCATGCCACCACGCCTGGCTAATTTTTGTATTTTCAGTAGAGACCGGGTTTCATGATATTGGCCAAGCTAGACTCGAATTCCCAACCTCAGGTGATCCACCCGCCTCGGCCTCCCAAAATGCTAGGATTACAGGCGTGAACCACTGCTCCCAGCCCAGAATTTCTTTTTTAGCCCACGTTTTTCTAGTGAAAATAATACAGCAACATTATGTGGAAAGCTTGAAAAACAGAAAACAAGAATCTCATAGTCCTACTTTCTCCCCCAGCTGCCGGCATTAATAACAATGTGTGTAGTGCACATTCCCTTCCTGTATTTTGCATGCAGAGCGTGTTTTAAAGTTGCAATCAGTGTTCATAAAGTTCTTGGCACTTCCTTTTTTGTACACAAGTACATTGTAATCATTCACCTCACGGCTACACAACCAGCATTCATCATCGTTTCAATGGTTATTTGATGCGTTGCGGTGAAAGCACTATAACAAAATTAATCATCTTCTACGGGTCATTTGTGTTCCTGACACATCTGCTGTCATGAATAACCCCATCGTGAGTTCTTCCATGCTATAACTTTTTCCTGCTTTAATAATTTTCTTAGGACAGATGCCCAGAACTGGGATTATTGGGTCAAAGGAAATGAGAATTACTTTGGCTCCTGACACTATGTCTCAGTTGCCTTCTGGAGGTTTCTAACAGTGCAGCTCTGCCAGCAGTACAGGCCGGGGGCTCGGGGATACCTCACCGGCTCTTATTCCAAGAGTCACTGAACGGCGAACACAAAGCTGCCCCAGCCCTCAGCCTGCTCTGGAGGGGCGCATTTGATGTATGACCTCTGTTGACAGCACCAGCAAAGCAAGTTGCCCTTAAACCCTTAAACTCTGTATCCCCCTATATTACCTTTCAGCCCCACAAGAGGATGTGGACGAGACCCCCAGCCCTACAGAACCAGGCACAGAGGCCCCAGAGCCCCCCGAGGAGCCTCTCCTGGGGGAGCTGACAGTGACAGGATCCTCCCCTGACTCGCTGAGCCTTTCCTGGACCGTCCCCCAGGGCCGCTTTGACTCCTTCACCGTGCAGTACAAGGACAGGGACGGGCGGCCCCAGGCGGTGCGTGTTGGGGGCCAGGAGAGCAAGGTCACTGTGAGGGGCCTGGAGCCTGGGCGCAAGTACAAGATGCACCTGTACGGCCTCCACGAGGGGCGGCGCCTAGGCCCGGTGTCTGCCGTGGGCGTCACAGGTGAGTGAGTGTGGGTGGGGCAGGGTTGGAAGACAGCCCTAGAAAATGTGCCCTTCTCTACCATTTTCCTATACATATTTCTGTCTTGATGGGGCTCACAGTGAAAGGAATATAGCAACATTATGGAAAGACATGTCATGGAGAGACAGGCTGCAATCCAGCAAATGAAGCAAAGGCGGGTGAGCATGTGATAGGGAGGCCCAGGGCTCAGGTCAGGACCAGACAGGGACGCCTAAGTCACCCTGCCCATGGGTACCCAGGGGACAGCCAGGACCTGAGTCCAGGCATGCCTTAGCTTGGTGACAGCTTTAGAGAGAAGGTGAAGTGTGTCAGATAATCACAGCTGGTGCAAAGGCCAGGAGGCTAGAAAGAGCATGGCACGTGAGAGGCACTGAGGATTGAGTGGGGTGTCCTTTACGGTGAGTATCTCATCCTGAAGTGTGGGAGCAGAGGAGGGGACCACTCACCAGGCCTGGGGTCTCCCAGGGATGAGGATGTGGTTGCCCAGGTCTGTGCTGAGATGGCCCCAGCAGCTGTGCCTGTGTGAAGCTCATCCGTGGGGGCTGAAGATGGGGATGGGGTGGCAGGGAGCCTGGAGGCAGCGAGGCCAGTAGGCAGTTGGTGGCCCTGGTGAGAGGTGACAGTGGCTCAAACTAGGATCGGGGACTGGAGGTGGGGTAGGAAGGTATCCAGGGGAATTCAGGGTAAAGATGCTCTGAGGCTGCTGGCAGCTGGTGAGGAGCTGGATCCAGGAACACACCCCAGGCTCTGGCCTCGGGAGGAGTGTGCTGAGCTTGTTGCGGAGCAAAGACAGAAGCCCAGTGAACAAAAGATGGCGAAGAGACCCCAGTGCTGGGAGGCCAGGGGTGCAGAGGCCGAGTGGGGCTGTGCTCAAAAGAGAGGCGGTGCTGGAGGGACAGGGAGAGGTGGCCTGGGTGTTGGGAGGTGGGGGTGAGGTGGGGGCTGAGGGCAGGAGGGTCAGGGTGAGGGATAGGAAAGGCCACAGGAGAGGAGAGGATGAAGAGCTGTGCTGGAGGGGCTGTGGGCAGCATCGTCCTGCTCTTGGGCACTTTGTGTTTTGTGACACATCCTTTCTATGCTGAACTGAGGAGCCAGGGACCTCACTGTCCCCACACGTGTCTGTCCAACTCCAGAGGATGAAGCCGAGACCACCCAAGCAGTGCCTACCATGACCCCTGAGCCCCCCATCAAGCCTCGCCTGGGGGAGCTGACCATGACAGATGCCACCCCTGACTCCCTCAGCCTGTCCTGGACGGTTCCCGAGGGCCAGTTTGACCACTTCCTGGTCCAGTACAGGAATGGGGATGGGCAGCCCAAGGCGGTGCGGGTGCCGGGGCACGAGGACGGGGTCACCATCTCAGGCCTGGAGCCAGACCATAAATACAAGATGAACCTGTACGGCTTCCACGGTGGCCAGCGCGTGGGCCCCATCTCTGTCATTGGGGTGACGGGTGAGTGGATGATGGCAGCCCCAGGGTGGGAGCCGTGGGAGGGTCACCCTCTTGCTCTTTGGTGATGACTGGTGGGGAATGGGCCAGGGGTCCGGTCAGCACCACAGACCTGCTTGTGGCTGGGGCTCCCCTTGGGCCTTCCTCTGAGGCTGACCCCTGGCTCCTCCTGAGCAGGGAGGGGCCATCAGGAGTTCTGCTGTGCTGGTGACTGTCCCAGGTCCCCCACAGCTGACCCTGGAACTTGTCATGTGTGTTAGCTGTCAGTTGAGCAGGACCACCCAGCCCCAAGAATGGGCTTTTCTGAAATGACCTCACATACCCAGTAGTGGCCATGGTTTCTCCCTCCTTCCCTTGAAGACCTGAGCACATCCCCCAGGCACCTGGCATCCTCTCTATATCTCCTTTTCTCAGCTGCAGAGGAAGAGACCCCCAGCCCCACGGAACTCAGCACTGAGGCCCCGGAGCCCCCTGAGGAGCCGCTCCTGGGGGAGCTGACAGTGACAGGATCCTCCCCTGACTCGCTGAGCCTCTCCTGGACCATCCCCCAGGGCCACTTCGACTCCTTCACCGTGCAGTACAAGGACAGGGACGGGCGGCCCCAGGTGATGCGTGTCAGGGGCGAGGAGAGCGAGGTCACCGTGGGGGGCCTGGAGCCCGGGCGCAAATACAAGATGCACCTGTACGGCCTCCACGAGGGGCGGCGTGTGGGCCCGGTGTCCACCGTGGGTGTGACAGGTGAGTGTTTGTGAGTGAGGAAGATGGCCCTAGAAGATGTTGCTTTCTCTGCAACTTCATGAAAACAAAAATATTCTCACCAGCCGGGCTTCTTTTGCACGTTTCCATGCTTGGGGATCTTGCTAAGAGGCAGATTGGGGTTCAACAGGTTTGGGCTAGGGCCAGAGATTCTGCATTTCCAACAAGAAATGATGCGGATGCTGCTGGCCCATGATCACGCCCCTTGAGTAGCAAAGTTCTTCACGACAAAGGAATTGGACCCTCTTTTGAAATCTGTTGAAGAGAATTTTTCTGCGTCCCTGATTCCTGGTAGTGTGCTTTCTCTGTGGAGTTGACTAGGGGCCGTGAAGGAAGACAGAAGGCAGTGAGGGGCAGCGCGTCGACTGCACACTCTGGAAGCCCACTATTGGAATAGGAATAGGAACAGACCTTTCTCACCAATGGGCCAATTTGTTCATTCAGCAAAGAATTCCTTGCCCTGATCCGGACACTGTAATTTTAGGGTATCAATGTCCTCTGGCCAACGACCTCCAGAAACTCACCTAAAATTGAATGGATGGAATTATGCTCCATGCAGTGCAGGAGGACTGTGGGGTGACTTAGGAAGAGGCTTTAGAAAGAGATTGTTAAGGAACTGGGCTTGTGTTTGGTGTTTTAGGAAAGCATTTAAGGAAGCAAGGTTTTGCTCTTTATTAGACGCTGTCAGGAAGAAGGGATAACCCTATTACCGGGCGTCTCACTAAGTCTTATCTTTGGGGAGGTCAACTAGAGCAAGGCCAAAGCTGCCATTGGTAAAGAAGCAGCTATCACTCAGATTAGCTGGATGGGTGATGTTTGGTTATTTTTGTGCTTTGGAAAATGTTAGAGTTCATCCTTACTGAGACATGATCACAGACTGGCCTTGTTCTTGTCTTGATCCATCCTACTGACAAATGGCCTAGTCTGATGTTGATGTTCCATGAAATTGTCTGTTCAACTGGACCACGCCAAGACCAGACTGTGCCAGGCCAGCCCCAAGCAGCCGTGGCCTGGCAGAGGGAAAGGGCAGCTCACGGGTGTCAGGGCTGCCTTTTTCTTTCATAGGCGGAAGCTGGAAAGTGACACACACAAGTTCATGTTTTCATGGGGCTCACAATTGTGGGCACAAGCAGAAAACCGGAAAGTAAGCAAAGAAGGATGAGCATGTGGAGCCCAGGAGCCAAGCCAGGATTGGGAAGGGACAGTGAAGTCACTCTGCCCACAAGTACCCAGGGGACAGCCAGGACCTGAGGCCAGGCAGGCCTTAGCTTGATGACAGCTTTGGAGAGGAAGTGAAGCATGTCAAATCATCACAGCTAGTGCAAAGGCCAGGAGGCTAGAAAGAGCATGGTGTGTGAGAGACACTGAGGATTGAGTGGGGTGTCCTTTGCAGTTGGTGGATCATCCTGAAGTGTGGGAGCAGAGGAGGGGACCACTCACCAGGCCTGGGGTCTCCCAGGGATGAGGATGTGGTTGCCCAGGTCTGTGCTGAGATGGCCCCAGCAGCTGTGCCTGTGTGAAGTTCATCCGTGGGAGCTAAAGATGGGGATGGGGTGGCAGGGAGCCTGGAGGCAGGGAGGCCAGTAGGCAGTTGGTGGCCCTGGTGAGAGGTGACAGTGGCTCAAACTAGGATTGGGGACTGGAGGTGGGGGAGGAAGGTATCCAGGGAAACTCGGGGGAGAGGTACTCTGAGGCTGCTGGCAGCTGGTGAGGGGCTGGGTCCAGGAACACACCCCAAGCTCTGGCCTCGGGAGGAGTGTGCTGAGCTTGTTGCGGAGCAAAGACAGAAGCCCAGTGAACAAAAGATGGCGAGGAGACACCAGTGCAGGGAGGCTAAGGGTGCAGAGGCCGAGTGGGGCTGTGCTCAAAAGAGAGGCGGTGCTGGAGGGACAGGGAGAGGTGGCCTGGGTGTTGGGAGGTGGGGGTGAGGTGGGGGCTGAGGGCAGGGGGGTCAGGGTGAGGGATAGGAAAGGCCGCAGGAGAGGAGAGGATGAAGAGCTGTGCTGGAGGCGCTGTGGGCAGCATCGTCCTGCTCTTGGGCACTTTGTGTTTTGTGACACATCCTTTCTATGCTGAACTGAGAACCCAGGGACCTCACTCTCCCCACACGTGTCTGTCCAGCTCCAGAGGATGAAGCAGAGACCACCCAAGCAGTGCCCACCACAACCCCTGAGCCCCCCAACAAGCCTCGCCTCGGGGAGCTGACCGTGACAGATGCCACCCCTGACTCCCTCAGCCTGTCCTGGATGGTCCCCGAGGGCCAGTTTGACCACTTCCTGGTCCAGTACAGGAATGGGGATGGGCAGCCCAAGGTGGTGCGGGTGCCGGGGCACGAGGACGGGGTCACCATCTCAGGCCTGGAGCCAGACCACAAGTACAAGATGAACCTGTACGGCTTCCACGGTGGCCAGCGCGTGGGCCCCATCTCTGTCATTGGGGTGACAGGTGAGTGTACGATGGGAGCCCCAGAGTGGGGCCTGTGGGAGGGTCTCCCTTTCTCTGGTGATGGGTGAACTGGCCCAGGAAGCCCCTCTGCTCTTGGCTGAGCCATGGTACTTTTTTGTCTTTCCCCACTTCCCTGAGGACTGACAGATCTTCCTGGGTGGAGAAGGGCCCTGTGAGCTCTGTTGGTGGCTGTCCCAAGTTCCCCAGCACTGACCTCAGAGCTTGTCATGTGTGTTGACTGTAAACTGAGCAAGACCACCCAGCTCCAAAGATGGGCCTCTCCAAGCTGACCCCAGGACCCCCACTCATGGCCACAGCTTCGCTCTCCTTCCTCACAAGACCCAAGGACATCCCCCAGGGAAGCTGCCTCACCTTCTCTGTCCCCTCTTCTCAGCTGCAGAGGAAGAAACTCCCGCCCCCACAGAACCCAGCACGGAGGCCCCGGAGCCCCCTGAGGAGCCGCTCCTGGGGGAGCTGACAGTGACAGGATCCTCCCCTGACTCGCTGAGCCTCTCCTGGACCATCCCCCAGGGCCGCTTCGACTCCTTCACTGTGCAGTACAAGGACAGGGACGGGCGGCCCCAGGTGGTGCGTGTCAGGGGCGAGGAGAGCGAGGTCACCGTGGGGGGCCTGGAGCCCGGGTGCAAATACAAGATGCACCTGTACGGCCTCCACGAGGGGCAGCGCGTGGGCCCAGTGTCCGCTGTGGGTGTGACAGGTGAGTAAGTGTGAGTGAGGCGAGGTGGGGAAGATGGCCCTGGAAGACACTGCTGTCTCTCCAGTCTTCGTGAAAACATACTCTGAAGAGTATTCCTTCCTTTGTGTATCCAAATGCCTGGAGATTTTTGTTAAAAAGCAGATTTGGATTCAGCAGGCTTGGCCTAGGGCAAGAGACCATGCATTTCTTTCTTTTTCTTTCTTTCTTTCTTTTTTTTTTGAGATAGAGTCTCGCTTTGTCACCCAGGCTGGAGTACAGTGGCTCAATCTCGGCTCACTGGAACCTCCGCCTCCTGGGTTCAAGTGATTCTCCTACCTCAGCCTCCTGAGTAACTGGGACTACAGGCGTGCGCCACCACGCCCAGCTAATTTTTTCATATTTTTAGTAGAGATGGGTTTCACCGTGTTAGCCAGGATGGTCTCAATCTCCTGACCTCGTGATCTGCCCTCCTCGGCCTCCCAAAGTGCTGGGATCATAGGCGTGAGCCACGGCGCCCAGCCAACCATCCATTTCTAACAAGATTCTCATCTATCTTGATGCCACTGGTCCAAGGAACACACTTTTTTTGTTGTTTTTTATTGTAGTAAAGTACACTTGACATAATTCGCCATTCTAATCGCTTTCTAGTTTGCAGTCCAGCATGAAGTCCACTCACATTGCTGTGGACTGTCACCCTCCACTTCCAGAACTCCTCTTCCCACACTGAAACTTCCTACCCACTAGACACGAACTCCCATTCTCCCCTTGCCCCAGCCCCTGGCAACACCATTCTACTCTCTGTCTCTATGAATTTGACTCTAGGTACCTCATATAAGTGCAATCATACAATATTTGTCTTTTTTGAATGGTTCATTTCATTAAATACAATGTCTTTAAGGTTCATCTATGTCGTAGCATCAGTCAGAATTTCCTTTTTATTTTATTTTCTGTGGCAATGGGGGTCTCGGTATGTTGCCCAGGCTGGTCTCAAACTCCTGGCCTCAAGCGAGTCTCCCACCTTGACCTCCCAAAGTGCTGGGATTATAGGCAAGAGCCACTGCACCTGGCCAGAACTTCCTTCCTTTTCAGGCTGAATAATGTTTCGTTTTACACATACAGACCACACTTTGCTCATCCTTTCATCCATTGATGGACATCTGGGTTGCTTCCACCTCTTAGCTATCAAGAATAATGCTGCTATGAATATTTGTGTGCAAATCACAGAACACCTTTGTAGCAAAGCTCCTCCCAGTAACAGATTTGGAAACTCTCTTAGAATTTGTTGAAGCGAATTTTTCTTGCATTCATGAATCCTCACAGAGGTTAGGCTCAGAGTTAGGGTTCCTGTCCTAATGGGAAAAGTTCCTGTCCTAATGGGGCTAACGTCATGGGGGACAGGCTGTGGACCAGTAAGAAAGCAAAGGCGGGTGAGCATGTGACAAGAAGCCCAGAGCCAGGCAGGAATACCTAAACCACCCTACCTGTGGATACTCAGGGGACAGTCAGGATCTGAGGCCAGGCAGGCCTTAGCTTGGTGACAGCTTTAGAGAGAAGGTGAAGCGTGTCAGATCAGCACAGGTGGTGCAAAGGCCAGGAGGCTAGAAAGAGCATGGTGTGTGAGAAGTACTGAGGATTGAGTGGGGTGTCCTTTGCAGTGAATAGATAGTCCTGAAGTGTGGGAGCAGAGGAGGCCTGGGGTCTCCCAGGGATGAGGATGTGATTGCCCAGGTCTGTGCTGAGATGGCCCCAGCAGCTGTGCCTGTGTGAAGCTCATCTGTGGGGGCTAAAGATGGGGATGGGGTGGCAGGGAGCCTAGAGGCAGGGAAGCCAATAGGCAGTTGGTGGCCCTGGTGAGAGGTGACAGTGGCTCAAACTAGGATCGGGGACTGGAGGTTGGGGAGGAAGGTATCCAGGGAAACTCGGGGGAGAGGTAACTCTGAGGCTGCTGGCAGCTGGTGAGGGGCTGGGTCCAGGAACACACCCCAGGCTCTGGCCTCGGGAGGAGTGTGCTGAGCTTGTTGCAGAGCAAAGACAGAAGCCCAGTGAACAAAAGATGGCGAGGAGACCCCAGTGCAGGGAGGGTAAGGGTGCAGAGGCCAAGTGGAGCTGTGCTCAAAAGAGAGGCGGTGCTGGAGGGACAGGGAGAGGTGGCCTGGGTGTTGGGAGGTGGGGGTGAGGTGGGGGCCGAGGGCAGGGGGGTCAGGGTGAGGGATAGGAAAGGCCGCAGGGGAGGAGAGGATGAAGAGCTGTGCTGGAGGCGCTGTGGGCAGCATCGTCCTGTTCTTGGGCACTTTGTGTTTTGTGACACATCCTTTCTATGCTGAACTGAGAACCCAGGGTCCTCACTGTCCCCACACGTGTCTGTCCAGCTCCAAAGGATGAAGCCGAGACCACCCAAGCAGTGCCTACCATGACCCCTGAGCCCCCCATCAAGCCTCGCCTGGGGGAGCTGACCGTGACAGATGCCACCCCCGACTCCCTCAGCCTGTCCTGGATGGTTCCCGAGGGCCAGTTTGACCACTTCCTGGTCCAGTACAGGAATGGGGATGGGCAGCCCAAGGCGGTGCGGGTGCCGGGGCACGAGGACGGGGTCACCATCTCAGGCCTGGAGCCAGACCATAAATACAAGATGAACCTGTACGGCTTCCACGGTGGCCAGCGCGTAGGCCCTGTGTCTGCCATTGGGGTGACGGGTGAGTGAATGATGGGAGCCCCAGGGTGGGAGCTGTGGGAGGGCCACCTCTTGCTCTTTGGTGATGACTGGTGGGGAATGGGACAGGGGTCTGGTCAGCACCACAGAACTGCTTGTGGCTGGGGCTGGGACTCCCCTTGGGCCTTCCTATGTGGTTGACCCCTGGCTCCCCCTGAGCAGGGAGGGGCCATCAGGAGTTTTGCTGTGCTGGTGGCTGTGCCAGGTCCCCCACAGCTGACCCTGGAACTTGTTACGTGTGTTAGCTGTCAGCTGAGCAGGACCACCCAGCCCCAAGAATGGACTTCTCTGAAATGACCTCAGGTCCCCCAGTCATAGCCTTGGCTTCTCCCTCCTTTTCCCCAGGACCCAAGGACATCCCCCTCACTCTCTCTCCCTCCTTCTCCACTGCAGAGGAAGAGACCCCCAGCCCCACAGAACCCAGCACTGAGGCCCCGGAGGCCCCTGAGGAGCCGCTCCTGGGGGAGTTGACAGTGACAGGATCCTCCCCTGACTCGCTGAGCCTCTCCTGGACCGTCCCCCAGGGCCGCTTCGACTCCTTCACCGTGCAGTACAAGGACAGGGACGGGCAGCCCCAGGTGGTGCGTGTCAGGGGCGAGGAGAGCGAGGTCACCGTGGGGGGCCTGGAGCCCGGGCGCAAATACAAGATGCATCTGTACGGCCTCCACGAGGGGCAGCGCGTGGGCCCAGTGTCCACCGTGGGCATCACGGGTGAGTGGGGGGACAGGCCCTCGTCCCCAGGTTTACCTCTGCAGCCCCCTTGTGTTTCTCCTTTGGATCTTGGCACCTCTTTTGACTGGGCCTCTAGGTTTCTGTCTTTTCTCCCATGTTGCTAATGATCCTGCCTCATCCTTGGATTCATGGAGACTGTGTGGAGTCAGATGGGCAGGTAGTCCATGCCCTGTTTGTTGTAGCTTCCTTCTCCCATTGTGATCTGGAACCTCCATGTTGCTCGTGTGCTCATTTGTTAGTCTTCAGGCTCCCTTAAGGAGTATTTTAGTGGCTCAGAAAGTGCTTCAGATCCAGCTGCCCAGATCTGCATGTGCCTTCGAATGTAGTGATTGTGCGACTTTGCAGGCGTTTCCTAACCTTGTGCTTCAGATTCCTGCAAAGTTGGGGTGATGATAATAATGGCACCCACTTCATATGTTGTGCGAGGGTTAAATGCACCACTGTTTGTGAGCTGCTTACAGCAATGCAGGGCACAGATTCTAAAACAAGCGTTTTAGAGGAGGCCGCTAAGAAATGCTCACTCCAGTCCTGGGAGAGCACTGCCTCCCTTGCGCAGGGTCCTGCCTCCTGACCCATGGGCCTGCTCTGCTCTTTTCAGCGCCCCTGCCCACACCACTGCCGGTGGAGCCCCGCCTGGGGGAGCTGGCGGTGGCGGCCGTGACCTCGGACTCAGTGGGCCTCTCATGGACGGTGGCCCAGGGCCCCTTTGACTCCTTCCTGGTACAGTACAGGGACGCGCAGGGGCAGCCCCAGGCAGTGCCTGTGAGCGGAGACCTCCGAGCGGTCGCCGTCTCGGGGCTGGACCCGGCCCGCAAGTACAAGTTCCTGCTCTTTGGACTCCAGAATGGGAAACGCCACGGCCCAGTCCCTGTGGAGGCCAGGACCGGTGAGTGAGGGCTGGAGGCCTCCCGCGGCCAGAGCCTTCGCCCCCTTGTGGCACCTGTTGGAATTTCACGTTCTGTGCCCCACACTCCAGTCCTCAGCACCCACTGATTTATTGGGTCCAGGAAAACCCAGGCCCTGAGCTCTCCTCTCCCACTCACACTCATCCCTCTCCCTACTTTCCCTGCACCCCAGGGGACACTTGCTTTCTTGTCTGGCTCCTCTTTTATTCCTACTCCTGGCCCAGTCACCCTCCCGTTCCTGGGACCGGCTCACAGAGCCATAGCAGCCCAGGAAGCTCCGTGGCCCCTTTGCCTCCATCCCACTCTCCATGCACCTCACTGTCTTTTCCAGCCCCAGACACCAAACCGTCTCCCCGCCTGGGGGAGCTGACTGTGACAGATGCGACCCCTGACTCCGTGGGCCTCTCGTGGACGGTCCCTGAGGGCGAATTCGACTCCTTCGTGGTCCAGTACAAGGATAAGGATGGTCGGCTCCAGGTGGTGCCGGTGGCAGCCAACCAGCGGGAGGTCACAGTCCAGGGCCTGGAGCCCAGTAGGAAATACAGGTTCCTGCTCTATGGTCTGTCAGGCAGGAAACGACTGGGCCCCATCTCTGCTGACAGCACCACAGGTGAGTCCCAGTCCAGCCTCCACCTTTTCCAGAGCTGCCTCTCATCCGAGCCCTCAGAGCTGGCCCTGCAGCCTTCCCGTGAGATTCCCTCTATCAGCCCTGACACAACCATCTTAACTCCGAAAGTGAGTCCCTCTGTGTGTCAGGCACAGTTCTGAAGCATATGCATTACTTCCTTTCATTCGCTGACTGCTGAGGAAATAAAAGGGACACGGGCTTTGGGGCCAGCAGATCTGTGTTCCAGTTCCAGTCCTAGCCTTTGCCAGGGTGACCATGGACAAGCCGCTTCATCCCCGGGACCTCAGTGTCCTCACCTGCATAATGCTGGGAATGGCGCTGGACTCAGTAGTGGTTCCCATCCTCCTCCCTCCTCCCTGACTCGGAGCCGAGGGGTGGAAGAAAAGGGAGGGCTTGGCTATGGAAAGACGATGGAAAAACCTGGTGTCACTATGCCTATGACTCAGCTCCCTGAGGAAGGGGTGTGGTGGGTCACCGACCCTCACCCCACTCCCAGGACCATGAGTCACTATGCCCAGAGGAGGACAGAGCAGCCGGCCAGTCTGGGCCTGGGTCCCTGGGACTCCGTAATTCTCTTCCCAAACCCTCACTGTGGGGACGGGGTACAGATCCCCACCCATCGGCCCCAGCCCCACCCGGGCAAGCCTCTGCTCTGCCCTCTGTTTTCCCAGCTAATCCCCTGTCTTCTCCCTGCCCCACCCTGGCTGCCCCGGCCCAGTGGGGTCAGTGTGGGGCTGGGGAAGCAGGAGGCACGGATGTTCAGGCTGATGGCCACAAGGGGACAAGGGGGAGATCACAGCCTGGCAGTGATGGGAGCCGTGCATTGGCCGGCTGCCCAGACCAGCTCTCGATGTTTGGGGTGTCTCCGTGACAACCCAGAGACCTCCGGGGAGTCTCTCTCAGCTCTGGCCTCATTCTTGCTCAGGGGCTGGGGGTCAGGGTAAACAAAGGCCCTCTCTGCACCCCCAGCCACCCATCCCTCGGGAGATGATCTGTAATGAATTTGGCGCATCCTCGATCACAGCAGGGAAGGGGCGGGGCAGGAAGGAGTTTGGGCAGCAGCCTCCAGAGGAGGAGGGGGCTGTTCTCCCTCATTCCTGTGGGGCATGGCGGGAGCAGGCCTGTGTGTCTCCTCAAGGAGCTGTCCCTGGGGCTACACTGGAGGGACCATTTCCCAGAACCTCACACCTCCGGGAGGCTGCCAGGGCTTAGGCAAAGGCAGCATGTGACTAAGAGCTTTCCCTCCTCCCTCTGCACAGCTCCCCTGGAGAAGGAGCTACCTCCCCACCTGGGGGAACTGACCGTGGCTGAGGAGACCTCCAGCTCTCTGCGCCTGTCCTGGACGGTAGCCCAGGGCCCCTTTGACTCCTTCGTGGTCCAGTACAGGGACACGGACGGGCAGCCCAGGGCAGTGCCTGTGGCCGCAGACCAGCGCACAGTCACCGTAGAGGACCTGGAGCCTGGCAAGAAATACAAGTTTCTGCTCTACGGGCTCCTTGGGGGAAAGCGCCTGGGCCCGGTCTCTGCCCTGGGAATGACAGGTGAGGCTGCTGTGCCTGGCTATAGCAAGCCAGCTTGTGTGGGTTTCCTTGTGCATTTGGGCTGAAGACAAAGATGACTGCAGGAGTGGGCAGGCCGGAGTGGGGCGCCCTGGCCTGTCCCCAGGAAGGAGGAGGAGTCTGCAGCCCTGTGGGCTTCAACATCCATCAAGGAGTCCAGAGCAGGAGCCAGGCCAGGCGGGAGGGAAAGGCCCTGGGAGGGGCTCTCTAATCTCCCAGCCCCGACTCTGCCCCGTCACTGCCACTGCTCCTCATTACTCGCTGGGGCTGCTGTCGCCTCCCCGAAGGGTGGCCTTGTCCAGATAGCGGCAAACCTCCCTGCCGTGGATGAGTCAGGAGCATTTTCTTAAGAGGAACATCACTGGAAAACAAAATGAGCGGGGACACAGAAACCAACAGCAGTGGCTGCATTTGTGGTACAGGCTCCTCTTCCAGAGCTCGCTGATGCCCACCTCAGACAGGCCTGACCACGGCACGGCTGGTGGGATTTGCCAGTCACCTCAACCAGCCAGTTCCACCCTCAGCTTCTCTCAGAAGGGAGCACCACACTCCTCAAGCTCAGTGAATGTATCCCGGCATGGGTGGGGCCAGAGCCTGTGATATCTCGAGGTGGGCTCGGCAGGACACCGGGGTGTGGAAGGGGGAAGCGAGCACCTGACTCAGACAGCGCGGGAGCTCGCAGGAGTCACGAGGCCACAGCGACTTCATTGTCTGACTGGGCCTGGACCTATAAACTTCCCACCTCAGCCTTGGGCCAAGCCTGGAAGATAAAAATGGAGCACCCCATGGCGCCCCTCACTCAGATTCTCCCCTGGGCTTCTCCCACGCAGCCCCAGAAGAGGACACACCAGCCCCAGAGTTAGCCCCAGAGGCCCCTGAGCCTCCTGAAGAGCCCCGCCTAGGAGTGCTGACCGTGACCGACACAACCCCAGACTCCATGCGCCTCTCGTGGAGCGTGGCCCAGGGCCCCTTTGATTCCTTCGTGGTCCAGTATGAGGACACGAACGGGCAGCCCCAGGCCTTGCTCGTGGACGGCGACCAGAGCAAGATCCTCATCTCAGGCCTGGAGCCCAGCACCCCCTACAGGTTCCTCCTCTATGGCCTCCATGAAGGGAAGCGCCTGGGGCCCCTCTCAGCTGAGGGCACCACAGGTACCACCAGGCGTCTCCGGCCTCTAGCCTAGGACTCAGAAGGGAGAAACGGGGGCTCAGAAGGGGTGGTCGCAGGGAAAGAGCGTGAGGCGGGTACCAGGGAGAGAGGATGGATGGGCTGGATGCGAGTGGCCTTTAGCTCTGCCCCACAGGACCCCCCTGTGGCTGCAAGTCCCTGGTTACAGATAGAGAAACGGGGGCAGGGAGGGGGGTGGAAGGGACGTGCTCTGGGTCACCAAGCTGGTGTGCTTCTGTCTCCAATCCCTTCTCCCCCACCCACTCCGTGCAGGGCTGGCTCCTGCTGGTCAGACCTCAGAGGAGTCAAGGCCCCGCCTGTCCCAGCTGTCTGTGACTGACGTGACCACCAGTTCACTGAGGCTCAACTGGGAGGCCCCACCGGGGGCCTTCGACTCCTTCCTGCTCCGCTTTGGGGTTCCATCACCAAGCACTCTGGAGCCGCATCCGCGTCCACTGCTGCAGCGCGAGCTGATGGTGCCGGGGACGCGGCACTCGGCCGTGCTCCGGGACCTGCGTTCCGGGACTCTGTACAGCCTGACACTGTATGGGCTGCGAGGACCCCACAAGGCCGACAGCATCCAGGGAACCGCCCGCACCCTCAGCCCAGGTAAGGACCCACACACACTCTGCCCCAAAGTGGGGGTCTTTGTACTTCACGGGGGGGACCTAGTGCCTCAGCCAGCGGTGGGGGTGGGCGAGTTGGTGGTGGGCCTGGAGGAATCTGCAGAGCGACTTCCATTCCTGGGGACTAGAGGAAAAGGGGTGGTGAGCCTGTGCTGGAGCAGAGGCGAGGGGGGGACTCGTAGGGAGAAGCCTCCCTGCCCCTGCCTGCGTCATTGTTCCTTGACCCCTCTGCAGTTCTGGAGAGCCCCCGTGACCTCCAATTCAGTGAAATCAGGGAGACCTCAGCCAAGGTCAACTGGATGCCCCCACCATCCCGGGCGGACAGCTTCAAAGTCTCCTACCAGCTGGCGGACGGAGGTGGTGCCTTTGCCATGTGCTCATCGCCTCGCATTTCCTCTCCCCCCTGCACTCTGCCCACCCTCCAGCTGCCCTGGGGTTCCCTGGGTAACCCTCGATCCCCAATGTTTTCAGGGGAGCCTCAGAGTGTGCAGGTGGATGGCCAGGCCCGGACCCAGAAACTCCAGGGGCTGATCCCAGGCGCTCGCTATGAGGTGACCGTGGTCTCGGTCCGAGGCTTTGAGGAGAGTGAGCCTCTCACAGGCTTCCTCACCACGGGTGAGATGGACTGGGACCCGGGGCAAGAGGTGGGAGCCAAGAAAACGGCATGGGTGGGAGTTGAGAGAGAACGAGGAGGGTGAAAGGGAGGTGGTGGAGGCTCCGATTGCGGACGGGAGGCCAGTGGAGTCTGGGGAGGCACGGAGTAGAGAGAGCCGCGGGGACCCTTCTGAGCCCCTCCCCTTCCCCCAGTTCCTGACGGTCCCACACAGTTGCGTGCACTGAACTTGACCGAGGGATTCGCCGTGCTGCACTGGAAGCCCCCCCAGAATCCTGTGGACACCTATGACGTCCAGGTCACAGCCCCTGGGGGTGAGCAGGCCTGAGGCCTCTGGAGGGGACTTGTTCAGGGTGGGGATTGCAGGGGGGAGGCTGGACTCTGGCCGAGGATGGAGGGGGCAGGCCTTGATGCCCCTCTCTACACTCCCAGCCCCGCCTCTGCAGGCGGAGACCCCAGGCAGCGCGGTGGACTACCCCCTGCATGACCTTGTCCTCCACACCAACTACACCGCCACAGTGCGTGGCCTGCGGGGCCCCAACCTCACTTCCCCAGCCAGCATCACCTTCACCACAGGTAGGGTCTGTGGGGTGTGTGGGACAGGGAGAGGAGGTAGAGGGAGCCAGGTTGGGCCTCATCCCCATCTCCTCTTCCTGCTTTCCCTCCTAGGGCTAGAGGCCCCTCGGGACTTGGAGGCCAAGGAAGTGACCCCCCGCACCGCCCTGCTCACTTGGACTGAGCCCCCAGTCCGGCCCGCAGGCTACCTGCTCAGCTTCCACACCCCTGGTGGACAGAACCAGGTGCCCCGGCCCCACTGACCCAACTCCCCTCCCTGGGTGATTCCAGGAGGTGCTGCCTCTGGCCCTCCCGGAGGGTCTCCACCTCCCTCTCCCCTGACCCCCCCTTGTCTGTCCCACAGGAGATCCTGCTCCCAGGAGGGATCACATCTCACCAGCTCCTTGGCCTCTTTCCCTCCACCTCCTACAATGCACGGCTCCAGGCCATGTGGGGCCAGAGCCTCCTGCCGCCCGTGTCCACCTCTTTCACCACGGGTACCTGGACGCACGGGCCCGGGGCCGGGGGCTGGGTGGGCAGCCAGGGCCTAAGGCTTGGAAAAGGACTGGCCCCTGCTCTCCTCTCCCAGGTGGGCTGCGGATCCCCTTCCCCAGGGACTGCGGGGAGGAGATGCAGAACGGAGCCGGTGCCTCCAGGACCAGCACCATCTTCCTCAACGGCAACCGCGAGCGGCCCCTGAACGTGTTTTGCGACATGGAGACTGATGGGGGCGGCTGGCTGGTGGGTGGCATTGGGAAGCCCAGGGGTCTGTGCAGGGCAGGGTCTGTTGCCCCGGGAGCCAGAGGCTGATGGTGCCCCCACTTGCTTCCCAGGTGTTCCAGCGCCGCATGGATGGACAGACAGACTTCTGGAGGGACTGGGAGGACTATGCCCATGGTTTTGGGAACATCTCTGGAGAGTTCTGGCTGGGTCAGTGCCTCACAGGGACTGGGGAACTACGGATGGGGATGGGGGCCCTGTGGACACCAGGACCCTGATGAGGGCACGTATCCCACCCCCAGGCAATGAGGCCCTGCACAGCCTGACACAGGCAGGTGACTACTCCATGCGCGTGGACCTGCGGGCTGGGGACGAGGCTGTGTTCGCCCAGTACGACTCCTTCCACGTAGACTCGGCTGCGGAGTACTACCGCCTCCACTTGGAGGGCTACCACGGCACCGCAGGTAAGCAGAGGCTGTGAGGCTGGGAGGGTGAGGCTGGGAGGGGAGGCCCTCATGGCTCCTTCCTCCACCCTGCCCAGGGGACTCCATGAGCTACCACAGCGGCAGTGTCTTCTCTGCCCGTGATCGGGACCCCAACAGCTTGCTCATCTCCTGCGCTGTCTCCTACCGAGGGGCCTGGTGGTACAGGAACTGCCACTACGCCAACCTCAACGGGCTCTACGGGAGCACAGTGGACCATCAGGTGAGGGGTGGGGAGGCGGCTCAGAGCTGGGGTGGCTGGGGCTCGGCCTGCCTAGGTTTCAGCCCCACAGTGTAACAGGCAAGGGACTGAGTGGCTGGGTGAAATGGAACAATCATGCCAGCCTCGCAGAGGGAGCTGGAGTTGATTTATTGGCTGGAAAGGGCCAGCTCAGAATTAAGCCTCAATCCTCTGCAGCGGAGGGTCAGGAAGGGAGCTCTGCGGGGAGGTTGGTTGAGTGCTGGGAGCTACCTCCTTAAGGGGAACGGGAAGAGCAGATGGGACATCCGGCTTTGACTCTCTCTTGACAACCCCTTTCCCAGGGAGTGAGCTGGTACCACTGGAAGGGCTTCGAGTTCTCGGTGCCCTTCACGGAAATGAAGCTGAGACCAAGAAACTTTCGCTCCCCAGCGGGGGGAGGCTGAGCTGCTGCCCACCTCTCTCGCACCCCAGTATGACTGCCGAGCACTGAGGGGTCGCCCCGAGAGAAGAGCCAGGGTCCTTCACCACCCAGCCGCTGGAGGAAGCCTTCTCTGCCAGCGATCTCGCAGCACTGTGTTTACAGGGGGGAGGGGAGGGGTTCGTACAGGAGCAATAAAGGAGAAACTGAGGTACCCGGCTGGCATCGGTCCTGCCCCATCACTGGCTCTGGCCCGGGCTGTGGGCCCCCATCCCCCGGGGCTGCAGCCGCACTTGGAAAGGCTGCATCTTGAGGATGACACTGCAGTGGGGCAGGGGCTGCAGGGAGGGCAGGGCGTCCCCGGAGGGCAGCAGCGTGAAGGCCTGCAGCAGTCGGGTCAGCACCACGAAGAGCTCCAGGCGCGCCAGCGGCTCGCCCAGGCACACGCGGGCACCGCAGCCGAAGGCCAGAGCTCTGGAGTTCTTGCCTGGCTCCAGGAAGCGATCTGCGGGCGGGTGGACAGGTGGGTGGGGAGGCGTTCAGCGGCAGCGGGGACCAGCCTCCACCACATTTTCACGGCAGGCCCCCGGCCCCCCACATACCAGGCCAGAACTCATGTGGCCTCTCCCAGACCGTCTCATCCAGGTGGGCGCCTTGGAGGTTCGGAATGATGACTGTGCCCTCAGGGATGTCGTAGCCGGAGATGCTGAAGGGGGCTGGAGTTAGAGGCTGGCCAGGACCTCCCTGGGCTCGGGCTTTCCTCACTCATCCCCAACCCTCGGGAGTCACCTGCTGGGCCGTGTGGTGCGGTGGGGCAAGGCTAAGGGCACAACGGGCCGCAGGCGCAGCACCTCGGCGATGGTGGCATTGAGCAAGGGCAGCCGTGCACGGTCCTTGTAGGGGACCCGGGAGCTGGAGGCACCAGGGCCCAGTTCGTGGTCTAGCTCCTCCTGCAGTCGCTGCTGAATCTGGGGAATGATCGGGTGGAGTCCTGCCCCAGCAGCCCACAGCTGCCCAGCCTCCAGCCGCTCCCTCAGCAACCCAGTGAGCCTGAGTGCCGGTGAGGCAAGCACAGCCCCAGCCGCACAGTGCTCAGAGCTGAGTGAGGGTGCCCACCGCCCTGGCCAGGTTGCTGGGAAGGAGCCTTTTGCTTGTCCCCAGGACGCACCTCAGGGTGGTGAAGCAAAAAAACCACGGCCCAGGAGAGGGTGTTTGCTGTGGTCTCAGTGCCACCGATCAGGAGGTCCACTGCAGCCATGTGCACGTGCCCTTCCAGGAGCTGTCCAGAGCCCTCTTCCATGCTCGGCTGCGCCACCCCTTGGAGCATGTAGTCCATCATGTCCCTCCACTGGCCTGCCACGAGGCTCTCCTGCAGAGGGTGAAAGGAGCGGGCTGAGCGGCTGGCCTGGGGAGAGGAGTACAGAGTGGCAACAGGCCCATAACTGGGGTATGCAAAAGAACCCGCCTCATAGCAATGCTGAGGCCGGTAGCATCACTGGCTGTGGGCCGAGGGGAGGCCGTCCACGTACAGTCCCCACCTTGTGCTGCCTCAGCTGCATCTCCACGATGTGATCCCTCTTCTCTATGGCCTGCTTCAGCCTCCGGAGACCTGGATTGGGGAAGAACTGCGGCAGGAAGCATGAGAATGCAGCTGTGGGAAGGAGCCTCTCCCTCCACCCCAGCCTCTCCCCTACAACCCAGGGGTGTCTAGGCTCCAGGTCCTCACCCTGAGAAAGGGAATCACGTCCACAATTTGGATGGACCAGTGGCTCCAGGTTTTTAACACCTCCTGGATACATTTGTAATAGGCAGGCATTAAGTTGTCGTCCTGCCAGAAAAGGAGGGAGTACTTTCAGTTCAGGACAAGGAGAGGCTCAGGGAGGGGCTGGGGGTGGGCCTGAGGGGCTGTGAGGCACCTTGATCTTGTCTCCGAAGGTGAGGTAACAGATGATGCTGCAGGTGAGGAGAGAGAATTCCTCCTCAATGGCCACAGGGGTGCCGGGCTGGGCTCTCATGCGCTGTGGAGAAACAGTGTGAGTTCAGCAGGCCGCTGTGCAGCGGGCAGGGCGGGGGCTACTGTGAGAGGCAAGGCTGACCCGAGGTGGCCTCAGGAGCCCAGCCTTACCTCACAGAACTCCTGGGTCAGCTGCTCCACCACTGGCTCCATGGAGTCACGGATGCCCAGCAGCAGGGCTGAGCGGGTGAGCTTCTTGTGGGCTTTCCAGAGCAGGGAGTAGTCTCCCAAGGACAGGTCCGGGTAGTTCCTAGACACCAGCTTGTCTGCAGGAGGAGGTGGGGGCTGGAGGGTGGGAACTGATGAAGGCAGCTGAGGGCCTGACCTTCTTCGGCCTCCCCAACCCCTGCTTTCTCCCCACCAGATATGCCCCCCCAAGAGCTTCCAGGGACCTGGATTGGGGATGCCCCAAAGGTGGCTCACACTTGAGGCTGAGGTGGGAGGATCATTTGAGACTAGGAATTTAAGACCAGCCTGGGCAGCATAGCAAGAACCCATCTCTTAAAAAAAAATTTTTTTAAGAAAGAAAAAATGCCCCCAGCCCTTACAGGTAAGTGGCTCAGGTCTGCCAGCAAAGTCTGCCCACTTTTTGACCATGGCTTCCTCAATGGTCCTCTTGGAGTTCAGCACCACCACATCTGGGAGACAGCCAAAGCAGCGTCAGCGGAGAGAGGACCCTCTCCGTCACCTCCGCCCCCTCCTATGGTGAGGGCCAGAGCGAGATCAGCCTCTCACCTTGCAGCCCAAGGTGGAGCCTGTAGATGGGCCCGAATTTCTGAGTCAGGCCAAGCAGATAGATTGGGAGGTCGGGCTGCAGCAAGTGCAAGAAGCCCGGGGCAAGAGGCGGGAGGTGGAGGCTCCGGAGCTTCCACCAGTTCCACAGCAGGCGGGCGCCAGCCAGCAGGGGCAGCAGCAGCAGCAGGCCCAGGAGCAGCATGGCGAGACGCCCGTCAGGGCCCTGAGGTGCCACTTATAGCTCAAGAGCCCCAGCCATCCCTCCTGCTGTGTAGACTGTTTTGGGGCCTCCCTTGACCCCACCTTCAGGTACCCTCCCACCGACCCGCCCACAGAGTGGCCCTTTTCTGGAATGACACCAGTCTCATTGGCCTTGGGACGTCCGTATTTCAAAAAAATTGATCACCCATCAAGAAGCAAGGAAGGGAAATGCAACCCTGACCTTTTTCCTGCATCCAGAGTCAGCTTTCTGGTTCCACATCAACTGTGCAGGCAATAGTGTCCGCCCCCACCTGGGCCCTCTCCCTCTGCCACCCCACCGTGGGCCAGTTTACTGGCATGATGTTTGTCTCAGAGAGAAAATGGCAGTCCCTGCCTAATAGGCCTTCCTGAATCGCCTGAAGAACAAAATGTGATTTGTGTGGGTTGTTTGTTAGTTTAAGCTACAGATAGAGTAATACAGTTTAAGCCTGGTTTGCCTGGGGCATTCCAGTATATACAGGTATCCCAGTGTGATTGTTATTAGTGCCTCCTTTCACTCACAAAAGTGCCCAGAAGACAAAGGAGGAAGTGGTTTCCCGCTGCGGAGTAATAGCATGTACCAGACACTGCTCTAAGTGCTTTGTGGGCACTCACTCAACTCTTCACAGCCATGCTCTATATGCAACACGGGTATTGTTCGCATGTTGTGGAGGGCAGGATTCCAGCCTGGAAATCTAGCTGTCGAATATGTACCTTTAGCCACCAGGAGCACCTTTCTTTGGTTGAAAGGAAAACAGCCCACCTTGAGCTGGTTTGAGATAAAAAATAAGAATTGGGGAATTTCACAGAACTCAGGAAAAAGAAGCAGAGGAGGGGACCCCACTGGTCTTAGAAAGTCAAGGATAGGGAACAGAAAAAGCCCCGGAGACGGGCAGTTTCCTCGCTCTGTTCCTCTCTCCTCTTTCTTCTCTCTGCAGTCAAGTTTCTTGTGTTTCCAGGCACAGGCAGAACATGACTGCCCTCAGGACTACAGTCCACAGGTTCTACTCCAGCCAGGGAAAGTATGGATTCCCAGCACAACTGGGCATGCCCCCCTCAAAGTCCAAAGTCCCCAGGAAGGGGCTGGATAGCCACAGCTGGATCAGGATCAAGGGTCCAGCCCTATTTGGGGAACTGAAGCCATAAGGGGTGGGGGTCCCACTGGACTGACACTCAGAGACCACTTTTGTGGGTAAGGAGGCAGTTTGGGGATTTGGGAAGAGGCCATGCCAAAGAGGAGTGGCCGGGTTCAGTGAGAGGCCAGGGCCTCCTGGATGGTACCTGAGAGGTCAGAGGCGACCCAGCCTCATACCTTCCCCCCCATTTCTGGCTCTGTGCCAGACCCTCGGACCAGTGGGGGTCTCTCTCCCCTCAGAGCTTTTCCAGACTGTGCTACTGCAGAGCCAGAGTCAAGACCCTGGCTGTGCCACCCACTACATTGGCGAGTTCGCTGCTGCTGAATCCATGATCAGGACTGAGAGGGAGAAAACAGGATTGGGATTTCTGGGGTTGGGCAATGACAGCTACTGCCTTCTTCATGGTTGACCTCCCAGACCGGGCCATGTCTTGCTGCAACTGAATCCCTGGCTCCGGAAAATGGGCTTATGCCACCACCATGCTGAGCAGCTACTGGGAGAAAGATCTGATGAGCAACCATAGGGCCATGTATGCAAGAGCCTCAGGAAACCTCTGCCACAGTGGGAAAGGCCCAAACTTCTCAAAGTTACATGGGATAAGACAGTGCTCATCGGAAAGGAGCGCACCTGGAAGGCTGACGTGCTTACTACTTGTCTCACCATCTCCATCTCTTCCACCACTTCCAAATCCAAACTCCGAATGTGGTCAATTACATGCAATGTCCCCAAAGGTACCCTGTCCTGCCCCCGGCCTCTGGGCCTTTGTATATTCTCCTTCTGCCCCAGATGCCCTCATCTACCCCTGCTCTTTGCCTGGCTCCTTCTCAGTCTTCAGAGCCCCACTTGGAGGCCACCTGCTCCAGGAAGCCTTCCCTGTCCCTGCCTGGCAATGCCCCTGACTTGGTTAGATGCCCCACAGGACCACACTGCTCCCTGACATCACATCTTTCACAGAGGGTGGGGACTGCCCGTCCTCTTATCTGTCTCCCCAGCGATGAGCCCTGGAGTGAGCAGCTGTATCTCTGGCACCTGGCACAGGGCATGGCATGAAGTGAAAGATTCCCGAATTTCTGTCGAATGACTGGATGGCAGGCTGCTGAACTGTCATGACCTCTACGGAAACTGATCTCACCAAACTTCTTTGGACAGACGCGGAGTCATCTCTGAAGACCCCAGGTGTGCCACTAAATGGGGGAAAGTTAGGCAGGTCCGGTGGGAAGGGGAGACCCCAGGAGAACAGCGGCTTCCTCAGAGGATTCACAAACACACCAAAGTCAGACTTTTGGCTTGTTTGAAACCAGTAACTGGAAGAAGACACTGCCGGACCTGAGGATTGCACAACTCCGGGAAAGTCACCTCATTCCACTGATAACAGAACCAAGCGTCAGCAGGCTTTCAACAGCCCGGAACTCAGCTAAAATCTGCAGACCTCAGAACCGCCAGCAGCACGAGGACAGAGTCGGGGAGGTGTAGCTGGACAACAGCTCATGAGGCAGAAGAGCTGTGTCACAGGTGTCAGCTGAGCACAAGCCCTGTCTGAGGCCGTGGTGACTGGCGACAGCCGGGCAGTGGAGGGCCTTGGAAGCTGAAGGGTGGTCTTGGCATGGACTCTGGTCCTTGGGGTGCAGGCTCTTGGGTCCCAGTTCTGCTCGGGGTGGTCCTGTGAAGCACTAGACTCCTAGCGGGTCATCTGGGAGGTTCTAGCAGAGCTGAACAGCCCAAGGGTCATCAGGGCTCAGAGAGTCTAAGGTTATGTCAACCTGGCCTGCCCAGAACTGCATCGGGCAGGGGCACTGCTCTCAGCCCTAGCAACACACACTGACACTTCGCTGCCAACACTGACACTTTGCTGCCAAAAGCCTTTAATATGCCCTGGTCCCAGGCTGTGTTCATGAAAGCGGACACAGCAGTGCTTCCAGCTTCATGGTTCCCAGGTTCAGGTTCCTCCCAGCGGAGGTGGGAGGGCAGCCCTCACACCTGGCACCCCTGAGTGCCATACTCCTGGAGGAAGTCGTTGAGCTGGGCACAGGCTGCCCGCTGGCGGGTGCTCCGGCACAGGCGTTCAGAGGGCATCTCCTCGATCCAGCTATTCGAGTCCAGCAGGTACTGGGGGCTGCAGGGGGCAAAGGGGCAGTCAGCAGGGCTCGGGAGGATGGCAGGTGGAAACGGAGAGCACAGGCATCTGGCTTCTGAGGGGCAAGGCCTAGGTGGCGAGGCATGGGGAGGACAAGAGACTGAGGGGACCAGATGACTCACTGTCCCTCGAGGTCATAGGTGGCCCCATCCAGACCCATGATCAAATATTCTTTCCCAGGTTCCAAGCGAAGGCGGCAGGAGGCTCGAACCAGGAAGTTGCGCATCTGATTAGCAGCGGCCTTGACATCCTTGGCTGCGGGGATGACGTGCGCAAAAGTGGTCAGAGGGGAAGAGAAGGTGCAGGGTGAGCCCAGGCTGGGGACTCTGTGTAGATCCTCTCATTCCACCTTCGCCACCCCCATGGAGAGGTGCCACTGCCTCCCTATTTATGGCCAAGCCCAAGGCTTCTGACAGCCCAAGGGGATTTTCACACTTCCAGATGGTCAGGTCCTCGGCCACACCTCAGCCTCCCTGTCTCCCCCCAGCCCTGCCCGCCTCTCCGGTTTGCTTCATACTGAAGTGCAGGACTTGGGTGATCTTGGTCTCAAAGAGGCGGAAAGCAGCTCTGCTGTCTTCTCGGAGAACCTTAACCTGGAAGCCTAAGAGGGGGTGAGGAGAAGGGGGAAAGGTGAGTTACTTTGAGGCTGAGAGGGTAGGAAGTTGGTGTCAGAGCAAACAGGCTGCGTGCATGACCTGTAAGAGGAGCAGGCTACACCCAGAGAGACCAAAACAGCCGGTCCCCGAGGGAGGGTCAGGCCAGGGCCTCGGTGGGAAGACTGACCGTACTCCACACGGGGGTAGTAGCAGGCAAACTTCATCCTGTAGCCATCCTCGTCCTGCAGACCCCGCTCCAGGGCGCGACGCTGGCGAGGGCACTTCCCTGAAGTTGGGGAACCCATCAGACAGTGTGGGGGGGGCCCCGGCCATCCCGCCTCCACTGCCCCGCCCCAGGCCCTCAGTCTCACCCTCAGCACACTGGCAGACTTCAGCAGAACACAAGGTGGCCAAGAGTCTGCTCTTACTTGGTGCCCCGTAAAACACAGAACATCTGCGCTCTGGAGAACAGAGAGGAGTTAGGGCACAGGCCCCTCCATTCTGCCTCCTCAGTCCCAGGGAGCCCCAGGGCTCTCTGCCCCCTCACTACCCCGGTGTCCATTGTCCCATAGGAGGGCACCTATGCCAAAGTTCTCCTGAATTTCAGGGTGTCCTGCAGTGCTCACCGGGGTTGTAGTAGTCGTACAGGGTTGCGCTGGCCGGCTGCACCAGCCCCACCGGCACTTCCTGCACAGCCTCAAAGCCCACGCACTCCCGGGAGGTGGGGACCTGGCCAAGCGTGGGGAGGAGAGATGAGGGACCCACTCCCTGGGCCCTGCAGCCCCCTGTACTGGGTTTCCTTGGCCTGTTTTTGTTTGCTTCCTATTGGCCTTCTCTCCAGTGTCCTTCACATTCTGTTACCTTCCTACTCAGAGAACTCTCAAAGCTGCTCCGCAAGGTCTCTGGTGACTTCACTTCCCAGAGGGTGACCTTGCCCCAGTCTTCACTGCTCCAGGCCCTCAGCAGAGTCTTGCATCATGGACGTGTTCTCTGTGAAACTGTCCCTAAGCTAAGGGTTAGCTTCTGGACCACCCTTGGTTCTGACCTGGTCATTTCTTACGTTCCCTCCTTCGGAACTTCCTTCCTCAGAGCTCCCCTGTGGGGGTCTCAACCACTCCCTGGCTTCCACCAAACCAATCCAGGCTGATGATTCCCAAACTGAACTTGCAGCTCCATCCTTGCATTAGGATTGTGGCAGGACCTGTAAGTTCTCCAAGGCACTCTGCCTGCCCCCAAACCCACTCGCCCTCCTCGCGGCCTCATCTTTGTCATGGATACAACTGGGTCCTCCTTTATTTGCCACAACCTAACTGCAGGTTCTGTCATCCTGCCTGACCCCCCGACTCAGGTCCCAGGCCTGACCCCTCCTCGTGCCCACGCGGGCCCAGTCCACACGGTGCCGTGCCAGTGTCCCTCCTGAGCTAGGCTGCTGCACCGTCAGCTCCCTATCCGGGAATCTTGTTGGCTCTGTGTTTTCTATTGTGTTCAACCCAGATGTGTCAGCCAGGCTTCCCCAGCTGATGGGGGCTGGCCCCTCTGCACACACTGGGTAGGGGTCTCCCTGACCTACAAACAGCTGGCTAATGACAGCCACCACACCTTTCTCACATTTTCTCCCAGAGGTTACAGTAAATGTTCCAAAACTTTTTTTGAAGGCCGGGCATGGTGGCTCTGGCCTGTAAATCCGGTACTTTGAAAGGCCTAGGCCAGAGGATCGCTTGAGGCCGGGAGTTCAAGACCAGCCTGGGCAACAGAGCGAGACCCTGTCTTTACTAAATAAATAAATAAAAATGTTTTGAGAGCCGTAAGAGGGTTGATAACTATTTTAGCCAAATAAGGTCGTGAAAAGACAAATACAACTATCATCTATGGCCACCATCACTTTGTAAAGGAAAATACGCTTTAATATTAAAAAAAAGATAGGAAGTTCAACAAAAAAACAAAGGCAGCCCCTCAAGCTGAATAAAACCAGCATTAGGAAAGACTCCCTCTCAAACCCTGAGGGTCCCTGCTGACTGGCATCGGTCCCTGCCGCCTGCAGGTCTGCCCCTTACTCTGCTGTGTCTCACGGGCTCACATTCTTGTCCTTCTCTCTGATGACATCACAAGTTCTCAAGAGCACCAGCCGCTGACACAGCTGTCTCCTGAGAAACCTCCTAACGCATACTCAGTAAACCCGGTGCCATCGAGTCCCTTCCTGCCTCATCTCTCCCCACTCACCGAGTCAAAATACAGCAGGACGTGGGGCCCCTCGGTCTCAAAGTGACTCACGTAACGGTCAGAGAGGGAGGTCAGCTGTGGAAAAGGGGAGTTGGTCACAGGCCCTGCACATGACAGGGCTCAGTACCTGGGACAGAGGGGGTTGCCCTGGGTGGCTGACCACACCTTCTCCAGGTCAGCACGCAGGGCGTGGAATCCACTCAGGAGGGTGACGTCCGCGATGGCCATGCCAGACAGCCCCACCTTGCCGTTCCGCCTGTGGAGACGTGTGAGCTGTCGTCCAGGTTCTGCCTGCGCGGGCTCCAGAAGCCCAGCCCCAGCCTGGGTCCTGCCCTCCCTCCCCTGGCCCAGGGCAGCTCCCGGCGCCCACCAGATGCACACGGTGTAGTGCACCCTGGACTCCTGCTCCTCCACCACCTTGGGCGCCTCCCTCCTGCGGCGGTTCCTCCGACCCTCAAACAGCTGCAGGGGTGTCACGGGCTGCAGAGGGGCATCTGGGTCATCCTTGGCTGGAAGCTCATCGTACTCATAGTCCTCATAGTCCTCGTTTGCTTCCACTGCACAGGGAAGCATTGTGAGGAGGGCTGGGATGGCCACCCGGCTCCCTGCGCCAGCCCCTGCCTGGCCCCAAGGCCTCCCAACCCCCACACTCACTCGTGTACTCGACGTGGCCTTTGACTGTCACTTCTATCTGTAGGTCCTGGCAGGTCGTGTTCTTCATGTCCAGGACATTGTAGGTACGAAGGACCTGGCTCAGCAAGGGGCAGGGAGAGGACGTGGGACATGTGAGGCCACAGACCTCTCTGGTGCCATACCTAAGGGCATCTCCCTGGGCTACAGGATTTGAGGCCTTCAGCCCCTTTTCCTCCCCGTCACTGCACAGTCCACACACACGAGTGGCACCACATTCGCCACAGGCGTCAGGCGAGACAGAGAGGTAAAGAAGCAGGGGCCTGCCCCCAGAGGCCAACACTCCAGACTGTGCTGGGAAGAGGCTGGACTGAAAAGCTCAGGAAAGGCTTCTGGCCAAGGCTTGAAGGAGAAGAAAGAGCTTGTCCTGTGGGCCAAGAAGCAGGGAAGGACAGGAAAGGCAAGGGGATCTGTGTAGACAAGGAGAGCTGTCTGGCCGGAGGGGTGGGCAGAGGCCCAGCCATCTGAGCCGTGGGCAGCGGGGAGTGACTTTTCCCCAAGGCTGATCTGGCTGGGGCTTTTGGAAGGTCAGTGTCACTGCCGTGTGGACAGTGGATCAGACAGGGGAGACAGGAGGTAGAGAGAAGTTCCAGGTAGGGAGAAGGCCGTCTCAGCACAGAATCTAGGATGCAGCACCAAGGGCCACAGGCAGCAGGGGAGCAGAGGAGGAGTCACTAGGGACATAAGGACAGGCTTGGGAGAGGGGCCACTAACACGGCCTCTAGAGTAGTGGCTGGGCTCCTGGCTGGGAGGGGCTCCCACCAGCCAGACAAGAGACACAGAATGAAGAAGGGCTTTGGGACATGCCTCGTCTGAGGTGCTGTGGGAGTGGGACGAGTGGGGCCCATGGTTCAGGGAAGAGGCCTGGGCTGAGGAGTGGGATTCGGAGCCACCAGCACTGAGGCGGGTAAAGGAAACAACAGGTACCCAGAGATGGGGAGAGCAAGCGAAAGCAAGCAGGGGGAAAAACACCCAGGACGGAAGCACGGGACACCAACCCTGAGGTGTCTGCCTCCTTCCCCGGACCATGTGCCTCTGCCCACAGGCCTCTCACTCCACACCCTCTCCTCCACCAGTGCCTGGCCCCACCCCTTCCCTGGCCCTCACCTTCAGGGTTCCTTTGCTGTTTCCTCCCACCTTCACATTGATCTTGCTGCCCAAGGAAAACTTCAGCAACAGAAAAGGGAAGGCGATGTTAGAAGGGCACAAGCAAACCTGTTTTTGCGGCTCCAATAACTTATCTCCTTCCTCAAAACAGCCCCACCTCCTCTCCCCACCTCACATTTCCACAAAGTTTATACCAGCACATGAATTATCTCACTTCAGCCTTCTAACGACCCTGTAGGGTGAACTCTGTGTATGTTACTCTACAAGTGAGAAAACTGAAGCTCAGAGCTCCAGGTCACGCAGCCAGGAAGTCAGTCTTCCCCCGAAGACCCCAGGAAGAAGTGCTGCGGGGATTCCACGGGTGGGAGGGTGGGGACGGCTTCTGGCCTGGCCACGAGGCCCAGGTGTCCTGGCTACCCAGGCGAGGGAGTGGTTCACCAGGGAGTGGTTCACCTGCAGCTCCTCCTCCAGGCCGCGAATCTGGCGGTTGTTCAGCTGCAGCGCGTGGGACTTGAACCCATTCCGGCCTGTGGAGCTGAGAGTCACATTGAGACCCCTCTCCTCAGTGGTGTGGGAGGCAATCCAGTAGGCAGACAGGGCATCCAGGGCAATCACCGTGTCCTAGGGAGGTTGAGCCAGGACTCAAGCAAGCCCTTGGTCTGAGGACTACCCACCCCCGCCAGAGCCCGGGGACGGCCCCTACTTGGGTACTGCGGAATCCCCCTTGGAAGCTGCCCTGACGGGTGAGCCAGGCCGCAGCCTGGTCTGCCATCTCTGCTTTGCCCTCGTGAAGCAGGAGGTGCAGCAGGGCGTAGGCTGTGGTTTCAATCCACAGGGCTGGGGCCTGGGGCATGGGGTCGGATGGGTTGCGAGGAGCCGGGGTGGGCGACACGGCATTGCTCTGAGAACCAGTGACTGAGCCCCAGTACAGGTTATCTGAAAGTGAAGGGAGACCACGAGTAAACAGGAAGGCAGGGAGAAGAGCCTGGTCCCCTGGCCCTTAGCCACCCCCTGCTGGGCTCTCCTGAGTCTCCCCCAACCCACCCCTGCTTATAACTTCATTCCTCCTCTGAGTCTTCATCCAGCCTCTCCCTCTGGGCACACTCAGGGATCCTAAGGTCCCCTGGGCCTCAGGCTCACTGCCAGAGCCCCTCACCCCTCACCTCCAGTCTCCTGGGCCATTGCCATGAGGTTGTTGTGGGCAACACCCCGCAGGTCCGCAGGGGCCTTGGTCAGTGTCAGGGCATAGGCCGTGATGGCAGCTGCGTGGGCACCCAGGAGCCCAGCACTTGCTTTCTCCCCCAAAAATGAGCTTGCCTTTGAGATGGAGGCTTCCTGGAAGAAAACGGGAGGAGGGTCTTGGGCCTGGACCCCTGGGTTCCTGAGGAAAAAGGGAGAGAGCTGGGGGCCAGCAGAGGGCAGAAACGCCACTGAACTTACCACTCTCTGCTTCAATGGCTCTGCACCCTCATCCTGGAAGACGGCCAGCCCATGATGAAGGGCGATGGTCACAAAGGCTGTGAGTGCCACAGTCTCATCATTGCCCACCAAACCCCCCTAGTAAGGGGAGAAAAGATGTCAAACAGGAGGGGGAAGGGGCAAAGAGAGTCCTCCGACAGGCGCTTCTCGGGCCAGCCCCAGCATGCCCGCACCTGCATGCTCCTATGTATCACTGGAGAGAGGTCCTGGAACGAGCCGTCAGCCTGCTGCTGGGACAGAAGCCAGTTAGATGTCTCCTGCAGTTTCTCAGGCGAGCCTCCTACCTGCTCCTGGGCCAAACTCAGGACCTTCAACACAAAGGCTGTGAGCCTGGAGGGCAGGAAAGGAGGGTTGGGGATAAGGACTTGCTTCTCATTATGCCCACGCCCCCAGGTGCCTGGTTATCCACCCTCCCATCATACCAGCTCTGTCCCACCCCTGCCCCAGCCCTGACCCCCTCAGAACCCTGGAACCACTCTCCCAAGCTCACCAGGTGCTGCTGCCCCGTGACAACCAAGCCGCATAGGAACCATCCGCCTTCCGAAACTGCTGGATCCGCATGTAGCCTTGGAGAGGAGAGGTGGCCGCTCAGGTGACACTCACCCTTCTGCTGTTTGAGCCCAAGGCCATGCTCCCCATCCTCATCAGGGGCCCCCTTTCTTTCCCTCTGTAGCCTCCTGGGCTGTCCATCTTCCAGTAACTGTCCTTTCCTGGCCCCCCTCCTGCTTGCCCTTGCACCCAGAACCTTTCTGGATCAGATCCACGGCGTGGTCCTTGGTCTCGGGAGGCAGTGTGCTCCACTGCTCTGTCTTGTCCAGGTAGCGGGAAGCAGCCAGTGTCGGAGCCAAGTAGATCATGGTTTGCTCCCCACAGCCTCGAGGAAGCCTCAAGAGGGAGGCCACGCCTCCTGGTGACAAGGCCCCCTCAGAGCCTAAAGTGTCCAATGGATCTGAGGCTACATGGGAGGGAGAGGGTGGAGGTCTGAGGACTCTGTGTCAGAGGCTCACGGGGAGTGGGACCAAGCAGGGATCCACAGGTCCCACATGAATCCGAAGGTGGCCACTGGGAAGGGACTAAAGGGCACTCCCACCTGTAACCCTGACGTAGCTGTTAAAGTCCCCATCAGGGATCATATTGGGATCAGAGTTGCCAGGTATTTCCAAGGTCCGGCCTCGGTGGTCTGGGGAAATGGGGGAAGTTGGCAGCCTGTCCTGCTGTCCACATCCCCCACCACCTGTACCCACTTAGGAAACCAATGGCTGGAGGTAGAGGGTCACTCACCCAAGGGGTTGAGTTCATAGACCAGCTCCTCTCTATGGATGGCCCCTTCCTTCTGTCTCAGGGAAAACATGGTTGTGAGGTCACACAGGACTACAGCCTGCCCTGCTAGCACAGACTCCCCCAGAACTTTGAGTTTCAACTCCAGGGACAGAGTTGGATCAGAATTGTAGAAGATGGGAACAGACCAAGGCATTGGTTTGGGTGTTGGGCCCCTGGCCTGGCCAGCAGAGAGAGTGCTGAGGGTGGAGGACAAAGCTGGGGGCCCGGGGACTTATATTCAGGGGTGCTCCATTCACCTCAATCTGCAGAACCTTGGACACCGCATCTCCCACAGGGAATTCGAAGGACCCTCGAGCCACCACCTTCAGAGACACAGCGGTGGCTGCCGTGGGCACCACAGAGAAGGCAACAGGCCGGGCAGAGCCCGCAGGCACCAGCACCTGCTGGGCCAGCCCTCCGCCCCCAGCCAGGCACAGCCCCTCCACTGGGGACACGTGGACGCTCACCTGAGGGCAGGAAAACGAGGATGGCCAGAGTCCTGGCCCGGTTAGCCTCCCCACCCCTCACTGGGCCCTGGCTCCCCCAACTCCTGTATGCTCAGGCTCCCATGGGGCCTCACAGTCAGGTTTTTATCCAGGTAGTTATAGAGGACAGGCCGCAGCTCCAGCTGCTCAAAGCGGCGGACAGACATGGGCAGGCGGAGGTGCAGGTGGAACTCGCGGAACACCCGGAGCTGAACTGGGGTGGCCACACATAGGCCTGAGGGAAAGGAAGCGTGGGCACAGGGGCAGAGATCAGAGGGGCCATCAAAGCTTCAGGGCCACAGGAGGGAGGGGTGGGGGTGACCCAGCTCTGTCTCAGTCCGCCTCTGCCCTCTGGCCCACGCCAGCTGCACGCTGGCACAGACCTCCCCAGATCACTGGACCCTCTTCCTACACTAAGAGCAAAGGGAACAGGGAGCTGGGGTACAGGGAAATGGAAGCAGGGTCACCTGAGGCCCAGACAGGGTGACATCACCTTTGGTTTTGGACAGGCTCAGGCCATGGATCTCCCACGTGGTCAGAGAGTCGGGGAGCCACAGTGTCAATCTGTGTAGGGAAAGGCAGAGAAGGCCCGTCTACCCCGGCTGGCCCCGAGACACAGCACAGAGAAAAGGCCGGGCCGGCACACACTCTCACATTTGAAAGCGGTCCACTGTTTCCACTCTCCAGAGCCAGTTCTCTGGGAAGAAGCTGCGCACGGGAATGTCATCCTCATCAATCAGGTCCTCCTCCTGCAGGATCTCCAGGGCTGGGGGACCACGGTGGACGGGAGTGAGGAGGGGACCGTTCTGCCTTTCCAAGCGCCGCCACCTGTGCCCTAGCCCCACCCAGCCCCTCACCTCGTTGGAGGCCCGCCTGGCCCTTGTCCCTGCTCTTCTTGCGCAGACTCTCAGCAAATTGGCAGCAGGACAGGAAGGGCTCCCGGCAGTCCGGCTGCTGCACGCGGGCTGCCCGCTGCTCGCAGGAACGCATCATGGGCAGACGTGTCACCCCATCCTGGCAGCAGCGCTTGGCTGTCGGGGAAGCATACTGACCCACTGCAGGGCCAGGTGGGGGTGAGCATGAGAGGACAAAAAGGACATACACCTCAGCCCCCGCCCCGACCCCTTGAGACCAGCAACATAAGAGAGGCTGCTGGAGAGAGCTGCCCACCTTCCACTCGTAATCCCGGAATTCGGATCTCTGGCCCCAAATACCACACGTGGGTTCAGCAAGGAGCCGAGGGGCAGAGAGGCAGACCCCCAACCCGGATCCCAGGTGGAGAGCCCAAGCTACTGCCTAGGCACCCGCAACTCACATTTCTCATTAATCGCCTTTTGGAAGTTCACGTTTCTCTTTTTCCGGGTTGTCTTCTCCTTGGGACAGCTTAGTCCTGGTAGAGAGAAAGGCTGCAGTCCAGCCGTCAGGCACTCGGCCTCCTCCCCTCCTCCCCTTCCCCTGCCCAGCCCTTCCTGCCCGGACTCTTCCAGCTGGTCCCCTCAGGCCCTTCCTCCTTCCTTATCTTCCCGCCACCCACTCCCCTTCCTTCTCTGTTCTCACTCTTTCTGGATAAGGTCCACTGGTCTCCATCAGAAAAGGCCAGGCCCGCTGCCTGGAACACCTGAAGGGCACTGTCCCCACCCCCAGGACCACAGCCGAGGTCATAGCTGTTCATAGCTTCAAAGACCTGCAAGAAAGGCAGGAATGCTAGGAGCCAAGTGTGGCTGAGGGGCAGGACTGAGCACTCGGCACAGGTGAGAGGGCAGCACATGGGGGGATAGGAAAGGATACAGAGCCAGGAGATGGAGACCACAGGGCCAAGTGGGGAAGAGACTGTGGGGAGCCTCAGTGGGATCCAGGGGCTGCGCCCAAGGCTCAGGGAAGCAGGGGGATGAGCCATGGAGGGGTGAGAGAGCTGTGGAGAGGGTCTGGACAAACCTTGCCCATGTTGAGGGGCTTGTGGGACTTGCTGCCTGCAGCATACAGAGCTGTGTCCAAGGCTCCCAGCGCCACCAGGGCTAGGGAGTCGGTTTCTAAGTGGAGCTTCACGGACTCCCCGTTCCGGTACTGCTTGGCACCGTCCACGCTGAGCTCCAGCTGGCAGGGGCGGCAGGTGGGGGCGGTCAGAGTGGGAGAGCTTCCTTCAGTCCCGGTATCCTCACTGCCCCCAAGCTAAATCCATGCCCTGTTGGCAATCACCCTGTCCTCAACCCCCTCGGCACAAGTGCCATCTCTCCTGACCCCGGTCACCTTGCCCTCGCAGGCCCCAGCCTGGACATCCACTCGCAGGGAGTTGGCCACTGGGTGGTCTCCATGGTAGTAGAAGGCCACAAAGTAGAAGGAGGGTGCCAGGTGATGGTCCACAAACACCGAGACCGAGGTCAGGGTCCTCTTGGGCTCTCGATTCATGAACACGATCTGCCCTCGGGATAGGATCTGGGCCAAGAATGGGAGGGACAAGAGTGGTTGCCTCTTCATGGGACAGCCTCAGCCTTGAACCCCCCCAGCCCCACCCAGAGGGCTCTTCCCTGCACCCCAGCCCTCCGTGACTCCCCAGCTCATGCACACCATGTAGTAGTAATGAGAAAAGGTGGCCCCACTGCCCACGGCTCGCAAGTTCAGGTTCAGAGTGTCCCCAACACGAGGAGGTCGAGAATCCGGCCGCTCAATAGACAGAAACCCGGGGCCTCCTGAAGGTGGGGCTGCCACAGTGAGCCTGGCTATCGCTGGATGTGGGGAGCCTGCAGATACCTGGAGAGGGGGTCAGGTGCGAATAGGGTAGTAGCTCAGAGCCAAGTACCCCACCTTCCCCCCAAGTCAGGCCATGGATCCTTGGGACCCCAGCTCACCCTCCTCCCCTTCCCCCACCATCTCCCAGGGGTCCGAGGAGTCCTACTGAGAGCTGCAGCTCTGAGATGGTCTGAGGGATAATTATTGGAATGCTGACTTGGCCGCTCCCGTCTGTGTTTTGCTGAATGTCCTGGACTTCAGGAACAGACCCAGGAGAAGACACCGTGGCAGAAACTTTGACAGGAATGCCAGAAGCTGGGGAGCCTGACATCTCACGGACCAAGGCCTAGGCAGGTAAAGGAGGGCAGGCAAAAGAGAGTGGTCAGACCCTGAGCCCTCCTAACTACCACATCCTCCCTACTCATCCTTCCCCTCTGGAAGAAACCTGCAGCAGGAAGGGGGCCCCAGGCACAAGGTGTCGCTTGGTCTTGCTAAGATCCAAGGAGAAGGGAGATGACACAAAATACCAGGATGTGAGCTCTGCCTCCTCCATCTCCCCACCTGCAAGACAAAGGACAGAGAGAGGTGGGGGACAGAGCCCAAGAAGAGAGGGACAGGAGGACAAGTAGGGAGTGGCTTGAGTGGTTCCCTCCCACAAGACAGTGAGCTCCCAGGGCGCAGGCTGCTGTATTCCTGTCTGTACATGCTGAGGCCCAGCACAGGGCATTGAACAACACATGTCCACTGGAGGAGTGAAGGAATGAGCAGAACGAGCAAAGAAATAAATAAACTCAGCCAGGGAAAAGGGCCGAGTCACAGAGACAGAGTTGGAGAGAAACCAGGTCTCCTGGGTGTTTCCTGGTTTTGAGTCTGAGATGAGATGTGAGAAGTGGGGTGGTGTTGGTGCCGGAGGACAGAGGGTTAGCTCAGAGGTCAGAGGCAAGGGTCTGGGGTTACAATAAGGGAAAGTCACCCACCTGGAGACTCAATGATGGCTGCAGCAACGTAGAGGCGCAGCCCCTGGAGGTCAGTAATGCCCATATTCAGCTTCTCCAGGGCGTCCTGGAACTCTGCCTTTGAGAGGGAAATGTGGCTCTGTCCATTCACCAGCTGGGGCATAGAAAGAAACAGGACATAGGGTGAGACTGAGTCTCCCACCTCACCTCCCTTGCCCCTTCCCCTCCCCAGCCCCTATTCTCCTTCCTACCTTGGTCTGACTCTCCAGCCCCCGAAAGAAAGTCTTCTTACCATCCTCATCTAGGAGCCCAAAGCGCACATATGCCACCCCCTGCACTGGCTTCCCATAGATGTACCTGTCGTGGCAGAGAGAAGAGGGTGGGCCAAGGGCTGGGGGGAATAATGGCCCGAGGGCAGGGAAGCAGGAGCCCATTCATACTGAGTAGGGAGCAGGACCCGGTGCTGGTGGGCAGAGGTGGGGAGGGAGGTATTACCTGGCCTGGATGTCTAACTGCATTTCATCAAGATGGCCTGGCACCGTCAGGATGTAGGGCTTTCCAGGGGTGATCTTCACCTCAAAGTTGGGAAGGACTGACCCAGGGTGAAGGGATAGGCAGGTCAGACTCCAGCTCAAAGACTCCCCTCTGCTCAGGGCTGTGGCACCCATATCTCCCTGCCCTGAGCTGCTCCCAGTACCTCTCCTTCCACCCTTATTTCCTTCAGGAAAGCAGCTGCCTGTCCCTCCAGTTTCCAGCTCTCACCATATTTCTTCACCTCAAACTGGGTGCTGCTGTTGGATTCCAGGCCATCTGAGAATCGGGCTGAGATCTTCCAGGTCCCTGGCCTGAGAATGGACAAGGAAGGGGCTCAGCCCATCTGTACAGTGGGGCACGGAGAGCCAGCAGCCTGCTTCCCTGGGAAGAGGACTGTGGGGGTTAACCAGAGGCTCAGGAGGCTGAGGGTCAGGGCATCTGGGGACGTGCCTCTGTGTGGGAGGTGGAGAGCCTAACAGGAATTGGGGTGGTGTAGCTTGGGGGCAGCCCCCACATTGGGAGCGCTCACTCTGAGATGTCTGGGATCACAAAGTCATCCTGGAAGATGGACGAGGGCATGTACACCTCCTTCTTCCGCACGCGGAGGCCGTGAGAGTTCTGCAAGGGGAGAAGTGCTCACAGGCAGGAGGTCACATCAGTGGCCAGGATCAGGAAGGCCAGAGGTCGGGGACTCACCTCCACCATGACTGTGATGGTGTCAGTGCTCGGGCGCATCTTCTGATCCAGAGCAAAGACCCGGTACCGAACTGGGAGTGGAGGAGGAGAGAGGTGAGCAGGGGTCCATGTGCAAGGGGAGGGTGGGTCAAACTCCACAGAGGGAGCAGGGGACAAATGTTTCCTAAGCACCCCTTCTGTGTGGCACTTTCTTTCAGGTTATCTCACTTAGGGGGCACCAAACTCATCCTGAGAGGGCTCGGAGGGGGTTAAAGGTTGAGGCCCTGGGGCTGAGACTCACCCCGCTGGCCAGGGTTGTAAATGGGCTGGTCCGTCTGCAAAAAGAGGTGCCCCCGGCGAGAGGAGAAGAGCAGGTTGATACCCTGGATGTTTGTCGTTCTGGACAGAGAGTCCTTTAGCCATGGCGAATGGGCCACCAGCTGGACCTCAGGGCCTCTGAGGAGTTGATGGAGGCCACAGCTCTTCGCATCTTTCAAGGGCACCTGTCAGGAGAGGGAGAGGGAGAGGGAGCGGGTCACAGAGCAAGAGACAGCTGACCAAAAAGGACAGAGACCAAGGGAGAAACGTGGAAGGAGAATGCCAGGGTGGGAAGACAGGAGGGGAGGAGGCCAGTGGGAAGATGATGACACTTACAAGACAGATGGGAACAGGGCAGGAGGCCCCCACAAGCAGCAGGAGGGCATGGGGTCTGGTTACCTGGAGACTGAGGAGTGCGAAGTCTCTTTCTGAGCTAAGGGTGAAGTCCACCTTTGGGGAGCAGGGGACATTATTACGAGATGGGTTTCTCAGGAACACTGATCCTTTCACTACCTGTCCTCGGGGCACATCCTGGAGCTGCACCCCCACCGATAGGGGGACCCCCAGATGAACCACAGAAGGAGAGAACAAGAGCAACCTGGGGAGAACAGACAGGATCAGCAGTCAGACTTCGCTCTGACACCTCCACCCCTGCTCTCCCTCACTCCTGAATCGGGTCCCGATGCCAGCCCTGCCCCAATCCAAGCACCCAGCATCCCGCCTCCAGGACCTGGGCTTCTGCAGAGATAAGGTGAAGAAGCTGGATGCCCAGATCAGCCCCCAGAGCAGCCTCATGGCTGGAGGATCCAAGAGAGGTTAGATCCGTCTGTCTGTCTGCTACCTTCTGGCCAAGCTAGGCCTCGGGGCAGAGTTGACTCTGGACCTTG
Source organism: Homo sapiens (assembly GCF_000001405.40). Lineage (NCBI taxonomy): Eukaryota > Metazoa > Chordata > Mammalia > Primates > Hominidae > Homo > Homo sapiens. Next base: position 3,459,442 of record NT_113891.3, on the reverse strand, counting down.
CTCCTCCCCCAGCCCAGCTAAGCTGGGAAACCACGTGACAGCCAAGAAGTGCAACTGGCCTCAGGCCCAGAGTTGTGGGGGCACCCCGGACACCTGGGTGTCCATGGGAAACTCTGAATCTTGGCCCAGAAATAACCCTGTCCTTCCCCGTTAACTCCTCTCATTCCAGTGCCTGAGCACCTCCCCCTACCAGGTATATCTGTATCAGGGTATAGGTGCACACAAGCTCATGTATACCTGGGCGTACAAGGGCCCAACATGGCCCACGAGTACAGGATATTTAAAGGCCCTCACAAAACAATGACAGGCTTCTAAGACACTTGTCTCTTACTTTCATTCCAACACAAATTGAACTATACTAGGCTTTTGCTTTTTTAGGCCCTAACAGAAATTCCGTGGTTTAGGAGATTAGGTACACCCTCACCACTCCACAGGGAGAATGGCCTGAACGTCAGAGTGAACCCCTGACCCCTTTCCTCTCTGAATGAGGCAAAGCTCAGACTTCACCTCTACCCCTAAACAAGGCACCCAAACACACGTCACAGTAAATAAAGGACATCCAGAAAATATCACAGGCAGAGGTACTTTATTTGGCAATTTTAACATGACACGTAGAGAAAAGAACCCTGCCCTCCTTCACCAGCCTCCCCAGAAATCCCACCTTCCTATTTCAAGACAGAGTAATAACAGCACCATTTTACACGAAAGGGAACAGCCACAGCCTTGGCACCATTTCTGGTTCCACTTTCCATGGAAGGGCAGAGAAGCATTGCTCAAACCCCACCACTGGGTCAGAAACCAGGCAAACAGCAGCAGTCACATCTGACCTTTTGCACACACGAGAGCCCGACACTCATCCTGGCTCCCAAGCCTTCCCAAGGTGACCCTGTCTCAGCCACCATCATGCAGCTCTTCTAGTCCCCTCCCGGCCCACTCTGAGGAGCTGAGCAATGATGAGCAGAATCTTCATGTCTCTGGCAGGCGGAGGAGGGTTCCTGAAGTGGTAGAGATGCTGTGCAGGAGAAAGACAAGGCTGGAGCCAGACGCCTAGGCTCAAGCTGTGAGGAGAACTTAGAACTTGGGAAGGGGTGCTCCCGGGTTCCAGAGAAGAATGAGAGCCACTGGCCTTCACTAGGAAACTAAGCATGAGCTGGGAGGAAATCCCACTTTGGGTCATTGCTCCATAATCTGCCAGAGGCCAGGGAAAGACTCACCAGTCCACTAGCTGGGCCCCAATGAGGTCGTGCACATGGTAGGTGAGGCCAAGCCGCACCACGACAGGCGCCCGCCGGCCCAGGAGCTCTGATAGGAGCAGTTCCCGGTACTTTGCCTTCCGGACCATGCTAAGGACAGCCTGGCGCCCTAGAGGAGAAGTGGCACAGGAAAGGGGAAAGGTGAATAAGGCCTAGAGGCCTGAGGAGCCACCAAAAGGTGAGGGGCTGCAGGCTTGAGCTGCAGATGGGATACCTTTAACAAAGTACTTGATGAATCTCCCAGCTCCAGGCACAGCTAGCCACCAGCTCCCAGCATCTCGGACGGTGAGGACTCCAGCATTCACCAGATGCCTGAGGGCAGTGGGAAGCCAGCAGAGATGAGGGCTGGGCTCTGAGAACCATCTCTCCTCCTCATCCATTAATGTTTACACAAGTCTCCAGAAACACGGGCAACCATGCAAGAGAGACTGGATAACAAAATCCCAGCCTGGGGTGGTTCTGTGCTCGCACCAACTGCCTCTGTTGGTGCAGTTGCTTGTTCCAGGCCCCCTACCTGGACTGCCCTCCCTCCACTTTTTCTTTTCCTGCTACTATTACTGGTTCAGTTAAATAGCTTCTCTTCCCTGACCACATGTCCTGACACACATTCGGTCTTAGGACCGAGGAGAGGAATCAGAGTCTTCTGCGCTCCTGCCACTGCCTAGGCAGACTGCGCCATGGCTCCCACCACATCTCTCTGAGAGTGTGTCTGCCCATGTGAGATCAGTGCTATAGTTTTTCAAATGCTTTCACATATTCCATGGGTTACAAAGTAGGAGGCCTGAGCCAGATACAGCCTCTCAAAATTAGATTTTTATTTAGCTCCTGCCCAGTTGTTTTTTAGCTTTGGGTTTTTTTTGTTTTAATGTGAATGTTTAGGGGTATCCCAGCTCCTACCATTCTCTATCCTCTTAGTCCCAGTATGATTAACATCAAGCTTTTACACTTCCTGCCAGGCCCCTGTGTGCTTTTGATAAGCCACCAAGAACTGAATTCTATTTCAGGGCTCTTTCTAAGGCCCAGGTAAGATAGGCCTCCTCTCTTGTGGGGAGGAATACAAACTTGGGTCATTTTATTAACAAGAAGAGTCAGCTTTTTGGCAGCTTTTCTGGCAGGTTCACCAAAAAAACAGGAGGACAGGCTGGATGGAACTGGAGGGAGGCAGGGAAGCACCAGATGCCTGACTTTGGTTGGTTCCACAAGTCTCACGTGATTTCTGAGTCCCTGAAGCCAAAGGTCTGTGTCATTTGGTCCTGCTGGAAACTAAGGTCCCCACAGGCTGGAAGTACTGAAGCTAGAAATTTCTGCACTGCCCCAGCATACGGTCGGCCATCACAGGCCTTGAGGACCTACAAGCAGAGATGAGAGACATGGTCCATCCCCACCCTCACTCTCTACCAACCTCCACCCCCAGGACAGCATTTCTCTTCCTGTCTTACCTCTTGCTCAGATCCTTCCACCTCTCATACCCTTCTTCTTCCTCCTCCTCTTCATCCTCCTCCCCCTCTTCCTCCCCCCCTCCTCCTCCCCCTCCTTCCTTCCTCCTCCTCCCCCTCCTCTCCCCCCCTCTTTACCCTCTCACTCCTCCCTCTTTCCCTCCTGTCTCTCTCCCTCATATTACTATTTACCAGGGCCCTGTGCCCTCTCCATGGGATGTGGGGGCAGGGAAATTCTTTCTTTTGTTTTTATTTCTGTTTCCCAAGTTCCCTGTCTCCCCCAACCTGTGCCCTCCCCCCAGCACCCCTGACGCACACAGTCACATACTCTGGTCCTGTAGTCCTCAGTGAAGATAATTCCATGGGCATCCAAGTCGAAGCCCAGCTGGACGATTCTGATCTCCCCCTGCTCTTGAAGCTCCTTCTGTCTCCACAGAGAAGAGAGTGAAAAGAGGCGTATCAGGGTAAGATGCTCTGCTATACTCTGGGCGCTCTCAGGCAGGGAGATTTTGTTTGCCAATATGGGGGCATTTTCTCTTAGTAAAGGAAAAACTGTGTGAGAAAATAATCAAGCAAATGACCAAGCAGCCTTTTCCAACTAGCTACCCACATTCTCATCCACCTGCCTTATATATGGTCTATCAAAGAGTCAATATAATTTCTAAGACCAGGCACTAAGATAAAATAGTGATTAAGATGCAGGCTGTGGCTTCAAAACATTAACAGTCTAAATTCTGGGTAGGGTAAGGTGGGGAGGAGTATGGGATTCAATGTTTAAAACAAATAAAAATAAACCAGGACTTCTGTTTACGAGAATACAGCAAGAACTAATCCACCTGTTGAAAATTAACTAAAATCCTGGATAAAAATGTTATTTTAAAATTGTTTAAGACCAGGTACAGTGGCTCATGCCTGTAATTCAGCATTTTGGGAGGCTGAGGTAGCAGGATCAATTGAGGACAGGAGTTCGAGACCAGTCTGGGCAACACAGTGAGACCCCCCCACCCGCCACATCTCTACAAAAAATGTAAAAACAGCCAGGCGTGGGGGCAGACACCTATGGTCCTAGCTACTTGGGAGACTAAGGCAAGAGGATCACTTGACCCAGGAGTTTGAGGCTGCAGTAAGATATGATTGCAACTGGGCAACACAGTGAGACCCCATCTCTTAAAAAAAATTGTTTAGACACTAAAGAGCTCACAGGATAACAGGAATTACCACTAATATAACATCTAAGTAGGCCGGGCGAGATGGCTCAAGCCTGTAATCCCGGCACTTTGGGAGGCTGACGTGGGTGGATCACCTGAGGTCAGGAGTTCAATATCAGCCTGACCAATATGGTAAAACCCCGTCTCTACTAAAACTACAAAAATTAGCCGGGCGTGGTGATGTGTGCCTGTAGTCCCAGCTACTCAGGAGGCTGACACAGGAGAACTGCTTGAACCCAGAAAGTTGCTGTGAGCCGAGATCATGCCACTGCGCTCCAGCCTGGGTGACAGAGTGAGACTCTAACTCAAAAAATAAAAATAAAAATAACTGGGGCCGGGCACGGTGGCTCATGCCTGTAATCCCAGCACTTTGGGACGCTAAGGGTGGATCACTTGAGGTCAGAAGTTCAAGTTCAAGACCAGCCTGGCCAACATGATGAAACCCGGTCTCCATTAAAAATACAAAAATAGGCCAGATGCGGTGGCTCATGCCTGTAATCCCAGCACTTTGGCAGGCTGAGACGGGTGGATCACGAGGTCCGGAGATCAAGACCATCCTGGCTAACACGGTGAAACCCCATCTCTACTAAAAATACAAAAAAAAAAACAATTAGCCAGGCATAGTGGCGGGCACCTGTAGTCCCAGCTACTCGGGAGGCTGAGGCGGGAGAATGGGTGAACCCAGGAGGCAGAGCTTGCAGTAAGCCAAGATCATGCCACTGAACTCCAGCCTGGGTGACAGAGCGAGACTCCGTCTCAAAAAAAAAAAAAAAAAAAAAATTAGCTGGGCGTGGTGTCAGGTGCCTGTAATGCCAGCTACTTGGGAGGCTGAGGCAGGAGAATCACTTGAACTCAGGAGGCAGAGGTTGCAGTGAGCCAAGATCATACCACTGCACTCCAGCTTGGTGACAGGGTAAGACACTGTCTCAAAAAAAAAAAAGTAATTGGAACATGGAGGGCATTTATTAATCTAGGCAAATCTGCCCAGAACATTTTCAAAAGTAACTGGGCGCATAAGGAAACAAAACTCAAAGAGAGAATAAAAACAAACCCCAAAAGACAAGTAATAGTGGAATTATCCTTTCCACGGTCTCCCTCTGATGCCGAGCCGAAGCTGGACTGTACTGCTGCCATCTCAGCTCACTGCAACCTCCCTGCCTGACTCTCCTGCCTCAGCCTGCCGAGTGCCTGCGATTGCAGGCGCGCGCCGCCACGCCTGACTGGTTTTCGTATTTTGTTAGTGGAGACGGGGTTTCGCTGTGTTGGCCGGGCTGGTCTCCAGCTCCTAACCGCGAGTGATCCGCCAGCCTCGGCCTCCGGAGGTGCCGCGATTGCAGACGGTGTCTGGTTCACTCAGTGCTCAATGGTGCCCAGGCTGGAGTGCAGTGGCGGGATCTCGGCTTGCTACAACCTCCACCTCCCAGCCGCCTGCCTTGGCCTCCCAAAGTGCCCAGAGTGCAGCCTCTGCCCGGCCGCCACCCCGTCTGGGAAGTGAGGGGCGTCTCTGCCTGGCCGCCCATCGTCTGGGATGTGAGGAGCCCCTCTGCCTGGCTGCCCAGTCTGGAAAGTGAGGAGTGTCTCTGCCCGGCCGCCATCCCATCTAGGAAGTGAGGAGCGTCTCTGCCCGGCCGCTCATCGTCTGAGATGTGGGGAGCGCCTTTGCCCCGCCGCCCCGTCTGGGATGTGAGGAGCGCCTCTGCCCGGCCGCGACCCCGTCTGGGAGGTGAGGAGGGTCTCTGCCCAGCCTCCCCGTCTGAGAAGGGAGGAGACCCTCCGCCCGGCAGCCGCCCCGTCTGAGAAGTGAGGAGCATCTCCGCCCGGCAGCCGCCCCCTCCAGGAGGGAGGTGGGGGGGTCAGCCCCCTGCCCGGCCAGCCACCCCGTCCGGGAGGTGAGGGGCGCCCCTGCCCAGCCACCCCTACTGGGAAGTGAGGAGCCCCTCTGCCCGGCCAGCCGCCCTGTCCGGGAGGGAGGTGGGGGGGTCAGCCCCCCACGCAGCCAGCCGCCCCGTCCGGGAGGGAGGTGGGGGGTCAGCCCCCCACCCGGCCAGCCGCCCCGTCTGGGAGGGAGGTGGTGGGGTCAGCCCCCCCCGCCCGGCCAGCCGCCTCGTCCGGGAGGTGAGGGGCGCCTCTGCCCGGCCGCCCCTACTGGGAAGTGAGGAGCCCCTCTGCCCGGCCAGCCGCCCCGTCCGGGAGGGAGGTGGGGGGGTCAGCCCCCCGCCCGGCCAGCCGCCCTGTCCGGGAGGTGAGGGGCGCCTCTGCCCGGCCGCCCCTGCTGGGAAGTGAGGAGCCCCTCTGCCCGGCCACCACCCCATCTGGGAGGTGTGCCCAACAGCTCATTGAGAACGGGCCACGATGACAATGGTGGTTTTGTGGACTAGAAAGCGGGAAAAGGTGGGGAAAAGATTGAGAAATCGGATGGTTGCCGTGTCTGTGTGGAAAGAGGTAGACATGGGAGACTTTTCAAAAAAAAAAAAAAATAGTGGAATTATCAAAAAGACAATTAAAAAAAAAAAAAACAGCACTTTGGGAGGCCGAGGCAGGCAGATCATCTGAGTCAGGAGTTTGAGACCAGCCTGGCCAACAGGGTGAAACCCCATCCCTATAAAAATACAAAATTAGGCCGGGTGCGGTGGATCATGCCTGTAATCCCAGCACTTTGGGAGGCCGAGGAGGGCAGATCACGAGGTCAGGAGATCAAGACCATTATGGCCAACATGATGAAACCCCCATCTCTACTAAAAATACCAAAATTAGCTGGGCATGGTGGCGCGTGCCTGTAGTCTCAGCTAATCAGGACAGTGAGGCAGGAGAATTGCTTGAACCCAGGAGGCAGAGGTTGCAGTGAGTTGAGATCACACCACTGCACTCCAGCCTGGGCAACAGAGCGACACTCCACCTCAAAAAAAAAAAAAAAAAAGGGAAAACTAAGGCAACAATGACCACAGCAGTCACCTCCCAGGGACATTCTGATCAGAGACATTTTGATCAGAGAGGGATATATGTGGGATACTGGTCATATTCTATAGTTTGACCTAGGGAGTGGCTAGATAGGTATCTGCTTTATAAACATCATTTAAATTATATATGTTTATATTTTCATTCTGCAACTTTTAAAGGTTTTTAAAAACAAAAGCTAACACCAATACATTAAAATCAACAAATACTCCTTAAGGAGTGGTTCCATCTGGCATGCTTCCTCACGGGAGACCTAGTCAGGGAGACTAGCTCACCTCAAGTGAGTGCTAGACTGCCTTCCTTTTCTTTCCTCTTTTCTTGAAAGATCACTATTAACCTTCTACCTGCTAAATCCAATGGACAGATTTCAGTTCTGGGTTTTTTTGTTGTTGTTTTCATTTTTTTAGAGACAGGGTCTCCCTCTGTTACCCAGCCTGGAGTGCAGTCGTGCAATCATAGCTCACTGCAGCCTCAAATTCCTGGGCTCAAGCACTCCTTCTGCCTCAACTTCCCAAACAGCTAGAACAATAGGTGCACACCACCATGCCCAGCTAAGAATTTTTGTGTTTTAATTTATTTATTTAGTAGAGATGGGATCTCAGTTATTTAGTAAAGATGGGGTCTCACTTTGTTGCCCAGGCTGGTCTCAAACTTTTGGTTTCAAGCTATACTCCTGCCTCAGTCTCCCAAAGTGGTGGGAGTACAGGCATGAGCCACCACACTCAGCCTAGATTTCAGTTTATATTTTACTTTACCTCTTCCCTCTTCTTAGACCACTGTCTTGAATCACAGGTTCTAATACTGCCAACTACTTCACTTTCTCAAAAATCTCTTTACTTTCACAGTAGGCCTCTTCCTGGGTTACTTTTTTTTTTTTTTTTTTTGAGACAAAGTCTAGCTCTATCACCCAGGGTGGGGTGCAGCGGTGCTATCTCAGCTCACTGCAACCTCCGCCTCCCCAGCTCAAGCAATCCTCCCACCTCAGCCTCCCCAGTAGCTCTATAGGCGCGTACCACCACGCCTGGCTAATTTTTGTATTTTTTGTAGAGATGGGGTTATGTCATGTTGCCCATGCTGGTATCAAACTCATGAGCTCAAGAGATCCACCCACCTCGGCCTCCCAAAGTGCTGGGATTACAGGTGTGAGCCACCGCGCCGGCCTCTGGGTTCCTCTTAACTCAGGCAAGTCCCTCTCTGCCTCTGTCACAGATTCCTCTTCTTCTGCTTTCCCTTTATGTCAGTGGATCTCAAATTTTAAGGCACACTTAAAAAGCACTTGAGGCAGTTCAAAAATGTAGAGTCCCAAATCCCGCCCCAAGAGAGCGTAATTCATTAACCTTGGATGAGTCCCAGGAACCTGTATTTTTTTTAACAAGCAGCCCACGTAATTTTGACACAGGCATAATAACTCAGCTCATATATTCAGTAACACTGCCTTAAATGATGGTGTTTCCCAGCATTGTGGATTTGACCCTATTAACTTCCACTCTAAACCTGGAGTCCTTAACCACGGACCTCGCAGGATTAGTAAAATATTTCCCCCCTAACTATACATACACCCTATGTATATGTGGCAAACGTGCATTTTTCTGGAGAGAGATAGCCATAGCTTTTATCACCTTCTAAAGATTACAAAAAGGTTAGAAATCACTCCTCTACCCACTCTTCCTACTGGATCTCACCACATCACAGAATTAACCACTTGCTATTCACACCTCCATGACTTGTAATTCTATTATCACTGGCCCAGAATTCTCTCCAACTCTCATATCCAACTGTCTAATACCTTTGTCTTTGGATGCTCCACATGCACCATCAACTCAACTTGTATAAAATTAAACACATTATCTGTAGTCCAACAACTAAATGTGCTCCTAATACCACCAGCCACGCAGTCATCTGGAAAGTCTGAGTTGTCCTGGACTCCTCCCTCTTCCTCACTCTCCTCTCCCTCCCTACTGCACTGACCTAATTTAGGCCTTCACCACTTCTCAGATGCAGTATCTTCTTAGCTGACCTCCCTGCCTCATCCACTATCTCCAACACACCATTCCCTCTCTCTATGATATTCTCTACCAGCCCATCGCCTCAGTGTAAGATGGAAACAACACTGATGTACAAGGCCTGTCATGATCTGACGTCTGACTGCACTCCCAGCGCTGTATGTTCGAACCATGCCCCATGACTCGGTTTCCCCAAAAGCCTCGTTCTTCTACCTCCATGATTTGAAATGCCCTGTACTACCTGCGGGACTTTTAACAGGGTCTCTGTGGCACCCCAGTGCCTGGCACAGTGCCCTCGCCTGAAAGGCCTAATGCTTGCTGAACGGCTGGCGGAGTGACTGAGTGACAGGGAATTCCAGGAGTTAGGAAAGGGGCTTCCGGCGGTCGCACCGACGCCCCTCACCAGCTGCCGGTCGGCCACGGTCCTGTCAGGCACAAGGCTGTACACCTGGCTCCTCAGCACGATGGGCGGCAGCGCGTCCTCAAACAGGCCTCGCGGGAACAGCTGCATGAGTTCTGAGACAGCCGCGCGCGCCGACCCTGGGCAGATAAATCGGCTCACGGACAGGGAACTGGGGCGGGGACGCGGTTCTAACAAAACTCTCGGCTACCGGAAGCGAGGCCCCACCCCCGGGGTTGCCATGGTTACCTGGCTCACCCCGAAGAGGATCCGACTCCACAGGCCCTCGCTTCCGCCGCCTCTTAACTCCAAAGGTCTCCGGGATCAGGTGATGCCTCTTCCAGCTCATATCCCGGGATTTTATGGTACCGGGGAAGGGGTAGGAATGGAGGGAAGAGAACCTGAAAATAGGGTCTTCCGGCGCAGAGCAGTGACGTACGGTCTCCCCGGGCGTCCCTCCTAGACCAGGTGATGACGAAAGGAGCGTCAACTTGTCGTCCCTCAGGCCCGTCAGTGCTGGGAGGGGCGGTGGCGACGCACATACCAGCATCACCTCCGCCAGGCCGGGCCCCACGCCGGCCGCGGATTGGCTCCCTCCAAGGGCACGCACGCCCGGGGACTCGTTGGCGGCGTGGAGGGGCGCCGGTGGCCACGTTGGTGTCAACCTCCTTCGTGAAGCTCACACCTCCCCCGCCCCGGGAGGGGTTTGCCCGCCACTGTCGCTGAATGATTGCATCATCGAAAGCAGAAAACCACTTTTGCATCCTTCGGCCTCTGGCGTGCCTGCCATGACGTCATAGCTCTGCGGAGGTGGAAGTTGGGGAGCTTTGAGGTAACTGGATTCTTGATCTGAGCGCAGACGTCCTTCCTAACCTCACTGCATTTGGAGGACCTGGAGGGAGGGTGGGTGAAGGGCAAGGAAAGAGGCAGGATGAGAGCTTGGCCGCGGTGGCGTCTGAGGGGCCTGAATGTTTCAAGGCCAGAGCCTGGCGATCAGGTGGCTCGCTTAGTCCTAAACCAGTCATCCTTCTCCAGGCCTCCTCTGTAGAATGGAAACTCTGTACCCCTGCTTGTCTTAGGACCTCATGGATCCCAGGGGGACCAAGAGAGGAGCTGAGAAGACAGAGGTAGCTGAGCCTCGGAACAAACTACCTCGTCCAGCACCTTCTCTGCCCACAGACCCTGCCCTCTACTCTGGGCCCTTTCCTTTCTACCGGCGCCCTTCGGAACTGGGCTGCTTCTCCCTGGATGCTCAACGCCAGTACCATGGAGATGCCCGAGCCCTGCGCTACTATAGCCCACCCCCCACTAACGGTCCAGGCCCCAACTTTGACCTCAGAGACGGATACCCGGATCGATACCAGCCCCGGGACGAGGAGGTCCAGGAAAGGCTGGACCACCTGCTGTGCTGGCTCCTGGAACACCGAGGCCGGTTGGAGGGGTGAGCAAAGCGTGGTAGGCAGTATATCTGGAGACCCGTACCTACCCTCTAAAATTAGGAGAGCCAAAGCCGGGGTGAGAATCAGTCCTTAGAAGAAACAAGACTATTCTTCGAGGGGAGCATCTCACTAATGCTTGTGTCAGACCTTCAGCCTGTAACTCCTGCCTCTCAGGGGTCCAGGCTGGCTGGCAGAGGCCATAGTGACGTGGCGGGGGCACCTGACAAAACTGCTGACGACACCGTATGAGCGGCAGGAGGGCTGGCAGCTGGCAGCCTCCCGGTTCCAGGGAACACTATACCTGAGTGAAGTGGAGACACCGAACGCTCGGGCCCAGAGGCTTGCTCGGCCACCGCTCCTCCGGGAGCTTATGTACATGGGATACAAATTTGAGCAGTACATGTGTGCAGGTGAGTTGCCCCTGCTTCATAGCCCCCTTCCCCTTCCCAGAGGTTGAGAGCCCCCCACGCCTGCTGCTGCTTCTCTCCTTGTGCAGACAAACCTGGAAGCTCCCCAGACCCCTCTGGGGAGGTTAACACCAACGTGGCCTTCTGCTCTGTGCTACGCAGCCGCCTGGGAAGCCACCCTCTGCTCTTCTCAGGGGAGGTAGACTGCACAGACCCCCAAGCCCCATCCACACAGCCCCCAACCTGCTATGTGGAGCTCAAGACCTCCAAGGAGATGCACAGCCCTGGCCAATGGAGGAGTTTCTACAGGTTCAGGATCGGGGTGGGCAGGGCGAGAGCTTAGGCTTGAAGGCTGGGAAAGGGACTTGGGGAGGAGGGTGAAGGCAGAATGGAGGGTGCACGAGGGGTCCCACTGATCCCTTGCTTTTCCTGTCAGACACAAGCTCCTGAAATGGTGGGCTCAGTCATTCCTCCCAGGGGTCCCGAATGTTGTTGCTGGCTTCCGTAACCCAGACGGTTTTGTCTCTTCCCTCAAGACCTTTCCTACCATGAAGATGTTTGAATATGTCAGGGTAAGGGAACGATGTTGCAGCTCCCACCCGTATCCCCAAACACCAAGACCACAGGTCTAGCATCCAGGGCAACAGCCTGCCTTCTCTCCTCCCACCACCCCCACTGCCCATCTTCTGCCTCCTCCTCTGCCTGCTCCAGAATGACCGTGACGGCTGGAATCCCTCTGTGTGCATGAACTTCTGTGCCGCCTTCCTTAGCTTTGCCCAGAGCACGGTTGTCCAGGATGACCCCAGGTGAGGCATTCAGCTCTGTCCCTCCCCTCTGGATCCCAGGATCCAGCCTCTGGCCCTCAACTGATGCCTCCATCTGCCCCCCAGGCTCGTTCATCTCTTCTCTTGGGAGCCTGGCGGCCCAGTCACCGTGTCTGTACACCAAGATGCACCTTACGCCTTCCTGCCCATATGGTATGTGGAAGCTATGACTCAGGACCTCCCATCACCCCCCAAGACTCCCTCTCCCAAATAGTAATGCTTTAGAGGGAGGCAGTCATATCTCTGTGTGCAGATAATAAAAGCATATTTCTAAGAGGTTCTCTCGCTGTCTTCTTAGCTGAGTCATCCCTGTCCAGCAACTCAAGCACACAACAGTGCTTTGCTGTTTTATCATCATGTTTTTACATGGGGCATTCACTGGGTGTAGAGGCTGGCCGCAAATACGATGTCCCGCCGTAGCAAGGTAGCCGCTGTCTCCATCTTGGCACCCAGCACAGGCTCTCCTACCAGGCGGGCTGCCCCCCGCAGTGAGCGACACATCTCAGCCAGGCGCTGAATGCAGCGGACCACCAGGCCCTCAGGGGTCCCTGAGAGCCCTGCCAACTCGGAGAAGGGCTGTGGGGAAAGTAGGGTGAGGACTGGATGCACTCAGCCTGGGCAGGTTCTCCCCAGCCAGCCGTCTGCAAAATCCCAAACCTCAGGTACTCACCATGCCCCGGGCCCACTCATATACAACCTCAACCAGCCCAAAATTCAGCTCCCCCACAAATTCCTCCACCGTCTGGTTCAGGCCACAAGCCACCTGGACCTCACCAATCCGCTTGGCCACAGCCCGGACACGTTCTATTCCCTGCAGGAAAGAAGGAGAGGTTAAGGCCTGCCTTCCTGCTCCAGGACAGGGAAGGACCAGATCAAGAAGGCAGCCATTTTCCATCCTTGGGGCACTTACAGGGCTGGAGGGGGTCACCTGGGGGACTACCTGAAGGTGAAGGTCAGGAATGCCACAGCCCTGGCAGGGAGAAAGGGGTGGTGTCCCCTACCTGCTTGAGGGTGTTTGGGAGCTGATCCCCAGCGTCCCCAGGGCTCTGGCAGACCAGGCCAGAGAGCAAGGCAGCAATCTCCTCAGGCCGCAGGGTGCTCAGTGCATTGTCAAACATGAGCTCAGTGAGGAGCAACTCATGGCTGCTCATGGCACAAGCCACCCGCCCTGCCAGCTTCACAGTGCCCGCCTCGTCCACATAACCCAGGGTTCGGAGCACCTGCAAGAAAAAGGGTGGGCATTGGACACACTGCTGTCCCCTAGCCCCCCTGCCCCAACCACTGCCCCACCCACCTCTACTCGCTGATGGTACTCAGGAAGCAGCAGCAATGACTGATCCGACAGTAGGAAGCGCAGCCGCTCCATCTCCTTCTGTATCTGCATTCGCTCCCGCAGCTTCAGGTACTGCAGAGAGCCACCCGTCAGCCTTCTCCTTGCCCCTTAGCAGGGGTGCACTGAGGACAAGGGCTGAGATGGGGGCGGTCAGTCTACAGGGGACCACAGAGGAAAAGCCCCTACTCCCAGCTTGGGAGTTACCACCCAGGGTCCTACCTGGGCAGGAAAACGGGGGCTGTGTACACACTGAGCCCCCTGGATCAGCTCCTCCAGCTTCCGGGCCCGGAGCCCACCCTCTACAACTGACATATCTTTGAGCTGCAGGTCATTGACAGGGTCGAGGGTGGGAGGTCCGGCTGGGTGGGCCTGAGCCAGACGCAGCAGTTCCTGGACAGCAGTGGTCACGGCTGCAAGGGGAGGATCCTTCCTGAAGAGGGAGCAGATCTTAAGATCTGGGGTAAGATCTTCTCTCCCCCAGAAGCCTCCCTCAGGCTGTGGAAGCCCTCTTACTACAACCTCCACTTCACAGTCTCCCTTAGGCTGGGGGAGCCCCCTCACTACAACCCCACCACTTCATGGTCTCCCTCAGGCTGGAGGAAACTCCCAGACCACTGCCCCTCCCTGCCTCTACGTGCCCCTCTGGAGGAGAAGGGCCTCCCTAGCATCTCTGACTTGAATTTTGGCTGCTGCCTCTTGCTGAAGTCCTCCAAGATCTTCTCCCCATTCACCCGGAGCACCTTGGTGGTGATGGCAGCCATATCTCCTGGCTGGAGCTTGACCACGGTGTGGTCACAAGGCCCTGTGAAAAGGGGAGAGCAGGGCAGACATTGCCATGGACCCAGGCATCCTGCTTATACTGCTGGCAGAAAACAGACATCTGCCACACTCTCACCTTCAGGCAGGAACAGCTTGAATCCCACGAGGTCATCTGGATAGGGCACCTCTGCAGTGGCTGGCCCCCTGTCCTGTGGGTCCTGGGACAAGGGCTTATCACACAAGACCAGGGTTGTGAATACTCTGCTGGTGGAGTTCGAGGAGACCTGGGGGTGGTCAGAGAGGCCAGGAGAGGGGGGTGTGATGAGTAGACATCAAAGGCAGAGACCAGATACCCACCCTTGGGCAGGAATCAGGAAGCAACCATGCAGAGCTCACCAGTAGAGAGGGGCAACCAAGTCAAGCGATCAGAGCAGACTTCTTGGGGTGGTGGGAGGAAGGAGTGAGCATGATGTGGTGATGGGAAGGGAGAGGGTGAAAAGGAGGGCAAGAGGGGAAAATGAGGGCCCTATGATGACGCAACCTGCCCTGGCCAAGTGGGGAAAATGGAGAGAGGGCTTGCTCCCTCCCACCCTCTGGAGTCCAAATTCCCATCACCCTCACCTGTAGGATCACTCCCAATGCGTTGTGATGCTCCTGATTCTTCACAACCACCACCCTTCCTGCTGAGAGAGACTTCAGCCCGTTCACAGACTCCATGATGCGTCGCTGAAGAGCAAAGGACAGATGGGAGGAGGCATCACAGGGACAGACACTTGGACTAAGTTTAGTAGCACCTAGAGTAACACGATCTTCTCTTCCCTTCTCCTATCACCTCCTCAGCACTCACACTTGCTCACCTGGATCATGTGCTGGGTCTCTGTCAGTTCCTCCCCCCAGCTGTAATATTCAGGCAGGTCGACCAGTTGGCCAGTCATGTCAGGCTCCTCCAAAGCTCCCAGCCTCTTGGTCAGTTCAGCCAGGGCCTGTTCATGGGCCTTGGGTGGGAGCAGGGGAAGCTGTGAAAGGGGAGTCTCCAGGCCCAATCTGTCACACTCCCCACCCTCAACACACTGGCCTCTGGATGCCTACCTATTCCCAGCCTGTCTTTGGCCAACCTCCTGCTCCACACACTGGTTACCCCAGGCTCCTTACCTTGCTGTCTTTGCGGGAGGGAAACTCAGAGAAGCTCCTCTTCATCATGTCCTCCACCCTGAGGGCATCCACTCGCAGCAAGTTGAGGATCATAGTGTACGTGAGGCGGAACTGGGACTGCAGCTGGGACGGCTTCCCCTGGAGTCAGGTCACAGAAGTCACTGAGATCAGGGTGGGACCTACTGAACCCCAGCCAGTCTTCTGGACTGGGCCTACTCCCGTCAGATCCGGTCCTAGCTCTGCAACCATGGGGCCTTGGACAAACCACTTGCTCACCTCTTCTGTAACATAAGGGAGCAAACTGAAATAAATGGACTCAAAGGCCCCATCTAGCTCCATATTCACATGGGAGAAAACTGGAAGAGATGGGCTCCAATCTCATCCTTGGATTCACTCACTCCTACCTCAGCTTCTCCCAGGCAAAACAAAAAAGTCGGAGGAAGTTGGGCGCTGTGGCCCACACCTATAATCCCAGTACTTTGGGAAGCTGAGGCAGACAGACTGCTTGAGCCCAGAAGTTCAAGACCAACCTGTGCAACATAGCAAAACCTCATCTCTACAAAGCATAAAAAAAAAAAAAAAATTAGCCAGGCCTGTGTGGCATGTGCCTGGAATCCCACCTACTTGGGAGGCTGAGGTGGGAGGATCCCTTGAGCCTGGAAGGCAGAGGTTGCGGTGACCCGAGATTGTGCCACTGCACTCCAGCCTAGGTAACAGAGCAAGACCCTGTCTCCAAAAAAAAAAGGAAGAAGAAAAAGAAGAGAGGAGAATCGAAGACAGAATCCAGCAAGGTCCTGGAGCTGGGGCCCTGCCGAGCATGCTGGCCCGCTCACCATCATCATGCGGTGCAGGTCTGCCATCTCGGGCACTCGGCCCTTGCAGAGCAGGATAACGGTGCCTGTGGGGTCCAGGCCCCTCCGCCCTGCCCGGCCTGCCATCTGCACATACTCCCCAGGGAGCAGGTCCCGGAAGGTGGAGCCATCGTGTTTGCGCATGGAGTCAAACACTACTGTACGAGCAGGCATGTTTACTCCCATGGCAAAGGTCTCTGTGGCAAACAAGACCTGGGACAGAGGAGAACAGAAAGGATCAGCAAAGGCTCTACATACACACACCCCCAGCCCTGGCCAAGCCCACCTTACTTTGTAGGCATAAGGCACCATCCCAGTTGTTACTTATGGGATCTCACTGAACTCTCCAGGCAAATCTATAGGGCAGGTATTATTGTTTTCCTCATTTTACTTATGTAGCTACTTATTTCTATTTCTTAACTTTTACCTTCATATCCCATTCCCATCCCTGACTGCAATCATTCCAATGTATCCAACAAATATCTTTTTATATAAATATGATCTTATAGAACATGTCTTCTTTTGTGAGCTTGTAGTTTATAATTCATATAAAAAGTGGTTATATATCTGATTTTTTTTTGCTTCTTTTTCTCCACCTAGTGTTTCAACATCTGTCCATGTTCCTGTGGCCACATCTAACCCACTGCTTCCAACTGCTGCAGAACACTCTATGGGTGCATCCCCCACACTAACCTTCCCTCTCTCCCAGTGAAGGGCACCCTGGTACTACCAACACCATGCCACCACAAACAAAGGATGGGTGTACATGTTCTCTCACAGACCAGGGTGAGAATTTCTTTGTGATATATACCCAGGAATGAAATATAAGCTCAGAGTATGATATAGTTTTTGTTTGTTTCTTTGTTTGTTTTTGTTTTGAGATGGAGTCTCCCTCTGTTGCCCAGGCTGGAGTGCAGCGGTGCTATCTTGGCTCACTGCAATCTCTGCCTCCTGGGTTCAAGCAATTCTCCTGCCTCAGCCTCCCAAGTAGCTGGGACTACAGGCACCTGCCACCATGCCCAGCTAATTTTTGTATTTTTAGTAGAGACAGGGTTTCACCATGTTGGCCAGGATGGTCTCGATCTCTTGACCTTGTGATCCACCCACCTCAGCCTCCCAAAGTGCTGGGATTACAGGTGTGAGCCACCATGCCCGGCCAATATAGTTATTTTGTCTAAATAGTGCCAGCGTGCATTCCAAACTGGCTAGGCATCCCGTAAAGGATTCCCAGAACCCTACAACCTCCTATATCTCTGGCAACACTCGGCATGAACTAGTTTCCTAAATTTTACCAGTCTAATAGCTGTAAAGTCGTATCTTGTGAGTACTTCAATTTGTATATTTCTGATTACTAATAACTTTTCGAATGCTTGCTAGCTTCCTGGGTTTCTTTTCTGAGACCTACGTATTCATATCTTATGCATCCCCATTTTAAGATGGGAAACCTAAAGTTCAGGAAGGTTAAATAATTGGTCCAGGATGATACTGTGAATACATGGTGTACCTGGGATTCAAACCCAGGTAGTCTGAATCCAGAGCCCAGATTCTTAACCACAGCACTGGCCTGCCTAAACCTCTGCCCCTCTGCCCTCTGGGCAGCCCCTAAGTGGGCAACAAGCACCCTGAGGAGTCCCTTTCCACCACCACATGCACCTTGACCAGGCCACGGCTGAAGAGCATCTCCACGATCTCCTTGAGGATGGGCAGGATGCCGCTATGGTGCACACCCAGGCCGCGATTCAGGAGCTCTGACATGTGCAGGACCTTTGGTGGGAGGAGGCCCATGGTCAGGGATGGAGTCTCGGAACACCCTATCCCCACCAGTCTGCCAAATGTGTGCATGCACGCACACAGACGCACACAGACGCACCTGGGGCAGCTGGCGGTCAGAGCCACGGAGGCGAGCAAGGCAGCGCTGCAGGAAGAGGTGGATCTCGCTCTTCTCCGAACTGGTGGTGAGGTCAAGGGAGGTGAGGCCTGAGGCCTGCTCATCACAGCGGCCCCGGGAGAAGGTGAACACCACCACGGGCAACTGGGCACGTGTGCGGAGGGAGGCCAGGAGGGACAGGTACACTCCGCGGTCCTGGAGAAGGAAGGGGAAGGGGAAGGAGCAGAGGTTGAGTTCCTGAACCAATGAGAGGTGAGCTAGTGTTAACTGGGGCAGTGCTCAAAGCTCAAGTCAAAACCCCTGGGGGACAAGGGGAAAAAAAAGATAGGAGGAAAAACAGGTGCTGGCAGGTACAAAACCCTCCCAGTTCTCACCTGTGCAGGGCCCCCCTGATGTGTGGGCTGCTTGGCCCCAAAGGTCTGGGCGTGTTTGCTCATTCTCTCCTTCTTGGCCTCCACAGCTGCATAGTACCTGGGGCACAGGGAGGGGTAGCCACAATGTCCAGCTGGGGGCCCAGCCCTAACTCTTTCCCCCATCTCGAGGCTTACCCTTTTGTATGGAAGGCTCCTCGGGAGTCCAGCAACAAAAAGAGCTCCCCCTGGGTCTTGGAGCTGTTCCCTGTGAAAAGATAGTGCTCCAGGGGCACGGGGCGGGTTACAGTGCTAATCACATAGATCTGACGACGCTTCAGCCGCCTGAAGAAAGGAGAGGGAAGCA
This sequence comes from Homo sapiens, assembly GCF_000001405.40. Lineage (NCBI taxonomy): Eukaryota > Metazoa > Chordata > Mammalia > Primates > Hominidae > Homo > Homo sapiens. Next base: position 3,440,817 of record NT_113891.3, on the reverse strand, counting down.
GGTCAGGGGTGGGAACGTGGGAAGGAACCCACATCCCCACCCCCTTCCCTACCCCTCCAACTTTACCCAGTCTTTTCTGAGACCCAGAATGGAAGGCTATCCCCCAACATCTCATCCCATTTCAACATGCAAAGTAATCTGGACCCAAAGGGGATCCCACAGCCACCAGGTGGGACATGTTCCCCAGCATCACCCCTAAGGCCTGACCGCTCTCCTTGCTGTGGTAGACTTAGTCCCCCACCCGAATCAAGGAGTACTGTAGCCCCCTTCACCCAGGCAACCCGGGACACACGTCTCACCCAATCCAGTCAGCAAACTCAAGGGCGTTGGGGACGGTGGCACTCAGAAGGATGATAGAAACGTGGTCAGGTAGCATGATAAGCACCTCCTCCCACACGACCCCACGCTGGGCACAGAGAGGGAAGGGAGGTCACATGAGGGCAGGGGCCGCCCTTCTGCCCATAAAGAGGCACAGGATTCCATATGGGGGTAAAGAAAGCAGTAAGGGGCCCTGAGTGTGTGGAATAAGGGAGACGCTCAACTGGTCCCAAAGGAGAGGACTGCCGGGTTCTGGGGAGCCCATGGCCCTTACCTCGACATCGTTGATATAGTGAACCTCATCAAAGATGACCCACTCCAGGTCCCGAATAACATCTGAGCCACTGTACAGCATGGAGCTGGGGAGAAGAGGCCAAGGATTGACTCCCCAGTGGCTCGTCTCCACCCCCTCCTCAGACAGCACACTCTCCACAACGGCCACATCTTCCCAGCCAAAACTCCCCTGTATTGAGTGTCCATCTCTCACCGAAGGATCTCTGTGGTCATGATGAGGCAGGAGGCCTCCGGATGCAGCTGTACATCCCCGGTGAGCAGCCCCACATCCCCGAATGTGTTTCGGAAGTCCCGGAACTTCTGGTTGCTCAGGGCCTTGATGGGCGAAGTGTAGATGGTGCTGGGAAGAGAGCATGAAGTTAGCCAGTCCCTCCGCAGACTCATGGCCCGCACTTCCTCTCCCACATGGAGCCCTCGTGGAAGCATGCCCCAGAAGCTCAGGTGCTCCTCTTCTTCACCCAAACTGCCCTTACATTCTCCTGCATGATATAACCCCAGAAAAATTCTGTCCCCAACCCCTTCCTAAACTAACCCAGGTCATTCTTCTAAACTTTCTCCCCACCATGTCTTTTCATTTCTCTCTGGGCTCTTGTCTCAGTCTTAGCCCTGAACCTCTCACTTAAAGGATGAGCTAGAGAGGTGGGGGAAGAGATGAGATTTTCAAAGGATGCAGGAGAAAATGGGGCTGGCTGGTGAAGGGGGAGGTTGGCAAAGGAACTCATACCGTGTCATGTGTTTCTGGGCCAGGGCAATGGCATATTCAGCCACAACTGTTTTTCCTGCAGATGTGTGAGCTGCGACAAAGACAGAGTCATGCCGTTCCAAGTGCAGGATGGCCTGTTTCTGAAACACATCTGGCTCAAATGCCCACTATGGGAGAGAGAAATAGACAGGAGCTGAAGAAAGGAGCGGGGCCTTGCTGCCTCCTGCTCATGGAGCACGCAGGGCGGGCGGATGAAGGCCGGAGCCAGCCGAGGCTGGGACTGAGTACCAAGACTGGCCTGGGATGGATCTGACCTCTGGCCAATAGAGGAGACAAGGGGTCGGCTGGGAGTGTGACCCAGAAAGAGGTAGAGGAGCGTGTGAAGATGGGGCCAAAGTACCTGGAAGGCTGGCTGGGGAATGAGGCGATAGAAATCACCAACAGGGGAGGTGGCGTCCACAGGGATGGCCCACTGCTCCTGAGATGGAGGCTCTGGGGCCTCTGGGGTGGATACAGCTGTGGACGCTTCCTGGAAGAGTCAGGGGTAGCAGTGATAAAGATACAACCAGAGGGCTCTCAATTAGCACTCCTCCCAAAAGATGTCCCTTTCTTCCCCTCAGACCCATCCTAGCCAGCCCACATCCTGGTGGCAAGGCTCTTTCTTGCCTCCACTACACAGAACCACCAACCTTCAACACTAGGTCTTCCAAGCTGCTTGCTCGGGCCAGGGGAGCACTGCAGGGAGAGGCTGAAACAGTGTCCCCTCTGGGACCTCCTGGCTGTCCCACTGCCTCATTCTCATCCTCGTCACCCCCACCCAAATCCAGAGGCTCCAACATACAGCTAAGGCTTAGTAGTCCAGGAGCTGGAGTTGGACAATCTGAGGAGCAAGCCAACAAGGTCAACCTTGTCATGTCCATCTCTGTTCCTTAGGAGAAGGACATGACTTCTCCTACACCCCACTCAAAAACTAAAACTAACCTTTTGGTGCAAAGTCCATGCCTTTCTTGAAACCAGGTGGAATAGTAAGAAGATCTGTAGGATAGGGACATGAAATCAGGTCACTGCACACTGGTGAACAAATTGTGTACATTATATAAACCTAAAAGATACCATTTACAGGACAGATGCTGTAGATAGGGATGTTTGCTATGACACTTTCCCAACAGATGACAGTAAAGGTTGTTGTAGAAATTTCCCAGCAGATGACAGTAAAGGTTGTTATGGACAGAATATCTTTTTCTAATTTTCTCAAAAACATGGGAGGGCTAGCAGTAGCCCAGTGATAGCCTGGGCTCTTCCTCCTCAAGGCTCAGACTCAGAGCCCCACCTTACCTTTCTCAAAGTCTATCTCCTCCTCAGCCTCCTCCCGTGTGTTCAGATCTGTTATGGTGGGTTCATCCATCCCCCCTGGGAAGAGACAGGACAGACAGGGATTCATGGGATGAGGGTAATACGAGATAGGTGGGGAACCCTTCCCTGGAGATTAAAGACACCCTCTTCTACCATCCCATCTCCACAAGAGTCACCTGGCCAGAAGGGATACTGAGTTGGATTTCCCCATAAGGACTGGGAGGCTGGCCCTGGAGGCCGGCGAAGAGACAAGGAGGTTGTAGCCGAGAGATTTGTGTTCTCCAGCAAGACCTAAGGCAAGAGATCAGAGCCCCAATGAGGCTGAGCTTGTCTCTGACCACCTCCCCTTCTCCCCAACTGTTTCTCATGACCCCTGACCTCCTACCTCTTTGTAACCCAGTATCTGGCCTGTGGTTGGGTGTCTTTGGGCCTGTAGGTCGGATGGGACTGGGGCTCCCAGGACAGCCAAAAGAGACCAGGGATCCGTCTTCCTCTGCCATTTTCTGGAGAGAAAAATAGTAACTTTTGGGTCTTCTTTCTTCCTCTGTCCCAGCTTCCTTCAGGAACCCATCACCCTAGTCTAAGCCCCTCCAGACTCCTCACCGGGCTGAGTGCTCCACACCATGCAGAGGCAGCCAGGCTGGGGATGACAGAAACAACTGTTCTGCTTCTTGCTGCAGATCTGGGGCACAAGGAGGGAGGCCATGGGGAAGCTGAAACAAGGGCAAGATGAGAGGCATTAGGTAAGGAAAGAGGATAAAATGCAGACAAAAGAGATGATGGGACTTGTGTTCAGATCAGAAATGGCAGATGTGTCAAACAGACTAGGACAATCAGGCTTGGCCAAAAACTACCTGCTACTGAATTACCTGGGGCAGATTTTGGATTTCAGAAACATGGAGGCTGGACCTAGGAATGTGCATTTTTAAAAAGCTCCCTGGCTAATCATGAAGCACACTGAAATTGGAGACTCACTGATTTTAGAAAAAGGGGTCCCAGACCTAAGGATGAAAGGTTGGAGGCTCAAAGCCTATCATCTCAGTCACCAAGTGCCCTGGTGCTTGGATACAGAAGGGAGCTCCACGGAGAAATGCCACATTTGAAAGAGCAGCTCTCAAAGCAAAAATATCCCCAGCCCTTTCTGCTCTGTCCTCACATGTACTGCAGGTACACTGGGCTGTAATCTGTCCAGCACCCCTTCAGGCTGGGATGGACAGGAGTACAGGCACAGATGAACAAGGTTAAGCTAGATCCTACTGTGAGGAGGGTGAAGGAGGTTTGGACTCAATGCGGGTCAAAGGTTAGGGTCAAAAGTCACTCACGCTACTCTCTGGAGCTCCAGGCAAGTTCAGCAGCTCCCAGTGCCCCGTGCATCCGAGCTCCACGGCCCGAAGGGGTAGGTCCAGGGGATCTGGAGGGGGTAGCACTACGGGGAAAGGTCAAAAGTCAGGGGTCAAAGTTCATTCCATATCGGCTACTCCGTTCCATTTCCCTCCCCTCCCCCTCACCAAGTCGCTCTGTCTCCATCATCCTGGAGCCACAGCAGCTGCCTGGCAGCCCGGAAGTGCGGCAAGTAGTCGCTGCGAAGTAAGCCCCGCCCCGGAACGGGCGGAAGTAGAGGCAACTTCCGGTACAGCCCCGCCGAGAGCGTGAACTATCGCTGCGGAGGGGCAGACCTGGACCGGTGGAAGGCCGGGCGGAAGTGCGCGCCTGGGGCCGCCTTGGTTACCGCGTTTTCCGCTCCTCGCTACGTCATCGTTGTGAGCCCGCTATCAGCGGCCAGCGCGGGCGCGGCCGGAGACCGTGGGGCCCCCGGTTGCCGCCCCCTCGGGTAAGGCCCTCTGCTTCTCACTCTTCGGCCCTTTTTCTCATAGCCGTTTCTCTGTTCTTCCTCTTTGCGTTGCTCTGCGGGCGCTACGCTGGCTCCACCGCCTTCTCTGCCGTTCAAACCCCGCGGTTGTCCTTACCCTAGCGAGGGTAGGGGGGTCGGGTGCCATCGTCTTTCCGACGGAGTGGATATTTGTCCCTCCTTGAACCACATGGTACCTAAAGGTGCTGGTGTCTGTGATCCCTGGAGACAGGAGGGAATGCTGGATGATCCCGACCAGCGGGAGCTTGGACAGCAGCCTGGTTTAAGCAAGGGGTAGGGAAAGCCAAAGACAAGAGTAGGCAGACCTGAAGGGGTGGGGTTGGGTACAGTGTGGACGGCGTGTGAACCCCGGGTGGTAACAGTGGAGAAAGATGTCTTGGGCCCTGCCCCTGAACTAGGAGCCACCATGTTGGTGATACCCCCCGGACTGAGCGAGGAAGAGGAGGCTCTGCAGAAGAAATTCAACAAGCTCAAGAAAAAGGTGAGGGACTGTGTGTGGACATGGCCTAACCTTTCACAGACTCTGCACTCTGAGAAGATATGGGGTGAGTGTGAGCGAATGGGGAAGTTTTTCTGGCCCATACCTAGAGACATATCACCTCACAGTGTAGCTTCGAGAGGTGGGCTTTCCCAAGCCTTGGTGTGGACCTTCTGTCTTTTCTATGCAATTTGCCATGGATTGTCTTCCTTTCCCATGGCTTTTAGTACCGCTTAAGAGCTGATGATCCCCAAGTTTGTTTTTTCCAGTTCTATCCAGTGTTATACTGAAAAACTTCAGATACTCAGTGTTGAAGCTATCATCTTTCTATTCTTGATCTTCCAAATAAGATTGACTACACCAATTCTGCCACATGTTTGGACTCAAAACTCTGACTTCCCCACTATTTGCATAGTCAAACCTTTGCCAAGTCTTATTGTTTCTTCTTTTGAAGTAATTTTTCCTGTTTATTCTTCACTGTGCATTCCCCCGAGCAGGGCTTTATTGACATTCATGTGGGCCATTGTAATGGTCTCTCAACAAATTTCTCAGTCTTTTTTTTTGAACAGACTTCTTCACTCCTGTTCAAATGATCCATTGAAAACACAAAATTCTGCTCCCTCTGTTTCTCAAAAACCATAAATGGCTTCACATTGTCTATAAAAAAGCCTCAAAACCTTAGTTTGGCAGCCTTGTCTAGTAAAGTAGAACTATTCACTACTTCCAAAAGATGCATTCCCAAAGCCTTCTTATCTCTGCATCTTTGCCACCCTGTTTTCTTTTTCTAAAATACCCTTCTCCTCTCTGTGTTGTGCAGAGATACGGGAGAGGGCCTAGTTTAATAGCCATTAAACATCAGAAAATCTTACTAGCTTTCAGCTATGAATAATCTGCACCTCTTATAATTGTATTGCTAACTCAATGTATTTTATTTCTCAGACTGTAAGCTTCTTGAGGGTAGGAACAATGCATTAGCCTCCTGGATATCCCTGTTACGAAGTCATGGCTGGGCCTCATTCAATATGCAGGAAATAGATGGATGAAGCTTCCAGGAAAGGCACATAAACTTATACTTACTTGCAGCTTATATCCTAGGATTCTAGTCCATGATTGAGTTATTTGTCTTCAACTTCAAAAATGTAACACTCTGGAAAACCTCTGGGTTCCGTGGTTTGGTTAGATTAGGAATTTCCAGCATCATACATGATCTAGGGGACCAGAGGCAAGAGGCAGAGCACATCAGTGTACCACTCTGAGGGCATCAAGAAAGACGGTCCCTGGAGTGATGTGCCCAGGGGCCTTAGGAGAGGAACCGGCTAGGGGCTGGCCCTCACTTACCTCTCTCTTCTCACCCTTGTTCCCAGAAAAAGGCATTGCTGGCTCTGAAGAAGCAAAGTAGCAGCAGCACAACCAGCCAAGGTGGTGTCAAACGCTGTGAGTGACAGGGGAAATGGGGATGGACTGGAAGTGGGCAGCATGGAGCTGACCTTCATCATGGCTTGGCCAACATAATGCCTCTTCCCCTTGTCTCTCCAGCACTATCAGAGCAGCCTGTCATGGACACAGCCACAGCAACAGAGCAGGCAAAGCAGCTGGTGAAGTCAGGAGCCATCAGTGCCATCAAGGCTGAGACCAAGAACTCAGGCTTCAAGCGTTCTCGAACCCTTGAGGGGAAGTTAAAGGTGAGCACAAGCAGAAAGATTGTTTAAAGGGCATCCCTCCAAGTTGGAATGTAGATGGGTTTGGGGAAAAATATGCATACTCAAGCACTGGCAAATTGCTGTACCATTCTGAGTTTCACCTCTCATGTATAAAATGAAAAAACTAGACGACTCCTGAATTCTCCATTTTACAAATTCTGTGGTTCTAATCCACCTTGGATTGGAGCTCTTGGAATATGTTGCCCTAAGGGATGGAAAGGGCTGAAAATGTTATCAGGTTCAAGAGAGGTTCAAATAAACTGAATACATAATATATCGAGTCACTTATAAAAAATACCAGCTGGGCGTGGTGGCTCATGCCTGTAATCCCAGCACTTTGGGAGGCTGAGGTGGGCAGATCACTTGAGATTAGGAGTTTAAGACCAACCTGGCCAACATGGTAAAACCCCGTCTCTACTAAAAATACAAAAATCAGCAGGGTGTGAGGCCGGGCGCGGTGGCTCACACCTGTAATCCCAGCACTTTGGGAGGCCGAGGCAGGCGGATCACGAGGTCAGGAGATCGAGACCATCCTGGCTAACAAGGTGAAACCCCATCTCTACTAAAAATACAAAAATTAGCCGGGCGTGGTGGCGGGCGCCTGTAGTCCCAGCTACTTGGGAGGCTGAGGCAGGAGAATTGCTTGAACCCAGGAGGCGGAGCTTGCAGTGAGTCGAGATTGTGCCACTGCACTCCAGCCTGGGTGACAGCGAGACTCCGTCTCAAAAAAAAAAAAAATTAGCAGAATGTGGTGGTGCACACTTATAGTCCCAGTTACTGAGGAGGCTGAGGCCAGAGAATCACTTGAACCCAGGAGGCAGAGGTTGCAGTGAGTGGAGATCACACCACTGCACTCCAGCCTGGACGACAGAGCAAGATTCTGTCTCAAAAACAAAACAAAACAAGCCACAATGGCAGGTGCGGCAATGGCTCATTCCTGGTTAATTTCAGCACTTTAGGAGGCCGAGGTAGGAGGATTGCTTGAGCCCAGGAGTTTGAGACCAGCCCTGGCAACATAGTGAAACCCTATCTCTACAAAAAAAAAAAAAAATACAGAAATTAGCCAAGCATGGTAGAGCACATCTCTAGTCCCAGCTACTAGGGAGGCTGAGGTAGGAGGATTGCTTGAGCATGGGAGGTCAAGGCTGCAGCAAGCTACGATTGCTCTATTGCACTCCAGCCTGGACAACAGAGCAGGACCGTGTCTCAAAAAAAAAAAAAAAAAATAAGTAAAACCACGTCAAATAAGAAATGTATGTAGAATTAAAAGGGAAGAAAAGATCAGAGGAAACCTAGAAGAGGGTGAGGGAAGAGGAACACCTCTGGTCCATGGTTGGGCAACCTCCTGCTCCACACTGAGGTAGGTCTCTCACCACTCCAGGACCCCGAGAAGGGACCAGTCCCCACTTTCCAGCCGTTCCAGAGGAGCATATCTGCTGATGATGACCTGCAAGAGGTAAAGGCTCCTAATTTCTGTCCCTGAGGGGTTGGGGATGGAGGAATATGAGAGACAAATATATTTTGGACCACATGTCAGCAACTGGAAATCATCTTAACTGTTCTTGGTCTCTTTTACAGTCATCCAGACGTCCCCAGAGGAAATCTCTGTATGAGAGGTTAGAGAGTAGAGATAAGGCTGGGCCCATTTGGTGGAGTTGATTGCCTGAGTCCTTGGGAGGTTTGGGCTGTAGGAGCTGGGCTATAGAGGGAATATTGAGTCTCCACAGGGTCTGAGGGGAGAAGGTAAAACCCCCCTTTGATCTTCAGTCTGCATCTCCCCAGCTTTGTGTCTTCTAGTGATCGACTTCGAGAACTAGGACCAGATGGAGAAGAGGCAGAGGGCCCAGGGGCTGGTGATGGTCCCCCTCGAAGCTTTGACTGGGGCTATGAAGAACGCAGTGGTGCCCACTCCTCAGCCTCCCCTCCCCGAAGCCGCAGCCGGGACCGCAGCCATGAGAGGAACCGGGACAGAGACCGAGATCGGGAGCGGGATCGAGACCGGGATCGAGACAGAGACAGAGAGCGGGACAGGGATCGGGATCGGGATCGAGATCGAGACCGGGAACGGGACAGGGATCGGGAGCGGGATCGAGACCGAGACCGAGAGGGTCCTTTCCGCAGTGAGTGATTTTGGCTGGAGGTCAAGGTGACCTTAACTGAGGTTTATGTGGGTCCTACTAAGTGAAATGTGGCATGGTCTATGTCTTGTGACTATGATTTGTGCTCCCAAAGGGTCGGATTCATTCCCTGAACGGCGAGCCCCTAGGAAAGGGAATACTCTCTATGTATATGGAGAAGACATGACACCCACCCTTCTCCGTGGGGCCTTCTCTCCTTTTGGAAACATCATTGACCTCTCCATGGACCCACCCAGAAAGTAAGGATGACAACAGGGCATGATGAGAAGTCCTGGGAGAATCCTGGGGTGTGAGACCTGAGGGAAGAAGCTGCCCTCCCTGCAGCCGCCTATTATCACTGGGTTTGGTTGGGTCCAGAAGAGCCCCTTGGCTCTCCACTGACCGTGTTTTCTCTTATCCCAGCTGTGCCTTCGTCACCTATGAAAAGATGGAGTCAGCAGATCAGGCCGTTGCTGAGGTTGGAACTTCCCAAATCTGTTCTTCCCATCGCTTCTGCTGTTCTCATGTGTTCTCCTCAAAATACTAGATGCCAGGAAGAAGTTGGTTCCTCTTGATAAAGAAAGCCTCTCCCTATTCACACAGAAAAACTCACATTCTCAGATTCCTTATTCAGTCTCCTCCTAGGATAGCAACTCCTGGAATAACTTCTTTGGTTTATCTGTAATGTTTTCCTCCCCATCCTCTGCCTCCCCTCTTCTGCTTCAGCTCAACGGGACCCAGGTGGAGTCTGTACAGCTCAAAGTCAACATAGCCCGAAAACAGCCCATGCTGGATGCCGCTACTGGCAAGTCTGTCTGGGGCTCCCTCGGTAAGAATGGGATTCTTCCTTTCCCATCCTCTCCCCCACAGGCCATTCCTTTTGGTTCCCCCACACATCCTTGGGTTTCCTAGAGATGATCGAGGTCAGAGTGTGTGCGGAGGCTATGGGAATGGGAAGGAAAATTTCAGATCCTCTGTCAGTTAGAGGTAAAGAAAGGAGAGAAAAGGATTGAAAACAGCTTCCAAAGCAGTGACTGGAACAGGGAAGAAAGTGGGAGCTGGAGTGAGATTGGTGAGGAAGATGAGTGTCTCATGGGGCTTGTTCATTTTGAGATGGAGTAGAGTGAGTTTCATAAGTATTCGAAATCAGGGATCTGGAACTCAGGTGTGAGGTAAGGAAGGAAAACATAGATTAAGTCATCCACATCACAGGGTGGCTGCCAAACAATAGGATCATCAGGGAGACTCTGATTTCAGAGAAAAAAAAACGACCCAGGACTCAGTTTGAGGAGTACTCTGGGACTATGTTAGGAAACAGGACTGTTCACCTCACACCCCACATGTCCCCAGCTGTCCTGACATGTTAGGCTAACGTTGAGCCTAACGTTAGCAAAGGAGACAGGAGGAGGGGTCGGAGGGCTGGGAGCAGCACCGCAGGGGCCTGGGCCACTGAAGCAAAAGGACACACACTTTGAGAAAGAGGGAGTAGCCAGCAGTGTTGAGGCACAGAGATCACAGGATGGGAGTGGGTGAGAGAGATTCTCTGTAGCTCAAGGGTGGTGGGGATGGAACCATTGGATGGGGTGAAGAGAGTAACATGTCTGGTGGAGGGAGGAAAGAGGAAGGGGAAGAAACAGCTAGAGGCTTGAGAGAGAATGGTGAGGGCCAAAGCTACACCCTGAATGAGTTCTGGTGGAGCTAGTAGCATTTCTTAGTGTGAATAATCCATTTTCCCTGAAAGTAGATTTTCCTGGGAAAGGAGTGAGCAGAAAGAAGGGCTCAGCTACAGTGGCCCTTCAGGCAAAAGAAAGGAACTAGAATTGACCAGCATGTCAAAAAAGGGCTACAGAGGTTTTCTAGTTTTTAGCTTCTGACATACTGACTGTAAGTAGTGGGTTAATATCATTCACGTGTCTCAACAATGACATTTGGGATTTTTCTAAGAACAAAACATTCATCAAAATGTCCACTTATACTTTTCTTGGCCATGGGTTGGCACAAAGGAGCTAAGGAAGACAGGCCATCCTGGCCACCAGAGGGCAGCGTGGAAACTGGGCTTCCAGGGGCCAGTGGCCAGGAGTGAGGTGGTCAGGAGTCAGCCTCAGGGTCTGTTCTATGATCTCCTTTAGACCTTAACTGTTCCTCTCCTCCCTCCCTAGCTGTCCAGAACAGCCCTAAGGGTTGCCACCGGGACAAGAGGACCCAGATTGTCTACAGTGATGACGTCTACAAGGAAAACCTTGTGGATGGCTTCTAGGGAACAGAGCTGGATTCCTTGTGCCTCATATGCCCCAATGCTGGTCTCAGTAAAACACTGAGGTGGAAGCTTACACATCTCCCTCAGCCTCTGGTTTTTCAGCACTTGGGATTGGGGTTAAACCTTTAAAAACGGCTGTCAGGTTTGATCTCAGTGTAACAACATGGCCAGTGCCTGTTCCCCACTCCCTTGCCCCAAAAGGATCTGGAACACAGGTGTTGTCGCAGCTGTTTTAATTCAATCCCACGCCCCTGTCCAGCAGGAAACCCCTTATAGAAAACCCAAATCCTCATCTTGGAGTTTCTCCTTCAGCCAGGGCAGCACTTGAAAGAGGTTGATGTGAAAGTCTCGGGCGTGAGCAGGTACCTGCTTTTGCCGCTTCTGGTTTTTGCAGACATCCACTACTCCCCAGCTGATTACACCAACCTGCAGAGGCAGTGGGGTGCCATGGATCATTCAGTAGAATTCCTAATCCTGGAAGCATGGCTGTTCCTGCTTGTGTCTTAGCTGACCTAAAGGAATCAGACTAGGGACCCAGCTCAGCCTCGTTCTTGACACACGCAGGCAAGACATGCGGTCCTAAGGTGAGGCAGGCTCTGCCTACCTCGAATTACTAGCCACATGCATTGAGCTTTCCTGCTTTGGGGCCCATGCTGACCACTTGGCATCTCCCCAGATAGGAAAGGGAGGACTCACTTGAATGAAACGACTTCTCTTGTGAACTATCAAGGGGCCGCCAGAATCACCTGCAAGGAGAGGAGAAGCTGTAGAGAAAAGGACTGTTGGGCCTTGGGCACTTGTAGCACAACCAAAGAGCATTCTCTCACCTCTGCAAGTATTGGGGTCAGCATAGGGACTCACTCCTCCAGTACAAAGGAACCGAGGGGTGACCACCTCTGAGATGTCCTTGACTTTGTCATAGCCTGGGGCATATTGAGCATCTCTCTCACAGCTGCCTTTCTGTAGGGGAGGTGGGAAGCATGGAGAAGTAATGAACAGAAGTGGCTTAGGAAGGATTGGGGCCTAGAGTGCCTCCTTAGGATGCCCGTTTCTCACCTTATCCCCATTCTTGATGTAGACCTCCTTCCGAGTCAGCTTTTTCTCCTCCTCAGACACAAACAGAGCTTTGATATCCTGTGCAGGGAGCAGCTCTTCCTCTGGACGAATAGACTGCGTCACTTCAGCTGCTCCCACCACTGTCATCTCCCCATTGCCTTCGTCACTCAGTAGATGTCCCCTAAGCCCTTCTAGAGCTAGGTTCTGGGCCAGGCATCATCTCTTCCTATTGCACCTCCCTCTCATGCCCCACTTGTCTCTTGGGATCTCATCCTTATCCTCTTGCCAAGTATGTCTTACTTTGTTGCTGGCAAGTGGTAGTTGGAGGAAGCCTCAAAGCTCGAGTTGTTCCCTCGGTGCAGGGGAGACAAATGGGCCTATAAAGGACAAGGAGAACAGCAAACCAGGCCTGCTCCTCACCCCAGTCCTCCAGCCTTTCCCAGCCTTTCCTCAGGGATCTGGACGCTCTCACCTGATAGTCTGGCCATATTTCAGCTTATTCTTGAGCTTGATCAGGGCAACGTCATAGTCATAAAATTCAGGAATTCCTGCTTCTTTTTTCCCATTAATGTTGTAGTTGGGGTGAAATAGGACTACTTCTATCTCCAGGTCCCGCTTCTCCCCTCCTGAAGTAGGAGAGTAGGTACCACCTCTTTGTGGGCAGCTTCCTGCCTCTGGCCCCGTGTCATTCCTAACTTCACGTCTTCCCCCATCCCTGACTGGTCTGGGGTGCAAGGAATGGGGCTGCATTGAGGATGGGTGGAGTGTAGGATCTGTAGAAAGTGGGAGGTGTTGCCTGGAGAGCATAGGTGCAGCCCAGGACCTTCAGTTGCATCCTTACCTACGCTGACCTTGATTGAGTGTTCCTTGTCATCCACAGTGAAACAATGTGCTGCTGTCAGCACAAAGTACTCAGACACCACAGCCCCCATACAGCTCTCGTGTCCCTTTGAAGGGCGCTGGGGACACAACAGTAGAGAGGGAAAGCTCAACTTTCACAAACCACCATCTCTTATGGCCATTTTTTCCTTCCCCTACTCCCATTTCACCTTGACCTCACCTCCCCCAAGTCCCCACTACTGGGATTCTGTGCTTACAATGACTGAGATCTTGGCCTGCCATGGTTGCTTGTGGTAATCGGTACCCTTCCTGTGTTCCCAAACCATGCCACAGAGACTCAGAGACTGGCTTTCATCTGGCAGAGAAGGAGAATGTGCTGAAAACTCGGAACACTTCATTCCCAAATGGCAGCAGCCTTTTGGGTAGGAGTCTATGGGGAGCAAAGGCCCAAAAGGAGAAAGGGAAAGACCACGGGTATTTGTTTCCTCGTGTTAGGAGAAAACTGCTATGGTGGACTGAAAAGGGAAAGAACTTGGGATCAAGCTGTCAGAGGCCTGGCTGTTTTCAAGCCCACCCTTGTTGCTAACTTGCTGTCCCTTGACCTCCTTTGGCTTCTGTTTCCACGTGTCAAATGTAGGACTATAGAAAGATCTCTGAAGTGCTCAGAGCTCTGTGATTCTAAGGTTAAGTGAACAGTGCCAGGAAACAAGAATAGTGACACTGAGGTAGAGAAGGAGGAATGAAGAAGGCTTTCCAGGCAACTAGAGCTTCAGGTGTAGAGGAAGAATGAATTACTTCAGGGGAACCTGAGGAGAGTTGTGTTCTTTATTCCCTTGTATCTCCCTACCGATCATTTGGTAGAAAACATCTTCCAGGTTTTCCATATCCTTGACTTTGAACACATGTTGCTCATTGTCTTTCTTGGAAGCCAAAGCATTGATGTTCACTTGGTTCACCAAAGGCCCGACCCCAAACACATAGACATCTGAGGGATAAAAAGGAAGGATGAGGGTCCAAGCCCTGAGGAAGTGGGGTGCTGGGTCCTAGGCAGGTTACTCACCCAGATAATCCTCCCTTGGGTTTTTGCGATCCTTGCCAATGTATAGCAAGTCCCGGATCTCATCAATGACAGTAATTGGGTCCCCGCCCATGTTGTGCAATCCTGCAGAAGAGACAGGACCATGAGGGTAGGAGATAAGGAAGATAAACTGGCTAAAGGCAGGGATACACATGGCAGGGTGAGCAAGTTGAGGAAGGGTTAGAGATAGTTGATCACAGGGCTTAGGAAGAATTCCTTATGAAGGGTCACAGGAGAGATGAACAGCCAGCTATGAGTCACATTCAGGGCCCCAACCATGGGTATAGTGTTACAAGTGGACTTAAGGGCCACATGCTGGTCTGAGAAGGTGGGGAGGCTGGGACAGGAGAGAGGTCCCTTCTGACCATCAGTCATGAGGATGATGACATGGCGGGTGCGGTTCCAGCCTTCAGGAGGGACGTCATCTGGCCAGCTCATCATGCTGTACACTGCCTGGAGGGCCTTCTTGGTGTTAGTCCCTGACTTCAACTTGTGGTCTGTGGAGAGGGAAGAGACCATCACCTCACCTGGTCTTCCAAGCCATCTTTTAACCCCAGAGACCAATCTGCAACTGAAATCCCACATCTTTCAACTTTTTAAGTTAATCATCATTACACGGACTTCCCTTTGACCACAAAGTGGCCCTTCCAGCCCCCAACAGGTTCCCACTAACCTCCATTGCCCAACGATCCTGCTGTTCAACTTTTGACTACAAAGTGGTCCTCCCTGTCGCCCTCAAGGTAGTCTCATGACCCCCTCCACCCTGAACCTCCTGACCCCAAAGTGAACCTCCCACCATTCCCTAACCTCTGACCTTCATAATTGATTTCATTGAGCTGCTTCGTGACCCAGTCTGCATTACTGCTGTCTGCTTCAGACACTTTGACCCAAATTTTGGGGTATGTGGCATATGTCACTAGACCATATCTTGGCTTCACACCATAACTTGCCACCTGTGGGTGAGGAGAACAAGGCGCCATGGCATTGAAAATAGAATACTGTGATTGGGAGATTTCAGCGACTTTGCTGGGACAGGGAGGCTCTCAGTAAGAGGCTCAAGGGCTGAGGTTCATGGAGGAATTACCAGTCAAGAAACTGCTTCAAGTAAAAGGGAAGGAGGACAGAATAGGACCTGGAGATTTTCCTGGGGCCCTGTTGTTCAGAGGGGCTGGAATGATCAGGGAGCTAGTCCTGGAAGATCAGCGAGATTCCATTCCCCCGAGTTCAGGGATAGGAGGATTCCACCTTCTCAATTAAGTTGACTAGACACTTTTTGGCTCCTGTGAAGTTGCTGGCCCCAATGCTGTCTGATCCATCTAGCACCAGGTAGATGTTCATGGAGCCTGAAGGGTCCAGGACGATCTTCCGCTTCTGTTGTTCCCCTGGGTGCCAGGAGAGTGGCTCAGGCTCCAGCATTAACAGTTCTGTCCCTTCTCCATTTTCCCCCAGTTCCCTGCCCTGCCTCCCTTCTCTGTCTTCAAACCTGGGCCGTGCCCATCCTCAGCATCGACTCCTTCTATGGTCTCTGTCAGGGAAGACAGGAAAGCTTCGGCCACCTCTTGAGGGGTGTCGTACATGAAGGAGTCTGGGAGAGTCAGAAATGAGGTCAAATGTCTGGGAGTGTCAGGGATACAGTGACCAAAGAGACGGGGGATCATGGGTTTCCAGGGTATAAAAGGCTCAGAAGTGAGATAGTTGTACAGGGAGGTTTAAACAAAGTGAGGAAAGAGCAGGGTTGAGGTGGGGAGAGAAGACAGTAGGATGGAAGACCAGGATCTGACCTGGGGGTACAGGTCAAAGGTCACCTTGGCAGGAAGGCTCCGTCCCGCTCCAAGAGCCACCTTCCTGACACGTTCGCCGCTGGGAGCCACGCAGGGTAAGCCCCCGGCTGCAGTGGTAGGTGACGCTGTCTTCAAGGCGGTACTGGCTGCCCACCTTCCTTGTGCCAATGGGGATGCCCGGGTTGGAGCAGTACCCCGCTGCAGAGGTATGAGACATCGAGGTAAGCACTGAAGCCTGAGGCCCCGTGAGCAAGGTAGAGAGCAAGAGTTACAGTGTCCGGAGCCGAGTGCCCACTCCTCGGGCTGGGCGCCGTCAGGGAGACAGCAATGTAGGGGGAGGGGATGCTTCTCACCTCCGTTGTCACAGATCGCTGTCTGCCCACTCCACCGGCCATTCACTTGGCAGGTGCGATTGGCAGAGCCCCGGAGAGTGTAACCGTCATAGCAGTGGAAAGAGATCTCATCACTCACATTGTAGTAGGGAGACCGGGGCCAGTATTCCCCGTTCTCGAAGTCGTGTGGTCTTGGACAGTGGATTGCTTTGAGAAGGGGGGACAAGTAGAAGTCATCAAGAGGGAAAGGCTGCCTTAGGTGTATCCCTCCTGGTCTCGGAGACCATGTCACTGAGAAACAGCGCATTCCCAGTCCCGCAGAAGCAGCATCTTACCTACTCCTCAACCCATATGGATTTCCACTGCTTCTCCCTCCCCATTTCTGAGTGTTCTCTTGACTTCCAGGGCTGCCTGGAAGCCCAGGGTAAATGCTTAGTAAGGGTTAACTCCGCTTTTTCTTGCCCCCTTTCCGCCTGCCACCCTAAAACTGCTCCTACTCCCGGTCAGCCCACCTTGTCACCCTGCCTAGTCTCATCCTAGTCCTGACCTTGCTGCCGCCTGCCCTGTTTCTGCCTTAGGCCACTGCCCACACTCATTGCCCTCAAACCTCTGCACTCTGCCTTCCTGACAGTCTTTTGGTCTTGAGTCTTCAGGGTGCTCCAGGACCCCGTAGATCTGCAGGTACGTGTCTGCACAGGGTACGGGTAGAAGCCAGAAGGACACACGTACTCCAGTGCCTGGCCCTCTTGGAGAAGTCGGAAGGAGCCGCCTTTGATCTCTACCCCCTCCAGAGAGCAGGATCCCTGGGGCCGGGCCAAAGACCATGGAGTGGTGGTCACACCTGAAGAGAAAGGCTGATGAAGCCTGGCCCCAAAAGGCCAAGGAGGGATGCTGGAGACAGCAGGAAGGGAAGGTTACCCTCGCTTACCTCCAGACAAGAGGCCCAAGATAAAGGGCATCAGGCAGAGTTGGGGGCTGAGATTGCTCCCCATGGCGTTGGAAGGCAGGAGAGAAGCTGGGCCTGGGGCAGGATGGTGTGTCCTGGCTTGCTTTGCTTGTCTGCTTGGCTCAGTGTCCAAGCTGAAACTCCAGACCTAGACCTGGTCACATTCCCTTCCCCTGCTCCCCACCAGCCCCCAGCCTTTTATACAATCTGTGTTCTGGCACCTGCGGCTCGCCCCGCCTGTCCTACCCACATCACTTTCCCGGAACATCCAAGCGGGAGGGCCCCGCTGAGCTGCCAGTCAAGGAAACAGAAACTGCAGAAGTCCCACCCTTTGCTGCCAAAGGTCCAGGACTCTCCCCTTCAGTACCTCCTCTCCGGCCTTAGCTCCTCCCCAGTAAGCCCAAACCACCCACTTAGGGACCAGAAATAAGGATCCAGCTCACTCCCCTGTTGATTGTGTGTTATGGTGCAGAGTCCAGCCACTGTTTGTCCAGTGGGGTCTCTGACCTGCCTTCCTGTAGCTCTTGGAGTCATTCTGGCCTCCCCCTCCCCCAAGGCCAGCCCTACCTGGCCTCCAGATAGAGGCACTGAGAGATGTGGAAACCATTGATTTTTATTAATTTCATAACTGGGAAATTCCATGTGAAAGTGAAACAAGCATGAGTCAAGTCAACCAGGGAAGGAATCTGGGGACAGGCCAAGGAGCGGGAGGTGGGGCAGCGAGGCAGTCCTGCTGGTAGGAGCCCTGAGGATTTCCCAGCTTGTGTGCGCTGCCTCTGGCATCCTAGAGACCCGGATTTACTCAGCTAGGAGAGAGGATGGATCACAGGGTCTAAGGGTGGCCATTCAGAGGTAGAAGATGGAGGGGCGGCAGATTCTGGCAGGGCAGCAGAGGGCTCAGTGGCCATGGCTAGAGGGGTAAAAAATTCAGGACATCCCCCAGGTGCTGCCTCAGCCAGGGCTGCATGCGGAAGAGATTGATGTGAAAGTCTCGTGGCGGCGGGACCTTGCTACGAGGGGCCCTTTTGCGGGAGTTTTTGTCAGCAGAGCCAAGGCAGGGGTTGTAAAGACCCCAGCTCACCAGACCCACCTGGAGAAAAGGAGAGAACTGGCTGGGAGGCTGCCACAGCCCCAACTGTAAGCCCCAACCTCCCTAGATCCCTCAAAGGCCTCCCTCATCCCCCCAACAAGGCTGAGATCCTGTAACCCCTGGGTCCTGCAAGCTTCTACCTTCTCACCTGAAAAAACCTGAATCTCCGCTCAAGGAAAACTGCTCCCCCAGATTCTCCTGCCAGCAAAGGGTGACAGGAGACAGTGTCATCTAGGGCAGTGGACTGGTGTTCTGGCATGCATGCTGGCCACAGAGACACAGGTGGCCTTCCCCTTGGGAATCCAGGCATGGTGAGGGACTCACCCTTGCAGGGACTCTCATCCTCCTGGGTCCCACTGCATAGGAACTGGTCTGTCACCACCTCCCTGACATCTGTCAAGTTGGGGAACATGGTTTTTTCTTGGGAGACAACCTCGGCACAGCTTGTCCACTGCAGCAGGGGTGGAACCAGAGAGAAGGGTAGAATAAGCAGACCCGGGTGGGTGCAGTGGCTCACGCCTGTAATCTCAGCACTTTGGGAGGTTGAGGCAGGCAGATCACTTGAGGTCAGGAGTTCAAGACCATCCTGGCCAACATGGCGAAATCCCGTCTCTACTAAAAATACAAAAATTAGCTGGTGTGGTGGTGGGCACCTGTAATCTCAGCTACTCGGGAGGCTGAAGTAGGAGAATCGCTTGAACCCAGGAGGCAGAAGTTGCAGTGAGCTGAGGTCGTGCCACTGCACTCCAGCCTGGGAGACAGAGCAAGACTCCATCTCAATAACAACAAAAAAAGAATAAGCAGACCCAGGGACACCTAGCAGGTTTGTGAGGCTTGGGAGGAGGGGTGACCCGCGTCAGAGAGAGAAAGCAGCCAGACCTGGAGAAGGAAGAGAGACATTCTGGGAGCTGTCACAGGGGGATCCCAGCATCCCCAACCTGAGACCCTCACCTCCACTCCCATCTTAAGGTTAATGTTCAGTTTGCTCCCATTCAAGGCGACAAAATGAGCAGGAACACTCTGTTTGTTCAGCAGTTCATTCTCTATAGTCAAGAGAAGGGGATGTTGGTGCTGGTCCTTTTACCCAGAATCCAGGTTCCTGGCTTGGGGACTGCAGCCTAGTCCTTGTTATCACCCCCAAACCCCGGCCCCAGCTCTCAAGCACCATAAGTCCCAGCACTCACCATGGTCCCTACAGGTGCTGCCTTGAGGTCTCCGCAGAGCCAGATTGGCCTCCATCGTGCAGGGAAGGCAGATGGGCCTGGGGAGAAGAGCAAGGGTCACACCAGCCTGTCCCCAGTATCTCTTCCAGGGATCTCCAGAGCACTCTTCCCTGCAGGGCACCCTCCCATCCCAGACTCCAGGCACCTGGCATGGGTGGACATCTTTACTTTCTGGGCCAGCTTCAGCAGAGCTATGTCATCACCATAGAACTCCAGGATTCCCTGGTTCTTTTTGGCAAAGACATCAAACCCTGGGGAGATCACCGCCTTCTCAATAAGGAATTCTTTGCCCCACTGGGATTTGGGGTCTCCTGGAAATGATACACTAGATTAGGCTAGACCAGGGCTCCTGCAGGGGCCAGAGGCTGGGTGAGGTGGTAGGATCTGTGGCTTCAGGATCAGGAGGCTGGTGCATCCCCTGCCTTACCCACATTGACCCTCCACAGGGAGTGGTCGTTGCCATCGCGGAAGCAATGAGCTGCTGTCAGGACCCATTGGTCGGAGATGAGGGCCCCCCGGCAGGTCTCTTGGCTCTTGGGCTGCAGGGGAACAGGTGATTTTCAGAGATTGCAGTATGTCTGGCCCATGGCCGCTTTTACCTCTGGAATCCAAGCCCTGCCCCTCCTTCCTGGTACCTTAATAGTGACATGCCAGGGTGTCCTCTCCTGGTCAGAGGCGTTTGCTGACATGTTCCCCACCCCGCAGATGGTGTCTGTGAGCTTGGAGACATCTGTGGGTGTGAGGATCAGATGGGGAAGGAGGCAAGTGAGGGGCACTGTGTCCAGGTTCCCAACACGGGCCTCTGGCGGGCTCCTCACCATCCTCCCCACACCAAGGAGGGCAAAGCTCACTCACCCAGCATATGTTCAAAGACCTGGTGCAGAGCCTTTGTGTCCTGCAGAATGAAGGCATGCCTCTCACCATCCTTCTTGGACCCTAGCTCATTCAGTTCTCTCCAGTCCACATCCAGCTTGCCCACCCCGATGGCATAGATGTCTGGTGGGGAAGAGGGAAATCACCAGACTCCTGTGGCTTTGGGGCTACCCCATGAGACAGGAGGCTGTCATCTGAAACTCACTGTGTCCAATCAAGACCTACATGAGCTGGACCCCTGCGTCCTCCCCACTGCTACCTGTCTGCCTTCATTTCCTGCCACTCCCTGCCCTTCACTCTCCTGCAGCACACAGCCTCTTTGAAGTTCCTCAAATCCATAGGCATGGTCACACCTCAGGCCCTTTGCCCAGCTGTGCCTCTGCCTAGTTCACTCCTCCCCCCCAGACTTCCACATGGCTCACTTTCGTACCTTTTTAAGTCTTGGCTCAAATGTCACCTTCTCAGTGAGGCCTTCCCTGGTCTTCCTGTCTAAAACTGCAATGCCCCAGACAAACTTTCATCCCCACTTTGGGAGGCAAGGTGGGAGGATCCCTTGAAGCCAGAAGTTTGAGACCAGCCTGGGCAACATGGCAACACCCCTTAGCTTGTGTCACCTACCACCTGCTGGGTTCTATGGTTTTCTTATCCTGTTTATTCCCTGTAATGGTGGAATTGTGTCCCCCAGAAAGATGTGTTCGAGTCCTAATCCCCAGTATCTGTGACTTTATTTGGAAAAAGGGTCTTTGCAGATGTAATCAAGTTAAGATTAAGTC
Source organism: Homo sapiens (assembly GCF_000001405.40). Classification (NCBI taxonomy): domain Eukaryota; kingdom Metazoa; phylum Chordata; class Mammalia; order Primates; family Hominidae; genus Homo; species Homo sapiens. Next base: position 3,419,735 of record NT_113891.3, on the reverse strand, counting down.
ATACTAGATTAGGGTGAGCTCTAATCCAATGACTGAGGTCCTTATAAGAAGAGGTAAGCCAGAGCCAGGCGTGGTGGCTCACACCTGTAATCACCAGGAGGCGGTGGTTGTGGTGAGCCAAGATCGCGCCATTGCACTCCAGCCCGGGCAACAAGAGCAAAACCCCGTCTCAAAAAAAAAAAAAGAAGAGGTGAGCCGGGCACGGTGGCTCACACCTGTAATCCCAGCACTCTGGGAGGCTGAGGCGGGCAGATCACGAGGTCAGGAATTCAAGACCAGCCTGACCAACATGGTGAAACCCTGTCTCTACTAAAAATACAAAAATTAGCCAGACATGCTGGCACACACCTGTAATCCCAGCTACTCAGGAGGCTGAGGCAGGAGAATCGCTTGAACCGGGAGGCGGATGTTGCAGTGAGCCGAGATTGCACCACTGCACTCCAGCCTGGGCAACAGAGCAAGACTCCATCTCAAAAAAAAAAAAAAAAAAAAAAGTGAACTGGCTGGGCATGGTGGTGACTCATGCCTGTAATCCCGGCAGTTTTTTTGAGGCGAAGGCAGGCAGATCGCCTTGAGGCCAGGAGTTTAAGACCAGCCTAGCCAACATGGCGAGACCATGTCTCTACTAAAAATACAAAAATTTGCCGGGCATGGTGGCACATGCCTGTAATCCCAGCTTCTTGGGAGACTGAGGCACGAGAATCACCTGAACCCAGGAGGCAGAGGTTACAGTGAGCCGGGATCCCGCCACTGCACTGCAGCCTGGGCTTCTGGGTGACAGAGCGAGACTCTGTCTCAAACAAATGAACAGAAAAAGAAGAAAGGAATTTGGACACAAAGACACAGGTAGTGGGTCTCCTATCTATATAAGAGAACAGCATGTAATGACACAGAGGCACACACAGAAAAGAAGGCGAGTTGAAGACAGAGGCAGAGAATGGGTTTATGCTGCCGCAAGCCAAGGTTGGAGCTGCCGGCAGCCGGAAAAGGCAGGAAAGAATTCTTCCCAAGAGCCTTCTGAGGAAGCACGGCCCTGCCAACACCTTGATTTCAGACTTCTAACCTCCAGAACTGTAAGAAAAAGAAATTCTGTGTTCTAAGCCACCCAGGTTTGTGGTAGTTTGGTAAGTACTTTTAAATGACTGAATGAATAGAAAGAACTCAGAACACAACATGGAAACTAAACCTCAGATCTGGTCTTCCTCTGTAAAAGGTAGCATCTGGGAGAAGGGCCTAAAGCCACGTTTTCCCACTGGAGGCCCTGGACCCACACAACAGGCCGCGCCTGTCCTCCGACTGTGGTGCCAGTCAGAACTGCCCTCAGACAGACCACAGAGTCTACTCCTCTCCCAGCCTTTGCACCCCTTGTGGCCCATTTTTGTTCTCAGAGAGCCCCGCGTTGTGTGTAAAAAGCAAGGTGCTTAGGTGGACCAAGAGATCTTCAGCCAGGAGGCAATCTGGCAATGGCCCAGATAGAAACAGTTACAGTTGGAGCTAGACAACGATCGTGCCTTGTGCGTTTTCTTTGACTATTTTCGTTTGGTTTCCTGCTTATTTTCAATAAAATGTTTTTGTAGCATTTGACCTTGGTCCAGTGATGCTAAGGAGGAAGGGAGTGGGCTTTAAATTTTGTCTTCCTTGGGCCAGAGTTTTAAAGAGGAATCAGCTTACCCCCGAGGGCCAGGTGATGGGGGAGGGGGCAGTGTGAATGGAAAGGAGAGGAGCTAAGGGGAAGATGAAAGGTTGGGGCTCAAAACCAGCTGCCCTCCCTGTCTGAGCATCTCTCTCTCTGAAATTACTTTCTGATCAAAGGTCAGTGCAATTTGTGTTTAGTCTGAACCTGAGGAATTTTTCCTTTAGAGGCTGCAACTGCCAAAGCCTTAGTTAGCCAGCTGTGCTGCTGAAAGAGCAACCACCAGGGACATTCCCCAGAGGGAATCGAGGTCCCTTCTTCCTGGAAAGTTTCCTGAAACATGAGATGCTATGATGATGATGATGATGATAACGACGACGGTCGTGGTCATGGCTAACATATGCTGGGCATTTTTCTATGCCAGGCAGGCAGTGTTTGTCTGAGCATCTTCCCCTGTCAGCTTGTGAGCTGGGTCCTAGTACTACTCCCCTTTTGCAGATGAAGAAACTGCCCATGGCCACAGCCCACTGAAGATGAAACCAAGGTTCTCTGTCTAAAGCTGTTGATTAAAAATAATAATTAAAAAATTAAAAATTGGCCAGGCACAGTGGCTCACGCCTATCTGTAATCCCAGCACCTTGGGAGACCAAGGCAGGCGGATCACTTGAGGCCAGGGGTTTGACACCAGACTGCCAACATGGTGAAACTCTGTCTCTATTAAAAATGCAAAAATGAGCCGGGCATGGTGGCACACACCTGTAATCCCAGCTACTCTGGAGGCTGAGGCAGGAGAATCATTTGAAGCCAGGACGTGGAGGTTGCAGTGAGTTGAGATCGAGTCACTGCACTCCAGCCTGGGCAACACGGCAAGATTCTGTCTCAAAAAAAATTTAAAAATTAATTTTAAAAAATTTGTGAAGACGGGCTGAGCATAGTGGCTCATACCTGTAATCCTACCACTTTGGGAAGCTGAGTTGAGGGGATCACTTGAAACCAGGAATTTGAGGCTGCAGTAAGCTATGATTGCACCACTGCACTTCATGGTGGCATGGTGGACATCGTTACTTTCTGGACCAGCTTCTGGGCCGGCATGGGTGGACATCTTTCCAGGAATATACTCTGAGTGTCAGTGAGACACTGTCTTAAAAAAAAAAAAAAAAAAAAAGAAGGTAAGGTTGAGACCATGGGCAGTAGTTTGACCCCAGGCTCTTCAACATGAGTTGCCTTTGTACAGAACAACGCAGAAATAAAACCATGTGGCTCTGGACCATAGCTAAGATGCTGGGATCCCTGGCTGAAGATCTCATGACCTCTGCAGGAGCAGAACAAATGTGGTGGCAGTGGCAGGGGCTCACCCAGATAGTCATTCCTCTTCTGGTTGATGTTCAGGATCTCTCTGATATGGTCAACAGCTGTCTTGGGAGAGCCACCCATATTGGACTTTCCTAGAACAAAGAGAATAAAGAATTCTTCTAGGTAATATCAGGATTTCCCCAGGCCCTGGAAGAGTAGGAAAGCATTTAGCCTGGGAACCTCAACATTTACATTGCCTGTGAGAGCTTCAAAATATACTTTTAGGCTGGGCATGGTGGCTCACACCTGTAATCCTAGCACTTTGGGAGACCGAAGAAGGCGGATTGCCTGAGCTCAGGAGTTCCAGACCAGCCTGGGCAACATGGTGAAACCCTGTCTCTACTAAAACCACAAAAAATTAGCCAGGTGTGGCCGGGCATGGTGGCTCATGCCTGTAATCCCAGCACTTTGGGAGGCCAAGGCAGGTGGATCACCTGAGGTTGGGAGTTTGAGACCAGCTTGACCAACATGGAGAAACCGCACCTCTACTAAATATACAAAATTAGCCGGGTGTGGTGGCACATGCCTGTAATCCCAGCTACTCAGGAGGCAGGAGAATCGCTTGAACCTGGGAGGCGGAGGTTGCGGTGAGCCGAAATCGCGCCATTGCACTCCAGCCTGGGCAACAAGAGTGAAACTCCATCTCAAAAAATAAAAATAAAAATTAGCCAGGCATGGTGACACATGCCTGTAGTCCCAGCTACTCTGGAGGCTGAGGCACGAGAATTGCTTCAGCCTGGGAGGCAGAGGTTGCAGTGAGCCGAGATCGCACCACTGTAGTCCAGCCTGGGCAATAGAGTGAGACCCTGTCTCAAAAAAATAAATATATATATATATATATGTATGTATACATATATATATATATACATACATATATATATATACACACTTTTACTGAAATGTTCTACATTCCAGGCACCAGGCCAGGTGCTTCCTATACTTTAACTCATTTAATTCTCATGAAACCCCAGGTAGAGTGGGTATCCTCATTTTATATACTAAGTCCTGGAGGAACTGTGTAATTTGGACAATAGCAAGAGGCAAATGACAAGGCCAGATCCACTACAGACTGTTCCTTGCATCCGTGCCCTTCGACATTCCTGCTCAAGAGCCACGTTTCCTCATCTATCTCCAAGTTACCTCCCAGATGGTAACAAGAGCTAACACAGAGCACTTTCACACAGGCAACTTAAATAGCTTTCCATAAAAATTGTGTAAGGAAAGGAGGACAGCCATCATGATCATCATTGCTGTCATTGTGGTTACGGTCATCATCATCAACACTAATTCTATTTATTTATTTATTTTATTTTGAGACAAGGTAGGATCTTGGTCTGTCACCCAGGCTGGAGTGCAGTGGCATGATCTTGGCTCACTGCAACCTCTGCCTCCCAGGTTCAAGCAATTCTCCTGCCTCAGCCTCCCAAGTAGCTGGGATTACAGGCGCCTGCCACCACACCCAGCTAATGGTTTTGTATTTTTAGTAGAGACGGGGTTTCACCATGTTAGCCAGTCTGATCTCAAACTCCTAACCTCAAGTGATCCACCCGCTTTGGCCTCCCAAAGTGCTGGGACTACAGGCATAAGCCACCACACTGGCCCTATTTTATAAATAAGAAACTGGGCCAGGTGTGGTGGCTCATGCCTGTAATCCCAGCACTTTGGGAGGCTGAGGCAGGAGGATTGCTTGAAGCCAGGAGTTTGAGATCAGCTGGGCAACATAGCAAGGCCCCATCTCTAAAAACAAAAACAAAACTGGGGCCCAAAGTGGCAGGCAGAGGGAGAATCAGAATTCAGGGCTTCTGACCCCATATTGGTGCCCCTTCCACTATTCCAGACACACTCAGAGACCATGATACCCACCATCTGTCAGAAGGATGATGGCATGTCGGATTTCCTGCCAGGCCATCGTTTCCATGCCGAGGAGTCGCATTTGGTTGTTCATCATGAGATAGACACTGTTTAAGGCCGCATAGGTGTTAGTCCCAGTTCCATTTTCATGATCTGGAATATGCCAAAAGGAAGGACTCTCTTAGAAACTTCCCACCTACCACCTAGGGGTAGGGAATCACTCTATTCCCCCAATTATTGGAAATGCAATTTTTTTTTTTTTTTTGAGAGAGTCTCGCTCTGCCACCCAGGCTAGAGTATAGTGGCGTGATCTTGGCTGACTGCAACCTCCACCTCCCCAGTTCAAGTGATTCTCATGCCTCAGTCTCCCAAGTAGCTGGGATTACAGGTGCCAGCCACCATGCCCAGCTAATTTTTTGTATTTTTAGTAGAGATGGGGTTTCACCATGTTGGCCAAGCTGGTTTCCTGACCTCAAGTGATCCGCCCATCTCAGCCTCCCAAAGTGCTGGGATTACTACAGGCATGAGCCACTGCACCCGGCCTGGAAATGCAATTTATCGATTGTTTTGATAAACTCAGACATTTGCCATTCAGATAGAGATGTGGCATCATTGCTTGTTCAAACTTTAAAAGCCTTTCCACCTTAGAAATGTTCATTGCATAGGGCCGGGCAAGGTGGTTCACGCCTGTAATCCCAGCACTTTGGGAGGCTGAGGTGGGCGGATCACAAAGTCAGGATCACGAGACCAGCCTGACCAACATAGTGAAACCCCATCTCAACTAAAAATATAAAAAATTAGCCAGGCATGGTGGCAGGTGCCCGAAATCTCAGCTACTCGGGAAGCTGAGGCAGGAGAATTGCCTGAACCCTGGAGGCAGAGGTTGCAGTGAGCCAAGATCGTGCCACTGCACTCAAGCCTGGGTGACAGTGCGAGACTCCACCTCAAAAAAAAAAAAAAGAAGAAGAAAAAAGAAATGTTCATTGCATAACCCCAATCCAAGACCACACTAAAGTCCCAAGATTCAAAGATGAGGTTTCCAAAACCTTGAGTGGCTTCAGCCATTTGCTAAGTGCCAACCAGGCACTTTACATGGTGTATGGGTGGCTAATGACATGGGGAGATGGCAGTGTGCAGCCATGCAAACCAGACAGTGTGGTTTTGGCAACTGGAAGGAATTGAAGACCTGCACAGTGTCTTTGGACCTGCAGCATCTCAGAATGAGCTATGAGCTGGGGGCAGCTGGACTCCCCCACCATAACCCTGGACGTTGAAACTACCCCAGACTCGTGGGACTCAGGTGCCACCAAGAGGCCTCACTCTCTTTTTAACTCATCCAGAATTTGTTTGCAGGCCCTGAGAGGGTCCATCTTCTCCTCTCTCATCACCATCACGTGATGACACCCGTACCTTTATAGTTGGCATTTTCCAGGCTGCTGATCACCTCAGTCATATCCCGGGAGTTGTCGTTCAGGACAGACATGAGGACTTTGGGCTCTGAGGCAAAGGTGATAATGGCAACGCTCACATTGATCTCAAAGCTGAAGATCTGTGCGGGGCAAGTGAGAGGCAGCGTAAAGGGCCCTGAAGCCAAAGGGGAGATGGTAAGAGAGCAAACAAAGGGCCCTGGAGGAGGCAGAGAAACTGGAGTGAGACCGACAGAGGCAAGGACCAGGGGAGACACTAGGAAATGGCTGTTAGGAAGAAGCTAGGGGCTGGGCGCGGTGGCTCATGCCTGAATCCCAACACTTTAGGCAGGTGGATCACCTGAGGTCAGGAGTTCGAGACCAGCCTGACCAACATGGCAAAACCCATCTCTACTAAAAATACAAAAATTAGCCTGGTATGGTGGCAAGCACCTATAATCCCAGCTACTCAGGAGGCTGAGGCAGAAGAATCACTTGAACCCAGGAGGCAAAGTTTGCAGTGAGCTGAGATCGCACCACTGTACTCCAGCCTGGGTGACAGAGACTCTATCTCAAAAATAATAATAATAATAATAATAATAAAAATAAGGAACAGCAGCAGCTAAGGAAGAAACCTTTGTTGAACATCTTTCTCTTTGACAGACTCTCTTCACTCCACCCTGTGAGGGGCATGATGACCCCTATTTTATGGATAAGGAAACTGAGGTATGTTGCCTTGTCCCCCTTCCCCCATCACACCATGAGGAGGAGGTGGAAGTGGGATCTGAATGTGTCACATGATTCTCAATCACTGCTCCAACTGGTGTGTGTTGCCGCCTCGCAGTGCAATGAGTTACTTAATTTTGAGTCCCAAGAGAGCACAGAAACTGCCCTCTTTAAAATGTAGCTGGGAGGGAAAACCATCTATAATGTTACATGAAGTATTGTGAAAAGCACAATTACAAAACAAAGTTCTGGCGAGGAACTTAAACCAGTGGCTTCCAAACTTCTATCACACATATTTTATTTTATTTTATTTTATTTTATTTATTTTTTTGAGACAGAGTTTTGCTCTAGTTGCCCAGGCTGGAGTGCAATGGCGTGATCTCAGCCCACTGCAACCTCCACCTCCCGGATCCAAGCGATTCTCCTGCCTCATCCTCCCAAGTAGCTGGGTTACAGGCGTGCGCCATCACATGTGGCTAATTTTGTATTTTTAGTATAGACAGGGTTTCATCATGTTGGTCAGGCTGGTCTCAAACTCCTGACCTCAAGTGATCCACCTGCCTCGGCCTCCCAAAGTGTTGGGATTACAGGCACTAGCCACCATGCCCAGTCTATCACACACATTTTAAAGCCTGCACAAAATGTTGAAGTTTTAAAAGGAAATTATTAAATATTAAATTATTAATCTGATTTAAATTATTCCACAGGGGCACCAGTATTTTTCTGCTTCACTCCTGTGGGTTATCTCACTACCTTTCTGTGGAGACCACTGTTCTAGATGATGAATTCCTGGAAAGTAAGACCTCAGCCTTTCCATCTTTGCTGTCGCCCAGCCCCAGCACAGTGTCCCAACAGTGCTTGTGGAATAAAAATTATGATTGTATAAATTGAATTCATGATTCCTACATGGCATGAGTATAATCTGAGAAGACTTCTTGGAGGAGGTGGGCTGTGAGTGGGGTTCTGAGGAGGGGAAGGAGACAGAGAGAGATAGTGAGCACAGGAAGGCCTCTGCTGCAGGCAGACTCCTGATTCCTGACCCTGTCCACCATGAGGGAGGCGCTCTCCTTGAAGATGAGAAAGTCATTTTCCGACACACTCTGCGAACAGTCCAGGAGCAGGTAGAGGTTCAGATGACCAGAGCGCTGGATTTGGATTTTACGGCCCAGGCTTTCTGGAGAAATGTGGAAGGGGAGGATTCAGATCCCCACCTCCTTCCTGCGCTCTCGCCAAGCAGGTCCAGCTTCTCTGCCTCCCTCCCTTTCAGTGGCTGAGCCCACCAAGGCTCCTGGCCTCCAGGAAGGTTGCATCCTCCCTTGCTCCGGCCCAGATCCAGCACCCTGCTCAACCAGAAACCCCACCTCAAACACTCACCCTTTGTCTTCTGGGTGGGATTGGTGGCCCCAAGCATGTGGGAGAAGGAAGTGCCCAGGGCAGGGGCCACGTCCTCAGGGAAGTCATAAGAGTAGGGTTCTGTGGGGAGAGCCACACAGGAGTCAGCCGGGGCAGTGGCCGGGTGTGCCGAGGAATCTCAGGAGGGCAGGGCAGCTACTCACGGCGGCAGATGGGCTCCGTTCCACTCCAGACCCCGTTGCCCTGGCACTCCCGCTCCGAAGACCCCGTGAGCACAAGATTCGAGGAGCAGCGATAGCGGACCTTGTCCCCATGACCAAAGCGGAAGCCTGTCCGCACTGCGCCCAGTGAAATGCCTGGGTTGGGGCAGTGGCCAGCTGCGAGTGAACAAAGGAAGGCAGAGGTGAGTAGCCCCCTCCCATCAGGCTCTGCCTCCTCAGCGGCCTCAGTTGCCAGCAGAAGCTTCCCAGTTCCAACCCAGGGATGCACCCATGTCTGTCCCAGAGCCCCCAGAGACCCAGGGAAGAAGTCAGCTGATGGTCCCTCCACTCCTTCAGAGAACATTTATATTTCATAAACCACAGTGAGGCATCCCTACACACCCATCAAAACGGCTAACACTGAAACAACAGGTAATTCCAAGTGTTGGAGAGGATGCAGAGCGACTGGCACTCTGTTACCTTGCTGGCATGTACGTGGGTGAAACTTTCTCAGCCTCTACTACAACTAAACATATGCCAGCCTGTGATGTGACAATTCCACATTTAGATCATTTACTCAAGAGAAGCAAGTGCATACATGTACCAAAATCACATGCAAGAATGTTCCTAGAGCTCCCTCTCCCTCACCCTCTCCCCATGGTCTCCCTCTCCCTCTCTTTCCACGGTCTCCCTCTGATGCCGAGCCGAAGCTGGACGGTACTGCTGCCATCTCGGCTCACTGCAACCTCCCTGCCTGATTCTCCTGCCTCAGCTTGCCGAGTGCCTGCGATTGCAGGCGCGCGCCGCCACGCCTGACTGGTTTTCGTATTTTGTTAGTGGAGACGGGGTTTCGCTGTGTTGGCCGGGCTGGTCTCCAGCTCCTAACCGCGAGTGATCCACCAGCCTCGGCCTCCCGAGGTGCTGGGATTGCAGACGGAGTCTCGTTCACTCAGTGCTCAATGATGCCCAGGCTGGAGTGCAGTGGCGTGATCTTGGCTCGCTACAACCTCCACCTCCCAGCAGCCTGCCTTGGCCTCCCAAAGTGCCGAGATTGCAGCCTCTGCCCGGCCGCCACCCCGTCTGGGAAGTGAGGAGCGTCTCCGCCTGGCCACCCATCGTCTGGGATGTGAGGAGCCCCTCTGCCTGGCTGCCCAGTCTGGAAAGTGAGGAGCGTCTCTGCCCGGCCGCCATCCCATCTAGGAAGTGAGGAGCGCCTCTTCCCGGCCGCCATCACATCTGGGAAGTGAGGAGCGTCTCTGCCCTGCCGCCCATCGTCTGAGATGTGGGGAGCACCTCTGCCCGGCCGCCCCATCCGGGATGTGAGGAGCGTCTCTGCCCGGCCGCCCCGTCTGAGAAGTGAGGAGACCCTCTGCCTGGCAACCGCTCCATCTGAGAAGTGAGGAGCCCCTCCGCCCGGCAGCCGCCCTGTCTGAGAAGTGAGGAGCCCCTCCGCCCAGCAGCCACCTGGTCCGGGAGGGAGGTGGGGGGGTCAGCCCCCCGCCCGGCCAGCCGCCCCGTCCGGGAGGGAGGTGGGGGGGTCAGCCCCCAGCCCGGCCAGCCGCCCCGTCCGGGAAGTGAGGGGCGCCTCTGCCCGGCCGCCCCTACTGGGAAGTGAGGAGCCACTCTGCCCGGCCAGCCGCCCCGTCCGGGAGGGAGGTGGGGGGGTCAGCCCCTCGCCCGGCCAGCCGCCCCATCCGGGAAGTGAGGGGCGCCTCTGCCCGGCCGCCCCTGCTGGGAAGTGAGGAGCCCCTCTGCCCGGCCAGCCACTCTGTCCGGGAGGGAGGTGGGGGGGTCAGCCCCCCGCCCGGCCAGCCGCCCCGTCCGGGAGGGAGGTGGGGGGATCAGCCCCCCGCCCGGCCAGCCGCGCCGTCCGGGAGGGAGGTGGGGGGGTCAGCCCCCCGCCCGGCCAGCCGCCCTGTCCGGGAGGTGAGGGGCGCCTCTGCCCGGCCGCGCCTACTGGAAAGTGAGGAGCCCCTCTGCCCGGCCACCACCCCGTCTGGGAGGTGTACCCAACAGCTCATTGAGAAGGGGCCATGATGACAATGACGGTTTTGTGGAATAGAAAGGGGGGAAAGGTGGGGAAAAGATTGAGAAATCGGATGGTTGCCGTGTCTGTGTAGAAAGAGGTAGACCTGGGAGACTTTTCATTTTGTTCTGTACTAAGAAAAATTCTTCTGCCTTGGGATCCTGTTGATCGGTGACCTTACCCCCAACCCTGTGCTCTCTGAAACATGTGCTGTATCCACTCAGGGTTGAATGGATTAAGAGCGGTGCAAGATGTGCTTTGTTAAACAGATGCTTGAAGGCAGCATGCTCCTTAAGAGTCATCACCACTCCCTAATCTCAAGTACCCAGGGACACAAACACTGCGGAAGGCCGCAGGGTCCTCTGCCTAGGAAAACCAGAGACCTTTGTTCACTTGTTTATCTGCTGACCTTCCCTCCACTATTGTCCTGTGACCCTGCCAAATCCCCCTCTGTGAGAAACACCCAAGAATGATCAATTAAAAAAAAAAAAAAAAAAAGAATGTTCCTAGAGCTTTACTCCTAATGGCCCCAAACTGGAAATAATCCAAATGTCCATCAGGAGGGGAATGGATAAATTGTAATATACCCATATAATGGAATACTACACAGCAATAAAAAAGAACAAAGTACTGATACACACAACAGCATGGATAAATCTCACAGGCAGAATATAGAACAAAGGATGCCAGAAGCAACAGACCACATCCCGCATGATTCCATTTACAGGAAATGTAAGCACAAGGTACCTAGTCCATGGAGACAGAGGTCAGAAGAGCAGTTACCTTGTGGGAGGGGACAAGAGGGAACCTCATTCTGTCTTGGGTGGTGATTAGATGAGTGGATGCATTGTAACAAATCATTGAGCTGAATAGTTAAGATTTGTACATTTTACAATAGGTAAATTATGCCTCAATTTTAAAATAAGTTAGAGTCACGTCTAATAATTCAAGCATTACTTATCACAGTCTTACCAGGCATCTACTTCACCCTCCTACAGAATAAATGGCCATTTGCCAAAACCCAAGGGCATGAGTGGGGATCCATGGTCTGGGCCACTAGGTGAAGGTGGTCCTGCCATCTTGTGGACTCCGTGTCTTCTGTATGATGTGCTAAGAACCATGATCCAAGAAGCTCCCAAACCCACAGGCAAATGCAGCTCCAGGGAATCCTAGGAGCCCTACTTCTGCCAAGCAGAGCCCCTCACCATTCACAGGGGCAGCAATAACTATGACAAAAGTGCTTATGGCCAGGTGTGGTGGCACATGCCTGCATTCCCAGCTACTGAGGAGGCTGAGGTAGGAAGATCACTTGAGCTCAGGAGTTTGAAGCCAGCCTTGGCAACACAGCGAGATCCTGTCTCTTAAAGAAACAAAAACAAGGCCGGATGCCGTGGCTCACGCCTGTAATCCCAGCACTTTGGGAGGCCAAGGTGGGCAGAATCCCCTGAGGTCAGGAGTTTGAGACCAGCCTGGCCAACATGGAGAAACCCTGTCCCTACTAAGAATAGAAAATTACCGAGGCATGGTGGCGCATGCCTGTAATCCCAGCTTCTTGGGAGGCTGAGGCAGGAGAGTCACTTGAACCCGGGAGGCAGATGTTGCGGTGAGCTGAGATTGCGCCATTGCACTCCAGCCTGGGCAACAAGAGCTAGACTCCGTCTCAAAAAAAAAAAAAAGTGTACATGGCATTTATCAGATTCCAGGGGCTGTTTTTTTTGTTTTTTGTTTGTTTGTTTGTTTGTTTGTTTTGAGACAGAGTCTCACTCTGTCACCCAGGCTGGAGTGCAGTGGCACGATCTCGGCTCACTGCAACCTCTGCCTCCCAGGTTCAAGTGATTCTCCTGCCTCAGCCTCCTGAGTAGCTGGGATTAACCACGCCCAGCTAATTTTTGTATTTTTAGTATAGACGAGGTTTCACCACGTTGACCAGGCTGGTCTCAATCTCCTGACCTCAGGTGATCCACCCACCTCAGCCTCCCAAAGTGCTGGGATTACAGGCGTGAGGCACCGAGGCTGGCATTTTTTTTTTTTTTTTTTTTTTTTGAGACAGAGTCTTACTCTGTCACTCAGGCTGGAGTGCAATGATGCAATCTCGGCTCACTGCAATCTCCACTTCCTGGTTCAAATGATTCTCCTGCCTCAGCCTCCTGAATAGCTGGTATTACAGGCATGCGCCACCGCACCCGGCTAATTTTTGTATTTTTACTAGAGACGGGGTTTCACCATGTTGGCCAAGCTGGTCTCAAACTCCTGACCTTGTGATCCACCCCCCTTGGCCTCCCAAAGTGCTGGGATTACAGGCGTGAGCCACCGCACTCCAGGGCTGTTGTATATGCTTACTAATGTCAACTCATTTAATCCAGATGGCAATCTCAGGTCAGCACTCACTATCCTTGTCTTACAGATGGGAAAACTGAGGGCTAGAAAGGTTAAATAGCCTTCCCAAAGTCTGTCAAAGTCAGAGTAGGGCTTGGAACCCAAACCTGGCTTTAAAGGCAAGGCATTAAAGCACAGTACTTGACTCTCTCCCAGCATATCTTCCCTACAACAATCTGTGGGGCCTGAATATGAAGTCTTGCTTTGAGGCACTTAGAAAAGCCAGGCAGAGTGTGTGGAGGCTTTATGCTACATCTGAAGCTTAGCACCAGCTGCCTGGGGCCTGGCCCTTGCAGACTTGTGATGTGTGACCTGTAGACCTCAATTTACCAAAATCCAGGAATATTATTATGGCACACTGAACAACAGACTCCTATCCCCACAGAGGCTTCCTGGATGCACATTGGGCCCCAGGGTTCCCCAGGAGACCCCAGCCCCCTGTGTAGCCCATCAGCCAGAGAACTCACCCCCATTATCACACACAGCTGTTTCTCCATCCCACATGCCGTTGGGGCGACACTGACGCACAGGCGAGCCCCGCAATATGAAGCCATCCTCACACTCGAAGCTCACATTGCCACCCACGGGATAGGACCCCAGCCGTGGGGTATAAATGCCATTCTCAAAGGAGACAGGGGCTGGACAGCGCACAGCTGGAGAGAGAGGAAGTGGGTGGGGAATATAGGACTGGATGGATAACACCTGGGCTGGGGATTAAGCAGGTGATTTTATGCTGGAATGCATGGGAATGGTCAACTGGCTGTCAAAACACTGAAATATTAGGTTGCAACATGTGAAATTGCTGTTTTTGGCAACTGATTGAATATTGCCAATTTCACAGAGTCTAAGCGAACTGATTGATAAATAGCCACTTCCCTCAGTCTCCTGAGGGCCGTGGCCTCCCCAGACACTCCCCTTGGGATCCTCAGATGTCTAGAGGACTCCAGGACCATTCAGCATCTGTTCTGAATGGTCACTACTAGGCAGTCAATTGTACATAAAAAGTCATCCCTGGCTTTAGTACCCCACAGTCTCCATCAAGACCTGTTCCCAATTCCTTGCTACTGGCAATTGACATTTTCTGGATATTTTGAAAAGCCCTCTGCAAAAGCAACTTTGCCATCTAGTCAGGTTAAGTCCCACCCTGAGCAACTCCTAAACAAAAGTTCTGGGGTGGCCCCTGGTGTAGCACCCTGAGCAAAGCCCACAGGGAGCCTCACGTTTGCAGACCGCCTTAGACAGAGACCGGGTGGCTCCTGGGGTCTGCCACTGTCCGCTGCTCTTGCACAGCCGTGATGCTGGGGATGGGTACAGGCCCTGGGGGCAGGAGTAGGTGAGAAGGCTCCCAGGAGCCCAGCCATGGCTGAGGGTGAAGGTGCCACCCGAGATATTCACGTTCTGAGGGCAGGAGGGAGCCGAGTCTGCCAGACCTAGAGCCGTGGGAACAAGGAGACAGCAATGGAGAAAGAAGGAAGACACAGATGAGAAAAGGAAAGCAAAAGAGACTGTTTCACACATGGGAATTCAAGCTGGGAGCACCAACCTCACACACAGGACCCTGACGTTCCCCCTTCCCTGCCTCCTACCTGGGTACAGGAACAGCAGGCAAAAAAGAACCATCAGTGGGCCCATGGTGTCCTCCCTAGGGGCGGCGAGAGGTAGAGAGCCGCGGGAGGGAAAAGGTCATCTGACTTCCCGAAAACTAGAGCTGGGTCAGCAGCTGCTTCATTGCTGCCAGAGAAGAAAAACCAGGGAGTGGCAAGGGGGATGGTCTTCTGTTAGGGAAATAATAAGCAGGGATTGGGGACTGAACTGAAGGGTGAAACCTTTGCCCTGTCTCCCTGATGCTAATATATCTATAGGGTCAATAGATCTCCCCCACAGGCTTTGTGTACTGCCCCCACGCTCCACCCACCCATGCGTGCACATGTGCACCATACACGCATGCTCACAAACACGCAGGCAAACACATATTTGGGCTCGTGTGTGCACACATGCACCTTGCTCTTGTGTGAATAGTCAATAGTCTAAAGCACACAAACCCACAAACCATCCAAGATATTGCAAAATATTTCATTTAAGTAAAGTTTTAGTGTTCTTTTGGGTTGTACCAAGTGGGTTTTACTTCCTGAGAGCCTAGAACAGTTCTGTCTTCTTGAAGATAAACTTCCGAGGGGGGTGAAACTAATTTTTTTAGAACTTCTTGATAAATAGGAAGATTGACAATACTTTTTTATTCCCTACAATCCTTCCCTAGAGATAATCTAGGTGGAAAAAATGAAATCAACACTTAGTTTTGGAGACAGGAAAAATGTTTACAACATTTTTACGGAAAGTCTAGTAGATGAAATTCCCAACTGGCAAAGTAAATACATTTGGGGTTGGTTACTCAAAGGAATAAAACTTTTGCGGGGGCTGGGATATGCCTTTAAATCATAACCTACACTTGTATGAAATGCAGGAAGCAAAGAAACTTGAAGCTAGTGTGTTAGTCTCCCTGACCCACAGAAGTCTTTTCAATACCTTTTTGAACAATGTAGGGTAAAAATAAATAAGACCAATAAAAAAATGAACATGAAACCTCTCTGAAGTGATCATTTAGGTTCGTAAAAACCCTTTTGATTTATAAGTGAGTCCTTAGAGAACTGATTGAACCTAGAAGATGGAGGTTGCAGTGAGCCAAGATTGTGCCACTGCACTCCAGCCTGGGCAACAGAGTAAGACTACATCTCAAAAAGAAAAAAAAAAAATAAGACCGGGCACAGTGACTCACGCCTGTAATCCCAGCATTTTGGGAGGCTGAGGCGGGTGGATCATGAGGTCAGGAATTTGAGACCAGCCCGGCCAACATGGTGAAACCCCGTCTCTACTAAAATTACAAAAAATTAGCCGGGTGTGGTGGCAGGGGCCTGTAATCCCAGCTACTCGGGAGGCTGAGGCAGGAGAATCACTTGAACCCGGGAGGCAGAGGTTGCAGTGAGCCAAGATCATGCCACTGCATTCCAGCCTGGGTGACAAGAGCAAGACTCTGTCTCAAAAAAAAAAAAAAGAGTACACAAATTGAGACTCCCCTTGGACAGGGCTAAGTGCATGAAAATCAGGACATCCTGGTGTTAGGGACTCCAAAGTGGCTGCTGTGGCAGAGCTGCTAGTGCCTCCCCTGCCCCTCAAGTATCTTTTCTCCCTCCTTCCACAGTAAGAGATGGTTAGGGGAACACACAGTCACCCAGCTAAAGACCATATTTCCTAGCTTCCCTTGCAGCTAGGTAGCCAGGTGACTTGGTTCTGGCTAATGGGATGTTAGTAGAACTTATGTATGTCATTTCCAAGTTATGTCCCTAAAATAAAAAGGCAGTGTGCCTTTTCTTTTCATGGGCTGGAATATAAACCTAGCGGAGATCCGTCTTCCACCAGGAGGATGAGGGCAACATGCTGGGGATGACAGAGCAAACAGACAGAGGAGCCTGGGTGTCTGACACAGTGTTGATGTCATACCAGCCCTGCACAGCCACTTAGATTGTTACAAGAGAGAAATAAACTATCGTAAAGGTGGGGGGTATTTAAGGATGTTCACAAATACTGTAGCCTTGTCTTCTTTCAATCACATGGTAGGATAGGATTTCCCCAGCCACTTGTTTTAGCCAATAAGATGTGAGTACAAGTGATATGTATCACTTCCTGATGGAAGCTCAATGTAGTCTTCACCCTGCTCTTCCCCTCTGTATGGTAACGTCTGAGATGGTGGCTGCTCCACCAGCCAAGATCCCTGGGTGATATCGAAAGCACAGTACCAGCCGGGCACAGTGGCTCACACCTGTAATCCCAGCACTTTGGGAGGCCGAGGCAGGGGGATCACCTGAGTTCAGGAGTTAGAGACCAGCCTGACCAACATGGTGAAACCCCATCTCTACTAAAAATACAAAAATTAGCTGGGCGTGGTGGCATACGCCTGTAATCCCAGCTGCTCAGGAGGTTGAGGTAGGAGAATCGCTTGAACCCGGGAGGCAGAGATTGCAGTGAGCCGAGATCACACCACTGCACTTCAGCCTGGGTGACATAGGGAGACTCTGTCTCAAAAAAGAAAAAAAAAGCGCAATACTCGGCTGACTCTCAGTGGATAAGTAATATGACCAAAAAATAAACCTTTGTTATTTTAATTCATTGCATTTCTACTAATGCAGGAAAAAAAGTACCCACCCAATATGTAGGAAATTTAAAAATGATTTATTCTTTCTCATATTGGCCAGAAGGTTCTTCTGCTGATCTTCCATGCAGCGGCAGTCAGCTAGGGGCTGAGTTCAGTTAACAGTAGGACAGCAGGTCCTTCCTCCCTAGCCCTCATAGCATGGCAGTCTCAGGACAACTTCTGAGGAATCCAAAACATAAGCTGCAAGGTCTCTCGAGGCCTAGCCCCAAAAGTCACATAACATCACTTCTGCCACATTCTATTGGTCAAAGCAAATCACAAGGTCAGCCCAGATTTAAGACTGGAGGCATAGAATTTACCTCTTGATAGGAGGAATGGCAAAGTCACACGGCAAAGGGGCAGGCACATCAGAATAGGAGAGACTGATGGCTATATTTTGTAAGCCCTCCTATGGCAACAAATATTTCTAGGTTGTTGGTTACCAGAACGTAATGAAGCCTAACCTGACTGAACATTCAAATCACTAAACTGTGGGTGCCTTTTAAAGCCATCAAACTAATATGTAACAGCTGCCTTCAAAAGAAAGGGCCTTTCTTTCATGAGTTTTTCCCAGTATTTGTTGAGCTACATCAACTTGGCACAGTGTGGCAGAATTCATTCTCTCTTCCTGCTTAAGTAATAAAACTCCCAAGTTTTCTGGGCCCACAGAGTATGTTCTTAAGGAGAAGTGTTTACTCCTCAATGTATAAAACTTCTTCCCTTCCCACCAGCTGGAATGTGGACAGAATGGTGGACTCTGGAACAGCCACCTAGATCACAAAATGGAAGTCACATGTGGATGATGATAAAGAAACAAAATTAAAGAGGCCCTGCTCTCCAATCCTGTAGAGCTAATAGGATTGACCTGGACCACTTATGCTCAGACCATTTAAGCTGCTGTTATTCTAGCTTGGTTATAACAAAGCCAAACCATGTCTAACTGATATACCTAGCAAGAAATCAATGTGAGAGCCAAAGGCAACACTCAGAGAAGTGTGTTTATTAGGATACACGTTAAACTTCTGTAATAAAGAGACCCTAAAATACAGTAACTTAAATAAGATAGAATTTTGCTGCACTTTCAAATAAGAGCCTCAGAGGCCGGGCGCGGTGGTTCACGCCTGTAATCCCAGCACTTTGGGAGGCCGAGGCGGGTGGATCACAAGGTCAGGAGATCGAGACAATCCTGGCTAACACGGTGAAACCCCGTCTCTACTAAAAAATACAAATAATTAGCCGGGCGCGGTGGCAGGCGCCTGTAGTCCCAGCTACTCGGGAGGCTGAGGCAGGAGAATGGCAGGAACCCGGGAGGCAGAGTTTGCAGTGAGCTGAGATCGCGCTACTGCACTCCAGCCTGGGAGACAGAGCGAGACTCCATCTCAAAAAAAATAAATAAATAAGAGCCTCAGAGGCCGGGTGCGGTGGCTTACGCCTGTAATCCCAGCACTTTGGGAGGCCGAGGCGGGCGGATCACGAGGTCAGGAGATCGAGACCATCCTGGCTAACATGGTGAAACCCTGTCTCTACTAAAACTACAAAAAAAAAAAAATTAGCTGGGTGTGGTGGCGGCGCCTGTAGTCCCAGCTACTCGGGAGGCTGAGGCAGGCGAATGGCGTGAACCCGGGAGATGGAGCTTGCAGTGAGCGGAGATCGTGCCACTGCACTCCAGCCTGGGTGACAGAGCAAGACTCCATCTCAACAA
The DNA here is from genome assembly GCF_000001405.40 of Homo sapiens. Lineage (NCBI taxonomy): Eukaryota > Metazoa > Chordata > Mammalia > Primates > Hominidae > Homo > Homo sapiens. The sequence goes on along the minus strand of NT_113891.3, from coordinate 3,400,923 downwards.
AAAAAAAATAAAAACAAAATAAGAGGCTCAGGGTAAGCAGACAAGGCTGAGATGGCGTGTGTGGCCCTGGCTGGCAGAGCTGCTCATCAGCCTCCTTCAGGCCTCCAGCTTCCTTCCATCTGTGGTTCATGCCTTTGGAAATTGTCCTTGTCTGCATGGTTGAAACAGGGTCTCCATCAAGTCTGCCTCCCACCCCACTCTTCCATTCATATTCCATTGGCAAAAAGTCAGTTATAGTCCACTGTCAGCTCTCCAGGAGGCCCAGTCGAATGTGGAAGGACCATGACCTGACCTGTGGGGCTAAAGATGCCAGACCTTTATTCCCCTCGGCACTCCCGATTAGCTTTTCAGTAGACCCCACCAGATGAGGGCGACCTTGGCTTCTCTATTTCTTGTACCATTCAAAAGCCCAGCAAATGTAACCGTGTTTTCACTCCAGGTAGAGGGAAGCAGGTGAATAATATCTAAAAAACAGACATGCCTCTCCTGCCAGCTTCTTCCATCTTGTCCAAATTTCTTCTTATCAATTCTAGGCTTCTAATATCTGCTTCCAAGGGTACAATTCCAAAGAGAAAAAACCAATACCCCAATTCTGTACTTCATCTCCTAGTCAGAGTTGGATTTTTGCTTTTGGTTTTTTTGGTTTTTTGTTTTTGAGACAAAGTCTTGCTTTGTTGCCCAGGCTGGAGTGAAGCAGTACGATCTCGGCTCACTGCAACCTCCACCTCCTGGGTTCAAGGGATTCTCCTGCCTCAGACTCCCAAGTAGCTGGGATTACAGGCATGTGCTACCATGCCCAGCTAATTTTTGTATTTTTAGTAGAGATGGGGTTTCACCATGCTGGTCAGGCTGGTCTCAAACTCCTGACCTCAGGTGATCCACCTGCCTCTGCCTCCCAAAGTGCTGGGATTACAGGTGTGAGCCACTGTGCCAGGCCCCCTAATCAGAGTTTAAAAATCAGAAATGATGCTCTGATGGCCTCTCAGGATGCCTTATTCTCCCCTGGAGAGCTCAGCACCTTGCAGCTGAAAATTTCTGAGGAAACGTGGCATATAGCAGAGGCCGACCCCACTCTAGTGGCCAGTCTACTCCTTATCCAGTCTGGCCACTTGGGCATGGACTTCGCGGTCATCCTAGGATCTGCCACCCCTCAACCTTCTATGGCAACTGCAGGTCAACCCCCAAATTGGAAAACTAGTCTGGCTTGGCCTGGTTCACAGCCTTAATGTGTGACTTTAGATGGGGATTCAGCATTGCTCTGCAAGCCTCTTGGTGGTTTTAGTGGATCTGTCCTTGCCCCACCATATCCCTTGGGCCTTATCACTGGGGTGCTCCACTGACTTCCAGCTGCAGCATCTCTGTCTCTACCCAAGGATTGTTTTTGGTGTCCTGCACCATCTGTGCACAGAAAGCTGGAAATGACAGAGAATTAAGGCCTTCAACCAATGACTGATTGGTATAAATACTGGGCTCCCTCACCCTGGACCATGGGATAACTCTGCACCACTCCAGGGTTCCTGAGTGGGATTGACCTCCACTCACCCACAATGGTAAATTTGCCTGATAACACACCCTTCATTGACTGCCTTCCTTCTCTATCACACTCCACTACCCATGTTTCTTGCGATCACCTCCAGAATGCACTGTCTGCACTGGAACCCTTGTCTCCAGGTCTGCTTCTGGGGGAGGAAGACTTCATATTAGCAGGACATAGTGCCAGACAGTATTTTTAAGTCTTAAATGTAGGTGCTCACTTAATCCTCACAGCAAGCTTATGACACAGGTTCTGTTGTTACTCCCACTTTACAGATGAGGGAACTGAGGCACACAAAGGTTAAGTGAGCTGCCCCAGGTTCATACAGGTACTAAGCAGCAGAGCCGGGATTCAAACCCAGGCAGCATGGCTCCTGGGTCCACACTCATAGCCACCAAGTGGTAGTGCCTCTTCCTCACGTCTTCTCTTTAGTGACTGCTGGGAGCTCCTTGCGCATCCCTGAAGTCTACCCCAGCCCCTTGCATTTCCAAGCCCTCTCTCCCCTAGGCTCTTTCCTCTTGGCACCCCCTCTCCCATAACACCTTCTTTTCCATCCTTCTCAAATCCCTCATCTTCCAGACTCCTACAAGACCTGTCCACGCCATTTCCCACCTTCTAGCTACTTGTGCACTTGTCTCAAGCTCCCCAGAGGAAGGATCCAGGAGTTTTTTTTTTAAACAATGAGCTATCCAAGTAAGGTCAAGCCAATGCCCTCCCCCATCCTATTTCCACCCCAAGTAAATAGCATCTTTCAGGTCAGCAACAGAATTGGCTTTGGTTTCTCATCCATTTCTTTTTTAATAAAAATATTTACATTGGGTCAGACCCCACCCATTTCCACACAAAGGCCTCTGCTAAGTTCCTCGGTACACACACCATCCCCCATCCTAGCAGGCACTGCCTACTAACTTTGAAGTGATTGCCCAACTATGATCTTGAGGAATCTCCACATACATCACCCTTAGAGCCTCAGAAAGGGTTTTGCCCTGCCCCATGGGGCTCCTCCCCATGCCCAGGCTCTTCCAGGGCCCTGGGCCTCAGAGGCCACCCTGCAGGCCCAGACACTGGGTTAGACACTGAACCTCCTGTCCTTGTCCATCCATTGCACAAACAATTCCTGAGAATGGAACGAGGAACTAAGGGGTGGGGTAGGGCCTCCCAAGAAACAGAAGGCCTGTCCCTGACCTCCTGTAGGCGCCATATCTCTTTCAGACAAAAACTCAACCTCTAAAGACTCACAGGCCTGGGGTGTACCAGGGTGTCCATCTGCCCACACCGCAGCTCTTACCTCAGCCCTCTGAGGTCTCCACTGTCCTTGGGCTGGTGGGGGGCATGGTGCATGTTATCACCCACTTCTTGCTACCCATCAGGGAAGCTGCCCTGGGTAACCCAGGTAAGAGGGTGGTAAACACAACTCAGGTGCTCAGGGGTCAGCTGAGGATGGGCCAGGGGGAGGGGTGGCCTATGGCTGAATTGCCCTGGCTCCGGTCCTCACCACCCCAACCCCAGCTCTGGGCTTAGCATTGGTGGCAGTGGGGGCCTCACTAGCCTCCTCTGCCCTTTCATTGAAAATTCCTCTCTAATGTTTTCCTTTATCCTGGGGAGTGGGGAGATATTCATCCCCTTCCCAGTTCTGGGTACCAGTACCCTCTTGACAAAAGGATAGCCTGGGGCTCACATGGGAGAATCCTCCTGCCCTCACTCCTCCAGTGCTGCCAAGGGGTGAAGAGGGAACTTGCCCAGTAGAAAGACATACGTTCATGCCTTGCTTTCCTGCCCAACACAAATGAAAGGTTATACCTGAGAAGAGCTCCTCCTGCCCCGTCTCTGGCCCCAGCCCCAGTGTGGTATGAGGAATTCAGGCTTTGACTTAAGACAGCCTGGAACCTCAGGTTTGGCTTGGCAAATTCATTAGCTATTTCGTAGCCTTACTCACCCTGTTTTGTCACCTGTCATCCACAGAACCAACAGCAAAATACACTCCCCTTAAGGTTACCTTTGAGAATTAGGACCATCAAAAGGAGAAGATCGGCTACCCTACAGGTATAAAAGGTACCAGGATATTTGCTTTAGCATTCACTGTTACCAAGAGGAAATGTTTGGAAACTCCCACGTCCATTAATAGGGGACAGACACAGCACATTGTGGTATGGGGACAACTGAATACTACGCAGTCTCTGCAAGCTTAAGGCTTATCTGTGTGTACAGAGCTGAATGTCTCCAGATATATATGTTATATAATATACACTTTTAAACTAGATAGACATTCAGAACTGTATGTATGGGATGCCACCATTTATGCAAAAAAAGGAGGGAAAGAGGATAGTAGCCACATATGCTCTCTGTGTGTATATAATTTCACTGGAAAAGTTTACAAAAAACTGGATAGGAGAGTTGCCTCTGGGGAGAACTGGGGGCTGGAAAATGAGGTGGGAGGTAAAGAAGGCAACTTAATTTTCACCAAATCCCCTTTATTACTCCTTGTAGTTTTCACTGGGTACATATGATACCTATTCAAGGCCAGGCCCAGTGGCTCACGCCTGTAATCCCAGCACTTTGGGTGGCCAAGGCAGGTGGATCACCTGAGGTCAGGAGTTTGAGACCAGCCTGACCAACATGGTGAAATCCCGTCTCTACTAAAAATACAAAAATTAGCCGGGTGTGTTGGCAGGCACTTGTCACCCCACCTACTCAGGAGGCTGAGGCAGGAGAATTGCTTGAACCTGGGAGGCAGAGGTTGCTGTGAGCTGAGATTGCACCACTGCACTCCAACCTGGGCAACAAGAACAAAACTCCGTCTCCAGAAAAAAAAAAAAAAGAAAAGAAAAGAAAAGAAAAGAAATACCCTACTGGACTATTAACAAGAGACCCTGATACAATCTCTCTGCAGATTAAGTTTTATTTTGTAAAATTTCAAACATATTGTAAAGTAGAGAGAATAGTAAAATGAACTTTCATGTATGTATCCATCATCTAGCTTCAGTTCATAGACGGTCTCGGTTCATAGACGGTCTGGGTTCATGTCTATATACCACCCACCAACCATTCCTTCCAGGAATTTTTTTTTTTTTTTTTTTTTTGAGACAGAGTCTTGCTCTGTCACCCAGGCTGGAGTGCAGTGATGCAATCTCGGCCCACTGCAACCTCTGCCTCCCAGGTTCAAGCCTCCTGAGTAGCTGGGATTACAGGTGCCCGCCACTACACCCAGCTAATTTTTTTGTATTTTTAGTAGAGATGGGGTTTCACCAACTTGGCCAGGCTGGTCTTGAACTCCTGACCTCGTGATCCGCCCACCTCGGCCTCCCAAAGTGCTGGAATTACAGGCGTGAGCCACCGCTCCCAGCCAGGATTTTTTTTTTTTTTTAAGTTAAAGACAGGGTCTCACTGTCACCCAGGCTGGAGTTTAGTGGTGCAATCACAGCTCACTGTAACCACAAACTCCTGGGCTCACATGATCCTCCCACCTCAGCCTTCCAAGAAGCTGGGACAAGAAGCATGCATCACCATGCCCAGCTAATTTATTCATTTATTTACTTTTGTAAAGACAGGGGTCTCAGTATGTTGCCCGGACTGGCCTCAAACTCCTAGCTTCAAGTGATCCTCCTGCCTCAGTCTCCCAAAGTGTTAGGATTACAAGTGTGAGCCACTGTGCCTGGCCTCGAGGAATATTTTTTTTTTGAGATGGGGTCTTGCTTTGTTGCCCAGGCTGGAGTGCAGAGACCTGATCATAGCTCACGGCAGCCTCAAACTCCTGGGCTTCCACAATCCTCCCACCTCAGCCTCCTGAGTAGCTGAGATTACAGGCATATGCCATCATACCAGGCTAAGTTTTTTTTAATTGTTTACTTTAATTAGAGATGAGGTCTTGCTATGTTTTCCAGGCTGGTCTTGAACTAGCCTCAAGCAATCCTCCAACCTAGGCCTCCCAAAGTGCTGGGAATTCATTAAAAATTTTTTTACGGAAAAGCTCAAATTTTTCATTTTAAAATATTTCTCTTTTTTCTTTTTTCAGAACATTTCTCACTTACATAAGAGCACATTTTCTTTCTCTTTTTTTCAGATAGAGTCTCTTTGTGTCACCCAGGCTGGAGTGCAATGGCGTGATCTCGGCTCACTGCAACCTCCGCCTCCCGGGTTCAAGCAATTCTCCTGCCTCAGCCTCCCAAGTAGCTGGGATTACAAACGGCTGACACCACGCCCAGCTAATTTTTGCATTTTTAGTAGAGACGGGGTTTCACCATGTTGGCCAGGCTGGTCTCCAACTCCTGGCCTCAGGTGATCCGCCTACCTCAGCCTCCCAAAGTGCTGGGATTACAGGCATGAGCCACCGCGCCTGGCCTTTTTTTCTTTTTTTAAAATTCCAACTTTTATTTTAGATACAGGGGGTACAGGTGCAGGTTTGTTACATGGGTATATTGCACTAGGTAGTCATAGAACCAATTAGGTAATTTTTTAACCCACACTCCCTCCCTCTCTCCCCTTCTAGTAGTCTTCAGTGTCTATTGTTCCTATATTTATGTCCATATGTGCTCAATATTTAGTTCCGTTATAAGTGAGAACATTAGGCATTTGGTTTTCTGTTCCTACGCTAATTCATTTAGGATTCTGTCCTCCAGCTCCATCCATGTTGCTGCAAAGGACATGATTTAATTTTTTTTTTTTATGGCTGCAAAACTATTTATCTTTCACTTCTTGGCTTTTACCAAAATAAAATGTTTCTTTTGAACTATAAATTTATAAAACATCTCATTGTTCTCTGTATCATAATTTTTTTCTTTTTTTTTTTTTTTCTGAGACAGAGTCTCACTCTGTCACCCAGGCTGGAGTGCAGTGGTGCCGTCTTGGCTCACTGCAACCTCCGCCTCCTGGGTTCAAGCGATTCTCCTGCCTCAGCCTCCCAAGTAGCTCGGATTACAGGTGCCCACCAGCACGCCGGCTAATTTTTGTATTTTTAGTAGAGACGAGGTTTCACCATGTTTGCCAGGCTGGTCTCAAATTCATGATCTCAGGTAATCCACCCGCCTCGGCCTCCCAAAGTGCTCAGATTACAGACATGAGCCACCACAGCCAGCCTTTTTTTTTTTTTTTTTTTTGTTGAGATGGAGTCTCGCCCTGTCACCCAGGCTGGAGTACAGTGGCGCTATCTCAGCTCACTACAACTCCAGCCTGGGCAAAAGGAGCAAAACTCTGTCTCAAAAAAAAAAAAAAAAAGGGCAGAGAACTAATGCCCAGAGTCAACCTGCAATTATTGCAGAGTGGGAAGCAGTAGACAGATGCTCCTGCCTCCTGTCCTTCAGGTGGAAAGCGTCTGGAGACATTCAGCTCTCTCCTCAGGAGGGCCTGGGGGAATCGAACTCCACTGCACACAACAGTGACATCACTCTTTTTTTTTTTTTTTTTTTTGAGACGGAGTCTCACTCTGTTGCCCAGGCTGGAGTGCAATGGTGCAATCTCTGCTCACCGCAACCTCCGCCTCCCAGGTTCAAGCAATTCTCCTGCCTCAGCCTCCCAAATAGCTGGGATGACAGGCACATGCCACCACGCCAGGCTAATTTTTGCAATTTTAGTAGAGACAGGGTTTCGTCGTGTTGGCCAGGCTGGTCTCGAACTCCTGACCTCAGGTGATCCACCCACCTCAGCCTCCCAAAGTGCTGGGATTACAGGCGTGAGCCACCATACCCGGCCAACATCATTCTCTTAAACTGGCCTTTCCTCCTTCAGGATCTCACACTCCCTATAGCCTCGCTTCTGCTTTCTGGGATCACCTAAATTAACTACCTATGGCCAAGTCCTGTCTCAAGCTCTGCTGTCAGGGTCACCAAAATTAAGATCATCCCTTTCCATCCTCCTCTCCCTATAAACTACTGCCCTTCTTCCACAAACTCCTTCCACGCCAGCAAACCCAGACTGTAACATTAACACAGAGTTATAATCCATCCATATACTGGTCTCTCCACATTCCTGGAGCACAAACTGCTAAAGGGTAGGAACGCTGTGACACGTTTGGTTCCCCCACTGTCCAGTGGGAGAGAGATATGTGAGCCAGTCAGCGCTACACCGAGTTGAGGCAGCCATTGAGGCTCTTCATGAATTTTCCCGTTTTCTGCCTTCCAGGCACATGATAGGATGGAATTCCTCAGCCCTCCTGAAGTTAGGCCACTGCAAGAGGCCTAACTGGCTTGCTTTGGCCAGTGAAATAAGAGCAGAAGTCACATGTGTTGTTACTGTCAGGCACAAGTATTTAACTGCCAATGTAACACAAGACACTCCAGCACCCTCTTTTGATGGAGCCTCCTTTGATCTGGATGCCTGAGTGACTATGATGATCAGAGACTCTAACACTCCTACTGACCCAACAGAGAGCAATAGTGAGAAATAAAACTGTTGTGTTAAGCTACTGAGATTCCAGGGTTGTTTGTTACTGCAGCATGATGTAGCCATCCTGACTGATACAAGCTGAGATAGGAGTCCATATAAAGTTCACAGGGACACAAACAGGGGAATATTAGGTCTCTCTAGAAGATCAGAAAGGTTTCATCAATGAACTTGAGATAGCCTTAAAAGATGAGTGTTTACCTGACAAGGAAGAGATGCAAGCATCCAGGTGAGCAATGAAACCCCAGAGCGCATTAAAGGAACTGCAAGTTCAGGACCTTTCAGGGCTGGGGAGGGAAGGAAGGCCACAATGACACTAGACCAGGGAGGAAGGAGAGAATGCCTTATGGAAGAAACAGCATTTACAGCTTGTAAGGCGATTTGCTATATGGAATTTTAGATAAGGAAGTGATATGATTTGATTTGCATTTCAGAAATATTATTCTGGAATCAGTATGTAGGGGCTGGAAGACCAGTTAAGAGACATTTAGAGTCCTGGCAAGACAACAGGGGCTAAAAGCAAGCACAGAAATGAGGAAGGGAAAGCCAGCACCAACGTTGAGGCATAGACCACGGGGCCCCTGAGCCCTCCTCTGACTCTCAGAACACCTGGGTGTCTTATCACATTGCACCATGACTGCTTGTTCATTGTTTTTGTTGTTGTTGTTGTTGTTGTGATGGAGTCTTGCTCTGTCGCCCAGGCTGGAGTGCAGTGGTGTGATCTTGGCTCACTGCAAGCTCCGCCTCCCGGGTTCACGCCATTCTCCTGCCTCAGCCTCCCAAGTAGCTGGGACTACAGGCGCCTGCCACCACGCCTGGCTAATTTTTTTGTATTTTTAGTAGAGACGGGGTTTCACCGTGTTAGCCAGGATGGTCTCCATCTCCTGACCTCGTGATCCACCCGTCTCGGCCTCCCACAGTGCTGGGATTACAGGCGTGAACCACCGCGCCCGGCCGATTGCTTGTTCATTAACTATAGTCTTCTTTTTTTTTTTTGAGACGGAGTCTCACTCTGTTGCCCAGGCTGGAGTGCAGTGGCACGATCTCGGCTCACTGCAACCTCTGCCTCCTAGGTTCAAGCGATTCTTCTGCCTCAGCCTCCCAAGTAGCTGGGACTACAGGCATACACCACTACGCCCAGCTAATTTTTGTATTTTTAGTAGAGATGGGGTTTCACCATATTGGCCAGGCTGGTCTCGAACTCCTGACCTCATGATCCGCCCACCTCGGCCTCCCAAAGTGCTGGGATTACAGGAGTGAGCCACCGCGCCCGGCCACTCAGGCAGGATTTCTATGTGACAGTCTTGAGGCAGAATTCCTTCTCTGGGAAACCTAAGTCTTTGCTCTTTAGGCCACAATATCAAGAGTAATCTCCTGGCTGGGCGTGGTGGCTCACACCTGAAATCCCAGCACTTTGAGAGGCCGAGGCAGGCGGATCACAAGGTCATGAGATTGAGACCATCCTGGCCAACATAGTGAAACACGGTGAATACAAAACTTAACTGGGCGTGTTGGCATGTGCCTGTAATCTCAGCTACTTGGGAGGCTGAGGCAGGACAATCACTTGAACCAGGGAGTCGGATCGCAGGTTGCAGTGAGCCAAGATCGCGCCTGGGTGACAGAGCGAGATTCCGTCTTAAAAAAAAAAGGGCCAGGCACGGTGGCTCATGCCTGTAATCCCAGCACTTCTGGAGGCCAAGGCGGGCAGATCACGAGGTCATGAGTTCAAGACCAGCCTGGCCAACATAGTGAAATCCTGTCTCTACTAAAAATACAAAAATTAGCCGGGTGTGGTGCCTGTAGTCCCAGCTACACGGGAGCCTGAGGCGGGAGAATTGCTTACACCCAGGAGGCGGAGGTTGCAGTGAGCCGAGATCACGCCACTACACTCCAGCCAGGGTGACAGAATGAGACTCCATCTCAAAAAAAAAAGAGTAAACTCCTTTACTTAACGTCAGCTGAGTATAGATGGCAATGTCTTTGCTTCGTTTTATTTTTTTGAGATGGAGTTTCGCTTTTGTTGCCCAGACTTGCCCAGACTGGAGTGCAATGGCGCGGTCTCAGCTCACTGTAACCTCTGCCTTCCAGGTTCAAATGATTCTTGTGCCTCAGCCTCCCAACTAGCTGGGATTACAGGTGCCTGCCACCACACCCAGCTAATTTTTGTATTTTTAGTAGAGATAGCGGTTCACCATGTTGGCCAGGCTGGTCGCGAACTCCTCACCTCAGGTGATCTGCCCACCTTGGCCTCCCAAAGTGCTCCAATTACTGGCGTGAGCCACTGTGCCCAGCCAAGATGTCAGTGTTATCTACAAAATGCCCTCACTGAAGTATCCAGACTACAGTCAGGCATGGTGGCATGCTTGTAGTCCCAGATACCCAGGAGGCTGAGGCAGGAGAATCACTTGAGACTGGGAGTTCAAGTTCAGCCTGGAGAACATAGTGAGAGTCTATCTCATTAAGATAAATAATAATGCAAATGTGTATATATACAGTGCCCAAGGGCACCATAGCCTTGCCAAATTGACACATCTTTTTTTTTTTTTTTTTTTTTTTGTGGAAACAGGGTTTCACCATCTTACCCAGAGTGGTCTTGAAATCCTGGGCTCAAGTAATCCTCCCACCTTGCCCTCCTAAAGTGCTGGGATTACAGGCGTGAGCCACTGCGCTTGGCCTGACACATAAAATTAACCATCACAGAGTCATCAATGTGGTAACCAATCTCTCTTTTTTTTTTTTTTTCTTTTTTGAGATGGAGTCCCGCTCTGTCACTCAGGCTGGAGTGTAGTGATATGATCTCAGCTCACTGCAGCCTCTGCCTCCCAGGTTCAAGCGATTCTCCTGCCTCAGCCTCCTGAGTAGCTGGGATTACAGGCACACACCATCACCCTGGTTAATTTTTTGTATTTTCAGTAGAGACAGGGTTTCACCATGTTGGCCAGACTGGTCTCGAACTCCTGACCTCAGGTGATCCACCTGCCTCAGCCTCCCAAAGTGCTCGGATTACAGGTGTGAGCCACCGTGCCCGGCCTGGTAACCAATCTCTAAAGAGCACATGGTACCACCCAGAGAGAATGAGATAAAGGCCTAGAAGGCCAAAGGCATCAACAGAGGAAAAGGTCAAGACAGGAAAGGAGTGAGGGTTTATAGAACAGACTGAAATTATAGAAGGAAGGGAGCCTGGATACAGGGGTGTCATGGAAACCAGGGAAAAGCAGTGGATCAAACAGTGTGGTCAAGTATGTCACAGACTGCAGAAAGCTCAAGTAAGAGGAGCACTGAATAATATCCATTAAATTTGAAGCCTTTATATCTTTTTTCCCAAGAAGCAACAGTCTCATGGCTGGTGTACAACTGCTTCAGAAAATAGTTTAGCATTAGCAGGGAAGCTGAACAGGTGCAGACCTCAACATCCAGCAACTCCACTCTTACGAATATGTGGATGCTTGCTACTCAGACTGTGGTCCACAGACAGACAGCATCAGCATCAGCAGGAACTTGTAGAAATGCAGAATCTGGCCAGGCACGGTGGCTCAACGCCTGTAATCCCAGCACTTTGGGAGACTGCAGTGGGCGGATCGCTTGAGCCCAGGAGTTAGAGACCAGCCTTGGCAACGTAGTGACCCGGTCTCAAATTGGAAAAAAAAAAAAAAAAAAAGGGCCAGACATGGTGGCTCATGCCTGTAATCTCAGCACTTTGGGAGGCTGAGGCGGGCAAATCACCTGAGGTCAGGAGTGCGAGACCAGCTTGGCCAACATGGTGAAACCCCATTTCTACTAAAAATACAAAAATTAGCCAGGCGTGGTGGCATGTGCCTGTAGTCCCAGCTACTTGGGAGGCTGAGGCAGGAGAATTGCTTGAACCCGGGAGGCGGAGGCTGCAGTGTGCCACTGCACTCCAGCCTGGGCAACAGAGCGAGACTCTGTCTCAAAAAAAAAAGAGAGAGAAAAAAAAAAAAAGAAAGAAACACAGAATCTCAGGCCCCACCCAGACCTACTGACTCAGACTCCGAATTAAAACTCCAGATGACTCATGTGCATGCTGATTTCAAGAAGCATGTAATCTTCAAACCCTTTTGCTCACATTAAAAGAATTTTGCAAATTATGTACCCCTTGCATGTTTTTATGCTGCTATCTAAAACTTTCCCCAAATGTTTAGTTGCAAAAGAATGCCATTCCAGTGTGTTGTAAACATGGATCTTTTTTAAAAAGTCTTATTTCACTTTTTAACCATTCCCTTCATGATTCATTTTATTTTTTTTTTTATGTATTTATTTGTTTATTTTTTGAGACAAGAGTCTCCCTCTGTCTCCTAGGCTGGAGTGCAGTGGCGCCATCTCGGCTCACTGCAACCTCCGCCTCCCAGGTTCCAGCAATTCTCCTGCCTCCACCTCTCGAGTAGCTGGGACTACAGGTGCCTGCCACCACGTCTGGCTAATTTTCGTATTTTTAGTAGAGACGGGGTTTCACCTTGTTGCTCAGGCTGGTCTCGAACTCCTGACTTCAGGTGATCCACCCGCTTTGGTCTCCCAAAGTGCTGGGATTACAGGCATGAGCCACCACACCCAGCCCAATTCATTTTATTTATTTATTTTTTATTTTATTTTTAAGATGGAAGCTTGCTCTGTCACCCAGGCTGGAGTGCAGTGGCACGATCTCGGCTCACTGCAACCTCTGCCTCCCGGGTTCAAGAGATTATCCTGCCTCAGCCTCCCGAGTAGCTGGGATTACAGGCATGCGCCACCACGCCTGGCTAATTTTTGTATTTTTAGTAGAGATGGGGTTTCATCATGTTGGCCAGGCTGGTCTTGAACTCCTGACCTCAAGTGATTCATCTGCCTCAGCCTCCCAAAGTGCTGGGATTACAGGTGTGGGCCACCGTGCTGGGCTCATGATTCATTTTTAAAGTACATGATTATAATCTTCTTTAATAGTCAGAAATTTCACATTGTTCTATTTCTTCTGAATTCTTATTTTCATAGTTCTATTTCTACCCCCAAGACATTATCCTAATGTAATACATTTTGTGCTTGAAAGCCTTCTAAGCCTGAGCAACATGGCAAAACCCTGTCTCTACAACAAATAACAAAAATTAGCTGGGTGTGGTGGCGTGTGCCTGTAGTCCTAGCTACTCTGGAGGCTGAGGTGGGAGGATCACCTGTTCCTGGGGAGGTCAAGCCTGCAGTGAGTCATGATTGTGCATTCCAGCCTGGGCAACAGAGTGAGACCTTGTCAAAAAAAAAAAAATGAGCAAAGGACTTGAATAGATATTTCTCCAGAGAAGACACACAAATGGCCAACAAGGACATGAAAAGATGCTCAACATCATTAGTCATTAAGTAAATGAAAATAAAACTATAATGAGTACAACTTCATATCAACTAGAATGTCTATTTAAAAAAAAAAACAAGCCAGGCGCGGTGGCTCACGTCTGTAATCCCAGCACTTTGGGAGGCTGAGGTGGGCGGATCACAAGGTCAGGAGTTCGAGACCAGCCTGGCCAATATGGTGAAACCCCATCTCTACTATAAATACAAAAATTAGCCAGGCGTGGTGGCGCGTGACTGTAGTCCCAGCTACTCAGGAGGCTGAGGCAGGAGAATCCCTTGAACCCGGGAGGCAGAGGTTGCAGTGAGCCAAGATCGCACCACTGTACTCTAGCCGGGGCAACAGAGTGAGACGCTGTCTCAAAAAAAAACAAAAAACAAAAAAAAACAGAAAATAACAACTGTTGGCAAGGATATGGAGAAATTGAAGCTTGTGTACAATCTCCTGGTGGGAACATAAAATGGTGCAGCTGCTGTGGAAAACAGTTTGGCAGTTCCTCAAAAGGTTTAACATATAGGGTGGGCACAGTGGCTCACGCCTGTGATCCCAGGCTGAGAGGAATTTGGGAAGCTAAGGCTGGAGGATCGCTTGAGCCTAGCAGTTCGAGACCAGCCTGGGAAACACAGCAAGACTTCATCTCTACAAAAAAAAAAAAAGAGGTGGGCGGGGGAGCAAATGCCATGGCTCACGCCTATAATCTCAACAATTTGGGAGGCCAAGGCAGGCGGATCCCTTGAGCTCAGGAGTTCCAGACCAGCCTGAGCAACATGGTGAAACCCTGTTTCTACAAAAATGCAAAAATTAGCCAGGCATGGTGGTGCATACCTGTAGTCCTAGCTACTCGGGAGGCTAAGGCGGGAGGCTAAGCCTGGGAGGTGGAGGTTGCAGTGAGCCAAGATCACACCACTGCATTCCAGTCTGGTCAACAGAGATCCTGTCTAAAAAAAAATAATAATAATAATACGTTAAAAATTTAACATATAATTGCCATATAATCCAACAGTTCCACTCCTAGGTATATATCCAAAAGAACTGTAAATAGGTATACAAACAAATTCTAGTATAAGCATCCAATTAAAAGACAATGAATGAATTACAGCTACACAAGTCAACAAAACCATAATGTTGAGTGAAAAGGCCAGCCCCAGAACATGTACAGTATGATTCATCTGTGTGATGGTCAAACAGACAAAACTAAACTGTCCGGGAAAACCTACAACTGCATAGATACTGAAACTATTACAATAAGCAAATGAAGTATACACGGTCATACCTCAGAGATATTTTGGGCTTCGTTCCAGATCCCCTCAATAAAGCCAGTCATATCAACAACTTTTTGGTTTCCCAGTGCACACAAGTTATGTTTACACTGTACTGTAGTCTATTCAGTGTGCAATAGCATACGTCTAAAAACAATGTATGTAACCTTAATTTTAAAATACTGTATTGCTAAAAAATGCTAACAGTCATCTGAGTCTTTAGTGAGTTGTAACATTTTTGCTGGTGGAGGATTTTATCTTGATATCGATAGCTGCTGACTGATTAGGGTGGTGGTTGCTGAAGGTTGGGATGGCTTTGACAATTTCTTTTTTTCTTTTTTTTTTTTTTGAGATGAAGTCTCATGCTGTCACCCAGGCTGGAGTGGAGTGGTGCAATCTCGGCTCATTACAACCTCCATCTCCTGGGTTCAAGCAATTCTCCTGCCTCAGCCTCCCAAGTGGCTGGGACTACAGGCACCCCCACCACACCCAGCTAATTTTTGTGTTTTTAGTAGAGATTGGGTTTCACCATGTTGGCCCAGGCTGGCCTCGAACTCCTGACCTCAGGTGATCCGCCCACCTCAGCCTCCCAAAGTGCTGGGATTACAGGAGTGAGTCACCCCACCCAGCCAACAATTTCTTAAAATAAGACAACAATGAAATTTGCTGTATCTACTGACTCTAACTTTTATAAAAAGATTTATCTGGGCCGAGCACGGTGGCTCATGCCTGTAGACTCAACACTTTGGGAGGCCAAGGCAGGAGTATCACTTGAACCCAAGAATTCAAGATCAATGACTGGGCAACACGGGAAGACCCAGTCTTGCCACTTTTAATTAAAAAAAAAAAAAAAATGGCCGGGTGCTGCGGCTCATGCCTGTAATCCCAGCACTTTGGGAGGCTGAGGTGGGCGGATCATGAGGTCAGGAGTTCAAGACCAGCCTGGCCAACATGGTGAAACCCCATCTCTACTAAAAATACAAAACATTAGCTGGGCGTGGTGGCAGACGTCCGTAATCCTAGCTACTCAGGAGGCTGAGGCAGGAGAATTGCTTGAACCTGGGAAGCAGAGGTTGCAGTGAGCTGAGATTGTACCATTGCACTCCAGCCTGGGCAACAAGGGCGAAACTCCATCTCAAAAAAAAAAAAAAAAAAAAAAGCCAGAAGTGGTAGCGCACGCCTGTAGTCCCAGCTACTCCAGAGGCTGAGGCAGGAGAATCACTTGAACCTGGTAGGTGGAGGTTGCAGTAAGCCGAGATTGTGCCACTGCACCCCAGCCTGGCGACAGAGCAAGACTCTGTCTAAAAAATAAATAAATAAATTAGTCCAGGAAGGTCGAGGCTGCAGTGAGCCTTCTTTGCACCACTGTACTCCAGCCTGAGCAAAAGAAACCACTTTTTTTTTTTTTTTTTTTTTTTTTGACAGGGTCTTGCGCCATCACCCAAGCTGGAGTGCAGCAGTGCGAACAAGGCTCACTGCAGCCTTCTCCTCCCTGGGCTGAATCAATCCTCCCACTTCAGCCTGTTGAATAGCTGCGACCACAGGCAACACCACCTCCCACAGCTATTTTTTTTTTTTCTGAGACTGGGTTTTGCCTTGTTGCCCAGGCTGGTTTCAAGTGATCCTCTTCCCTTGGCTTCCCAAAAGTGCTGAGTTTACAGGCGTAAGCCACCACACCCAGCCTTGTACCCTCTTATATTTTTTAAATTTTGAACAAAACTTTACAATTTGAATTTGGAATTGTACTTACACATTTTGAATTTTGAACAAAACTACATTTTGAATTTTGAACTTTGAATTTTGAGTTTGTAAACAAAATTTTACAAACTCTAATGCTTTTATTTTGCTTTTTTTTTTTTTAAGACAGAGTTTCACTCTTGTCACCCAGGCTGGAGTGCAGTGGCGTGATCTCAACTCACTGCAACCTCTGCCTCCCAGGTTCAAGCAATTCTCCTGCGTCAGCCTCCTGAGTAGCTGGGATTACAGGCATGCACCACCACGCCCAGCTAATTTTTTTTGCATTTTCAGTAGAAACGAGGTTTCACCATGTTGGCCAGGCTGTTCTCAAACTTCTGACCTCAAATGATCCGGCCACCTCAGCCTCCCAAAGTGCTGCGATTACAGGTGTGAGCCACTGCACCCGGCCCTACAAACTCTAATTCTTAACTTGACAGCTTTTTGTATTTCTGCTCTCACGAATGACTCCATGAAAAAAATAAAATGAACAATTTTTTTTTTAAACTTGGGATATGGATTAGGTCATTTGCAGGGACACAGGCAGGCCTGGGGAGGACAACCTGATCCAGGCAGGTATCACAGGCCCGAAAGTCAGTTGCTCAAGCAGCAAGGATGACATAGGGTAGCAGAGCAGACTTGGTGAGGCTCAGAGGATAGAATATTTGTCGAGAAGTGGAAGAGT
Organism: Homo sapiens; assembly: GCF_000001405.40. Taxonomy (NCBI): domain Eukaryota; kingdom Metazoa; phylum Chordata; class Mammalia; order Primates; family Hominidae; genus Homo; species Homo sapiens. The sequence goes on along the minus strand of NT_113891.3, from coordinate 3,384,007 downwards.
CTTTTTCTGTCTGGAATTCACAAGGTGCTGGGAGAATCTGCCTCCATTTCCCCAGATAGACCTGGATCTGGGCAGAGTCAGCAAGGGTGTGTGGAGGACTTGGACGATGGCAAAGGTGGTGGGCTGCAGGGAGTAAATTCCCTCCGAGGTAGGAGGGGGAGGGAAGAGTTTGTCTGGAGGCAGGTTGAGGCTGGGAGAGGGCTCCGAAGAGCTAGGGATAAGGAGCTCTGAAGAAGGAGGAGGAGCCAGCATTGAGGAGCAGTCAAGGGGGATGGATGGGAGTTCAGAAAAGGTGGTTTTGCAGATGGATGGGAGTGGTGCAGGCACTTTGTTTTCACATGGCTTCTTTCCCCAAGCAGTAAGCCCCTTCCAACATTGCCAAAACATCCTGCAGTTTTTACCAGGGTTCCTGCGCTGAGGGCAGAGCTGAGTGCAGATCAAAGGAGAAAGAGAAAGAAGTTGGAGGTTTTGTTGTAATGTAAGACAGTTTCATCAGCCTATGGATTTAAAAGTCCAGGCTGACTTACCTCTTCCTTTCCTATAGATTGCTCAGGAAATATGGTTATTCTAGTACGTGCTAAGCATCGTTGTAAAAAGTAAGCCCACAGCCTAAAATACTTTGAATGTCTTAGACAAATGTCCAATGTTTGCTACGGTTTTGGATTATCAAGGCCACTCCTTACCTCTATGAGTAGCCAAGGGTAGTGCTCTAAGCTGTGAGCTAGCTTCTCTCAGAGATGCCCACAAACATAAACACCCCTTTTCAAAGTAAGCTGCTATGGACTCATAGGACTGGAAAATACTTCAGAGAGTAATCCCTCCATTTTATTAAAGAGAATACTGAAACCTGGGGAGCCTTGATGACTTCAAGATGGACTGGAACCTGGACCTTTTGTCTCCTAGTTATTCCTTGCATCCCTAGTCAAATTTTATTTCCTTTAAAAAATGTATTTACTTTTATTTATTATTTTATTATTTTTGAGACAGGTGTCTCGCTTTGTTGCCCAGGCTGGTCTCAAACTCCCGGCCTTAAGTGATCCTCCCACCTCAGCTTCCCAAAGTGCTGGGATTACAGGCATAAGCCACAGTGCCCAGCCCAGATTTTATTTCTAAAGCTCACTAAGAATCCTAATTTTTTTTTTAAAAGACAGGGTCTCATTCTGTTGCCCAGGCTGGAGTACAGTGGCACTATCATGGTTCACTGCAGCCTCAACTGCCTGGGCTTAAGCAGTCCTCCCACCTCAGCCTCTCATGTAACTGGGATCCCAAGCACATACACACCATCATGCCCTGCTAATTTTCTTATTATTTGTAGAGATGGGGTCTTGCTATGTTGCCCAGACTGGTCTCAAACTGCTGGGCTCAAGGGATCCTCCTGCCTCGGCCTCCCAAAGTGCTGGGATTACAGGAATGAACCATTGAGCCTGACCCAAAAATCCTAAAAGTATCTCCTAAATTTATCTGTTCTTGACACCACACCAAGGCATTTGGTACTGCAAGCTAAGGACAGGAAAGCCCCTGGTTTTATACTGGCAGAAGTTGGGGAAGAAGGGACAAGGATCTAGATGATTGTAAACCCCCTGGATGGGATGCATGGGAAATGGCTCCACATCATCTCTCCACCAGACTACATGGAAAAGAGTTTGTGCACCTCTGCTTGTTTTTACGCAGAGTTGTAACTGGGTGGGCTGGACACTTGAAGGATTCATTGGCTGTCAACTCCACCTGCCACCAAGGACTACCTGTCTTGAGCCATGGGCTGAGATTAGGCCCCCTGTCCCATCTACATTCCTAGAAAGGAAAAGTAGCAAGAAAGGGACAAGAAACAAAATTTTACAAACTCTAATTCTTAACTTGACAGCTTTTTGTATTTCTGCTCTCACTGGAATGTGAACTATTCTTCTGAGAAGTTTGGCAATGCGGAAAAGAAGAGATGAGATAGAAAAACAGAATTTTTAAAGTTCTTTTGGGTCAGGCGCAGTGGCTCACGCCTGTAATCCCAACACTTTGGGAGGCTGAGCAAGGTGGATCACCCGAGGTCAGGAGTTCGAGACCAGCCTGGCCAACATGGTGAAACCCCGTCTCTACTAAAAATGCGAAAATTAGCTAGGCATGGTGGCGGGCACCTGTAATCCCAGCTACTTGGGAGGTTGAGGCAGGAGAATCACTTGAACCTGGGAAGCGGAGGTTGCAGTGAGCCAAGATCGTGCTATTGCACTCCAGCCTGGGTGACAAGAGCAAAACTCCAGCTAAATAAATTAATTAATTAATTAAAATAAAATAAAATTCTTTTGAAAATTTCATAGTCCGTTTCCCAGATTAGGAAAAGGAGAACAGAGCTATTGTTTACTCAGCAACTACTGCATGCCAGGCTCATTTAAACCTCACATTAGCCCTGTGAGAGATCAGGGCCTTCAAGATAAAAATGCTTTCAGATGAGCTAAGGATGGGCGGGGGAGACAAAGATAAGGACACTGTGATTCAGAGAATTAAGTAACTTGCCCAGTGGGCCTCATTTGGTACAGGAATAGGGCTTTTATTTTATTTTTTTAATGATTTGCGAATCTGGCAGCCTTCTGAGCCAGAGTAGGCTCAGAAACTCCTAGGAATGTGGCTTTAAGCCTAGGTGCGTCTGACACAAAATCAGGTGTTCTTCCTCAAATCTACAAGGCCTAAATACAAAGAGAGCAGTTTAGAACAGACTCTTAGATTCAACAGAGGGAACTGGGTGCGGGCATACAAATCAGAGAATTTAAAAGAAAAAGGCAAAAAGTCAAGGTACCACCTAAACACTGTCTACGCTGCCTCCACCCTCCTGCCAAACAGCATCCCTTGAGTTCAAGAATTCAGTTTCAGCTCAAGAACAAACTTTTTATGGGTGGATGCTGGCTGAGCCAAAGAGGAATTACTTCAACAATCATTTGTTGCATGACCTTTTTTGGTGTTTTGTTTTGAGAAGGAGTCTTGCTCTGTCGCCCAGGCTGGAGTGCAATGGCGCAATCTAGGCTCACTGCAACCTTCACCTCCCAGGTTCAAGCGATTCTCCTGCCTCAGCCTCCCCAGTAGCTGGGATTACAGGCACCTGCCACCACGTCCAGCTAATTTTTGTATATTTAGTAGAGTCAGGGTTTCACCATGTTGGCCAGGCTGGTCTCGAACTCCTGACCTCAGGTGATCCACCTGCCTCGGCCTCCCACAGTGCTGGGATTACAGGCGTGAGCCACCACACCCTCCCTATTGCATGATTTTTATTTGCAAAACAAAACCCACAACATAATTCCTGCAACCAAGAAGTTTATAGTCTAATGGGGAAACCAGATATTGAACACATAATAAGAAACTTCATCAGAATTGAAATGTAAGGAAAACGCACTAGTCTCCTGAAGGACGTAAAAAAGAAATCCAATTGGCAGGAAACAGTGGCATCTTCACGCGGACTTGGATAGGTGGGGAAGTGGGTGTAGGTACGAGGAAGTGGAAGGGAAGGCACCAGCCTTCAAGACGCTCCTAAGTGCTGTCGCTGAAGCTGTGGAGACTATAACTTAGTCTGAGAGAGACAAGAGAAAGAGAAGGCCCGGGCGCAGTGTTGAAGGGAAGTTTTGTTTAGAGCTGGACCTTGTCAGTCTGGAGGAGAGGTGAGGAATAAGGGGGACGGAGCGGTGGAAGATTAGAGTAGAATCATACTAACATAATAAATCACATCATTAAAATTAGTCCTAGGGTTAATTATATACTAAAGGTGAAATGGGCAAGGTCATCGATAGCACAAGCGGAGGGCGACTGCCTTGGCAAGAAGTTGGGATCAATCCTGAGAATGGAGGGGAGGGCGGGTGTGATTTTAAAGGACTGACATGGAGTGGAGGAAAGTTGAGGGCACTGGATCGTCTGGCTTTGTGGAAAGTGAAATCATATTTCAGGCCTGAAGGGCTGAGGCGGTTACTAGCTTTACAAGAGTTGGAAAAGCCTGGGAATGTGTCTGGAGCAACTGTGAGCACACTCAGCAGAGGAGGCAGGCGTGGGTAATAGCTACCAATAGCTCTGTTAGCCACGGGGCGGATGGGGCCCTGAGAGGTGCCACGGATGCACCCAGGGCAGCGCTCGGCACAGCTGGACCGGAGACGCACCACCCCTGGGAGCAGGTGGCAGCGCCCGCAGCCGAGAGAACGGGTGCGCGCGCGCGCTGCGGGATGCGGCGCGGGCGGGGCGCGGGGACGCGGAGCGAGTAGCGCCATGGGCAGCCGGGATTGGGGGGCGGGCCCGAGTGAGCGGGCCTCCGCGCGGCACTTGGCACGCACGCGCAAACTGGCCGCGGGGCTTGGAGGTACAGAGGAGGGGGAGCGAGAAAGAGGGGGGTGTGGAACGTATTTCCGCTCTGGCGGACAAATAATCCCGGCCAAAGAGGAGGCAAGGCCGTCCGGCCCTTTAACCGCGTGGGGGTGCTGGTGAAGAAAGGGGGGTCGGGAAGGGGGGATCCTGCTCCTTTAATTCCCTCCCCTCTTCCTCCTCCCCGAGTCCTAGCCGACGCCGCCGCCGCCGCGCGCGCGGGGCCTGGAACACACGGCACGAGCCGCCCCCGCCCCTCCCCCCTTACGCCCACGCGGAGCCGGCCCCGCGCGCGCGCGCGTCCCGTGCATCCCCGCGCCTGCGCGCTGCCCAGGCCCTGCCCGTGTGTGGGGGTCGCTGCCGGCCCCGGGGGGGGGTGGGGAAAATAAGGGATTAAAAAAACAGCGCGCGGAACCGGGCCAGGTGAGAGGAGCGTGCACTCAGGGTCGTGGGGCTGGGGGGGCGTGCCACGGAGCTCTGAGCGTGGGGGCAGGGCGTGCACGGTGCGTGCTGGCGGCGGGGGGGAGGACGTGAAAAGCGCGTGCAAACGTGTAAGGGGGGGGCGGAGGAATGAGGCAGCCGGTAAAGGGGGCGGGGTGAGAAGAGCCTGCAACCGGGGCCACCTTGGAGTCCAGAGCCCCAGGCCTCTGGCCCCCCTTTTTCTCCGTCCTTCCACCGTGGGCGCGCGGGCTCGCCCCATCCTAGCGGGCTGCTGGGCTGGGGGGTGTGGACGCCGCTGCCCCGCCCCCGAGAACCACGCCTCCCTCCTCTCAGAGGGACAGCACCTCCCCAGGGTTGGGGAAACTGAGGAAGAAATCTGAAGACCGGGAGATCGGATGCCGGGGGGCTGGGCAAGAATGGGGGCGAGGGTCCTGGAGCCTTGGCTTCGGAGAGCCAGAGACCTTTGTCTCTGACCGGTTTCCTTCCCAACCAGGGTTGCCCACCCCCGCCACAATGGCCTCTGGGGTGGAAGTCCTGCGCTTCCAGCTGCCCGGCCACGAGGCCGCAACGCTACGGAACATGAACCAGCTCCGGGCAGAGGAGCGGTTCTGCGACGTGACCATTGTGGCCGACAGCCTCAAGTTTCGAGGCCACAAGGTCATCTTGGCCGCCTGCTCACCCTTCCTGCGGGACCAGTTCCTGCTGAACCCCAGCTCGGAGCTGCAGGTCTCCCTGATGCACAGTGCACGCATCGTGGCCGACTTGCTCCTCTCCTGCTACACGGGCGCCTTGGAATTCGCTGTTAGGGACATCGTCAACTACCTTACAGCCGCCTCCTACCTGCAGATGGAGCACGTGGTGGAGAAATGCCGGAATGCCCTCAGCCAGTTCATTGAGCCCAAAATAGGCCTCAAAGAGGATGGGGTCAGTGAGGCTAGCCTTGTGAGCAGCATCAGCGCCACCAAGTCCCTCCTCCCTCCAGCCAGGACCCCAAAGCCAGCCCCGAAGCCCCCACCCCCACCTCCTCTACCCCCTCCACTCCTGCGGCCAGTGAAGCTGGAGTTCCCACTGGATGAAGACTTGGAGCTGAAAGCCGAGGAAGAGGATGAGGATGAGGATGAGGACGTGTCTGACATCTGCATCGTCAAGGTGGAGTCGGCCCTGGAGGTGGCACACCGGCTCAAACCCCCTGGAGGCCTGGGAGGGGGTCTGGGCATTGGAGGCTCCGTGGGTGGCCACCTTGGGGAGCTGGCCCAGAGCAGCGTTCCCCCCAGCACTGTAGCCCCACCGCAGGGTGTGGTGAAGGCCTGCTATAGCCTGTCGGAAGATGCAGAAGGGGAGGGCCTGCTGTTGATTCCCGGAGGCCGGGCCAGCGTGGGGGCCACCTCGGGCCTGGTGGAAGCAGCAGCGGTGGCCATGGCTGCCCGGGGGGCGGGGGGCAGCCTGGGGGCGGGGGGCAGCCGGGGACCCCTGCCTGGGGGCTTCTCAGGTGGAAACCCCTTAAAGAACATCAAGTGCACCAAGTGCCCGGAAGTGTTCCAGGGCGTGGAGAAGCTGGTCTTCCACATGCGGGCGCAGCACTTCATCTTCATGTGCCCTCGCTGTGGCAAGCAGTTCAACCACAGCAGCAACCTCAACCGCCACATGAACGTGCATCGTGGTGTCAAGTCACACTCGTGCGGCATCTGCGGCAAGTGCTTCACACAGAAGTCCACCCTTCACGACCACCTCAACCTGCACTCGGGAGCGCGGCCCTACCGCTGCTCCTACTGCGACGTGCGCTTCGCCCACAAGCCTGCCATTAGGCGGCACCTCAAGGAGCAACACGGCAAGACCACGGCCGAGAACGTGCTGGAGGCCAGTGTGGCCGAGATTAACGTCCTCATCCGCTAGCCGCGCAGGCGTGGAGGCCAGGAGGCTGGGGCCCCTGGGCTGCGTGGAAAAAGGGCTCTTTGGCCCAGGAGAATTGGGGGGTGGGGGGTCTGGGGCAGAAAGGTAAGAGTGGGAGGCTGAGCAGATGCACACATCCTGAGAGAGGGAAGATGATTCCTTGGAGAGACTTGCTCTTGAGAGTGCAAGAATCTGGAGCTGGGAAAAGGGTTCTTGGAGGCCAGGGGAATACGGGGTCCCAGAGAAAGATTTCCTTCTCTTAGAAGTGCATGTATATGTGGAGGGAGGGAAAAGGGTCCTATAGAATGAGGGAAGACAAAAATGTTTTATTCCTGGCTAAGGCTGCCCAGGGGAAGGTTCTGACATTTCTCGAGATAAGAAGGGTTGGGGGGTGGGTGGGAACAGGGAGGGAATTTGGCAGGAGGACATGCTCCTGCTTAGAATAGACCTGGGGTGAGGGAGTGGTAAGGGGAAAAGATTACTGAGTCCCAGAAAAGGAAGTGGGAGACAGTTCTTGCATGCTGGGGAAATGAGACTGCGAGTATGAGGCTTGCTGAAATTTGAGGGAGAACAAAGTAAGACGCCAGGTAAGAGAACGTGGGGTGCGCATCCTGGGTAGATATTGGGAAGTGGGGGTACAATAGCAAGAAACAATGGATAGTCATGGGGGTGGGGGGGATAGGGCACTTAGAAAAGAAAGAACACAAGAAGGGCTGTTGGGAGGGAGGGAGAGGAGTAGAGACATACAGTATTTTTTAAGAAAAAACATATTTTTTAGGATTTTTTCTGGAGTTTGGGGTTTTAGTTTTTCTGCTTTTGTTTTCCACAAAATAAAAAACAAAAAAAAACTTTTTTTTTTCCTTTACACTCTGGCAACTGCGTGTACATGACTATCCTGCCCTAGACAGCCTCTCCCTGTGATGCTGCGTTCTTAATACCTAGAGGTCACAACTCTGCATATCCCTTGCCTGAAGGAGCCCAGCCCTAAACATGGGAGAGGAGTGTGACAAGTGAGCTCCTCTGGTCAGGGACTCCCCCAAGTCCCCACCCCCAGCCCTCCACCAGTTCTGCAATCTCAACACTTAGCCAGGTACCTCACAGTACAAGTGATTGGCAGTCGTGGGGATGCACATGAACTCTATTTGAGGGACTTAGGATCAGTGCTAGGGATGAGCTACAGGTGGCCAACCTGCCCACGGAAATTGTAAGCAGGAGTCTGTTTGGTCATATTTTGTCTGGGGTAAATAGGTCATGTCTTCAGGAAAGCTAAAAAAAAAAAAAAAAAGCTAAGTTTGGATTAAGGTGCAGGGAAAACTACAATTCCCAGAAAGCTCTGGAATAGTTAACCAAAGAGAACTACAGTTCCCAGAAGGCCTTTAATTGGCCTCAGGTGCCCCACCTGCCTGTGTCAAATACTGCGTGTGAAATCATACAGATCTTTTCCAAACTCGACCAAAACGTAATACCTAAAGGGATGGTACCCTAAATACAGCTATCGAGATTGTCTATCTTGGTGTATATCATTTATACTTAAATTGTCCGCTGGGCTATGACCCACGGAGTACCTGACTGTGCTTATGAAGTGTTCGGCAAAAAAGGTTTACTTACTGCAGTGTCACCAGTCAGTAATGACGTTCGGGCCGCTGGGCTTACCTGGATCCCTAGTGCGTGTGAAGGTGTAACACGCCTGATATAAACAGAAGAGACATTTAGCCACAGGTTTTCAGAAGGGCACGCTGCTCCAGGGGACATGAAGCAGCATGCTAGAACCAGCCAAGAATAAAGGTGTCCTCCGCGTCCCTATCGCCCCTTCGTGCTCGTTAGAAAGAGCAAAAAGGCGAGGCCAAAACTGAGGCCAAGCCTTCTATCTGGTAACCCAAAAACTAGAAAGGCAGAAAAGCAACCAGAGGCGGGAAAAGCCCAACCAGGCCAGAGGAAATACAGCCGCTGCCGAGAGCCGAGAAGTTCAGAAGCTCCGCTTGTTACCTAAAACCAGATGGGGACAGAGACGCCACACCTGGGCCCAGGCGTGTCTCGCCCTCGGTCCCTGCAGAACTGAGGCCAGGAATGACAGGAATTCTCCCTTGCAGCTCCCAGCTTAGGACAGTCACAGCCATCTCCGAGGCCGCTCTCAGGGGAAAATGGCCAAAAAGCATGTAGCGGCTCCTTTAAGGCTCCTCCTCGCCCTCCCTCCCTCGCCCACGTGACCCGGGGCGGCCGCGCGCCGGCTCGGCCCCCAGCGCAAGCGGCGATGGCGGCGGCGGCGGGAGCTGCAGCGGCGGCGGCCGCCGAGGTGCGGAAGGGGAGGGGGAGAGGCGGGTGCATGCCCGCGCGCGCGCCCGGGGGAAGCGCGCGCCCGTGCAATGCTCCGGGGGTGCAACGGGGCCGGGGGGCCCGGGCGGGACTTGCAGCAATCCAGGGGGCCAGCACCGGGGGCGGATGAGGGGACCAGGGTGTGGGAGGTGGGGGGAGTGGGCACGGAGGCGCGCGTGCAGCCGCCGGCTGCCCCTGAGTGGGCGACGGGCGCCGGGGCCCCAGGAGCACGCGTGAGGGGCACGAGGGGCCGTCCACCGGGCTGGGGGGCAGCGGGTGCTGGAGGGGTTGGTGCCCGGGGTCCCCGCGGCCTGGGGGACAAAGGGGGAGCGGCGCGTGCAGCCGGGAGGAGGGGGCGGGGCCGGGGCGCGGAGGCCCCGCCCCCTCCCCCTCCTCTTCTCTCGGCCCCAGAGATGCGGGGTCTACCGAGAGGGAGGGGGTTGATGCGGGCCCGGGGGAGGGGTCGTGCGGCCCCTCCGGGCAGCCGAGGCCGCGGAAGGGGGGGGCCCCACAGAGGAAGAGGTAGGCCCCGGAGCCTACTCTCTCTTCCCAGGGCCCAGGCATCCTGGACCCCCCAACTCTCTACTGGGCTGACCAGCCCTCCTGTCCCTTGTCTCCCCTCCCAGGGGGAGGCCCCCGCTGAGATGGGGGCGCTGCTGCTGGAGAAGGAAACCAGAGGAGCCACCGAGAGAGGTGAGTGCAGCTAAAACGGGCCCCAATTGGACCGTCACCTTCCCTAAACACAGGATCTCCTGAGCCCTTAGCTCTGAACTTTTTCTCTTCCTCTACAGTTCATGGCTCTTTGGGGGACACCCCTCGTAGTGAAGAAACCCTGCCCAAGGCCACCCCCGACTCCCTGGAGCCTGCTGGCCCCTCATCTCCAGCCTCTGTCACTGTCACTGTTGGTGATGAGGGGGCTGACACCCCTGTAGGGGCTACACCACTCATTGGGGATGAATCTGAGAATCTTGAGGGAGATGGGGACCTCCGTGGGGGCCGGATCCTGCTGGGTGAGAGGCTGGGTAGCCTGGGGGGTTGGTGGGAAATTTCTGACTCTTGCCTTCTTTCTTATCTTGCCTTTTGCTTGCCTGTTTTCTAGGCCATGCCACAAAGTCATTCCCCTCTTCCCCCAGCAAGGGGGGTTCCTGTCCTAGCCGGGCCAAGATGTCAATGACAGGGGCGGGAAAATCACCTCCATCTGTCCAGAGTTTGGCTATGAGGCTACTGAGTATGCCAGGAGCCCAGGGAGCTGCAGCAGCAGGGTCTGAACCCCCTCCAGCCACCACGAGCCCAGAGGGACAGCCCAAGGTCCACCGAGCCCGCAAAACCATGTCCAAACCAGGAAATGGACAGGTGAGTGGGATGGGAGAGATGGGATAATCAACCATAAACCTTTGGTGAGCTCTTTTACAGTTTCACTTAAGGCTTCTACTCCATTTACTCATTCACATATTTAAGCAAGGGGCTGCTGTGTGTCAAATATTAGGCTGTGCTTGATCTGTGAACCAACAGACAGGTTCCTCTCTTCCTGCAGTTTACATTCTTGGGTGGTGAAAGTTTGATGTTAAAGAGTCAATTATATAGTTAATGTCTTAATTACTCTTATGATAATGACAAGGTAAGGGAATTTCAAACCACTCTTCCTTTCTACCTCAAAGCAAGCCCTTGGGGAACTCATCTGTCACTGCTCTATTTGTAAAGTTTTTCCTGGGAATCCCAGTGGGAAAGGAGATGAGGGCCACAGAAATAATAGAGGAGGGAAGTGACAAGGGCACCAGAAGCTTTATGACCAAGTTCTAGGGTTCTTGGGTCATACCTATTGTTGACCTAAAGGAAAAAACTGAGGCAAACTTAACATTAAGTAAAGTATATTTGGTCAGGTTTTGAGGACAGCCTTTAGGAGCAAAGATTCAAGTTGCCGTGAAAATACACTCTGATTAGCAGCAGTTATAAGTAGGGGTTTTTTTGTTTGTTTTGTTTTGTTTTTGAAGACAGTTTCACTATGTTGCCCAGGCTGGTCTCAAACTGCTGGGCTTCAGCAATCTTCCTGCCTTGACCTCGCAAAGTGCTGGGATTACAGGTGCAAGCCACCACAACCAGCCCACAAGTAGGTTTTTAAAGGAAAAGAAGATTGGATGACGTGAAGATATTGAAAAAAAACAGGCTGACTCTGGGCACACTGCGTAGGAGTTAGCCCTGCTCTGGAAGGAGCCGCAAAAAGAAAAAAAAAAAGATAAAAATTTTTTAAAAGATTGAAGAAATAACAAAGGAAAAGAAGAGGCAGTTCCTAAATTGTTTACCAGTTTACATTAGAATAACAAGCTATTGATCTGCTATACATTGTTCTTTGTCTCACAGATATTAGGCACATGAAGATAATGGGTGAAGCAGCACCCTAGTCAGGTACAAAATGCCTTTAAGCAGTTGCCTCCAGGCATGGGCCCTAACCGTTCCATGCTGACTTCTCGCTGAGCCTGATCAATTTTGCCTGCTTCACATAGCACAGGTTGCTATGAGCTACCTTTCCTTTCTCACTATGATAAACATTAATTTTTATAGTTGCAATTCATTTTGTAAAGAATAGGGAAGAAAAGGAAAATTGAATTTATAAATTAGGTACAGTGAGAGATTAACAACAATAATAACATAATAGCGTAATCCTAACAGTAGGCCAGGCGTGGCTTGCCTATAATCTCAACACTTTCAGAGGCCAAGGCCGGCAATCACTTGAGGTCAGGAGTTCGAGACCAGCCTGGTAAACATGTCCAAACCCCGTCTCTAACTAAAATAATAATAATAATAATAAATTAGCCAGGTGTGGTGGCGTGCGCCTGTAATCCCAGCTAGTCGAGAGGCTGAGGCAGGAGAATCACTTGCAGTGAGCCAAGATCGCGCCACTGCGGTTCAGCCTGGGCAACAGAGCGAGACTCAAAAAAAATAGCACAATTCTAACAATATGCCACCATCACTGCTGATGAACTGGATAAGAGGGGACTAGTGTCACGTAAAATTTACCATCTAAAAAACAATTTTAGGCCAGGCGCAGTGGCTCACGCCTGTAATCTCAGCACTTTGGAGGCCGAGGCGGGAGGATCACCTGAGGTCAGGAGTTTGAGACCAGCCTGGCCAACATAGTGAAACCCTGTCTCTACTAAAAATACAAAAATTAGGCCAGGCGGGGTGCCTCACGCATGTAATCCCAGCACTTTGGGAGGCCAAGGCAGGTGGATCACCTGAGGTCAGGAGTTCGAGACCAGCCGGACGAACATGGTGAAACCCCATCTCTATTAAAAATACAAAATTAGCCGGGCATGGTGGTACATGCCTGTAACAGTCCGCTACTTGGGAGGCTGAGGCAGGAGAATCGCTTGAATCCAGGAGGCAGAGGTTGTAGTTAGCCGAGATCCTGCCATTGCACTCCAGCCTGGACAACAAGAGCAAAACTCTGTCTCAAAAAAAAAAACAAAACAAAAATTAGCCGGGCGTGGTGGCATGTGCCTGTAGTTCCAGCTACTCAGGAGGCAGAGGTGAGAGAAACGCTTGAACCTGGGAGGTAGAGGCTGCAGTGAACTGAGATCGCGCCACTGCACTCCAGCTTGGGCAACAGAGTGAGACTCCATCTAAAAATTTAAAAATAAAATAAAAAACATTTTTAAGTATATAATTTAATGGTATTAAATACTTTCATCATGTGCAATCATCAGTCACCATAACTCATCTTGTAAAACTGAAACTCTGTACCCATTAAAACATAACTCTCCATTCCCTCCACCCCCTAGCCCCTGGCAAGGACCACTGTCCTTTCTTTCTCTATAAATTTGAGTAAGTACTTTATCTAAGTGTAATCATACAGTATTTATCCTTTTGTGACTGGCTTATTTCACTTAGCATAATGTCCTCAAGGTTCATCTATGTTGTACCATGTCAGAATTTCTTTCCTTTCACCTGGGCAGCATACCAAGACCCCATCTCTAAAAGAAGTTTAAAAGAATGTTTCAAAGGCCAGGCCCAGTGACTCACGCCTGTAATCCCGTACTTTCTGGGGAGGATCACTTGACACCAGGAGTTCAAGACCAGCCTGGGCAACATGGCAAGACCTCTTCTCTACCAAAAAAAAAAATTAAGAAGACATTAGTTAGGCATTGTGACATGTGCCTGTAATCCCAGCTTCCCAGGAAGCTGAGGCAGGAGAATGGCTTGAGTCCAGTTCGAGGCTGAAGTGAGCCATAGTCATGCCACTGCACTCCATCCTGGGTAACAGAATGAGACCTTATCTCTTAAAAAAAGTATATCTTTCCTTTTTATGGCTGAATGTTATTCCATTGTGTATAAATGCCACATTTTGCTTATCCATTCATCTGTCAGTGGCACTTGAGTTGCTTCCGCACCTCAGCTGTTGTAAACAGTCCTGCTGTGTATATGGCCACATATAAAAGGTCTTTTAACTTTATTAAGCTTTGTTTTCTCATCTGTAAAATGGAAAAGGGCCTGCTCTGCATGGTTGCAGAGATGAGTGAGTGTTAGTGTGCTTGACACTCTTCCTCTGAGGAAATAGCACCCGTGGTTGCCAGTTTGTGGCTACTGGAGCCTCACATGGCATTTGGAGGTGTGGCTCACTACCCCACCCCCGCCTGGGGCTCCAGGCTAACCCAGGCAAAACTGTAGGTGCTCTCTGACCCTCAGTGTGCTCCCTCTCGGCCCACAGCCCCCGGTCCCTGAGAAGCGGCCCCCTGAAATACAGCATTTCCGCATGAGTGATGATGTCCACTCACTGGGAAAGGTGACCTCAGGTCAGTCCCATCCCCCACCCCCGGTGGCTTGATGTGGTCTGTTCTGAAGGTTTCGGTGATAGGCCCCACACCATTCTCTCTCTTCTTCCAGATCTGGCCAAAAGGAGGAAGCTGAACTCAGGAGGTGGCCTGGTAAGCAGCAGAGGCAGAGCCTCTACCCCTCGGGGGCTGCTCTGAGGGAGGGTCAGAGGTGGGGCTGCATCCCATCCTCAGTAGAAATGCGCAGGGTGTCAGTGGCCTCAATTTTTCTGATCTTTTTCTAGTCAGAGGAGTTAGGTTCTGCCCGGCGTTCAGGAGAAGTGACCCTGACGAAAGGGGACCCCGGGTCCCTGGAGGAGTGGGAGACGGTGGTGGGTGATGACTTCAGTCTCTACTATGATTCCTACTCTGTGGATGAGCGCGTGGACTCCGACAGCAAGGTGAGACAGAGCTGGTCTGCCCTCCCCGCCGGTGCTCCCCCAGGGCTGGGGCTCACTGTCCAGTCCTCCTTGTTCCCTGTTTTTCTGCTTTCTGTCCTTTTTATCTTCTGAATATCCACTAAGTCATTGCCCCATGCTGTCTATAACTCCTTTTTTTTGTGGGGGGAGACGGAATCTCATTCTGTCGCCCAGGCTGGAGCGCAATATCACGATCTGGGCTCACTGCAACCTCTGTCTCCAGGGTTAAAGCAATTCTCCTGCCTCAGCCTCCCGAGTAGCTGGGATTACAGGCACCTGCCACCACGCCCGGCTAATTTTTGTATTTTTAGTAGAGACGGGGTTTCCCTGTGTTGGCCAGGCTGGTCTCTAACTCCTGACCTTAGTTGATCCACCCACCTTGGCCTCCCAAAGTGCTGGGATTACAGCTGTGAGCCACCGCGCCCAGCTGTAACTCATTTTCAATGTGTATTCTGCCCGTTTCATCCACAAAGGTGGCCACCACCCTGCACATGGGATTTAGTATTCTTTTTTTTTTAATCAGCTAATGAAATGACCATTTAACAGACATGTACTGTTTAAAAAAAGAAAACAAAAAAAGAAATGACCAGAAAGCACTTTTTTAAAACATACGTTATGCTGTTTATATAAAATTCAAAAGCATTGCATTGTCATTTATTTGCTTATTTCGTTGCTCTTTGTCTGGTTTTATCTTATATGTTTGCCTACACAGTAGAATGTTTAGTCTCTCTGATTTTGCCTTTTATTTAACATTTTATCATGAAAACTTGCAAGCATAATCAAAAGAGTAGAATAGGGAGCCCCCATGTACCCAATACACAGCTCCAGCCATTATCAGTACACAGTCCATCTTGACCCATCTGTACATCTCCCAGCACACACACCTACTAGGTTATTTTAAAGCAAATCCCAGACCTCATATCATTTTACCTAAACATATATCCATATAGATTTGTAAATATAAGGCCTCTTTTTGTCGTTCAACATCATTACACTACTGTTTTCACACCTAAAAAAACTTACCGATTTCTTAATACCATCAAATATCCTGTCAGTCTTCACATTTCCTCAGCTCTCACAAATGGTTTTTGTCAAGATCCAAATGAGGCCCACACCTTGATTTGATTAACATTTGTCTTAGGTCAGCCAGGCACAGTGGCTCACGCCTGTAATCCCAATACTTTGGGAGGCCAAGGCGGGCAGATCACGTGAGGTTGGGAGTTCGAGACCAGCCTGATCAACATGGAGAAACCCCGTCTCTACTGAAAAAAATACAAAATTAGCTGGACGTAGTGGTACGTGCCTGTAATTCCAGCTACTCGGGAGGCTGAGGCAGGAGAATCGCTTGAACCTGGGAGGTGGAGGTTGCAGTGAGCCAAGATCGTACCATTGCACTCCAGCCTCGGCAACAAGAGCGAAACTCCGTCTCAAAAAAAAAAAAATTTTTTTTTGTCTTAGGTCTCTCTCAGTATTTAGGTTTCCCCATCTTCTTTGTGTTTGTTTGTTTGTTTGTTTTTGTTTTTTGAGATGGAGTCTCACACTGTCACCCAGGCTGGAGTGCAGTGGCGTGATCTTGGCTCACTGCAAGCTCCACCTCCTGAGTTCAAGCAATTCTCCTGCCTCAGTCTCCCAAGTAGCTGGGATTACAGGCACCCACCACCATGCCCAGCTAATTTTTTGTATTTTTAGTAGAGGCAGGGTTTCACTATGTTGGCCAGGCTGGTCTCAAACTCCTGATCTCGTGATCTGCCCACCTCGGCCTCCCAAAGCGCTGGGATTACAGGCGTGAGCCACCACACCTGGCCTGATTTCCTCATCTTCTAAAAAAAAATTTTTTGGCCCAGGCGTGGTGGCTCACGCCTGTAATCCCAGCACTTTGGGAGGCAGGTGGATCACCTGAGGTCAGGAGTTTGAGACCAGCCTAGCCAACATGGTGAAAACACATCTCTAATAAAAATACGAAAATTAGCTGGGTGTGGTGGCGGGTGCCTATAATCCCAGCTACTCAGGAGGCTGAGGCAAGAGAATTGCTTGAATCCAGGAGGTGGAGGTTGCAGTGAGCTGAGATCACACCATTGCAATGCAGCCTGGGCAACAAGAGCAAAACTCAATAAATAAATAAGAAAGATTTTTTTTTTTTGCCATTTATTTGTCAAAGAAACCAGCTCAGTTGTCCTACAGAATTTTTCACATTTAGGAGTTGGCTGATTGGGTGGAGATTGACACATCCTCTCTGCCCATATTTCTTGTAAACTGATAGATCTAGAGGCGGAATCAGCTTCAGGTGCCAAGAAGACTTGACAGTGGGTGCAAGTGCTTCTGGCCACATCACATCAGGATGCATGGAACATCTAATCTGGTCATTTTTCTTGTTAGTGATAAGATTGACCAGTGGGTTCAGGTGATGTCAGCCTGAACCTTTCATATAAAGTTTCTCATGAGCTTTGTGTCTAGTGTTTTTAGCAACCATTGGTGGTCTTGCCTGTTTATGAACATCATAAAAGGGGTATCAAAGTATGTTTATCTTCTGGTACTTGCTTTTTGTTTTTTAACTTAATATCACATTACCAAGATCTGTGCACATTGCTGTCTGTAACTTTTTCACTGCTGTGTAATATTCCATGCACCCTCTCTTTATGTGGCCCTTTGTCTCCTCTGCTACCCACACTTATCCCCAGCAGCCATCCGTGGGTAGTGGCGGGGGGCAATGGTGGTGGTGGTTTTCTTTACTCACCTCATTGTCTGAGTCCTGGGGGTTGGATATGTCTGTTCTGCCTCTCTCCCAGTCTGAAGTTGAAGCTCTAACTGAACAACTAAGTGAAGAGGAGGAGGAGGAAGAGGAGGAAGAAGAAGAAGAGGAAGAGGAGGAGGAAGAGGAAGAAGAAGAGGAAGATGAGGAGTCAGGGAATCAGTCAGATAGGGTAAGAGACGGAGGCTGATATCTCCAGAGGAGTGGGAGACTATGGGGCTGGAGGTCTGGTCCTGAAGGTGTTGGGGGGGCCCCTGGGGGTGAGGGTTCCTAACTCCTCCTCCTCCCCCTTCCCAGAGTGGTTCCAGTGGCCGGCGCAAGGCCAAGAAGAAATGGCGAAAAGACAGCCCATGGGTGAAGCCGTCTCGGAAACGGCGCAAGCGGGAGCCTCCGCGGGCCAAGGAGCCACGAGGTGAGGAGGCTCTGCTGCTTTTGGGTGCCCTCCAGCCCCCGCCCGGCCCCCCAGAGTGTGTGCACGCACACACACGCTCTCGCATGTCCACCTGCATGTACCCACGCGTCCAGGCACCTGTGAGCTCGCACTCTCACTCTCTCTGTCTCTGTGTCAGGAGTGAATGGTGTGGGCTCCTCAGGCCCCAGTGAGTACATGGAGGTCCCTCTGGGGTCCCTGGAGCTGCCCAGCGAGGGGACCCTCTCCCCCAACCACGCTGGTAATTGCCAATTGCCGGGACAGGGAGCCACTAGGGGGCGACCTCAGGGCAGGAGGGAAAGGGAAGGAGGGGAACCACGCCAGAGCCGGGGTGTCCATGGCCAGGCTTTAGGGGTTCTGGGGCATGGCGGGGTGGGGTAGGGAGGGAGTGAGAGGACCCGCCAGGGGTCCCAGTAGGTGAGGTGCAGAGCCTCCCTCAGCTCCTCTTTTCCTCCATCCAAGGGGTGTCCAATGACACATCTTCGCTGGAGACAGAGCGAGGGTTTGAGGAGTTGCCCCTGTGCAGCTGCCGCATGGAGGCACCCAAGATTGACCGCATCAGCGAGAGGGCGGGGCACAAGTGCATGGCCACTGAGAGTGTGGACGGAGAGGTGGGGCCGTGGGCTGGTGGGAGAGGTGCCAGGGCGTCCAGTCCCCGGCCCCAGCCTCACGCTCTCTTCTCACCCATCCTCACTGCGCACAGCTGTCAGGCTGCAATGCCGCCATCCTCAAGCGGGAGACCATGAGGCCATCCAGCCGTGTGGCCCTGATGGTGCTCTGTGAGACCCACCGCGCCCGCATGGTCAAACACCACTGCTGCCCGGGCTGCGGCTACTTCTGCACGGCGGTGAGTGACCAGTGGGGCAGACAGGTAGCATGCCCTGTGGCAGAGGGGGCCCCAGTAACCTGACCATGTCGTTTCCCTGCTCCCAGGGCACCTTCCTGGAGTGCCACCCTGACTTCCGTGTGGCCCACCGCTTCCACAAGGCCTGTGTGTCTCAGCTGAATGGGATGGTCTTCTGTCCCCACTGTGGGGAGGATGCTTCTGAAGCTCAAGAGGTGACCATCCCCCGGGGTGACGGGGTGACCCCACCGGCCGGCACTGCAGCTCCTGCACCCCCACCCCTGTCCCAGGATGTCCCCGGGAGAGCAGACACTTCTCAGCCCAGGTACTGGCCTCCCCCTTCTGTACTGTCTGTTCCCTCCCCCACCCCTATTGCTCCTGGACATGAGCTCCTTCTTCCACAGTGCCCGGATGCGAGGGCATGGGGAACCCCGGCGCCCGCCCTGCGATCCCCTGGCTGACACCATTGACAGCTCAGGGCCCTCCCTGACCCTGCCCAATGGGGGCTGCCTTTCAGCCGTGGGGCTGCCACTGGGGCCAGGCCGGGAGGCCCTGGAAAAGGCCCTGGTCATCCAGGAGTCAGAGAGGTGAGTGGGGAGTTGCTCAGGCACAGCAACTGGGGCTGAGGCCAGAGGAGTGGTGTCGAGGCTGATGCTGGAATCTGAGGAGCTCCCCTTCTCTCCCCGCTCCCGTGCTCCCTTGGCAGGCGGAAGAAGCTCCGTTTCCACCCTCGGCAGTTGTACCTGTCCGTGAAGCAGGGCGAGCTGCAGAAGGTGATCCTGATGCTGTGTGAGTGCCACCCATTCCTTCAGCAGACCTTGACCAAGCTTCATGTATATACCAGGCACTGGGTACAGGGCCAGGAGTACAGTCGTGAAGGACACAGTCCTTGCCCTGAAGGACTTAGTGTGGTGGGGAAAAGACACATGTAACCCATAACGATGGGGATGTGGTGACTCATAGGTGCTGGGTCCTGTTCTGAGTGCTTATACCTGTTAGCCTTGGCTTGCACAGAGAGGTTAGGGACCTTGCACAGTGCACAGTGGTACTGAGAAGCAAGGCAGGGTTTGAATTCAGGCAGAGCTGATGCCTTTGACTCCTTATTCTGATAAATGCTGTGGTGGAGGCAAGCTCGGAGAATGCCAGGAGGGGCCCTGATCCAGCTTGGGGCCCTGAGAAGCCTTCCTGAAAGAAGTGCCACCTGCCCCCTAGCTTGCTTACCACTTGTCCCTCCCTCTCCCGGTGTGGCGGGCTCTCCCCGCAGTGGACAACCTGGACCCCAACTTCCAGAGCGACCAGCAGAGCAAGCGCACGCCCCTGCATGCAGCCGCCCAGAAGGGCTCCGTGGAGATCTGCCATGTGCTGCTGCAGGTCAGCACGGGCCCGGCCCCATGCCTCATTCACCAGGCCCTTAGGCCCCTCCCCTGCCCCATGCCTCCCTGGTGCCAGCCCTCCTGCCCCCTCACAGGCTGGAGCCAACATAAATGCAGTGGACAAACAGCAGCGGACGCCACTGATGGAGGCCGTGGTGAACAACCACCTGGAGGTAGCCCGTTACATGGTGCAGCGTGGTGGCTGTGTCTATAGCAAGGTGTGCGCGCAGGCAGCAGGGCGTGGCCCCCGGAGTCAGGGACCAGGTTTGGGGTGCCAGCCCAAAGGCTCATTTGCCCGTGTCTCCCTCAGGAGGAGGACGGTTCCACCTGCCTCCACCACGCAGCCAAAATCGGGAACTTGGAGATGGTCAGCCTGCTGCTGAGCACAGGACAGGTGGACGTCAACGCCCAGGTCAGCGGCCCACCCAGCCCAGCCCCTCTGGGTCCCTGGTGCCTGGGTTCCTTGGCTTGGCCTCAGGCTTTGGGCCGCCTTTCCTACATCTGACCTCACACTGCTCGTGTCTGTCCTCATTGCTTTCTTCTTCCTCATTTGTATTTCTCTTCATTCTTTTCTTTCTCGTTTCTTTCTCTTTATCAAGTTTCAGAATAATCAGTTCCTGTCTTAATCTCTGAAAGTGTCCAGTGAGGCTTTTTATTAACTCTTGGGTTGTCATACATTGGATGTGTTTTAGTCATTTATTGGCATTCTTCTCAGTCTTTGAATTATTCCATCATTGTCCAGAAGAAGCCCCTTTAAGAGGCCTCTGTGGCTGTGACATGACCCAGTGGCCCAGTGGCCTTTGAGAGCCTCCTGACCTTTCAGCACATTTCCTGCCCCCAACTCAGAATCCACCATTTCTCTAAGAAACTCTGCTTCCTTTATGGGAAACTTTTTTTTTTTTTTTTGAGACGGAGTCTCACTCTGTTGCCCAGGCTGGAGTGCAATGGCGTGATCACAGCTTACTGCAAGCTCCGCCTCCCAGGTTCACGCCATTCTCCTGCCTCAGCCTCCCGAGTAGCTGGGATTACAGGCGCCCACCACCATGCCCGGCTAATTTTTGTATTTTTAGTAGAGACGGGGTTTCACCATATTGGCCAGGCTGATCTTGAACTCCTGACCTCGTGAGCCACAGCGCCCGGCCAGAAGCATTTTTTAGAGAATACAATCTATGTTCCTAGGAGTGTTTATTGTTATTGGGTTGTCGCTGCTTCTAGGACTTTTGAGTGGGCAGACTTAGGAAATTTTTGTTCGTTTTTTCTTTTAAGAGACAGGGTCTTGCTATGTCACCCAGGCTGAAGTACAGTAGCAGTTCACAGACAGTCATAGCTCTCTGCAGCCTCGAAATCCTGGGCTCAAGCAACCCTCCCATCTCAGTCACATGAGTAGCTGGGACTACAGGCATGCACCTCCATGACCAGCTCCTGGCTGTATTTTTTGGAAAGAGAACAATTACTTTATTTTCTCTCTGGCATCAGATGGTAGACGCTACTAGTCCCATTTTTGTTTGTTTGTTTTTTGAGACGGAGTCTTGCTCTGTCGCCCAGGCTGGAGTGCAGTGGCACGATCTTGGCTCACTGCAAGCTCCGCCTCCCGGGTTCACGCCATTCTGCCTCAGCCTCCCTAGTAGCTGGGACTACAGGCGCCTGCCACCACGCCCAGCTAATTTTTTCTATTTTTTAGTAGAGACAGGGTTTCACCGTGTTGGCCACAATGGCCTCCATCTCCTGACCTCGTGATCCGCCCGCCTCGGCCTCCCAAAGTGCTGGGATTACAGGCATGAGCCACCGCGCCCGACCCTACTAGTCCCATTTTTTAGATGAAGAAACTGCGACCCAGAGACGTTAAGTGACTTACCCAGGGTCCCACAGCTTGTGAATGGTGGAGCTGGGATTCACACACACAGCCAATCTTGACCATTTGCTGCTTTGGTGAGCAGGGCCAGCTGCCCCCACCCTCACTCCCTTCCCACCCACAGGACAGTGGGGGGTGGACGCCCATCATCTGGGCTGCAGAGCACAAGCACATCGAGGTGATCCGCATGCTACTGACGCGGGGCGCCGACGTCACCCTCACTGACAACGTGAGTGAGCGTTTGGTTGAGGTAGGGCAGCCCCAGGCCCCTGAGCAAGGTGGAGGCTGGATTCAAGGGCCCAGCTGCCTGCACCTCATCTGTTCCCCTCCTACCTCCACAGGAGGAGAACATCTGCCTGCACTGGGCCTCCTTCACGGGCAGCGCCGCCATCGCCGAAGTCCTTCTGAATGCGCGCTGTGACCTCCATGCTGTCAACTACCATGGGGACACCCCCCTGCACATCGCAGCTCGGGAGAGCTACCATGACTGCGTGCTGTGAGCCCCTGCCCCGCCCTTGATGCCCCTGCCCCCACTTCTTGCAGCCTCAGACCCTGCATTGGGCATCCTGTCCCCTCTTCAGGTTATTCCTGTCACGTGGGGCCAACCCTGAGCTGCGGAACAAAGAGGGGGACACAGCATGGGACCTGACTCCCGAGCGCTCCGACGTGTGGTTTGCGCTTCAACTCAACCGCAAGCTCCGACTTGGGGTGGGAAATCGGGCCATCCGCACAGAGAAGATCATCTGCCGGTGAGCCCTGGGCCCCTCTCTGCACCCAAGACCACCTCCTCCCCACCCATACCCTCCCCAGGCTCCATTGCATCCTCACAACATTCCCCAACCCCTCCCCATGCACCACTGAATCCCCAGAACCACCCACAGGCCCCCTCCCCACTAGGGTTGCCAGATACAGCAAATAAAAATAGAAGACACCCAGTTAAACTGGAATTTCAGATGCACAGATGCATACTTTTTTAGTGTGAGAATGTCCTGTGTAATTTTTGGGACATACTAAAAAGCTATTTCTTGTTTATCTAAAATTCTATGTTAACTCGCTGTCCTGCATCTTACCTGGCAACCTTACTCCCCTGCCCCCAGCCCCAGGAACCTCCCCAACTCTCTTCCTTATACCTGGAGTAGCTCCTCACCCCCTTTTCCAGCTTCCCAGCCCCTTCTTCCCGTCTTCTGCAGGGACGTGGCTCGGGGCTATGAGAACGTGCCCATTCCCTGTGTCAACGGTGTGGATGGGGAGCCCTGCCCTGAGGATTACAAGTACATCTCAGAGAACTGCGAGACGTCCACCATGAACATCGATCGCAACATCACCCACCTGCAGGTGAGTAGGGGGCCCGGGGCCTCCCCAAAAGGACACCGAGAGCTGCCAAGTACAGTTGGACAAGCTTCAAACCAGCAAAGGCACCTGGCCAAGGAAGGGTTGGCTGAAAGGGAGCCCTGGTGTGGGGTCGCATCCCCACCAGGGGAGGGATCCTTTTCCTAGGTCACAGCAAGGTATCATATGAGCTCCCAGTAGCCCTGGGGACACCACCATACTGATTACCCGTCACCCTAGGACCATCACCACCCACTGTTGTAACACATGGACCCCAAAGAAAGGACAGTGGTTAGGGGGTCAGGGGGCATCAAGAGTAGAGGGGCCCAGACCGATCATGGGGTTGAGCTGACCCCTGCCTCCTCGCCCCAGCACTGCACGTGTGTGGACGACTGCTCTAGCTCCAACTGCCTGTGCGGCCAGCTCAGCATCCGGTGCTGGTATGACAAGGTGCGTGCCCCTTGCCTTGGCCACAGACACCCGGCCCCTCCTTCAGAGGAGCCAGCCTCCAATAAACCAGCTCCCTGGGACCATGTCCCTCACCTCCTACCCTGTGGGGGAAGTGACTGAGAGGACTGGGCAAGGCCTGGGAATCCTGGGATGTGGCTGGGACAGCGATGGGCGTGTGCCCAGGTCTATGCAAACCAGGGATGATGCTCCTGCATTTCGTGCTCTCGGATCTCAGAGCCTGTGTGACCTCCCCAACCCCAACTTCCCTGTCTCTGTAGAGTCTTGGGGTTCCTGGGTGGGCAGCTGAGGTGGGCCCCACAGAGAAACCACTATCCTCCCCTCCGCACCCTAGGATGGGCGATTGCTCCAGGAATTTAACAAGATTGAGCCTCCGCTGATTTTCGAGTGTAACCAGGCGTGCTCATGCTGGAGAAACTGCAAGAACCGGGTCGTACAGAGTGGCATCAAGTGAGGCCCTGCTCCACAGCCCACCCTCTCCCCACCTCACCCTTTCCTCCCTGCCCCTGGGGCTTTTCCAGGGCCTCCACCCAACAGCGCCATCTCTCCTACCCCCAGGGTGCGGCTACAGCTCTACCGAACAGCCAAGATGGGCTGGGGGGTCCGCGCCCTGCAGACCATCCCACAGGGGACCTTCATCTGCGAGTAAGTCACCGGGAGCACCTTAACACCTGGTGGGAAGGGGATACATGGCCACTGCTGACTGCCAGGCCTCCCTCTCAGCCATCTGCCCTGATGAGTCACATGTCTCCATCTGGCCACTCTCCAGCCAGCCTCCTCTGACCCCTATTCCTGCAGCTGAGCAGCCAGCCGCCTCTGACCCCCATCCCCCCAGCTGAGAATGGCACCTGCCTCCACTCTGCCCAGACCACAGAGCTTGTCTTCCCTCCCCTCCACCTCCACCCTCTACCTTCCCCTCCACCCCCTCCTCGCCCTTCCTAGCTGGAGAAAGTGCCAGTTTGGGAGACAAACAGACTTGGGTTTGAGCCCCTCTCTGCTTCTGGATGTTCTTGGCCAAGTTACTTAACCTCTTTGAGCCTTATTTTTCTTGTCTGTAGAGTGGAGGTGATAACAGCTACCTATCTGTCCACCTCCTCAGGGGCCTGTCCCTCTCCATCAGTTCTTTCTCTGCCCAGCATCTGTAATCTCCCCCTTTCTCTTGGCTGCCATCCCACAACCCTCAATCTTACTTTAGTCTCCTTTGGCTCTTTTTTTTTTTTTTTTTTAATTTATTTTTTGAGACGGAGTTTCACTCTTGTTGCCCAAGCTGGAGTGCAATGGCACAATCTTGGCTCACTGCAGTCTCCACCTCCCAGGTTCAAGCGATTCTCCTGCCTCAGCCTCCCAAGTAGCTGGGATTACAGGTGCGCACCACCACACCCGGCTAATTTTTTGTATTTTTAGTAGAAACGGAGTTTCACCATGTTAGCCAGGCTGGTCTCCAACTCCTGACCTCAGATGATCCGCCCACCTCGGCCTCCCAAAGTGCTGGGATTACAGGCGTGAGCCACCGTGCCTGACCATTCTTTGGCCTTTAAAAAAGATAGTCCTCTAACCATACTTGCCTGTTCAACAGACCATCCAGTTTCTTTCCATCATGTCATCTCTCAACTTCTCTGGCAAGCAGCCCCTTCCTGCTGGGCCTCAGTTTCCCCACCATCCACTCACTGCCTGTCCCTGCCAAAATCGGCCTTTGCCCTTCCCACTCTGCTGAAGCTGTCTCTTGACAGTCACTTCCCACCCACGTCCTCTCCGTGTGTCTGAATCTCCCATGTCTGCTCACCCTCCTTAGATAGCTGGCTCCTCTCCTCCCTCTGGTGTCCAGATATGTGTGGGTGCTCTTGCCCCGAATCATGCCTTGAGTTCCTTGCCACTCCTGTACCTCTGGCTCTTCCTGCAGTCCTGGCCCCTCTCCTGTTCCATATCGCCCATTCCTGCCGGGTGGCTCCTGGAACACAAACCTCTCTGTGTCCAAACCCGAACTTCCCCACCCAGGCCAACTGCCCCTACACATTAATCCCCTTAACCACAGAGCTTGTTGTCTGTCTCTGTGCTGACTGAAGGCTTCCTCTGTCAAGGCTGGAATGCTGCCCTTTCACTTGCCCACCACTGCTGCTCCAGGCCTTCCCTTCCCCACACCTGCCAGCCCTGCCCATTCCAGATTCCACAGGCTTGTGAAGAGAGATGGGGCCTGGAGCCACCTCCTAATAGCCCACACTCACCTTCAGAACCATGGATTCCTGTCCCACAGGTATGTCGGGGAGCTGATCTCTGATGCTGAGGCTGATGTGAGAGAGGATGATTCTTACCTCTTCGACTTAGACAACAAGGTGAGCAGGAGACCCTCCTTACCCTGCTGCTCCCCAGGGCTGGCTTTCAGGAGCCTCTGGGAAGTCAGCAAATGGAAACCTGGGGAGGAGGGACTGGGGAGTCAGTGGGTGGGGAGGGCAAGCAGGGTCGGGGGAGATGTGAAGAGTGCCATCCCCCTGCCCCAGGATGGAGAGGTGTACTGCATAGATGCCCGTTACTATGGCAACATCAGCCGCTTCATCAACCACCTGTGTGACCCCAACATCATTCCCGTCCGGGTCTTCATGCTGCACCAAGACCTGCGATTTCCACGCATCGCCTTCTTCAGTTCCCGAGACATCCGGACTGGGGAGGAGCTAGGGTGAGACTCTAGGGGTCTCTAGGGGCTCTGCCAGGGGGTGGGAGATGCAGCAAACCTGGGACCTGAAGGCTGGCATGTACCTGGTGTCCAGGCATGGAGTAGTGCAGAGCTTCTCAGATTTCAGTGTACATAAGTATTTCCTGGAGGACTTGGGGAAACAGTCCTGTGCCTCCCAGAGAGATTTTGAATCAGTAGGCTTGGGATGGGGCCCAGGATTCTGCATTTCTAAAAAGTCCCCAGGCAATGCTGATGCTGAAAGTCCATAGAACATACAAGGGGCTCAGATCCCATCTGGAGAAGATAGGTTGGGTGTCGGGTCCCTCTCAGGGAGCAGGATCCACAGGGTCTTCGGGGTGGGCTCTTGGTGGCTGGGTCCAGGTCCCACAAGCTCCTGTTTTCCTCTGACAGGTTTGACTATGGCGACCGCTTCTGGGACATCAAAAGCAAATATTTCACCTGCCAATGTGGCTCTGAGAAGTGCAAGCACTCAGCCGAAGCCATTGCCCTGGAGCAGAGCCGTCTGGCCCGCCTGGACCCACACCCTGAGCTGCTGCCCGAGCTCGGCTCCCTGCCCCCTGTCAACACATGAGAACGGACCACACCCTCTCTCCCCAGCATGGATGGCCACAGCTCAGCCGCCTCCTCTGCCACCAGCTGCTCGCAGCCCATGCCTGGGGGTGCTGCCATCTTCTCTCCCCACCACCCTTTCACACATTCCTGACCAGAGATCCCAGCCAGGCCCTGGAGGTCTGACAGCCCCTCCCTCCCAGAGCTGGTTCCTCCCTGGGAGGGCAACTTCAGGGCTGGCCACCCCCCGTGTTCCCCATCCTCAGTTGAAGTTTGATGAATTGAAGTCGGGCCTCTATGCCAACTGGTTCCTTTTGTTCTCAATAAATGTTGGGTTTGGTAATAAACTGCGATTTTTGTGTTGGGGTGGGGAGAAAGCATACTTGGCTAGAGGGAATGTGGGTCCAAGGGCCAGAATAGGATGGGAAGCAGGCTGGACAGGTGTGGCTGGTGTGATGGCCGCCCAGTGCGGGGCAGGGAGGTGGGGGGCCACTATGAAGATCCAGTTTCACAGGCACGGTGGCTGACACCTATAATCCCAGCACTTTGGGAGGCCAAGGCAGGCGAATCACCTGAGATCAGGAGTTCAAGACCAGCCTGGCCAACTTGGTGAAACCCCATCTTTCAAAATAGAAAAAATTTGCTGGGCGTGGTGGCAGGCACCTGTAATCCTGGCTACTCCAGAGACTGAGGCAGGAGAACCGCTTGAAGCCAGGAGGCGGAGGTTGCAGTGAGCCAAGATTGAGTCACTGCACACCAGCCTGGGCAACAAGAGCGAAACTCCATCTCAAAAAGGAAAAAACAGGTCCAATTTCCACACTTTAATCTTTGGCGGGAGCGTGTTGGGAGTGTACGGCAGTTAAGGTAGTTGGCGAGATTATAAAGCGTTTTCTTATCAGAGCATGCCAGGTCGTTCACTGTGGTCCGTAGTGCCCCCAGGAAATAGCCCTGAGCCCCCGTCCCAGGCTCCAGCTCCCCAGCCCGCTGGGCACAAAGTTGAGAAGAAGGAACTAGAGTGTGTCGGGGACCACAGGCGGGGGTGGGGCTGTGACGTGTGGGAGGGCGGGGCGGGCAGCAGGTGAGACGCCAGGTCTCCAGGGCTCCAATCACTCCGGAGACTGAGCCATGGGGGGAAAGCAGCGGGACGAGGATGACGAGGCCTACGGTGAGACTGGGGCGAGGCCCGGGACCCTGTGGAGGGAGGGGAGGACGGGTACTTTGGGAATGGTGTCTGGGGCTGGCTCCAGGGAGAGGAACTAAGGAGAGTACTGTGTCCCTGAGGGGAGGGCCCGGGAACCGGGAGCCATGGAGGGAGGGAGTCAGGGTCCTGGGAGGAGGATGGGGCCCGGGGGCTGGGGCTGTTGCTGGGGAGCCCATGGGGAGTGAAGCTGGGTGCCTCTGAAGAGTTGGGGCTGAGGTCCTTGGGAGGAGGGGGGTATTTCAGGCCTGGACTCTGGGTCCCTAAGGGCAGGGCCCTAGGAAACAAAGCCGAGATGGAAGGTGGCAGGTTGGGGCCCTGAGCAGAATAGGGCTGGATGCTGGGAGTGTCCTGTGCTGCAGAGCCTGCAACCAGTGAGGCCAGGGTCCCTGTAAGGAGGAGGAGGTTCAGCCTGGAGTCTGGGTCTCTGAGGGCGAAAGCTGCTTGTGGCCTGCCGGCTCCCTTGAGGAGTGAGGGGACCCTGAGTGGGCTGGCCTCTGCCTGCCAGGGTCTCTGGGAGAAGTGGCAGAGGGAGTGGGTTCTGCTGGGGGTCCCTGTGAGGAGTTGGGGCTGAGGGTCTTTGTGGAAAGGGGGCTGGGGTCCTGCCTAGGGGTCTCTGTGAGGAGCTAGGAGCAGGAGCTGGTCTTGGGGTACTCTGAGGAATAGGGACAGGGCCCCTGGGGTTCCTGTGAAGGGTGAGGCCTGAGGGGAGAAACAGCAGGGAGCCTGTTTCCAGAATCTGCAAGGAAAAGGGGCTGGGGTTCTGAGGAGAGAGGGAGCTGGGGACTGGCCTCCAGATCCCCACGAGCAGTGAAGGCTGGGGACTCACCTGCGGAGGCCCCCCTGGTCTTCTGGTCTGAAGGGGAAGGAACCCCTATGAGGGACCTTCTCGAGGAGAGGCTTGAGTCCCTTAGGGCCATAGGGGAGCAGGCAGTGAGGACTCCCGAGTAGACTTCCTGGAGCGGCTTCAGGTCAATCATTGTCCATGAGCCATGGAGGGACAGAGTCCAGCGCACCTGGGGAAAGTGGACCCCACCCGCTCCTTCCCAGACTCCTGCCCAGCCCTCGGCTCTCCCTCCTCAGTGCCCACAAGGAACCCTGACTGCCCAGCCCTCCTCCTCCCTGTGTGTGTACTCAGGGAGGACCAGGAACTCAACGTGCCTGCAATCTCTATGGCTGGGCTCAGGTGTCACTCTGACTGCTGGCCCAGAGCCCGGAGCACACTGTGGCCAGGGGACTGAGGTCCCACCAGAGTGAGGATGTACAGGGCCGCTTCCCTCCCCAGGCCCTGCTGGGGTTGACACCTTTGTCTCCAGTTTCTTTCCCCATAGCCTTGAACCAGAGGGTAAGGTAGGGCCTGGGGCAGATAGGGGAAGAGGCCATGACCTCCCTGAGGGGCTGTGGGTCTGTGTGGTCCCTGGGGAGGGATTAGGGAGGAGGCAGGGATGAGAATGAGGGAGTGAGAGCCACTGGGAGTCCCACATCCCAGCTAAAGGGAGACTCAGGAGAACCGTGCCAGGGTAGGGCAGGGGACCAAGGCCATTTCCCAGACTGACTGCCTTGAGATGTGAGCCGGAAACTATAAAGGCCTTCCTTCCCCTCCCCATGGCAGCCTGGGTGGAGCTCCCAGGGAGCTGCTGAGCTGCTGACCAGGCCTGGATCCTACCTTTCCTGCTCCCCAGTTTTCCCCTCCTGCCAGTCCTGCCCTAGCCCATCTCCCTCCAAACACCTGAGGCCTGGGTAGGATCCTGGGGCTAGGAGGACTCAGCAGGACAAGATATGCAGAGAGAGACTCATCCTCCACACCTCTTCTCATGTCCCTCAGGGAAGCCAGTCAAATACGACCCCTCCTTTCGAGGCCCCATCAAGAACAGGTGAGCTCTGGGCACTGCTCCGGGGGCTGGCGGGGGTGGTGGGTGCAGTGTGGAATCCAGTATTTGCTTTGTATTTGCTAAAATATTAGTAGGAAACTTGTGAAAAAGAGAAACTCCTGCCCCAGATGGGTGGTGCCCTGGGGGGATTGTTGTGTCTGGAGCAGGCATCGAGGGCTTCCCAGTTCTGGGGGGATGTTCTGTTTCTTGACTTAAGTGCCGGCTTCACAAGCGAGAGAACTCACCCAGCTGAGCCCTTGCGAGTTGTGTGCTTTTCTGTCTTTTACTTCAGAAGAAAGTTTACCCACCCAGAAAAAGGTTTTCTTTCTTTTTGTGTTTTGGAGATGGGGGTTCACTGCAGGCTCGAACTCCTGTGCTCAAGTGATCCTCCTGCCCTAGCCTTCCGAGTAGCTGGGACTACAGGCATGCACCATCACACCAGGCTAATTTCTTTGAGATGGGATCTCACTATGTTGCCCAGGCTGGTCTCAAACTCCTGGCCTCAAGGGATTGCCCTGCCTCAGCCTCCCAAGTAGCTAGTATTACAGTCGTGAGCCACTGTGCCTGGCTAGGTTTTCTAAATAAAATATTTAAAAAAAATTAGCCGGGCAGTAGTGGCACGCGCCTGTAATCCCAGCTACTCGGGAGGCTAAGGCAGGAGAATTGCTTGAACCCAGGAGGCAGAGGCTGCAGTGAGCCAAGATTGCACCACTGCACTCCAGTCTGTGTGACAGAGTGAGACCCTGTCTCAAAATAAAAAAGTAAAAGCAATAAAAAAATAAAAATAAAGCCTACTGATGCCCATGCTGCAGCATCACCCAACTCTCTAACCCTTAACCCCTCCAGACCATAAGCCCTACCTCCCCAAGTCTCCTTAGCTCAGCCTCCCGTTTCGTTTCTCTCTCAGAAGCTGCACAGATGTCATCTGCTGCGTCCTCTTCCTGCTCTTCATTCTAGGTTACATCGTGGTGGGGATTGTGGGTGAGTTTCCAGCTGCTCAGAGCCAGGGCAGTGGGTGAGGGACAGGAACCCAGGGAGGGACCATTCCCATAACTGCCCCACTAAGTCCCTGCCCTCCAATGACTCATCTGTGCCTCTGTCTGCAGCCTGGTTGTATGGAGACCCCCGGCAAGTCCTCTACCCCAGGAACTCTACTGGGGCCTACTGTGGCATGGGGGAGAACAAGTGAGTACAAAGGCGAGAAGAGGAGTGCAGGAGCGAGGCGAGGTAGGGTGGGCAGGAGACACCCCCCCAACTCAGGCTCCAGACCTGTCCGTGCTCTTCCACAGCCTTTCCCTGCTGTCCCCACCCCACCTCAGCCTCCCTGAATCTGACAACTCCAGGCCACGTTAAGAACCATTGCTGGACAGTTAGCTTCTTGAGTCCCCCCAGAAATGGGAGGCAGTGGAGAGTCGTGTTAAGTGTATGAGTTTTACAGTTCAGAGATTGGTGTTTGGATCCCCAACTGGACCAAGTTTTGGTTGTGTGGCCTTGGACAAGTTACTCAAGCTCTCTGAGCTTTGATTTCCTTATTTGAAATTCAAGGGGAATTCCAGAAGCAATGCCAACAGTCCTCACATACAGATGTCCAATAAATAATAAAACCTCAAATATTTATATAGCATTTACTATGTTCCAGGCAGGCAGTAAACTTTACACACACAAGCGCATTGAAATCTCATGAGGTAGGCACTACTGTTTTATATGGAGTAGAACTAAGACCGAGAACAGGTGACTTGCTCAAGATCATAAAGATGATATGAAGTTGTGGAGCTCCAAGTTCATGCTCTGAGCTATTTGTCAGCTGCTGCAATGGTGACTTACTCTGAGAGATCTTCTAGGCATCTCCCTACCTCCCCAGCTGAGCTAGGGCCAGGAGCTGGGAGGTGACTGGTATGGGCCACGCTGGGCTGGGCCCACTGTATTCTTGAGAAGCCACCCTAGTGGTCCCTCCCCTCCCCCAACACCTGACCAGGCCCTGATGCACATGGTCCCTCCCCTCCCACAGAGATAAGCCGTATCTCCTGTACTTCAACATCTTCAGCTGCATCCTGTCCAGCAACATCATCTCAGTTGCTGAGAACGGCCTACAGTGCCCCACACCCCAGGTCAGAGCCTGGGACCTGCCTCTACCCCAGATCTCACCCAGGGTCTCAGGTTCCAGCCCCTTAGTGTTCTCTCTGCACCCAGGTGTGTGTGTCCTCCTGCCCGGAGGACCCATGGACTGTGGGAAAAAACGAGTTCTCACAGACTGTTGGGGAAGTCTTCTATACAAAAAACAGGAACTTTTGTCTGCCAGGGGTACCCTGGAATATGGTGAATATTGCCCCTAACCTCATCACTGTCGCCCAGAAGGGCCAGGGTGGGCACGAGAGGGAGGGGGAGTTGGGTAGATCATCACCAGGTTGGCTCTCCTGGGGAGTGTGGGACAGGCTGAGCCCCATGGTGGTGGTGAGGGGACCTGCTTCTTCATCCTGCTCTGTGTCTGTGTGTCTGTCCTTTCACTCCTGCCACAGACGGTGATCACAAGCCTGCAACAGGAACTCTGCCCCAGTTTCCTCCTCCCCTCTGCTCCAGGTGAGAAGCACAGATTCCTTCCTCAGACGTCATCTAGTCCAGTGTTTTCATTGCTTGAATGAAGAAATCAGGCCCAGAGAGAGTGAAGTCACATAGCTTGTTGGTGGCAAAATTGGAATTAGCATCAGGTCTTCATTTTGCTCTTTGTTATGTGGCCTTGCAGTCAGACCATCAGTGTTTTGGGGACCTACTATGTGCCAGGTGCTGGGGACAGAGGCAGGGATAACAACTGCTCCCTGCTTCAGCTACATTCTAGGTGAAGAGATTAGAGTTGTTCACAAAGAGACTGTATGAAAATCTCATGAAAACATACATGGGTGAATCTACACACACATTTTTTTTTTTTTGACGGAGTCTTCCTCTGTTGCCCAGGCTGGAGTGCAGTGGCGTGATCTCGGCTCACTGCAACCCCCGCCTCCCGGGTTCAAGCGCTTCTCTGCTTCAGCCTCCCGAGTAGCTGGAATTACAGCACATGGTGCCCGCCACCACGCCCGGCTAATTTTTATTTTTATTTTATTTATTAAATTTATTTATTAAATTTGTATTTTTAGTAGAGACGGGGTTTCACTATCTTGGCCAAGCTGGTCTTGAACTCCTAACTTCGTGATCCACCCACCTTGGCCTCCCAAAGTGCTGGGATTACAGACATGAGCCACCACGCCCAGCCTGCACACATATCATTTTTATATATGCACAGGGAAAAGGCTAGAAGGATATTTGTTCAAATGTTATAAGTGAACGTGGCTGGGTGGTAGGATCACAGTTGAACTTTTTTTCTTTTACAGTGTGCTCTTCCTTCCAGTAGCAAATGTCTTTTTTTTTTTTTAAGAGATGAAGTCTTGCTATGTTGCCCAGGCTGGTCTTGAACTCCTCGATTCAAGCAATCTTCCCACCTCAGCCTCTCAAAGTGCTGGGATTACAGACATGAGCCCCGACACCCAGTTGCAAATGTCATTTTTAATATAAAACAATTTTTAGGCCAGGCATGGTGGCTCATGCTTGTAATCCTAGCACTTTGGGAGGCTGAGGCAGGCAGATCACCTGAGATCAGGAGTTCGAGACCAGCCTGGCCAACATGGCGAAACCCTATCTCTACTAAAAATACAAAACTTAGCTGGGCGTGGTGGCATGCACCTCTTATCCCAGCTACTCAGGAGGCTGAGGCAGGAGAATTGCTTGAACCCGGGTGGCAGAGGTTGCAGTGAGCTTTGCAGTGAGCCAAGATCGCGCCACTGTACTCTAGCCTTGCTGACAGAGCGAGACTCCGTCTCAAACAAAAATTTTAGGCCGGGAGCAGTGGCTCACACCTGTAATCCCAGCACTTTGGGAGGCCGAGGCGGGCGGATCACAAGGTCAGGAGTTCGAGACTAGTCTGGCCAACATGGTGAAACCCCGTCTCTACTAAAAATACAAAAATTAGCCAGGTGTGGTGGTGGGCACCTGAAATCCCAGCTACTCGGGAGGCTGAAGTAGGAGAATTGCTTGAGCCCAGAGGCGGAGTTTACGGTGAGCCGAGATGGTGCCACTGCACTCCAGCCTGGGCAACAGTGAGACTCCATCTCAAAAAAAAAAAATTAGACAATTTATAGCATAAGATGAGATATCCAGTTATCAATTTAAGTACAGTAAGGAGTATCTCAAGTGAATACTTCAAAGTCAAGTAGATCTGAATATAAATTCTAGCACTTTCCAGCCCTATGGTCTTGACCCAACTATGCAACCTCTCTGAACCTTGTTTCCTCATCTTTAGAATGTAAATAACAGTGAGGTGCAGTGGCTCATGCCTGTAGTCCCAACTGCTCAGGAGGCTAAGGCGGGAGGGTCACTTGAGTCCTGGAGTTGGAGGTTACAGTGAGCTATGATTGTGCCACTGCACTCCAGCCTGGGCAATAGAGTGAGAAACCCTGCCTCTAAAAAATAAATAAGCTAGGTGAGGTGACTCACACCTGTAATCCCAACACTTTGGGGGGCTGAGGTGGGAGGATTGCTTGAGCCCAGGAGTTTGAGGCCAGCCTGGGCAACACAGCAAAACCCCATCTGTACAAAAAATTTAAAAATTAGCCAAGTGTGGTGGTGCACATCTATAGTCCCAGTTGCTTGGGAGGCTAAGTGGGGAGGATCGCTTGAGCCCAGAAGTTCAATGTTGCAGTAAGCTATGATCATGCAGCTGCACTCTAGCCTGGGTGACAGAGCAAGACCTTGACTCAAAAATAAGAAAATAAATAAATAAATAGATAAATAAATGACAAAGCAAGGCTGCCTGGCAAAGTTGTTGCAAGGATGGCAGTAAGTGGCTCTGTAGGCACATAACAGTTGCCAAAGGAGGTGGGGATAAGGTCAGAAGGCTTCCTGGAGGAGGTGAGATGGAGCTGGATTTGAACAGGGAGTCATGGATGGGATTTCTGGTGGAAAGAGAGCCCTGAGAGAGAGGCACAGTAAGAGCAAAGGTACAGAGTAGAAGGGAACATGGGCTGGATTTGCACAGGAGAGCCTGGAAGCCTGGCCAGGGAGTGTGGATGCTGTCTCTGGGGCAGAGCCTCTGGAGATGTCTGAGTCACAAAGGGACCCAGAACCCTGGAGTGATGAAGTCCAGGCAGTGCCACGGTCTCCCTGGCACTCCACTCGGGTGGAGGGTGGATGGAAGGGTGACAGGGTGTTCTAAGAGTTGAGGCCAGCGGAGAGGAGGGTCCAAACCAAGGCACGACAGGGAGGGGAGGCAGGGGATAGACTGGGCTCCACAGGGCAGAAGCCCATTTGTGAAATCAAAAGCAGCCCACTGAGGGATGCAAGGCCCATCACCCTTCCCTCCCCTAAGGGCACTGTGGACTGGGAGGGGGCCAGAGACCCTCCAGGCAGAGCTCCTGGCCCCCAACCCAGCAGCCCGGCTCTCCCTTCCAGCTCTGGGGCGCTGCTTTCCATGGACCAACGTTACTCCACCGGCGCTCCCAGGGATCACCAATGACACCACCATACAGCAGGGGATCAGGTAGGCACCTCCCTCCCCCACATCCTGGCCACACCCCTTCCACCCACAGCCCCATCTGACTCTGTCTCCCCAACAGCGGTCTTATTGACAGCCTCAATGCCCGAGACATCAGTGTTAAGATCTTTGAAGATTTTGCCCAGTCCTGGTATTGGATTCTTGTGTGAGTCACCAGATTCCCCTCCTCTTGTGTCCTTGCCTTCTTCCTCCCTGATCCTCTACCCCCTCGCCCAATGTCTGAAACACAGGCTTTGGACAGAGGAGGAGGAGCCAGAGCTCCGAATGGATTCCAAGACCAACAGGATTTATAAGGGAAAGAGGCCTAATCTGGGGACATTGGGTGGTGTGTGGAAAGGCAGGGAGGGCCTCTGTAAGGGGAAAGATTTGAGGGGCTAGGGCTGAACCTCACTGTCCTCACCCTGCCTACAGTGCCCTGGGGGTGGCTCTGGTCTTGAGCCTACTGTTTATCTTGCTTCTGCGCCTGGTGGCTGGGCCCCTGGTGCTGGTGCTGATCCTGGGAGTGCTGGGCGTGCTGGCATACGGCATCTACTACTGCTGGGAGGAGTACCGAGTGCTGCGGGACAAGGGCGCCTCCATCTCCCAGCTGGGTTTCACCACCAACCTCAGTGCCTACCAGAGCGTGCAGGAGACCTGGCTGGCCGCCCGTGAGTGTCCTGCCCACCCCCAAGCCACCAGCTGCCCAAGGACCGCCCTGGGCCATGCCCGGCCCCAGCCCTGGCCCTGACCTAGGTCTGTCTGCCCCGTCCTCTGCAGTGATCGTGTTGGCGGTGCTTGAAGCCATCCTGCTGCTGATGCTCATCTTCCTGCGGCAGCGGATTCGTATTGCCATCGCCCTCCTGAAGGAGGCCAGCAAGTTAGGGCCTGCCTGGGAGGGAGATGGGGTTGAGGACAGCGTGGACCCAGGAGTGCTAGGGGACCTAGGGGGTGCTAGAGAGGTGGCAGGGAGCCTCAGAGGAGAAGGGAGGAATATAGCACAGTGGTGAACACTGCTGTGGCTTTGCTTCCCCATCTGTAAAATGGGGGTAACAATAATTCCTGCCTTCTAGGGTTGTCTTGAGGATTCAATGAGTGCCTGGAATATGACATAGGCCTTCTAGAGGGGTTGGTGGGAGTGGTGGTGGCTGAGTGGAACGGCAGGAATCCGGGCCAGGAGGGGCAGCAGCTTGCTCCCGATCAGGAACTGCCACACACACCTGCCAAGGGATCACGCTTGGGGGTGATCTTCCCTTACTCCACCCGAAGCTGCCCCAGGTGGCTTCTCTGTGACCCCAGTTTCCTCTAAGGGTCCTGTGAGCCTGATTTATTCAGTTCTGTTTATCCAGTGAGCACCTACAGTATGCCTAGCCCTGCACCAGGCCCTGAGGACACAGATATGAAAGACAATGTCACTAACCCTGTTGGTCCCACCCTGGGGGAGTGGGGCAGGCCCCAGTGAGGGCAGAGGGGTCAGCCCCCCCCTTTTTTTTTTTTTGAGACGGAGTCTCGCTCTGTCGACCAGGCTGGAGTGCAGTGGTGCGATGTCAGCTCACTGCAAACTCCGCCTCCCGGGTTCACGCCATTCTCCTGCCTCAGCCTCCGGAGTAGCTGGCACTACAGGCGCCCGCCACCATGCCCGGCTAATTTTTTGTATTTTTAGTAGAGATGGGGTTTCACCGTGTTAGCCAGCATGGTCTCGATCTCCTGACCTCGTGATCCGCCCGCCTCAGCCTCCCAAAGTGCTGGGATTACAGGCGTGAGCCACTGCGCCCGGCCGGGGTCAGCCCCTTGAGAAGATGGACAGCTGGGGCGGTGCCGGTTAACAGCTTTGTCTCCCTGCAGGGCTGTGGGACAGATGATGTCTACCATGTTCTACCCACTGGTCACCTTTGTCCTCCTCCTCATCTGCATTGCCTACTGGGCCATGACTGCTCTGTATCCTCTGCCCACGCAGCCAGCCACTCTTGGAGTCCTGGGGGGTGATGGAAAACAAAGCAATACTTGCCCTGTAGAGTGCCTTGGTGTCACTGGAAGAGGTGCCCCTTTCTCTGGGCAGACACACCAGCACTGTGCCTGAACAGAGTTGAAAGGGTGCACACAGGCTGAATTTCAGCCCTCTCTGTGCAGCAAACGATCTGCACAAGCACCTAGGAACAGGTCCCTAAGGAGCGAGTGACCTGTGGAGACCTCGTGTGATCATGCTTTCCTTGACTCCCCTCTGGGTACCTGGCTACATCGGGGCAACCCCAGTATGTGCTCTGGGCATCCAACATCAGCTCCCCCGGCTGTGAGAAAGTGCCAATAAATACATCATGCAACCCCACGGTAAGAGGAAGCAGGGGACATGGAGGCGGGACTAGTAGGGGTGAGGGGCTGTAGGGGCCACATTCCTCATTGTGCAGAGAAGACTGAGGCCACAGAGGGCAAGAAACTTGTGCAAGGTCACACACTCAACCCCCAGCAGAGCTAGAAGAAACCAGTTCCCAGAATACCTGGTACTCCTGTTGAGCCATCCATCATGTGGGGAGGGAAACTGAGGCTGGGAGAGACAGCCCTGGATACCAGGACTTACTCCACCCCTCCCCAGGACATTGCTCTGACTTGAGGACCATCAACCACTTCACCCTCTGAGTCTCAGCCTACTCCTGTTTGTTTGTTTGTTTGTTTGTTTGTTTGTTTGTTTGTTTGTTTTGAGACAGGGTCTTGCTCTGTTGCCCAGGCTGGAGTGCAGCAGTGCAATCTCAGCTCACTGCAACCTCCATCCCCCAGGCTCAAGCAATCTTCCCACCTCAGCCTCCTGAGCAGCTGGAACTACTAGCGTACGACACCACGCCAGGCTAATTTTAAGCTTTTTGTAGAGGCAAGGTCTTGCTGTGTTACCCGGGCTGGTCTTGAACTCCTGGGGTTGCCCCGATGTAGTCAGGTACCCAAGCAATCCTCTGGCTTAACCTCCCAAAGTACTGGGATTATAGGAGTGAGCCACCACATGCAGCTCCATTCCTCTGTAAAATGAGGATAATTATAATACCCATCCCTGGGGTGGCTGAGAAGATGAAATGACTTTGGGCACATAAAGTGCTTAGTACAATGCCTGGCACCTGATAAGAGCTCAACAACAGGTTGAATTGTATTATATTGTTAAGTCTTACTCCCTTGGAACACAGAGCCCTAGGTAGTAGCCAGGTGGGACTCCCTGCGGGGGACCCGAGAGAGAAGCTGCTTCCAAAATTCCCCTGTGAGGTTCCCCGGGAGTGGCGCTGGGCTGCTGGGAATTTACTCTTCTCAAACCTGTCATATCTTCACCTCGTCTGAGCTGGGAACATGAGCTGTGCTGCAGGCATTAGCCCCACCCCTATTAAAAAGGGGAGGTTTGGCAGGCGCGGTGGCTCATGCCTGTAATCCCAGCACTTAGGAGGCCGAGGTGGGCAGATCACCTGAGGTCAGGAGTTTGAGACCAGCCTGGCCAACATGACAAAAACCTGTCTCCACTAAAAGTACAAAAATTAGCCAGGCATGGTAGCAGGTGCCTGTAATCCCAGCTACTCAGGAGGCTGAGGCAGGAGAATTGCTTGAACTCGGGAGGCGGAGGTTGCAGTGAGCTGAGATCGCGCCATTGCACTGCAGCCTGGGCGGCGAGACTCCGTCTCAAAAAAAAAAAAAAAGGTTTATTTACATGTACAGAGGACCCACTATGTGCCAGGCACTGGGTATACAAAGCCCAAAATGATGTGGTTCTTTTTCTTTTTCTTTTTTTTTTCTTTTTTAATGAAAAAAAGGCTGTTACACAGGCTGGAGTGCAGTGATGCGATCATGGCTCACTGAAGCCTTGATCTCCCAGGCTCAAGTGATCTTCTCACCTCAGTCTCCCAAGTAGCTGGGACTACAAACAAGTGCCACCATGCCCGGCTAATTTTTTTTTTTAAGAGATGGCGTTTCACTATGTTGCCCAGGCTGGTCTCAAACAAATGGGCTCAAGCAATTTGCCTGCTTCAGCCTCCAAAAGTGTTGGGATTATACACATGAGCAACTGTGCTGGGTATGACGTGA
The DNA here is from genome assembly GCF_000001405.40 of Homo sapiens. Classification (NCBI taxonomy): domain Eukaryota; kingdom Metazoa; phylum Chordata; class Mammalia; order Primates; family Hominidae; genus Homo; species Homo sapiens. The sequence continues at coordinate 3,344,857 of NT_113891.3, read as the reverse complement.
GTGTTGTTTTCAACTTGCTTGTGATCTAGCAGTAAAGACTGACAGAAGGCCGGGCGCAGTGGCTCACACCTGTAATCCCAGCACTTTGGGAGGCCGAGGCAGGTGAATCATGAGGTCCAGAGTTCGAGACCAACCTGGCCAATATGGTGACAGAGTGAGACTCCATCTCAAAAAAAAAAAAAAGATTTTTTGATTAGCCAGGCATGGTGGCACACACCTGCAGTCCCAGCTACTTGGGAGGTTGAAGCAGGAGGATTGCTTGAACACGGGAGGCAGAGGTTGCAGTGAGCTGAGATTGAGCCACTGTACTCCAGCCTGGGCAACAGAGCGAGACCCTGTGTCAAAAAAAAATTTTTTTGGTTATATTTGCTAGAAAGGGTTGCTTTTTAATTTGTGACTTTTTACTTTTTATTATGGGAATTTTTAAACATATGCAAAAGTAGAGATGATAGCACAGTGAGTTCCCTGTACCCAGATTCCACAACCCTCAACTTTTTGCTATTCTTATTTCATCTATATCCTCACCTATAATTTTTTTTTTTTTTGAGATGGAGTTTTGCTCTTGTCTCCCAGGCTGGAGTGCAGTGGCGCGATCTCGGCCCACTGCAACCTCTGCCTCCTGGGTTCAAGCAATTATCCTGCCTCAGCCTCCTGAATAGCTGGGATAATAGGCGTCTGCCACCACGCCCGGCTAATTTTTTGTATTTTCAGTAGAGATGGGATTTCACCATGTTGGCCAAGCTAGTCTTGAACTCCTGACCTCAGGCGATCCGCCCACCTCGGCCTCCCAAAGTGCTGAGATTACAGGCATAAGCCACCGCACCCGCCTCATAAATTTTTTTTTCTGGAGACTTTTAAGGCAAATTCTGGACATCATGCCATTTCACCTGTACATGCATCGAGATGGATCTCAACAGATAAGAACTGTTTAAAAGCATAGCCACTATATCATTATCACATCTCACAAAATTAACAATAATTCCTTAATATCATCAAATACCCAGCCTGTTCAATTTGCCGGAAAGGGTTTTGGTAGACGTTGCAGAGGCTGCTCTGGAATGGGAATGCTGAGTGAGTGCCTTCCCCTCTGATTGAGACTGAGGGAGCTGATTATGCTTATGCTATAGGCAGACCAAACTGAGTTTGAGCCTGGAGATGGAACTCTCCGACAGAACTTGATTCCCGCAGTCCAGAGAAGCTACTTCCCACCTGTCAACTCTGGGAGGGGCAGGAGCTACTGGGAATGGGACGCCCAGGCTCCATACTGAGGCCCCCGATGCCTGAGCCTACTCTATCCCCGTCTACCCTCCCAGGCCCACCTTGTGAACTCCTCGTGCCCAGGGCTGATGTGCGTCTTCCAGGGCTACTCATCCAAAGGCCTAATCCAACGTTCTGTCTTCAATCTGCAAATCTATGGGGTCCTGGGGCTCTTCTGGACCCTTAACTGGGTACTGGCCCTGGGCCAATGCGTCCTCGCTGGAGCCTTTGCCTCCTTCTACTGGGCCTTCCACAAGCCCCAGGACATCCCTACCTTCCCCTTAATCTCTGCCTTCATCCGCACACTCCGGTAAGGATGGGGCAGGGGCCTGGTCATTGTAGGCACGGGGGCCCCAGGGGTCCTGGAGCTGTCTCTGACTGCATAACACCCTCTGCAGTTACCACACTGGGTCATTGGCATTTGGAGCCCTCATCCTGACCCTTGTGCAGATAGCCCGGGTCATCTTGGAGTATATTGACCACAAGCTCAGAGGTGAGTCTGGAGTCGGAGTAGGAGTCAGGAGCTGGGGAAGGCCATTAGGGAGGGGCAGTGACCAAACATGAGCCTTCCTCGCTCCCAGGAGTGCAGAACCCTGTAGCCCGCTGCATCATGTGCTGTTTCAAGTGCTGCCTCTGGTGTCTGGAAAAATTTATCAAGTTCCTAAACCGCAATGCATACATCATGGTGAGCTACACTGCAAGCAACCCTTTGTTCTGGTGCCCTTTGGTCTAGACACCCCCATCCTGGTCCAGGCAGCTCGCCTTGGTAACTCTGACCTTTCCACCTCCCTCAGATCGCCATCTACGGGAAGAATTTCTGTGTCTCAGCCAAAAATGCGTTCATGCTACTCATGCGAAACATTGTCAGGTTAGGCTGCTCCCCCCCCGCTTTGTGGCTCCCTCCTCTGATCTCCCACCCAAGGCTGGCTTCGTGGGTGTGCTGTGCTCAGTCGGGCCCTAGACTTAGTTTAGTGCTCTGCTCTTGCCATCTTGAAACGTGAACAATTTTCATTTTGCACCAGTCCCCACAAATTACGAAGCCAATTTCACTCTCAGCATTGCCAGGCCTCTCACCCTCAACCTGCCCTAACTTCTGGCACAGGGTGGTCGTCCTGGACAAAGTCACAGACCTGCTGCTGTTCTTTGGGAAGCTGCTGGTGGTCGGAGGCGTGGGTAAGGGACCAGAAGCTGTGGGGACAGAGGGTAGGGGTGCTGGGCAGCTGAAGAGGTGGCCTCAGAGGTGCAGCACTAACCCCCAGAATTATTCCACAGGGGTCCTGTCCTTCTTTTTTTTCTCCGGTCGCATCCCGGGGCTGGGTAAAGACTTTAAGAGCCCCCACCTCAACTATTACTGGCTGCCCATCATGGTGAGTGACTCCCCTCTCTGCTGCTCCACCCCCAACTCCCCAGAGGAACCCAATAACCCCAACGGGTCATGTCTTCCAGACCTCCATCCTGGGGGCCTATGTCATCGCCAGCGGCTTCTTCAGCGTTTTCGGCATGTGTGTGGACACGCTCTTCCTCTGCTTCCGTGAGTGACACCCCCAGCCACCTGTCCCCAACCTTAAAGTACTGAGCCGTTCAAGCATTTTTTTTTTTTTTTGGAGATTTGGTGCTTCTAGAAACAATGCCTTTGTGAGCTAAACGAACCAGAGGGAGCTTCTTGTGACATCCTGAGGCCAGGCGTTTAGGGAAGAAGGAAGAGAGTGAGCCCCCAGGCCGGTAGGCTCTCCAAAGAAGGAGCATTCTGATGGAGAGGTCTCTGCTATCTTCCCTAAGAAATCTCGGGTAGAAGTTAGCCATTAGAGGCCAGGCATGGTGGCTCACGCCTGTCATGCCAGCACTTTGGGGGACCGAGGTGGGCAGATCACCCTGAGGTCAGGAGTTCGAGACCAGCCTGGCCCACATGGTGAAACCCCTCCCTACTAAAAATACAAAAAATTAGCTGGGCGCGGTGGCGGGCGCCTGTAATCCCAGCCACTTGGGAGGCTGAAGCAGGAGAATCGCTTGAACTCAGGAGGCGGAGGTTGCAGCGAGCCGAGATTGCGCTACTGCACTTCAGCTTGGGCGACAGCAAGACTCCGTCTCAAAACAAAGAAAAAAGATTAAAAAAAAAAAAGAGCCATTAGAGAGACTTCCCAGCAGGTGGCTGTAGCGGCAGGGGATTTTCTTACTCTACAGCATGCATCCATTCAGGGTTTGCCAGTCTCCTCCTAAGCGACTGACATGCATTTTTTCCGCTAATTCTTATCATCGCTCTATGCAACATAATATTCCCGACCCCACTTCACAGGAGGAAACTGAGATTACATAACCTGCCCGGGGGTAAGGGTGGTGGTGCAGCTTGGATTCCAAATCCCGCAGGCAGCTTGCCTCCCAGTCCCCGATTTCCTGGCCCCAGGGTCCGCTCTAACCGGTCTCTGTTGCGGCTCAGTGGAAGACCTGGAGCGGAACAACGGCTCCCTGGACCGGCCCTACTACATGTCCAAGAGCCTTCTAAAGATTCTGGGCAAGAAGAACGAGGCGCCCCCGGACAACAAGAAGAGGAAGAAGTGACAGCTCCGGCCCTGATCCAGGACTGCACCCCACCCCCACCGTCCAGCCATCCAACCTCACTTCGCCTTACAGGTCTCCATTTTGTGGTAAAAAAAGGTTTTAGGCCAGGCGCCGTGGCTCACGCCTGTAATCCAACACTTTGAGAGGCTGAGGCGGGCGGATCACCTGAGTCAGGAGTTCGAGACCAGCCTGGCCAACATGGTGAAACCTCCGTCTCTATTAAAAATACAAAAATTAGCCGAGAGTGGTGGCATGCACCTGTCATCCCAGCTACTCGGGAGGCTGAGGCAGGAGAATCGCTTGAACCCGGGAGGCAGAGGTTGCAGTGAGCCGAGATCGCGCCACTGCACTCCAACCTGGGTGACAGACTCTGTCTCCAAAACAAAACAAACAAACAAAAAGATTTTATTAAAGATATTTTGTTAACTCAGTAAATCTGTGACTCATTCTCTCCACGACGACAGGCGGCCTTTTTTTTTCCGCGCCCGGCTCTTTAAAATCGGCCCCGCCCCTGTGACGTGTCCTGGTGCCGCGGCCAATCAAAAAGCCCAATAAGGATGGTGCCAGTCCCTTCTTCACCCCAGCCAGTCCGCTTCCCGTTCGGGTCACGCGCTCCGGGCCTCCAAGAGGGCCTCCAAGAGGGCCAATCGGAAGGGCAAGCTTCGAGATGCTGCGTGATCACGTGGGAGGAGATGAGCTACTTGAAGACCAATTAGAGTCCGGGAAGCGCGGCGGGGCCTCCAGACCGGGGCGGGCTTAAGGGTGACATCTGCGCTTTAAAGGGTCCGGGTCAGCTGACTCCCGACTCTGTGGAGTCTAGCTGCCAGGGTCGCGGCAGCTGCGGGGAGAGATGACTGGGGAGCGACCCAGCACGGCGCTCCCGGACAGACGCTGGGGGCCGCGGATTCTGGGCTTCTGGGGAGGCTGTAGGGTTTGGGTGTTTGCCGCGATCTTCCTGCTGCTGTCTCTGGCAGCCTCCTGGTCCAAGGCTGAGAACGACTTCGGTCTGGTGAGTCACCCTTTGCATAGCCCCATCCCCGACCCGCGCAGGTGATCGACACCTAGTGTCCCCCGGAACGCGGGCGGCTGAGCCGACTTTCCGCGACAGGACCCTTTTCTTTCTCCCAGACCCCGTTTCCTCCTACCGCTCCCAGCCCCTCTCCCTCTCCGGGTCCCCGTCCTTCTCCTCATTCGAGCCCCTTCCTCTTTTGGGGTCCCCTTCCCTCCCTGAAGGCGCCTTCTCCTTTCGTAGACCCTCCCCTGCTCCGAGCCTCCAGCTTCGCTCCAAACTCCCCTTCGTGTTCCTCTTTCTTGTTCTGGGACCCCATCCCCTACTCGGGATCCCCATTAGATCCTCCCTCTCCCATCGGAACGTGGGTTCCTAAAACCCCCAAGACAAGTTTGTCTTTGTTGACCCTTCCTCCTCCCATGACAGGTGCAGCCGCTGGTGACCATGGAGCAACTGCTGTGGGTGAGCGGGAGACAGATCGGCTCAGTGGACACCTTCCGCATCCCGCTCATCACAGCCACTCCGCGGGGCACTCTTCTCGCCTTTGCTGAGGCGAGGAAAATGTCCTCATCCGATGAGGGGGCCAAGTTCATCGCCCTGCGGAGGTCCATGGACCAGGGTATAAAGATGTCTGGGTGAAAGAGCCGGTGCTAGGTTGGATGGGTGGGCAGCCCAATGAGCCCAAGGGCCCTGAGGATAGGGGAACTTAGAGGGTTGGTTGCCTGAGTCCCTGAGGGGTAGAGGGAACCCGAGAAGGGCAAGTGTCTAGGACAGTGATCTGGAAATTGGGATCACCAAGGAGTTGGACATTCACTTAGCAAACATTTATTGGGTACTATATACCTATACCAGGCACTATTTTAGGTTTCATGAATATAGCCACGAACAAAACAGATCAAAAATCTCTGCCCTCAGGATTTAAATTGTACTGGAAGGAGACAGACAAGCATAATAAACAAGTAAACTTTTTTGTCTGTTGCAAGGTGATAAATGCAATGGAGAAAAATAAAACAGGACAAGAGGTATAGATAGTGCAAGTGTTGGATTGCACCCTGGGACCATCGGAAGGCCTGAGGTCCCTAGCAGAAGGTGGGAAATTAACGGGAAGTGGTAGAAAGGGTACCTGCAGAGTGCTCACTCTGGGTTTCTTCCTCCAATTTTTTTCAGGCAGCACATGGTCTCCTACAGCGTTCATTGTCAATGATGGGGATGTCCCCGATGGGCTGAACCTTGGGGCAGTAGTGAGCGATGTTGAGACAGGAGTAGTATTTCTTTTCTACTCCCTTTGTGCTCACAAGGCCGGCTGCCAGGTGGCCTCTACCATGTTGGTATGGAGCAAGGATGATGGTGTTTCCTGGAGCACACCCCGGAATCTCTCCCTGGATATTGGCACTGAAGTGTTTGCCCCTGGACCGGGCTCTGGTATTCAGGTCTCTGTCCTAGGAGATAGGTGGAGGGGGCTGCCTTGTGGAGAGTCTGAGGGATACCCCCAAATGGACTCCTTTCCAAGGGGAAGATTCTCTGAAGTCAGATTTTCTGGCTTGGGTGGGATTCCTTGAAAGACAGGGCATCCTGGTAGGAACACATTATCAGGAGAAGAGGGAACTCTGCCATTGGCTTCCCATTTGGCATTGTCAACAGGACTGCGTTAGTCCATGCAATACCCTCATGCAAAGTAGAAAAAGGCACTGCCTCTTTGGACAGACACAAGCCTGTGCCAGGGTGCACAGCTTGGCGAGTGAGCACAGGTTGGGTTTAAGCTCTCATGCACCCTGTGGCTGGGCCCCTGGTGCACATGTCCAGCTGTACACCCTGGGAGAGCTTCTTAATTCAAACAGGGTGTGTATTTATGGGATCTGACTGGAACCCTCAGTGAGCAAGGGCTGAACTCAAGGGGACCATACATGTGATTGCATTTGGGAAGTGGTGGGTTCTCTGTCCCTGCCTCTGAGCCCCTAGAGTCTCCTTCTGTGACACCCAGTTCCCTTTCCCACAGAAACAGCGGGAGCCACGGAAGGGCCGCCTCATCGTGTGTGGCCATGGGACGCTGGAGCGGGACGGAGTCTTCTGTCTCCTCAGCGATGATCATGGTGCCTCCTGGCGCTACGGAAGTGGGGTCAGCGGCATCCCCTACGGTCAGCCCAAGCAGGAAAATGATTTCAATCCTGATGAATGCCAGGTCAGGAGTCCATGAGATGTTCCCTACCCATTTGACCCTCCCTGCCCTCCAGAACATCATTTCACGCACAGACCCAGGGTCTGACTGCTCCACTCAGTGCCACACACCCTTGCTCCCCTCGGGGACAGGGCATTTTCCCTGTTCCCTCCCTGAGGTCCTGTCCTCTCCCCTCAGCCCTATGAGCTCCCAGATGGCTCAGTCGTCATCAATGCCCGAAACCAGAACAACTACCACTGCCACTGCCGAATTGTCCTCCGCAGCTATGATGCCTGTGATACACTAAGGCCCCGTGATGTGACCTTCGACCCTGAGCTCGTGGACCCTGTGGTAGCTGCAGGAGCTGTAGTCACCAGCTCCGGCATTGTCTTCTTCTCCAACCCAGCACATCCAGAGTTCCGTGAGTGCCTCATGGGTGGGGTCAGCAGGGAGAGCCCTGTGTCTAGACAAGGCCTGGGCAGAGACCCTCTCTCCCTGACTCTCCTGCTCTCCCCAGGAGTGAACCTGACCCTGCGATGGAGCTTCAGCAATGGTACCTCATGGCGGAAAGAGACAGTCCAGCTATGGCCAGGCCCCAGTGGCTATTCATCCCTGGCAACCCTGGAGGGCAGCATGGATGGAGAGGAGCAGGCCCCCCAGCTCTACGTCCTGTATGAGAAAGGCCGGAACCACTACACAGAGAGCATCTCCGTGGCCAAAATCAGTGTCTATGGGACACTCTGAGCTGTGCCACTGCCACAGGGGTATTCTGCCTTCAGGACTCTGCCTTCAGGAACACAGGTCTGTAGAGGGTCTGCTGGAGACGCCTGAAAGACAGTTCCATCTTCCTTTAGACTCCAGCCTTGGCAAAATCACCTTCCCTTTACCAGGGAAATCACTTCCTTTAGGACTGAAAGCTAGGCGTCCTCTCCCACAAAAAAGTCCTGCCCTCATCTGAGAATACTGTCTTTCCATATGGCTAAGTGTGGCCCCACCACCCTCTCTGCCCTCCCGGGACATTGATTGGTCCTGTCTTGGGCAGGTCTAGTGAGCTGTAGAATTGAATCAATGTGAACTCAGGGAACTGGGGAAGGCTGAGCCTCCTCTTTGGTGTTGCGGTAAGATAACCGACAGGGCTGGTGAAAGTCCCCAGATGGCAGGATATTTGGTTTCAGAGTAAGGACTAGGTGCACCACCATGACTGACTATCAATCAAAATGTTTGTAACTTAAAATTTTTAATGAAGGATAATGAATATTTGTAGAGTCTCTATGGTTCTGTCAATGCACATCTTCGTGTCTGTTTTCCTCATGTATCCTTGTGAGCCTGGGTGAGTTCTGGGGAGAGACCTGATGTGCGTACTGCCTGTGAAAATCTGACTTTGGCAAATCAAATCCTCTTTTCCTTTTGACATGCCCTCTTTTTTTGTTGTTGCTTTTTTTGAGACAGGGCTCGCTCTGTCACCCAGGCTGGAGTGCAGTTGCACAATCACGGCTCACTGAAGCCTCAACCTCCTGGGCTCAAGTGATCCTCATGTCTCAGCCTCCGGAGTAGTTGGGACTACAGGTCAGTGACACCATGCCTGGTTAATTTTTTTAATTTTTATTTTCAGTAGAGACAAGGTTGCGCTATGTTGCCCAGGCTGGTATGGAACTCCTGTGCTTAAGCAATCCTCATGCCTCAGCTTCCCAAAGTGCTGAGGTTACAGCTATGAGCCACCGCACCCAGCCTACATTCCTTCTTATCACCGAGAAACAGGTTGATCTTCACAGGTGTAATGAGTATGAAGGGAGTGCCATAAGATATTTTTTATTTTTTATTTATTTATTTTTTAATTTAATTTTTTTTTTTTTTGAGATGGAGTCTTGCTCTGGCACCCAGGCTAGAGTGCAGTGGTGCGATCTCGGCTCACTGCAACCTCTGCCTCCCAGGTTCAAGCGATTCTTCTGCCTCAGCTTCCCGAATAGCTGGGATTACAGGTGCCCACCACCACACCCGGCTAATTTTTGTATTTTTAGTAGAGACGGAGTTTCACCATGTTGGCCAGGCTGGTCTCAAACTCCTGGCCTCAGGTGATCCACCCGCCTCGGCCTCCCAAAGTGTTGTGATTACAAGCATGAGCCATGGTGCCGGCGGGCTGATTTTTTTAATTTTTAGTAGAGACAAAGTCTCACTATATTGCCTAGGTTGGTCTCAAACTGCTGAGCTCAAGCAATCTGCCGGCCATGTTCTCTCAAAGTGCTGGGATTACAGGCTTGAGCCCCTGCACCCAGCCTGTAAGATATTTTAAAATCCACACTTGGCCAAGCGTGGTGGCTCACACATATAATCCCAGCACTTTGGGAGGCCAAGGTGGGCGGATCACAAGGTCAGGAGTTCGAGACCAGCCTGGCCAATATGGTGAAATCCCATCTCTACTAAAAATACAAAAACTAGCCAGGCGTGTTGGCTTACACTTATAGTCCCAGCTACTCAGGTGGCTGAGGCAGGAGAATCACTTGAACCAGGAGGCGGAGTTTGCAGTGAGCTGAGATCACAGCACTGCACACCAGCCTCGGCAACAGAGTGAGACTCCGTCTGAAAAAAAAAAAATCCACGCTGTTTTATATTTCTAACATGGGGTAGGATACCATCCTCCATGAAATAGGGTGCAAGTGTGTGAAATGCAGATGGGAATCCTGTCCCAGCTAGCCTGACAGAGAAGTGAGCACTTCCTATGGCAAATTATGTAAGAAAATATTCCCCAGGCAGATGCTTATGAAAAGAATCTGTTCAGCCTGCAGGTAAGTGGGAGAGCCCTTGCTCAAAAAAAAAAAGAAAAAGAAATAGTGGAAGACAAAAAGGAAAGGACACTATGAATGTCTGACCCATGAACTACTACCTGTTAGAAACAGAAGTGCTGGGAGGCTTGAGAGACAGACACTACCTTCCTGGCTAGGTGTGGTGGCTCAGATCTGTAATGCTAGCACTTCGGGAGACCAAGGCAGGATGATCAAATTAAAGGGCATCCTGGGCAACATGGCAATACCCCATGTCTAAAAAATTTAAAAATTAGCCAAGCATGGTAACGCACACCTATAGTCCTAGCTACATGGGAGGATGGCTTGATCTCTTTGACCCCAGGAGTTCGAGGCAGTAGTGAGCTATGATTGCACCACTGCACACCAACCTAGGTGACAGAGTGAGACCTCATCTCCAAAAAACCAAACCAAAACAAAAAACCTTCAAGAAAGAAAAAAAGCTTGACCTTCCCTCCCTCACTCTTTACAGACCCATGGAATCTGAAGCTCTGGTGTTGGAGCCACCAGGCATTAACAAGCCTTCTGGGTGATTCGTAATACGTTTAAGTTTGAAAACCAGGGTCAGAACTTTTAAACAAGTGCAAGTGTCCAGCTAAAATGAATTATATGTACGTCAAAGTTGCAGAAATAGTTAAAGAACCTTTTTTTTCCAGCTTTTTTTTTTTCTTTTAATACACAGGGAAGGGTCAGGTGCAGTGGCTCACGCCTGTAATCCCAGCACTTTGGGAGGCCGAGGTGGGCGGATCACAAGGTCAGGGGTTCTAGACCAGCCTGGCCAACATGGTAAAACCCCATCTCTACTAAAAATACAAATATTAGCCATATGTGGTGGCACACGCCTGTAGTCCCAGCTACTCGGGAGCCTGAGGCAGGAGACTCACTTGAACCTGGGAGGCAGAGGTTGCAGTGAGCCGAGATTATGCCACTGCCCTCCAGCCTGGGCGACAGAGCAAGACTTCATCTTAAAAAAAAAAAAAAATACACAGGAAAGATTGGGACAAGTGGCAGGAGACTGAAAGGGGAAAGAGCTTGTTTGTACTAATGGGACAAAGTGGGCCGACTCTGGGCACACTGCTTATGAGTTAGCTCTACTCTGTGAGGAAATTTTTTTTTTTTTTTTGAGACGGAGTCTTGCTCTGTTGCCCAGGCTGGAGTGCAGTGGCGCAATCTTGGCTCCCCGCAACCTCTGCCTCGCTGGTTCAAGCAATTCCCCTGCCTCAGCCTCCTAAGTAGCTGGGATTACAGGCGCCTGCCACCACGCTCGGCTAATTTTTTGGTATTTTTAGTAGAGACCCGGTTTCACCATGTTGGCCAGACTGGTCTCGAACTCCTGACCTCAGGCAATACGCCCGCCTCGGCCTCCCAAAGTGCCGGGATTACAGGTGTGAGCCACCCCACCCGGCCAAGGAAATATTTAAAAAATAAAATAAAATAAGTTATTTAAAAATTGGGGCAAGTTGGCTGGGCACGGTGGCTCACGCCTGTAATCCTAGCACTTTGGGAGGCTGAGGAAGGGGGATCACTTGAGGTCAGGAGTTCAAGACCAGTCTGGCCAACATGGTGAAACACTGTCTCTACTAAAAATTCAAAAAATTAGCCAGGCATTGTGGCAGGCACCTACAATCCCAGCTACTCAGGAGACTAAGGCAGGAGAATCGCTTGAACCTGGGAGACGGAGATTGCAGTGAGTTGAAATCATGCCACTGCACTCCAGCCTGGGCTATGGAGCGAGACTCTCCCTCAAAAAAAAAAAAATCGGGGTAAGTGTTATCAATCTAAAAAATAATAATTAAAAAGTTCAGAATCTAGGCCAGGCGCTGTGGCTCACACCTATAATCCCAGCACTTTGGGAGGCAGAGGCAAGCGAATCACCTGAAGTCAGGAGTTCAAGACCATCCTGGTCAACATGACGAAACCCCGTCTCTACCAAAAATACAAAAATTAGCTGGGTGTTGTGGGTCGCGCCTGTAGTCCCAGCTATTCAGGAGACTGAGGAAGGAGAATCGCTTGAACCCGGGAGCGAGAGGTTACAGTGGGCCAAGATCATACCATTGCATTCCAGTCTGGGAGACACAGCGAGACTGTCTTAAACAAACGAACAAAAGCTGAGAATCTAGTGTTGTTGCTTTTTACAGATGGAGTCTTGCCATGTTGCCCAGGTTAGATTCAGACTGAAGTTCAAGGGATCCTCCTGCCTCAGCCTCCTAGAGTAGATAGAGTTGGGACTGCAGGCACATACCACTGTACCAGGCTTAGAATCTAGTTTAAAGAGTTTATCCACCGGCTCTCCCTCCCTCTCCCTCTGTCTCCCTCTCCCCACGGTCTCCCTCTCATGCGGAGCCGAAGCTGGACTGTACTGCTGCCATCTCGGCTCACTGCAACCTCCCTGCCTGATTCTCCTGCCTCAGCCTGCCCAGTGCCTGCCATTGCAGGCACGCGCCGCCATGCCTGACTGGTTTTGGTGGAGACGGGGTTTCGCTGTGTTGGCCGGGCAGGTCTCCAGCCCCTAACCGCGAGTGATCCCGCCAACCTCAGCCTCCCGAGGTGCCGGGATTGCAGACGGAGTCTCGTTCACTCAGTGCTCAATGGTGCCCAGGCTGGAGTGCAGTGGCGTGATCTCGGCTCACTACAACCTACACCTCCCAGCCGCCTGCCTTGGCCTCCCAAAGTGCCGAGATTGCAGCCTCTGCCCGGCCGCCACCCCGTCTGGGAAGTGAGGAGCGTCTCTGCCTGGCCGCCCATCGTCTGGGATGTGAGGAGCCCCTCTGCCTGGCTGCCCAGTCTGGAAAGTGAGGAGCGTCTCCGCCCGGCCGCCATCCCATCTAGGAAGTGAGGAGCGCCTCTTCCCAGCCGCCATCACATCTAGGAAGTGAGGAGCGTCTCTGCCCGGCCGCCCATCGTCTGAGATGTGGGGAGCGCCTCTGCCCCGCCGCCCCATCTGGGATGTGAGGAGTGCCTCTGCCCGGCCGAGACCCCGTCTGGGAGGTGAGGAGCGTCTCTGCCCGGCCGCCCCGTCTGAGAAGTGAGGAGACCCTCTGCCTGGCAACCACCCCGTCTGAGAAGTGAGGAGCCCCTCCGCCCGGCAGCTGCCCCGTCTGAGAAGTGAGGAGCCTCTCCGCCCCGCAGCCACCCCATCTGGGAAGTGAGGAGCATCTCCGCCCGGCAGCCACCCCGTCCGGGAGGGAGGTGGGGGGGGTCAACCCCCCGCCCGGCCAGCCGCCCCATCTGGGAGGGAGGTGGGGGGTCAGCCCCCCCAACCGGCCAGCCGTGCCATCCGGGAGGGAGGTGGGGGGGTCAGCCCCCCACCTGGCCAGCCGTGCCGTCCAGGAGGGAGGTGGGGGGGTCAGCCCCCCGCCCGGCCAGCCGCCCCGTCCGGGAGGTGAGGGGTGCCTCTGCCCGGCCACCCCTACTGGGAAGTGAGGAGCCCCTCAGCCCGGCCAGCCACCCCGTCCGGGAGGGAGATGGGGGGGTCAGCCCCCCCACCCGGCCAGCCGCCCGGTCCGGGAGGGAGGTGGGGGGGTCAGCCCCCCGCCTGGCCAGCCGCCCTGTCCGGGAGGGAGGTGGGGGGGTCAGCCCTCCGCCCGGCCAGCCGCCCCGTCTGGGAGGTGAGGGGCGCCTCTGCCCGGCCGCCCCTACTGGGAAGTGAGGAGCCCCTCTGCCCGGCCAGCCGCCCCGTCCGGGAGGGAGGTGGGGGTGTCAGCCCCCCGCCCGGCCAGCCGCCCCGTCCGGGAGGGAGGTGGGGGGGGTCAGCCCCCCCGCCCGGCCAGCCGCCCCGTCCGGGAGGTGAGGGGCGCCTCTGCCCGGCCGCCCCTACTGGGAAGTGAGGAGCCCCTCTGCCCGGCCAGCCGCCCCGTCCGGGAGGGAGGTGGGGGTGTCAGCCCCCCGCCCGGCCAGCCGCCCCGTCCGGGAGGGAGGTGGGGGGGTCAGCCCCCCCGCCCGGCCAGCCGCCCCGTCCGGGAGGTGAGGGGCGCCTCTGCCCGGCCGCCCCTACTGGGAAGTGAGGAGCCCCTCTGCGCGGCCACCACCCCGTCTGGGAGGTGTGCCCAACAGCTCATTGAGAACGGGCCAGGATGACAATGGCGGCTTTGTGGAATAGAAAGGCAGGAAAGGTGGGGAAAAGATTGAGAAATCGGATGGTTGCCGTGTCTGTGTAGAAAGAAGTAGACATGGGAGACTTTTCATTTTGTTCTGCACTAAGAAAAATTCCTCTGCCTTGGGATCCTGTTGATCTGTGACCTTACCCCCAACCCTGTGCTCTCTGAAACATGTGCTGTGTCCACTCAGGGTTAAATGGATTAAGGGCGGTGCAAGATGTGCTTTGTTAAACAGATGCTTGAAGGCAGGGTGCTCGTTGGGAGTCATCACCAATCCCTAATCTCAAGTAATCAGGGACACAAACACTGCGGAAGGCCGCAGGGTCCTCTGCCTAGGAAAACCAGAGACCTTTGTTCACTTGTTTATCTGCTGACCTTCCCTCCACTATTGTCCCATGACCCTGCCAAATCCCCCTCTGTGAGAAACACCCAAGAATTATCAATAAAAAAATAAATTTAAAAAAAAAAAAAAAAAAAAAAAAGAGTTTATCCAACTGCAAATGTTGAGGAAGTGGCCCGTCTAGAGCTGAAGATTCCAAAGAATATTAGTCTATGTTCCAAAAGTGTAGAAGTTTGGAATCGCTTATATAAACAGAAAGTTTATGGAAACTTAGAATTTCAACATTGTTCTGTGTTCACAATTGGTGGGTTCTTGGTCTCATTGATTTAAAGAATGAGGCCGCAGACCCTCACGGGGAGTGTTACAGTTCTTAAATGCGGCGCCTCTGGAGTTGTTTGTTCCTCCCGGGGGGTTCGTGCTCTCGCTAGCGTCAGGAGTGAAACTGCATACCCCTGCGGTGAGTGTTACACCTCATAAAAGTAGTGTGGACCCAAAGAACAAATAGCAATAAAATTTATTGCAAAGACGGAAATAACAAACCTTCCACTCTATGGAAAATGACCAGAGCGGGATGTCACTACTCACTCAGGCAGCCTGCTTTTATTCCCTTATCTGGCCCCACCCACATCCTGCTGATTGGTCCATTTTACAGAGAGCTGATTGGTCCGTTTTACAGAGAGCTGATTGGTCCATTTTGACAGGGTGCTGATTGGTGCGTTTACAATCCCTGAGCTAGACACAAAAGTTCTCCATGTCCTCACTAGATTAGCTAGATACAGTGTCGATTGGTGCATTTACAAACCCTGAGCTAGACACAGGATGCTGATTGGTATATTTACAAACCTTGAGCTAGATACAGAGTGCCGATTGGTGTATTTACAATCCCTTAGCTAGACATAAAGGTTCTCCAAGTCCCCACCACACTCAGGAGCCCAGCTGGCTTCACCCAGTGGATCCCGCACTGGGGCCGCAGGTGGAGCTGCTTGCCAGTCCTGCCCCATGCGCCTGCACTCTTCAGCCCTTGGGAGGTTGATGGGACTGGGGGCCGTGGAGCAGGGGGTGGCGCTCGTCGGGGAGGCTCTGCAGCACAGGAGCCCACGGCGGGGTTGGGGCTCAGGCATGGCGGGCTGCAGGTCCTGAGTCCTGTCCTGTGGTGAGGCAGCTAAGGCCCCGTGAGAAATCGAGCACAGCAAGCTGCTGGCCCAGGTGCTAAACCCCTCACTGCCCTGCCCGGGGCTTGTGGGCCAGCCTGCCGCTCCAAGAGCGGGGCAGCCGAGCCCACGCCCACCCGGAACTTGCGCTGGCCCACAAGCGCTGCGTGCAGCCCCGGTTCCCGCCCGCGCCTCTCCCTCCACACCTCCCCGCAAGCCGAGGGAGCCGGCTCCGGCCTCGGCCAGCCCAGAGAAGGCTCCCACGGTGCAGTGGCGGGCTGAAGGGCTCCTCAAGCGCGGCCAGAATGGGCGCCAAGGCCGAGGAGGCGCCGAGAGCCAGCAAGGGCTGCGAGGGCTGTCAGCACGCTGTCAACTCTCAGTTCTATGGTAAGGCTTATTGCATAGTTACAATGATCTGATTAGTCAATTTTTTTTTTCTTTTTTGGGGGGTGGGGGAAGGTGTTTTTTACATTCCACACTGAAGATGCAATAGTCATGGGGTCTTGGGTGCCATCTGGTCTGAGTCAGGTACAGGACAATAAAGGAGGCAGTTAATCTACAACAAAGATCAGTGATTGGAAAGGAGGTCTCATTACAGAACAAGAGCAATGAGGAGGAGAGTCTGTAAGAAGCAGAATTGCAAACATGCTACATGACTCAGTCTCCAAGGCTTAACTTCCATCTTGGCATAAACTTAGAGTCCTGAAGTTTTGTTTTCTTTTTACGGTGGACTTTGCACATCATTGCCTGGTGAGTGCCCGCTGGATCAGCAGCCAAATTCTAGCATGAAACCCTTTCCCCAACATCCCCTTTCACCTTGCATGGCCCTCCTTCCCTTCACACATTGATCCCCACTCCCAGCCCCTTTGCTTAGGATCAAACCAGCTCAAGCTCTCTCTGTCTTCTCAGCTGTCCCTTAAATAAGGGAAAGAGACAGTAACAATGAACACTGACCTGAACAGCAAATACCAGGGACCAGGGACCATGGATACTTTTTTGCTAATGTAATCCTTCCAACCAAAAGTCATGACAAGGAGGGAATAGGAAAAAGTATTTTTTTTTTTTTTTGAGACAGGGTCTTACTCTGTCACCCAGGCTGGAGTGCAGTAGCATGATCACAGCTCACTGCAACCTTGACCACCTGGGTTCAAGCAATCTTCCCACCTCAGCCTCCTGAGTAGCTGGGACTACAGGCACTTGCCACCAAGCCCAGCTAATATTTTCATTTTTGTAGAAACAGGGTCCCACTATGTTGCCCAGGCTGGTCTTAAACTCCTGGGCTCAAGTGATCCTTGACCACCCCACCCGCTCGGCCTCCCAAAGTGCTAGAGTTACAGGCCTGCCCACCCATAGCCATCTAATAATTTTTGCCCAAGAAAGGATTGGGAAGGAAGATCAAAGCAATGGCTTGGACATCTTTCCAACAACAACAACAACAACAAAACCACAACAGACTCAAATTACCATAGTAGAAGTATAGGTCTTCCTTTTCCTAATACTCTGGGATTTTTTTTTTTTTTTGAGACAGAGTCTTGCTCTGTTGCCCAGGCAGGCTGGAGTGCAGTGGCGTGATCTCAACTCACTGCAACCTCCGTGTCCCAGGTTCAAGTGATTCTCCTGCCTCAGCCTCCTGAGTATTTGGGATTATAGGTGCCCACCACCACACCTGGCTAATTTTTTGTATTTTTAGTAGAGATGGGTTTTCACCATGTTGACCAGGCTGGTCTCTACTAAAAATACAAAAATTAGCTGGGTGTGGTGGCATGCCCCTGTAGTCTCAGCTACTCGGGAGGCTGAGGCAGAAGAATCGCTTGAACCTGGGAGGCAGAGGTTGCAGTAAGCCGAGATCATGCCACTGCACTCCAGCCTGGTGACACAGTGAGACTCTGTCCCAAAAAAAAAAAAAAAAGAGGCCGGGCGCAGTGGCTCATGTCTGTAATCCCAGCATTTTGGGAGGCCAAGGCAGGCGAATCACCTGAGGTCAGGAGTTCAAGACCAGCCTCACCAACATGGAGAAACCCAGTCTCTACTAAAAATACAAAATTAGGCTGGGCACAGTGGCTCACGCCACCCAGCACTTTGGGGAGGCCAAGGCGGGCGGATCACCTGAGGTCAGGAGTTCAAGACCAGCCTGGCCAACATGGTGAAACCCCCGTCTCTACTAAAAATACAAAAATTAGCCAGGCGTGGTAGTGCATGCCTGTAATGCCAGCTACTGAGGAGGCTGAGGCAGGAGAATCGCTTGAACCCGAGAGGGGAAGGCTGAAGTGAGCCGAGATCACGCCACTGCACTCCAGCCTCGGCAACAAGAGCGAGACTCTGTCTCAAAAAAAAAAAAAAAAAAAAAAAGCTGGCCAGAGGCGGTAATTACATGCCTGTAATCCCAGTCCCAGTACTTTGGAAGGCCAAGACGGGCAGATCATTTGAGCCCAGGAGTTTGAGACCAGCCTGGGCAACATGGCAAGACCTCATCTCTACAAAAAATTTAAAAATTAGCTGGGGCAGTGGCCCACACCTGTAGTTTCAGCTACATGGGAAGCTGAGGTGAGAGGGTCACTTGAGCCCAGGAGGTAGAGGCTGTAGTGCACCAAGACCGCACCACTGCCCTCAAACCTGGGCGACAGGGCAAGAAACTTGTCTCAAAAACAAACAAATAAGAAACCCACAGCACATTAGGTCAAATACTTTTATAAAAAATTTTTTTAGGCCGGGCACGGTGGCTCATGCCTGTAATCCCAGCACTTTGGGAGGCCAAGGCGGGCGGATCACAAGGTCAGGAGATCCAGACCTCCTGGCTAACACGGTGAAACACTGTCTCTACTAAAAATACAAAATATTAGCCGGGCGTGGTGGCGGGAGCCTGTAGTCCCAGCTACTTGGGAAGCTGAAGCAGGAGAATGGAGTGAACCTGGAAGGCAGAGCTTGCAGTGAGCTGAGATGGTGCCACTGCACTCCAGCCTGGGAAACAGAGCAAGACTCTGTCTGAAGAAAAAAAAAATTAGAGTGAAAAAATAAAAAGGTTGATGAGTCTGTGTTTCACGAAAAACTCTCCAAACTCCCAAACTGTTTTAAACTTTTTCCTCCTCTACTCTCTCACTCTCTCCCCCCAGCCACACTCACACACACACTTTTTTTTTTTTTTTTTTTGAGACAGAGTCTCGCTCTGTCACCCAGGCTAGAGTGCAGTGGCATGATCTCGGCTCACTGCAACCTCCGACTCCCAGATTCAAGTAATTCTCCTGCCTCAGATTCTCAAGAGTAGCTGGGATTACAGGTGTTCACCACCACACCCGGCTAATTTTTGTATTTTTAGTAGCGATGGGGTTTCTCCATGTTGGCCAGGCTGGTCTCAAACTCCTGACCTCAGGTGATCCACCTGCCTCCGCCTCCCAAAGTGCTGGGATTACAGCCGTGAGCCACTGTGCTCAACAACACACTTCTTTTAAAGACAGGGTCTCACTCTGTCACCCAGCCTGGAGTGCAGTACTGCAATCATAGCTCACTTCAGCCTTGACCTCCCAGGCTCAAGCAATCCTCCCACCTCAGCCCCATGAGTGGTTGGAACCACAGGTGTGTGCCACCACACCTGCTAATTTTTGTATTTTTTGAAGACACGAGGTCTCGACATGTTGCCCAGGCTGGTCTTGAACTCCTGGGCTCAAGCAATCCACCAACCTCGGCCTTCCAAAGTGCTGGGACTACAGGTGTGAGCCATGGTAACTGGCCTGAATATTAAGTGCTATTAGGGAATTAAATTTGCTTTTCTCAGGTATAATAGTATTGTGAATATGCAGATGAACATCCTTATTTTTTGGAGATGCATACTCAAATACAAAGGGATAAAATGTCATAATCTCTTTAATATACTTTGAAATGATCCTACCAAATATAAGTACATACAGATGCTAATATCATTGTTTTTGCCAATTTTCTTTTTTCTTCCTTTTAGATACAGGGTCTTGGTCTGTCGCACAGGCCGGAGAGCAGTGAGTGGAACAATCATGGCTCTGTAGCCTCGACCTTCTGGGCTCAAGTGATCCTTCCATCTCAGCCTCCCAAGTAGCTGGGACTACAGGTGCTTGGGAGTACACCTAATTTTTTAATTTTGTAGAGAAGTGGTCTCCGCCCAGGCTGGCCTCAAACTCCTGCACTCCAGCAATCCTCCTGCCTTGACCTCCCAAAGTACTGGGATTACAGACATTAGCCACCACGCCCAACCAAAACTTTTAAAAGTTTTTTTTTTGTTTTATAACAGTTCCTCTGCCTCTTTTAGAGGCAATCAACCCAGTGTGGAGCACAGGTATTCCCTGGGTGGCACTAGGAGATGGGACTTGCTCCCTGTTTCAAGGTGGTACCAGCTAATGCTGCAAGGCCCTTTGAAGAAGGCTCCCCCTTCCCAGTTTATTATCTGCCATCAGTAAATAACTGGGGATTATCAGCTGACACCTTTATCTTCACTACATTCTTTAGAATTTAAGACAGGCAACAGCCAGCCTAGAATGTGACCCACTTCCACCTGAGGTTCACCTGACTGGAGGCAATAAAGTTTAACATTTCAAGAGTCAGCAGGTACTTTAACCCTTAGGATAATTTGTTTCTTTATATAGTCTTTGGAAAATAACACAAGAATTAAAAAAAAAAAAAAAAAAACAGCCAGGCTTGGTGGCTCAGGAGGCAGAGGCTGCAGTGAGCCAAGATGGCTCCAGTGCACTACAGCCTGGACAACACAGTGAGACCCTGTCCACCCCACTCCCCCCCAAAAAAAGTCATGGGAAAGTAGAATGCTAATGAAAAGAAAGTACTACAATCAACAAACTAACAGATGGGCCTGAGATGCTAAAAACCAGGTACCCCTGTACGCCATTGGGCAGCAGAGCTCATGATGGCTCTGTGGCTGTTCTGGCTGCAGGTAACAAATCCATGTAACAAACAAAGTAGGCTGGGTGCAGTGGCTCACGCCTGTAATCCCAGCACTTTGGGAGGGCGAGGCAGGTGAATCACAAGGTCAGGAGTTCAAGACCAACCTGACCAACACGGTGAAACCTTGTCTCTACTAAAAATACAAAAATTATCCAGACGTGGTGGCACCACCTGTAATCCCAGCTACTCAGGAGGCTGAGTCAGGAGCATCGCTTGAACCTGGGAGGCGTAGGTTGCAGTGAGCTGAGATCATGCCACTGCACTCCAGCCTGGGCAACAGAGCAAGACTCCCATCTCAAAAACAAAAACAAAGCAGCTCTGGAGTTGGAGTATCTCATTCCATCCTTCATGTTTCAAAACTTCCTTTTCATATCACCTCTGATTTCTCTGCTCCACATTATGGATTATTTCTCCCTCCAACTCACTAATTCTTCATTTAGTTGGTCTGCTGTTTATCTTGTTTATTGTGTATCTTTGTTGTTTTTTTTGGTTTTTATTTTTAGAGATGGTGTCTTGCAATATTACCCAGGCTGGTCTCGAACTCCTGGGCTCAGGTGATCCTCCCACCTTGGCCTCCCAAAGTGCTGGGATTACAGGCATGAGTCACCATACCCAGCCCCCAAGCTATGTTTTTAAGATACTAAGAAATATTTCAGACATGCAAAAATAAGAAATGAGAGGCCAGGCACATTACATATGCTTACATACTACCAGTATGTAAACATATATTAATGTTACATACAACTAATATGTAAACATTACGTACCACTAGTTGTTGGTTTTGTTTTTTTTGAGACAGAGTCTCATGCTTTTGCCCAGGCTGGAGTGCAGGGGTTCAATCTTGGCTCACTGCAACCTCCACCTCCTGGGTTCAAGCAATTCTCATGCCTCAGCCATCAGAGTATCTGGGATTACAGGTGTGCACCACCACACTTGGCTAATTTTTGTATTTTTAGTAGAGACAGGGTTTCGCCATGTTGACCAGGTTGGTCTCAAACTCCTGGCCTCAAGTGATCCACCTGCTTCGGCCTCCCAAAGCGCTGGAATTACAGGCATGAGACACTGCACCCAGCCCCAAAAGTTTTTAAGGTTATTTCTGGGCTCTAGAATTTCCTCACAACCCAAAAGATGCAAATTTCATCCATGAGTTCTGTTGGTGCAGGTTTGGGTGTACCCCACAAAGCCTGCGGCTGTGACTCTGGCCAATGGGTAGAAATTTTACTCCTCGAACACTGACAAAAGAGCTCCAAGCAGCTCCTGGGTTTCTGTAGCATGGCTGAAGCAGAGTGGAAATGGGGTTTCACCATGTTGGCCAGGCTGGTCCCCAACCCCTGACCTCAGGTGTAGAAGATGAGGTCAGAAAGTTGACAGAGCTAGACTGGGAGGACCTTGTTGGGTGGCCCTTGTAAGATGGAGACTTTTACTCTGAGTGAAATGGCAGCTGTTACAGGATCTTCAGAAGAGGGGAGACATGACCTGACTCCTGATTTGGAAGGAACCTTCTGGCTGCTGTGTGGAGAGAGCCTGTAACGGGCAAAAGTGGAAGCCAGGAGACCAGGTAGGAGACAGTTGCAGTTGTCTAGGTGAGAGCCAATGGTGGCTCCCACCAGGATGGAGCAGCAGTAAAGGTGTGAGACACAGATCCTCGTGTCATTTCTAAGATACAGACAGTATGATTTGCTGACAAATTAGATGTAGCATGTGAGAACAGGAGAGCAGTCAGGCAGATTCCAAGGGTCTAGCCTAAGCAACTGGCAGGTAGAGGTGTCACCTGGAGGGCCAGCACACTGGCCAGTGGGTAAGGATTCCAAGGATTCTTGTCTCCCATTTCTGTGGGGAGACAGGCTGAGGCCAAGCCTTAGGAGGCTCACTGCCTACAGTAGCTGAAGTAGCAGGCTAGCCGCTATTAGAGTAACTGCAAGCTGGGGAGTTCAGCCTGGGAGGATGGGAAGGAGGACTGTTTATTACTGAAGTTGCTCCACTCCTGGTATGGAAATGGGGCCTAAAGAAATGAGGAAAATAGGCCGGCGGTGGCTCACGCCTGTAATCCCAGCACTTTGGGAGGCCAAGGCGGGTGGATCACGAGGTCAGGAGATCGAGACCATCCTGGCTAACACGGTGAAACCCCGTCTCTACTAAATATACAAAAAATTAGCCGGGTGTAGTGGTGGACGCCTGTATTCCCAGCTAATCGGGAGGCTGAGGCAGGAGAATGGCGTGAACCCGGGAGGCGGAGCTTGCAGTGAGCCGAGATCGCGCCACTGCACTCCAGCCTGGGCGACAGAGCGAGACTCCGTCTCAAAAAAAAAAAAAAAGAAATGAGGAAAATAGCATTTTGGGGTTGAGGTCTTTCAGCATCACCACTGTGTGAGAAAAGAAGTTCACGTGACCATCTTACCATGGCTGTAGCTCAGTCTTATACCCCAAACCTGGGATTAGCACCCACCACACAGGGGAGGACTTGAACCATACAAAGGGCAGGGGAATGCAGAAGAGACCCTTGGGGACAAGAAATGAAACCAACAAAGCTGAGTATGGTGGCATATGCCTGTTGCCCCAGCTACTGAGGAAGCTGAGGCGGGAGGATCACTTCAGCCCAGGAGTTCAAGTCAGACCTGGGCAACAGAGCATGACTCTACCTCTTCATTTATTTATTTAGAGATAAGGCTCACTCTGTTGCCCAGATTGGAGTGCAGTGGCACAATCATGGCTCACTGCAGCCTCAACTTCCAGGGCTCAAGCAATTCTCCCATCTCAGCCTCCCAAGTAGCTGAACCACGGCATGCCATCACAACCGGCTAATTTTTAAAATTTTTTGTAGGAACTGGATTTCACCGTGTTGCCCAGGCAGACTGGTCTCAAACTCCTGGGTTCAAGAGATCTGCCCACCATGGCCTCCCACAGTGCTGGGGTTGCAGGTGTGAGCCACCGCACTATGCTTCTTTTTTGTTAGAGACGGGATAGGCCGGGCTTGGTGGCTCAAGCTTGTAATCTCAGCATTTGGGGAGGCCAAAGCAGGTAGATCATTTGATTTCAGGAGTTAGACACCAGTCAGGCAATATAGTGAAACCTTCACTGTATAAAAAATTTAAAAATTAGCTGGGCATGGCTGGGCGCGGTGGCTCACCTGTAATCCCAGCACTTTGGGAGGCCGAGGCAGGTAGATCATGAGGTCAGGAGATCGAGACCATCCTGGCTAACACGGTGAAACCTCGTCTCTACCTAAAATACAAAAAAATTAGCCAGGCGTGGTGGCTGGCACCTGTAGTTCCTGCTACTCGGGAGGCTGAGGCAGGAGAATGGCGTGAACCTGAGAGGCAGAGCTTGCAGTGAGCCAAGATCGCGCCACTGCACTCCAGCCTGGGTGACAGAGCAAGACTCCGTCTCAAAAAAAAAAAAAAAAGGTCAGGTACGGTAGCTCACGCCTGTAATCCCAGCACTTTGGGAGGCCAAGGCAGGTGGATCACGAGGTCAGGAGATCGAAACCATCCTGGCTAACACGGTGAAACCCCATCTTTACTAAAAATACAAAAAATTAGCTGGCCGTGGTGGTGGGTGCCTGTAGTCCCAGCTAGTCGGGAGGCTGAGGCAGGAGAATGGTGTGAACCCAGGAGGTGGAGCTTGCAGTGAGCCGAGATTGCACCACTGCACTCCAACTTGGGCGACAAAGCAAGATTCTCTTTCAAAAAGAAAAAAAAATTAGCTGGGCATGATGGAGCACCTGTAGTTCCAGCTACTTCAGAGGCTGAGGTGGGAGGATCACTTGAGCCCAGGAGGTCAAGGCTGTAGTGAGCTGTAATCTTGCCACTGTACTCGAGCCTGGGCAACAGTGACACCCTGTCTCAAAAAAAAGAGAGGGTAGGCCCGGTGCAGTGGCTCACACCTGTAATCCCAACACTTTGGGAGGTGGGTGAATCACCTGGAGTCAGGAGTTTGAGACCAGCCTGGCCAACATGGTGAAACCCTATCTCTACTACTGAAGAAAAAAAAAAAAAAGAGGGTGGGTAGGAACTCTGTTATCTATTTACAAACAAGGAAATTGTTATGGGAATCACTGAGGAACTTAGCCAAAGTTAACCTAGCAGTAAGTGTTCAGTCTGGCTCCTGAATCTTTTTGAAACAGTCTCACTCTGTCACCCAGGCTGGAGTGCAGTGGTGCCATCTTGGTTCACTGCAACCTCCACCTCTCAGGTTCAAGCGATTCTCATGCCTCAGCCTCCCAAGTAGCTGGGCTTACAGGCGCATGCCACCATGCTCGGTTAACTGTATGTATGTATGTATGTATTTTGAGATGTAGTTTCATTCTTGTTGCCCAGGCTAGAGCATAATGGCATGATCTCAGCTCACTGCAACCTCCGCCTGCCAGGTTCAAGTGATTCTCCTGCGTCAGCCTCCCGAGTCGCTGGGATTACAGGCGTGTGCCACCACACCTGGCTAATTTATTTTTGTATTTTTAGTAGAGACAGGGTTTTGCCATGTTGGCCAGGCTGGTCTCAAACTCCTGACCTTAGGTGATCCACCTGCCTCGGCCTCCCAAAGTGCTGGGATTACAGGCGTGAGCCACCATGCCTGGCCCTAATTGAGATGGAGTCTCACTCTGTCGCGCAGGCTGGAGTGCAGTGGCGGGATCTTGACTCACTGCAAGCTCCACCTCCCGGGTTCACGCCATTCTCCTGCCTCAGCCTCCCGAGGAGCTGGGACTACAGGCGCCCGCCACCACGCCCGGCTGATTTTTGTATTTTTAGTAGAGACGGGGTTTCACCGTGTTAGACAGGATGGTCTTGATCTCCTGACCTCGTGATCTGCCCGCCTCGGCCTCCTAAAGTGCTGGGATTACAGGCGTGAGCCTGGCCCTTTTTTATATTTTTTTTAGTAGAGATGGGGTTTCACCATGTTGGCCAGGCTGGTCCCTAACCCCTGACCTCAGGTGATCTGTCCGCCTCAGCTGCGATTACGGGCATGAGCCACCATGCCAGGCCCTGAAGTTTTTTATGTCCACAAATGTGTATGGAAGGGTGGACTCCAAATGAACTACAGGAAAATACATGAACAACAACAAAAGTTGCAGGCCAGGTGTGGTGGCTCTGGCCTAGAATCACAGCACTTTCACTTTCAGAGGCTGAGGCTGGCGGATCACCTAAGTTCGGGAGACCAGCCCGACCAACATGGAGAAACCCCATCTCTAATAAAAATACAAAATTAGCCGGGCGTGGTGGCATATAATCCCAGCTACTTGGCAGGCTAAGGCAGGAGAATCGCTTGAACCCAGGAGGCAGAGGTTGTGGTGAGCCAAGATAGTGCCACTGCACTCCAGCCTGGGGAACAAGAGCAAAACTATGTCTCAAAAAACAAAAAAGGCTGGGCGCGATGGCTCACGCCTGTAATCCCTGCACTTTGGGAGGCCAAGGCGGGCGGATCACGAGGTCAGGAGATCCAAGACCATCCTGGCTAACACAATGAAACCCGTCTCTACTAAAAATACAAAAAAATTAGCCGGGCACCTGTAGTCCCAGCTACTCCGGAGGCTGAGGCAGGAGAATGGCTTGAACCTGGGAGGCAGAGCTTGCAGTGAGCCGAGATCGCGCCACTACATGCTGCCTGGGCGACAGAGCGAGACTCCATCTCAAAGATAAATGAAATAAGTAAATGTCAGGCGTGGTGGCTCACGCCTGTAATCCCAGCATTTCAGGAGGCCGAGGCGGGCGGACGGTGAGGCTAGGAGTTGGAGACCACCCTGGCCAATGTGGTGAAACCCCGTCTCTAGTAAAAATACAAAAATTAGCTGGGCATAGTGGTGCGCGCCTGTGGTCCCAGCTACTCGGGAGGCTGAGGGAGGAGAAATCGCTTGAACCTGGGAGGTGGAGGTTGCAGTGAGCTATCGCGCCACTGCACTCCAGCCTGGCGACAGAGCAAGACTCTGTCCCCCCCGCCCCCCAGAAAAGCAGAAAGTTGCAGTAGAACACATGAAGATTTATTCTTTTTGAAAAATGAAAAATGGGCCAGCATGGTGGCTGTTTGTAATGCCAGCACTTTGGGAGTCCAAGGTGGGCAAATCACAAGGTCGGGAGTTCGAGACCAGCCTGGCCAACATGGTGAAACCCCCATCTCTACTAGAAATACAAAAAATTAGCGGGGCATGGTGGCGGGCACCTGTAGTCCCAGTGATTTGGGAGGCCCAGGCAGAATAATGGGGTGAACCTGGGAGGCAGAGATTGCAGTATGAGTCGAGATCACGCCACTGCACTCTAGCCTGGGCGACAGTGCAAGACTCCATCCCCCCAAAAAAGAAAAATGTTGTCTCGTGTCTGGTGAATCATTCCATTTTTACAAAGTTCAAAAGATACGCAAAATTAAAATGATATTGTTTAGCAATGCACTCAGTAAAACTATTAAGAAAAGCCAGAGGATGATATACCCAGTTAATTCTCCAAGTAGGAAGAAGAAAAAGAGAAATTGAATCAGACAGGTTTGTTTCAAAGTTATTGGTAATGTTCTGGCCAGGCACATCATTTGAGGTCAGGAGTTCGAAACCACCCTGGCCAATATGGTGAAACCCCTATCTCTTCAAAAAATACAAAAATAAGGTGTGCAGCTGTAGCCCCAGCTACTGGGAACGCTGAGGCACGAAAATCACTTGAACCCGGGGAGAGGCTGCAGTGAACCCAAACTGCACCACTATATTCCAGCCCAGGTGACAAGGTGCAACTGTCTCAAAAAAAAAAAGATGGCTAATTGGGTAGCCGTGGACACTTTACAATCATTAAAAAAAACTCAAATTCGGCCAGGCACAGTGGCTCACACCTGTAATCCCAACACTTTGGGAGGCTGAGGCAGGCGGATGGCTTGAGGTGGGTGGATCACCTGAGGTCAGGAGTTCGAGACCAGCCTGGCCAACATGGTGAAACCTTGTCTCTACTAAAAGTACAAAAAATAGCTAGGGGAGGTGCCAGGCGCCTGTAATCCCAGCTACTCAGGAGGCTGTGAGGCAGGAGAATCACTTGAACTCAAGATGCAGAGGTTGCAGTGAGGCGAGATTTTGCCATTGCACTCCAGCATGGGCAACAAGGGCGAAACTCCACCTCCTCCCCTGCCAGAAAAACCATCTCAAATGATTGTCAAAAGTCTAGTGTATTATACATAATACTATGTCACCCAACCAAGAATCTCTAATATTAGGCTTAAGAGTTAAGCCTAACTCAGCATTAACTAGCTCACGGGGCTTCATCTTTCTTTTTTTTTAAGACGGAGCCTGTCGCCAGGCTGGAAGTGCAGTGGCACGATCTCGGCTCACTGCAACCTTGGACTCCCTGGTTCAAAGCCATTCTCCTGCCTCAGCCTCCCGAGTAGTTGGGATTACAGGTATGTATCACCACACCCAGCTAATTTTTGTCCTTTTTTTGTTTTAGTAGAGACAGGGTTTCACCATGTTGGCCAGGATAATCTCAATCTCCTGACCTTGTGATCCACCCACCTCGGCCTCCCAAAGTGCTGGGATTATAGGCATGAGCAACTTGCGCCCAGCCCCCTTAATCTTTTTGTACCATTGTTCTGAGACCAAACCACGTCTCCTTTACTTTAAAATGCTTTATTGGAATTATTTTGATAAAAGCAAATACTTGTATATAAGACAAATATAGGAAATAGAAGCTATCTACTTGAAGTGCCCCCTAATTTTCAGGCATTTTTCCCCCAATAAGGTGACAGCTGCTCACACAGGATAATACAGGAAAGTTGTAAGTTCTTAGGATATGCCCAGCACCAGGCGGAAGATATTGTGTCAGCAAATTCCTGAAAAATAATAAAAAGAACATTAGAACCATATGAGATGCACCAATAAAAAAACGATTTCATATCCTTTGCAGCAACATGGATGCAACCACAGGCCATGATCCTCAGTGAATCAATACAGAACAGAAAACCAGATACCATATGTTCTTACTTGTAAGTGGGAGCTAAATGTTGAGTATACATGGACATAAAGATGGCAACAGACACTGGGGAGAGGAAATGGGGCAAAGGTTTAATAACTATTGGGTACTATGCCCACTACCTGGGTGATGGGGATAATCCTACCCCAAACCTCAGCATCATACAATGAACCCAAGTAACAAAACTGCACATATACCCCCTAAATCTACAATAAAAGCTGAGGCTGGGCATGGCAGCTCACGCCTGTCAATTCCAACACTTTGGGAGGCCAAGGCAGAAGTGTTCGGAGGCCAAGGCAAGACAATCACTTGAGCCCAGGAGTTTCAGACCAGCTTGAGCACCATAGTGGGACCCCATTATCTACAGCTTTTTTTTTTTGAGATGGAGTCTTGCTCTGTTGCCCAGGGTGAAGTGCAATGGCGCAGTGCAATGGCGCCATATCAGCTCACTGCAACCTCCACCTCCCAGGTTCAAGCGATTCTTCTGCCTCAGCCTCCCAAGTAGCTGGAATTACAGGCGCCCGCCACCCATGCCCAGCTAATTTTTGTATTTTTAGTAGACAGGGTTTCACGGTGTTGGCCAGGCTGGTCTTCAACTCCTGACCTCAGGTGATCCACCCACCTTGGCCTCCCAAAGAGCTGAGATTACAGGCATGAGCCACCACACCCATCCTCAAATTTAAAAAAAAAAAAATTAGCCGGGGATAGTGGTGCATGCCTGTAAGTCATTAGCTACTCCAAGGGTGAGGTGAGAGGTGAGCTTCCACCCAGGAGGTTGAGGCTGCAGTGAGCTGTGACTGCACCACTGCACTCCAGCCTGGGTGACAGAGCAAGACTGTCTCAAAAAATAGAATAAAATTGTCAGATGCTATGGCTCACACCTGTAATCCCAGCACTTTGGGAGGCTAGGGCGGGCAAATCACCTGAGATCAGGAGTTCAAGACCAACATGGTGAAAACTCCCATCTCTACTAAAAATACAAAATTAGCTGGGCATGGTGGCGCATGCCTGTAATCCCAAGTACTCGGGAGGCTGAGGTTACAATGAGCTGAGAATGTGCCACTGCACTCCAGCCTGGGCGACAAAGTGAAACTCCATCTCAAACAAAAAATAAATAAAAATACATGTTGCGGGCTGGGCTCGGTGGCTAATACCTGTAATCTGAGCACTTTGGGAGGTCAAGGTGGGCAGATCTCTTGGTCAGGAGTTCAAGACCAGCCCGGCCAACATGGTGAAACCCTCTACTAAAAATACAAAAATTAGCCAGGACTGGTGGCGCATGCCTGTAATCCCAGCTACTTGGGAGGCTGAGGCAGAATTGCTTGAACCTGGGAGGCAGAGGCTGCAGTAAGCCAAGAGTGTACCACTGCACTCCAGCCTGGATGACAGAGCAAGACAGTCTCAAAAAACACACAAAACATGTTGGGGTGGGGCACAGTGGCTCACTGAGGCAGGAGTTGAAGACCAGCCTGTGCACAAAGTGAGACCCTGTAATACAGTTTAGATCTGTCTCCCCACCAAATCTCATATTGAATTGTAATGGATCACTGGGGTGGATTCCTCATGAATGGCTTAAGCACCATCCTCCTTGATGCTGTGCTCATGACAGTCAGTTCTCTAGAGATCAATTTATTAAAAATGTGTGGCACCTCCCTGCCTTTGCTGCTGCTCTGGCCATGCTACATCCCTGCTTCCCTCTGTACCTTATGCAATATAGTTTCCTGAGGCCCCCACCAGAGGCTGAGCAGATGCCAACACCATGCTTCCTGTACATCCTGCAGAACCATAGCCAATTAAACCTCATCATGTAAGTAACTGGCCATAAAAACATGAATTACAGGAGATTGCCGGCAGGATGAAGGTGGATCAGGTGGGTTCAAAGATCCTCAGAGAAAAGCTCAGAGACTCTTGTCCAACCAGATCATCATTACCACTCCCACTGAGAGCCAAAACAAAAGATACTCACCATAGCAAGGAAGGAGAACAGGCATGGCTCTCCACCTCTCCCAGCCTGAAGGTCAAGTTGCAGGAATCACTGTCTAAGCATGACAGCCATACAAAGCTTCTCTCCATGAGGGGGAGATTCCAAACCTTAGACCTTCACTCAGATTAGTGCAGAATCTCTGTGAAGGTGCATTGTCCCTGGCTGGGCTTCCAGAGTTCATTCTAACAAGGTGAAAACAAGACAATTTGAAAATAAACAGAATTATGGCCCTCCCATTGGCCCTTCTGGAGACCCAAGTATCCAGTTCCCTAAATGAGTCAGAACTTAGTTTTGACATCATGACCAGCATCGGAGACTCTAGTCTGTGAAATCATCATTCCCAATTAGGGAGATCTGGATCAAGGGAAGCTCTTCTGGAAAGAGATCTAGTACACTCAAAGAAAACACAACAGTCCCAGTATATATTGATCTAACAAATGAGTCCAGGAGTGGACGTTAGAAAGGGAGGAGTAGAAAGTAATTTAAAACAGCAGAGAACAGCTCCACTGGGAGGCCCCAGTGTACTCCTATTTTGCAGTAGAAATGAGGGGAGGAGTCAGGTTACCCAGCCTTTAACAAAAATACGGGGATTTATTAAAACGTAAAAATACAGGCCGGGCAAAGTGGCTCACGCCTGTAATCCCGGCACTTTGGGAGGCCGAAGGGCGTGGATCAACTGAGGTCAGGAGTTTGAGACCAGCCTGACCAACATGAGTGAGACTCATGTCCCCCCGCCCCCTAAAAAAGTAAAAATAGAATAGTCACAAGGAAAATGATGTAAACTAAAAAGAGTAAGACTGTCCCCCCGCCCCCCAAAAAAGTAAAAATAGTCACAAGGAAAATGATGTAAACCAAAAAGTAATCTCTAGAAAGTCACCAACACCAGACGCAGCAACTCACCCCTGTAATTCCAGCACTTTGGGAGACTGAGGCAGGAGGACTGCTTGAGCCCAGGAGTAGAGACCAGCCTGGACAACATGGCAAAAGCCCGCTTCTGTAAAAAAACTAAAAATTAGCCAGGCGTGGTGGTAGCACGTGCCTGCAGTCCCAGGAAGCTGAGGTGGAAAGACCACTTGAGCCCTGACGGTGGATGTTGCAGGGAGATCCTGGCATTGCGCCCTGTCTCAAAAACAAAATAGCAAAAACAAACAAATGGAAGTCACCACCTGTGGTACATGGATTATAGCTCAAAAAAGAAAAAGTGGCCGGGCACAGCGGCTCACGAGGTCAGGAGATGGAGACCATCCTGGCCAACATGGTGAAACCCCTTCTACTAAAAACAGAAAAATTAGCCGAGTGTGGTGGCGCGGGCCTGTAGTCCCAGCTAATCGGCAGGCTGAGGCAGGACAATCGATTGAACCCGGGAGGCAGAGGTTGCAGGGAGATCGTACCATTGCCAGCCCGGGCAACAAGATCAAGACTCCATCTCAAAAAAAAAAAAAAAAAGGAAAAAATTGGCTAAGGTGGGAGAATCGGTTAAACCCGGGAGTTGAAGGCCGCACTGAATTGTGTTCTTGCCACTGCATTCCAGCCAGGGTGACAGGGAGGCTGTCTTAAAAAAAAAAAAAAAAAAAAGGCCGGGCGCGGTGGCTCACGCCTGTAATCCCAGCACTTTGGGAGGCCGAGAGGGGCGGATCACGAGGTCAGCAGATCGAGACCATCCTGGCTAACACAGTGAAACCCCTTATCTATTAAAAAATACAAAAAATTAGCCAGGCTTGGTGGCATGCGCCTGTAATCCCAGCTAATCGGGAGGCTGAGGCAGGAGAATCGCTTGATCCCAGAAGGCGCAGGTTGCAGTGAGATCGTGCCACCGCACTTCAGCCTGGGTGACAAGGCGAGACTGTCTCAAAAAAAAAAAAAAAAAAAAGGGCAGGGAGGCGCATAATGCCCATGAACGAAAGCTTGCTTGGGAACAAAGCTTTCCGAAGAGGCATTCAAAAGGCTCTCGCACCTAATACTCACCTTTACTCAAGGATAACACGGCGATGAACGTCTTACAACTCCTAACGGGGAAATGAAACAGAACAAAAGATTAGGAATCTTGGCCATGAACTCGTTGAGCCTGAGAAATGCTGGACCGAGGGGGCGGTCAGAGCGCTGCGGTGATGGCATCAGCGACACACTCAGAGTTACCTGGGGTCATCATCACTCCCTTCCTATCCCCGGGCGACCGCCACCCCCATTTTGCAATCACTCGCCCAACCCCACTCACAGTTGTTTTGAGTCAGCAGGGGCTGTGGGGCCGCTAGCCGAGTTCCCCCTGCCACGAGCTAGGTCAGTTCCAAGCAAAGACACCAGAAACTCCAGTGTGCAACGGTAGTTCACCCAACTGCACTGGGGACCGCCCTCTCCTACCCCAGCCAGGCCGCGACGTGGCCGCCCGCCGGCTGCTGCGCAAAGGCAGCGCAAGCCGTTGGGATCCCCTGCTCCCCCTCACTCAACAGTCGGGCCATTACAACTCTCATACTGCCAACCCACGAGCCCACTTCGCAAAAAGAACTAAAATGGCGAGGCCGGGGCCATTTATGGCGGCGCCGGGTTGGGGGCCTGACGGGTATAGTTGTTTTCTTATCTGCCTGGCTAGACGCGCGGCATTTTCCCCATTGTTTGTCCACACAGAAATAAAACAAAGTGAAAGAAAGACCAGGAAAGTATGTTTCACACTCCTCTGGGCAAATATTCGGAGATGCTTTCTGAATTTTGAAAAACAAAAAACAGGGATCTGTCTGGCCAGGCGGAAGAAAGTCCCCGGCGCCGGCCGGCCAGCGCCAGCCGGGTGCTGCTCCTAAGCCGTTTCCCAGCAGCCCATGGTCCGTTAATGACCCTGGGACTCTTCCCGCGCGCGCGCGGGCGCGCGCAGCTGCGCCAGTTTAGCGTCCAGCTACCCTGACACTTCGCACTCCGTTCCCCCAGCGAAATCTGAATTTGCCTCCCAGTTCGATCCCGCAGACTGTCAGGCACCCTAACCTTCAATTAAACAAAACAAAACAAAAACCAAAAACCCAAAAGGCAGGTCGGACGTAATAGGTCACGCCTGTAATCTCAACACTTTGGACAGGCCCAGGCAGAGGATCATTTGAGGCCCGGAATTCGGGACCAGCCTGGGCAAATAGTGACACCCAACCCCCGTCTCTATTTATTTAAAAATTAGGCCGGGCGCGGTGGCTCACGCCTGTAATCCCAGCACTTTGAGAGGCCGAGGCAGGTGGATCACGAGGTCAGGAGATCGAGACCATCCTGGCTAACACGGTGAAACCCCGTCTCTACTAAAAAAAAATTAGCAGAGTGTGGTGGCGGCGCCTGTAGTCCCAGCTACTCGGGAGGCTGAGGCAGGAAAATGGCGTGAACCCAGGACGCCGAGCTTGCAGTGAGCCGAGATTGCGCCACTGCACTCCAGCCTGGGCGACAGGGCGAGACTCTGTCTCAAAAAAAAAAAAATTATTGAAACTCATAAGTCATTTCAAATCCTTTCTGGACCCTTTCCTATCGCCCCCATTTATAAACGCGTATGATGTTTGGTGATGTGTGTTGTGTGTGTTGGTATCTTTTTCTTTTTTGAGACGGAGTCTGACTCTGTTGCCCAGGCTGGAGAGCAGTGGCGGGATCTCGGCTCACTGCAACCTCCGCTTCCTCGGTTCAAGCGATTTTCCTGCCTCAGCCTCCGAAGTAGCAAGGATTACAGGTGCACACAACCATGCCTGGCTAATTTTTATATTTTTAGTAGAGTCAGGGTTTCACCATGTAAGCCAGGCTGGTCTCGAACTCCTGACTTCAGGTGATTTGCCTGCCTAGGCCTCCACAAAGTGCCAGGATTATAGGTGTGAGCCACCGAGCCTGGCCTCTTCCTTTTTTTTTTTTTTTCTTTTTCTTTTTTTTTTTTTTTGAGATAGGGTCTTGCTCTGTTACCCAGATTGGAGTGCAGTGGCATGATCTCGGCTTACTACAACCTCTGCCTCCCGGGTTCAAGTGATTCTCTTGCCTCAGCCTCCTGAGTAGCTGAGATTACAGGCATCTGCCACCACACCCAGTTAATTTTATATATTTTTAGTAGAGACAGGGGTTTTCACCATGTTGGCCCAGGCTGGTTTTGAACTGGTGAACCTCAGTGATCCTCCCACCTCGGCCTCCCAAAGTGCTGGGATTACAGGCGTGAGCCACCGTGGCCAGCCCAGTTCAGTGGTTTTCTCCACATTGGCTGCAAATTACAAACACCTGGGCAGCTTTAAATGTCTACACTGCCCTCTTTGAGATTCTGAATTGGCCTGAGAGAGGCCTGGCATCTGTATTTTTTTAGCATCCCTTAATCGTTTTATTGTTCCATTAGGGTGGAGAGCCATGGCTCAAAGCTAAAGTATTTGTTCCCTCTACTGCCTGGCAAGTATATAAAAAAAAGATTAGCTATGGGTGGTGGCATACACGTGTAGTCCCAGCTAATCAGGAGGCTAAGGATCAATTGAGCCCAGGAGGTCGAGGCTGCCATGAACCGTGATCATACCACTGCACTCTAGCCTGGGCAACAGAGTGAGACCCTGCCTTAAAAAAAATATATATATATACAGAAAGCCCTAATTCCTGCTGTTTTGGCAGTTAAGCTGCCTTTACTAAGTGCTATGGTCAGAGGCTTTAGTTCCTCTTTTTTTTTTTTTGAGACAGAGTTTCGCTCTTGTTGCCCAGGCTGGAGTGCAATGGCGCGATCTCGGCTCACAGCAACCTCCGCCTCCCAGGTTCAAGCCATTCTCCTGCCTCAGCCTCCAGGGTAGCTGGGATTACAGGCATGCGCCACCACACCCGGCTAATTTTGTATTTTTAGTAGAGATGGGGTTTCTCCATGTTGGTCAGGCTGGTCTCGAACTCCAGACCTCAGGTGATCCGCCCGCCTCGGCCTCCCAAAGTGCTGGGATTATAGGTGTGAGCCACCGCGCCTGGCCTAGTTCATCTCTTTCATTAATAAAACAGGCCTTTAAGAATTGGCCCAAGGGCCGGGCATAGTGGCTCACGCCTATAATCCCAGCACTTTGGGAGGCCAAGGCAGGCAGATCACCTGAGGTCAGGAGTTCGAGACCAGCCTGCCCAACATGGCGGAAACCTCGTCTGTACTAAAAATACAAAAAATTAGCTGAGCATAGTGGCCGGTGCCTGTAATCCCAGCTACTTGGGAGGCTGAGGCAGGAGAATCGTTTGAACCTGGGAGGTAGAGGTTGCAGTGAGCCGAGATTGCTCCACTGTACTCCAGCCTGGGCAACAAAAGTGAAACTCTGTCTCAAAAAAAAAAAAAAAAAAAAAAAACTTGGCCCCAAAACCAAAGAAACTTACTATATTCCTTTTCTTTTATACACTTTCAAGGAGGATTTCCAGTATTATGTAATCCTTAAAACGTTTTAAGGATTTAAAACATTTTAAAACCCTAGAGGGTAAGGATTTACACAAAGGTGCAACACAGGACTTTAACCGTTTTATTTATGTTTTTTTGAGATGAAGTATTGCTCTGTCACCCAGGGTGGAGTACAGTGGCGCAATCTCAACTCACTACAACCTCCGCCTCCAGGGTTCAAGTGATTCTCCTTCCTCAGCCTTCCATGTAGCTGGGATTATAGACATGCCCCACCGTGCCCACCTAGTAGAGACAGGGTTTCACCATGTTGACCAGGCTGGTCTGGAACTCCTGACCTTAGGTGATCCAACCGTCCCACCTCGGTCTCCCAAAGTGCTGGGATTACAGGCGTGAGCCCCCACGCCCGGCCAGCTAATTCTATTGTTTTTTGTAGAGATGGGTTTTCGCTATGTTGGCCAGGCTGGTTTTGAACTCCGGACCTCAAGTGATCCGCCCACCTCACCCTCCCTAAATTCTGGGATTATAGGCATGAGCCATCGCACCTGGCCCATTTTATTTGATTTTTAAATTCTTTTTGTAAATTGACAAACTTTAGTTGCATATATTGGTACAAAGTAGTTATTAACACAATATGGAGTAATTAAATCAAGCTAATTAACATATCACCTCAAATATTTTTGTGACAAGAACATTTGAAATTTTGAAATATACAATACACTATTAACTATTTTCACCATGCCATGCAATATATACCCTCCACCCACCACCCCCCCCAAAAAAAACACAAAAACTGGCAGGGCACAGTGGCTCACGCCTATAATCCCAGCACTTTGGGAGGACTAGACAAGGGGATCGCTTGAGCTGAAGAGTTCGAGACCAACCTGGGCAACACAGCAAGACTTCGTCTCTACAAAATACAAAAAATTAGCTGAGCATGATGGCACATACCTGTAGACCCAGTACTCAGGAGGCTAAGGTGGGAGGATTGCTTGAACCCAGGAGTTTGAGACTACAGTGAGCTCTACTGTGCTCCAGCCTGGGTGACAGAGCAATATCCCGTTTCAAAAAAAAAAAAATACAATTTATTTCTCCTGACTAAGGCTTTGTTTCCCTTGCACGTCTCCCCATTCCCCCATCCCACAGCCCTTGGTGACCACCACTTCTCTGCTTCTGAGTTCTACTGTTTAGATTCCACATATAAATGAATATGAGCCGAGGTCAGGAGATTGAGACCATCCTGGCTAACACGGTAAAACCCTGTCTCTACCAAAAATACAAAAAATTAGCCAGGCGTGGTGGCAGGCGCCTGTAGTCCCAGTTACTCAGGAGGCTGAGGCAGGAGAATCGCTTGAACCCGGGAGGCGGAAGTTACCGTGAGCTGAGATTGCGCCACTGCACTCCAGCCTGGGCGACAAGAGTGAGAGTGAGACTCCGTCTCAAAAAAAAAAAAAAAAAAAGTCAGCATTTTTTTGTGGACTCCGCTCACTAAGTAGAAGAGGGAGAGAAAACCACCATAATCCCATCTCAGCACCACCCCTCCCCTCCCCGCCCCAGTGAACCCACCTCAACCACCCCTCCAATACCGTTTTGCAGCTGCCATCCGACTTTTCCCTGAAACAAGCCCCACTCTAATCAAGACGGGCACCTGCAATTTCTCTTAAGGCCCACAATTAAGCCCAAACAAAAATATGTGTAGCTCTAACTCCTACACGTAAACTCTTCAGCAGTACTGTTCTTTTCAGACTATAAAGATAGATGGTATTCAGACACTATCCCTCCGCAAATATCCATTATCTTCACATATTAACAGACAAGAAAAAGTTTAACATTTTATTTTTCATATTTAAATAAACAAATTATAAAAACATACATTCCCAGCCTTTGTAGTGTTTTCGCCAAGCAAAAAAAAAAAAAAAAAAAAAACAAACAAACTCGTACAGAAGGTGGCAGTGTTGATTCATTTAAAGGGAACGAAACACCCTTACAGTATCAACATTAAATGCAAAGAATTCTAATGAACATATCGGTTGTACTACAAAAATAATGAAGCCAGCTAATTACCATCAGGTTACAACTTAACTTTACAAAGAAGTGAAGCAGCAAAGAGCTGAAGCAGAAATGACATAGGAAAACAGCAGCAAAGTCCTTGAGTCCCAACAGTCCACCTCAAAGACAAACATACTAAAGAACAAAGGCCCCTAATCCACCTCCTCAATGGTAGGGCCTGACCCAGACCCTCCCTTGGGACCCTGAGCCCCGAAGCCGCCAGGCCCGGGACCACCGGCACCCTGGTACAGTCCGCTGATGATGGGGTTACACACCTGCTCCAGCTCCTTCCTCTTGTGCTCAAACTCGTCCTTCTCGGCCAAGGTGTTGGCGTCCAGCCACGAGATGACCTCTTGACACTTGTCCAGAACCTTCTTCTTGTCCGCCTCGCTGATCTTGCCCTTGAGCCCCTCATCCTCCACGGCGCTCTTCATGTTGAAGGCGTAGGACTCCAGGGCGTTCTTGGCTGACACCCTCTCGCGCTGCACCTCGTCCTCCGCTTTGTACTTCTCCGCCTCCTGCACCATGCGCTCGATCTCCTCCTTGCTCAGGCGGCCCTTGTCGTTGGTGATGGTGATCTTGTTGGCCTTGCCGGTGCTCTTGTCCGTGGCCGTGACGTTCAGGATGCCGTTGGCATCGATGTCGAAGGTCACCTCGATCTGGGGCACGCCCCTGGGGGCCGGAGGGATGCCGCTCAGCTCGAAGCGCCCCAACAGATTGTTGTCTTTCGTCATGGCCCTCTCGCCCTCGTACACCTGGATCAGCACCCCGGGTTGGTTGTCGGAGTAGGTGGTGAAGATCTGCGTCTGCTTGGTGGGGATGGTGGAGTTGCGCTTGATCAGGGCAGTCATCACGCCTCCGGCCGTCTCCAGCCCCAGCGACAGGGGAGCCACGTCCAGCAGCAGCAGGTCCTGCACGTTCTCGGACTTGTCCCCCATCAGGATGGCCGCCTGCACCGCCGCCCCGTAGGCCACAGCCTCGTCGGGGTTGATGCTCTTGTTCAGGTCGCGCCCGTTGAAGAAGTCCTGCAGCAGCTTCTGCACCTTGGGGATGCGGGTGGAGCCCCCGACCAGGACCAGGTCGTGAATCTGGGCCTTGTCCAGCTTGGCGTCGCGCAGAGCCTTCTCCACGGGCTCCAGGGTGCTTCGGAACAGGTCGGAGCACAGCTCCTCGAACCTCGCCCTGGTGATGGACGTGTAGAAGTCGATGCCCTCAAACAGGGAGTCGATCTCCAGGCTGGCCTGGGTGCTGGACGACAGGGTCCTCTTGGCCCTCTCGCAGGCGGTGCGCAGCCGCCTCACGGCTCGCTTGTTCTGGCTGATGTCCTTCTTGTGTTTTCTCTTGAACTCCTCCACGAAGTGGTTCACCAGCCTGTTGTCAAAGTCCTCCCCACCCAGGTGGGTGTCCCCGGCCGTGGCCTTCACCTCGAAGATGCCGTCGTCGATCGTCAGGATGGACACGTCGAAGGTGCCCCCGCCCAGGTCAAAGATGAGCACGTTGCGCTCCCCCTTGCCCGTTCTGTCCAGGCCGTAGGCGATGGCGGCGGCCGTGGGCTCGTTGATGATCCGCAGCACGTTGAGCCCCGCGATCACACCCGCATCCTTGGTGGCCTGGCGCTGCGAGTCGTTGAAGTAGGCCGGCACGGTGATCACCGCGTTGGTCACCGGGTAGCCCAGGTACGCCTCGGCGATCTCCTTCATCTTGGTCAGCACCATGGACGAGATCTCCTCGGGGTAGAATGCCTTGGTCTC
The DNA here is from genome assembly GCF_000001405.40 of Homo sapiens. Classification (NCBI taxonomy): domain Eukaryota; kingdom Metazoa; phylum Chordata; class Mammalia; order Primates; family Hominidae; genus Homo; species Homo sapiens. Next base: position 3,305,530 of record NT_113891.3, on the reverse strand, counting down.
CCCCTTGTAGCTCACCTGCACCTTGGGCTTGTCTCCGTCGTTGATCACCTGGAAAGGCCAGTGCTTCATGTCCGACTGCACCACCGGGTCGCCGAACTTGCGGCCGATCAGCCGCTTCGCGTCAAACACGGTGTTCTGCGGGTTCAGCGCCACCTGGTTCTTGGCCGCATCCCCGATGAGCCGCTCGGTGTCCGTGAAGGCCACGTAGCTGGGGGTGGTGCGGTTGCCCTGGTCGTTGGCGATGATCTCCACCTTGCCGTGTTGGAACACCCCCACGCAGGAGTAGGTGGTGCCCAGGTCGATGCCGATCGCCGCGGCTTTGGCCATGCCGGTGCCCTGCTCTGTGGGCTCCGCTCTGAGACTGGGGGCTGGAAACGGCGGACGGGATCCGCGACAAGAGCTCAGTCCTTCGGAACGCCGGAAACTCAACACGCCGGTGCCTGCAGCCGCACAGGTTCGCTCTGGAAAGCCTTGGGACCGCGGGAGTCACTCTCGAAAGACGAAGCGGACCCTCGCAGCAGCTCCTCAGGCTGGCCGTTTTCCGGACCGCGCGCCCCTCGGCTTTTATAAGTCGTCGTGGAGACCCGCCTTTCCCCTTCTGAGCCAATCACCAAGCTCGATGAGGCTGCCAGGTCGGGAATATTCCAGGGGTTTCGCCTCCCGTCCTGCCCCCCAGCCTTCCTTGGACCAATCAGAGGGCAGGGTGCCGCCCTCTGCTCAGAACTCTCCAGAGTCTTCTGGGATTCACTGGAGGGGACAGGGGCCCTGAGAGAAAGGGGGAGTGGTGGTGGGAAGGGTGTTGGTCTCCATGGCGATGCTGGCCGCCTGCCCTTCAGTAGGTAATTGACAGGAAGGGCCCGCTCTGGGCGGTGCGAGATTGGTCGGATGACTTTGGAGACAACCAGAACCCGAAAGTTACCTTGTTTCTCGAAGGAGGCGGTGCATCGATGTGCCTGGGAAACTCTGATTGGACTGTGTCTGTGAAGGACGGAGCAGCCTTGGGTCCTTTCTCCGAGGCACCTAATGGCCTAGTCTGCCTGAGAAACGGACCGGCTCTCCCGGATGTTTTTTCCGTCTTAATGGGAAGGAGAAGGAAAGAGATAATGCAATATAGTTTTTGACATAATCTTTAACCTACAAGGATAGAACAACTGGGAATAGGAGCCTTTAAATTTTCACAAGGAAAGCAGTTGTGTAAACAGGCAGTTCTTAGCAAGACAGGGGCACCCATCCAAGGAGGAAGGGAGGCGCTGGTCGGGTAATGGGAGCAGTGGGTCCGCCGCACCCCTGTCCCCGCCCTCAGCCGCTCCCCTCAGCTGCAACCAGGAGTTAGAAAAAAATTTTCCTTAGTATGTAGGCCGTCCTTAAGGCATTTGGGATTCCTCCATTTCCCTCCCCATTCCTAGCTTGGGGTCTGGGACACCTCCTTCCTACTTTCTCAATTCCTGGTTCACTCCTGGACAGTGTGTAGAAGTAGGACCTCACAGTCCCGAGTAAGATTTTCTGTCTGTCCCTGAAACCCCTAGGCTGTTACCGTTTTTAGGTCAAATTTAACAAGATGGTGACCCTGGGAGGGAGGTGCGGGGGGTGTTTAGCTCTCTTTAACATCACATACTACAGCTGTTTGGCAGGTGGCCCTCTTTAAGCAAACTGTGTGGAGTGATGCTGGAAAGCAGGAGGGGTTGGGACCCAGGTTCTAGTTACTAGCTCCTCTTAACACCTCAGGTTATGTGTCTTAAGTTTGTTGTTTTCGTTTTGAGACAGTCTCGCTCTGTCGCCCAAGCTGGAGTGCAGTGGCGTGATCTCGGCTCACTGCAACCTCCGCCTCCCGGGTTTAAGCAATTCTCCTACCTCAGCCTCCTGAGTAGCTAGGATTACAGGCGTGCGCCACCACGCCTGGCTAATTTTTGTATTTTTAGTAGAGACAGGGTTTCCCCATGTTGGTCAGGCTGGTCTCGAACTCCTGACCTCGTGATCCGCCCATGTTGGTCAGGCTGGTCTCGAACTCCTGACCTCGTGATCCGCCCACCTCGGGCTCCCAAAGTGCTGGGATTACAGGCGTGAGCCACCATTCCCGGCCTGTTGTTTTTGTTTGTTTGTTTTGAGACTGAGTCTCACTCTGTCGCCCAGGCTGGAGTGCAGTGGTGAGATCTCTGCTCATTGCAACCTCTGCCCCTGGGGTTCAAACAATTCTGCTGCCTCAGCCTCCCCAATAGCTGGAATTACAGGATGTGCCACCACGCCGGGCTAATTTTTGTATTTTTAATAGAGACAGGGTTTCGCCATGTTGGCCAGGCTGAATGTGTCTAAGTTTTTATCCTAGATTCCAACTTCCTGCGGATTCTCCTTCCTCCTGTTTTAAATACGGTTGCATTTAGTAATTTACTTTCCCTTTGTTTTTTTCCTTCATTCTTAGTGTGAATGCAAGACCCTTTGTTAGGCGTCTGAAAGGAAAATGTGAGGGGGTTGAAGCAATAGTACTGTGTTTACAACCTACCACAAAAAAAAAAAAGAAAAGAAAAAAAAATAGCCTCATTGCCATGGCGATATTCCTTGAGCACAAATGAAAGGAAGAAGTTACTGATGAAGGAATAATCCTGTTTTTAAACACTTTGCTCAATTGGCACTTTTCATATGCACACCTGCACACACACACCTGTCCACTATCAAAACACCTCTTCCTGGAATTTAAGGGTATTCATTTGTTTATAATTCACTGATCTAAACTCATGTTGCAAATAAATTGCTTTAACAATATGTGTGTGTCTGTATGTGCAGGTAGGTGATAACTTTCACATTCAGCTTTAGCTCCCTAATGAATCACCTCTCTAAACTAGTCAAACCGGTCAAACTTCAGGAATTTTCCCAAACATTTCTCTATGAAATGTCTGGCTGGAGATTCTCCCAAACTATGTTCATCTTAGCTGCACAGTGTATCAACACTTCCAGAGACCCTTAACCTCACCCCTCCCTCTGGAAACTTCCTCACCATCAACTGCTACTACTGGCAGGTCTGGATTCATTCCTTCCCTCCTTCCAAATCCACAATTTAAAAGGCCAGCACAGTGGCTCACACCTGTAATCCCAGCACTTTGGGAGGCCGAAGCAGCAGATCACCTGAGGTCAGAAATTCGAGACCAGCCTGACCAACATGGAGAAAGCCGGTCTCTACTAAAAATACCAAAAAAAAAAAAAAAAAAAATTACCTGGGCATGGTGGCGCATGCCTGTAATCCCAGCTACTTGGGAGTCTGAGGCAGGAGAATCATTTGAACCCAGGAGGCGGAGGTTGCGGTGAGCCGAGATCGCGCCACTGCACTCCAGCCTGGGCAACAAGAGCGAAACTCCTTCTCAAAAATAAAATACTTCTCTGATTCTGCTGAGAAACATAAAAAGTGGGGAGTGGGGGGTGGGAGAGGGGGAGAAAAAACCTCTCTATTGGCATGAAGCAAAGGGCATCACTGTCTCAACTGCCTAGCAAGTAGATGTGGTGTTGGGACCCCAAATCTTGGGTGCTCTCTGGATAGCAGAAAAATCCAATATAAATGCTGTTTTTCTTCAATCAGTCACACTAGTCAGAGTCTACAGTGCTATAGTTGACCTAGCTTTTAAGTGAAGCCTCTGTGGACTAGACTGGAAACCCACACATACATATTCCTTGTCCATTTCCTGACAAGGAGAGGGTCACCTGAATTTTCTTTTTTTTTTCTTTTTTTTTTTTTTGAGACAGAGTCTTGCTCTGTCGCCCAGGCTGGAGTGCAATGGCACAGTCTTGGCTCACTGCAACCTCCACCTCCCAGGTTCAAGCGATTCTCCTGCCTCAGCCTCCTGAGTGGCTGGGATTACAGGTGCACACCACCACGCCTGGCTAATTTTTGTATTTTTAGTAGAGAGGGGGTTTCGTCATGTTGGCCAGTCTGGTCTCGAACTCCTGACCTCAAGTGATCCGCCCGTCTGGGCCGCCCAAAGTGCTGGAATTACAGGCATGAAGCACCACGCCGGCCTTTTCTTTCCTTTCAGACTGGATGCTTCCCAAGGCAGAAATCCAGTCACAAGTTTAATTGCTGTCTAAGGTGAATATATAAGAACCCCAGGAGATTTTTCAGAACTTTAATGTGATTAATTTCAGAATTAGGTTTTTATTGGATTCTGTGTTTGGAAGGATCAGAGCTCAGAGTCCCCAAAGTGAAAGCCAGGTTAGATGCTTTCAAAGGGACAAGAGAACTGAAGAGGGAGTGCCAAGAACATAATTGCTACAGCAGTGTGGGGTAAGACAGCCTTCTTCAGGCTGACGCTGCAGGGTCTTTTCCTTCCTTCTCCCTCTCCTTTTTATAGTTCCTCAAACAGTAGTTTTCTTAATTTTGTTCATTTTAAAAGATGGTATAGGCCGGGCGCGATGGCTCATGCATGTAATCCCAGCACTTTGGGAGGCCGAGATGGGTGGATCACCTGAGATCAGGAGTTCAAGACCAGCCCGGCAAACATGGCAAAACCCCTTCTCTCCTAAAAACACAAAAATTAGCCGGACGTGGTGGTGCACATCTGTAATCCCAGCTACTCAGGAGCTGAGGCAGGAGAATCACTTGAACCTGGGAGGTGGAGGTTGCAGTGAGCTGAGATCGCACCACTACACTCCAGTCTGGGTGACAGAGCAAGACTCTGTCTCAAAAAAATAATAAATTAAAAAAAAAAGCTGTTATAATTTTAAGTTTATCCAAATGAACTTAAATGAAAGCAAAAGAGTTAATTGATATGAAATCTAGAGGCAGGCATTCTTAACTGAATGAATGACAAATGCTTCAATGACAAAGAGAACCCTGGCCATTTCTAGCAGCATGGAAAGAAAAAATCTGGGAAGGGAAAATCCTGGATTTGCATCTGCGCTCTACTTCTTTGGTGAGGCTGTTTTTCTTTTCAACAAGGAAGTACTTGTACATTGACTAAATAACACAAGTTTCGACGTGTTCATCTCTAAAACATAATTAACAATAACTGAACTGCGTGTGGTGACTCAGGTCGGTAATCCCAGTGCTTTAGGAAGCCAAGGCAGGCACTTGAACTCAGAAGTCCAAGATCAGCCTGGGCAACATAGTGGGACACCATCTCTACTAAAAACTTTACAAGTTAGCTGGGCGTGGTGGCAGGTGCCTGTAGTCCCAGCTACTTGGGAGGCTGAGGCAGGAGGATCGCTTGAGCACAAGAGGTCAAGGCTGCAGTGAGCTATGATCACGCCACTGCATTCCAGCCTGGGAGACAGAGATCCTGTCTCGAATAAAAAAATTTTTTTTCCCTACATGATCAAAGAGAATATGATCTTCTCCCTCCTTTTATTGGGGATCCCATACTCTCGGATATGACTCGTAGTCATTCTTATTTAGGTGTTTAAAAGTTGGGGACCATTATTAGGACTACAGCTGCTTTCAGCTTAATGTAAAAACTGTCCTAAGATCTGCGGGCACAGGCCATTCAGTCAAACCTTTTCATTTTCAAAGACAGCACCAAGGATCAAAGAAGTTCAGTGGCTTGATCTGGTTACCCAGATGACAGGTTACAGAACCGGTGATTGGACCCACGGGTTCTGACACTCATTTTGTACTCCTTCCCACATTGGCTCATCAACCTAACTGGGTTTTGTTTGCTTTTAATTTTGTGGTTAGACCTAATTGTTTTATTCTCTAAAGAGGAAAACAAATGAATACAGTGTTGGCCTCTGCGAGCATTAAGGGCACCACGGGTATGTGATCAGCCAGGGACTCCCGTCCTGGCTGCTGCTCTGCTCTTCGGACTCAAGACCATGGCCCCTACAAGCTCTTGCCTTCCCCACCTTCCAGCTCTCCCAGCCCTGCCTCTCCTTTCCGATAGAACAGATTGCTCAAGCAGAAAGAGGGGAAAGGAGGGGGGAGCCCCGTTACTAGGGCAAGGTTGGCATATAGTTCACAGAATCTTCCGGACGTTAAATATAGAGTCCTGACTAACCTTGATGTTTTAGGGCCGGCTGGCGAGAGGAGGGAGAGACTCGGGTGGCGCAGTTTGTTGGGGAGTGTCCCTAAGAATGACACAGCAGTTCTCGCCTTGAAGGTCAGAAAACTCTAGAAACTTCGGGCAGAGCCAGCGACGGGGGAAAAAGCCTCAGCCAAAGGGGAGGAAAGGTGGGGAGTGCGGGGGGGGGGCGGGGGGAGAAAAGGCGGGGCCGCTGGGGCCTGAGGGCGGGGCTGGCTTCGGGGCTGCCTATCCGACTCCTGCGTTTTCTGATGTTTTTTTTTTTCCAAAAAGGGATTAAAGGAGGAAAGAAAGGACCTTTCGAGTTTCTCTCATACTAGGTGATTTACAAGACGAAAATATTGGAGAATTTTGTAACTTTCATACAACTAAATCAGATGCATTGGGTGGCCAGAGGCGAGAAGAGAAGGTCCCCACCGCCCACGGCCAGCGCGCACCCGTCTGCGCGGGGACGCGCGACTGATGGGAGAGTAGGGGATGGAGTCGGTTGGCTTTTGCCTACAGCCAGCTCAGCGCCCCGTTCTAGTCCCTCGCCCCGTGAGGCATCAGGAGAGTAAGAAAATTAGACCCTCAGGAGTGATTCTCGGTTGCTGGGCTCCTCCGTAGTCCCAGCCTGTGAACCTGCTCCAGCCCTCCTCTGGTGCCCTCCCTTCTAATTTTTTTTTTTTTTCACTTTTTTTTGAGGCAGGGTCTCGCTTTGTCGCCCAGACTGGAGTGCAGTGGCGCAATCACGGCTCACTGCAGCCTCAAGCGATCCTCCCGCCCCAGCCTCCCGGGTAGCTGGGACTCCAGGCCCGCGCCACCACGCCCTGCTCCTCTCTCCTCCAATTCTTGATCGGGCTGGACGTGGGCCAGCGGGGTGGGGCGGGTTTAACTCCGTGTCTGGAATGCTCCGCTGCCCTACCCCTCAAACATCCCTTTAAATGGTGGTGCTAGGAAAGGACGAGGGCCCGGTGGGTTTACTCCCTCTGGCTGAACTACACCTGATAGATACCTCAGGGGCGTTTCCCAAGGGGATGGATTTAGATCAGTTAGCAGGAGGAATGGTGGCTGTCACAATTTTTTATATTCACGTAAGGATCGCTCCCTCAGAAATCGCCAATATTGGCTCCCCCAAGAAATAACCTCATTTCCTTTTTTAGCCTAAAGCCGTATTATTTCTGCCCACTTCTCTCACATCTATAAAATACTGTAGTTAATTTTTTGTTTTGGTACCTTTTTTGTCTTTTTGAGGATGACAAGAACTCTTGAAGACCAGGAATAACAGTAAGTGTATATGTTATAAAATAAAATCCTGGGTTCAAAGCCATATAAAATCAAATTTATTATCATAGCCTGCTGCCTTCTGAGGCCTGGTATAGGAAGGTAGGAGGTGATTGGAATTGAGAAGATATTTATATTTGTTTTTCCACACCTGCAGTTATTTTTCCTGTTGCACTTTCCTCCCTCAAAGTTCCTCTGCTCCTCAAAACATCACTCCGTTTATGGGTGGCACTGCATTCTCTTTGCTAATTCCACAGCTCCCTCAACGTCTTTTCTTGAGGTTACAAAGTGAATATTTCAAGGTACAGTACTCTGTGCTAGGGTATGCAGGCAAACAATTTTTTTTTTTTTTTTTTTTTTTTGGAGACGGAGTCTTGCTCTGTCGCCCAGGCTGCAGTGCAGTGGCACGATCTCGGCTCACTGCAACCTCCACCTCCCGGGTTCAAGTGAGTCTCCTGCCTCAGCCTCCTGAGTAGCTGGGATTACAGGCGCCCACCACCACGCCTAGCTAATTTTTGTATTTTTAGTAGAGGTGGGGTTTCACCATCTTGGCCAGGCTTGTCTTGAACTCCTGACCTAGTGAGCCACCCGCCTCGGCCTCCCAGAGTGCTGGGATTACAGGCATGAGCCACCACGCCCGGCCGACAAGTAATAATTTTTACATATTTCTTGTTAAAACACCTACTAATAAGCTTGATAGGGCCATAGGAACTCTCTTATTGCCTCCATTCAATGTTATGTCTGATGACTTCTCTACTGTGTCAACAAAGGCATTTGGTAGGTCCTTCCCCATCTCCACCCTTTTCCAATTACCTTTTTCCCCACTCCATGCCACAGTAGTGGTAGTTGCTCCTGGTTTAGAGTCACTACAGGGTCTGCAGATCAGAGTCACAAATGCTACTGCAGCTCTGAAGGGGAGAGGAGGTCCTATAGCAAAGGCATATTCCCATGAAGATTGATTTACATTGTGGCCAGAGTCCACAGTACTACAGTTTAACTACCATAAGAGATAAATGTTCCTCTGTAGACTGGCCTGGAAACCTAAGCATTTCATATTTATTTTCTATTTTCAAACTTCCAAAGCAAGGTCTACCTTTATGTATCATTTCCCATAACACTGGATTTTCTTCATTAACAAGTATTTAGTGAATGGTTTGATGGGCTTTGAGGTACACATAAGCTCATAAAGTGCTTTAATGTAATATTGATACAATTGATTTTTTTTTCTTTTTTTTTTTTTTAGAGACAGGGTCTCACTCTGTTGCTCAGGCTGGAGTGCAGTGGTACAGTCATGGCTCACTGCAGCCTTGACCTTTACAATGTTATGCAACCGTCAACTCTGGTTCCAAAACATTTTCATCGCCCTTAGATACTATTTATTTATTTATTCACTGAGACAGAATTTCACTCATTGTTCAGGCTGGAGTGCAATGGCACGATCTTGGCTCACTGCAACATCCACCTCCTGGGTTCAACCGATTCTTCTGCCTCAGCCTCCCAAGTTGCTGGGATTATAGGTGCCCGCCACCACGCCCAGCTAATTTTTTGTATTTTTAGTAGAGATGGGGTTTCACCCTGTTGGCCAGGCTGGTCTTGAACTCCTGACCTCAGGTGATCCACCCACCTCAGCCTCCCAAAGTGCTGGGATTACAGGCATGAGCCACTGCGCCTGGCCGACACAATTTTTATTTTTTGAGATGGAGTCTCGCTCTGTCACCTAGGCTGGAGTGCAGTGGCGCAATCTCGGCTCACTGAAACCTCTGCCTTTGAGTTCAAACGATTCGCCTGCCTCAGCCTCCCGAATAGCTGGGATTACAGGCGCACACCATCGCGCCTGGCTGATTTTTGTACTTTTAGTGCAGGAGGTGGGTGGTGGGGGGGGTCCTCACCATGTTGGCCAGGCTGGTCTCGAACTCCTGACCTCAGGTGATCCGCCTGCCTCAGCCTCCCAAAGTGCTGGGATTACAGGCATGAGCCAGCACGCCCGGCCAGATACAATTCATTTTTAAAAGGGCTCACTCCGGGAGCTTTAAGGATTGTAGTGGGCGTTTTCCAAGGAGGAGGGAATTACTTCTAGGATGCTAGCGGCTGGGGCATGAAGCATCTCCAAGGGAAAGTGCATGGGAGTGAAGTCTGTAGGTCTTCCTGGCCCGGGTGCTCACTGGCGTACTTAAATTGTAGGTGATAACTGCTAAGAATGTGACATTTCTATTTCAGTATGCTTTCAGTCATGAGAGAGGCATCGAGCCAAACCCTTCCATTTTAAAAGATGACAACTAAAGCACATGTGTATAACTCAGCAAGCCAGTGAATGTACCCGTTTTTTCACTTTGAAATTTAGGACACTCCTTCCATTCCATGTTGAATCTAGATTAAGTATCAAGTCCATGAGCATATCAGGTGTACCTACAGGAGGTAGGAGCGCTGGCCTCCCATCTAACTGCATTCTTTTTGACCACTTTTGCAGAAACATCCCCGCCCCCCTCCCACCTCTTTTGAGACCAATCTTACACAAACATCACTTTAAGGCTACCCTCCCAGGTGTTAAACTTTTTCTGTACCCTCAGGCTAAACCCAATCAGCATCAACAAACTTTACTTTTTTGTGTGTGTGTGTGAGACGGAGTCTTGCTGTGATGCCCAGGCTAGAGTGCAATGGCGTGATCTCGGCTCACTGCTACCACTGCTTCCTGGGTTCACACGATTCTCCTGCCTCAGCCTCCCTGGGACTACAGGCACGCACCACCACGCCCAGCTAATTTTTGTGTTTTTAGTAGAGACAGGGTTTCACCACATTGGCCAGGTTGGTCTGGAACTCCTGACCTCAAGTGATCCGCCCACCTCAGCCTCCCAAAGTGCTGGGATTACAGGCTTGAGCCACCACTCCTGGCCAGAATCAAGAAGCTTTACTGGAGGATACCATTTGTCTAACACAAATGGATCACATTACAATAGTCACACCTCTGCAAAATCTGCCCTTACTGGAAGCAAAAATGCCATTCCATTTTAGACGCTATGGGAAAAACAACCTATGCAGACCCTACTGACCCCCAAATAAAGGAATAAAAGGCATCACTTGAATTTTAAAGTTTATTTACTTTGAAGTAACCAACTTAAAAAATGGCCTGAGTTAAGTGTATTAAAAAGAAGAAATAGTCGTAAGATGGCAGTATAAATTCATCTCTGCATGTAGAAACCGGAAAAAAAGCAAGTTCAGTACTTCACCAAAAAATTTCAACATTGCAAACACAGGAAATTGAGAACTGACAAACAGAAATACTAGGAAATGCAAAGTCTTGAAGCTCCAAAACAAAAACAGCAATCTTGGAAAGGCCCCTAATCTACCTCCTCAATGGTGGGGCCTGACCCAGACCCTCCCTTGGGACCCTGAGCCCCGAAGCCCCCAGGCCCGGGACCACCGGCACCCTGGTACAGTCCGCTGATGATGGGGTTACACACCTGCTCCAGCTCCTTCCTCTTGTGCTCAAACTCGTCCTTCTCGGCCAAGGTGTTGGCGTCCAGCCACGAGATGACCTCTTGACACTTGTCCAGCACCTTCTTCTTGTCGGCCTCGCTGATCTTGCCCTTGAGCCCCTCATCCTCCACGGCGCTCTTCATGTTGAAGGCGTAGGACTCCAGGGCGTTCTTGGCTGACACCCTCTCGCGCTGCACCTCGTCCTCCGCTTTGTACTTCTCCGCCTCCTGCACCATGCGCTCGATCTCCTCCTTGCTCAGGCGGCCCTTGTCGTTGGTGATGGTGATCTTGTTGGCCTTGCCGGTGCTCTTGTCCGTGGCCGTGACGTTCAGGATGCCGTTGGCATCGATGTCGAAGGTCACCTCGATCTGGGGCACGCCCCTGGGGGCCGGAGGGATGCCGCTCAGCTCGAAGCGCCCCAACAGATTGTTGTCTTTCGTCATGGCCCTCTCGCCCTCGTACACCTGGATCAGCACCCCGGGTTGGTTGTCGGAGTAGGTGGTGAAGATCTGCGTCTGCTTGGTGGGGATGGTGGAGTTGCGCTTGATCAGGGCAGTCATCACGCCTCCGGCCGTCTCCAGCCCCAGCGACAGGGGAGCCACGTCCAGCAGCAGCAGGTCCTGCACGTTCTCGGACTTGTCCCCCATCAGGATGGCCGCCTGCACCGCCGCCCCGTAGGCCACAGCCTCGTCGGGGTTGATGCTCTTGTTCAGGTCGCGCCCGTTGAAGAAGTCCTGCAGCAGCTTCTGCACCTTGGGGATGCGGGTGGAGCCCCCGACCAGGACCAGGTCGTGAATCTGGGCCTTGTCCAGCTTGGCGTCGCGCAGAGCCTTCTCCACGGGCTCCAGGGTGCTTCGGAACAGGTCGGAGCACAGCTCCTCGAACCTCGCCCTGGTGATGGACGTGTAGAAGTCGATGCCCTCAAACAGGGAGTCGATCTCCAGGCTGGCCTGGGTGCTGGACGACAGGGTCCTCTTGGCCCTCTCGCAGGCGGTGCGCAGCCGCCTCACGGCTCGCTTGTTCTGGCTGATGTCCTTCTTGTGTTTTCTCTTGAACTCCTCCACGAAGTGGTTCACCAGCCTGTTGTCAAAGTCCTCCCCACCCAGGTGGGTGTCCCCGGCCGTGGCCTTCACCTCGAAGATGCCGTCGTCGATCGTCAGGATGGACACGTCGAAGGTGCCCCCGCCCAGGTCAAAGATGAGCACGTTGCGCTCCCCCTTGCCCGTTCTGTCCAGGCCGTAGGCGATGGCGGCGGCCGTGGGCTCGTTGATGATCCGCAGCACGTTGAGCCCCGCGATCACACCCGCATCCTTGGTGGCCTGGCGCTGCGAGTCGTTGAAGTAGGCCGGCACGGTGATCACCGCGTTGGTCACCGGGTAGCCCAGGTACGCCTCGGCGATCTCCTTCATCTTGGTCAGCACCATGGACGAGATCTCCTCGGGGTAGAATGCCTTGGTCTCCCCCTTGTAGCTCACCTGCACCTTGGGCTTGTCTCCGTCGTTGATCACCTGGAAAGGCCAGTGCTTCATGTCCGACTGCACCACCGGGTCGCCGAACTTGCGGCCGATCAGCCGCTTCGCGTCAAACACGGTGTTCTGCGGGTTCAGCGCCACCTGGTTCTTGGCCGCATCCCCGATGAGCCGCTCGGTGTCCGTGAAGGCCACGTAGCTGGGGGTGGTGCGGTTGCCCTGGTCGTTGGCGATGATCTCCACCTTGCCGTGTTGGAACACCCCCACGCAGGAGTAGGTGGTGCCCAGGTCGATGCCGATCGCCGCGGCTTTGGCCATGCCGGTTCCCTGCTCTCTGTCGGCTCGGCTCTGAGATTGGGGGCTGGAAACGGAACACTGGATCCGCGAGAAGAGCTCGGTCCTTCCGGACGCCGGAAACTCGACGCGCCGGTGCCTGCAGCCGCACAGGTTCGCTCTGGGAAGCCTTGGGACAACGGGAGTCACTCTCGAAAAAGGTAGTGGACTGTCGCAGCAGCTCCTCAGGCTAGCCGTTATCCGGACCGCTTGCCCCTGGGCTTTTATAAGTCGTCACGGAGACCCGCCTTTTCCCTTCTGAGCCAATCACCGAGCTCGATGAGGCTGCCAGGTCGGGAATATTCCAGGGGTTTCGCCTCCCGTCCTGCCCCCCAGCCTTCCTTGGACCAATCAGAGGCCAGAGTGCCGCCCCCTGCTCAGAACTCTCCAGAGTCTTCTGGGATTCACTGGAGGGGACAGGGACCCTGAGAGGAAGGGGGAGTGGCGGTGGGAAGGGTGTTGGTCTCCATGGCGATGCTGACCGCCTGCGCTTCAGCGCCTAATTGACAGGAAGGGTCGGCGCTGGGCTTTTAATTGTGGGGGCTTGCTGGGCCTGCGCAGTTGTGGGCAGGGGGCTGGTGCGGGGAGCGGGTTACGCGCGTCCAGGGGAGGGTGGGGGCGTTTGTGTTGACACCGCCCGGCCACGTTACAATGGAGATACTGTCTCTGACCTCATGGGCCAGTTTGGAAAAAGATTACTGAGTTGGAGCCGTCTCAAATTTGCAGGGAGGGACGGGGTGGGGGGTGGGGGGACCCCGGTTGTGCAGTTTGATATTGAGGGAGCCCCCACCTACTCGCTGGGGCTGCGTAATCTGGACGTTTCCAAACTGAAGCGAAGGCGTCGGGAGACTAGGTGAGCCAGTAGGGATCTGATTGATTGTGAACCTGAAAGGCTCAGTAGGTCCTTGTTTGGGAAAGTACTGGAAAGTTCCCTAGTTGGTTTAAGCCTGAGGTATGTGGGCGTTGGCTGATCCGGGTAGGAGGAGCACTTGGGGAAAGCTAAGATGGCTTCAGATTGATTGGTCGGAGCAGCCAGAATGGGGGAGGCGGGGGAAGGGAGTGCGGCCTGTCGGGGAAATGGGGAGGCGGGGAAGGCGGGGTAAGGGGGAGGCGGGGTAACTGGGAAGCGGGGGAAAGGGAGTGCGGCCTAGGAATCTGCGGTGTGGAGAGGGATAGACACTAAACCCTTTATTTTATTTTTATTTATTTATTTTTAATTTTTTTTTTTTTTTGAGACGGAGTCTCGCTCTGTCGCCCAGGGTGGAGTGCAGTGGCACGATCTTGGCTCACTGCAAGCTCTGCCTCCCGAGTTCAGGCCATTCTCCTGCCTCAGCCTTCCGAGTAGCAGGGACTGCAGGCGCCCGCCACCGCGCCCGGCTAATTGCTCCACCTCCCGGGTTCAAGCTATTCTCCTGCCTCAGCCATCCGAGTAGCTGGAACTACTGGCGCCCGCCACCACGCCCAGCTAATTTTTTCTATTTTTTAGTAGAGACGAGGTTTCACCGTGTTAGCCAGGATGGTAGCCAGGATGGTCTCGTTCTCCTGACCCCGTGATCCGCCCGCCTCGGCCTCTCAAAGTGCTGGGATTACAGGCGTGAGCCACCGCCCCCCGCCCTTAAACCCTTTATTGATCAGTTATTGGCTCCAGAAAACAGGAGTTTTATTTAGGAGAAGGATACAGATACTGTCTGGAGTGCCATGTCGTTTGAGAAAACTGGAAGGCTTGTGGTTTTCTAGCAGTCATCTTCAGCCTGACTGGAATTTACTGCCGGTGAACCCCTAATAGAGAATATTATCCCAGGAAGGCAGCAGAACTCAAGTGTGGAGGCTGATGTCTCTTGAAGAGACCAGAATGTACACTACTCTTGGGTCATAAAGAGACAGAATCCCACAGTAAAATATATAGGAACAGGACAGTAGAATTAGGTCACTTGGGAAATTGAAAACAATATACAGCTACTTGCTTCCCAACTTCTTTGAGTAGCTGAGAATACTTTTGTCTACCCTGTCCAAAAAGCAGTCTGCCATGACAGTAGCGTCTCCATGTATTTGTATAGGCTTGCTCATAGCAACATTATTCTGTAAATTCTGTAATCTGTATCCATCGAGAGATAGATAAGCAAAATGTATATAGGCCGGGTGCGGTGGTGGCTCATGCCTGCCATCCCAGAACTTAGGGAGACCGAGGCGGGCGGATCACTTAAGGTTAGGAGTTTGAGACCATCCTGGTCAACATGGTGAAACTCTGTTTTTACTAAAAATACAAAAATTATCTGGGCGTGGCAGTGCACGCCTGTAGTCCCAGCTCCTCGGGAGGCTGAGGCTGGAGAATTAGCTTGAACCCAGGAGGTGGAGGTTGCAGTGAGCCAAGATCATGCCACTGCACTCCAGCCTGGGTAACAGAGTGAGACTCTGTCTCAAAACAAAATCAAAAACAGTGGTATATAAATATGAATATTACTCAGCCTTAGGAAGGAAATTGTGACATGTTACAACATGGATGAAACCTGTGCACATAAGCTAAGTGACATAAGCAAAGTCACAAAAGGATAAATACTGTATAATTCCACTTATATGAAGTTACAAGAGTAGTCAAATTCATAGAGATAGAAAAAAGAGGTCGGGCGCCTTGGCTCAAGCCTATAATCCTAACACTTGGTGACTTGGAGGTGGGAGGAGGTTTCCTTGAGCTCAGGAGTGAGAAACTAGCTTGGGCAACAGGGAGACCTGGTCTCTACAAAAAAATAAAAAATTAGCTGGGTGTGGTGGCATTCACCTGTGGTCCAAGCTACTTGGGAGGCTGAGACAAAAGGATCCTATGAGCCTGGGAGGTCAAGACTGCAGTGAGCCATGATTACACCACTGCAGTGCAGCCTGCGTGACAAAACGAGACCCTGTCTCTAAAAAATGAGAAAAAAAAATGGTTGTTACCAGGCGATAAAGGGAGGGGAAAACGGGAGTTACTTAATGAGTATACAGTTTCAGTTTTGCGAGATGAACAGAATTCTGGAAATTGGTTGAACACCGCTGTGATTGAACTCACTACCAAACTCTACACTTAAAAATGGTTAAGATGGTACAATTTGTATGTATTTTACCACAATAAAAAATAAAAAATAGGCTGGGCGAGATGTTCACTCCTGTAATCCCAGTACTTGGGGAGGCTGGGGCTGAAGGATCGTTTGAGCCCTGAAGGAGTTTGAGACCAGCCTGAGCAACATAAGGAGACCCCATCTGTACACAAAATTAAAACATTAGCCAGGCAGAGAGCTGGTCACGGTGGCTCACGTATGTAATCCCAGCACTTTGGGAGGCCGAGGCGGGCGGATCACCTGAGGTCAGGAGTTTGAGACCAGCCTGGCCAACATAGTGAAACCGTGAAACCCCATCTCTACTAAAAATACAAAAATTAGCTGGGCGTGGTGGTGCCCTCATAATCCCAGCCACTCGGGAGGCTGAGACAGGAGAATCGCTTGAACTCAGGAGGTGGAGGTTGCAGTGAGCCTAGATCACACCACTGCAGTCCAAAGCAAGACTCCGTCTCAAAAAAAAAAAAAATTAGCCGGGCATGTTGTCTCCAGTTATTCTGGAGGCTAAGGCAGGAAGATTGCTGGAGCCTAGGAGATCAAAGCTGCAGTGAGCTATGACTGCGCCTCTGCACTCCAACCTGGGTGACAGAGGAAGACCCTGTCTCAAAAAAATAAATAACATTGAAAAGCACTCTCCCAAAACAGTATCTTATTCTTTCTCCATAGGCCTCAGAGAACCATGGCTACTGCCAAGGGAATCGCCATAGGCATCGACCTGGGCACCACCTACTCCTGTGTGGGGGTGTTCCAGCACGGCAAGGTGGAGATCATCGCCAACGACCAGGGCAACCGCACCACCCCCAGCTACGTGGCCTTCACAGACACCGAGCGGCTCATTGGGGATGCGGCCAAGAACCAGGTAGCAATGAATCCCCAGAACACTGTTTTTGATGCTAAACGTCTGATCGGCAGGAAATTTAATGATCCTGTTGTACAAGCAGATATGAAACTTTGGCCTTTTCAAGTGATTAATGAAGGAGGCAAGCCCAAAGTCCTTGTGTCCTACAAAGGGGAGAATAAAGCTTTCTACCCTGAGGAAATCTCTTCGATGGTATTGACTAAGTTGAAGGAGACTGCTGAGGCCTTTTTGGGCCACCCTGTCACCAATGCAGTGATTACCGTGCCAGCCTATTTCAATGACTCTCAACGTCAGGCTACTAAGGATGCAGGTGTGATTGCTGGACTTAATGTGCTAAGAATCATCAATGAGCCCACGGCTGCTGCCATTGCCTATGGTTTAGATAAAGGAGGTCAAGGAGAACGACATGTCCTGATTTTTGATCTGGGTGGAGGCACATTTGATGTGTCAATTCTGACCATAGATGATGGGATTTTTGAGGTAAAGGCCACTGCTGGGGACACTCACCTGGGTGGGGAGGACTTTGACAACAGGCTTGTGAGCCACTTCGTGGAGGAGTTCAAGAGGAAACACAAAAAGGACATCAGCCAGAACAAGCGAGCCGTGAGGCGGCTGCGCACCGCCTGCGAGAGGGCCAAGAGGACCCTGTCGTCCAGCACCCAGGCCAACCTAGAAATTGATTCACTTTATGAAGGCATTGACTTCTATACATCCATCACCAGAGCTCGATTTGAAGAGTTGTGTGCAGACCTGTTTAGGGGTACCCTGGAGCCTGTAGAAAAAGCGCTTCGGGATGCCAAGATGGATAAGGCTAAAATCCATGACATTGTTTTAGTAGGGGGCTCCACCCGCATCCCCAAGGTGCAGCGGCTGCTTCAGGACTACTTCAATGGACGTGATCTCAACAAGAGCATCAACCCTGATGAGGCCGTAGCATATGGGGCTGCGGTACAAGCAGCCATCCTGATGGGGGACAAGTCTGAGAAGGTACAGGACCTGCTGCTGCTGGACGTGGCTCCCCTGTCCCTGGGGCTGGAGACGGCTGGGGGCGTGATGACTGCCCTGATAAAGCGCAACTCCACCATCCCCACCAAGCAGACACAGATTTTCACCACCTACTCTGACAACCAACCCGGGGTGCTGATCCAGGTGTATGAGGGCGAGAGGGCCATGACAAAGGACAACAACCTGCTGGGGCGGTTTGACCTGACTGGAATCCCTCCAGCACCCAGGGGAGTTCCTCAGATCGAGGTGACGTTTGACATTGATGCCAATGGTATTCTCAATGTCACAGCCATGGACAAGAGCACCGGCAAGGTGAACAAGATCACCATCACCAATGACAAGGGCCGCCTGAGCAAGGAGGAGATTGAGCGCATGGTTCTGGATGCTGAGAAATATAAAGCTGAAGATGAGGTCCAGAGGGAGAAAATTGCTGCAAAGAATGCCTTAGAATCCTATGCTTTTAACATGAAGAGTGTTGTGAGTGATGAAGGTTTGAAGGGCAAGATTAGTGAGTCTGATAAAAATAAAATATTGGATAAATGCAACGAGCTCCTTTCGTGGCTGGAGGTCAATCAACTGGCAGAGAAAGATGAGTTTGATCATAAGAGAAAGGAATTGGAGCAGATGTGTAACCCTATCATCACAAAACTCTACCAAGGAGGATGCACTGGGCCTGCCTGCGGAACAGGGTATGTGCCTGGAAGGCCTGCCACAGGCCCCACAATTGAAGAAGTAGATTAATTCTTTTTAGAACTGAAGCATCCTAGGATGCCTCTACATGTATTTCATTCCCCTCATCTTCAAACATCATTATTATTCTTGACCAGACCTGAATCTAAGTTACCATCCCTTGGAAATTCTGGAGAAGGAGTCTCATGCACCACCTATCACACTCCCTCACATCCTGTTTCTGACTTTGGAATGGACTCAGGAAAACTAGGCCCCTCTTTAAACCGTGTGATGTATTTGAATGTCTGTTATTTCCAGCCACCCTAACATTCTTCTTCCTGTGTGGATGCTTATTTGTCAATCAGTAAATTTGTTCGTAAAGAAAATTACTTCTGGTATTTAGGCTGTGAATGTACCTTGAAGGGGAGAGTTCATGGAGAGAGCATGTGTTCTCTGATTGTGAGGTCACTGTGAATGATTAAATTGGTAAGGGTAAAGTATTTGAATTTTCATGAACTCATTTTGTGTGTGTGTGTGTGTGTGTGTGTGTGTGTGTGTGTGTGTGTGTGTTTTGAGAGACAGTCTCGCCCTGTCACCCAGGCTGGAGTGCAGTGGCACAATCTCAGCTTACTGCAAGCTCTGCCTCCTGGGTTCACGCCATTCTCCTGCCTCAGCCTCCCGAGTAGCTGGGACTGCAGGTGCCCCCCACCACGCCCGGCTAATTTTTTGTATTGTTTTAGTAGAGACGGGGTTTCACTGTGTTAGCCAGGATGGTCTCGATCTCCTGACCTCGTGATCCGCCCGCCTCGGCCTCCCAAAGTGCTGGGATTACAGGCGTGAGCCACCGTGCCCGGCCCATGAACTCATTGTTTCAATCAGCCACATAATTTTTGATCCTCAGACACCTTTAGCACAGATGGAACAGATGGCAAACTATAACTGCTTTTAATCAGTTACAAGCTGGTTTTGGAGTTTAGGACTCAACTGGGGGTGGAGGGACAAATCCTGCTTGATGTCCTGATGTCACTTATAGGTAAGGTCCAGGAGATTCAGCATCTATGCACTCACAGAGTTCATTGTTTACATCCATTACATGGAGAAAATATTTCTTTTCTTTTTTTTTTTTTTTGGAAACAGTTTCGCTCTTGTCGCCCAAGCTGGAGTGCAATGGCACGATCTCGGCTCACTGCAAACTTTGCCTCCCAGATTCAAGCGATTCTCCTGCCTCAGCCTCATGAGTAGCTGGGATTACAGGCGCTCACCACCATGCCCGGCTAATGTTTGTGTTTTTAGTAGAGACGGGATTTCACCATGTTGACCAGGCTGTTCTGAACTCCTGACCTCAGGTGATCCACCCACCTCAGCCTCCCAAAGTGCTGGAATTATAGGCGTGAGCCACCGTGCCCAGCCCCAGAAAATATTTCTATAACAAACTCTTGACAAATAAGTATGTCTATGCAAGATGACAAATACAAGTTTTATGAAGTCTCAGTCCATGAAAAAATATTTTTACCAGCTGGGCACAGTGGCTCACGCCTGTAATCCCAGCACTTTGGGAGGCCGAGGCGGGCGGATCATGAGGTCAAGAGATTGAGACCATCCTGCCCAACATGGTGAAACCCCGTCTCTACTAAAAATACAAAAATTAGCTGAGGACGGTGATGCGTGCCTGTAGTCCCAGCTACTCAGGAGGGTGAGGCAGAGGAATCGCTTGAACCCGGGACGTGGAGGTTGCAGTGAGCTGAGATCGTGGCACCACACTCCAGCCTGGTGATAGAGCGAGACTCCATCTCAAAAACATTTTTTTCTTTTACCTGTGTCCTAATACATATTTATAAAAACCTGGGGGATATGAGTTAGAATAATATGTAACTGCATTTCTGTCTGTTTGTGTTTGAAACATTTAACAGTGAAATGTTAGACTGGGTTATTTGTATCTGTGAGCCACAGTCTCTTTAGTTTTACACAGTCCTTTACAGGACAGTCTTGGCAAAAGTGTGTAAGAAATGCGGAGATTGAGGTTGGCTCCTTTGGAGAAATGTATTTATTGGTAACCTTTGATAAAATCAAAATTTGTGCTCCAGCTCCTCCTTATCTCTGGGACTGCTCAACGTTGTTTGTTTATAATTTTCTTTTTTCTAGAGAGAGTCTCGCTCTGTCACCCAGGCTGGAATGCAGTGGGGAGATTGTAGCTCACTGTAACTCTTGGGTTCAAATGATCCTCCTGCCTCAGCCTCCCCAAATGCTGGGATTTACAGGCCTCAACATTTTTTGTTTTTTGGGATGGAGTTTTGCTCTTGTTGCCCAGGCTGGAGTGCAATGGCAAGATCTCCACTCACTGCAACCTATGCCTCCTGGATTTACAGGCGCGTGCCACCACACCCGGCTAATTTTTGGGTTTTTAGTAGAGACAGAATTTCGCCATGTTGACCAGGCTGGTCTCGAACTCCTGACCTCAGGCGATCCACTTGCCTTGGCCGCCCAAAGTGCTGGGATTACAGGTGTGAGCCACTGCTCCCGGTCATTTTTTTTTTTTTTTTTTTTTTGAGACGGAGTCTTGCTCTGTCGCCCAGGCTGCAGTGCAGTGGCGCGATCTCGGTTCACTGCAACCTCCGCCTCCCAGGTTCAAGCGATTCTCTTCCCTCAGCCTCCCGAGTAGCTGGTATTACAGGAGCCTGCGACCACGCCTAATTTTTTTTGTATTTTTAGTGAAGATGGGGTTTCACCATGTTGGCTAGACTGGTCTCGAACTCCTGACCTCACACAATCCACCCACCTAGGCCTCCCAGAGTGCTGGGATTAAAGGCTTGAGCCACGGCCCTCGGCCTTTTTTTCTTTTTATCAGCTGAATTTAAGATTCAAAACATTTTTTAATTTTATTTTTTAAATTTTATGTTTTTACTTTAACAAATATAGAAAAGTGCACACTTCATAATCTTAACAAACTCCCCACAATTCTCGATAGGAAGTGTGTGTAGGGCACAAACACATCACGCTGTAGATGGCAGGATTCTGGAAAAGAACAAAATCCTTTGAGCTCAGGCGCTGAGTCCCGCCACCCGTCTGGCAGCCCAGGCTAGGGTCCGCGCCTGCGCAATGGGAGCCGGCCGGCCAGGGAGGAAGTCGGAATGAAGGAAACCCCGCCCCTTTCCCGGCTTCCTCCTCCCCTCTACTCTACCCAGCTTGCGCTCCCCAGCCGCAAGTCGGCCGCGCTTTGCCCGTCAGCGCTTGGAGCTTTCTGCGTCGCTTCCCGCTGCGCCTGCGCGGTCCCGCCTCGCCCCACGCGCGGGCTCGCGCTTCGGTTTCCCCAGACCTGCTCGCAGCACCCTGCTGTCTTCCCGGTCCGGCCCGCTGCCCGCGGCGCCAGCACCATGGTGGGTACCGTGACGTCAAAAGGGGGCGCCCTCGGGGACCTCGCATGGTTGGGGCGGGGGATCTGGCCTTTGTACCCCTAGGCTGGAGTTAGGTCCGGAGTTTTTATCTTCATCTTTAGTACTGTACTGTTTCTCAGGTTCATTGAGGAGGCACTGAGAACAAATGGGATATTTTTTCCATGATGAGGGAAAAAACCCCAACCCTGAGAGAGATTCAGTGAGGATAGCGGGAGACGGAAAAGTTAGACCTCAGAGCACTTCTCTGCCAGGCAAGCTTCGGCAGGGTGCGGGTGGGATATTTTCTACAATTCATTGAAAGGAGTGGGCAGGTACCCGAGAAAGGTGGTCGACTGAGAGAGCACAGTGGGGAGGCCGACGTATGCAGGGCAGAGTCTCTCTGGGACTTTAAGTGATGGGCTCAGTGCAGTGTGCAGAATAATTTGGGCTCCAGCCTTTCAGCTCTGTCAACCAATTATTCTTTCCTGTGAAATTTTGAGAACTGTCAGGGATGCAGTGGGGTTCACAATACCAGTATTTGGTAATACTGTCAAAGGACACTCCTCCCTACCATGCTCCTTCCCACATGATGGTTTTCCCCCTCTCTCCCAATAGCTCTTCTATTCTTTTTTCAAGTCCCTTGTGGGCAAGGATGTGGTCGTGGAACTAAAGAATGACCTGAGGTAGGTACCTGTTCCAACAAGTCTGTTGGGGGTGGGTGTGCCCAGGGCCCTGGAACCTCTTTAATTTGAGAAATATTTCAGGGCTAGGCGAGGTGGAAGATGTACAGAAGAAATAAATGGATAGGGTGCAGTGGCTCAAGCCTGTAATCCCAGCACTTTGGGAGGCTGAGGAAGGAGGAAAGCTTGAGCCCAGGAGTTTGAGGCTGCAGTGAGCAGTGATTACTCCATTGCACTCTAGCCCAGGCAATAGAGCAAGACCCCATCTCTAAGAAAAATTTTAAAATTTAGCAATAAATAAATGCCTTGTGCCTTAAATTTACAGATAAGCTTAGAGATTGTATCGTGTATTGGAAAACAATACAAAGCAATATATAGTTTAAAGAGTAAATACAGGTCAGGCGCAGTGGCTCACGGGCTGGACGTGTGGCTCATGCCTGTAATCCCAGCACTTTGGGAGGCCAAGGTGGGCGAATCACGAGGTCAGGAGTTCAAGACCAGCCCGGTCAAGATGGTGAAACCCTGTCTCTACTAAAAATACAAAAATTAGCCGGGCACGGTGGCTGGTGCCTGTAATCCCAGCTACTCGGGAGGGTGAGGCAGGAGAATCGCTTGAACCTGGGCGGCAGAGGTTGCAGTGAGCTGAGATCACACTGCTGCACTCCAGCTGGGTGACAGAGTGAGATTCTGTCTCAAAAAAAAAAAAAAAGTAAGTACTAGGCTGGCCATGGTGGCTCACACCTGTAATCTCAGCACTTTGGGAGGCTGAGGCAGGAGGATCACTTGAGTCCAGGATGTCGAGACTAGTCTGGGCAACATAGTGATGAGACCTCTATTTCTATAAAAAATTAGCCAGGTGTAGTGTACATGCCTGTAGTCTCAGCTATTCGGGAGGCTGAGGTGGGAGGATCACTTGAACCCAGGAGGTCAAGGCTGCAGTGAGCCATGATTGTATCACTTTACTCCAGCCTGGTTGACAGAGGAAGACTCTGTCTCAAAAAAAGAACAGGCCAGGCCGGGCGCGGTGGCTCACGCCTGTAATCCCAGCACTTTGGGAGGCCGAGGCAGGCGGATCACAAGGTCAGGAGATTGAGATCATCCTGTTTAACATGGTGAAACCCTGTCTCTGCTAAAAATACAAAAAATTAGCCAGGCGTGGTGGCATGCTCCTGTAGTTCCAGCTACTTGGGAGTCTGAGGCAGGAGAATGGCGTGAACCTGGGAGGCGGAACTTGCAGTGAGCCAAGATGGTGCCACCGCACTCCAGCCTGGGTGACAGAGCAAGACTCCGTCTCAAAAAAAAAAAAAAAAAAAAAGAAAAAAAAGAACAGGCCATAGGCCGGGCACGATGGCTCATGCCTGTAATCCCAGCACTTTGGGAGGCTGAGGCGGGTGGATCACGAGGTCAAGAGAGCGAGAACAGCCTGGCCAACATGGTGAAACCATGTAGTGTATCTAATACCTAGCATAGGCCAGTTATATGATAGGTGCTTAAAGAAAGAAAAATAATATCCGAAGACGTATTGACTAACCACTATTCTGAATACATTTATTGATTGATTTCTCAAACACTGCTAAGTAATATATACTATTGCTGTTTTACACGAGGAAACTGAGGCTTAGATCAGCTATACCACTTGTTCAAGTCTACAAAACTAGTAAGTGACACAACTGAAATATGATTCTGTCCAGCTTTTTTTCTTTCTTTTTTTTTTTTTTTGAGATGGAGTTTCAGTCTGTCACCTAGGCTGGACTGCAATGGCTTAATCTCGGCTCACTGCAGCCTCTGCCTCCTGGGTTCAAGCAATTCTCTGCCTCAGCCTCCCTAGTAGCTGTGATTACAAGTGCCCACCACCATGCCCGGCTAAATTTTGTATTTTTAGTAGAGATGGAGTTTCACCATCTAGGCCAGGCTGGTCTTGAACTCTCGACCTTGTGATCCACCTGCCTCAGCCTCTCAAAGTGTTGGGATTACAGGCGTGAGCCACTGCGCCTAGTCCTACTTTCTTTCTTAAAATAATATTTATTTATTTAAAAATTAGAGACAGTGCCTCACTTTGTTGCTCAGGCTGGTTTCAAATTCTTTGAGTTCAAGCAGTCCTCTTGCTTCAGCTTCCCAAAGTGCTGGGGTTACGCGCATGAGCCAGCACACCTGGCCCTGTACTTATCTGTACAGTCCTTTAAATAATATGTACATTTAGGCCAGATGCGGTGGCTCATACCTGTAATCCCAGCACTTTGGGAAGTCGAGGCGGGTGGATGCCTGAGGTCACGAGTTTGAGACTAGCTTGGCCAACATGGTGAAACTCCATCTCTACTAAAAATACAAAAATTAGCCAGATGTTGTGTTGTGCGCCTGTAATCCTAGCTGCTCAGGAGCCTGAGGCTGGAGAATCACATGAACCCGGGAGGCGGACGTTGTAGTGAGCTGAGATCAGGCCACTGCACTCCAGCCTGGGCGACAGACTGAGACTCCATCTCAAAAAAAAAAAAAAAGTACATTTAAAATATTGATACCTGTTACCTCATTATCCTTTAGAAAGATGGGATCAATTGTATTCTCTTCCCAAAAGCGTCTTCCACATTTATTTTTTTGAGATGGGGGTCTCACTCTGTTGTCCAGGCTGTAGTGCAGTGGCACCACCATAGCTCACTCAGCCTCCTGAATAGCTGGGGCTATATGCCACCATGCCCAGCTAATTTTTTAATTATTTGGAGAGGCAGAGTCTCACTGTGTTGCCGAGGCTAGTCTGAAACTCTTGGGCTCAAGCAGTCCTGCCACCTTGGCCTCCCAAAGTGCTGGAATTACAGGTGTGTGCCACTGTGTCTGGCTGTCTTCCACATTTCTATGTGAGATAATTTTTTCATGGGTTACACGTTGACAGGGCAGGGAATGGTGAGGAGAGGGACTTAAGGGCCTTTGCGTTTTAGAACACAGGTTTCCATTTGTAGCACTGGCAATGCAAGTGATATTGATGTGTATAGATTGGGGCCACAGAGCAAGACAAGTACGGTAATCACTATCAGTCTTAGGCAATTTGGTGTGATGACTTGTTTTTGATTCTCCTCTTTTCTCCTTCCTGGGCCTTTTACATGGGAAGCCTAACTGTTGTGTTATAACCCTAGGCCCTAAAGTACCTTTATTTTTTTTATTTTATTTTGTTTTTGAGACAGAGTCTTGCCCTGTCGCCCAGGCTGGAGTGCAATGGCGTGATCTCGGCTCACCGCAACCTCTGCCTCCCGGGTTCAAGTGATTCTCCTGCCTCAGCCTCCCTGGTAGCTGGGATTACAGGCATGCGCCACAACGCCTGGCTCATTTTTTGTATCTTCAGTAGAGACAGGGTTTCACCATGTTGGCCAGGCTGGTCTCCCAACTCCTGACCTCGTGATCTGCCCACCCCAGCCTCCCAAAGTACTGGGATTACAAGTGTGAGCCACTGCACCCGGCCGTAGTAACATTTCTTTTCTTTTTCTTTTTTCTTTTTTTTATTGAGACGAGTCTCGCTCTGGTCGAGTCTACGCCAGGCTGGAGTGCAGTGGTGCTGTAACCTCCGACTCCCTGGTTCAAGTGATTATCCTGCCTCAGCCTCCCGAGTAGCTGGGATTATATGCATGCACCACCACGCCCAGCTAATTTTTGTATTTTTAGTAGAGAAGGGGTTTCACCACGTTGGCCAGGATGGTCTCAATCTCCTGACCTTGTGATCTGCCCACCTCGGCCTCCCAAAGTACTGTGATTACAGGTGTGAGCCACTGCGCCCAGCCTTCTTTTTTTTCTATTTATTTATTTATTTTTGTTTGAGATGGGGTCTCACTCTGTCACCCAGGTTGGAGTGCAGTGGCATGATCTCGGGTCACTGCAACCTCTGCTGCCTGGGTTCAAGTGATTCTCCTGCCTCAGTCTCCCAAGTAGCTGGGATTACAAGTGCCTGCCACCATACCTGGCTAATTTTTGTATTTTTAGTAGACATCGGGTTTCACCATCTTCGTCAGGCTGGTCTTGAACTCCTGACCTCGTGATCCACCTGCCTCGGCCTCCCAAAGTGCTGGGATTACAGACGTGAGCCACTGCACCCGGCCTTTTTATATTATTTTTAAAATTTTTCATAGAGACAGAGTCTCGGCCGTGTTGCCCAGGCTGGTCTTGAACTCCTGGACTCAAGTGATCCTCCCACCTCAGCCTCTCAAAGTGCAGTGACTACAGGTGTGAGCCAATATGTGTGTGGCTTTAAAGTGACTTTTCTGTTGGGATGAGAAAGAAGATCTTTCTCCTTTTTTTTCCTTGAGACAGGGTCTCACTCTGTTGCCCTGGCTGGAGTGCGGTGGCGCGATCTTGGCTCACTGCAACCTCTGCCTCCTGGGTTCAAGTGATTCTTCCACCTCAGCCTCCCGAATAGCTGGGATTACCGGTGCATGCCACCACTCCCAGCTAATTTTTTGTATTTTTAGTAGGGATGGGGTTTCACCATGTTGGCCAGGCTGGCCTCAAACTCCTGACCTCAAGTGATCCTCCTGCCTCAGCCTCCCAAAGTGCTGGGATCACAGGTGTGAGCCACCACGCCTGGCCAAAAGTTCTTTCTCTTATGTTTGTTGTCAGACCACTTTTGTGCTATGTATCTCCCCCTCCTTAAGGGACTTAATAAAATGACACCACTTTGTACAATTCCCAAATGTTATTTCACTGCTGGAGATGGTGGGGTGCTGTCAAATGTTTTTCAGCAGCTAGCAATATGGTGAGAACATTACTGAGGCAGTGGGTTTCAGATACTGGGTGTTTGTTTTTGTTTTTGTTATTAGGCAGAGACTCACCCTCTGTCTCAAAAAAAATAATGATTGCCTAGTACTAGTTCATTTAAATTAATTTCCTAGAGCATATTTAAGTGGGTCTTTTTTTTTTTTTTTTTTTTTTGAGACAGATCCTTACTCTGTCACCGAGGCTGGAATGCAGTGGCATGATCTTGGCTCACTGCAACCTCTACCTCCTGTGTTCAAATGATTCTCGTGCCTCAGCCTCCTGTATACCTGGGACTACAGGCATGCACCACACACAGCTAATTGTTGTATTTTTATATTTTATTTTTAAATTTTTTTTTTCCTCCTGGGTTCAAGTGATTCTCGTGCCTCACCTCCTGAGTAGCTGGGATTACAGGTGCACACCACAATGCCCAGCTAATTTTTGTATTTTTTTTTTTTTGAGACGGAGTCTTGCTTTGTCACCCAGGCTGGAGTGTAGTGGTGTGATCTCCGCTCACTGCAAGCTCTGCCTCCCAGTTCACGCCATTTTTCTACCTCAGCCTCCCAAGTAGCTGGGACTACAGGTGCCCGCCACCATGCCCGGCTAATTTTTTGTATTTTTAGTAGAGACGGGGTTTCACCGTGTTAGCCAGGATGGTCTCGATCTCCTGACCTCGTGATCCACCCGCCTCGGCCTCCCAAAGTGCTGAGATTATAGGCGTGAGCCACCACGCCCGGCCAATTTTTGTATTTTTAGTAGAGATGGGGATTCGCCGTGTTGGCCAGGCTGGTCTTGAAGTCCTGGCCTCAAGTGATCCGCCCACCTTGGCCTCCTAAAGTTCTGGGATTATAGGCATGAGCCACCGCACATGGCCTAGACGCTGGGTTTTAAAGACTTTCAGAATTTTACAAAAATTGGGGCAGAGAACTGCCAACTTTATTTTTGGCAAGATAAGGACGTTTTTAAAACTGCTATTTATTACGATTATTTTTATTTATTTATTTTTCTTGAGATGGAGTCTCACTCTGTCACCCAGGCTGGAGTGCAGTGGCTCGATCTCGCCTCACTACAACCTCCACCTCCCGGGTTCAAGTGATTCTCCTGCTTCAGCCTCCCGAGTAGCTGGGATTACAGGCGTCTGCCACTATGCCCAGCTAATTTTTTGTATTTTTAGTAGAGATGGGGTTTCACGATGTTGGCCAGGCTGGTGTCGAACTCCTGACCTCGTGATTCGCCCGCCTCGTCCTCCCTAAGTGCTGGAATTATAGGCGTGAGCCACCGTGCCCGGCCACAGTTATTTTATTTTATAACTTTAAAATAGAGATGAGGTCTTGCTATGTTGTCTGGGCTGTTCTCCAGCTGGCTTCAGGCGATCCTCCTGCCTCAGCCTCCCAGAATGCTTGGATTATAGGCGTGAACAACCATTCCCAGCCAAAGGCTGTTTTTTTTAAATTTTTGCACCATTCTCTCAAAGAGCACTGGTGTTTTGATAGCATTCCTCAAATAGCATTTCAAGGGGCTCGAGGATTGGGGAATGGAGAGGACATCACTCATGCCTGCATCATCAAGAGTAATGCTACCTACCTTTATCCACATATGGGCTCTGGTTCCAAAGCAATAAATGTTTGAAAATAGCTAGCCTGGGTGACATTCACAGTGAGACCCTTTCTCTACAAAAAAAAAAAAAAAAGTCGGGAATGGTGGCTCATGCCTGTAATCCCAGCACTTTGGGAGGCTGAGGTGGGCAGATCATGAGGTCAGGAGATCGAGACCATCCTGGCTAACACGGTGAAACCCCGTCTCTACTAAAAATACAAAAAATTAGCCAGGAGTGGTGGCCGGCATCTGTAGTCCCAGCTACTCGGGAGGCTGAGGCAGGAGAATGGCGTGAACCTGGGAGATGGAGCTTTCAGTGAGCCGAGATTGTGCCACTGCACTCCAGACTGGCCGACAGAGCGAGACTCCATCTCAAAAAAAAATCAGCTGGGCATGGTGGCTCAAGCCTGTAATCACAGCTACTCAAGTGGCCACAGTGAGCCATGATCACGCCATTTCACTCCAGCCTTGGCCATAGAGTGAGACCCTGTCGCAAAAATAAAAAAAAAATAGCTGATGGTTTTGGGAGTCACACAGACTTGGACTGAAGTTCCCATTTGTTCTAAACTCATAAAGTTTAAAACAACCTCTCTGAGCCCCTGGAAGGTAATAACTACTTTGAAAGATGGCTGTAAAGATTACAAATACTATATAGAATACAGGTCTAGCCTTTACCAGTTGTTTAATGGTAGCTGTTAAGAATAGGTTGGTTTGGCCGGGGACAGTGGTTCACACCTGTAATCCCAGCACTTTGGGGAGCTGAAGTGGGCAGATCGCCTGAGATCAGGAGTTAAGGAACAGCCTGGCCAACATGGTGAAACCCCATCTCTACTAAAAATAAAAAATTAGCCGGGCATGATGGCATACGCCTGAAGTCCTAGCTACTCAGGAGACTGAGGCAGGAGAATCGCTTGAACCTGGGAGGCAGAGGTTGCAGTGAGCCAAGATCACACCACTGCACTTCAGCCTGGCTGACAGTGAGACTCCATCTCAAAAAAAAAAAAAAAAAAAAAAAAAGAATGGATTGGTTTAGGGAGAGGAGATGTGGGGTTGAAAATAAACTACTCTGTTAGTTGTCTTTCCTACTCCAGGGCTTAGGAATGCCCCCTTTTGGTTCTACCTTTTCTGACATCCTCAAGTCCTTGACTTCTCCCAGTCATGTTCTCATCCCAGCTCTGAAGTCACCTCTATGTTGACTTTGTTATAAACTAATTTGATTCTTCTCTCCCTCTGCCCTTGACAGCATCTGTGGAACCCTCCATTCTGTGGATCAGGTGAGATATAGCACGGGCCCCAGAATTGGTTCCTGGAGAAGGAGAGGGGAGACTTAAGGGTTGGGTTCTTACATCATGTCTCTAGGGTTAATAATGGTGTTCGTCGGCCAGGCACGGTGGCTCACGCCTGTAATCCCAGCACTTTGAGAGGCCGAGGCCTGAGGTCAGGAGTTCAAGACAAGCCTGACAAACATGGTGAAACCCCGTCTCTACTAAAAATACAAAAAATTAGCTGGGCGTGGTGGTGGGCACCTGTAATCCCAGCTAGTTGAGAGGCTGAGGCAGGAAAATCATTTGAACCCAGGAGGCGGAGATTGCAGTGAGCCGAGATGGCACCATTGCACTCCAGCCTGGGCAACAAGAGCAAAACTCTTGTCTCAAAAAAAAAATAATAATAATAATAATGGTGTTCATCTTCCTTTCCTAGTATCTCAACATCAAACTAACTGACATCAGTGTCACAGACCCTGAGAAATACCCTCACATGGTGAGTTGGGGTCTGTGGAGAAGAGGAAACACCTCTAAAGCAGGAGGCCCCTGGGTGGTTAGAGGACATTTTTAAGGGTGTTTTCATATTTGTCCATCTTTGTCTAGTTATCAGTGAAGAACTGCTTCATTCGGGGCTCAGTGGTCCGATACGTGCAGCTGCCAGCAGATGAGGTCGACACACAGTTGCTACAGGATGCGGCAAGGAAGGAAGCCCTGCAGCAGAAACAGTGATGGCTCCTCCTCCTCTTCCCCTCCCTCTTTCATTGGTGACCCATAACCCCAAGTCCCAGCCCAGAACCCCTAACCCCCAATACTTGAAGGGGTTTTGTTTTTTTACTAATGATGGTTTTGTGGGTTTTTTTTAAGGGATGAGTGGATGAGAGGAGTAATAGGGAACAGCTATCCTCTCTTGAGAAGGGGAGGATAAGTAGGCTGGGAAACTTCAAAGCCTTCCCAGTCCCCAGCACCTGCCTTTCTCACTACTTCTCTGGAGATGGTAGGAGAGTTTCCTAGGTCTTTCCAGGGCAGCATGTGATTCATTTGGGGATGGAAGGAATCTGTCCCGCATCGGGAATAAAATTTATGATGCAAATTTGTGTTTTGGTTCTGTTACTATGTGTTGGGCAGGGGGCTGGGACATGGAAAAGGATGTCGAATTCATCCAAGCCCCTGTTACTCTGCGTTAACCCAGCCAAGAATCCAACTCAGCTTCCCACTACTCTCCTTGGTATAAAGCATATAATACAGTTGCTCTACACCATGTTTCCCCAACATGTCCCTACCTGTATGTTCTCCCTGTGGCCTTTTGCTTATACCATACCTGCAACTGGAGTGCTTGCTGTCCTTCCATTAATGTGATAGTGTCATAAGATACATTTCATGCTACCAGACTTCACCAATCCAACCAAATCAGTTCATGTTTTCTGAATATGTATAGAAGATAAATACAAGTGATGTAATTTATATTTTAGAGAAAAGTTGTGACTGGGAATTACTAAACTTCATTCACTCATTCAGCAAATATGAGTTCATGATACAGATGAGACTTCTCAGCCTTAAGGGACCCTTAGAGACCATCTAGTGTGACCCTCCTTTTTGTTTTTGAGACGGGAGTCTCACTCTGTTGCCCAGGGTGGAGTGCACTGGCTTGGTCTGGCTCACTGCAACCTCCGCCTCCCGGTTCAAGCGATTCTCCTGCCACAGCTCCTGAGTAGCTGGGATTACAGATGCCCACCACCATGCCCGGCTAATTTTTTTTTTTTTTTTTTTTTTTGAGATGGAGTCTCACTTTGTCACCCAGGCTGGACTGCAGTGGTGTGATCTTAGCTCTGCAATCTCCGCCTCCCAGGTTCAAGTGATCTTCTTGCCTCAGCTTCCCAAGTAGCTGGGCTTACAGGTGTGTGCCACCACGCCTGGCTAATTTTTGTATTTTTACAAATACTGCAGCTCTGTCGCCAGGCTGGAGTGCAGTGGCACGATCTCAGTTCACTGCAACCTCAACCTCCAGGGTTCAAGCAATTCCCTGCCTCAGGCTCCGGGGTAGCTGGGATTACAGGCGCCTGCCACCACACCTGGCTAATTTTTGTATTTTTAGTAGAGACGGGGTTTCACCATCTTGGCCTGGCTGGTCTTGAACTCCTGACCTGGTGATCCACCCGCCCTGGCCTCCCAGAGTGCTGGGATTACAGGCGTGAGACGGGCTTTCACCACCTTGGCCAGGCTAGTCTTGAACTTCTGACCTCAGGTGATCCGCCCACCTCGGCCTCCCAAAGTGCTGGGATTATAGGCGTGAGCCACTGCGCCCGGCCGTCACCCTTTTTTCATACATGAGGAGATGAGGCTCAAAGAGGAAGCTGGACGCCAGGGCCTCGGCAAATGGACCTCCCCTTCGGTCCTCATCAGGCGGCTCCCTGCTGGGCACCTCCCCGCTACCGGGTGGGGAACGCCCTCCACCGGCAGGGCCGGCCGACCCTCTTGGGCCAGTTCCCTAGCTGCCCGCTGGGCGCCGCCCTCGCCACCCGGCCGAGGACCCGCACAAGGTGCCCGTGGCGGCGCCTGACGGGAGCGTCGTGCTCAGGGGTGTCCTCTCGTCCTGCGTCCGCGCCCAGCGCCCCGCGCCCCGCGCTGTTCCTCGTGAGACCGGCGGGCGGCGAGCCGCGCGGCCCCCGGGGCAGTGTCGGACACGGCGGGCGCGCACTCGCAGGCGGGGCACGGCCGCCCCCGCCAGGACCCGCAGGCCCGGAAACGCTCCCTGTCACAAAGGGGGGAACACGTGGGCGCCGGCTGCCGGGGCGGCGATCTTAGGGAACTAGGGTCACCTGGAGAGCCGCCCACCGTCTCTGCCCGCTCGACTCCTCCGCCCGGGCCGCTCGGCCGGTCCAGCCGCGGCCGGCGCCTGGCTGTGAGGTGGATTCCCGGCCCAGTCTGACCATCTCCCTCCAGTACGTACACGCGGCTCGAACCCGCATCCAACCAGACGCCGACCCGCTCCTGAGAGCCTTCCACACTCCCCGAAGCCCCGCGATGGTGGATAGTTCCTCTTCCCCAGGAACTCCCCACTGACACTGCCCCTCTGAGAGCCAGGTCCTCGGCTCCTGACAGCCTGCCTGGTCAGACCCTCAGTCCTATGGGACTCGGGTGTCTGCGGCGAAGGAGCTCCCGTGAGGGTCCCCTCTCTACTCAAACATAGGACCCACCTCGATCCCGCAGTCTTCCCCTGTCTCTCTTTCTCCTTAGGTTTTTCCACTTCGTTCGGACCTTCTCATAACTATGTCCACCCTCTACGTCTCCCCTCACCCAGATGCCTTCCCCAGCCTCCGAGCCCTCATAGCCGCTCGCTATGGGGAGGCTGGGGAGGGTCCCGGATGGGGAGGAGCCCACCCCCGCATCTGTCTCCAGCCACCCCCGACTAGCAGGACTCCCTTTCCCCCACCCCGCCTGCCGGCCCTGGAGCAGGGGCCCGGTGGGCTCTGGGTGTGGGGGGCCACGGCTGTGGCCCAGCTGCTGTGGCCAGCAGGCCTGGGGGGCCCAGGGGGCAGCCGGGCGGCTGTCCTTGTCCAACAGTGGGTCAGTTACGCCGACACGGAGTTAATACCAGCTGCCTGTGGAGCAACGCTGCCGGCCCTGGGACTCCGAAGCTCGGCCCAGGACCCCCAGGTGAGGGGGTTGTACAGAAGAGGGGGAGGGGAGAAATTCAGAGGAGGGAAGCGAGGACTGGAATGGACAATGAGACAAGAAGGTAGTACATCAGATGTGGGAAAAGAGTGATCAAATCCCAGATTGCCAACTGGTATGGTAACCCTGGGCACGTTTCATAGACCCGCTGTGTCTTGGTCTTCCTATGTCTATGAACACGCAGGCAAGTTGATGTAATGCTTGCCTCACTGAGTTAATAGGATTAAAAGATGTGCGCAGAGCACATAGTTTAGTGCCAGGCACTTTTAAAGTCTCTTAGTAAAAGTTTGATGAGTCTGAAATTGATGAGGATAGAAGTTATTTGAATTGTAGGAAAAGACTGGGTGAGGGAGAGATGACAATTGCTGGGAGGAGATAAAAGAGAAATGAAATGAGGAAGGTAAGTGAGAGGAGAGATAACCCTGCCAGATTGTAACTATCAGTCCTTCCAAAGGAGACCTGTGCCTTGGTGTACTTTCAACTCTGCCTCCTTGCATGGTATTGAGCACATGATGGAAAATTAGTATTTCTTGAATGGATGAATGAATGTGGCAGACCCTGACTTGCTCCCTCATATTGTGATCACCCTATCTACAATAGAGTCCTTGCATTCAGAATGTCTGTCCAAACAAACAAATAAAATAGAGTCCCTCTCTTCTGGAATTCCCTGTTTGTTCCCCTCTTTTATTTCTTTTCTTTTCTTTTTTTTTTTTTTTTTTGAGACGGAATCTCCTTCTGTTGCCCAGGCTGGAGTGCCACGGTGCGATGGTGCGATCTCAGCTCACTGCTCAAGCGATTCTCCTGCCTCAGCCTTCTGAGTAGCTGGGATTACAGGCGCCCACCACCTTGTCCGGCTAATTTTTTGTATTTTTAGTAGAGATGGGGTTTTGTCATGTTGACCAGGCTGGTCTCGAACTCCTAACCTCAGATGGTCTGCTCGCCTCGGCCTCCCAAAGTGCTGAGATTATAGGTGTGAGCCACCACGCCTGGCCCCTGTTCCCCTCATTCTGCTTTATTTTTCTTCATAGGAGTTAAGAAAAATAGGGCACTTCATTTTATATTTGCTCATTTGTTGTTCCCCTACAAGAATGTTAACTCTACCAGGTCAGGGTTCTGTCCATCTGTTCGTGTTTTCCTCTCATTCCCTGGAGAAGTACTTAATACATATTTATTGATGTTCTGAACCTGGCAGTTATTGAGATGCCTCATATAATCTTTACTTCTATGCTTAACATATTGCATCTAACACATAAGTATTGAGTAGGGATTTGTTGGATGAGTCAGAAGTGTTTTGTTTTTTTTTTTCTGAGACGGAGTCTCGCTGTGTTGCCCAGGCTGGAGTGCAGTGGCGTGATCTCGGCTCACTGCAAGCTCCATCTCCTGGGTTCATGCCATTCTCCTGCCTCAGCCTCCCGAGTAGCTGGGACTACAGGCGCCCGCCACCACGCCTGGCTATTTTTTTTTTGTATTTTTAGTAGAGATGAGGTTTCACCATGTTAGCCAGGATGGTCTCGATCTCCTGACCTCGTGATCCGCCCAGAAGTATTTTTATTGTGACTATTTGAGTGAAGAAATGGGACTCAGAGGTGGTGATTTGTGAGAGTGGGGTGGAGGGAGGCCACATGGATTGGGTTGTGGTGGGAGATGGAGGTGGGCCAAACCTTGTCTCACACTTCTTCCCCTTCCTGCCAGGCTGTGCTGGGGGCCCTGGGCAGGGCCCTGAGCCCCTTGGAGGAGTGGCTTCGGCTGCACACCTACTTGGCCGGGGAGGCCCCCACTCTGGCTGACCTGGCGGCTGTCACAGCCTTGCTGCTGCCTTTCCGATACGTGAGTCACCAGGCCTGGGGAAGAACAAGACTGCTCTCCTCAGACCTCACTGTAGGGTGACTGAGAAGAGTCATTTATTTCCTGTTCCAGGTCCTAGACCCACCTGCCCGCCGGATCTGGAATAATGTGACTCGCTGGTTTGTCACGTGTGTCCGGCAGCCAGAATTCCGAGCCGTGCTAGGAGAAGTGGTTCTATACTCAGGAGCCAGGCCTCTCTCTCATCAGCCAGGTGAGGAAGGGCGAGGAGTTGGAGGATAGGGGCTTCCCTGGGGCCTTCCATGCAACTCACTTTCTTTTTTTCCTAGAAATGGCAGAATCACTGGGGCAGGGTCCTGCGGGAGAGGAGGGAGAGGGGGGAGGTCAGCATGGGCAAGACCTCGGGCATCTAAAATACCCCATCTGAAACCTAGTATGGCCGTCCAAGAGGGTCCCCAGCTGGCTGAGTCTGAATTTCTGCACCTCTCTCTAGGCCCCGAGGCTCCTGCCCTCCCAAAGACAGCTGCTCAGCTCAAGAAAGAGGCAAAGAAACGGGAGAAGCTAGAGAAATTCCAACAGAAGCAGAAGATCCAACAGCAGCAGCCACCTCCAGGGGAGGTGAGGCGAGGGTGGAGCTGGAAGGAAAGTTGATGTGTGCGGTGATGGGTTGGCTGATGCCTGGGCCTATGTCTTCTCCCTCCCAAGCAGAAGAAACCAAAACCAGAGAAGAGGGAGAAACGGGATCCTGGGGTCATTACCTATGACCTCCCAACCCCACCCGGGGAAAAGAAAGGTACTAGGAGTGGGAAGGGGCTCACCCCTCAGCAGCCCCTTCTAAGTTTTCACCCTATCTTGCTCTATTCTTGCTCTCACCACTTTGTTTGGTGAGGAATTGCAGACCCCCTGCCCTGCCTCTAGGCCCCTCAAATGCCTGTCCTATGATGTGAGTGACGGAGATCCCGATCCCTCTCTGCCAGCACGTCTCCTTCCCAGAGTGCTCCCAGCCACGGCACTGAGCCCTCCCTTCCTCTCCCCCAGATGTCAGTGGCCCCATGCCCGACTCCTACAGCCCTCGGTATGTGGAGGCTGCCTGGTACCCTTGGTGGGAGCAGCAGGGCTTCTTCAAGCCAGAGTATGGGGTGAGTAGGCACTGCTGCCCAGGCCCAGAGTGGGTGGGGTGGGGAAGGGCAGGACTGAAGGATGTGTTGCCTGGGAGGGGCTGGGAGAGGTGACCTGAGGCCTTAAACATGTGCCATCCTTCTCCACCATCAGCGTCCTAATGTGTCAGCAGCAAATCCCCGAGGTGTCTTCATGATGTGCATCCCACCCCCCAATGTGACAGGCTCCCTGCACCTGGGCCATGCACTCACCAACGCCATCCAGGACTCCCTGACTCGATGGTGAGCTTCTATCTGCACCTTCCTCTGGTTCCCTCTGCCTAGTCTGGCTCTCTCCTTTTCCCTGACAGCCCCCCGAGCCTCTCTCCTTCTGGGTTGGTGCTCACTTCTGCCCCCAGTGGTGCTACACTTCTCTCTGTCATTCCAATCTGATCATTTAGCTTCCTCTCCTAGTCCAGTACTCCCATGCAACACCGCCACTTGCAGACTCTCTTCTATCCCTTCTTTCTTTATTTAATTTTAATTTAATTTAATTTAATTTTTTGTAAAGATGAGTTTTCACTTTGTTGCTCAGTCTGGTCTCCAACTCCTGGCTCAAGTGATTCTCCTGTCTCAGACTCCCAGAGTGCTGGGATTATAGGTGTGAGGCACCACACCCAGTCTCTCCCTTCTTTTTCTAGTAACAATAACATTATTTTGAATTTAATTAGGAACATATGAATATATATATTTTTTTTTGGGGGGACAGAGTCTTGTTCTGTTGCCCAGGCCGGAGTGCAGTGACGCCATCTCGGCTCATGGCAACCGCTGCCTCCTGGGTTCAAGTGATTCTCCTGCCTCAGCCTCCCAAGTAGCTGGGATTACAGGAATGCGCCACCACAACTGACCAAAATATATGAATATATTCTTGTAAGAAATTTAAAGTTTCAAATCTCCTTGACCATCCCCCTCCACACCTACTTCCTCCTAAGATTTAGCCATTGTTATCACTTTGATGTGTATCTTCCCAGATCTTTCCTATTTACTTACATATACACGTACCCATAGAAATTTATAGTTCTCCTTTTGGGTGAGTCTTTTCTATTTTTTAACATAAAGGGTTCATATTACACTTGTTATGATCTAGCTTTCTTCTTACACTTAATACTTTCTCTTGGAGATCTTTCCTTGTCCTTACACACATACCACACATACTGACTTCCTTCTTTTTAATTGTTCCATAATATCTCATAGTGTGGCTGTACCATAGTGAAGTCATTCTTTTTTTTTTTTTTTTTTTTTTTTTTTGAGACAGAGTTTCACTCTTTTTGCTCAGGCTGGAGTACAGTGGCATGATCTCGGCTCACCGCAACCTCCACCTCCTAGGTTCAAGCGATTCTCTTGCCTCAGCCTCCCAAGTAGCTGGCATTACAGGCACCTGCCACCGCGCCTGGCTAATTTTTGTATTTTTAGTAGAGATGGGGTTTCACCATGTTGGCCAGGCTGGTCTCAAACTCCTGACCTCAGGTGATCTGCCTGCCTCGGCCTCCCAAAGTGCTGGGATTACAGGCGTGAGCCACTGCTCCCGGCCTGGAGTCACTTTTTAATTAATGATTCATTCTGTTTTTTGTTTTTTGTTTTTTTTCTGTTGAAAACCTTACTCTAATGCACATCCCTGTATATCAAGTTTGTCCAACCTGCAGCCTGTGGGCCACATGCGGCCCAGGACGGCTTTGAATGCAGCCTAACACAAATTTGTAAACTTTGTTTAAACATTTAAGAATTTTTTTGCGATTTTTTTTTTTAGCTCATCAGCTATCGTTAGTGTTAGTGTATTTTTTTAAATTTATTTTTATTATTTATTTATTTATTTATTTTTTGAGACGGGTCTTGCACTGTCACCCAGGCTGGAGTGCAGTGGCACAGTCTCGGCTCACTGCAAGCTCCAAACTCCGCCTCCCACGTTAACGCCATTCTCCTGCCTCAGCCTCCCAAGTAGCTAGGACTACAGGTGCCCACCACCACGCCCGGCTAATTTTTTTTTTGTATTTTTAGTAGAGACGGGGTTTCACCATGTTAGCCAGGATGGTCTCGATCTCCTGACCT
The DNA here is from genome assembly GCF_000001405.40 of Homo sapiens. Classification (NCBI taxonomy): domain Eukaryota; kingdom Metazoa; phylum Chordata; class Mammalia; order Primates; family Hominidae; genus Homo; species Homo sapiens. The sequence continues at coordinate 3,267,046 of NT_113891.3, read as the reverse complement.
CGTGATCCGCCCGCCTCGGACTCCCAAAGTGCTGGGATTACAGGCGTGAGCCACTGCTCCCAGCCAGTGTTAGTGTATTTTATCTGTGGCCCAAGACAATTCTTCCATGTGGCCCAGGGAAGCCAAAAGATTGGATACCCCTGCTCTATATGCTTGCTGAAGCATGTGTGGAAGGGTTTCGCTGGTGTAGCTATCAAGAAGTGAAACTGCTAGGTCGGCAGGGGCACACCTATATTAAGTACAAACGGAAGCTGCCAAGTTGCCCTGCAGAATGGCTTTGCTGATTGATACCTCCAGGAATTGCTGTGAGAGTGTTCATTTCCCCACCCTTGCTAAGCCTGAGCATTAGGGTTGCCTAATTAGTTTTGCCAATCTGATGGGCAAAAAAATACCTCTGTTGTTTTACTTTGTACCTTTCTGATTGCTATTGAAGTTGTGCCTATTTTCATGTTTTTTGGCCAGTCAGGTTTACCCATATGTGAATTGTCTGTATCTATCTTTTCCCCGTTTTTCTATTGATTCTTCGTTCTTTTTCTTTTTAATTTTTTTTTTGAGAATTCTTTACCTGTTCTGGGTATCAATTTTTTTGTTAAATATTGTAAATGTTTTTGTTGTATTATTGTGTGGTAGTTTTCCTGTTAATTGTAAATGTTTCTCCTGTTTTCTGTTACTATTTGTTTTCACTGTTAATATTTTAATTAGTGATAAATACAAAGTAATATTCTAGGTGACAAATCTTTTTAAAAAGTATTTTAAAATAACTTTACCATTTTTGGAAACCAGGGTTTATTATATTTAAATTTTGAGAATTTTTTCTGGTGTCTTATGTACTAAATTAATGTGGTCAAAAAATATTTACTGGGCCCAACTATGTGCCACCTCTGCTCTGAGCACTGGGAATATAATGTTTGATTGTGCATTTTGCAAGTAACTGAGAGCTAGGAAAACAGTTATATGTTTTATTTTTTTATTTTTATTATTATTATTATTATTTTGAGACAGAGTCTCTCTCTGTCGCCCAGGCTGGAGTGCGGTGGCGCAATCTTGGCTCACTGCAAGCTCTGCTTCCCAGGTTCACAGCATACTCCTGCCTCAGCCTCCTGAGTAGCTGGGACTACAGGCGCCCGCCACCACGCCTGGCTAATTTTTTGTATTTTTTTTAGTAGAGACAGGGTTTCACCCTGTCGGCCAGGATGGTCTCGATCTCTTGACCTCATGATCTGCTCACCTCGGCCTCCCAAAGTGCTGGGATTACAGGCGTGACCCACCGCGCCTGGCCTGTTTTTTTTTTTTGTTTTTTTTGTTTTTTTGAGACAGAGTCTCTCTCGGTTTCCCAGGCTGGAGTGCAGTGATGCGCGCTTACTGCAACCTCTGCCTCCTGAGCTCAAGCGATTCTCCTGCCTCAGCCTTCTGAGTAGCTGGGATTACAGGCGCATGCCACCACACCTGGCTAATTTTTGTATTTTTAGTAGAGACGGGGTTTCACCATGTTGGTCAGGCTTGTTTCGAGCTCCTGACCTTGTGATCCTCCCGCTTCGGTCTCCCAAAGTGCTAGGATGACAGGCATGAGCCACTTCGTCCAGCCAACAGTTCTGTTAAATACACATAACATACAATGGCCAAGTTGTTTGCGTTTGTGTTTGCGTTTTTGTTTTTTCAATTTTTCAATTTTTTTTTTTTCTTTGGAAATGGGGTCTTGCTCTGTCACCCAGGCTGGAGTGCAGTGGCGCAGTCTCTGCTCACTGCAAGCTCCTCCTCCCAGGTTCACACCATTCTCCTGCCTCAGCCTCCTGAGTAGCTGGGACTATAGGAGCCCACCACCACGCCTGGCTAATTTTTTTTGTATTTTTAGTAGAGACGGGGTTTCACCGTGTTAGCCAAGATGGTCTCGATCTCCTGACCTCGTGATTCGCGTACCTCGGCGTCCCAAAGTGCTGGGATTATAGGCGTGAGCCACCACGCCCGGCCCTGTTTTTCAATTTTTTAATAAAATCAAGAGAGGGTCTCGCTATGTTGCCCAGGCTGGTCTTGAACTTCTGGGCTCAAGCAATCCTCCTGCCTCAGTCTCCCAAAGTGCTGGGACTACAGGCATGAACCACCATACCTGGCCTCCAAGTTTGTTTACATGAAAACAGAATGACTACTTTTTTTTTTTTAATTGAGACAGAGTCTCGCTCTGTCGCCCAGGCTGGAGTGCAGTGACGCGATCTCGTCTCACTGCAACCTCAACCACTTGGGTTCAAGCGATTCTTGTGTCTCAGTCTCCTGAGTAGCTGGGACTACAGGCACGCACCACCACGCCCAGCTAATTCTTTTGCATTTTTAGTAGACAGAGTTTTGCCATGTTGGCCAAGCTGGTCTTGAACTCCTAACCTGAAGTAAGCCGCCTGCCTCGGCCTCCCAAAGTGCTGGGATTACAGGTGTGAGCCACTGTGCCTGGCCACATACTTCTTATAAAACTCTTAAGGTAGCCACATTTTTTTTCCAGTGAACGTGGTTTAAATAAAATGTGAGACACTCCCATTACTTTAATGGAATAGAGTTATATCAACTTTTTATTTTTATTTATTTGTTTATTTATTTATTTTTGAGACAGAGTCTCTCTCACTGTGTTGGCCAGATTGGAGTGCATCGGCATGATCACAGCACAATCATAGCTTGGTGCAGCCTCAACCTCAGCCACCCAAGTAGCTGGGAACAAAGGTGCACGCCACCATGCCTGGCTTTTTTTTTTTTTTTTTTGCAGAGACTGGGTCTCACTATGTTGCCCAGGCTAGTCTGCAACTCCTGGGCTCAAGCAGTCCTCTCACCTTGGCCTCCCAAAGTGTTGGGGTTATAGGCTTGAGCCACTGTGCCTGGCTTGAATTCTTTAATCTATCTAAAGTTTCTTTTTGTGACTATTGGTAAGGGGGAGATTTTTTCCAAATAATTAGCTAGTTGTTTCAAACATTTTGAATAGTTTATCCTTATTTTACTGATAGGAAGTGCCAACTTTCACAAACACTAAATTTGCTTGTATCTGTTTCCAGGTACTATTTTGTTCCTGTTTAGTAACTTATTTTAACAATTAGAACTTTTGCTATCCTGTTTGGCAGGAGCCTCCTCTTCGTTCTTTTTTTTTTTTTTTTTTTTTTTTTTGAGACAGAGTCTCACTCTGTCATCCGGGCTGGAGTGCAGTGGCACAATTTCAACTCACTGCAACCTCCCCCTCCCAGCTTCAAGCGATTCTCGTGCTTCAGCCTCCCAAGTAGCTGGGATTACAGGTATGCACCACCATCCTGGCTAATTTTTATATTTTTGGTAGAGACAGGGTCTTGCCATGTTGGTCAGGCTGGTCTCGAACTCCTGTCCTCAAGTGATCCACTCGCCTTGGCCTCCCAAAGTCCTGGGGTTACAGGTGTGAGCCACCACGCATGCCTGTCTTTGTTCTTTTTCCATATTGCCTTGGCTCTTCCTTCAAATCTTTTCTCCTTGACTAGCTTTAGAATCACAAGGGTTCCAGCTCCACCCCTGCTTCTTTCTTTTTTTTTTTGTTTGTTTTTTGGAGACGGAGTCTCACTCTGTCACCCAGGCTGGAGTGCAATGGCATGATCCCAGCTTGCTGCAACCTCTGCTTCCCGGGTTCAAGCAATTCTCCTGCCTCAGCCTTCCAAGTAGCTGGGATTACAGGCACATGCCACCACGCCCAGCTAATTTTGTATTTTTAATACAGACAGGGTTTTACCATATTGGCCAGGCTTATCTTGAAGTCCCCACCTCAGGTGATCCACCCACCTCGGCTTCCCAAAGTGCTGGGATTACAGGCGCATGCCACCATGCCCAGCTAATTTTGTATTTTTAGTAGAGACGGGGTTTTACCATGTTGGCCAGGCTCATCTCGAACTCCCCCACCTGAGGTGATCCACCCACCTCAGCCTCCCAAAGTTCTGGGATTACAGGCGTGAGCCACCGCGTCCGGCCTCCCTGCTTCTTTATTTAGTCCACTGACTCCTTGCCTGAAGCCTCTGCTTTCTTTGGTGCCAGGCCCCACTGGCCTGGCTCACCCTCTGGTCCTCCATGCCCCCTAACAGGCACCGCATGCGTGGGGAGACCACCCTGTGGAACCCTGGCTGTGACCATGCAGGTATTGCCACCCAGGTGGTGGTGGAGAAGAAGCTATGGCGTGAGCAGGGACTGAGCCGGCACCAGCTGGGCCGCGAGGCCTTTCTACAGGAAGTCTGGAAGTGGAAGGAGGAGTGAGTATGCAGCATCCCTGTGGGCATCGCAGCCCTGCCTCCCTGTCCCCTATCCAGAAGACCTCTGTCACCTGTAACCCCTTGGCCACAGGGTCAGACCCTCCCACAGAGGCAGAGTCAGTTGGCTCTAGGGCCCAGGTAAATTTCAGGGGGATGGGTGATCTCCACACTGCCCAGTCAGCCACCTGATGTCTCCCTCTAGCCCAGGCACGAGTGCTGACCTCAGCCTGTCTGCTTCCAGGAAAGGTGACCGGATTTACCACCAGTTGAAGAAGCTTGGCAGCTCCTTGGACTGGGATCGAGCCTGTTTCACCATGGACCCTGTGCGTGGGAGGAGTGTCAAAGCTGGGGCAGGAGTAGGAGTCTCCCCAGGGTGGGACCCCCACAGGAGAAAGCAGAGGTGTTGTGGCCCTCTCTCAGGAGCTGGCCCATGTAAAACACCATGGAGGGCTCAGCTGCAAATGCCACTTCCCACCCCTCGCCATGGCCCTTTCCATATCATGGCCCTTCATGTTCCCTGTCTTGGCTCTGGGAGCTCCAGATTCCTCCAGATGGCACATGATCAGGACCCCGTCTCCCATGGAGCCTGAACTCCCAGTGTCCTCTGCACCAGTACTTGTCCCCAGCTGATTGTCTTCCTCGCCATCTGCAGCATTACAAGGCTTGTTGCCTGCTCTTGTGTTCCCTTAGTCCTCTCTCCCCCTCAAGGAAAGAAGGAAAGTACTCCCCTCAGAGGGGTCTTTGTGCTGGCCAGTGGGACTCTGTATGGGCAAGGCCTCACTGGAGCCCTGGGTGTCTGCCTGGGCCTCCAGGCACAAGGCCCATCTCTCTGACTTCTCCCTCCTCCACCCCAGAAACTCTCAGCAGCTGTGACAGAGGCCTTTGTCCGGCTTCACGAGGAAGGCATCATCTATCGCAGTACCCGCCTTGTTAACTGGTCCTGCACCCTCAACTCCGCCATCTCTGACATTGAGGTGCGCCCCCCAACCTGGCCTGTCTCCATCTCCAATCTACCCTGGCCCTGGCCCTGGCCCCTGGGCCACGCCTCTAAATACCCATTTTACAGGTGGATAAGAAGGAGCTGACAGGTCGCACCCTGCTCTCCGTGCCTGGCTACAAGGAGAAGGTGGAGTTCGGGGTCCTCGTGTCCTTTGCCTATAAGGTCCAAGGCTCAGGTAGGAGCCAGGGGCACCAGGATCCTGGGCTGGGAGTGGCAGGAAGGGGCCAAGGCCAAGACCACAAGGCCTTCTGTCACCCCAGATAGCGACGAGGAGGTGGTGGTGGCAACAACTCGGATCGAGACAATGCTGGGAGATGTGGCTGTAGCTGTGCACCCCAAAGATACCAGATACCAGGTGGGGGACTGTCCACAGTTAGGGAAGGAGTTCTGGCCAAAAAGGGCTCCCATCCTTATGGGGTGGAGGGGTTGGACTTAGGCCCCTGGCTGAGGAGAGGAAACTGGGTTAGAAACTGGTCTTCAGCTTCTTTCCCAGCTCTGAGGGTAGAGCTATTGGGGACTGTTTGGGGGAGTTCAAGTGTTGGGATAGTCAGGGCCCTGGAAAGGAAGGACTTGGGCCCAGCCCTTCGTGCATTTTTAAAAAGTTAAATAGCCAGGCACGGTGGCTCATGCCTGTAATCCCAGCGCTTTGGGAGGCTGAGGCAGGTGAATCATAAGGTCACGAGTTCGAGACTAGCCTGGCCAACATAGTGAAACCCCATCTCTACTAAAAATACAAAAAATTAGCCAGTTGTAGTGGCGGGTGCCTGTAATCTCAGCTACTCAGGAGGCTGAGGCAGGAGAATCGCTTGAACCTGGGATGCGGAGGTTGCAGTGAGCTGAGATCACTCTGCTGCACTCCAGCCTTGGTGACAGAGCGAGACTCCGTCTCAAAAAAAAAAAAAAAAGTTAAATAGAGACAAGGTCTCACTCTGTTAACCATGCTGATCTTGAACTCCTGGCCTCAAGGAAGCCTCCTGCCCCAGCCTCCCAAAGTGTGGGGGTTAGAGATGTGAGCCATGGCACCAGGCCCCTTCATGCTTTTATTTATTTATTTATTTTTGAGAGAGGGTCTCACTCTATCGCCCAGGCTAGAGTGCAGTGGCACCATCTTGGCTCACTGCAACCTCCACCTCCCGGGTTCAAGCAGTACTTGTGCCTCAGCCTCTTGAGTAGCTGAGATTACAGGCACGCGTCACCACACCTGGCTAATTTTTTTTTTGTATTTTTAGTAGAGACTAGGTTTCCCCATGTTGGCCAGGCTGGTCTCCAACTCCCGGCCTCAAGTGATCTGCCCACCTCAGCCTCCCAAAGTTCTGGGATTACAGGTGGGAATCACGGCGTCTGGCCCTGCTTCATGCGTTTTTGGTATCTTTCCGCCCCCAGCACCTGAAGGGGAAGAACGTGATCCACCCATTCCTGTCTCGGAGCCTTCCCATTGTCTTCGATGAATTTGTGGACATGGACTTTGGCACAGGTGGGCAAGGGGCTGGTCCTGTGGGGAGAGGAAAAGACTGGAGCTGCACCCTAGCTGTCCATCTTCTCTCAGAGAAAAAGAAAATAAGCTTCAGCCAAATAGACAGAGCTTGGGGTGGTTCTCAAGGGACTGTATTAGACAAGTGGGGGCCAGGAGTGGTCTCGGAGCTACATCCTTCAGCAAAAGAGGTGAGTGTAGGAAGGAACTCCGTGGAGTCCCTCATGACCTGGGCATCCTGATGTACACCCAGGTGCTGTGAAGATCACCCCCGCACATGACCAAAATGACTATGAAGTTGGGCAGCGGCACGGGCTGGAGGCCATCAGCATCATGGACTCCCGGGGGGCCCTCATCAATGTGCCTCCGCCTTTCCTGGTGAGGCTGCCTGAGGCAAGAGTGCCCGGGTCAGGGAGATGGAGGGATGGCTGGGCATCGCCATGATGAGGCCTCATTCCTACCCAGGGCCTGCCCAGGTTTGAGGCCAGGAAAGCGGTGCTGGTGGCGCTGAAGGAGCGGGGACTGTTCCGTGGCATTGAGGACAACCCCATGGTGGTGCCACTTTGCAAGTGAGGGTGGGGGCCTGGGACGGGAGGAAGATGGAGGGCTCCTCAGGGTTTTACCGCCTGGCCTTCTCACCTACGTGTACCCCCAGCCGGTCGAAGGACGTGGTAGAGCCTCTGCTGCGGCCGCAGTGGTACGTTCGCTGCGGGGAGATGGCCCAGGCTGCCAGCGCCGCTGTGACTCGGGGTGACCTCCGCATCCTGCCTGAGGCCCATCAGCGCACATGGCATGCCTGGATGGACAACATCCGGTGTGTAGGGTCCTCAGTGTGGGAGGGGCTTGCCGAGGGCTGAGCAGGGCTCACTCGGGCCAGGCTCCATCAGGCCCTCCCTGATTTCTCCTCCCCGACATTTGCAGGGAGTGGTGCATTTCCAGGCAGCTGTGGTGGGGCCATCGCATCCCAGCCTACTTTGTCACTGTCAGTGACCCAGCGGTGCCCCCTGGGGAGGTGAGCAGAGGGCCAGAGCTAGCTGCTGGGACACCCTGCTGGAGTGGTGGGTTTACTGGGTCCTTGGTGGGGGGAGGGGCAGGGTGAGCCAGAAGCAGACACACCCCCTTGGGTAATCACTGCACCTGTGGCAGGACCCTGATGGGCGGTACTGGGTGAGTGGACGCAATGAGGCGGAGGCCCGGGAGAAGGCAGCCAAGGAGTTCGGAGTGTCCCCTGACAAGATCAGTCTCCAGCAAGGCAAGGCGGGGCTTTGAGGGTCTGGAGGGAGTTGTGGGGGGCAGAGCTCCACTCCCTCTGACCTCTGACCTTTGGCCTCTCTCAGATGAGGATGTATTGGATACCTGGTTCTCCTCTGGCCTCTTCCCCTTATCCATTTTGGGCTGGCCCAACCAGGTGTGTTCCTGGGGCCGGGGCTTGGCGGGACAGGGGACTGGAGGGTGGGTGTTGGCTCCCCTTCACACCCTGGTCTGCCCTCAGTCAGAAGACCTGAGTGTGTTCTACCCCGGGACACTGCTGGAGACCGGTCATGACATCCTCTTCTTCTGGGTGGCCCGGATGGTCATGCTGGGCCTGAAGCTCACGGGCAGGCTGCCCTTTAGAGAGGTGCGGAGACAGCCGAGACCCTCCCATCGCCCCCAGCCTCCTCTCCTACCGTCCTGTGCTGCAGCGCAGACCCTGCGTGGCTGGGGCATGGGGTTAGCTGTGGGCAGGCCTGACCTGGGGGCTGGTGTGGGGTTGAAATCCAGCCTGGGCCCTGCTCAGTGATTCCTGTGCCCAGGGCTTCATCTTCCCAGAGGAAGGAGTGCTTCTGATTCACATAAAGGCGCTCAACGAGCTCTTGGGGACACTCAGTGGGACCTGAGGTTCACAGTGGGGTAGACCAGACACAGTCCTGGTCGGGGCACTGAGGCCGGGGAAGGAGAGGACTGAGTCTCATGGGCCTCCCCACCTGCTCTGCAGGTCTACCTCCATGCCATCGTGCGAGATGCTCACGGCCGGAAGATGAGCAAGTCTCTAGGCAATGTCATCGATCCCCTGGACGTCATCTATGGAATCTCCCTGCAGGTGGGCTGGGTGCTGGGCCAGCCAGGAAGGGCCGTGGGGCTGTGGTCACAGCCACCTGACTGCTCCCACTCCACCCTCAGGGCCTCCACAACCAGCTGCTGAACAGCAACCTGGATCCCAGCGAGGTGGAGAAGGCCAAAGAAGGGCAGGTATGGAGGGTTGGGCTGGGCTAAGCAGGAGCACAGCGTGGATGGGGCTGGCTGAGGACGCTCCTCCCCCTGCCTCTTCCCTGTAGAAAGCTGACTTCCCAGCGGGGATTCCTGAATGTGGCACCGATGCTCTCCGGTTTGGATTATGTGCCTACATGTCCCAGGGTATGGCCCCCAAAGCGTCCCTCCCAGCCACTCCTTCCTCCTTCTGTGAGGCCCATCCCTCTTCTCCACCCTGAGCCTCTGGTGGGCATGGGCTGGGAAGAGGGTGATGAGGACTCACATCTCACCCCCGACCCAGGTCGTGACATCAACCTGGATGTGAACCGGATACTGGGTTACCGCCACTTCTGCAACAAGCTCTGGAATGCCACCAAGTTTGCCCTTCGTGGCCTTGGGAAGGGTTTTGTGCCCTCACCCACCTCCCAGGTAAGGGCCTGGTGGGCAGCAAAGCTGGCAGCACTCACACAGGCTGTACCCCTGTCCGGAGCAGCCTCCATGTAGCTGGGGGGACAGATAGACACAGAGACAGACAGTTAAAGGGAAAGCCCAGCGCATTGGGGGCTGGGGCCTGTCACTTCTTCCCAGATCCTGGCACATAGGTGGTTGCTTTGGACTCATCAGACTCTGGATGAAGATTTGCCCATGACTCCTGCCCCCATGGGGTTCTGGCACCCTCCCCTGGCCCGCCGGCTGATACACCCTCTCTCCCCAAGCCCGGAGGCCATGAGAGCCTGGTGGACCGCTGGATCCGCAGCCGCCTGACAGAGGCTGTGAGGCTCAGCAATCAAGGCTTCCAGGCCTACGACTTCCCGGCCGTCACCACTGCCCAGTACAGCTTCTGGCTCTATGAGCTCTGTGATGTCTACTTGGTGAGAAGGAGCACAGCGGGGCAGGGGATGGTGGGGGCAGGTGGGCAGCAGAGCCCTGGGCTCAGTTTTGCCAGAGTTGGCCTTGAGACCTAAGCCAACCCATCCCCTTCCCAGTCCTCACAGGCACAGCGAGGGCTCAAGGCTAGACCTCCAGCCGTGAGCCCTGTACCTCTCGTCCCCTAGGAGTGCCTGAAACCTGTACTGAATGGGGTGGACCAGGTGGCAGCTGAGTGTGCCCGCCAGACCCTGTACACTTGCCTGGACGTTGGCCTGCGGCTGCTCTCACCCTTCATGCCCTTCGTGACGGAGGAGCTGTTCCAGAGGCTGCCCCGGAGGATGCCGCAAGCTCCCCCTAGCCTCTGTGTTACCCCCTACCCGGAGCCCTCAGAGGTATGGCATGGCCTGGAGAGGGGAGTCTGACCTGCCCTCCAGGCCCCCTCACCCCCTCCTCCACCCCACAGTGCTCCTGGAAGGACCCCGAGGCAGAAGCCGCCCTTGAGCTGGCGCTAAGCATCACGCGAGCCGTGCGCTCCCTGCGGGCCGACTACAACCTCACCCGGATCCGGCCTGACTGTGAGCCTCAGGCCCCCATGTCCGCCCCATCCCACTGTCCCCTCAGCCTACTCTGGGACCCAGTGTCCGGCAGTGACTGCTTGGTTTCCTGTCTCCATGGAGCTAGGCCTCACCTTTCTCCCTCCCTGGCAGGTTTCCTGGAAGTGGCGGATGAGGCCACGGGCGCCCTGGCATCGGCGGTGTCGGGCTACGTGCAGGCCCTGGCCAGCGCAGGTGTGGTGGCTGTTCTGGCCCTGGGGGCTCCCGCCCCCCAGGGTTGCGCTGTGGCTCTGGCTTCTGATCGCTGCTCCATCCACCTGCAGCTTCAGGGGCTGGTGGACCCTGCACGGGAGCTGGGCAAGCTGCAAGCCAAGCGAGTTGAGGCCCAGCGGCAGGCCCAGCGTCTGCGGGAACGCCGTGCTGCCTCGGGCTATCCTGTCAAGGTGCCGCTCGAAGTCCAGGAGGCAGATGAAGCCAAGGTGTGTGGCCTGGGTGGGCATTTCCCACACCATCCCCTTCCTCCATCAAAACCCTGGTCTGGGCTGGTCCGAGTGCAGTGGTGTTGACAACTAATTGATCGTAACCAGTTACAGATTTCTTTGTTCCTTCTCCACTCCCACTAGCCTTAAAAAACAAAACAGCCTGGCTCAGTGGCTCACACCTGTAATCCCAGAAATTTGGGAGGCCAAGGTGGGTGGATCACTTGAGCCCAGGGGTTTGAGACCAGCCAACATGGTGAAATCCCATCTCTACAACAAAAATACAAAAATTAGCTGGCCATAGTGGCACACACTTGGGGTCCCAGCTACTCGGGGGGCTGAGGTGGGCGGATTGCTTGAGCCTGGGAGGTCAAGACTGCAGTGAGCCGAGATCATGCCACTGCACTTGAGCCTGGGCAACAGAGAGAAGACCCTGTCTGGAAAAAAAACAAAACAAAACAAAAACCAATCCTGGTCTGGAAGCTGGACTCTGTACCCAACCCTGGGGAATCCACTGGGGAGCATGGAGCCCAGGCGCTTTGAGCAGGGACCATAGAAGGCCCTCCCCTTACACATGGGGAGCAGCTGGGGGCTGGGCACAACCCAGGGTCACACAACAGGTGGGAGACGGAGGCTGACCTAGAACCAGGCATCCTATCTCCCAGCCAGACCCTTCGTACCCCACCCAGCTGCCCAAAATGTGGAAACCTGCATGCCTGGGGCTGGGCTTGGGGTCCACATGTAGTCGGGGAGCCCTGGGCCTCCCACCACTTACTTTCAAGCCTACTGGGCTGACCCTGGAAGGCCAGTCTTGTTTGTCCCCTGCCTCCTGGGTTCCGCCAGAGAGAAGCAGTGGAGTAAACTGCACAGACACAGAGAAAACCAGTCATGGAGGCCAAGAGCTAGAGAGCCTTGAGTGGACGTGGTTAATCTCACTTGGTTCTCCCAAGAGCCCTGGGAGGGGGGCAATATCATCATCATCATCTGACAAATGAAGTGACCGGCCTGGGAGACTGTGCTCTCCTGCTTAGGTGGGGACACTGAATGGGGAACACGTAGGCTCTGAGGTTCCTTTGTTCTTGGGGACTCACCACTTGGTGGAAAAAGGCAAGACCCAAGAGGTGGTGGTGGAAGTGGGGGTGCTGGTGGGAATGGGTGGGGAGCCAGGCCAGCCAGGTTCACGCCTCCTCTGAGCTACTGACCTCCCATGGTCCTCGCTCATCTTTCCAACTTTGTTGTCCTGGGTGTTTGGGGGTCTCTTCACTTGGACCTGGGTCCTTACCCACCCCCTGGTTCCACTCCAGCTCCAACAGACAGAAGCAGAGCTCAGGAAGGTGGATGAGGCCATCGCCCTATTCCAGAAGATGCTGTGATCCACCACCCAGCTTCACCCCTCACCCCCAGCGGCTCACCATGGGGATGGCAGCAATAAAATATTTTCCCACAAAATCCTCTTGTCATCTGTGGTGGGGGCAGAGAGGGGAGCAGAGGGGCTGGGTGCCTGAATCCTTGGGGGCTGCAGGGTGGGAGTGAGGCCCTGGTTCTGGAGGGCAGAGGGGTGCGTCTATCTGGGTCTGTCCCTGGCACTGTGCCAGGCCTGAGTCACGCTGCTTACTCCCTTCCTCCTCCCCAGCTCTCACTCACCTCCGCACTGCAGCCAAGGGAGGCCCGCCCTGGCGTGGGCTGCTGCCTGTGGCTTTGGGCAGGCAGGAGCGAAAGGGCCAGGGGTTGCCTGTCCTCCCCCACCCTGTTGAGGCCTTCCTCCCCCTCTGCTGAGCCTCGGTTAATTATAACTCTGACCTAAGTGCCCTGTGACGTCAAGCCCGGGCCAGCCCTGCCCAGGAGACCCAGCAACCAGGTAGGGGAGGGCCTGAGAGGACTCAGGCTTCCTGAGCATGGGGAGTGTTTCTGCGGCAGGGCTGGGGACGCAGCCAGGGACTGGGGAGGGGGGCGTGGGGGAGGAACCTTGGACCCCTCTCCTGGCAGGTGTGTATGTCCCTAATGGTCCGATGAGGCCCTCAGGTTGTCTGGGTGACAGCGAGAGGGTGGGGAAGCCAGGCTGGAGCAGACACGACTTTTGAGGTAAAGCAGGTTCCCATGGAGACCCGCAGAGCCGGCCTGCCCTGGAATCGCGGCTGCTTCCTCCTCCCTTGAGAGCCTTCTGTCTCCCAGGTCCATGTCTCAGCCATGCTCCCCACGGAGGTCCCCCAATCCCACCCGGGCCCCTCAGCGTTGCTTCTGCTGCAGCTGTTGCTGCCCCCCACATCTGCCTTCTTCCCCAACATCTGGAGCCTGCTGGCTGCCCCTGGCTCCATCACCCACCAAGACCTAACTGAGGAGGCAGCGCTCAACGTCACCCTGCAGCTCTTCCTGGAGCAGCCACCCCCAGGCCGCCCCCCTCTTCGTCTTGAGGACTTCCTGGTGAGCATCCCAGGGTCCTGTCACACCCCTGCCAGAGTCCCCAATTCCATGGGGCCTCTACTCCTTGAGGGCTCTGGTTGCCAAGAGAAGAGACACCCATGGCCCCACCCCTGCAGCAATAATACCCAGTAGTCTTGGTCCTGAAATTAGGAGTCCCCCTCCTTAGAAAGGTCCGGGACTGTCCCTCCTTTGTGGGGCTCAGGACCCTCATACCCAGCCTTGAGTGTCAGTTGCTGAGATAAGGTGGGCAACAGTCAATCCAAAGGGCCTCCCTGGAGCCCCGTCGCCCGCTATTCTCCCCAGGGTCGAACACTCCTTGCTGATGACCTCTTTGCCGCCTACTTTGGACCTGGTTCTTCTCGGCGGTTCCGAGCAGCCTTAGGTGAGGTGTCTCGTGCCAATGCAGCCCAGGACTTCCTGCCAACTTCCAGGAATGACCCCGACCTGCACTTTGATGCTGAGCGACTGGGTCAGGGACGCGCGCGCCTGGTAGGGGCTCTGCGGGAGACCGTGGTGGCAGCCAGGGCCCTTGACCACACCCTGGCTCGCCAGCGCCTCGGGGCTGCACTTCATGCCCTGCAGGTGAGAACAGGGTTGGGTTGATGGTCAGAGGGGTCTTCACTTCCGTGCCTGTCCGGGATGGAGCGCGTCCTATGGTGCCTTCTTGATCATGTCTCCTCCACTCTGGAAGGGGTGGGCACTGGCACGCGGTGCCCCGAGGCTGTGTCCCAGTTCCCCACCTCCAAGCTGGCAGTGCTTCCTGTAGGAACAGCAAGGAGGGCGCTGTGGCTGGAGAGAAGTGAGGGTGAGAGAGGAAGGCTGCGAGGTCAGAGAGCTGAGGGAGCAGCACACGCAGCAGGACTCTGCAGGCCGAGAGAGGCCTTGGGTTAGACTCTGAGCTGGGAAGAGATGCTGGGACAGTTTCCACCTGGGCAAAGCTCTGCTCTGAGCAATGGAGAGAGGGCAGTGGAGGGGACTTGGGGTGTCTGGTGGGAGCAGTAGGGGTGGGAGGGGACTTTCGGGATGGGGAACTCAAAGGAGTGGCATATTAGTGCTGGAGATGGTGAGAAAGGCCAGACTAGTGCCTCACTCCCCTTCTCCTGTCCTCCGGACCAGGATTTCTACAGTCATAGCAACTGGGTGGAGCTGGGCGAGCAGCAGCCACACCCTCACCTCCTCTGGCCAAGGCAGGAGCTCCAGAACCTGGCACAAGGTATGGCTGTGACCCTGGTGGTGAGGCAGGAGTCCACAGGGCCACCTCAGTCCACCCAGCCACTGTGTCACATTCTGAAGTCCCAGAGGGTATGATGTTACTTAATCTCCACAAGGACTGAGGTCCCCCAGTCCAAGCAACGCCTGGCTCAGTTAAGCAGCTTCCCCAAGGTCACACAGGGAAAAGTAGCTAGGACCAGGTCTCCAGACCTCAGTCCCGTCTTAAGTGTGGCTTCCTCCCCGCACTGACTCCCATGGGGCCTTCTCTCACAGCCCCCTCACCCTCTCACCTGGAAGCTGCCTCCTGTCCACAACTCACAGAGGGCATAATCCCCATAGGATTGGTCCCTACACGTACTGTGTTTGTTTTTTTCTTATTATTTATTTATGTATTTATTTTTTAGAGATGAGGTCTCACTGTGTGGCGCAGGCTGCTCTGCCCGCCTTAGCCTCCTAAAGTGCTGGGATTACAGTCGTGAGCCACCGCACCCAGCCTGTGCTGTGTTTTCCAGCACAGCCCCAGTTTCAAACATTCAGGCTCACTGCGGGCCCATGATCCTAGGTTTTAGTTCAGAAAGCTTTGCTAGGGAACTTCTGGGTGTTCGCCTCATCCCAGCTGGGAGGAGAAGCTGAAAAGGTTTGGGTGGGTGGGGATAAAGGCTGGGGGTGGCAGAATCTTGGGTTCTAGCCCTGCCCTCTCTTCCCAGTGGCCGATCCTACCTGCTCCGATTGCGAGGAGTTGAGCTGCCCCAGGAATTGGCTGGGCTTCACACTCCTCACCTCTGGCTACTTTGGAACTCATCCCCCGAAACCTCCAGGTACCAGACAAGAAAGTTCCCCAGAAGTAAGGGGAGAAAGTCATTCCCTTACAGGATCTCTGTCCTGTAGGCCCGTATGCCTTTGCTATGGCATCTCCTCCTAGGAGGAGAGGATGCTGGGAACAGGGTGGGTGGAGGAAAGTCCCCTGAGGAGGCTGTGGTGGGGTTGAGGTAGGGGAGCAACTTCTTCCTCCGCTGATAGGATTTCTCCCTTGTCATAGGCAGCTTTGGGGGACTGGCTGGAGGGATCAGGGGATCCACCATGTGCTGTGGTGACTGACCACCACGCCCTAAGATTTACTCCAGAATTCCCCTCCACAAAGCACCATCCTTTTTATCCTTTTTTTTTTTTTTTTTTTTGAGATGGAGTTTTGTTCTTTTTGCCCAGGCTGGAGTACAGTGGCACGATCTCGGCTCACTGCAACCTCCGCCTCCCAGGTTCAAGCGATTCTCCTGCCTCAGCCTCCCGAGTAGCTGGGATTACGGGCATGTGCCACCACGCCCGGCTAATTTTGTACTTTTAGTAGAGACAGGGTTTCATCATGTTGGCCAGGCTTGTCTCAAACTCCTGACTTCAGGTGATCCACCCACCTCAGCCTCCCAAAATGCTGGGATTACTGGTGTGAGCCACCGTGCCCAGCCATCATTTATTTATTTATTTATTTTTTGAGACCGAGTCTTGCTCTGCCACCCAGGCTGGAGTGCAGTGGCGTGATCTCGGTTCACTGCAACCTCCGCCTCTTGGGATCAAGCTATTTTCCTTCCTCAGCCTCCTAAGTAGCTGGGATTACAAGCACGCGCCACCACACCTGGCTAATTTTTATAGTTTTAGTAGAAACAGAGCTTCACCATGTTGGCCAGGCTGGTCTTGAACTCCTGATCTCAGATGATCTGCCGGCCTCGGCCTCCCAAAGCGCTGGGATTCCAGGCGTGAGCCACCGCGCCAACCCCGTCATCATTTCTTGCTGAACCCTTGCTGAGGGGTGAGAGGGTCAGGCCAGGCCTGAAAGGGCCTCATTTTCTTAGGAGGCAGTGGGTTTTTGACCTCCACTCTCCAGATCCCTTTCCCCAACCCAGGGAAATGTAGCCACGGGGGCCATTTTGACCGGAGCAGCTCCCAGCCACCGAGGGGAGGCATCAACAAGGACAGCACATCCCCAGGCTTCTCCCCTCACCACATGCTGCACCTCCAGGCTGCAAAACTGGCCCTTCTAGCCTCCATCCAGGCCTTCAGCCTTCTGCGAAGCCGCCTGGGAGACAGGGATTTCTCCAGGTGAGTGGCCTCCTGGGGATGGACCCCTTCATGGGGAGGCGCTCCTGCGGGAAGGGAGAAACCAGGCGCTGGGGACAAACGTGCAGGCCCTTCACTGTGTCTCTGGCTTGCTCCCCAGGCTGCTGGACATCACCCCAGCCTCCAGCCTGAGCTTTGTCCTGGACACCACGGGCAGCATGGGTGAGGAGATCAACGCTGCCAAAATCCAGGCTCGCCACCTTGTGGAGCAGCGGAGAGGCAGCCCCATGGAGCCTGTCCACTATGTCCTGGTGCCTTTTCATGACCCAGGTAAGTGTGGTCTGGCTAGGACAGTAGAGGGGAGGAAAATTCAAGGTAAGGGATAGACTGGGCGTGGTGGCTCACGCCTGTAATCCCAGCACTTTGGGAGGCTGAGGCAGGTGGATCACCTGAGGTCGGGAGTTTGAGACCAGCCTGACTAATATGGAGAAACCCCGTCTCTACTAAAAATACAAAATTAGCCGGGCGTGGTGGTGGGCACCTATAATCCCAGCTACTCGGGAGGCTGAGGCAGGAGAATCGCTTGAACCCAGGAGGCAGAGGTTGTGGTGAGCCCCGAGATCGTGCCTTTGCACTCCAGCCTGGGCAACAAGAGCAAAAAGCTCTGTCACAAAAAAAAAAAAAAAAAAAAAAAAAAAGAAAAGAAAGAAAAAAAAAAGAAAAGATAAAAAGGTAAGGGATAAAGGCCTGTGGTGAGGAAGTGGGCTCGGGGTGGCACTTCCTGTAGTCCCGAGTGAGCCTCTACTGTGTGCATACAGAAAATTAGCAGCAACCTGGGTGGGGTGGCTCACACCTGTAATCCCAGCACTTTGGGAGGCAGAGGTGGGTGGATCGTTTGAGCCCAGGATTTCAAGACCAACCTGGGCAACACAGAGAAACACAGGTCTCTACAAAAAAATTAATAAAAATTATGTGTGGGTGTGGTGGCACATGCCTATAGTCCCAGCTACTTGGGAAGCTGAGGCAGGAGGATCACTTGAGCCCAGGAGACTGAGGTTGCAGTGAGCCGTGATGGCACTACTGCACTCCAGAGCGGCCTGGGTGACGCAGTGAGACCCTGTCTCTAAAAAAAAAAAAAAAGATAACTAGCAGACTTGCCTCCCACTCTTTCTAAAATGGCAGCACTTTCCATGAGTTTAATGCATGATTCATGCTTTGGCACGTGGCCTCTGCTTTCTTAGGCTTTCATGCTAATAAACCATTTTCTTTTTTTTTTTTTTTTTTTTTTTTTTGAGACGGAGTCTCGCTCTGTCGCCCAGGCTGGAGTGCCATGGCGCGATCTCGGCTCACTACAAGCTCCGTCTCCCGGGTTCACGCCATTCTCCTGTCTCAGCCTCCTGAGTAGCTGGGACTACAGGCGCCCGCCACCACGCCCGGCTAATTTTTGTATTTTTAGTAGAGACGGAGTTTCACCGTGTTAACCAGGATGGTCTCCATCTCCTGACCTCGTGATCCGCCCGCCTCGGCCTCCCAAAGTGCTGGGATTACAGGTGTGAGCCACCGTGCCCGGCCGCCATTTTCAATTCTCTCCATTTCCTATAGACAGAGATTGGTATCAAGATGGGGTTGTTGGGGCCAGGCTTCTGGGAAGCATCTGAGATAACTAGCTACATTGTATTCCTTTTCCATTGATTAGAAGTTAGACTCTCTGGCTTGAGTCTGACTGTGTGTCTTTAGGCTGGTCATGTAAACTTTCTTTGCCTCGATTTCATCATCTGTAAAATGGGTATCAGTTATCACATCAGGGTGGGGCAGGATGTTGGAATGTCATCAGTTAAGGCTATTTTCACTTCTTTTGTGGATCTTCAGTTGCTTCAGGCCATCTGGATGTATAAGTGCCAGTCACAGGGGATATGATTGGTTAGCTTGGGCTCAGAGGACTGACACCTCCCTCATCCTGCCTAACTCCCAGAGTTGAAATGATGATCAAATAAAATGCCTACTGGACTGAGAGTTGCCTAAATTTGAGTCTTATTTGCCTGCATACATCCTACAGTGGCTGGCATTTAATAGACTTATTATGTTTGATGAAGATATAAATAAAGGTATAACTAAGAACTTAGCACTTATGTGTCAAAGCACTATCTTAAGATTTGCAAAATCAACTCATTTAGTCCTCCCAATAAACCTCTGAGGTAAGTGCTATTCGGTCTCTTTTCTTATGAGGAAACCCAGTTTTTTTTTTTCTTTTCTTTTTTTTTTTTTTTTTTTGAGAGAGAGAGAGGGAGAGTCTCACTCTGTCACCCAGGTTGGAGTGCAATGGTACAATCATGCCTCACTGCAGCCTCGATTCAAGCAATCCTCCTGCCACAGCCTCCTGAGTAGCTGGGACTACAGATGAGCACCACCATATCTGGCTAATTTTTGTATTTTTTTGTAGAGATGGGGTCTCACTATGTTACCCAGGCTGATCTCGAGCTCCTGGGCTCAAGTGATCCTCCCACTTCAGCCTCTCAAAGTGCTGGGATAATAGGTGTGACCATTTTTTTTTTTATATACGCACATGTAGCCAATAAAGGCCTACAGGAAATGCCACCATTTTTTTCAGGGAGTGGAGGCCACCTTCCCACCAGGGACACCTAGGTCTGCCCTGCCCTGCCCCGCCCTGCCCCGCCCTGCACTGACAAGTATGACTTTTTTTTTTTTTTTTTGAGATGGAGTCTGTCGCCAGACTGGAGTGCAGCGGCACGATCTCGGCTCACTGCAACCTCTGCCTCCCGGGTTCAAGTGATTCTCCTGCCTCAGCCTCCCCAGTAGCTGGGGAGGCTACTGGGGAGCCTCTGGGGAGGCTACTGGGGAGGCTACGGGCATGCATCACCATGCCCAGCTAATTTTTATATTTTTTAGTAGAGACGAGGTTTCACCATGTTGGCCAGGATGGTTTTGATCTCTTGACCTCATGATCCACCCACCTTGGCCTCCCAAAATGCTGGGATTACAGGTGTGAGCCACCGCACCCGGCCAAGTATGAGTCTTATAATGGAGTATTGTTATTTCAATACCTGTCGGCTCCAGAAGCACACCAGGCCCCTCAACTGGGGAGGTGGCTCTGGGTAAGAATGAGGGGAGCTCTTTCCTCACTTATCTTAACCTCCTTTCCCCTTCCCAGGGTTCGGCCCTGTCTTTACAACCAGTGACCCTGACAGCTTCTGGCAACAGCTTAATGAGATCCATGCCTTGGGGGGTGGAGACGAGCCTGAGATGTGCCTGTCAGCCCTGCAGGTCTGGCCCCTCCCTTCTTCCCCGTTTCCTGGCCCCACCACCAGGGGGAGCTAGATCCCTCCTGGGGCTCCCCACCACCTTCAGCACCTAGATCCACTAGCTTCACTGTAGGGTTCCCGGGCCATATTCCCTTCTGCTTCATCCTCCGTGGCTCTACCCATTCCCCTCCTACTGCCATTGTTAACACTGGTCGTTGCCTTCCCTGCCAGCTGGCCCTGCTGCACACACCTCCACTCTCAGATATCTTTGTCTTCACGGATGCCTCCCCCAAGGATGCCTTTCTCACCAACCAGGTGGAATCCCTGACTCAGGAGCGGCGCTGCCGGGTGAGCAGAGCTAGTGGGAGACCCAGTGTTAGCCTCCCAGGGATGTGAGAGACCCTGTGATGACAATCTCATAACGAGGGTTGCACCACACTATGGTGGCCCAACAAGCCTTGGTATATGGTGGGAGAAGCAGACAATGAGTGGAACATTTCCTGATACCTTTAATGATATACGTAAGAGGCCCTACCCTTAATAACGCTGAATTTTTATTTGACCCTGCCTAATAAACAATGTGAAGAACTGGGGCTCTAGTCGCCAAAAATCCACTGTGACAGTTACAAGGGGGTGGCCAACTACTAACTGAAGGCAGGGGGTTCTGTCATTGGGATTCCCCACCCCAGCAGCCAGAAGGCAGGCAGAGACCTTATCACAAACCATCAGCTCTGGAGAAAGCTTGAGCACAGGGATTCTCATTCATAATAGTGGATGGCACTTGGACACCCCAATCACTGAGCTCTCTTCTGGGTACAGGTAACATTCCTGGTGACTGAAGATACATCAAGGGTTCAGGGTCGAGCTCGGCGTGAGATCTTGTCCCCTCTGCGTTTTGAGCCATACAAAGCAGTGGCCCTGGCCTCAGGAGGAGAGGTGATCTTCACCAAAGACCAGCACATTCGAGACGTGGCAGCCATTGTTGGGGAGAGCATGGCTGCCCTGGTAAGTGGGGGCCAGGGCCCTCACTTAGGAACTGAAGGGTGGTCAGGCTGCACCTCTCTTCTTATAGGAGAAAGGGGAATCACTCTCACTGCTGTGTTGTTCTTCCAGTCACGGGGCAGGAAAGGAAGTTTCTCTTCCTCTTAGATCCATGACTAGCCACTTCTTTTTTTTTTTTTGAGATGGAGTCTTATGGTCACCCAGGTTGGAGTGCAGTGGCACAATCTCGGCTCATTGCAACCTCCACCTCCCGGGTTCAAGGGATTCTCCTGCCTCAGCCTCCCAAGTCGCTAGAGTTACCAGTGCCCACCACCAGGCCTGGCTAATTTTTGTATTTTTTTAGTAGAGCCGGGGTTTCACCGTTTTTTTGGCCAGGCTGGTTTCGTACTCCTGACCGCAAGTGATCCGCCTACCTTGGCCTCCCACAGTGCTGGGATTACAGGCGCGAGCCACCACGCCTGGCCTGCATTGTCCTTTTATATCAGTAAACCTCTCCCCACTTGGCTTCCAGTATTCTGCCTCCAGGGTTACCACAGGAAGTCCTACCATCTTTTTGGGGAGGTGGCTTGTATTTTGCAGAGACAGAGTCTTGCTATATTGACTAAGCTGTTCTTGAACCCCTGGCCTCAAGTGATCCTCCTGCCTTGGTCTCCCAGGTGCTGGGATTACAGACATGAGCCACCACGCCTGGCCTATCATCTTTTAATGGGGCACAAGATGTGATTGTCTCATCCTGAATCCCTTGCCTCCAACTTTGTCTCTGACCATAATAACTTCATCCCTGGCCCCGTGCCCCTCTCTTACTGGTATCCCTTTCTGCCTGTTTGACGTGGTTTCTTTCTTTTTTCTTTTTCTTTCTTTTTTTTTTTGAGACAGAGTCTTGCACTGTCGCCCAGGCTGGAGTGCAATGGTACAATCTTGGCTCACTGCAGCCTCTGCCTGTTGGGTTCAAGCGATTCTCCTGCTCCAGCCTCCCAAGTAGCTGGGATTACAGGAGCCCACCACCACACCTGGCTAATTTTTTGTATTTTTTTTTTTTTAGTAGAGATGTAGTTTCACTGTGTTGGCCAGGCTGGTCTCGAACTCTTGACCTTGTGATCCACCCGCCTCAGCCTCCCAAAGTGCTGGGATTACAGGCGTGACCAACTGCGCCCGGCCCAATGACGTGGTTTCTTTCTATCTCCCCTTTCTTCTTTGTTCCTCATCCCATACCTCATCTTCTTCCCCATTTTCTGGTCCTGCCAATCCCTCAAGGTGACTCTTCCCCTGGACCCTCCTGTTGTGGTGCCTGGGCAGCCACTTGTGTTCAGCGTGGATGGGCTGCTCCAGAAGATCACAGTCCGGATCCACGGAGACATCAGCAGCTTCTGGATCAAGAACCCTGCAGGTACCTCTGAAGGTAGAGGGAAGAGAGGGGACCGGGGAATAGACAATCGAGGGGATGTACTCAAGGAGAGCAAGTGCTTCATGTGACAATCTCTTCCCTGACCCCAGGGGTCTCCCAGGGCCAGGAGGAAGGCGGGGGTCCTCTAGGTCACACTCGCCGCTTTGGGCAGTTCTGGATGGTGACCATGGATGACCCTCCACAGACAGGAACCTGGGAGATCCAGGTCACAGCTGAGGACACCCCTGGGGTGAGAGTGCAAGGTAAGGAGGGAGGTGTTCCTGGGAAGGGGAAGCAGAGACTGCAGGCCTCAGAGAACACGATCAGTCACATTCCTTTCAGGAAGGGCTCTGACTGCCTTTGCCCTTTCCCAGCCCAGACCTCCCTGGACTTCCTCTTCCACTTTGGGATCCCCATGGAGGATGGACCCCACCCTGGCCTCTACCCCCTGACTCAGCCAGTTGCAGGTACATTTATTCCCTGAGCCCCCACCCACCTAACCCCCAGTTTTATATATATATATAAAATATATAATATATAATATATATATTATATATATAATGTATATATGTATACATACATCTGTGCATATGCATAACTTTTATATTGAGTTATAATTTACATAATGTGCACTAAAGTGTACAGTTTGATGGATTTCATATAATACACCCAGTTCAGGATATAGAACATTTCCAGCACCCCAGAACTCCCTCCTGATGCTCCCCATCAATACCCCTCGAAGGTAACCTATTTTCCCATCCATACTCCCCAGAGGGAACCCCTATTTTGAAGGCCATTAATTCTTTTCTCCCTGTGTCTCCGAATCTCACAATGTTCTCCCCTCCTCGCCCCTGTCCCAGGTCTTCAGACCCAGCTGCTGGTAGAAGTGACAGGGTTGGGTTCCAGAGCCAATCCTGGGGATCCTCAGCCGCATTTCTCCCACGTCATCCTTCGAGGGGTCCCAGAGGGTGCCGAACTAGGCCAGGTGCCCTTGGAGCCCGTGGGACCTCCGGAGCGAGGTCTCCTCGCAGCCTCGCTGTCGCCCACGCTGCTGTCAACCCCTAGACCCTTCTCCCTGGAGCTGATTGGCCAGGACGCAGCGGGGCGGCGCCTGCACAGGGCTGCCCCTCAGCCTAGCACTGTAGTCCCTGTCCTTCTGGAGGTGAGACGCCAGGGGAAAGTGCGGCTGGGGCTGGAGAGAGTTAGAGCGGCCCCTTCCCTGAAGAACCCTTCTCTGCAGCTTAGTGGCCCCTCGGGTTTCTTGGCCCCGGGCAGCAAAGTCCCGCTCAGTCTCCGCATCGCCAGCTTCTCGGGCCCTCAGGATCTTGACCTTAGGACTTTCGTCAACCCCAGCTTCTCCCTCACCTCCAACCTCTCCAGGTGAGGCTCATGAACCCTCCAGCTCCCTCTGGCATCTTGCCCGGCCAATGCTTATCCCAAGCCCTGCCCGTCCCCCTCCGACTGGCCCTCAGAATCCTCCTCTCCGCTCCCGTGCCCCTGCAGGCGTCCCGACTCTAGGCTCTGGGCAGCCTGGAGCTTTAGCGACGCCTATATCCTCTCTCCAGGGCTCACCTGGAACTGAATGAGTCGGCCTGGGGCCGCCTGTGGCTGGAGGTCCCAGATTCAGCGGCCCCGGATTCCGTGGTGATGGTGACTGTGACTGCAGGGGGACGAGAAGCCAACCCAGTACCCCCGACTCATGCTTTCCTCCGGCTCCTGGTATCGGCCCCAGCCCCGCAGGTGAGGAACCACTACTTTCCATCACAGGGTGGGCAAGGCCGGGGAGGGTGGTGTAGGTTTAATTTGAGTACAGCTCTAGCACACCCTGTCATTCTCTTCCTTTTCCCCACAGGACCGGCACACCACCCCTACCGGCTCATCTGACCCGATCCTCACCACGGCCACCCCTGCCTTTTCCCCCTTCACATTGGTGGCTCAAGGCAGGGCTGGGGCAGGGCTGGCTGCGGGCAGCCCCTGGTGGGGCACAGTTGGAGGGGTGCTGCTTCTGCTAGGCCTGGCCTCCTGGTGACACAACGGGCTCTAAAGGGATGGGTCTCCAGCACTATTTTCAACCTGCCCCATTGGTAAGAAGACCTGGGACACATTTGTCACATAGGTCTTAGGACCTTACCTCTCCTAGCTGGGATGAAGGTTTTCTCTTTTTTGTTGTTGTTGTTTTTTTTTTGAGATGTAGTTTTGCTCATTGCCCAGGCTGGAGTGCAGCGGCGCAATCTCGGCTCGCTGCAACCTCTGCCTCCTAGGTTCAAGCGATTCTCCTGCCTCAGCCTCCCAAGTAGCTGGGATCACAGGTGCCCGCCACCACGCCCGGCTAATTTTTTGTATTTTTAGTAGAGACAGGGTTTCACTATGTTGGCCAGGCTGGTCTCAAACTCCTGACCTCAGGTGATCTGCCTGCCTCGGCCTCCCAAAGTGCTGGGATTACAGGCGTGAGCCACCGTGCCCAGCCAATGAAGGTTTTCTTTCTCCATCACATCCCTTTCCTTTCTTAGAAACTTCGAGACTGGGGCTGGGTGCAGTGGCTCACGCCTGTAATCCCAGCACTCTGGGAGGCTGAGGCAGGAGGATCACTTGAGCCCAGGAGGTTGAGGCTGCAGTGAGTTGTGGTCGAACCACTGCACTACAGCCTGAGCGACAGTGAGACCCTATCTCAGAAACAAAACAAAACAAAACACCCTGCAAGACTGGGATAGAGGGCAATGGATATTCCCACAATGCACTTTTCCTAACCCTATGAGAAACAAACCAAAGACATTTTTGGAGAAAGCTGCTTTCTGGAGCAGTTTCAGTTTTATTTTTGTATTTAAGGCTGAAGGACAGTTTCAATAAACATGTCTTCTTCCCAGAGGGATTTCAAAGAAAGATCGTTTTTGCATGTCATATAGGGGAGAATGAGGACATGAGACACCAAGAAGATGAAGTTTTCAGGAGCAGAGGAGAAACTTTACACCAACATGTCTGAACTTCATTGACTCACTACCTGGAGCCATTTTTTAGCTGTTGAGTTAAGAAACAGAAAAAGGAGCCTGGGGCTTCTGACTCTTTCACCAGGCTTAGGGGAGTGAGAGGAGGGTTTAGACACGGGTAGGGCCTCTTGGCCCCTTGGTGCAGCCCCGCTGAGCCATCTCCTCCTTTGGCTGGGTGACTCCTTTCTGCTGCCTTGACAACTCCTGGAGGAGAAACAGATGGGGCCTCTGGGCTCCTCCCAGCCCTGTAGGGTGGGGCTCCTGCCCTCCTTCTTGAAGTTTACCTGTTGCTGCCACAAGTTCTGCTCCCTTCGTCTTTCCTTTGAATCCTGGGTGGTGCAGGAACTAGCCTTGTTCAGTGGACTTGGGGAGAACTGGAGGGGAAATTCGCTGTGTTTTCTGTTAAGCCAGCACTGACCCCAACAACTCCCCTCTCTAGTCCAACTTCCCAAAAGTCTAAACTGAAAACAATAAACTCACCTTCTCATGAATCAGATTCTGCAAACAGATGTTCACCTTTTGAATCTGGGCTAACGGGGGGCGACCAGGCTCTGAGTGTAAATCTGTTAGAAAATTCTAGAGGAGGAGTTGGAGGCTGACAACATGGTGAAAACCTGAGGTCGTCTGCCACTCTATTCCTGTCACCACAGGCCATCCCTCTCATCTGGATCCCCTCGTCCCAGTACCCTCCCAGGCAGGTGGGAAAATCCAGTACTCTCCACCTCCATCTCTTTAGCACATCAGTTCCTCCATCTCCCTCAAATAGCACAATACCCCCTTTCACTACTCTTCATGGAGCCTCCCTGTCCATCCCTGCCCCATTGGAATAATCCAGGCCACACCCTCATCTCCATGGAGTGATCCAAATCCCTCTGAATGGAATGCAGACCAGCTTCCTCCAGCCCCAACAATGAACACCAACTTAACACTTGGTGGCATCCTGTCATTACGATGCTGCCTCCAACTCATGATCCCTGACCATTAACTCTCCCCTCTCCAGAGTGGTCTCAGGCTGTGTCTACACATTCCCTGTTCCTCCCTCCCTGGTCCTCCCCCCATTCACACAGAGGGGCAGCCCCCATACCTCACCAAGGGCCCCTAGATGCAGCTGCTGTCGCTGTGCCTCCCTCAGATGGTCTTCAAACCAGGCCTGGCCATGCTGTAGCAGCTCCAGACCCTGCCACAGGGCATCCTGTTCTCTCTCCAGAGCCTGCATCCTGCGTAGCTGGGAAAGGCAATCACAGAGGCTGACTCTCACGCCACAGTAGGGCTCTGGGTTATGGCCCTTTCTCTCCACCCCTAGTTGGGTTCACTGTGTGGTCACTGAGTGTGAACCCAGACTGGCCACTGAGGACCTGGAGGGCAAGGGGAGGCAGGCGGGAACACTGTGGGCCCTCAAGTTGAATGGAAATATAAAGGGCAGATCTATTGAGAGAGTTCCCCTGGGACCTCTTGTTGGGCTGATACTCACCCAAAGGAAGAAGCTCTGGGCCCCTGGGTCTTGGCGGCTTGTCCCCAGCGGCAGCAGCAGGACTGTGTAGGGAGCCTGCACCAAGGGCACCCCGCCAGAGCCCTGGCTCCCCATGGCTCTGAGGTGGGAAGGGTGGAGCCACTCCCACTGGTGCAGCCCGGGCTGGTCCCTCCCCTCCACCCCTGCCTTGCACCCATCCTGCCTCTGTCAGCCTCTCAGGCCCCTTCCTGCTGTGTCTGTCTGAGGCTGGGGTGTTCCTACTTGAGAAGAGAGACCATCTCCCTTGGACCCCTCTGTCTTCCCTCTAATCTGTTTTGTAGGGCCTCTCTGAAGGGGTTCGTTCTCATGAAGTATCCTGGGGTAGAATCCGGGAGTCTTCCTACAGCAACAACACTGTATTTTTACTGAGGCAGGGCAGGTTCCCCTGTGGACTCCTGCTCTGTGTTTTGGATCTTTCCTAGTCTCTTGTTTTGAGACTAAAGAAACAATATCTTTCTTCAAAATAAACTTTATTCCTAATATGAAACAAAATTTCTAGAGAAACTAAAAACTCTGCGTCTGAGGGAGATAAGGAAACAAAGAGGGCATGGCAGCCCACCGGAGTCTCAGGAGGCTGGGGAGGACACTGGAAGGACTCTCAGAGGATGCTGGTGGCAGCAGGCAGCACTTCCTGGCTCATGAAAACGTTCAAGTCCAGGTTAGGATCTTCCAAATCCAGTTTCATAAACTTATCCACTAATGTCTGGCAACTGAAGAAGAGAGAAAATCGCAAGATTTATGGCAGAATGGACAACCAAATCCCTGGGCAGAGGGGAGAGGCTGTGGCACAGAAAACCTGGGATCTTGAAGATTTAGGGATTTCAGAAAGAAATGGTGGGTTTCTGAAGGGCAAAGTGCTGGAGGAAGGCTGAGTCCCTGAAAAGGGGAGAAGAGTTGCAGGAGAAGATGCAGAGAGGGTAAAGACACTGGGGCCATATACGCACTTTTCCATTTGGTTCTTCTTTAGCAAATCCTTGACAGGCTTGATGGGTTTTCCACTGCGGATCAAGTCTGAGACCTAGGAACAAGCAAGAAGGTGGGAGGAGTAAGGGGAGTGGGGAAGAGAAGGGGAAATAAGGGTCAGAAATCCTGTGGACCTAGACCCAGGCCCAGTAGGACTAGGAATGAAAGGGAGCTCTGATGTGGAGGTGGTTGCACATTTGGATCTCATCACCTCCTTGCCACGAGCCACAAGCTTGTCAGGAAGCCCAGCCTGGGCAGCTGTGTGGGAGGCATGGCTGGCCTTCGCAACACCTTCGCAAACCTGATAGAAGAAGACAAGATCGTTGCCATCCTCACAGGTCTCCATGGTCTTAAAAGAGAATAAAAGACAGTGTATCATCAATCACCTCCTTCCTGTCCTGAAACCCTTGGCCAATCCTGTGGGGAGGGAGAAAAGGGAAGGGATGTGGTCTCTGTGCTGAGGGAGCCCTTGTTCTGATAGAGGAGCCAATCCCCACCTCTGGGAAATGCCCAGCCTGGGGGTCCCCGAGGAGCTAGATTGGTCTCCTCACCAAATACTGCACCAGGGGCCCTTGTGGCAGCAGCTGTAGCTGAACAAGGCTCAGAAAGTTGGTGGCCACAAAGATGTGGGGGCATGTGGGTCCACGTGCCAGCCAGTGTCGGAGCACAGCGGCCAGAAGCGCGAGCCCATCCACCTGCAAAGAGGGCAGAGGTTAGCATTCGGAGCCATGGGGACCCCATATGCCCCTCTGCACTTGCACTGCCTTTCCCTGTCTCGTGTTCTATTTCTTTTCTGCCCACACAGCCCTATTCCATTCCAGAGGCCCAGCCTCACTGTCATGCTCCTTCATCCTCCTCCATTTTCCCCTCCTTAGTTTCTCCCCTCATCAGTTTCTCCCCTCACCGTGTTGGTTCCCTTTCCAAATTCATCAATAAGGACCAGCGACTGTGCAGTGGCATTGTTCACTGCTTTCGCCACCTGCTGGGTATAAGGTGGACAAGGGAAAGTTAGTATTGGAAGCCCGTAACGCACTGACCACAGTTGGCCTGTGAATAAAGCTGTATACATGCCCTCCCTACTGCACTGCAAGTTCTTGAATGGTGAGGTGCACGCTTTGTTCATCCTCTTTGCCAACAGTGACTCACATGAAACAAGGGTTCAAGAAATGTTTATGGTATTGATTCTTCTTATCTCTGACCTTAGTGCTCCCCACTTTTAGTATAAAGGGCATGCAGCAGAGGGCATGCTTTCCTGTTATGAGCATTTTCAGGGGTTCCTTTCCCATTATCCCCTTCCTCAATCCCACCTCCCTTTGTTCCCTTTGACCTGGTTGAGGTCGATCATGAAGGTGGAGAGGCCAAGGGAGATGGATTCGCAGCTATGAATTCGTGTGAAGATGGCGTCTACTGCCCCAATTTCGGCCTCCTCTGCTGGCACAAAGCTGCCTACCAGGGCCATGAATGTGATCAAGCCTACCTGAATAGGGAAGGAGACAGGGCCTGGGGCCTGGTGCCGTGGGCTGAGGTGAAAGTGAGGCTCAAGGCATGAATGGCACATCAAAGAGAAATGGACAGGGTGAAACAGGAGAAATAGGTAACAGACACACTGACTCTGTCTCTCCTCCCCGAATCCTGACCATAGCCCTGTGGGCTAATTTAGAATCAGTGAAGAGGCACGGGACGTGGGCAGAGACATACTTGGGAGTGGTGTGTACCTACTCAGAGGCAGGTGAAGGAATTTGGGCCACGGAAAGTTCCATTAGAGCATGGCTCTCCAGTGGAGAATAAGAACATGTGAGGTGGAAGCACAGGGATGTGGGTGATGGTCCTTTCATGAAGAGCGGGGTCAGAAAATGGGAGAAGAGCTGCAGGAGCCTGAGTTGGCTGGCAAGTAGGGGTGGAGTAGATGCAGGAGACGCCAGAGGCCCAGGCTGCAGGGCTTCTCCTCACCTGTTTGAGGTATATGCTCTTCCCTGATGAGTTGGGTCCAGTGATGACTTTGACCCTCCCTTTGTCCCCACCACATTCTGTGGAGTTGGGCACAAAAGTTCGGGCACAGAGTTCCATCAGAGGATGTCTGCAGTGGGCGGAGAGGCACCTCGCATGGCTTGTGGATCAAGATAGATGAACCCCCAGAAGATGTAGCCTTTGGGCCCCTCATGTCTATTCCTCCACCCGCCTCTATTCTTACCTGCCATTCTGGATTCGTACCCCAAGGACTTGTGGGGAGTAACGCGGCCTTGAGTAGCCATAGTCCCGGGCAGCACTGGCAAGAGCCAGCAGGACGTCCAGGCGGGAGGCAAGGTCCAATACTCGGGTTAAGACAGCTGCTCGTGCCAGCACCTGGCACTGTAGCTGGTACATCAGCAGCGTCTCCTGGTCTGGGAGTGGGTGAGGAAGGGAGCTGGAGGTCAGTTCCAGGGGAAAGTGAAGGAGAGGCAGAGGCCCCTAGGGGGATCTGGAAACAGGCTGCAGATACAATCTGAGACCTCAAGACATTCAGAGGAAAAGATAGAGTCAGAGTGAGCGAGACAGAGAGCAGGAAGAGGAGGGGCCTGTTGGAAGCATCCCCAAGTTGCCCACTCCCCTCCTTCCCCTGGCTGCTGCTTTTTTTAAACATCTTACAATGCATATAACCTCTGGCTTTTCCTCACCCCGGATCTCGCAGTGCAGGTCCCCCAGCAATGCATCCAGCTCCTTGGTTCGGGCACTACGATAGTGCAGCTTCTCCTCTGAGAGAAACTGGGTACAGGGGTTCAAAGCTGTGGACTTTGCATCTCTTGGTCCTCCTCTCCTTCCCCATCTTTCTAACCCCACCTCCAGCCCCTAACTCTGACTTCTCTTTCCTTTGTCTCAGTGCTGGTAAAGCTCAGAGTAAAACTACAGAGGAGAGATCCCATATTGGGCAGTGCTGCTGTAGAGTAACGCTCTTCCTCAGCTGCTGACTCATTTTCCTCATCACTCACCTTACAGAGGTTGAGGGTCTTACCATGAAGTCCAGTCCATTAATCTCAAAGTCACTGGCCTCTACCATGGAAGGCAGGCGGGGAATAGAAAGAAGGAAGCCAATCTGGGGAGAGTAAAGAGGAGATACTCTACTCTCCTGCTTGGAGACTTACTGGACACCTCCCCACCCTAGAGGGAGCTTAGAAGATCCCTGTATCCCCACAAAAAAGTGTTCATGTTCTTCAGGCTGCCCCACAAGTTTTCTTATCTACCAGTATGTCTTTCATAAGCCTAATATCTCCCCCAAAAGACATCTGAAGGCTACACCCACTCTCCTGCCCTCACCAGAGGGATGTAGATGACACTGCATGAAGGAATACGGGAGTCCAGATTCTCCAGCTCCTTGCGGGCAACCTCAGTAAGGAAACTGGGAAGTCCCATCAGTCTTCGCTTTTCTACGAGGGTGGAAGACACGTGGTTATCAAAAGTGAGTCTCCTGCCCTGGTTGCTATGAAGATCCCCAGCTGTGGTGACCACCTGCCAAGGATGGTACTCCATCACTGCGCAGGGCTCACAGGCCCATCCACACCCAACACTCACTCTCATCAATTTCAGGATCTATGTTGGGGAGGACTGTGAAGCGATTTTCAGCAAGGCTGCCCTCAAAGTCCACCTGAGGAGATAAGTACTGTTTCTTAGGACCTGGCACCCTCTGTCCTGTTCCTCAGCTCTCCTTGGGCCCCAGTTCTCCCTGCAGTCCTCCTTTAACTCTCACCCTCCAGATACTTCCCTGAAGTTCTGCTGCCTCCTCCCACCATCCCATTCTTTATCCAATTGACCTCAATATCTTCCATGTTTCCCCATCTTGCACACTGCATTCTCTCTCCCTGACCTCCCTGGGTGCACTCCCTTTTTCCTTCTACTCACTACTTTCCCAATGAGGCTGGCGATATGGTGCAGGTCATCAGAGAACTCTTGGGCAATGTCCCGAAAGAGCTGGATGGACTGCGGCAGGGAGCGGCAGGCATCCCTCAGGCCCAGGGCACTGTACACAGTCTGTGAGAGAAACACAAAAAGGAGGACAGGCCACATCCAGCTCGGGTTGAGGTGGTGATAGGGACAGACTCAGAAGAACAAAGACCAGTAGGGAAGATCACAGTAACAAAGAGGGAAGATCTCAAAGGCAAAAAGAAACAGTGAGAGGCACTGTACCAAACACTGAAACTACAAAGACAATTAAGATATGGTCCTGGCCAGGCACAGTGGCTCATGCCTGTAATCCCAGCACTTTGGGAGGCTGAGGTGGGTAGATCACCTGAGGTCAGGAGTTCGAGATCAGCCTCACCAACATGGTGAAACCCTGTCTCTACTCAAAATACAAAAATTAACTGGGCTTGGTGGCATGCACATGTAATTCCAGCTACTTGGGAGGCTGAGGCAGGAGAATCTCTTGAACCCGGGAGGTGGAGGTTATAGCCAGATCACGCCATTGCACTCCAGCCTGGCCGACAGAGCGAGACTCTGTCTCAAAACAAAACAAATAAACAAAAAAAGATATGGTCCCTGTCCCAGATGTGCTCACAGTCTAGGAAGGAAGACAGAAATACATGCAGAAGATTTAAAAGTGAGGTGGTAGGTGCTTTGATAGAGGGTTGTGCAAACTCTAAAACAAAGGAGTTTGTACAGAGTCGGGAGAAAGAGAAATATAGCTACAAAAGGCCATGAGTCTGTAATGATACAAGAAGAACAATGACAAAAAAACCTCATTGGCTATCAGGGCCGGGCGCGGTGGCTCACACCTGTAATCCCAGCACTTTGGGAGGCTGAGGCGGGTGGATCACGAGGTCAGGAGATTGAGACCATCCTGGTTAAGAGGGTGAAACCCTGTCTCTACTAAAAGTACAAAAAATTAGCCAGGCGTGGTGGCGGGCGCCTGTAGTCCCAGGCACTCAGGAGGCTGAGGTAGGAGAATGGCGCGAACCCGGGAGGCAGAGCTTGCAGTGAGCCGAGATCGCGCCACTGCACTCCTGCCTGGGCAACAGTGCAAGACTCCATCTCAAACAAACAAACAAACAAACAAACAAAAAACAAAAAAATCTCATGGCTATCTTGGAGAATGTTAGGGAACTAATTTACCATATTGATAGCTAGTAAATAAAGGTGGGGGGTGCTCATTTCTGCAGCACATATACTGAAATTTCGAAGGTTACAGGGATTAGCACGGCCACTGGGCACGGATGACACAAATTCAAGAAGCGTTCCATATTGGGGAAAAAAAAAAGGGCTGGGCATGGTGGCTCACACCTGTAATCCCAGCACTTTGGGAGGCCGAGGCGGGTGGATCACGAGGTCAAGAGATCAAGACCATCCTGGCCATCATGGTGAAACCCTGTCTCTACTAAAAATACAAAAATTAGCCAGGCATGGTGGCACACGCCTATAGTCCCAGCTACTCGGGAGGCTGAGGCAGGAGAATCACTTGAAACCCAACCCGGGAGGTGGAGGTTGCAGTGAGCCAAGATTGTGCCACTGCACTCCAGCCTGGTGACAGAGCAAGACTCTGTCTCAAAAAAAAAAGAGTGGGGGAAATATCAAGCAATTTTCTGTATTTCTATATGATTTCTATCACTTGGCAACCAAATAGTACATAAAAGGAAGTTTCTCTTTACAGAAATTTCTGGCTAATAAATGAAGAAAGAATCAGAGATTTAAATGCTACTACTTTGTAATTGCTAAAGAATTAATAGATGGCTGGGTGTAGTGGTTCACGCCTGTAATCCCAGCACTTTGGGAGGCTGAGGCGGGTGGATCACCTGAGGTCAAGAGATCAAGACCATCCTGGCCAACATGGTGAAATCCCGTCTCTACTAAAAATACAAAAATTAGCTGGGCGTGGTGGTGTGCGCCTGTAAGTCCCAGCTACTCAGGAGGCTGAGGCAGGAGAATCACTTGAACTCAGGAGGCGGAGGTTGCAGTGAGCCAAGATCGTGCCACTGCACTTCAGCCTGGCGACAGAGGGAGACTCACCTCAAACTAAATAAATAAATAAATAAATGAATAATAGATTTAGGTATTAAACATCAGAACATTTGCCAACATCAGAAAAAGAGAGACAATCGGACATATCAGACATTATGTTCCTCTACTTCTAAAACAGTATTGAAAAAAAAAAAACTCTGAACCTAATCATGCTTCTAGAACTAAATATTAATTTACAGAAACTATAGAAGAGAGAGAAATGTGCCAAAAACATCTAGGAAATGCAAACAGCAAAATCCAGGCTAATGGAAAACACTATAAGACAAATAATAATCTAGTTTCTTCAACAAATTGCCAGGAGAAGAAAAAGAGAAAAAGAAAGAAAGAACAAGAGAGAAAAGATAGAGAAGGAACCGGTAGATTAAAAAGGACTAGGGCCATCATCTGACTGGGCATCGTGGCTCACACCAATAGTCTCAGCACTTTGGGAGGCCCAAGCAGGAGGATCACTTGAGCTCAGGAGTTTGAGACCACCTTGAGCAACATAGTGAGATCCTGTCTCTACAAAAAATAAAAAATTGGTCAGGTGCAATGGCTCACGCCTGTAATCCCAGCACTTTGGGAGGCCGAGGCAGGCAGATCATCTGAGGTCGGGAGTTCGAGACCAGCCCGACCAACAGGGAGAAACCCTGTCTCTACTAAAAATACAAAATTAGCTGGGCGTGGTGGCACGCACCTGTAATCCCAGCTACTTGGGAGGCTGAGGCAAGAGAATCACTTGAACCCAGGAGGTGGAGGTTGCGGTGAGCCGAGATCACACCATTGCACTCCAGCCTGGGCTACAAGAGCAAAATCCCGTCTCAAAAATAAATAAATAAATAAATAAATAAATAAATGCAAGCAAAAAATAAAAACTTAGTTCGGTGTGATGGCCATCACCTGTGGTCCCTGCTACTCAGGAGGCTGAGGGGGGAGGATCGCTTGAGCCCAACAGTTTGAGGCTGCAGTGAGCTACAATTGTGCCATTGCACTCAAGCCTGGGTGACAGAGTGAGACCCTGTCTCAAAAAAGAAAAATTTCAGATATTTGATGATACCAAATAATACAATTTTTAAAGTAAGATAACAATACTGTTATTCTTTTTAAAAAATAATTTTCTTTTAGAAATTACCCTGAAATATTGGCCGGGTGAGGTGGCTCACGCCTGTAATCCCAGCACTCTGGGAGGCCAAGGCGGGTGGATCACGAGGTCAGGAGATCAAGACCATCCTGGCCAACATGGTGAAACCCTGTCTCTACTAAAAATACAAAAAAAAAACTTGGGCATGGTGGCATGTGCCTGTTATCCCAGCTACATGGGAGGCTGAGGCAGGAGAATCGCTTGAACCTGGGAGGCGGAGGTTGCAGTGAGCCGAGATCATGCCACTGCACTCCAGCCTGGTGACAGAGTGAGACTCCATCTCAAAAAAAAAAAAAAAAAGAAAAAAGAAATTACACTGAAATATTTATGGATGAAATGATATAATGGCTGGGACTTGCTTCAAAATAATCCAAGAAAGCCAGGTGCAGCATCTCAGGCTTATAGTCCCAGTTACTCTGGAGGCTAAGGTGGGAGGATTGCTTGAGCCCAGAAGTTAGAGGCTGCAATGAAATATGACTGCACCACTCTGCTCTAGTATGGGTGACAAAGCAGGACCTTATTTAAAAAAACAAACAAACGACAACAAAACCCACAAAATAATCCAAGAGGGGAAAGTAGAAAAAGATATAGATGACACATACTAGGCTGGGCACGGTGGCTCCCACCTATAATCCTAGCACTTTGGGAGGCCGAGATGGGCAGATCACTTGAGGCCAGGAATTTGAGACCAGCCTGGCCAACATGGTGAAATCCCATCTCTACTAAAAATACAAAAATCACTCCAGTGTGGTGGTGGGCACCTGTAATCCCAGCTATTTGGGAGGCTGAGGTAGGAGAATCACTTGAACTTGGGAGGCAGAGGTTGCAGTGAGCCGAGATCGCACCACTGCAATCCAGCCTGGGCGACAGAGCAAGACTCTGTCTAAAAAAAAAAAGAAAAAGAAATAAAAAAAAATTGGCGTAAGTTAAAGTGTTGAAACTGCATGGTGGGTACATGGGGGTTAATTATATTATTCTAAATATTTTTTACATTTTCCTGAATACAAAGTTAAAAAAAAAAAGAGGGAGGCCGGGCCTGGTGGTTCACACCTGTAATCCCAGCACCTTGGGAGGCTGAGGCAGGTGGATCACCTGAAGTCAGGAGTTCAAGACCAGCCTGGCCAACATGGTGAAATCCTGTCTCTACTAAAAATACAAAAATTTGCCAGGCATGGTGGCGGGCGCTTGTAATCCCAACTTCTCGGGAGGCTGAGGCAGAATTGCTTGAACCCAGGAGGCGGAGGTTGCAGTGAGCCAAGATCGCCCCATGGCACTTCAGCCTGGGCGACAGAGCGAGGCTGTCTCCAAAAAAAAAAAAAAGAGGGTAGAATAAAATTGGACAGCATGTCTAGGGTACAGACAGTCTGGAATACAGGCTGAGGGCCTTTACCTGGACTTTTGGGATTCAAGAAGGAAGGCCTTACCTTGTAG
This sequence comes from Homo sapiens, assembly GCF_000001405.40. Classification (NCBI taxonomy): domain Eukaryota; kingdom Metazoa; phylum Chordata; class Mammalia; order Primates; family Hominidae; genus Homo; species Homo sapiens. The sequence continues at coordinate 3,230,887 of NT_113891.3, read as the reverse complement.
AGAACCTGCCAGTCGCTGACCTTGGTGTGGGACAACTTCATGCGTTTCAGAATCAGCTACAGTCAGACAAGGTTACAGCCGCTGTTTTCTCTTCCCTCACTCTAATGCCCCTCAAGAAGCCCACTGCCCAGTATCAGCCCTCAACCTCCTTCCCCACCTCCCTGCCCTCCACCCTGGGCTCACAGGCACGTTCTTGATGTGACCCAGGAGCCGATGCAGCATCTGAGCCATGTCCAGATTCTGGGGCAGCAGAAAAAACTGAATGACGTCCAGACGAGAACTGAGCTCCCCCAGGTCATGAGTCGGACGTGTGAACCATAGCCTGGAAGTGAGGGTTTGGGTGGGGGTACTACAAGTTACATCTATTATCTTGATCTCAGTTTGCCAAAAAGTGTGCTTGCAGTCCCTGGGGATTGTGGCAATATGTATCCACGATGTGCTATGGGAATGTAGTGGCAAGTGCAGTGTCCTACCCATTCAGGTGTGTTTACATGTATCTACTGAAAATTGCTAGATGTGAGCATAATTGTGTCTACATATCACAGTTTCAACGGATAAGACCGTGTGTCATTCCATGTATATAAGTAACGGAGCTTGTCAATATTTTAGAAGGAGAGCAGTGTGTTGAGGTATTTGTGTGCCAACACTGCAGCTCACTCTGAGGCTGAGTAAGAGACGGTGAGTCAGTATGAGTTTGTATGTCTTTTTAGCTGTGAAAGTGTCTCTGGGTAACAGCAACAGACATTCATCTTTTCATATTCTTCCTGTGAAAACATAACTGTCCCATTAGGGATGATAAGCTTTAATTCATAATAATGGTCAACACTGCAGAGAAAAAAGGATTGGGGAGGGACATTTAAGGGGCTTCAACAACAATGTCTTATTCTTTCGTTTTTTTTTTTTTTTTGAGACAGAGTCTCGCTTTGTCGCCAGGCTGGAGTGCAGTGATGCGATCTCGGCTCACTGCAACCTCCACCTCCCGGGTTCAAGTGATTTTCGTGCCTCAGCCTCCCGAGTAGCTGGGACTGCAGGTATGCGCCACCATGCCCAGCTAATTGTTGTATTTTTAGTAGAGTCAGGGTTTCACTATGTTGGCCAGAATGATCTCGATCTCTTGACCTCGTGATCTGCCCGCCTCGGCTCCCAAAGTGCTGGGATTACAGGCGTGAGTCACCATACCCGGCCAATAGTGTCTTATTCTTTTTTTTTATTTTATTTTTTATATAGAGTCTTGCTCTGTCGCCCAGGCTAGAGTGCAGTAGCACAATCTTGGCTTACTGCAACCTCCACCTCCCAGGTTCTGGAATTACAGGCACCCGCCACTGTGCTCAGCTAATTTTTGTATTTTTAGTAGAGACGGGGTTTCACCATCTTGGCCAGGCTGGTCTTGAACTCCTGACCTTGTGATCCACCCGCCTCGGCCTCCCAAAGTGCTGGGATTACAGGCATGAGCCACCGCGCCCGGCATGTCTTATTCTTAAATTGGCTGATGGATATATAGATATTTGTATTATTATTATTATTTTTGAGATGGAGTCTTGCTCTGTCGCCCAGGCTAGGGTACAGTGGCGGGATCTCGGGTCACTGCAACCTCTGCCTCACAGGCTTAAGTGATTCTCCTGCCTCAGCCTCCCCAGCAGCTGGAACTACAGGTGTGTGCCACCATGCCCAGCTAAATTTTGTATTTTTAGTAGAGATAGGGTTTCGCTGTGTTGGCCAGGCTGGTCTCAAAATCGTGACCTCAGGTGATCTGCCTGCCTCAGCCTCCTAAAGTGCTGGAATTACAGGCATGAGCTACTGCGCCTGGCCATTTGTATTACTATTAATAGTTTTTATAGAGACGAGGTCTTGCTATGTTGCCCAGGCTGTTCTCAAGCTCCTGGCCTCAAGCAGTCCTCCTGCCATGGCCTCCCAAAGTGCTGGGATTACAAGCATAAGCCACTGCACCTGGCCCGATAGTATTATTATTTACATCTTTTTTTTTTTTTTCTGAGACAGAGTCTTGCTCTGTTGTCCAGGCTGGAGTGCAGTGGTGCGATCTCAGCTCACTGCAACCTCCGCCTCCCAGGTTCAAGCGATTCTCGTGTCTCAGCCTCTGGAGTAGCTGGGATTACAGGGGTGCACCACCACTCCCGGCTAATTTTTGTATTTTTAGTAGAGATGAGGTTTCACCATGTTGGCCAGCCTGGTCTCAAACTCCGGACCTCTGGTGTTCCACCTGCCTCGGCCTCCCAAAGTGCTGGGATTACAGTCATGAGCCACCACGCCCGGCTAATTATTTACATCTTTTTGTGTGTTGGAGGTATTTCCTAATAAATGAAAATAAATTCAGGCCAGGTGCGGTGGCTCACGCCTGTAATCCCAGCACTTTGGCAGGCCAAGGAGGGCGGGTCACGAGGTCAGGAGATCAAGACCATCCTGGCTAACGCGGTGAAACCCCGTCTCTACTAAAAACACAACAAAATTAGCCGGGCGTGTTGGCGGGCACCTATAGTCCCAGCTACTCGGGAGGGTGAGGCAGAATGGTGTAAACCCGGGAGGTGGAGCTTGCAATGAGCCAGGCCACTGCACTCCAGGATGGGTGACAGAGTGAGACTCTGTCTCAAAAAATAAATAAATAAATAAAATAAATTCATATACAGAAATAAATGTCTCATCTGTGTTTGTCTAATTCCGGGTATCCCTGTATACTTATTGGCCATGAGAGTGTGAGACTCTGTAGGGACTTGTGAGCCCACAAATTCTTTTCTACATAGAACAAGTACTAAGGATGCCATCTTATATAAGAGCCAACATGTGCACACACTAGGTCCTGAAGATTTGTATCTTACATTGCAGTCTGTGGCCAGTTACTTTGGGTTAGAACACCCCAGATTTGAATGAAGCGGAGCATCCAGATGGCTTCAAGGGTGGGTTTCAGGTACCTCTGCTCCTTGGTCACTGAGGGCTCCCACCAGAACAGTGTAGGCCAGTCTGTAAATAGCCATCCCCACTTTAGAAAGCACATCCGCTGCACTAAACACTTAGGTATCTCTGACTCACGCCCTGCTCGTACTGGGAGAGACTTTAGTTAAACCAAACTGTAAATTTAACAACTGAGAAAATGAAACCGTTAAAAGATAAGCAACTTGCCCAAAGTCATACCGCCAATGAGAACAGCTAAGTCTCAAAATCATGTCTCCAGACTCCTAGGACAGTGCCCTTTAGAGCATACTGTGACATTCAGTCATATTCTTGGTGCCTGTACAGCTTTTAGTTCTTGAACTCCTGGCCTCAAGCAATCCTCCTGCCTCAGCCTCCCAAATGCTGGGATTATAGGCGTGAGCCACCACATCTGGCCCTATATTATTATTTACATCTTTTTGTACGTTAGAGGTATTTCCTAATAAATTAAAATAAATTCGTATACAGAAATATTAATAAATATGTCACCTGTCCTTAGTTCATTAGATTATATGATGATTCTTCAAGTTATATGATCTCATGCCCTGTCTGATTCCATTTGGGGAATACGCATTCCTCCCCGACCTTAAATCCAGCTCTCTTCTCCACTGAGAATTCTCTCCCTCCCATCTGTGGCTGAGATTAAAGATCTGCACCTGAAGCACTGAAGAATGTGTGGGTAATTAAATTACCCTGCCGATTCCTGGAGATGCTGATTACCTGGAGATGACCTCAGAGATTATCCTAAATTAACTCCTACAAGATACACATTGCAGCGGGAGGTGAGGTAGGGGAAGGATTGTGCACCTGAGGCTAGCAAAGGTTTCCACTCTGTTTAGAGATGATGTCACCAGTGCGTTTACATTTGCGTTGTGTTCACACATTGAGTGCTACTATGTACAAGACCATGTGTCAGACACTGAGGTAACAGGTATAGCTACTAGATAGAGTTCATAGCTATGGAGGCAAGCAGATTCACTGACTGCTAATTCTAACATGATGTGACAGTGCAACTAGAAAAACATAAACAAGCACTATGTGAGCACAAAGAAGGTGCACATCAACTCCTTACAGGTACCTGTAAAAGCCAAAGGGTAACAGTTGGATTGCACCTTGAAGAGGATGCACTTTTTTTTTTTTTTAAGACAGAATCTCACTCTGTTGCCCAGGCTGGAGTGCAGTGGGGCAATCTGGGCTCACTTCAACCTCTACCTCCCGAGTTCAAGCAATTCTCCTGCCTCAGCCTCCTGAGTAGCTGGTACTAGAGGCATGCGCCATGATGCTGGGCTAATTTTTGTATTTTCGGTAGACGTGAAGTTTCACCAAGTTGGCCAGGCTGGTCTTGAACTCCTGACCTCAAATCATCCACCCACCTCAGCCTCCCAAAATGCTGAGACTACAGGCGTGAGCCACCGCGCCTGACCTGGATGTAAGATTTTGATAGGTACAGAACAAGGAAAAGACTTTCCAGGCCGGGCACAGTGGCTTATGCCTGTAATCCCAGCACTTTGGGAGGCCGAGGTGGGCAGATCACGAGGTCAGCAGTTCAAGACCAGCGTGGCCAACATGGTGAAATCCCATCTCTACTAAAAATACAAAAATTAGCCAGGCATGGTGGTGGGTCCCTGTAATCCCAGCTACTCCGGAGGCTGAGGCAGGAGAATTGCTTGAACCTGGGAGGTGGAGGTTGCAGTGAGCAAAGACCGCGCCACTGCACTCCAGCCTGGGTGACAGAGGGAGACTCCGTCTCAAAAAAAAAAAAAAAAGACTTTCCAGAAGGAGCAGCATAAACACAGGCATGACATGTTTCCATAATGGCAAGTGGCCCTAAATGACTAGAATATAAGGTAGATCCAGTAGGAAAGGACTTAGAAGGGGCTTTGGAAGGTGAGTCTGGAAATTAAAACTGGGGTAAACGTGATGGACCCTGAACATCATTATACTGCTTAAGATGCTAATCTTAATCCTGAAGGTAATGGGAAAACCTCCTAAGGTTTATGTTATTTTCTTTCTACTTAGGCTATTTAAAAAGTGGAGTGACGGCCAGGCGCAGTGACTCATGCCTGTAATCCCAGCACTTTGGGAGGCCGAGGTGGGCGGATCACCAGGAGTTCGAGACCAGCCTGACCAACATGGTGAAACCCCGCCTCTACTGAAAATACAAAAATTAGCCAGGTGTGGTGGTGGGCGCCTGTAATCCCAGCTACTTGGGAGGCTGAGGCAGAAGAATTGCTTGAACCCGGGAAGTGGAGGTTGCAGTGAGCAGAGATCGTGCCATTGTACTCCAGCCTGGGCAACAAGAGCGAAACTCAGTCACAAAAAAAAAAAAAAAAAAAAAGGAGTGACATGCTTAGATCTCTGTTTTGGAATGACAGGTTTTTTGTTTCTAGCATCAATCCAAGGTTCATGGCTTGAGAAGGTGTACTGCCAGCAATGCCATTAACCAGCAAAGGGAATGCAGGAAGAGGAACAGATCTGGTGGGCATCAGTTTGGATGCTCTGAGTTTGAGCTGCCTGTGAAAACTGCAGGTGGTGATATGCAATTAACATTCACATACGGAGTTCAAAACTAGAGACGCAAATTTGAGAGTCATCACAGAAATGTGAAGTGTGTTTTCTATAACTAAAGATAACCATGCTAACATAGCCATGTGTTACATTAGCATTTTTTTTTTTTTTGAGACGGAGTCTCACTCTGTTGCCCAGGCTGAAGTGCAGTGCACAATCTTGGCTCACTGCAACCTCCACCTCCTGGGTTCAAGCGATTCTCCTGCCTTAGTCTCCTGAGTAGCTGGAATTACAGGCACCTACCAACACGCTTGGCTAATTTTTGCATTTTAGTAGAGATGGGGCTTTACCATGTTGGCCAGCTGGTCTCAAACTCCTGACCTCAAGTGATTCACCCACCTTGGCCCCCCAAAGTGCTGGGATTACAGGTGTGAGCCACTGTGCCCGGCCTTACATTTTGTGTTTTTTCCTGCTGCTTGTATGTGTGCAAGTCTGTGTATCATCAATGGGTATATGTGTACCTGCGCTGACAACAAAAAATGAGATGCATATCAGCTACTACACAAAGCTGTTATAAGGATGAAATGCAGTTAGCCAGTGCTCAGTAAAGGGCAGTTGCTTTACTACTACTAGGTGGGGTGGTGTATGTGAGAATCTGTATACTGCCATTAGTAGGCTTTAGTATGTAGTGTGCATATGGAATTCATGCATTAGTGTGTAGTATGTGTGGGACCCACTCACCTGAGCAGCTTCTCTCCCCACTTACAGTGGCATCTGTTGAGGATTCCTGTGAGGGATAAGGCAGGGAGTGAACTTGTTACAAGGCAGGGACAGGGAATGGAATGTGTTTATGTGTCTAAGCTGAGGCATCCAGGTCAGAGGTGCTGGTTGTTGAGGAAGCTGGCCTGGGAGGGCACAAAGGCAGCCAAAGCTGGTGCCTGGCCACAAATATGAGCTGGGATTACCGTACATGGAGATGGGGGAAGGGATGGACACTCACAGGGACACTTAGCCAGAAAAATACACAAAGCAGACCTAGTTAAAACTCAAGAACTGGCCAGGCACGGTGGCTCACGCCTGTAATCCCAGCACTCTGGGAGGCCGAGGCAGACGGATCACGTGGTCAGGAGATCGAGACCATCCTGGCTAACATGGTGAAACGCAGTCTCTACTAAAAATACAAAAAATTAGCCGGGCATGGTGGCAGGCACCTGTAGTCCCAGCTACTCGGGAGGCTGAAGCAGAATGGCATGAACCCGGGAGGCAGAGCTTGCAGTGAGCGGAGATCGCGCCACTGCACTCCAGCCTGGGTGACAGAGCAAGACTCCGTCTCAAAACAAAACGAAACAAATAAACAAACAAACAAAACACAAAAAACTCAAGAGCCCTCCCGCCCCTCCAAAAATACAAAAACTCAATAGCTGGCCGGGCAGGGTGGCTCATGCCTATAATCCCAGCACTTTGGGAGGCCAAGGCAGGAGGATCACTTGAGCTCAGGAGTTTGAGACCAGCCTGGGCAACATGGCGAAACACCATCTCTACTAAAAATACAAAAAAATTAGCTGGGCATGGTGGTGCAGGCCTGTAGTTCCAGCTATTCAGGAGGCTGAGGTAGGATGAGGCAGAAGAATCACTTGAACCCAAGAGGCGGAGGTTGCAGTGAGCCTAAATTGTACCACTGCACTCCAGCCTGGGTGACACAGCAAGATTCCATCTAAAAAACAAACAAACAAACAAAAAACTCAAGAGCCCAACACACATATGTAAAAAACTGGACGGCCGGGCGCGGTCGCTCATGCCTGTAATCCCAGCACCTTGGGAGGCTGAGGCGAGTGGATCCCCTGAGGTCAGGAGTTCAAGACCAGCCTGGGCAACATGGTGAAACCCCGTCTCTACTAAAAATACAAAAATTAGCTGGGTGTGGTGGCAGGTGCCTGTAATCCCAGTTACTCAGGAGGCTGAGGCAGGAGAATCGCTTGAACCCAGGAGGCAGAGGTTGCATTGAGCCGAGATCGCACCATTGCACTCCAGCCTGGGGGACAAGAGCGAGACTTCGTCTCACACACACACACACACACACACACACACACACACAAAACTGGACACAACTGGCCAGGCGCGGTGGCTCACGCCTGTAATCCCAGCACTTTGGGAGGCCGAGGTGGACGGATCACGAGGTCAGGAGATCGAGATCATCCTGGCTAACACAGTGAAACCCGTTCTCTACTAAAAATACAAAAATTAGCCAGGCATCGTGGTGGGCACCTGTAGTCCTAGCTACTCAGGAGGCTGAGGCAGCAGAATGGTGTGAACCCAGGAGGCAGAGCTTGCAGTGAGCTGATATTGCACCACTGCACTCCAGCCTGGGCGACAGAGCGAGACTCTGTCTCAAAAAAAAAAAAAAAAAAACCTGGACACAACTTACTGAGATATGAAACTATATGGATATTTGCGGAGATGTCCCTAATATACCCTAAAGCCAGAGACAACTGATAAAGACTCTATACAAATCAAATAGGCAGTTATGCAGTTACAAAACTCTTCTCTATACACAAGGTCTCCCAAAGTCCCTAACAGGTACCCAACTAGTAGAAACATTCATACAAACCCAGGGAAGGAACACAGAATTGGTAAAGTAATGGCTGATATGCAACAACACTGTACAGCCACAAAGTATGGGAAGATGCTCAAGCTTGGGGGGCGGGGGGTACAAATAGGTAAGAAATTTGGATTGGCATGAAAGAGATATCTGACAATGGGAGTGAAGTGGGAAGGGAGGCTGGGACACATCTTTGGAGCCAATTGCTTTTCTGGTAGGTCTTTGTAATGTGAGATGAGGGATGGGGCACACCTACCAAAGAGGCTGAGCCCCTCCTTCAGTCCACTGGCCACTTTGTACACTGAGGGGTGAGACTCACTCTTAAAAATCTGTAGAACACTGTCGAGGAGAAATGGAGGAGTTTGGGGTAACTTGGACTTTTGAAGGGAATAAGAATTGAGGACTGATAAATGGAATGGGGACAGGGGATATCCTCCTGAGATCACGTCTTTTTTTTTTTTTTTTTTTTGAGATGGAGTCTCGCTCTGTCGCCCAGGCTGGAGTGCAGTGGTGCAATTTCAGCTCACTGCAACCTCTGCCTCCTGGATTCAAGCAATCCTGCCTCAGCCTCCTGAGTGGCTGGGATTACAGGCGCACAACACACCCAGCTAATTTTTATATTTTTAGTAGAGACGGGGTTTTACCATATTGGTCAGGTCTCAAACTCCTGACCTCAGGCGATCCACCCGCCTTGGCCTCCCAAAGCGCGGGGATTACAGGCATGAGCCACCGCGCCCAGCCGAGATCATATCTTGATGTAAGGTTTGTCCCTTACTTTTCTTTGCCTCAGTTTCTCCCTATAGAAAAGAAAGCTAGTATCTTTATGCTTTTCTTCCTCTCTTTCCCTCAAAACCCCCCTTCCCTTTCCTTCAAGGAGAGAGATCTTAATAGCCCCAGGATTAGGGAAACTAGAGCCTCATTAGGATTATTGGGGCATTAAACTTAATCCTTCTCCCTCCCCAGAGACAGCAGCATGCCTCCACCTCTTTACCTGTAAGTGTCTTGATCTATGTTCACCAGATGAGTCCTGAGGACAGAAAACAAAAAAGCAGGAAGCAGTCTGAGTTCGTTCCACAACTCCACTTCCTTTGTCCCCCTCTCTGAATATTGTCCCAGTCTTCTTCCCAAAGTCTCATTAGCCCTTAGATTCTCCTGGGTGTCCTAGAGCACTTGACCCACTGGGTCACAGCCACATCCACACCCCACCCCCACTTTACTTTTCAGGCCTCCCAATCCCACATTACTTTGGTTGGGGTTGGGGTGAATCACCTACAACATAAATTTCTTAAAGCCCAGGATGGGGACGCTGACATTATAGTCTTCCAGTTCAACCCCGATTCTTCTTCGACCCAGGAACTTCAGCAGCCCTCCAAGTGCTCGAACCTGGGAGGGGATCAGCAGTGGAATCGGGGTAAATCTTAAATCTCCTGGGGGCTGCAGAGCACCAGGGAAAGTTACTATTTTCCAGGGCTAGGCCAGTACCTCCCAGAATTCAGCCCTAGCACTTGTGCCGCCTCCCAGCCCTTATCCCCCAGGACCAATCTCACTGTGAGGAGGCAGTCAAAGGGAATAATGGAAGAGAGGAAGAGGATTTTCTCAGTGGCAGTCATGGCGTCTGGGATGAAGGAGTAGTTTCCAGAAAGGAGGCGTTGTTTGCTTATCTCCAGACCTATTTGAGGGAGGCAAGCAAAGGGAACGGTCTTGTAGCTCAATTTTTTCACCCCATTTTAAGAATGAGACAATAGAAGCAAGAGAGATTATTTGACTTGCCCAAGCTCACACAGGCAGTTAATGGAAAGCTAGAGCAAGAACCAAATTTTCAGACTCTTAGTCTAATTCTCTTTTTATTCTACATATAATATAAAGATACTTGTCTGAAAGCACAGCCTGAGAAAGATAAATGGCTGAGGAAAGTAGACATCTGTCTGGAATTGAGGATTTTGGTCAAAATAATGGTATTAATAGAACTAGTAACACTAATGCCTTAATATCTAATTAGGATAGTACACTCCTGTTCTTATTGTAAACCTAGGAAAGTTATAGAAGTGCCTTATGGATCATAATAAGGGTCACTGAGGCAGTGCCTTTTGGTTTGGTGATAAAAGGCTTTAACTTAATGGGGAGAATTCCAACAATAAAACCCTGTCCAAAAAGTGTCACCACTCCTCAGGGGAGGCCCTCATCCCTAGACATGACTTAAGCAGAGGCTTCCCAATAAGCTGCAGGTTATTAAAGGGTAGGGAGCAGGAGAGATCTTGGGGGGACAGGTCATAGGGCATGAGGAGCACAAAGGTTTAGGATGACATAAGGCAGAGGGGAGATCTGTGATGATGAAGGTAGAGTTGGGGGAAAGAATGGGACACCGGAACAGGGAGTTAGGCAAAGCAAAAGGAAGGAGATACCAAAATCCACACTTGGCAAAAATATGATTTCAGGTCTTTTAGGCTCTCTGTGCTCCTGGGAGGCTGTGGGGGAGGAAAGAAAAGGCTATCATTCTTTACATCTCAGTCCTTCTACCTCTGTCTGACACTCCCTCTCACCCAATTCTAGCCCCCTGGAATATTCCATATATTAGTCCTTCCCCATTTTCCCTCTATCCTTTACCAAGTCCTTACCAAGCTTTCCCAGAAATCGAGTCATATTCTCATCCTGTTTGGCACTCGTAACAACAGACTGGGGATTGATCTCATCCAGAACTTGGAAGGAGAACAGAGATCAAATGAGTTAAAGGATCTTTGTCTTTGACTAAGAGAAAACCCATAGCCCTCCTCTTCCTACCCCTCTCCTTCTCAAAAACATTTCCTCCCTAGGAGTAGGGAGTGCTCTGCACAGTGGGAACACAGGTAGAAGTTGAGATTTAGAAAAGTAGTTAAGAGTGGTGGGATGGTGAGAGGGAAGTGGGATGTTCTGGATGTTGTCACTAGGCTGTAAACCCCTGGAGAACAGACATGACTGATTTGCCCAGGGCTGAATCTGAAGCACCTGAAACATTGTAAATACGTCATATATATTTGTGGCCAGGCACAGTGGCTCATGCCTATAATCCCTGCCCTTTGGGAGGCCAAGGCAGGCAGATCACTGGAGGCCAGGAGCTCAAGACAAGCCTAGCCAACGTGGTGAAACCCTGCCTCTACTAAAAATATAAAAATTAGCCAGGCGTGATGGCAGATTCTTGTAATCCCAGCTACTCGGGAGACTGAGGCAGGAGAATTGCTTGAATCCGGGAGACGGAGGTTGCAGTGAGCCAAGATGGCACCACTACACTTCCAGCCTGAGTGACGGAGCAAGACACTGTCTCAAAAAAGAACAACCAAACAAACCAAAAAACAACCTCACAAATATTTGTTAAATAATGAAATGAATTCATAAAAACAAAAGAGGGAGCCTCTGTGAAGCAACTGTAAAATATATTGAGTCAGTGCTATAGTTTGGATGTGATTTGTCCCTGCCAAATATCGTGTTGAAATTTAATCCCCAGTGTGATAGTGTTGTGAGGTAGGGCCTAGCAGGAGGTGTGTGGGTGATGGGAGTGGATCGCTCATGAACAGATTAATGCCCTTCCTGGAGTGTGCTGGTGGGTATGAGTGAGAGGTTCTCACTCTATTAGTTCCTGAGAGAGCTGGTTGTCAAAAAGAGCCTGGCATCTCCCTCCCCCTTGCTTCTTCTCTGCCATGTGACCTCTACACACCCTGCCTTCCCTTCTTCCATGAGTTGAAGCAGTCTGAGGCTCTCACCAGTGAAGATGCCCAATTTTGAGCTTTCCAACCATCCAGAACCATAAGCCAAATAAAACTTTTTTTTTTTTTTAACAAATTACTCAGAGTCAGGTATTTCCTTACAGCAACACAAAATATGCTAGACAGTGAGGTGAGTTAATGTAAGTAAAACATGGCTGGGCGTGGTGACTCACACCTGTAGTCCCAGCACTTTAGGAGGCCAAGGTGGGCGGATCACAAGGTCAGGAGTTTGAGACCACCCTGGCCAACATGGTGAAACACCGTCTGTGCTAAAAACACACACAAAAAACTAGCTGGGTGTGGTGGCACACGCCTGTAGTCCCAGCTACTCGGGAGGTTGAGTCAGGAGAATTGCTTGAACCCAGGAGGTGGAGGCTGCAGTGAGCCAAGATTGCGCCACTGCACTTGAGCCTGGGTAACAGAGCAAGACTCTGTCTAGAAAAAAAAAATATGTGTGTGTGTGTGTGTGTGTGTGTGTGTGTGTAACACATCTGCAATCCCAGAGAGCAGAGGAATTCATGGTTCCATCCCCACCTCTCTGGAGAAGCTTGAGGCTCTCGTGGTCTGGGGCATCTGGCATGAAGTGGATAGTGGAGTCACTAGTATCATAGTAGGCAATGCCCAAGTATCCTGAATTCCACAGCACACACAGATGGATCTGTCCAGCAAGGAAGAAAGGAAATCACTATTAGAATCACTCATAAGTGTAGGGTTTACCATGTCTTATATAATTTAATCATTTTCTCAAATCTCTGAGATAGGCATCATCACCCCCATTTAGTGAATGTGAAACAGCCACTCAGGAGGTAAGAGACTTGCCCAGCTCTTCCCAACCCTGTTTTTTTTTTCTTTCTTTCTTTGAGACGGAGTCTTGCTCTGTCGCCCAGGCTGAAGTGCAGTGGAGCAATCTCAGCTCATTGCAACCTCCGCCTCCCGAGTTACAGTGATTCTCCTGCCTCAGCCTTCCCAGTAGCTGGGATAACAGGCACGTGCCACCACGCTCGGCTAATTTTTATATTTTTAGTAGAGACGGGGTTTCGCCATGTTGCCCAGGCTGGTCTCCAACTCCTGAGCTCAGGTGATCCGCCCGCCTCAGTCTCCCAAAGTGCTAAGATTACAGGTGTGAGCCACCGCTCCCGGCTCCCAACCCTCTTTTATTCTAACTTCCCATCAACTCTCCATTCAAGTTTCTACTCCCCTCAGAGACCTCGGCCAGCTCCTCCTCCTCCTCGACTTCCTCCTCCTCGGCCTCCCTGGGGCCCGGCACTGGGGCCGGGCTGGGGAAGCCGGAGGAGGCCGCCCCAGGTCTCGGTCCCTGCGGTGTCCTCCTTGGGTTCGCTCCTAAGGAGGCCATGAGCTTGGAGGCTCTGCGGATGCAAAAAGTGAGGGCGGTTCGGAAGCAACGATTCACAGAGGAGGCCGGGGTAGGGTGGCGCGCAGAATGCAAAGCACTAAGTACTTCTGCTACAGGGCTGCGGGGCAGGGCTGAGGGGCGTGGAGAGCTGTGGACACAGGAGGTGAATTCTCGGGTATTTAACTAAAGTACAGATTGTGGGAAACTCCACGCGCCCCACCCTCATTCCTGTCACGCGGAGGTTACCCTTTGGAAGGAAGGGGTCTGAGGGCCCTGTGGGGCGAGTCGTGCACGTCTTATGTCTCTGCCTCTGCCAACCACGCGCCAGGACCCCAGCCTCACGCGCTTATCTTCCTCCTCCCCCAGCTGCCGCCATCGCAGCGTTTTCCCGCCTTTTCAGTAACCTGAGTCGCTACAGGTGGGAGAACGCCCCGCTGACCGACCGCCACGAGCCTGCAAAAGGAGCGCGCCGGCGCGTGAGCGAGGTGCGCGCGCACGCGCCCCGCCCTCCTAGCCGCTGTTGATTGGAGAGGCCCGGATCCAGCCTAGAGATCCGACAGGGCGAGGAGGAGAAGCGGACTGCCGTAGCTGAAGAGTCTGGACGCTGATTGGCCTATTTGCCTTCGGGGCGGGTCCAGAACGTTCAAACTTCCCGCCCTCTGCCGTTGCTTAGCAGCCGGGCCTCTAGCACTCACTGTTTCTGGGATTTGATTGGCGCAGTGGGAAGCCCGCGAGAAGGTCGGACCAGGGTCCGTAGTCCCAGTCCCTGGAAGGGGTTTGGGACCGTTGCGGGGGTTTTGAGGGGGAGGCCAAACTTAAAGAGCCAGAGGCGCTTATTTTTTTTCCTGCAACAACTCTTAAGTTAATATTTGTACCCTCTGAGTTAATATTTATACAGAGCTTAGAACAGTGCCTGGCAAACAAAGTAAGACCTAAATGAGCGGTGTTTCAAATAAATAAGCGGAAACAAGCAGGACTTCTGTCTCAGCCCTACCGTGCCTGTTTCCTGGGTACAGGGTATGACCACCCCCATAATGGCACGACAGGGCCTAATTTATTATTTAAACCCTTCAAGCAGAGGTGGAAGCATTCGAATTACATCAAATTCTGGCAGAGAGAAGTAGTTCTGATCAGAACACTCACACCCCTACTGGGACATGCCCATACCCCTTCGCACTTCTACACACCCCTGAAGACAGAGAGGTATCTATCATTCATGCATTCGGCAACTATTTAGTGCCTATTTTGGGCCAGGGGTTGGACTCAAAGCGGTGAACATAATGAAGTCACTGCTCCATAAAGCTTATTTGTGCGTCTGTGTGTGTGTGTGTGTGTGTGTGTGTTGCGGGGGTGGGGTTATGAGGGAGAAAGAAAAAAAAAAAAATATATATATATATATATAATCCCTTTAAATGCACCATCCTCCCCAGCTTTGTTCCTAGTACCCTGAGATGGGGAGATTCCTCCCCAGCCCCCCAACCCAAGAAGTTAGGAAAGATGGTGGGGGTGAGATGACCTAGCTGTGCTAACCAGTAATTGGAAAATCCCCTCCAGCAAGAAAGGTGGGGGAACAGAGTTAAGGGCTGGGTTAATGGTTACCCCTGGCAAATCTGTTGAGCAATGGAGCTATAGAAACTTGGAGGAGGTTGGTGACAGCTCTGGGGAGTGTCAGGGAGGGACCCACCTTCCAATCTGGGGTGTGAAGAGATTAGGGACTAGTTTACCAAGCCCAGGAAGGGGAGGGAGTGGAAAGAGAAGCCCAGAGAGGGAAAGAGGAGCTACTGAGATAGGAGAAATGCAGGGACAGGGAGGTGAGATGGAGGGAAACCTCTGTTGCAGGATTTGGGGGTACAGCCCTGGCTCTGCTGGATGGTTCCAGGAGAGGGCAGCGTTGCCTGTCACCTGGTAAATTAAGGCACGATACCCTGTGGGTAGTCATGCCAGCCAGCCAAAGTCAATATTGATATCAAGGCAGCTGTAGCTATAAAGCTGTAGGAGAGAAAAGAGAGGCCGGGAGAGGCTGCCAAACCTGTTTGATCTTCAAGCTGGCCCCATTTACCTAAGGCTTCTCTTGGACACAGACCAGTTGGAACAGGAGAGGACCCTGAGAAGTAGAGTTGTTTTGATCCCCTCCCCTCAATGGGAAGGGGTCCTGTGTGCAGATTTTGAGGGTCACCATGAGGGAATTCACACCCACACAGAGGCATGGAATCATACCCTTACAGGATGTTACAGTTCAAGGGAACGAACACCAAAGATAGCCTTTCTGTCGGGAGGAGAGAAAAAGGCCCTCCCACAAGCAGGAGAAAACCCACAGAAGAGGAAGCACAAGAGGAAACCACCAACTGCTGGTTTCCAGCAGCACATCACATCACTCCACCCCACTCCTCCCCCAAGTCTCTCCCTTTCTTTAAGTTTCAAGCTCTGTTTTAGTTCTGTGTTCTTGCACTCCACCATGGTTTTCTGGAACTGTAGGTCTTTTGTTGGACAGAGGGTGATGAGGAGGATAGAGAAGGGATGGTTGGACAGGAGAGAAATTCAGGATATGGAGGCTGGAATTCTGGGTTTATTTTTTCAGCAGGTCATAAAGGTTTAATAGAAATCAAGGTTACTGGAGAGAGAGCTGCTCCTCCTATGTCCTCCCTGCTTATTTATTTAGGTGTCCCCAAGGACTCTACTCCCACTATTCTGTCTGATCTTTCTTTATCCCCATGACAGGACCAGCTAACAACACCCCTACCCCACCCCCTATACACATACTTCAGGATCGGGCCATGATAATCCCACCCCTCTGCCCCATCTCCAAGGCAACCTGTCAGTGAGACGAGGACAAAGGGCACAGGAAGGGGCCCCAATAGGAAACATAAGTGGAAGCACAAAGCTGACCAAGCTACAGGAACAGACCCCTCCCTGCAACAAAGCCCCTTGCCTCGGCTTTATGTTTCCTTCGCAAAAGACTTCGTCATCTCCCTTCCCATCCCTAACTCTACTTTCTTTTTCTTTTCTTCTTCTTCTTTTTTTTTTTTTTTTGAGATGGAGTTTCGCTCTTATTGCCCAGGCTGGAGTGCAATGGCACCATCTCAGCTCACTGCAACCTTCACCTCCCGGGTTCAATTGATTCTCCTGCCTCAGCCTCCCAAGTAGCTGGGATTACAGGTGCCCACCACCCCGCCTGGCAAATTTTTGTATTTTTAGTAGAGACAGGGTTTCACCATGTTGGCCAGTCTGGTCTTGACTCCCTGACCTCAGGTGATCCACCCCCCTTGGCCTCCTAAAGTGTTGGGATTACAGGCGTGAGCCACCTCACCCGGCCCCTAACTCTATTTCCTATGCCCAATCCCAAGTGTAGGCCACAAGGACTGCAAGTCCTAGTGCTGAGCTGGGCCCGGAGACAGTAGACTGCGGGGGGCACAGGACCTACTGAGACACCAGTCTGGGCAGCTCAGGGAGTGCTGGCGTCACCCCTTCCCTAATCCCAGGCTGCATGGCTAACGGTTCCTATCTGCAGTCCCAGCCTTCCACTTCCGAGTTCTTCTCTCAGACCACAGTCCCAGCAACCCAGAATTTGGATTGGAGTCTGGAAGAAATGCAGAATGATTAAACGACCACCTTTCCATTTGAAGTCCCCATCCCTGAATCTTCACGGGTGTGCCCAAGCTGTTAGTGTCAAGTTTTTTATATGAGGGTCAGTCGGGTTGTACTCAGATTAATGAAGCAGGGAAACTGAGGCAGAAAAGAGTCCTGTGTTCAGGAGAGGTCGGAGAAACAAGGAGGTTTTCAGGACTCCTCCTTAACACCCCCATCCCCATCCTGTGGGAGATCCGAGGATTCCCCTTCCGGACTCACTCCCTACATCGTCGAGTCCCGCCCCCCTCCAGTCCCCTCCCCAGGTTCAGGGCGGGGCCGGTCGGTGAGTCAGCGGCTCTCTGATCCAGCCAGGGAGAGGACCGAGCTGGAGGAGCTGGGTGTGGGGTGCGTTGGGCTGGTGGGGAGGCCTAGTTTGGGTGCAAGTAGGTCTGATTGAGCTTGTGTTGTGCTGAAGGGACAGCCCTGGGTCTAGGGGAGAGAGTCCCTGAGTGTGAGACCCGCCTTCCCCGGTCCCAGCCCCTCCCAGTTCCCCCAGGGACGGCCACTTCCTGGTCCCCGACGCAACCATGGCTGAAGAACAACCGCAGGTCGAATTGTTCGTGAAGGTAAGAACACTTCTCTCCTCAGCCACCCAAATTCCTGGAAGCCAACTCTCACCTTTCCCCCGGTCCAGCCTTAACTCCCCAATCCCTTCCCTCCTTGACTCCCACCCCCAATCCCACGTGCACTCTTTGGTTGAGGGGTGGTTTTGAGAGGGGAAGACATTAACTTGTTAGCAAGTAATGAGAATTCTAGGATCAACCCTGAAAAGTTTGTAAAAGTGCAAGTTTCTAGCAGACTAAAGGAAGGGAAGTGGAGAAAAAGGAGAATTCCCAAAAGTGAGACTGGGGTGGGGTTAGAGGGCGAGCTGGTGAAGGGACAGTGGGGGCCCAGCAGGGTTTAGAAGGGACAGAGGGGAACCTCAGTTAGGACATGTGTCCCTACAAGATCTGAGGGTGAGTAGTGCAGTAGGAGAGGTGTGTGTGTGTGTGTGTGTGTGTGTGTGTGTGTGTGTGTGTGTGTGGATGGAGACGCTTCAGGGAAGACGGTGTGTTGAGGGAGGCCTGAGAGTGAGAGCAAGTAAATTGGGAAGCTTTGGAGGGGCGGAACAAAACAGGAGACTGGGATCGGAGTTTGAAAAGCAGAGCTGGAGAGGTGATCGGGTGGCATTGAATATCCCCAGGACTGGGGAAAGGGACAGAAGGGGAGGTGGCAAGAAGACGTGAGTTTAACGTAGCTACCACAAGGATGGGTGGGAGAGAGATCAGACGGAGGAGAAGAGCTCGGTTAGGGCATTTTGGGATTTGGGGGTTGGAGAAGTAGAAGACTTGCCCCAACTCTCTCCTCTCTCTGCGGGTGTGGGTAAGGAGAGATGGTCCTATGGCATTTGGGTAGCAAAACTGCAGGCAGCAGGCTTCTCGGTGTCACCCAGCCCCCCTCTGATTGCAGCGGCCGCTCCCCTCCCTACCGCTGCTGCATTCATTTCCCAGTCTTGGGACCTCCTGGCTGTGCCCCTCCCTCCCTTCCTTAACAGTGTCCTCTTCTCCCCGCTCCGTTTGTGTCTCTCCGTTGGCACGCACGTCTCCCCACTCTCCACTTTCCTGCCGCCTTTCTTTCCCCTTCCCCCCTTTTGTTTCTCTCATCTTTGTGTGTCTCTGCCTGTGTCTCCCTCTCCCTTCTGCTTGGGTTTCTCGGGCAGCCATTCCCTCTCCCTGGGCCCAGGGAAGTCGGAGCCTGCTTGGGTCCGCCCCCTTAGGTGTGGTCCCCACCTCACTCTCACATTCGCCTCCGGGGCTATTTTTACTCGTGGGTGAGGCTGTGCCGCAGAGATTCCGGCCCTGTGTCCTGTGAGAGGATGGTTATTGCAGTCAGAGGACTTGTGCTGGGAGACCCTGGCAGCAGGTTAGGGGTAGCCTTAGCTGCCCAGGCCTCATCCTCACTGTCCCTTCCCCCACATCCTTGACAGGAAGGAAGCCGGAGACAGAGAGATGAATCACCCTCAGCTTAGGGGGAGGTGTCCCTTGGGCCAATGAGGTCACCACTTGCTAATTAGAGGGCAGCCCCTCTCTGTAGGGCCCTCCACATCTCTAGCGCGAGGCCCAGGGCCCCTTGACTAGACTCCCCACCCAAAGACACCTTGGATTGGAGGTGTAGAGAACCAAAACTCTGGCTCCCAAACCCCACCCACCTCTCCTGTCTTCAGACTCTACTCCCTTCAGGAACCCAGAAATCCAGGCTTCTAGCCTACAACTCTGGCCTCACTGAAGTTCCACACCCTTCCCTCTCTAGGATTCAGATCCTCCCAAGTTCTCCAGGACCTCCTCCCTCTACCTACCTCCCACCTGTCCTCAGTGTCTGGGGAACCAGAAGCCTGCCTTTGCAAAACAGTTTCCCATTGATCTGCCTTAGGTTTGACCCAGGCCCAAGGGCAAAGAGCCCATAGTGAGGGGACAGTGTATGTGTCATGACTAGGCAGAAAACAGCTGGTCTGGGAGTGGGAATGCAGGGACTGGCCTAGGGATGGGTGGGGTGCATCAGGCATAACCTTGGGTTGGGGTTACTTTTCAGGCTGGCAGTGATGGGGCCAAGATTGGGAACTGCCCATTCTCCCAGAGACTGTTCATGGTACTGTGGCTCAAGGGAGTCACCTTCAATGTTACCACCGTTGACACCAAAAGGTAGGCCTGCTTATGTTCCTTGAAACACCCCTGGTGTACACATGTGTGCAAACACACACCCACCCGAGTCCTTCTGTCATGAACATTTTTGCCCTCCCCCTGGAGTCCCTTTCTTATCCCACGTCCTCCATTCCCCCTTTCTGGTTCTTCCTGACCCCCATTTCCAGTCCTGATTCCTGATCCTTTCTCCAGGCGGACCGAGACAGTGCAGAAGCTGTGCCCAGGGGGGCAGCTCCCATTCCTGCTGTATGGCACTGAAGTGCACACAGACACCAACAAGATTGAGGAATTTCTGGAGGCAGTGCTGTGCCCTCCCAGGTATAGGGGCACTCAGAAAGTGGAGAGGTGGAGCAGGGAGATTCTGGGAAACAGACAGTTTGCAGAAATGGAAAACAGAGATGGTGGTGGGGCTGGGGCAGGAGAGCTAGCTGAGGTTCCTCCCAGGAAGACATCTTACCTCATTTTTCCCATTGGCTTTCAGGTACCCCAAGCTGGCAGCTCTGAACCCTGAGTCCAACACAGCTGGGCTGGACATATTTGCCAAATTTTCTGCCTACATCAAGAATTCAAACCCAGCACTCAATGACAGTGAGTCTTGTGGGTCAGAGGCCTGGGTCCTGGGAGGAATAGAGAGGACCCAGCGGGTAGGAGACATTAGGGGCACCTGGACGTTCAGATATCAGGGAGATGAAGCAGATGTTCGTAAATTTCCCCCAGCTTCCCATTTTTGCTTTACCTCTATATTTCCCTGCATTTTCATTGGCCAAGACTTTTAAGCTTTTCTCATTTGTTCCCTAGCCTCTTCTGCCCCACTGAGGACGTTAGTTGGCTGCTGGCCTGTTTTCTGGCAGAATAGGGTCATGCTTAAGAACAGTCATCACTCTAGATCCAGACTACCTGAGTACAAATCCAACTAGCCGTATAATTTTGAGCAATCATTTCACCTCTCTGTAAGTCCATTTCCAGATCCACAAAATTAGGATGACAATACCTATTTCATGGGTTGATATAAATTTTTTTTTTTCTTTTTTTTTGAGATGGAGTCTCGTTCTGTCGCCCAGGCTGGAGTGCAGTGGTGCAATCAGCTCACTGCAACCTCTGCCTGCCGGGTTCAAGCAATTCTCCTGCCTCAGCCTCCTGAGTAGCTGGGATTACAGACGTGCATCACCACGCCCAGCTAATTTTTGTATTTTTAGTAGAGACAGGGTTTCACCATGTTGGCCAGGCTGGTCTTGAACTCCCGACCTCAGGTGATCCACCTGCCTCGGCCTCCCAAAGTGCTGGGATTACAGGAGTGAGCCACTGCACCCGGCGATATAAATGAGTTTGTAAAATGTAAAGTGTTCACTTTGGGAGGCCGAGGCTAGCGCACCACCTGAGGTTAGGAGTTGGAGACCAGCCTGGCCAACATGACTGGTCTCTACTGAAAAAAATACAAAAATTAGCCAGTTGTGGTGGCAGGCACCTGTAATCCCAGCTACTCAGGAGGCTGAGGCAGGAGAATCATTTGAATCTAGGAGGCAGAGGTTGCAGTGAGCCGGGATCATGCCACTGCACTCCAGCCTGGGCAACGGAGCAAGACTCCGTCTAACATAAAATAAAATGTAAAGTGCTTAGAATAACACATAGAAAAGTAACTACATGAGTGTTAGCTATTATTATTTTGGACTCACCATTAGTATCCACCCCCAACGGGCCTTTTCGGACTATGTCAATCTTTTCCTGAAGTTCTAATCAGTTCCCTCTCTTGCACAGATCTGGAGAAGGGACTCCTGAAAGCCCTGAAGGTTTTAGACAATTACTTAACATCCCCCCTCCCAGAAGAAGTGGATGAAACCAGTGCTGAAGATGAAGGTGTCTCTCAGAGGAAGTTTTTGGATGGCAACGAGCTCACCCTGGCTGACTGCAACCTGTTGCCAAAGTTACACATAGTACAGGTGTGTGGTTATTGCGGGAGGAGAGGATGACCACTGGAGTGGCCCTTTAAGGAGCTCCCACATGGGCTTCCCCTGACAACCACTCTAAAGACGATTTCTTTCTTAGGGTGGTTTTCATAAATTGCTACCAATGGCAGACCCCACCCCAGTCCTTTGCAGCAGTCATTGCTAACAAGACCACTGCTTGAGATAATTATATTCCATGATGTAAGTCATGGGTGCAAACAGACTAGCAAAGAGGAATACATCCCAGTATTACTTTTGAAGAATGCTCTTCCTGTCTCGGTATCACTGCCAAATTCCCAGATTAGACAGAGCAGGCTTTTCCTAAAGTCAAAGCTTTAACTTTCTTTATAACTTCAGTCTTCACTTCCTCTTGTGGAAGATCAAAACTGCTGGTTCCCATGTTTTTGTCATAGTCTCAAAGCTATGGTTTAGTTTGTGCAACATGGGCCTGACATCAGTCTGCCACACAACTATGTAGTGAACATCTGTGTACTAAGCATTGAAAGATACACAAGTGTATGGTGACTGGGCCTTGCTCTCAAAGGGTTGAAATCTGAGACAATAAAATATTCACATGAAAGTTAAGAATATATGATGAAAAGTCAGATGGGCCGGGCGTGGTGGCTCACGCCTATAATCCCAACACTTTGGGCGGCCAAGGCTGGTGGACCACCTGAGGTTAGGAGTTCGAGACCAGCCTGGCCAACATGGTGAAACCCCATCTCTACTAAAATTACAAAAATTAGCCGCACATGGTGGTGGGCACCTGTAATCACAGCTATTTGGGAGGCTGAGGCAGGAGAATCACTTGAACCCGGGAGGCGGAGGTTGCAGTGAGCCAAGATCGCGCCATTGCACTCCAGCCTGGGTGACAGCAAGACTCCATCTCAAAAAAAAAAAAGTCTGATGAAAAATATAGAGACAAAAGTCACCTGTGTCAGTGCCTGAAGTGGTATAGGGGGAAAAAGTCACTGTGGAAATTCAAGAGGAGAATTTTATAAGTAAATTATATCTCAAGTTTTAAAAACTCAGGAAAAATGGCTGGTTATTAAAAGCCAGGATTTCAGTAAGTGAGAAGGAAGGCTAACGACAGTACAAGACAGTGAGGAGTTGAGCTGGTTTTATCATGTCGGCCTGGGGAGAAGGGAAAGCCAAGGTGGCTTCCCTGGGTCTAACATGTTGGTCCCTCTCCTCTCCCCATCCTCAGGTGGTGTGTAAGAAGTACCGGGGATTCACCATCCCCGAGGCCTTCCGGGGAGTGCATCGGTACTTGAGCAATGCCTACGCCCGGGAAGAATTCGCTTCCACCTGTCCAGATGATGAGGAGATCGAGCTCGCCTATGAGCAAGTGGCAAAGGCCCTCAAATAAGCCCCTCCTGGGACTCCCTCAACCCCCTCCATTTTCTCCACAAAGGCCCTGGTGGTTTCCACATTGCTACCCAATGGACACACTCCAAAATGGCCAGTGGGCAGGGAATCCTGGAGCACTTGTTCCGGGATGGTGTGGTGGAAGAGGGGATGAGGGAAAGAAATGGGGGGCCTGGGTCAGATTTTTATTGTGGGGTGGGATGAGTAGGACAACATATTTCAGTAATAAAATACAGAATAAAAATCAAGTGTTTTTACGCAATGGGGGTTTAAAGTGTGGGCGACATGGAATGAGGGGTGGGTCAGTGATCTTGAGCTCAGGGCAGAAGCCAGGAATTAAGAAGGGAAATGTTTGTGGTGGGGCTGCTATGTTTCGTGCCGGTCCGCCGGTCCGCCGTTGCGCTGTTCTGAGGTCTACGAAGCGTTTGCAGCCCCGTCGCCAGGGCCGGCCAGATCTGGGTGGGCCTGGGCAGCGCTCGCTGGGCGGTGCCGATTTCTGGCAAGGGGGGCGCAGTCTGGATGTAATGGGCGCGGCTTAGCAGGGCGGAATGGGCGTGGCCCGAAGAAGCCCCGCCCCGTCCCGCTTAGACAATGCCCCGGAGCCGCCAGACCGTCGCGCCCCTGCCCCATCGTAGTATATGAGCTCGCCTACACAAGGACCCCCGCTAAAAGCCAGAGCTCCCAGTCCCCGAGGCTTGAAGACGGGGACTCCCTTCTCCACCAACTCTGTCCTCGGGGGGTGGGGCCCCAGCCGAGATCACAGCGCGACAGGAGTGGGGGTGGCCGCTGGAGGTGAGTCTTGCGTGGGGGGCCCTGAACCGTGTGGGGGCCGGAGTTTGGGGGTGCCGGGCCCATGCCTGCACCAGACAGAGAGTATGGGGAGCCGGTATTTGGGCGCGGAGCTAGGCGGGGTGGACTTTGGGACATAGACGGGGAACCGGGTCCTGGAGCCGGGAGTAGTGCCAGCGCCCCGGAACCACGCCCCCTGTTACCCCGCCCCTCGCATTTCGTTTTAGACCTCTCCCAGTCCTTCGGGACTCGGTCTGGTTTATACTAGGTCGTGCTAGGGGCAGCGTGACCAGCCAGGGCGGAGAGAGGATGCTTAACTCCTTAGGCTCGAACTCCTCCCTTCCTACCCACCTCTCTCCCTTCTCGTTCGGGTATTCAGGACTTCCATTCCCCAGCCCCTGCCTCTCCAGCTTTCTCCTTCTGTCCCATAACCCCTGCGGGTCCCGGGCTGGACTTCCAGTCCCTGCGGTAGCGAGCAGCTGAGGGTTAAGGGGGCGGGGCTGCTGCATTTTTGGGGAGTGAGCGCATCCTAGTGGCTGCCAAGAGGGGCGCCCGACAGGGACCTCACAAGCCCCCAAGCAGGGGCAACAGGTGTTTTGGAGATTAGAGACCCTAGCCTTGTTCCTCAGGCTCCTCTTAAAGAATCTGACCCCTGAGGGTGCTGGGTAGAGTGAGGTCGACAGGAGCGGAAGGTCTGGAGTGGGTGGGGCGGAGTGGGAGGGACGCCTAGAGATGGCAGGAGGAAGACCTGGGCGCTCTTAACCACCCCCAACGCCCTTGTCTGCATGTCTTTTTCTCTGTCTCCTCCTTTTCTGTTTCTTCTCCCAGACAGGTGAAGAAACAAGAAAACTAAGAAATCCGAGCGGTTGGAGGGGGAGTCTGTGTGGATGGGATGGGGACGCCGGGGGAGGGGCTGGGCCGCTGCTCCCATGCCCTGATCCGGGGAGTCCCAGAGAGCCTGGCGTCGGGGGAAGGTGCGGGGGCTGGCCTTCCCGCTCTGGATCTGGCCAAAGCTCAAAGGGAGCACGGGGTGCTGGGAGGTAAACTGAGGCAACGACTGGGGCTACAGCTGCTAGAACTGCCACCTGAGGAGTCATTGCCGCTGGGACCGCTGCTTGGCGACACGGCCGTGATCCAAGGGGACACGGCCCTAATCACGCGGCCCTGGAGCCCCGCTCGTAGGCCAGAGGTGAGCGCCGTGGCGCGGGTGTGGTATGGGGAAAGGCAGAAGGAACTGGATGTCGGGGCTTTGGGGAAGAATTGAGGATGGGGGTGTCACAGCTCCGTGCCCTCTTCTCCTATCCTAAGGTCGATGGAGTCCGCAAAGCCCTGCAAGACCTGGGGCTCCGAATTGTGGAAATAGGAGACGAGAACGCGACGCTGGATGGCACTGACGTTCTCTTCACCGGTGAGGCTGGGGGGAGGCATAGGTCTTGGCACAGGGAAGTAGAGTTTGGGAGACTCGGCCGTCTGGAGCCTTGTTTCTAACTCACTCCCGCCCTCAAACCTCCGCGGCCTCCCGGACTCAGGCCGGGAGTTTTTCGTAGGCCTCTCCAAATGGACCAATCACCGAGGAGCTGAGATCGTGGCGGACACGTTCCGGGTGCGGAGCGGGACCAGCCTAGGGAGGGAGGGGGTGCAGGTGGGGGTCGGAAGGGCCTGGGCGCCCGCTGAGGAAATGAGAGGCAGAGAGCAGCCTATGTTTGAAGATACCCCATCACCCCTCCCGCGCCCCTGAATACCTCCCTTCGCTCTCCCTAGGACTTCGCCGTCTCCACTGTGCCAGTCTCGGGTCCCTCCCACCTGCGCGGTCTCTGCGGCATGGGGGGACCTCGCACTGTTGTGGCAGGCAGCAGCGACGCTGCCCAAAAGGCTGTCCGGGTGAGGAGGGGGCGGGGCCAACGAAAGTGGGCGCAGTTCTGGGCCCGGGAGGCCGGGAGCTGGGAGGCTTAGGAAATTAGCCCTAACCCCTGCCCTCAATGGGCTGTCCATCTTACATGAAAGAACACAGGAGAAAATAAGAAGTTACAACAGCAGGACTGGGAACAGGGGTGATTAATTTGCTCTTCCGGAGTTTCAGGAAACCCCAAAGGTGGCACCTAAACTGTGACTCTAAGGATGGGTAGGACAGATAGGAGGGGCTGGGGAAGGTAGGGGGTTGAAAATAACTGCATGTGATTCCAAGGTGGAAATTAGCAAAGGTAACTAAAGTACTTAGTGTCTGACATATCGTAAGCTCTATGTGCTTGCTGTCATTATTTTCCACAAATGTCAGTCCGTCCCCAGCCCTTAGTGGTGGTTGAGCAGGCAGACACAGCTGTGGAGAGGTTCTGAGACTCGAACACTTCCTCTTTCCTCTAGGCAATGGCAGTGCTGACAGATCACCCATATGCCTCCCTGACCCTCCCAGATGACGCAGCTGCTGACTGTCTCTTTCTTCGTCCTGGGTTGCCTGGTGTGCCCCCTTTCCTCCTGCACCGTGGAGGTGGGGATCTGCCCAACAGCCAGGAGGTGAGAGAGGGCAGGAACTCCAACACCAAGCACCATCAGAGAAAAGAGTTTCAGGCTTTCCTAGTGGGAGGAAGGAAGGGTACCTTCTCTAGAAGCCTGGGTGGGGCCACTCTGAGCTGGCTGGAAGAGTGGCCTGGCTCAGCCTGAGGTCTCACTCCCCTCTCCCCACTCCATGTCTTCCCTGTGCAGGCACTGCAGAAGCTCTCTGATGTCACCCTGGTACCTGTGTCCTGCTCAGAACTGGAGAAGGCTGGCGCCGGGCTCAGCTCCCTCTGCTTGGTGCTCAGCACACGCCCCCACAGCTGAGGGCCTGGCCTTGGGGTACTGCTGGCCAGGGGTAGGATAGTATAGGAAGTAGAAGGGGAAGGAGGGTTAGATAGAGAATGCTGAATAGGCAGTAGTTGGGAGAGAGCCTCAATATTGGGGGAGGGGAGAGTGTAGGGAAAAGGATCCACTGGGTGAATCCTCCCTCTCAGAACCAATAAAATAGAATTGACCTTTTAGACTGGGCTGTGACTGGTGTCTTACTGGGGCAAAGGGATAGGGCAGGGCTGAAACCTGAGTTTGGGGTCAGTGCAGGGAAGAAGGCCTCTTATTCAAAAATCTTGTTAGGTACTTATCAACTCATTGCCCAACCATGTCATAGGTACTTGAGCACAAGATGAACAAGACAGAATTTCTATCATGGGAAGTGTGTCCAGGGCAGAGAAAAGAGTGTATGGGTGGATTGCTCACTGAATTTATCTAAATGTTAGATGATTCAGAGACTGGTAGATTACCAGTCCACCCCTATTTGATAAAGAAAAAGAAATGACACTTCCAGGGACATTCATTTTCATTCATTCATTTAATGAGGCTTAGCAATGATATCAAAAGGGTCAGTCTCCTGACGTTGGGGAGCTCACAGTACATGCAAATTTCTTACAAATTGAAATACAGGTTGTCATGGAACAATTTACAGAAGGCTGTTTCTATGAGGGAAATAAAGGGGGTGTGCCCTAGGGCATCAAAGTATATGCAAGGGGTGGCCAAGGAGGGTCACCTTCCCAGAAAAGGCCATACTTGAACTAAGGATAAATAAGAATTAGCCAGGCAGATAGTGTGAAGGAGGGAAAGGGGTAATACAGGAAGAAGGAATTGCACTGGGCAAAGACATTTTGGGGCTAGGGAGAATTCTCTAAGGCTGGCATTTTCTAAGATGTGCATGTGGAATGACACAGGTAAGCCTGGAGAGTGGACAAAGTGCTGTAGTACCTTGTATCCAAAGCCAAGGCACGTGGGCACAGAGCTGAAGCTAAGGAGAGTACTTCAGTTCTGTAATAAGGGCTGTCAGGAGCAGTTATCTCTTGAGTAGGATCTCTCTGACTTCAGGGAGGAAAGCAAGGGTAGGAGGATGAGGTGGGGCTATGGGTAATCCAGGAAGGAAGTGAGCAGAGTACATTCACGTGGCAGCGCTGGGCATGGAATACAGTGTGGGTTTGACAGTGATGTTAAGATAGAAAGACTGGACTTCATGGCTCATTGTGTGGGAGTAAGAGAGAAAGGAGGTCTGCGTGACTCCCAGTTTCTGGGTTGGGCAACTGGGTTGTTAAAGAGAATACAGAGGAGAATTAAGTGAGCAGCTTCAGAGATGACAATGAGTTGGGTTTGACATTCAGAGTGCGAAATGCCTGAGGTCAGTCAGGCAGAATGTCTAAGTGGAAGTTTGTTAATCCCAAATCTGAGATCTGAGCCAGAGAGAGTTCTGAGTGTCATTTGCAGAGGAGGGGGCTGAGGACTGACTGTTGATGAGAGTGTCCCAGAAGAAGAGAAAGGGACAAACCTAGAATGGTGGGAAATACTGTAGGGATATGGAGCAAGGAAGAGGAGTCCAAAAAGAAAACACCAGCAACAAAGAAAAACAGCTTAAAGAATCAGGCCGGGCGCGGTGGCTCACACCTGTAATCCTAGCACTTTGGGAGGCCGGGGCGGGTGGATCACGAGGTTAGCAGATCAAGACCATCCTGGCTAACACAGTGAAACCCCGTCTCTACTAAAAATACAAAAAATTAGCTGGGCGTGGTGGCGGGCGCCTGTAGTCCCAGCTACTCAGGAGCCTGAGGCAGGAGAATGGTGTGAACCCGGCAGGCGGAGCTTGCAGTGAGGGAGATGGTGTCACTGCACTCCAGCCTGGGCAACAGAGCGAGACTCCGTCTCAAAAAAAAAAAAAAAAGGAGCTAGGGCTTGATTGGGTATAGAGAGGACACTGGTGGTGAGGGAGACATGGAGGTTATAGGAGAGATGGGAGTAAGTTTAGAAGTAAGACCAGTGGCAGAGACAGCCTGGAACCCAGGTCTCCCAACTCCCAGTCTAGCACTTATTTCTATACCATGGTGCCTTCCTCTTCCAGGTGAGGAACCAAGGAGGGGAGAGGGATTATGGGGAGCTGGGATCCCCTAGCTTGGGAGGTTTGGAGTAAGGGCTTCCCTTCAAACTACAACTGCATAGATGGTGGAGGCATCAGCAGGGTCCGCTGTGGACAGCCGGCGGGGCCTGCTGAGGGCTAGATGGTCCAGATCCGCATAGAGCAGGCTCTGGAGGAGGAAGGGGAGGAAGACAAGATGGTCTCCACAGTCTTCCTTGGGGTTCAGGCCTTTTTTTTTTTGGTCCATTTTCCTCAGAGATTCTGGCTATCCCCTTCCCATCCCCATGCCCTTACCGGTTCCTGGTCCAGGTCCCCTGGAATCTTGGGCTCTTCCTCCTTTACTGGCCTCTGGGGCTCGGTTTTCACAAGTGGAGCTATGTGGGGGGGACAGAGCTGAAGGATGGAGAGAAGGTGACCAACGTGTCTGCTCCCAGCAAGGGCTCAGACTCAGGAATTGAGGGGTGGGGAGTGGGCATGTAGGAGAAAGAAAATGGGGTGGAATTAGTCTCACCAAATCTAGGGAGTGGTCGAATCGGTTGCGGGGGCAGGCGCCTGTAAGGGACATATGAGTCTTTGAGAACCACCAGTCTTGTCTCACTGGTTCTCCTGGGACTCGCCACGCCAAGGACAGCCCAGCAACTTGAAGGCTCAGACCGGAAACAACTTAGACTCTACCCCACCGACAGTCCAGCCCAGGCTCTAACTCTGCTGCACTTCCAGCTCATCTGCTCTGGTGGGGCTCTACTCACCAGCCAGCGGCCTCGCTCCCACCTTTGACCTCTCCCATTCTTCGCCAAGCCAGGACCAGAGCTCTAGGTCTAGCTCTTTCTTTTGCGAAGGTTCTGGTCCTGCCCCTTCCACCTCTGGTCACTCCCCATTTAACGAGGCCGGGTCCCTCCTGCTCACCTGTGCAGCCACCAGACCAGGCCCAAAGCTCCCAGTCCGAGCACCAACCCAGCGCCCAGCAGCGGGATCAGGAGCTGGGGATACACGGACCCTGGGGGAAAGGCGTGGCGGGGAGGGATGCTGAGGTCAGGGGTTTGACGAGGGACAGCCAGCAGTCCCGCTCAAGAACCCCCAGCCAAGGCCCTCTTCCCTCCTCCGGGTATGTGTCGGAGTTAAGTACCCTTGTGCGCACAGGCCTGCACCTACCATGGGTAGGCCCGGGGGCCTTGCAATAGGTCCTGTCCCCCAGCACGTGAAGCACTGTACGGCTCTCGTCCTCGTGGCGGCCCTTGCAGAAAAAAGTGCCCGAGTCCCCCGCGCTCAAGAGGAGCTCCAGCCGCCGGATACCAGAGTCCAGGGAGCGTAGGCGGCCGACGAAAGGCTGGAGGGGAGGCACGGTGGGGGTCCCGCTCGAAGAGGCCCACAGGATCGGTCGGCGTCCTTTGGACAGGCCCTTGCAGGCCGGGAAGCTGGGTGCCCAGACCCAGCGGATGGGATGAGAGACTCCTCCGCAGGAGAGATTCACCCGGTCCCCAGGGCGGCCGTCCAGAGAAGCTAGGAGAGGCCGGAGGCTGTGGTTAGGGCACGTCCACAGGGCAAGACGACCCTCCATCCCGTCTCCTCTTTCTCTTCTCTGTTCTGCACTCCAGCCATCCTGGATCTTCCCACACACAACCCACCCTACTAGGCGGCCCTTATCTTGCTTCAGCCCCTCTGCGTCTATCACAACTCTCCCAGGGATCGCTTACCCCCAGGGTTCCCTTGGGCCCTCGAGAGCAGCAGCGGTAGCAGCTGCAGAAACACAGCCATGGTTAGGATGTGGTGAGGAGAAGCTGCGAGCGAATCAGCGGCGTGGGGCCGGTTGGGGGGGGACCGGAGGGAAGTTAGGCGTGGGGAGAACGGAGGGGCTGGGGGGCTCCGATAAGAGAGGGGGCGGGGCCACCAGCTGCCCAGATCCCTTTGGGAATCCTCGCAGGCAAACTCGGAGTCTTCAAATGGTTCTCACTTAAAATGTGTGCTCGGGCCATTTACACAAATGCTTTGGCCTGCTTAACTTTTCAGGTGCGCCTGTAATCCCAGCTACTTAGGAGGCTGAGGAGGGAGGATCGCTTGAGCTCAGGAGGTCGAGGTTGCAGTGAACTGTGATCAGGCCATTGCACTCCAGCCTGGGCGACAGAGCCAGCCAGACCCTGTCTCAAAAACAACAACAACAAAAACTCCTGTTTTGTAGGGGATTGTGATAACGAAATAAAGTAATACATGTAAACTGCTTAGAATACATAGGATCACTATGTAAGTGCTTGCCATTATTATTACTATTTCTATTCTTTTTTTTTTTTTTTTTTTTGAGTCAGAGTCTTGCTCTGTGGCCAGGCTGGAGTGCAATCTCGACTCACTGCAGCCTCCGGCTCCTGGATTCAAGTGAGTCTCCTGTCTCAGCCTCCTGAGTAGCTGGAACTACAGGTGCATGCCACCACACCTGACTAATTTTTGTATTTTCAGTAGAGATGGGGTTTCACCATGTTGGCCAGGATGGTCTCGATCTCTTGACCTTGTGATCCACCCACCTCGGCCTCCCAAAGTGCTGAGATTACAGGTGTGAGCCACCACACCCGGCCTACTATTTCTATTCTTATTTTAGCTTCTACCTCACCTCTCTGTGCCCATGCTGTTCCTCCTGGCTTGGTACCCTGCCCAAGTTGGCAGGTTTTGACTGGGGAGGTGCTTTGGAGCAGGTGCACACAGCCACACCTAGGACAATTGCTGCTGCTGGACTGGAGCAACAAGGCCACACCAAGCGCAAGTGGAGCACGGGTGACATCCTGAGAACCTTCATGGGAGCCTGAGGCAGCCCTACTTAGCAGACCTGTGGTGGCTCTCCTGGATGAGTAGCCCCAGCCCCTGCCTCTGCTGCTGTGGCATCACAGAAGCCATCAGTGAGTCACTTATTGCTGAGCAGGCATTGGAAAGACCGAGTGGGGGCTGAATGGAGATTAATTTGACCCATTCCTCCCCCAATTTCCACCAGCATGCCCCTATCAATGCCCAGCAGGGACCCAGGGACCCAAATTCAGCAATTAATTTGGGCCACATCCTTTTGTCCATTTTCCAGGAACCAGCAGAAGCTGCCACCATGGACACTGTAAATCACAGAGGCCTTTGATGATGCTCATTCAGAGGACTGAGCAGCAGGACTCTTAGCTGGGGACCAGGAAGGGCATCTTGGCCTGAAACCAAGAACCACAATGGCATTGGCCACTAGTGGCACCTGCCTTCCCCCATCCCTCTCTCCCATCCCTACTCCCCACTCAGTCCTGCTCAGTGCCTTCCCACCCCTTGTCTTTTCTCTGGTCAGCTGCGTAGTAAGTGAGAAGGGAGGGGCTACCAGAGGCAGGGAAGGGAGGAGCCTTTGGGTTTATAAATTCCAAAAAGGCCACTCAACTCCTAGAGCTGGATCCTTGAAAATCTACTCTATCAGCTGCTGTGGTTGCCACCATTCTCAGGACCCTCGCCATGAAAGCCCTTATGCTGCTCACCCTGTCTGTTCTGCTCTGCTGGGTCTCAGGTGAGCACCTGGGGGCCCCAAAGACCTGGTTTGCCTGGTCAGGACCTTTACACCCTGCTCTACCCACTTCCCGGCCCTACCCACCACTCGGGATCCCAACACCCCCAGCCCCAACTGGCTCAGCTCTCCTGTGCCACCAAGACCAGGCTTCCCTATGACAGCCTCCTTGCTCTATTTCTCAAAAAGCCAGGTCTCCATCCATCCTCCCCACCTCCAAGAAAGACCCATTTCTCTCACCTGCCAGGGCTCTGGGTCCCCTGTTCCCCACTCCAAGGTGTCTCCTCCTTGGAAACTCTGGTATCCAGTTCCCCAACCAGCCCCACTTCAATATGCAACTCTCCAGAGTCTAGCTTACCTGCCTTCTCCTCTATCTGCTGTGCTCAGTAAGGTGTCCTCTCGAAGACCTAGGCATCCAGCCCCAGGCTCCTTTTGTAACCTACCCTCCCCATCTACTCCATCAGGGACTCACATGTTCAGTCTCTCAGCCATGGCCTTTCCTAGATACCCCCTACTCCCCTCCTGGGTTGCATACCTCCTCCCATACAGGGGATACAAACTTTCTAGATGGTTGCAGTGACATCTAAGAGCCTCCATGGAAACAGAGCGTTTTCTTGAGCCTTCTGAAGAGGGGACAACTGGGCCACTTACCTCCAGGGTGAAGTGGATTTCACTGAGGTACACTTACCAGGCTCTTCCACCCTCGGACCCTGCGTCACCAAATCTTGCCTGCCCAAACCTTGAATTAACTGAAGCAGGAAACTTGGGGTGCCACCTTCTGTATCCACCCTCTCCATTTTGATAAGGTGCTAAGATGGAATCTGGTGATCTGTCTCTCAGGTATCATTCCTTTCTGCTGAAGAGCTACTGGGGTGAGAGGATTCTATTCAGGTCTGGTTCCTCTTGCCACACTCTTGCCAGCTCCAGGAGGTGAAGAGTAAATTGTAAATTGCTAAAGCTGGCCACAGATGGCTTTCTCGCCAGCCTCAAGTTCCAAGGCATTTCTGACAGTGTTGTAACCCTCATGATTTTCATTTTTATTATTTCTCCTTCTTTCAAGTTTCCATCTCCTCCTTCACCATCCACATTCTTTCCCCATGGTATCTTCCTCACATTCCATCTATCTCCAGCCCCATGTTTTTCTTCATAGTTCTGTCCCTCTTGACTCACCTCCAAACGGGGTGG
This sequence comes from Homo sapiens, assembly GCF_000001405.40. Classification (NCBI taxonomy): domain Eukaryota; kingdom Metazoa; phylum Chordata; class Mammalia; order Primates; family Hominidae; genus Homo; species Homo sapiens. The sequence continues at coordinate 3,197,733 of NT_113891.3, read as the reverse complement.
AGTGACGGAAGATATGTAGGGCGTGGGCCTTTCACAAAGCAACAGCTCTACCCTTACCTGCCGCCCACTTTCCATTTTCCCTGCATCACTCACCTGCTCTGTGCTTGCTAGACCAAACAGCCAAACAGGTTGGAGCACCTACGGGATGGGCTCTTCTCCACCCTCCACCCCTGCCCCCAGCTCAGCTTATCCCCAGGTAAGTCAGAGACCCCATCACCTCAGCCTGACTTGTGTCTTCCCAGCTGACATTCGCTGTCACTCCTGCTACAAGGTCCCTGTGCTGGGCTGTGTGGACCGGCAGTCCTGCCGCCTGGAGCCAGGACAGCAATGCCTGACAACACATGCATACCTTGGTAACATCCCCTTCCTTAGTGGGGTGAACAGGGAGGTGGGAGCCTCTATGACCAGGACTGAGGCCCAAATGGGTCTAAGACTGAGATGGAGAAGCAGAGGATTATAGCAATGATAATATTTGGCCAAAGATGGTTGTGTGCCAGGCAACATCCTATGTCTTTGCATGCCTTTTTTTCAATTAATGTTCATGACAACCCTGTGATGTGGGTGCTATTATTATACTGAGAAAACGGCCTCAAAAAGAGACAGTAACACAGCCGGGCATGGTGGCTCATGCCTGTAATCCCAGCACTTTGGGAGGCCAAGGTGGTTGGATCACTTGAGGTCAGGAGTTCAAGACCAGCCTGGCCAACATGGTGAAACCCCATTTCTACTAAATATACAAAAATTAGCCAGGCATGGTAGTGGGCGCCTGTAATCCCAGCTACTCGGGAGGCTGAGGCAGGAGAATCGCTTGAACCTGGGAGGCGGAGGTTGCAGTGAGCTGAGATGGCACCACTGCACTCCAGCCTGGGCGAGAGTGAGACTCTGTCTTGGAAAAAACAAAAAAACAAAAAACAGAGACAGTAACAGGTCCATGGCCAGCAAGTGATAGAACCAGGACTGGGGGAGTGGTGGGTAAGGATGTGCAGAAGGAAGATCAGACTAAGAAAAGAGAAGGGGAGGGCCAGGGACAGAGTTGGGAAGGAAGGAAGCCTAGGTGGGTGGATGGGGTGGGGAGGTGGACACAGGCATGCCAGGTGCCCATCCTGGCCGATTCCCTGCCCATTCCCACCCCTAGGTAAGATGTGGGTTTTCTCCAATCTGCGCTGTGGCACACCAGAAGAGCCCTGTCAGGAGGCCTTCAACCAAACCAACCGCAAGCTGGGTCTGACATATAACACCACCTGCTGCAACAAGGACAACTGCAACAGCGCAGGACCCCGGCCCACTCCAGCCCTGGGCCTTGTCTTCCTTACCTCCTTGGCTGGCCTTGGCCTCTGGCTGCTGCACTGAGACTCATTCCATTGGCTGCCCCTCCTCCCACCTGCCTTGGCCTGAGCCTCTCTCCCTGTGTCTCTGTATCCCCTGGCTTTACAGAATCGTCTCTCCCTAGCTCCCATTTCTTTAATTAAACACTGTTCCGAGTGGTCTCCTCATCCATCCTTCCCACCTCACACCCTTCACTCTCCTTTTTCTGGGTCCCTTCCCACTTCCTTCCAGGACCTCCATTGGCTCCTAGAAGGGCTCCCCACTTTGCTTCCTATACTCTGCTGTCCCCTACTTGAGGAGGGATTGGGATCTGGGCCTGAAATGGGGCTTCTGTGTTGTCCCCAGTGAAGGCTCCCACAAGGACCTGATGACCTCACTGTACAGAGCTGACTCCCCAAACCCAGGCTCCCATATGTACCCCATCCCCCATACTCACCTCTTTCCATTTTGAGTAATAAATGTCTGAGTCTGATAAAATGTACATTTATTATAAGAAGACCTAAGGGTCAGGTCACCTCCCAGGAAATAATACTCTCAATCTCCCTCCCTTACACAGGAATCCTTCAGGGAGGTTCCCTGGGAGGCTGGGCTGGGGAAAATGGAGAAACAGGTTTTTCAGGTCTTCATCCTCCCTTCCAGTGTCTCCAGGTGGCACACAACAACTCATATCCTAAATTTAGGCCACACCCCTGATGTATTGCCAAGAAGAAGGTGCGGCCTGGCTTGAGGGCTCTCCAGAAAGGATAGGAGAGGTACATGGAGATGGGGCCTGAGACCCTGTTTCTTCAGTTTCTCTCAGGTTAGAGTCAAAGGCCTCACCTAGCCTAGTTAGTAAGTAGGGCATCAAGCAGTTTTTACCTATCACAGTTTTTACATTTCTTTTCTCAATTCAAAATAGTCCTATTGGGAGCCAACTTGCAAATGGGAAATAGGGGAGCAAACCCAGACTCAGGCTCACAAAACCCTGGCAACCCCACTCAATGAATCTCATTGCTAAGGAAGATTCAACCCAGCAACAGGATCCAGGAGCCACAGAAGGCAGATAAGCCATTGCCCTTTGGGGTTTAGTTGGTTAAGGAGTGCACCACTGTAATTAAGCCCGCTGTTGCTTGGTAACCCCCAAACTAGAACCTGGATGCCCCATATTACGCTTTTAGCCCTCCCATCAACCAAAGATAGATGTAATTTTCCAGTCAGCTGTAGAGTGGTTCATAGATTTTAATGACTCACAGAAGGATGTTTGTCTTCTCACATTAGATGTTCAGATGTCCCTTGTTCCCTTGCTCCCTTGTTCCCTTCTCTACTCCTACTCCCCCTATCCGCTCCACAGTCCTGGCAAGAGACAGGTCAGGGCGGTAGCTGCTGCAGCCAAAATGCCTGCAGGGGCCACATGGCTTGCCACGGCGCTGTTGCACAGGTCTCCCAGGTAGCAGTCCCTGTGGGCTGGATAAGTCACGTCTCCCACCGACTCTGTCTCCACTTGATTGCAATGATGGGCTGCGACGCAGGCTGGATGTTGGTGAATCAAGGTCACTGGGGCTGAGAGAGAGAATGAAACTGGGGTGTTGGACTCCTGGCTTCAGGACTTGCCTTCTGGGGCAGAGCAGATGTGATTTCAAGGAGCCCAAAGGGATTTTCAGCCCCCTCAAAAAACACCTCCCTGAAACCAAGTGATCAAAGTTAATGCATTGACCTTGTAAACTCCTGATGTGATGCAGCAAGAAGGATGCAACATCACTTCTGCAGTATTCTTGCTTAAAATGCATGACCTCAATCTCATCATGGCAAATATCAGATAAATAAATATCGAGGGACATTCTATAAAATAATTTTTAGTATTTCAAGTATCTGTAATTTTTTTTTTTTTTTTGAGACGGAGTTTCACTCTTATTGCCCAGCTGGAGTGCAATGGTGTGATCTCGGCTCACCGCGACCTCCACCTCTTGGGTTCAAGCAATTCTCCTGCCTCAGGTTCCCGAGTAGCTGGTATTACAGGCGGGCACCACTACACCCGGCTAATTTTGTATTTTTAGTAGAGACGAGATTTCTCCACATTGATCAGGCTGGTCTTGAACTCCCGACCTCAGGTTATCCACCCGCCTTGGCCTCCCAAAGTGCTGGGATTACAGGCGTGAGCCACTGCATCCGGCACGTAATTTTTGTTTAATCTAAAAATGATTTTATTTAATTTTAGAGAAAAGATCTTGCTCTCTCACTCAGGCTGGAGTGTGGTGGTGCAATCATACCTCCCTATAGCCTCAAACTCCTGGGCTCAAGTAATCCTCCTGCCTCAGCCTCTCAGGAAACTGAGATTACAGGTGTGTGCCACTATGCCTGGCTAATTTTTTAAAAACATTTTTTGTAGAGATGGGGGTCTCACTTTGCTGCCCAGGCTGGTGTCAAACTCCTGACCTCAGGTGACTCTTCAGCCTTGGCCTCCCAAAGTGCTGGGATTACAAGTGTGTGCCACCAAGCCTAGCCTAAAAATTATTATTATTATTATTTTTGAGACAGGGTCTCATTTTGTTCCCCAGGCTGGAGTGTAGTGGCGTGATCATGGCTCATTGTAGCTTCAATCTCCCAGGCTCAAGCGATCCTCCCTCTTCAGCCCCCTGAGTAGCTAGGACTACAAGCATGTGCCACCACACCCAACTAATTTTTTAATCTGTTTGTTTGTTTGTTTGTTTGTTTTTTGTAGAGACAGGGTCTCCCTATGTTGCCCAGGCTGGTCTCAACTCTTGGGCTCAAGTGGTCCTCCCACCTTGGCCTCCTAAAGTGCTGGGATTACAGGTGCGAGTGACTGCACTGGCCCTAAAAGTAATTTTTTAAACTCCAGGTATAAAATAATTTATCAGGGCTCTTCAAATGTGTCAGGGTCATGAAAGACAAAGAAAAACAGAACTGGCACAGATCAGAGGAGACTAAGAAGACATGAGAGCTAAATGCAATGTAGGATCTTGCTAAATCAAATAAAGTCTGTAGATTAGTTAGTAGTATTGTATCAGTTATTTTGTGATTTTGATAATTGTGCTATGGTTATGTAAGATGTTAGCATTAGGAGAAGTTGAGTATTTCTGCAACTTTTCTGTCAATCCAAAATTATGTTAAAATAAAATATTAAAAACATGTACACACACACACACACACACACACACACACACACACACACACACCCCTCCCTGGTCCTTAACTAATGCCGAAAATTTGAAGTTTGGTTTTAACTTTGGCCTTTCAGGGCCAGAGCTCTTCATTTGTGAGCTAATGGGCCTATGAGATTCTTTTAGGAGAATAAGGAGGTGGGGAAGTGGGGGCACAAGGACTGTGGGCCTCTCAGGGGCTCCGTGCCAGGAGCCAGAAGGGGTACAGACTGCTCTCCTCTAACAGCTGCACCATCTGCCCAGAGCCAGACTGAGCCTGGAGGGTTCTGGAAGCCAGAAGGATTGACATGGGGCTGGAGGCAGGGAAAGGCTGCTGGAAGAGGGAGAAACTGAGGACTCACGGTTTCCAGGTAGCTTGATCTGTTCCAGGCCTGGCTGGGGTCTGCCCTCGCCACAGGTGGTCACGGCCTCTTTGCAAGAACTGCTGGGGCTTCCACCACAGTTGTAGCACCGCATTCGGTTTCCTGGCAGGAGAAAAGAGGCGCTGGACCTGGGCCCTCGGTGGAGCCGGCTGGCAGAAGGCCTGTGTGAGAAGCTAGCTGGCCGCCTCCTTACCCAAGGCAGCCCCTAGCAGGGAGCTGAGCAAGATCCCAACAAACTGGGGTTTCATCGCAGTCTGCCCGTGTCAGGACCGCCTCTACCTCCTGCCCACCCCCCTCCCCAGCCCGGCTCTGCCTGCCTTATATCCCCCGTGCCTTGAGCTTTATAGGGCTATAAAAAAGGAAGAAAGAGTCTCCCCCAGCAGGCACCAAGGGCCCCAGTGGGGACAGGGAGGGGCCCCACAGCATGCTCTCAGCATCCTCTGGAGTCCTCAAACTCCTTTATCCTCAGCAGCAGTCTGTGGACCAACAAGAACCCCTGAGGATCCCTGATACCCTTTCACAGGGTCCTTGAGGGTCCTCCTTTTGCAACTATCTGTGTAAGGTCAGATTTTCTTCATATACTGGACTTCAACGAAAACAACATATCCCAACAGACTGAATGCAGAAGCAGATAGGAAAACCCAGGCATCTCCCACGAAGCCTGACACTAGATTCACAAAAATGTAAAGCAATGCTCAGCTTCTCACTGTGCTGTGGAGAAATAATAGTTATTTTTCACAAAACTGTATTTTGTTAGCATGTAATACTTTATTATTTTTATTGTTTAAATAAATCAATAAATACCTACTTTAAATTTTCTGTTTTAATTTTTAATGTAGTAAATATTGATATAACCTCATAAAGAAAAGCTCTTCAGAGTCTTAAGTAACTTTGAAAAGTGTAAAGAGGTCCTGAGATCAATATTTTTGAAAAGAGCTGCTCTCCTGGGCACCTGTGTCTCCCCTATCTTCACTCCCTGTTCCTAGTCTTACTCCTCCTGGTACATGCTGGCTCTGATTCCCCAGATGGGCCTTCCTCCTTCCCAGTCTCTTCAACCCCAGCCTTCCAGGCTGTATCACCACCCCCCTACCCCAAATCCCATCCATGCCTTCCTTTCTAGTGATTTCTCCCCAGTGCAAGCACATCAGCAGGCCCTCCAGCCCCACCCGTGGTTATTTCTTTCCTCCAAGGTAGTAAAGCTGGCAGGGATAATTACAGGGTAGGAATGTTGAAGCTTGGGGGGATCAAAGGGATCTGAAGCTGGGTGGGGTCCGCCCTTACACAGCTGGGCTTTGTGTGTGCATGTGGGTGTGTGGGTGGGGGTATTGTTGATTCTACACTCAAACAGATCCACGCCGGGGCTGTTTAGGAGGGTGACTTTGAGAGACATGAAAGCACTGAGGGGGAAAGACAGAGAAAACAAAGACAGAGAGAAGCTGAGAGAGCCAGGGAGCAGCTTGAGACATGGGGAGGGAGGGGGAGGAGTAGGAGGGAAGGCGACAGACACAACTCAGGAGCAGGAGAGGAAGCTAAGTTACAGAGACAACATGCTGAGAGAGCAGAGGAGACCCTCCAGGCAAGGGCAGACTCCTTGCAGGGGCAGGCTGGGGGCCCCCGCTGCCTGCTGGGTCAGGCTGGTGAATCTGGTCATGGTTCCGCCCCCCAGATTCACTCCCTAGGTGTGTTTGTTTACTGGTTCCTCACTGTCTTGCTCAAATGCTCCAACTCTACAAATCCCGGGATCTCGGGGTGCAGATCACCTCTCCCAGATTCCTGAGCCTGTGTCTGGCCATGGGCACCTCCAGCATCTTCCTCTGCGTGCTGTTCCTCTGTGGGGCACTGGGTAAGGGTGGGCTGGGGAACCTTCAGTGGTCAGGGGGCTGGGGGTGGGGACAAGGGCATGTGGAGGAACCTGAGGGCTGGGGAGGAGAGGGGTGTGGGTGCTGGAAGAGGCCAAGAAGAGAGCTGGGGGAGTGGGGGACTTCAGGGAGACCAGCCACTGGGAAGGCCAGCCTGATGAGGTGGGAAAGGAAGAGTTTCCTTTCAAGGCATTTGAGAATAACTGTCTCCCCCTTGCTGCATCTTTGATCCGCCCCTGTCTCCCCTATCCCTTATTTCACGTGTTGCTTCTGTGCTGGGCCCTTTGGTCAATGTCAATTTCTATTTTCCTATCTGTCTCTGGTGCCATTTACTTAACTTTTTCACTGACCCCCTCAACTTCCCTGCTGCTGGGTCTGGCTTTTTGTCTCACTCTTTTTATGTTGGTCTCTGATTCTTGTGGCTTCTGTTCATGTCTGCGCATCTCTCAATCCCTGTACCCCTCTTGCCTCCATCTCTGTTTCTTTTCCTGCATCGTCTCCCTCTTTTTTTTTGAGACAGAGTCTCGTTCTGTCACCCAGGCTGGAGTGCAGTGGCATGATCTCGGCTCACTGCAACCTCAGCCACCCAGATTCAAGAGATTCTCCTGCCTCAGCCTCCCAAGTAGCTGGGACTAGAGGCATGTGCCACCATGCCCGGCTAATTTTTTGTATTTTTAGTAGAGACGGGGTTTCACTGTGTTAGCCAGGATGGTCTCAATCTTCTGACCTCATGATCAGCCCGCCTCGGCCTCCCAACGTGCTGGGATTACAGGCGTGAGCCACTGCGCCCAGCTATTTTTTCTACTTCTGTCAGCTTTCCTCCCTTATTCCACAGCTTTCCTCTCTCTGCTTCATGTGTCACCTCTCTCTGTGATCCCTCTCCGGATCTGGCCTCTGCCTGCCCCACAGGGAGGGTTTGCCTCTCCTGCTCTCCTAATCTCTGCTGCCTCAACAGGTCTCACCATGTCCCCTGCCCGGGGAAGGCTCCGCTGCTACATCTGTGGCTTCACCAAACCCTGCCACCCTGTTCCCACCGAGTGTCGGGACGATGAAGCTTGTGGCATCAGTATTGGCACTTCAGGTAGGACTCTGGTCCAATGGCCCTTCTCCAGGAGGCTCCCTACCTCCATCCATCCGGCCTTTCCTGTGGCCCCCGCCTCAGCATGCCTCTTTCATCCCACAGACCAGAGTGAGATCACTGAGTGAAAAAGCTGCCTCTCAAGGGCCCAGTGCCCTCTGCCAGGCTATGCCACCTACTGGCTGCACTCCTACACTCTGTGGCACCACTGCTGCGAGCAGGACCTGTGCAACATAGCCGCTTCCCCACAGCAGCTCACCAGCCTCCTCGCCTCCCTGCCCCTCTTTGTGGCCAGCTTCGCTGGGAGAGGACACCTCCTCCACTAGCTTCCGTGGATCTGCAGCCCCCAACCCAGGATACCCCCCGCCATCACTGCGGCCCTGGAAACACCTGCACAGACACTTTGAGACATGCCCGAGAACCTAATTTTGTACAGAGACCCCAGATCTCTCAGCAGACCCCTCACAGACCCCTCACAAGGCCTGGGGAGGCACCTGCCCAGAGTCCAACCTCATAAAGAACACCTATTCTGCGTCTTTTGTCTTTTCTAGATGCCCATTGCTGATGCCCCGTGTCAGCCCAGGTCACTGGCAAGGCAGGCATTTTGATGACACTGTGGATCTCAGGCAAGGGGATCAAAGGAGCATCAGGTATGGTAAGGAGGAGAGTCTTGCTAGGAAAGACTAATGTGGTAGGTCGGGAACTCAGGATGGAGGGCTTGGGGGACTATGAAGAGTACCTTTAATAAAAGGTCTATCTAGGAGTCCAGTAATACTGCAGATACTGCAGTGTGTGTGTGTGTGTGTGTGTGTGTGTGTGTCTGTGTGTGTGTGCTCTAAGAGCAAACTGTAGCTGCTTGGTGGGTTGGGCTGGAGCTGGAACCTGGACCACGGCACTCCCCTCATTCTCCATCTGTGTCATTTTCGTCCTTTTTCTTGCCAATGGCTTAGTTTAAGCCCCTGCAGCCTGAAGCCTTTAGGTGAGACTTCTGAGAAAGCTTTTTTCCAGTAAGGCCCAAGCTTGAGCAGAGACACAAAAGGGCACCCAGTGGAGCTGCTTGTGAGGGTGTGGCTGGAGCTCAGCTCATTTCTGCCTGAGACTAGGGAATGGCCAAGTTGGGAGCATCAATATCCTCCCTCGCTTCACCAGCCCAGACTCGCCCATGGTTCACAGACATCCCAGCATGGCCCCGGCCCAATAAATAACATACCCCCACTGGGCCTGCCAGCCTGAGTAGACACTCCCTCTGCCCCCGAGAAATAGGGTGTGACCTCAGGGCAGCAGGAAGGAAGTGCCAGAGTGGCGATAGCTGCTCACATGCTCTGAATGCCCCGGTAAGGCGCCACAGGGAAGAGTGTGTGCCTAGGATAAGGAAGGATAAGGAGGGGGCCCCGGGTGGGAGCTGAGCACAGGCATCTCTATCCTGACTCAGTTCCCTCCCCTTGCATGTGAGGAAGTCTGGGGTTGATTAAATATGCCTGTTCCCTCTCTTCTTTGTGAGGATGAGACATGGGGTAGTGGGGGTCTGGCTTAATTTAGAGATGGGTTGAGGCTTTCCATTTTCTCTGTCCCTCCATCCTCCCACTTTGTGCTTCTATTTTTCTCCCTCTGTCCATCTCTTTCCACTTTCTCTGACTTGAGTCTCTTCCCTTCTCTCTCTTCCCCCGTTTTCCCCATTTGTCCTTCAGCTCCACTGCAATGGATTCCTCACCATTGCTCAAGTCTCCAGATTCCTGTCTCCTCCCTGTGCACACCCATCCTCCTTGCCCCCACCAGCAACCTCAGGCTCCCCTCAACCCCACAGTACTATGGGCTCAGGGCCATCCCTCCACTGCTGCTACAAGACAGGAGACCAAACCTTTTTGTAGGTTACATCACAGAATAATGCTCCTCCTTTCCTTCAGTCCCCCACCCCTCCCCATACACAGCTTGGTGGCTGCTGGAGGCCAGCTGGATGGTGAAGTCGAACTCTCAGTCCCGCCCCCCTTGCTAAGGTTGTCGAGGAATCTTCCAGGTGCCAGATGGCCAGCGAGACAGCAGGTCACACTTCCCAGCAGATGTCACCAAAATCACCTGGGCTTGTGGGCAGGTGGGCTGTGGGGTTTTCCAGAGAGACAGATTAAGGATACCTCTACTTTTCACATCCTCAGGAACGAGGGCCCATCCCCAACCCAACCCGTGTTTCCTCTCCATCCCCAGTCCCCTCCAGGATTTAAGCCTCTGTTCCCTAGCTGTTCCTCACCCAAGACGGGCCAAATGGATGTTCTCATAGACCTGGATTTCGGGTTTGAACTGAGGAATCGAGGCATCTGGGGAGAAGGAGCCATCAGGGATACAGAAGAGAAGTCAGCAGACAACTTAGAGCCGTGTTCCTCGCCCCCTCCCCTAGAGGAGGTGGGGTACAGAGGCGGGGTGTGAGCCTAGCCCTTTGCCTCCCACCCATGTGCCCTCTTCTTTCCCCGGGGAGGGAGGGACTCACCTCTGCCTGGAGCCCCACGGACCCTCTGCCTCCAGAGCACGATGCTGAGGGCCAGGATGACAACTCCCTGGCCCATTGTGAGCAGCAGCATCAGAATCCAAGGCATGTCCCAGCCCGTGGAAGGGGCACAGAGGGCAGGAGAAGCATCGATGGAGGCTGTAGTAAGGGCCAGACCAGAGGGATGGGAGGGAGGTAGTGAGGGGCCCTGTCCCTGTGCCCCAAAGAGAGGCTTCCCCTCCACAGTCTGGTGGGCTCTTCCAACAGAAGACTTTGTAAGCTTCCCTGCCCACAATATCCTCCACCCTACTCTGCCCCTTTCCAGGCCTCTCACCCTGACCCATAGAGAATGGCGGCCAGGCACAGTGGCTCATGCCTGTAATTCCAGCACATTAGGAGGCCAAGGCGAGCAGACCACTTGAGGTCAGGAGTTCAAGACCAGCCTGGTCAACATGATGAAACCTCATCTCTACTGAAAGTATAAAAATTGAGGCCAGGCGCAGTGGTTCACACCTGTAATCCCAGCACTTTGGGAGGCCGAGGTGGGTGGATCACCTGAGGTCAGGAGGTTGAGACCAGCCTGACCAACATGGTGAAACCCCATCTCTACTAAAAACACAAAAAAGAGGCCGGGCGCTGTGGCTCACACCTGTAATCCCAGCACTTTGGGAGACCAAGGCGGGCAGATCACGAGGTCAGGAGATTGAGACTATCCTGGCCAACATGGTGAAACCCCGGCTCCACTAAAAATACAAAAATTAGCTGGACGTGGTGGCATATGCCTGTAATCCTAGCTACTCGAGAGGCTGAGGCAGGAGAATCACTTGAACCAGGGAGTCAGAGGTTGCAGTGAGCCGGGATTGCGCCACTGCACTCCAGCCTGGCGACAGAGAGAGACTCTGTCTCAAAAAAAAAACAAAAAAAAACACACACACACACACAAAAGTTAGCCAGGCGTGGTGGCAGGCACCTGTAGTCCAGCTACTCAGGAGGCTGAGATGGGAGAATAGCTTGAACCCAAGAGGCAGAGGTTGCAGTGAGCCAAGATCGTGCCACTGCATTCCAGCCTGGCCAACAGAACAAGTCTCCATCCCAAAAAAAAAAAAAAAAAAAAAAAAAAGGCCAGGCGTGGTGGCTCACACCTATAATCCTAACACTTTGGGAGACTGAGGCAGGCAGATCATGAGGTCAAGAGATCAAGGCCATCCTGGCCAACATGGTGAAACCCCGTCTCTACTAAAAATACAATTTTTTTTTTGAGATAGAGCTTCGCTCTTGTTGCCCAGGCTGGAGTGCAATGGCGTGATCTTGGCTCACTGCGCCCTCCACCTCCCAGGTTCAAGTGATTCTCCTGCCTCAGCCTCCCGAGTAGCTGGGGTTAGAGGCATGTGCCACCATACCCGGCTAATTTTGTATTTTTAGTAGAGACAGAATTTCTCCATGTTAGTCAGGCTGGTCTTGAACTCCCAACCTCAAGTGATCCGCCTGCTTCGGCCTCCCAAAGTGCTGGGATTACAGGATTGAGCTACCATGCCTGGCCTAATAATAATAAAATAAAATAAAATAAAATAAAAAGTAGAGAATGGCAATGCCCCCTGCTCACGCATGGGCAACCAACTACAGAGCAGACCACCAGCCATAACCACACTTTCCCCTCACACCCTTTATAGTAATTCACCCTTTCTTTCAAGAAAAAATAGCCAGATGTGATGGCTCATGCCTGTAACCCCAGCACTTTGGGAGACCAAGATAGGAGGATCATTTGAGGCCAGTAGTTTGAGACCAGACTGGGCAACATAGCAAGATCCTGTCTCTACAAAAAATTTAAAGGTGCGGTGGCTCATGCCTATAATCCCAGCACTTTGGGAGACTGAGGCAGGCAGATCACTAGAAGTCAGGAGGTTGATACCAGCCTGGCCAAAATGGTGAAATCTCGTCTCTACTAAAAGTACAAAAAATTATCCAGGCATGGTGGCGGGCGCCTGTAATTCCAGCTACTTGGGAGGCTGAAGTGAAAGAACATCCCTTTCCGTCTCCTTCCTCAGTTTACCTGCCAGGCTAAAGCTGACCCCTTTGTTGTGAGTCATGAGGCAGCGGATGATTCTTGGTCTTCGGCTCCTGGGCTCAGAAAGCCCCTCCCCAGGACACACCAAGAGCAGGGCAGCCTCACTGCCCCAGAAGGACTGAACACGGCCCCTCACGGGACCCTTCCCTTCCTGCCAGGTCACAGAGTCCATGCGTCTGCTGGGGACCACAGAGCACAGGAGGACATTGCAGGGGGATCCATCTGCAGCCCTTGCAGATAACTGGGATCCTGTAGGGGAGAGAGGGATTCCTCAGTTCTTCACCTGGACTTCCTGGGCCACAGTAGCCCCTGGTCTGCATGCCCCCACTCACCTTTGAGCACCAAGACGTCGTACACCCTCCAGTTCTGGTAGTTGTGGTGCTGACCTAGCACAGCGCACCAGTACCGCCCGGCATCTTCCTCTTTGGATCCCTCCAACCACAAAGAATAGTTCCCCAGCAGTCTGAGCCTGGATTCCCTTCCTGGTTTTCCAGGGTCTGGGGCTGGCCTGCCCACTTGGACTTGGGCTACCAGGGTGGTGAAGGAGCCTGCTGCAGGGCTGCAGAACCATGACAGGTGTTCGTCCCCATGTAGAGTAGGTGGTGAGGGACATGGCAGCTCTACTGCCTCCCCCAAGGCCACATAGATGGCCTGCATGTTGTCTGTGGGAAGAGGGTTGTATGAGGCCAGAGACCTCCATCAGATCAATAACCCCCCATTTGATCTTCAACCCTGGCTTCCTTCCCTTCTGGGGTCCCCCAGCACAGGCCTGGCTGGTGACCACATTTCTCAAGTGACAGCTACAAAAATAAGACAGGTGGAGAGAAGAGGGTAAGGGCTTTCCTCCTCTCTCCCCCAGCCAGTGAGGGGGTCTGAGGGCAAGAGGGAAAAGGCTGAAAGTTGGCAAATGCCCACATCTCTTCTACTCATTTCTACTTTTCTGGAAGCATTTACTCATTCTTCTTATTTTATAAAGGAAACTGCATAACCTGGACCCTCGTTGCCTCTGGGTCTTCCCTAGTGTCAGAGGCAGGAGGAGGTTGGTTGGGGTAATTCTATCTTCTTGAGTCAGATGCCTTCGCCAGGCTCCTAGGAGAAAGAGCAGTAGTCCCTCCCCAACCTTGCAAATAGCTAAGGAATCCCGTACCTCTTGCCCCTTACCTGCAGCCTGGGGAGTTCCACATAGGAACAGGAGGAGGAATAAGACTGCCATGGGGAGAGCCTGCCAAGTTCTCTTGCTCCAAGACCTGGTGTCCCCAGGGAGGAAGCAGAGTCCAGATAAAGGCCCACACTCGCTGGTCTGGAGTGACAAGGGGCTCTGGAGGGGATGGGAATGCTGGGGCGATAAAGCCCAGCAGCATGTCTACTAGGGATAAAGTGACCACCACTTTTCTATCCTGGAGAGAAAAGGACCCAGCCCAGGCCACTCTGAAGATGACCTTTTTGCTCTTCTGATTCCACATCAGCTAAGGGGCTCAAATAAAGACTTTCCATGCAAAAAACCATGCAGAGAAGTGGTCCTGCCTGTCTAGCTCTTGTCAGTCTGGAAGTACATTCTGAGGTCTCTTTCACTCCTAAGAAAGGTCAGCCATGAGTTGGGTGGATCACTTGAGGTCAGGAGTTCGAGACCAGCGTGGCCAACATGGCGAAACCCTGTCTCTACAAAAAATACAAAAATTAGCCAGGCGTGGTGACATGTGCCTGTAATCCCAGCTACTTAGGAAGCTGAGAGGCACCAGAATCGCTTGAACCCGGGAGGTGGAGGTTGCAGTGAGCCGAGATCGTGCTACTGCACTCCAGCCTGGGAGACAGAGCGAGACTTCATCTCAAAAAAAAAAAAAAAAAAAAAAAAAAAAGAAAAAGAAAAGAAAAGAAAAGAAATGTCAGCTATGAGTGAAGAAACTGAGTTTGAGTTTTTATGTTGGTCCTCCACAGAACCCAGCACAAGACTGTGTATCGAGTCAGTGTCCCGTAAATGATTTGGAATGACTTTCCCTGTGGTTGTCTGGCATACCCCGGACCTCTCCTGAAACCCTAATAAGTGTATTAAATTATTACTCAGGGACAAGGCTAACGGGCTGATTCATCCTTCTGAACGGCAAAAACTCCTAAGGCAGATCTTCATGCAGTTATTACAGTTTTAATGTGTAATTTATTTATTTTTAAAATTATTTTGATGAAATATTCCATACATACCAAAAACTATATGAAGTACAACTATATAATGGATAAATGCTTAACAGAGTAGAAGACTGGACAGCAATGAGAATGAACAAACCTAGTGATTTGCAACAAAGTTGAATCTCACAATATAATGAGAGTAAAAGAAGCCTGGCCAGGCATGGTGGCTCATGTCTACAATCCTAACACTTTTGGAGGCCAAGGTGGGAGGGTTGATTGAAGCCAGAAGTTTGAGGTTGGGCAACAGAGCAAGACCCCAACTCTGAAAATAAAGGCCAGACGCCGTGGCTCACGCCTGTAATCCCAGCACTTTGGGAGGCTGAGGCAGGCGGATCACGAGGTCAAGAGATCGAGACTATCCTGGCCAACATGGTGAAACCCTGTCTCTACTAAAAATACAAAAATTAGCTGAGTGTGGTGGTGGATGCCTGTAGTCCCAGCTACTCAGGAGGCTGAGGCAGGAGAATCGCTTGAACTCAGGAGGCAGAGGCTGCGGTGAGCAGAGATCATGCCACTATACTCCAGCCTGGTGACAGAGCGAGACTCCGTCTCAAAAAAATAAATAAATAATAAATAAATAAATAAATAAATAAATAGAATATTCCAGGCCGGACTCGGTTGCTCATGCCTGTAATCCCACCACTTTGGGAGGATGAGACAGGCGGATCACCTGAGGTCAGGAGTTCAAGACCAGCCTGACCAACATGGAGAAACCCCATCTCTACTAAAAATAAAAAAATTAGCAGGGCATGGTGGTACATGCCTGTAATCTCAGCTACTTGGGAGGCTGAGGCAGGAGAATCGCTTGAACCCCAGAGGCAGAGGTTGTGGTGAGCCGAGATCGGGCCATTGCACTCCAGCCTGGGCAATAAGAGCGAAACTCGGTCTCGAAAAAAAAAAAAGAAAAAGAAATAGAATATTCCAGGCCAGGCACAGTGGCTCATGCCTGTAATCCCAGCACTCTGTGAGGCCAAAGCAGGAGGTTCACTTGAGCCCAGGAGTTCGAGACCAGCCTGGGCAACATGGTGAGACCTTGTAAAATTAGCCGAGTATGGTGGTGTGGGCCTATAGTCCCAGCTACTCAGGAGGTTGAGGCAGAAAGATGGTTGAGCCCAGCAGGTGGAGGATCAGGGCAGTGAGCCGTGATTGTGCCACTGTGCTCCAGCCTGGGTGAAAGAGCTAGACCCTGTCTCAAAAAAAAAAAAAAAAAAAAACAGAAAAAAAGAATATTCCGTTTCAGTCAGAGATCCTCTATGCTGTGTAACCACAATTCTGAATTTTCTCTTTCTTCTCCACTTGCTTTATCATTAAATTTTATGTGTTTTTGAATCTAATATACTAGTATCACGTATACATTCTTCTGTGGCTTTCTATTTTCACTCAGCATCATGGTTTTAAGATCCAGTTCATGCATAACAGTAATGATTCATTTATTTTCTTTTTACAAATATTCCGCATATCTTACTGTGCTGAATTTTCGTATCCAGGACCATGGTGTAGCTTTCCATTTATTGAAAAGCTTTTCGTTTACCTCTTTCTTTTTTTATTTTTTCAATTATTATTGTTATTATTTTGAGGCAGGGTCTGGCTCTGTCACCCAGGCTGGAGTGCATGGAGCGATCTCAAACTCCCGGGCTCAAGCGACCCTCCCACCTTGGCCTCCCAAGTAGCTGGGACTACAGGTGGGCACCACCACACCCTGCTAGGTCTTTTTTTTTTCCCCCTTGGTATTTTGTGTAGAGATGGGGTCTCACTATGTTGCCTGGGCTGGCTTGGAACTCCAGGGCGCAAGCAATCCTCTCTCAGCCACCCCAAGTGTTGGAATTACAGGCATGAGCCATGGCCTGGAACTCCTGGACGCAAGCAATCATCCCTCGGCCACCCAAAGTGTTGGAATTACAGGCGTGAGCCACCGCGCTGGGCCAGTTTACCTTTATTTATTTATTTAGAGACAGAGTCTTGCTCTGTCACCAAGGCTGAAGTGCAGTGGGAAGATCTCGGCTCACTGCAACCTCTGCCTCCCGCGTTCAAGCGATTCTCGCGTCTCGGCCTCCCGAGTAGCTGGGATTACAGGCGCGCACCACCCATGCCAGGCTAATTTTTGTATTTTTAGTAGAGATGGGGTTTCACCATGTTGGCCAGGCTGGTCTCGAACTCCTTGCCTCAAGTGATCCCCCCGCCTCGGCCTCCCAAAGTGCTAGGACTACAGGCGTGAGCCACTGCGCCGGGCCGGGCCAGTTTGCCTTTTCAATAACTTTTTATAGTTTTCTTCATAAAACCTTGCATTTCTTGTACTAGATACATTCCTAGACACCTTATGTTTTCGGTTACTCTTATCAAGTACTCCTAATCTCACCCCTCGTTTCCGCTGTCGCTCTAGAGTCTGCCAATAATGAGACAGAAAAAAATTATTGAACCATGCCCGGTAATTTTCTGATTCTCCGCGTTCTAGTGGTCTTCCACTAGTTTCGGACCACTGCTGTACCCGTAGCTCCAACTGCGCGAAACTCTTCTCAGGAAGCACTGAAAATGTCGCAACTCGCCCGGAGGCGGAGCCGGTACGGGCTGACGTCAAGGGCACACAACACCTCAGAGGCAGGGAGGGCGGGGCCGGCAGGGGGACCTGCTGCTGGAAGAGCAGCGGCCCGAGCCGGGGCCATGGCGAAGCTGCTGAGCTGCGTCCTAGGCCCCCGGCTCTACAAAATCTACCGGGAGAGGGACTCTGAAAGGGCCCCGGCCAGCGTCCCTGAGACGCCAACGGCAGTCACTGCCCCCCATTCCAGCTCCTGGGTGAGTCGAGTTCCTCCCCACCGAAGAACGTGGTACAGTCCAAACCCTTTACGGCCTTTTGCTCCCCAGAAGTGCCCATAATGGGAAATAAGGGGAGCCTGCTTGTCAAGCCAGTTATCCGCAAAATCTGCGCTCTGTGTGCTTCCTGAGTTAAAGTCACGCCTACGGACTGGCCGCCTCCTTTCTTTTTCGCTCTTTACCGCTTTCTCATTCCGACTGCCACTCTTTGTTCTTTCCTCTCCGCGTCCCCCCGACCCTGTGTGTCGTGGTTCGTGCCGGTCCCAGTTGAGTCTTGAGTCCCGGGAAGAGACCCTGCGCGGACTGGGGAGCCGTTGAATTTTGCTGTCAGACTCCCAGTTTCCTCTTCTTCAGTGCCTCTTCATGCCTCCCCCGGCTCTGTTTTTATCTTCCCTTTACCCTCGCCTTGAATTTCAGAATGACTTTTACAGATCCTGTATCCGTCGGTCCTCCCCTCAACCCCCGCCCAACCTAGCCTGGAGACCCGAGTCATTGTATTCTGGAGAGCTGGCGGGTGGTGGTAGGCTGTTCTAAATATTCTCTTCCTTTTTATCAGTTGTCTCATTGTGTTACTGTCTCCTACAAACTGCCCGCTCCTACCCACATTCTCTTCTTAGTCAACTACTCTTATTTCTGATGCTTTTCTTTCCTTCTTAGATTGTCTAGGTGTCTTTTCTTTCTTCTCAAACTAACCCTTCTCCCCACATGCACGCGCCTGCAATCCATTTGAAACTAGGCTGTGGAAAAGGAGCAAAAATCGTCCAATGCTGCTTTCACTTTTGCTTCCAAATCCAGCTCCCTGTGTTTGTTCCCATGGTCAGGGGTGGGAAATTAGGTTCAGAGTGAGGGTGAGGAAGAGGAGTTTCTGTGGGGGCCAGGGATGTTTCAAGAGAGATAGTCAACGAGACTAGAACCAGAGGACACACAGCAGGGCTTCTGAAAGGGAAGGGAAAGGACCTGCCAGTGGGCAGGGTCCTTAAGGAGGCCATCTGTTTTGGCAGGATACGTACTATCAGCCCCGTGCCCTGGAGAAACATGCTGACAGCATCCTGGCACTGGTATGTCTACCCTGGCATCTGGGACTCTGCATCTTTCAGACCCACCTGTCCTCTTGAACTTAGCCCTCCCTAACTTGGGAGCAACAGTGCCCTGGGGTTGGGGGATGCCCTGGGCTCTGCAGCAGACCTCTCCAACACAGACACACAGGCACACTCTAAATGTGCATACTTGGCACTCCCCTTTGGTATGTAGCACTGCTTTCTCTGGGGGCAACCTGAGCCGTAAGGAAAACATGTTTACTCTTGGGACCATCTGCAGGTGCTAAGTCCTGCAGTTCCCCAGTGACCTGTCCTCCCTGGCAACTAACCTCTTTGGCTGCAGGGACAGCTGTTCTTTCTGGCACAGTTCCTGTGGTGACGTTTGCGCATCTCTTGGGGACCAGGCCAGGGGCTGTCCTGAGCAGGGCCAATTGAAAAGGCTTGATTAACTTGAGTAGACAGAGAGACTGCCTTTAAATGTGATGGAATTATGTCTGGAGATGGAAGACATAATTCTTCCATAATTCCAGAGGAAGAAAATAGAGCCTGTACCAAATTTTCCCAGCCTCCATTACATTGACACACTACTTTTCAACAAATACTGAGCACCTACTGTATTCATGGTGTCATACACCAAATATGATATGATATCCCTCAGGTTGTCCATCTTGCTCAGAGTGTATAGTATATGCCTGGAATGGCAGGTGTGTGTGTGTGTGTATTGATTGCCTGTCCCTGTCTCTCTGCTGCAGGCTTCAGTATTCTGGTCCATCTCTTATTACTCCTCTCCCTTCGCCTTCTTCTACTTGTACAGGAAAGGTCAGTGTGGTTTCAAAGGTGGTGGGGTAGCAAATGGGCAGGTTGTTGGCAGATGAGCCAGCTCCCTAAAGAGGAGAGGGGACCTGTGAAGATGGCTTGGCTTCCCTCTTCCATCAGGCATCTTCTTCCTCTTAGGGTATGGCTGTTCCAAACAGGGAGTGTGGGGTGGAGGTTGGGGCTGAACTGGGAAGAGGAGCTGAGGGACATTGCGGAGAGGGTCTCACATTGTCCCTCTCCCTTCCCAGGTTACTTGAGTTTGTCCAAAGTGGTGCCGTTTTCTCACTATGCTGGGACATTGCTGCTACTTCTGGCAGGTGTGGCCTGCCTCCGAGGTAGGTGGAGAGGAAACCTGGTTTGAATCTTATCTGTCACTGTCACTGGTTAAAAATTAAGTACCTTGTGCAAATACATTTTAGTGATGGGCCTCCGAGAGGGAATCATTGAGAATGGTTTAAGGCATGATCTTTTCCTTAAAAGACTTGGGTTATAAATATGAAAAAATAACTGAAAAGTAACAAAAAGGTTTGCTTTTTTTTTTTTAAGAGATAGGGTCTCACCATGTTGTCCAGGCTGGTCTCAAACTCCTGAACTCAAAGTGATCCTCCCACCTCAGCCTCCCGAAGTACTGGGATTATAGATGTGAGCCACTATGCCTGGCTGCTTTTATCTAGAAAAGATGCATATACCCTACAACAATTCTATATATGTATACATACTAGGAAAACTCCTGCACATGTATAAACAATATAGATGTACAAGAATACAGCATACAACATTGTTTGTAATAATCCTAAGCTGGAAACAACTCCAGTGGCTACAAATAGTAGGATGGATAAAATATGTTCTGTGTGGCCGGGTGTGGTGGCTCATGCCTGTAATCCCAGCACTTTGGGAGGCAGAGGCCAGTGGATCACGAGGTCAGGAATTTGAGACCAGCCTGACCAACATGGTAAAACCCCGTCTCTACCAAAAATACAAAAATTAGCTGGGCATGGTGGCACGTGCCTGTAATCCCAGCTACTTAGGAGGCTGAGGCAGGAGAATAGCTTGAACCTGGGAGGCAAAGGTTGCAGTGAGACGAGATTGCGCTACTGCACTCCATCCTGGGCAACAGAGCAAGACTCCGTCTCAAAAAAAAAAAAAAGTTCCATGCAATAGCCATGCAAGAGAACACTATATAGCAATGCAAATGAACAAACTGTAGCTACGCTCAACAACGCAGATGAAGCCAGGTGCAGTGGCTCATGCCTGTAATCCTAGCAGTTTGGTAGGCTGAAGCAGGCAGATCACCAGAGGTCAGGAGTTCAAGACCAGTCTGTCCAACATGGTGAAACCCCGTCTCTACTAAACATACAAAAAAAAATTAGCCAGGTATGGTGGTGAGCACCTGTAATCCCAGCTATTCGGGAGGCTGAGGCAGTAGAATTGCTTGAATCCAAGAGGCAGAGGTTGCAGTGAGCCAAGATTGCGCTACTGTACTGCATCCTGGGCAACAGAGCAAGGCTCCATCTCAGAAAAAATAAAATACAAAAAATTAACTGGGCATGGTGGCACATGCCTATAGTCTTAACTGCTTGGGAGGCTAAGGCATGAGAACTGCTTGAACCTGGGAGGCAGAGGTTGCAGTGAGCCAAGATAGCACCACTGCACTCCAGTCTGGGTGACAGAGCGAGACTCTGTCTCCAGATAAACAAAAGCAATGCAGATGAATTTCTCAAATGTTGTGTTAAATAGAAGAAGCTAACCACAAAATAATGTATGCAGTATGTTTTCATTTATATAAAATTCAAAAGGGATGTGCATGTTTGAGGTAGAACACCGAAGACAACAAGGGCATGGTTTTCTTTTTTTTTTTTTTTTTTTTTGAGACGGAGTCTCGCTCTGTCCCCCAGGCTGGAGTGCAGTGGCGCGATCTCGGCTCACTGCAAGCTCCGCCTCCCGGGTTCACGCCATTCTCCTGCTTCAGCCTCCCGAGTAGCTGGGACTACAGGCGCCCACCACCACACCCGGCTAGGTTTTTTTGTATTTTTTAGTAGAGATGGGGTTTCACCGTGTTAGCCAGGATGGTCTCAATCTCCTGACCTCGTGATCCACCCGCCTCGGCCTCCCAAAGTGCTGAGATTACAGGCTTGAGCCACCGCGCCCAGCAAGGGCATGGTTTTCTCAAAAGTTAGGAGAGTGATTACCTGGGGTGGGGGAGAACAGAGTGGGGGAGAGCCCTGCTGAGAGGTGGCTGTGTTCTCTTTGTTGACCTAGGTGATAGTCACATGAATGTTTGCTTTGTATTTTTTAAACTGAATATATGTTTTATGTACATATGTTGTATCTCGCAATTTAAAAAAATAAAGAGGACAGATCACCTACCCCTAGTGGGTACATAAGATGACAACCAGGTGATGGGCGATGCTTCAACATGGGGGTGGTGGGGTCAGGGCTGGATGGTCGCAGTTGGGTCCAGGACCTTCTGCCTGAGGTGTTCTGCCCCCTGATCTCTGCAGGGCTGGGCTCTCTCCTCAGAGAGGCCTTCCCTGACCACCCTGTCTAAAAGTAGCTCCCACTGCTCAGTTTTGTCTTAGTTTTTTATTTTATTTATTTTTAATTTAGAAAAAATACAGAAAAAATTAGCGGTGCATGGTGGCGGGCGCTTGTAATCCCAGCTATTTGGGAGGCTGTGGCAGGAGAATCACTTGAACCCGGGAGGCGGAGGTTGCAGTGAGCCGAGAGCACATCATTGCACTCCCGCCTGGGCAACAAGAGCAAAACTCTGTCTCAAAAAAAAGAAAAAAGAAAAAATACAGAAAAGTCCAGAGAACAAAATATAAAAGCCTTTTTAAATTTTTTGATGTATAGTTTTGTGATTTTTTTTTTATATATAGTTTTGTGATATTTGCTTTAAATGCTTTCTGTCAACAAAATACTAAAGCACCACAGTTAGGGTTGGAGTTCCCATTGGAATCCTTTCAGTCCCATCTTCCTCTTTCCTCAGAAGTAATAATTGTCATTTGGTGTGGGTTTTTTTTTTTTCTGGCACATACTTTTATGAAACATATACCTCAGTTCCTCAAGTCTAAGCTGCCATCAATTGTAAAATGAATTCTAATTTCAGAGTTTTCAAGGGTTAAAAAATATACATTTTAGAATCTATGAAATATGGTATCTATAAGCAGTATGTATTATTTTGCACATTTTACATTTTTGGCATAAATGTTGTACAAATCATTCTGCAGCACACATCATTCTCTCATCATATCGTTTTGGGGGAATACCATTGATGACACATAAAGTTCTGGTTCATTCTTGTTGTATTTTCTCTGTAGCACTTATCCCTCTCTGAAATGTTGTTTATTGTCTTCTCCTGGCTGTACCTAACCCCAACCAGAATGCCAGCTCTCTGAGAGCCAGGAGCTGTGTATCTCATTTCCTGCTGAGTCTCCCGTGTGTAGTACGGTGCCTGTCTGACACACGACACCTGCCAAGTCAGTGAGGAGAGAAGTTAGGGTTTGAGGTGGCTCAGCAGTGAAAGGAGAGTGGATGCAATCACTGACTGTGTAAGTGAAAAGAGAGAGGAGAGAGAGTCAGCACTGAGAGTTGCTTCTGCTTCAGAAAGGAAAGCAGAAAGGAGGCAGGAGAGGAACTGTTCAGGAACTGGAAGGAGTCAAGGATGGGCCCAGGAAGCAGAGGCAGGAAGAATCTTGAGGGACAGGGAGAATGCTGAGTAGTACAGTTGAAGAGAATGAGGATAGAAGAGTCAGGAATTCAGTGAGGAAGTAATTATGGGCAGGAGTCGGAGACTCTGAAGCCAGATGGCAAGGGGCTAGAATATACAGAAAAGAGGCAGAAAGCAAACATTGGAGAAGAATGGCAGTGAAAAATAGAGAAATTTGATATTCGCAAGGGAGAATAGTATTATATGATAGTGTTTAATAGTGTCATTTAATAGGTTATATGACAGTGTTTAAAGACTGAGGAAGAGGAACATTCTGGAAGATGGTAGGTTAAGGATTGTCTATAAAGACACAAACTGCAGAAGCTAGGGAGAAGAAGCGTCCTGTAGCCAGTTGCTGGATTTGGAGGAAGGGGGTTGGCTCACATCTATTTCTCCGCATCCTATGCCCTCAGTTCCTTTTTCTTTCACTTTTTCTTACAGGGCCTTCTTCTAGCCCATCTCCAATTCTTTTCCTAAAACCTAGGCTTTCTGCTTCCCAGTTTTCCTAGCACTGTTTCCTGTCCTTTTTCTACCAGGCATTGGCCGCTGGACCAACCCCCAGTACCGGCAGTTCATCACCATCTTGGAAGCAACACATCGGAACCAGTCTTCAGAAAACAAGGTGAGAGGCCCTAGGAAAAGTGCCACACAGGCACCCAATAGCAGCTTTCTCAGTTGTCCCTCAGAGCACCAGACACTGGCTTCTGCAGGAAGAGGAGGTGTGTTTTACCACCCACCACACTGGGTGTTTGCTTGCACATTGCTGTATCCCTTCTCACCTCCATTAGTGAACTGTCCACCTGAGGAATTTTTCCTCCCTACCACTTCTAATGGAATATTCTGCTAGAACAATCTTCCCCCTCCCTCACCTGTAAGAACTGGCTAAACTAGAAACATTCCACAATGTTTCTTTTTTCTTTTTCTTTTTTTTTTTTTGAGATGGAGTTTCGCTCTTGTTGCCCAGGCTGGAGTGCAATGGCACGATCTCGGCTCACTGCACTCTCCACCTCCCAGGTTCAAGTGATTCTCCTGTCTCAGCTTCCTGAGTAGCTAGGATTACAGGCACGCACCACCCACACCCTCTAATTTTTGTATTTTTTGTAGAGACGGGGTTTCACCATGTTGGCTAGGCTGGTCTCCAACTCATGACCTCAGGCGATCTGCCTGCCCCAGCCTCCCAAAGTGCTGGGATTACAGGCGTGAGCCACCACTCCTGGCCTCTTTTTTTTTTTTTCTTCTTTGAGACAGAGTCTCACTCTTACTCAGGCTGGAGTATAGTGGTACAATCTCAGTTTACTACAACCTCCAACTCCCGGGTTCAAACAATGCTCATGCCTCAGCCTCCTGAGTAGCTGGAATTACAGGTGCACACCACCACGCCCAGTTAATTTTTTTTTTTTTTTTTTGAGACGGAGTCTCACTCTGTCGCCCAGGCTGGAGTGCAGTGGCGCCATCTCAGCTTACTGCAAGCTCGGCCTCCCGGGTTCATGCCATTGTCCTGCCTCAGCCCCCTGAGTAGCTGGGACTACAGGCGCCTGCCACCACGCCCGGCTAATTTTTTTATTTTTAGTAGAGACGGGGTTTCACCATGTTAGCCAGGATGGTCTTGATCTCCTGACCTTGTGATCCGCCTGCCTCGGCCTCCCAAAGTGCTGGGATTACAGGCGTGAGCCACCGTGCCTGGCCAATTTTTGTATTTTTAGCAGAGACAGGGTTTCATCATGTTGGCCAGGCTAGTCTTGAACTCCTGACTGCAGACGATCTGCCTGCCTTGGCCTTCCAAAGTGCTGGGATTATAGGTGTGAGCCACTGTGCCTGGCCCACAGTGTTTCTTTTTTTTTCTTTTGAGATGGAGTTTCGCTCTTGTTGCCCAGGCTGGCGTGCAATGGCATGATTCCAGCTCACTGCAACCTCCGCCTCCTGGGTTCAAGCGATTCTCCTGCCTCAGCCTCCCAAGTAGCTGGGATTACAGGCATGCGCCACCACGCCCAGCTAATATTGTATTTTTAGTAGAGATGGGGTTTAGCTGTGTTGGTCAGGCTGGTCTCAAACTCCTGACCTCAGGTGATCCACCTGCCTTGGCCTCCCAAAGTGCTGGGATTACAGGTGTGAGCCACTGCACCCAGCCCACAATGTTTCTTAGAAGGTAGTTTTCTCTGTATCACAGCAGCTCAGTTCTATAAATGTTTAATTTTGTTGTATGCATTGAATACCATGCTATCCTTGTTTGTGGATGGGACAAGGTGGACAGGTGTGTCCACTCCTATGCCTGGGAGTACAGCATGGTGCCAGGAGGGAGAAAAGCTAGGGCTCAGTGTCTTGGGAATTATGCCAAGCCGGCTGGTGCTGGACTGTGATTATCTTTGAGGATGGGCTTTGGGGCCCCATAGAGCTCTTTTCTGTTATGGGAGGTTTCTAGGATCAAACAGCTATGACCACCATCATCACATTCCTGGCTACTCCACACTATGGAGCTGCGTAATGATGCCCTGTACTATGCTACTGGCTGAAGCATTTGGCACACACCCTTTCTGATCCTCACAACAGCTGAGTGAGGTGGCATTATTACCTTTATTTGTAAATGTGAGAAAACAGAGGCAAAAAGAGGTTAAGTGACCCATTCGGAGTCATAGAGCAAGAAAGTGGCTAAGTCCAGATTTGAGAGCAGGTCTGAGCAAAGCCTGCCTGAAATTTGCTTTTAGTCATCTTGTTTTGTTTTGCCATTTACCTTTTTGTATAATTTTTCTATTGCTCTCTGTTAGTCAAATTATTTTTGAAATGTCAAAAAATTTCTGTGCAGAAAATAAAAACCCTCAAAATAGAGTGCTAGGAGCTCAGGGGGTGGGGGACGAATATAGTCAAGTATTAAGACACAGCTAGGCCGGGCGCGGTGGCTCACACCTGTAATCCCAGCACTTTGGAAGGCCGAGGCGGGTGGATCACGAGGTCAGGAGATCAAGACCATCCTGGCTAACATGGTGAAACCCCATCTCTGCTAAAGGTACAAAAATTAGCCGGGCATGGTGGTGGCAGGCACCTGTAGTCCCAGCTACTTGGAGGCTGAGGCGGGAGAATGGCGTGAAGCCGGGAGGCAGAGCTTGCAGTGATCCGAGATCGTGCCACTGCACTCCAGCCTGGGCGACAGAGTGAGACTCCATCTCAAAAAAAAAAAAAAAAAAAAGACACAGCTCCCACTGCCGTCAAAAAACGTGGAGCTGGTGAGGTGGTTCATGCCTATAATCCCAGCACTTTCGGAAGCCAAGGCAGGAGGATCGCTTCAGCCCAGGAGTTGGAGACCAGCCTGGGCAACATAGTAAGACCTTGTCTCTAAAGAAAATTTTAAAAATTAGCTGGGCATGGTAGCACATGTCTGTAGTCCCAGCTACTCCAGAGGCTAAGGTAGGAGGATCACTTGGGCCTGGGAGTTTGAGGCTGCAGTGAGCTATGATTGCACCAACTGCATTCCAGCCTGGGCAACAGCACGAGACCCTGCCTCAAAAAAAAAAAAAAAGGCATGTGGACTGGCTCAGTGGGGTGGCCCGAGGTTCGGATGGGCTGTAGGGCAACACTGATCCATGGCTGCAGGAGTTGAGGAAGGGATGTAGTTGTGAGGATGGAAGTCAGAGCTTCCTTCAACGGGTGGCCCCACATGGCAGAGGAGCCCACTGTGGGCGTGACTTCCCTCCTCTCTGTCTCACTCAACCTTGGGTCTGTCAGTGTGATCTGCTGGGAGATTTCTAAGCTTCTAAGACAGCACCCTATAAGGGACCCAGGTGGGGAATAGACCGTGACCAGCCAGCGACCCCTACTACCCGTCACTCAAAAGCACTAGCACCTTCAGCCACTCCTCCTGGGGATGGGTCAGACTTAGTTTTTTAGAAAAGCAGAGTGTTAGGTTCTTAGCTTGGAAGAGGGCAGACAGGCCAGTCCTGATACCTGATGGGGCATACCATCTCCCCTGATTTTCTGGTCCTGTTAGAATTTTCCATCTGAGAATTGGGAGGGTATTGACCTCCGCTTGGTTTCCCCATGATGTGTGGGGATCAGACCCCTGGATAACGAAGGTGTTGTTGAGGGTGGGTAGGAGAGCCTCCCCTGAGTTCTCAGTACCCCTTTGCCTCTCGTGCCCACTGCAGAGGCAGCTTGCCAACTACAACTTTGACTTCCGGAGCTGGCCAGTCGACTTCCACTGGGAAGAACCCAGCAGCCGGTGAGGCCCCAGTTCTTTTGCTGTATCTCTCCCCTTAGAACCATTCCAGAAAATCTCTGCTCTGCCCTCCCACCTCCATGCCCTCTCAGGTCACAGTGCCTGCCTTCCAATGCCATTATGTCGTTCCTAGACCCCACTGTTCTCCAGACCTCAGACATCCAGCTTGCTGCTCCTGACCCTATCCTTCCCTGCATCTTTCCCTTCCTCAGGAAGGAGTCTCGAGGGGGCCCTTCCCGCCGGGGTGTGGCCCTGCTTCGCCCAGAGCCCCTGCACCGGGGGACAGCAGACACCCTCCTCAACCGGGTTAAGAAGCTGCCTTGTCAGATCACCAGGTGGGAAACAGCAGCGAGGAGAGGCCCACTGGGGTGGAGGGGCCATTTCAGGAGTGCTCTGGGAGTGGGCGCTCCATTGTAAAATAGCTGTCACTCATTGGGCCTAGTGCTGTATGGTTTGTGTAGATCATTTATGGCAAAGTCATTTTTATCCATATTTATGTTTGAAGAAAAGAGGCTCAGAGAGGTCTGGAGTCTCAAATGTAGTAAGTAAAGAACTGGGATATGAACAAAAGCTCCTTCAGTGAGGCTGAAAAGGAGCAGTGGGGGTGGGGTGGGGGTGGGGAGGACACACACTTGTAGCTAGGGCAGGCTCTGGTAGCATCTG
This sequence comes from Homo sapiens, assembly GCF_000001405.40. Classification (NCBI taxonomy): domain Eukaryota; kingdom Metazoa; phylum Chordata; class Mammalia; order Primates; family Hominidae; genus Homo; species Homo sapiens. Next base: position 3,169,988 of record NT_113891.3, on the reverse strand, counting down.
TGTACCCATCGTGGCCCCTCTGCCCTGTTGTTATTCCACCTTGGCTCCGGGCCCCTGTGTGCCTCAGTGTCTGCACCTGTGATGAACCTGCCCTGCAAGGTTGCTGAGGAGATTAAGTAAGGTAACATGTTCTGAAGGGCTCCTGCCTTGCCTGGGTGCTTGAGAGCACATGGTAAATCCCAAATAAAGCTCAGTCGTGGGTACTGATGATGTCAGAAGGAACGGAAATAACCACCTATATCTTATAGTGGAACAGACACTGGGAATTTTCTTTTGCTGGGAGTTAGGAGGCAGCTTCTAGAATACCAAGGAACAGGGTGGACTTAGTGGTTGGTTGTTGACAGTGTGCTAATTAGTCAGGGAGGCAAGCCATATTTGAGGTTTTGAATTATAACCATCATTTTTTAAAGCATTATTTATTTGGGGACCTTTAATATGTTGTACTTATATTTTAACAGAATCATAATCTGATGATAACTTTGCATTTACTTATTATGTATAGACAGTTACATCATAAAACTCTCAGAATTCTGTACATACAGGATATGTGTGCACTGAGCCACAATATAAAATGTTTATCTTACAAAGGTTGCAGTAAGAAAAGTTTGCAAAACACTAGCCTGGTACATATTTCATTAAGGCTTGAAAGAGGAAAGTAAAGCTGTGAAGGTCAGGGGTAAAGCAGGCCTTACAGTCTGTGAGTGCTAGGGCTGGGATGGTCCCCAGCACAGTCCCCAGGCCTCAACAGGGTTGGGGTTTGTTAACCTGTGTTCCCCACAGCTACCTGGTGGCGCACACCCTAGGGCGCCGGATGCTGTATCCAGGCTCTGTGTACCTGCTGCAGAAGGCCCTCATGCCTGTGCTGCTGCAGGGCCAGGCCCGACTGGTGGAAGAGGTGAGGCTTCCCTGCCCGCACATCCCCTAAAGCCCTCCCCTCTCACCCCCACCCACCCCGCCCCACCCCTGTGATGTGGCCTCCTGACCCTTGCATCTTGGCCATTGCGTCTTCCGTACTCAGTGTAATGGGCGCCGGGCAAAGCTGCTGGCCTGTGATGGCAATGAGATTGACACCATGTTTGTGGACCGGCGGGGGACAGCTGAGCCCCAGGGACAGAAGCTGGTAAGAGGGAGCAGAGAGCCCAGAGGTGGGGTGAGTGTGAGGAAGGCAGTAGAGGTCTGGGGACCCCAATGCTATAGCACCTCCCTGAAGGAACCACTACTGGGGATAATCTCATGTCCTAGCTCCACGCTAAAGACCTTGTGATGTAGTGAAACCCTGTGATAGAGAAACAGATGAAGTAGGAGAGACGTTCAAGGACGAGAAACTAATATTAATAGTTACCACTTTGACAGCACTTCACACTTATATATATTTAATTCTCATATATATATGAAGCATATATATTTAATTCTCAAAAGAATCCCGTGAGATAGGTACTGCTTATATTAGCCCATTTTACAGGAGATGAAACTGGGGCACAGAAAACCTTTCCTGGACCTCACAGTAAGTGGTAGAGCTGGTATTTGGACCCAGGCAGCCTGGCCTCAAAGTCTCCTACCTCCATGAAGCAGCCGTGGAAAGAGCGCTAAGCCAGGAGTCTAGGGAGCTGGGTTCTAGTCCTGGCTCTGCCCATCTGTTATGAGAGTTCATGCAAATCCCACCATTCGTGGGTTTCAGCTTGGGGCGCCATGGCATTACAGTTTATCTGACCATAAGACTGGAGCTCAGAGAGGGATAGGGAGAGCAATCAGCATACCACACAATAGCAATGGTCACAGAAGATAACAGACCCGAAAACGAGAAAGGAAAAACATCTCCATAGTCCCCTTCCTGAAAGAGATCCAGCTGGTAATCTTCCAAGGAAAAGACATGGCTGGGTGGTCGAGCAGGTCAGCCTCTGAGGAGTATTTGTAATCCCTTTGCTTCTCCTCTTATGGACCCTGTGGAATGAGAAGCTTCCATTCCCCTTGGAGAAAACAGAAACCTGCCCTTTCCTCTTCCCTGCAAAGCTCTTCATGGGCTGCCCTCCCTGCCCAAAGGGAGTTTTTCAGTCCCAACTTGGCCCCCCAGCCCTTCCTTCCTGCCTCCTTCCTAGGTGATCTGCTGTGAGGGGAATGCTGGGTTTTATGAGGTGGGCTGCGTCTCCACGCCCCTGGAAGGTAGGACGGTGACTCAGCCTCCTTATCTCCGCCCTTTGAAAGGGAATGTCCCTGCCTCCCACACTGACCTGACCTCCCCTGGCCTCTGCTTTCTCTGGGTGAGGTTTTGAGTCTCTCAGCTTTAGGGAAAAGTCCACTCGCCATTTGCTTTGATAACCTTACATCCCTCCCCTGGCCTGTGTCCCTAGCTATTATGCTTTTCATTCTGTTCCATTCCCCCACCACACACCCCACACAATCACATGCTGCTCCCTGTGCTGCCTCAGAACCTCTGGTGTCATCTCCTATTTCTGGGAAGGCTTGGAGTTATTTGCATCTAAGCTGGGGGGTACTTCTGCTCTTCCTTCCCCCAGGGATGGAGAAAGGGCTGTGGGCCACAAGGTCTCAGTCCCTCCTCCCCCTGTGTTACAGCTGGATATTCAGTCCTGGGCTGGAATCATCCAGGCTTTGCTGGAAGCACGGTGAGACCATCTCAGGAATCCCTTCCTTTTCCTGAATTATGTCTGTTTCCCTCTGGTCAGCCATTGGAGGGAGGAGAGGGGCTGTGGATTTCTTGAAGGCGTCCCACTCACCTGAGGGCTGGGGTCTAGGAGGTTGTGAAGGCAGCATTGGGAGCCATGCCCCCATCCCCACAGTGCGGGGCTAGCAGGAGAGGAGGAGGTAGATCTCATTGTACACATCCGTCTTCTGGAGAGAACAACCTCTCCTACCATCCCTTCCTTCTACACCTTCTCTGCCTGTCATAGGTGGCTGCAGGAGGGGTCCACGTTGGGAGGGACAGGTGAGCTGGCCTTTGGTGCTGACACACTCCTGACTTTGCCCTTTCTCCTGCAGGGGGTGCCATTCCCGCAGAATGAGGCTAATGCCATGGATGTGGTGGTCCAGTTTGCCATCCACCGCCTGGGCTTCCAGCCCCAGGACATCATCATCTACGCCTGGTCCATCGGCGGCTTCACTGGTACCAGCCTCCCTCCCATCCCCCACTGTAGACACATTCATGACCACCCAGCCCCACCCGGGAGAGGTGGGGAAATGGGGTGGGGTGGAGGCTCAAGGAAGAAGAGAGAGGAAGTAGAATCTCTGAGTGGGCCTGGAAGAAGCTATCCTATTTGCATACACTTCACCTTTCCTTCCCCTCTTGTGCCCAGTCATTAAAAGGAAAAGCAGACCCAGGTCCTGGGTGGGGAGATCAGGGAAAGTGAATGTTTCCTGCCCATTATCTTCAGTGCACTATCTCCAGTGTTCTATCCCCATCCTCTCCAGATAGTTCCCTAACCAAGTGAAGTAGGTTAAGAAAAAAACAAGGGATAACATAGGGGGAATGGGGTTGGCCTATAGGGTCAGTGGGATGAGAGCATGGGTGGTGGGGAGAAAGGAGCCTTTCTCAGTTCTTACTCTTCTTCCCTGCCCTGGTACCAGCCACGTGGGCAGCCATGTCCTACCCAGATGTTAGTGCCATGATCCTGGATGCCTCCTTTGATGACCTGGTGCCCTTGGCCTTGAAGGTCATGCCAGACAGCTGGAGTGAGTGCAGCTCCCAGGCCTGCCCTTCCTGGGAAGGGGTGGGCTGGAACTGGGAACTGTTCTGAGATGGCTCCCTTTTCTTGGGTGGGGAGTAAGTCGCCCCATTGTTGGAAGCAGGAGGACTCCTTTGTCTGGGGGCCTCAGTTTTCTTTCTCCGTGAATAGTGAGGACCTTTATGTTGGGCAAGGGCTTTGTCTCTGCCATCCCTTCACCTTTATCCCACTCTAGGGGGCCTGGTGACCAGGACCGTGAGGCAGCATCTCAATCTAAACAACGCGGAGCAGCTGTGCAGGTGAGGGCCGGCCAGCGTCCGGCATTGAACACCTGCCCCCCATACAGCTCTGCTGGGCGCTCAAACCCTGAAACTAGTACTAAAGTGCAAGTTGGTAAAAGGCCACTGGCTCACATCCTGAGTGACCCTGCCACCACCTCAACTGGCCTAACCCCTCCCAGGTCCCCTGGGACTCTGGACCACCTCAGGATCTGGCAACCAAAGGGTTAAGGCCTGGCACGGCAGGGGTCTCCCAGCAGGGCCAGACTGAACCATGCCCCTTAAATAATCCCCTCTCACCCCTGAGTGAAGGGCTAGGTCAAGGGCTGTGCTATAGCAAGGGGAGGGTAAGAATGCTACCAGTGCAGGGATAGGGGTGGGCCAGTTGTCACCCGTCTCCCTCTGAGCTCTCCCTTCCCACTGCTCTGTTCTCTGAAGATACCAGGGTCCTGTACTGCTGATCCGGAGAACCAAGGATGAGATCATCACCACCACGTGAGTGCGTGGGAATCTCGGCCCTCAGGAACCCCAGAGATGGCCAGGAACTTGTCCCTTCTACCTCTGCCCACCAGAAACCTGGGTATCTAGACCCTTCCTCCTAACCTCCAGCCCCTCCAGGGTACATTCTTCTCACCCCCAGGGTTCCTGAGGACATCATGTCCAACCGAGGCAATGACCTCCTGCTGAAGCTCCTGCAGCATCGGTGAGAGCCAGGGTGTGTGCGCGCTGGGGGCAGTGTACACACACAGATACTGATACCAGCACAGGGAAGGAGGGAGGAAGGTTCAGGGATGGTGAATGAAAAAAAATCAGCCCTGACCTGTCCTGGCACTTCCTCCGTAGGTATCCCCGGGTGATGGCAGAGGAGGGTCTTCGAGTGGTGAGGCAGTGGTTGGAGGCCTCCTCACAGCTGGAGGAAGGTGAGAAGGGATCCAGTGAGGCTTGGGGCGGGGGCCCAGCAAGGTCAGGTTGCTGACTGGCTGTCATCTCTCTCCCTGACCAGCCTCAATTTATAGCCGATGGGAGGTGGAAGAGGACTGGTGTCTGTCTGTCCTCCGCTCCTACCAGGCAGAACACGGGCCCGACTTCCCCTGGAGCGTGGGTAAGGAGCTCCTGGGGCAGGAGAGAGGGTGGGAAGGGCCTAGGAAGGGGATGAATACCCAGATGTGTGGCCTATTTTGAGCGCCTCCTCTCTGCAGGGGAGGACATGAGTGCAGATGGACGGCGGCAGCTGGCTTTGTTTCTGGTGAGCTAAGGAGTGGGAAGTGGGAAGGGTTCTTGAATGGCCAGGGCTCACATAGGGGGACTGGGGATACCCTATAAGCATTGGAAGTGGCAGCTTTTGTAGAGTGGGTGGTGGATGCGGAAGTGGAGGGTGGGGAGGGAGTCCAGTGGCTGCCCCTCCCAACAGTGCTCTGTACCCCACCTGTCCCACCTCCTTTCCTCAGGCTCGGAAGCATCTGCACAACTTTGAGGCCACTCACTGCACCCCACTCCCAGCCCAGAACTTCCAGATGCCCTGGCACCTCTAGGGACCAACTGGGACTCATTATGGAAGAATGGGGTGAGAGGAGACATGAGGAAAGACCCTCTTATTTGTGATTCTCTGTGTTCATGTTGCTGTTTATAGTTTGTGGAAAGTGGGGGACCATCCCCCTTCTCACCACTGTTCCTCTTGCACGTTTCCCCTCATTCATGTGGCTGTACTTAACCTTCTCCAACATACATCCTGCATTACATGAATGGATTATTCCTAATAATTAATAAAAAGGTATTTTTTCTACTATCAGGCTAATTGTATAACTTCTCAAGTGTCCAGGGAGCCAGGGGCAGGTAGTGGGGAGAGCAGAGGCCCCAAAGAGCTGGGCTTTGGGAAACCCTAACTCTAGACAATCTAGCTAATCTAACCCTTCCCATCTCTGTGTCCCCCTAGGCCTTCAGCCCCTAACCTGAGCTTTCCTCAGGCAGCAGGTCCCCAAACCTCCCCGGTCCCTGATGTGCCTACTGTTATCACAACTGTGCAGCCTCCCTGGCCCCTCCCGCCTCCTTCTTCAGTTCTTCCTGCATACAACCACCCCAGGAGCCCATGGTTGCCCCCTCCTGCTTACGGCTCATGAGCTTTCTAGGATCCGATTTCACCTACCCAGTGCTTCTGCTGGTTTCCAGGTTCAACCTGCATGGTGTTACTAGCAGTACCCCCAATTTTCATTGCTCACCTCTTGTTATCTTGGTGAAGAGTGAGGAAGGGCCTGCTCCCCACGTCTTATGCAGCAAACCCTGCACACCCACCTTGCCATGTCATCAAGTCTCTGTCCTCACAGCCTTTTTGCAGTTCAACAAACACAGGCCCTGCCAGGGACGGAGGGCCAGGTGCCAAGGACTCATGTCTTCTCAGAGCCATACTTTGCCTTTTGGACGGCTCTGTTAGGAGAAGATGCTTAGGTTGTACCTGAGGAAATTGGTTCCCTATAACTGCCATCTATCTCTAACTTTGGACCTTGTGGAACACAGTGAATAAATCCCTCTTCCACCCATTGGTTTGTTGCCTGGCAGTTTTTTTTATTTTTTTGGAGATGGAGTCTTACTATGTTGCCCAGGCTGGAGTGCAGTGGCACAATCTGAGCTTGCTGCAACCTCCACCTCCCAGGTTCAAGTGATCCTCCAGCCTCAGCCCCTCTAGTAGCTGGGATTACAGGTATGCGCCACCATACCCAGTTGATTTTTGTATTTTTAGTGAAGATGAGGTTTCGCCATGTTGGCCAAGTTGGTCTCGAACTCCTGACCTCAGGTGATCCAACCGCCTTGGCTTCCCAAAGTGTTGGGGATTAAAGGTGTGAGCCACTGCGCCTGGCCGCTGGCCACTTTCTTCATTTGGAAACTTCTCTTTTCCAGATGAAAGACCCCAAAGTTTATCGCCCTGAGTCCATTTTTGTTTTGTTTTATTTTGTTGGGGATGGTTTTTTGTTTGTTTTTTGAGATGGATTCTCACTCTGTCGCCTAGGCTGGAGTGCAGTGGCACGATCTCAGCTCATTGCAACCTCTGCCTCCCAAGTTCAAGCGATTCTCCTGTCTCAGCCTCCCAAGTAGCTGGGATTACAGGTGTGTGCCACTACACACAGCTGATTTTTCGTATTTTAGTAGAGACAGGTTTCACCATGTTGCCCAGGCTGGTCTCAAACTCCTGAGCTCAGGCAATCCACCCACCTCAGCCGACTCCATTCTTTTTTTTTTTTTTTTTTTGAGACGGAGTCTCGCTCTGTCACCCAGGCTGGAGTGCAGTGGCACAATCTCGGCTCACTGCAAGCTCCGCCTCCTGGGTTCACGCCATTCTCCTGCCTCAGCCTCCCTAGTACCTGGGACTACAGGCGCCTGCCACCACGCCTGGCTAATTTTTTGTATTCTTAGTAGAGACGGGGTTTCACTGTGTTAGCCAGGATGGTCTCGATCTCCTGACCTCGTGATCCACCCGCCTCTGCCTCCCAAAGTGCTGGGATTACAGGCGTGAGCCACCGCGCCCGGCCAACTCCATTCTTTTGAGCAAGATACTTAACGTGGGCGACAATGTTCTAATGTCCTAGATGGAGTCTCTGGCTAAATTTCTGTGTCTTCTCCAAACCCAGTGCATGAAGCTCTTCTTGAAACCCCAGGGCAGAGGCTGTGTGTGCCCCCATTAGCGCTGCAACTCCTTAAGGGAAGATATACTGAGTCTCCACTGGAAGTGGAGATCTGAGACTTAATCAGGTGATGTGATGCCTGAAATTTGGAGTTAGAAGAGGCAGGTGACCACAGCTCCATAATGCTCCACCGTTAGCAAACAGGTGGATAGCTGATACTGGTGCCCTCTCCTCTATCCCATTCCAGGGGGGCAAACGATGGGAAGTGTGGAACATGAAGCTCTGGAGCCAGCTGCACAGTTCTGAATCCCATCCTCCCAGATCCAACAGAAGAGTTAATCCCCTGAAAACTAAATTTTTGTTCAGCTAAGGGAAGCTCCTTAAATGCAAAGAGGAGCTGGGCATGGTGGCTCACATCTGTAATCCCAGCACTTTGGGAGGCTGGGGCAGGAGGATCACTTGAGCCTAGAAGTTCAAGACTGGACAGGGCAACATAGGGAGACTCCATCAGTACAAAAAATTTAAAAATTACCCAGGCATGGTGGCATGCACCCGTGTTCCAAGCTACTCTGGAGGCTGAGGTAAGAGGATCGCTTGGCTGAGGATCACGGTAGGTTGAGGCTGCAGTGAGCTGTGATCGTGCCACCGGACTCCAGCTTGGGTGACAGAGTGAGACTCTGTCTCAAAAAAAAAAAAAAAAAGCAAATAGGGGTGCCCAGTCTCACCTCCCATACCCTGGGGACAAAGGACACCCCTCCCTGGACATGGCCATTAGGGACTCTGCTGAACTGCCCCTACTGCCACTTTCCCCCATCTTACTGCATGTAATTGTAGACAACAGTGGATGACCTGAGGGGCCCTTAGATACCTGAAATTGGGTAGGGAAAGAAAGGTAGGCTCAACATGTGAATTCTGAACCCCCCCATCCAGGGGCCTCAGCCTACTTCAGATTACTCCCTATGCAATAAGGTTCAGAGCAGCTGTGTTTGTTTTCAGAACTAATCCCCACCCAGGGGTGGAAGCAGGCCCCTGTCCACTCCTCACCCTATATAGCAAAGTTCCAGCAGTTCCAGGGGATGATCAGCAGAGATGCAGACCTTCCCAGTTGCTGGGGCGCTGGACCCTGCTATACTGGACACAAGGTGAGGCCTGAAAGTCCAGGCACCCTGAGGAGCTGGGCAAACTAGCAGAAAAGATGGCGCTGGGAGAAAGGAAAGTTAGACTCTGGACGGGAAATCTGGAAAGAAGTGGTTCCCAGCTGGGCCAAAAAGCCTCATCCTACGCCGTCTCATCGACCTGGGCTCCACCCTGAGTGCCTCCAGTGTGAGGTGCTGGACTGGCTCTGTGCTGCCTGTTTGGGTTGAGGGTTTGCTCCTAGGAGAGGCATGTATTTCTCGTACAGCTGTCACAAGCGAGTGAGGGCTCCGGAGGTGGAGGGCCCAAGAGGGTGGGGAGCTCAGGCGTCAGTGATAGCCAGATTTCCATCCATCGGTCCGTCCGTCCGTCCATCCATCCATCCATCTATCCAATCAACAAGCCATTCCGGATTCTTCAGGAATCCAGTCATTCATTTATATTTAGGTTAAAGACCCTCTCTCTGGTTCCTCTCTAGAACGCAATCTCGAGCCGCTCCCCCAACAAACCGTGGCCCTCTCCCGACCGGGTCATCTACAGCCCCGCCCCTCGTTTGCCTGGCTCCATTCCCCTAACCTTGGCGTTCTGTCCTCAGGCCCCGCCTTCTTTGTTTCGTCACTCGGTTGCTTACCCTCAGGTATCCCTTAACTCTAGGTAGGAGCACTCAGAAGGGACACCGTCATCTGCTGCTGTCGCCATGGCGATTATTCAACGCCCTGCCTCTTCACCCCAGGAAAACCTTCGCGGAACCCGTCACCATGGAAACGAACTCTCTGGACTCTTAGCGCGCCCTGGGCTGGCCCTGCTGGGTGGACAGGAGAGGAGCAAAACGCAACAAAGACGGGATTAATTACTCGGAGGCCGCGCCCCCTCCGAAGAAGGCCCCACCCTGCCCCGGCCTCACCCCTCCCCGAAATAATTCGAGGAAATATTCCGCGAATGCTGGGTGGGTGTCTTGCCCCCCGGTTCCCTCAAGGCCCACGGTCGCTTGAATTCCACAGCAAGTCCTCCCGGACCTCTCAGGGCAATCCCCTCCCGAAGCCCAGCCTCAGCCTCGCAAAGCCTCTAGTCGTTGGCCTTTTCGTTGCGATTATATTCGAGAGGGAGCTTCAGAGGGCGCCGCGAAGTTCCCCTGTGCTTCCCCTTTGCCCTTTGCCCTCTTCGCTTCAAGAGGAGCCCCTGGCTCTCTTTTTTTTTTTTTTTTTTTTTTTTTGAGACGGAGTCTTGCTCTGTCGCCAAGCTGGAGTGCAGTGGCGCGATCTCGGCTCACTGCAACCTCCGTCTCCCGGGTTCAAGCGATTCTCCTGCCTCAGCCTCCTGAGTAGCTGGGACTACAGGCAGGCGCCACCACTCCTGGCTAATTTTTGTATGTTTAGTAGAGACGGGGTTTCACCATATTGTCCAGGATGGTCTCGATCTCTTAACCTTGTGATCCGCCCAGCTCGGCCTCCCAAAGTGCTGGGATTACAGGCGTGAGCCACGGAGCCCGGCCCTCTGATTCTTTTTGTCTATCACTCTGTGCACTCATTCATTCAAGACATTTATGTAGGTGCCCCGCGTTCCTCTGCAGTTCTCCACTACTCTGGCTTTTCTCTAATACAATTTATTTTGTGTTATTATTTCTTTAAGACAGAGTCTCACTCTGTCGCCCAGGCTGGAGTGCAGTGGTGCGATCTCGGCTCACTGCAACCTCTGCCTCCCAGGTTCAAGAGATTCTCCTGCCTCAGCCTCCCGAGTAGCCAGGACTACAGGCGTGCGCCACCACACCTGGCTAATGTTTTTGTATTTTTTGATAGAGACGGGGTTTCACCATGTTGCTCAGGCTGGTTGCGAACTCCTGACCTCGAATGATCCCCCACCTTGGCCTCCCAAAGTGCTGGGATTACAGGCATGAGCCGCCACGCCCGGCTAATTTTTGGTATTTGTAGTAGAAACGGGGTTTCACCATGTTAGCCAGGCTGGGTGCGAACTCCTGACCTCAGGTAGTCCACCCGCCTTGGCCTCCCAAAGTGCTGGGATTACAGGCGTGAGCCACCGCAGTCCGGCCCTAATATAGTTTTTAAATTCATTCATTCCAAGGCTTTTGGGAGGCGCTCAGTGGCGTGCAGTTTCCTCTCGAATTTCTTTCTTCCCGCAGTCTTTCTGGGCGGGCGTCTCCCGTCTGTTTCTTCCCATCTTCCCCCTTATCATCCTGGGACTGGATAATTCTTGAATAGTCTGGGAGGTAGCAGGGAACCCGAGTTCGGAGCCTCGACCAGAACCTCCAGACGGGAAATTGGAGCAGGTGGTGTCGTTCCAGGACGCTGAGGACCACCTCCTCCCCTAACGCACAGCCCAACGATCCTAAAAGTAAAAACCCTGAGTTTCTGAGTCAAGACTGAGCTGGTGGGGTGGGGACCGAGTAGGCGTGGATGGGGAGCCCAGCGGGTCCCCAGCGGAGAAAATGGGTGAGACGCCTGGGGCCGCGGTCTCCAGAATTCGCCTGGGAGGGAGAGTGGCGCTACGGCGCCGCCTTCCTGGGGAGCCGCTTCGGGCTCCGGATGTCCGCTGGGGCCCGACGCTTGGGTCCCGACGCGCGGTTCGCACTTTCCAGGTTTCTTCCCCAGGGAACAGAGCTTGAGCGGGGGGCCACCCCCCCGTCCTACCGGAGTTCTGAGGTGCGGTCAGGCGCGGAGAGCGGACGCCCAGCGCCAGATTCTGTGGGCTCCGGAGTTCAGGCCCACTGAGCCGCAGCTGAGCACAGGCGGGGCAGGAAAAAGGATGAGGTGAGGGAAGGCGCTGGGTTCCTGGAACCCCAAGGGAGCACTGAGCTGAGTACGTATCGCTTGGGATCCAGGTGTCCTTGTTTTAGGATGTCTGACAGGTGTCCCCAGGGTATGAGAAGTGGGACTGGGCACCCCCTATTTGCTTTTTTTTTTTTTTTTTTGAGACAGACCACATGTTTCCTATCTTGGAAAATGGTACCACTTCCTTGTGCAAGCCTACCCCTGTTCCCTCACCCCTCGTTCAGTCCAACAGCAAATCTGTCCAGTCTTCTAACTGTATCTCAGGTTCATTAGCCCCGCTTCCTCGTCCCTGCTCGTCTTCTGCCGGACCAGTCCGCCATCTTGTGACCGGACTCGGGAATAGCGTCCTACTTCCCGGCGGCCTCCACTCTTGACCCAAATGCAATGTGCAGCCATGGCAATCTTTTATAAACAGAAATCCGATCAAGTTACTCCTCTGCCGAAATCCCTCTGGTCAGTGGTTTAACTGTCGAGGTGCTCCTGGCAGCACTCTGCCCTCCCCACATCATTGCTGGTGGACTTGTCTCCCCTACTAGACTGTGCCCTGTGAGGGTGGAGACTTTGTGCAGGGTTGTATCCCCAGCATCTGATGCAGTGATTCAATAAACATCTGTCCAATTAATAGGAAAGACAGTTCCTTTTCTCATTCCCCTATTGCTGGTCCCCTGCCCTCAAGCAGGATGTTATGCCCCAGAGTGGCTGTGGGTGCGAACATTCTGCCCCTCTGGCTGGTCTGGCACTGATTTCCACCCTGAGCTGGTGTTGCCTCTCTCCTTCCTCTTGGCCAACCTCTCTTCCACCAATATAAGCCCAAACTGGAGGCCAGCAGGCAGTCATGCGTTTTATGGCAGGCCCTGCAGGGAGCCAGAGTCTGGGTCCCCTGTGCTTCCACAGCAGCCCCCAAGCCCTCTACACGGTCCTCTTAATAGTGCTGGTCATGATGAGCTTGGTGTTTGGTAAGTGGCTCCAAGGGTTCAGAAGGGTCTCCTGGCCTGGATGGAGAAACCCACAGACACCAAGTGTCTGGGTACACCTGTCCAGGATGCTCAGGTAAACCCATGCAGGAGGAGAGATGGGACAGATGGGTTTGGTAGGGAATGCCTGCTCATGGACTGATGTGCAATCTGAAGATTTTTAAAAATTTATTATTATTATTATTTTTGAGATGGAGTCTCGCTCTGTATCCCAGGCCGGAGTGCAGTGGCGAGATCTCGGCTCACTGCAACCTCCACCTCCCGGGTTCAAGCGATTCTCATGCCTCAGCCTCCCGAATAACTGGGATTACAGGCATAAGCCACCAAGCCCAGCTAATTTTTGTATATTTAGTAGAGACGGGGTTTCACCATGTTGGCCAGGCTGGTCTCGAACTCCTGACCTCAGGTACCTGCCCGCCTTGGCCTCCCAAAGTGCTGGGATTACAGGCGTGAGCCACCGCACCCAGCCTCTGAAGGAGATTTCTAGTGACCACCCCAGGGCTGTCTCACTTCACAGCAGTGACCTGAATAGAGATACTGAAGGAATCCTCTCTGGATCTGAGGGCAACATAGAATAGGGAGGGTTAGGGAGTGTGCTGGATGAGAAAACCAGAATCCACAGGATAGAACAAGACTGAGTCCAGCCTGCTGGGCTCCCCACTTGGCTGCAAAGCACCAGCCACAGAGACACAGGATTCAAAGTGTTGGTTTAGCACTTTCCTCTGCCTAACACCAAGTGCTCTGCTGGGTCTGGGGATTTGTTAACATGTGGTCTGGCCTTAGGACCAGAGGAAAAGGGGGATGTATGTGTATGCAGTTGGGGAAGGAAGCAGAGAATTGGGGCTTTGATGGTTTTCTGAGACAGGAAGGGAGGGAGGAGTGGGGCTGAGTGGCCTGGAATCAGGCAGTGGTAGGGTGTGAGGTAGAATGGGGTGTGAGTGGGGTCAGCACTTCTCTGTGTTCTAGGTAAGTTTGTTCCTGTCAATTGGGAACCCCCTCAACCACTTCCATTCCCCAAATACCTGCGCTGCTACCGATGCCTCTTGGAGACCAAGGAGTTAGGGTGCCTTCTGGGATCTGACATCTGCCTCACCCCAGCTGGCAGCAGCTGCATCACTCTCCACAAAAAGAACAGTAAGTGGCCTTCTCCTGTCATGGGCCCAGCACTCTCCCAAACGGAAACTCTCTCAGCCTCCTAAGCTGCACCCCAAGTCTTGTTCCCATAATCCCATAAGACATTGCTCCAATCCTGTCTTTTTTTTTTTGCTGCTCTGTCACCCAGGCTGGAGTGCAGTGGCGCAATCTTGGCTCACTGCAACCTCCACCTCCCCAGTTCAAGCAATTCTTGTGCCTCAGTCTCCCAAGCAGCTGGGATTAAAGGTGCACGCCACCACGCCCAGCTAATTTTTTGTATTTTTAGTAGAGATGGGGATTCACCATGTTGGCCAGGCTGGTCTCGAACTCCTGACCTCAGGTGATCCACCCACCTTAGCTTCCCAGAGTGCTGGGATTACAGGCGTGAGCCACCGTGCCCAGCCTCTCTTCCCTTTTCTTCAGAGCCACACTCTGTCTCCACTTCCACTAACCTTCTCTCCTCAATCTGTAGCTGAATAGCTTCTACCCTATCAAGGTGCGCAGCTTTGACGGGGACCCTCCAGATCTCCAGGTGCCCTTGCCTGTCCTCAAGCTGTCTGCTTCCGCATCTGTCTGCAGTTACTGCTGGTGTTGCTCTTCTCCTGCATCCTCCACGGCTTCTTCAGTCTCCTTCATGGAGCGTTTTCTCTCTGACCCTTAGTGGTTCATGTTCACCAAGGTTTGGTCCTTAGCTGTCTTCCCACTTCATATACTCAAAAGCAGAGGATTTTATCTGCTTTGCTGGCTTCAACCAGCAGCCACATACCACTTCCTTCTGAATCTGAATGTTATGTCAAACCGCTCTCCTCATATCCCGTTGACCACTGGACATCTCCCTCGCTGAAAATTGACTCCTTCCCGATGCCTGCTCTTCCACCGACCCCCCACCTTTCTTAAGTTAGCAAAAACGTAACACATAATATGTGCTAGGCACTGTTCTAAACACTTGCAATCCGCTGAGGCAGGTATTATTACTATGTGCATTTTACAGATGAGGAAACAGGTGCAGAAAGGTCATAACCTTGCCTGAGTCTCACAGATGCTGAGCCAGAATTTGTGATGGCTCCAGAGATGGTGCTCTCAACAACCACTGCATGCAGCTGCCTGTGTTCAAGTCCTCTTACTACCCTTTTAACATAGCCGATGCACAGATGTGGGTCAAATATCAGAGTATACAATACCATCAAACCAAAGTCTCCCGCTACTACCCTAACCCACCTGGCTCCCCTGCACATGTGACCACTTTTTTTACTTTCTGGATGATCCCTCCTGCAATCTTTTATGCACATTCCACCCTGCACAAATATGCTGTTTACTATTTTTTCACCTCTTCCCCCGCCCCAACCCAAGATAGTAGCATCCCACTGTAAACATTATTCCACATTTAAGTTAGGGGAACTGAATGTTCCGATATCAGTTTGTAAACAGCTTCCTTGTTTTATTGACCTGCTGTATACTACTCCATAGCATGCGCATATCACAGCTGATTTCCCCATCCCACTATTGATGGGCATTTTGGTCATTTCTCTCAAGCAGGGCAGCAGCAAACATCCCTGAACATGACTTCTTGGGATGCAGGCACAAAGATTTTTCTCTATTATGTATAACAGCAGCAGACATCATCTTATTCTCTTTTGGTCTGAAAAATAAATAACAATACACCTCCTTCCTGCCACCCAATCTCCAAAACATTTCCCAGCTTTTTCTCACATGGTCCTATGGTGCTAGTTCTCCTCACTTGGCTCAGTAACTCCCAACTCCCCCTCCAACCATTACATTTCATATGGCTCTTTTCCTCCAGCCTTGCATGGGAACTTCAGTGGAGTTCCATGGCTGGTGAACACTGGGCATGTCCACCCATGCCTAACTACAGGAATCTTTTCTTTTTCTTTTTTTTTTGACTTATGAGTGTGGGGATGAGAGGATTTGGGGCTCTTCCTGGGGACTTCCGTATCACTGGTGCCCACTGTCCCTCCCCAGGCAGCGGTTCTGACGTCATGGTGAGTGACTGCCGAAGTAAGGAGCAGATGAGTGATTGTTCAAATACCCGAACTTCTCCGGTGTCTGGCTTCTGGATATTCTCTCAATACTGCTTCCTGGATTTCTGCAATGACCCTCAAAACAGAGGGCTCTATACTCCTTAGTGTGACTGCAGCAAACTTTGGTGTAAAATTCCACCAGTTTCCAGCCACCTTCCTGACTTCTATCTGGGCTTGGCCAGGACTTCTAGTCCCTCATACCAGCCCTCCTTGCCTCCCTCCAGCCACTGGACCCCAGCCTTGGCTCTTCCTCTTGGTTGACGCCCTTCAGCACACTTACTGCTACTCTGTACCCCCAGCCCTACTGCCCACCAGGTTTCCTCTCTTGTCCCCTAGTCCCTGGATGTTTCTCCCAAATAAATTTGTGTGTAAACTGTTTGGTATGTCTCTTTCTTCTGGTGGAGGTGAAGGCTGAGGGAGGTGCACCTGCCTAACTGCCCTACCATGGGTCAGGTAAGGGACCCCCAGCTCTGCTGAGCTGTCCTCTTGTCCTGCCTTGGTATGTGATTTGCTCTAGACACAAAAAGAGAAAGAGGAAATGAAAGCCCTCCTATGGTGAATGCCAGAAAGTTAGTGGGCATCCTCGGCAGTGCTGTCAGACCAGAGCTGTGTGGGGGCTAGGGGCGTTTAGAGGGCTATGTTGGTGGGAAGGGGGCTGCGAAAGGACCAGGCCCAGGTAGAAGGAGGTGGGTGAGAAGGCCACTCTTTTTTTGAGACAGTCTCACTGTCACCTAGGCTGGAGTGCAGTGGTGTGATCTTGGCTCATTGCAACTTCTGCCTCCCAGGTTCAAGTGATTCTTCTGCCTCAGCCTCCCGAGTAGCTGGGATTACAAGCACATGCCACCACACCTGGCTAATTTTTATATTTTATTAGTAGAGACGGGGTTTCACCAGTTGGCCAGGCTGGTCTCGAACTCCTGACTTCAAGTGATCTGCCTGCGTTGGCCTCCCAAAGGGCTGGGATTACAGGCGTGAGTCACCCCGAGCCGAGAAGGCCACTCTCAAAGAGATGTTAGACCTTATTGGAGTCCTGGTCTCTTCAATTCTGGGCCAAGTTCTTCAGCCTCTGAGGGTGTCTTCCAGGTTGACCTGCTATAAACCTGGGCCTTTCTCTGTCTTATACTGACGTCAGAGGTCATGGAGAAGGGTGGACTTAGCAAGGTGGGGGTTGGGGGGCACATTAAGGGTTTGTACCTCTCTTTGTACGCCAACTGCCTCATGACTTAATTATCATTGGTTTGGTATTTTCCGTCAGAGTACAGGCCACACAGATTTGTTAACACGTGTGCAAAACACTATATAGGTAAAAGCAGATGCGTACGATGCCATTTCCATCAAGCACAGACAGAACTCATCTAAGCTACTACCAGTCAGGACAGCGGCTACCCCAGAGCTGGGAAGAGCACCTGGGAGAGGGGAACAGAGGCAGGCTTGGCTGCGGGTAAAGGTCTTCACGCTGATTTGGTGGCTGGTTACACAGATGTGTGGTTTACAAAAATCCATCTTGTGATATGTGCAAGCTTCTGAATGTTTTACCAAAAAGGTTTGAAAATAAGTAAATCAGCCAGGTGAGCATGGTGGTGTGCATCTGTAGTCCCAGCTACTTGGAGGCTGAGGCAGAAGAATCTCTTGAGCCCAGGAGTTCAAGGCCAGCTTGGGCAACATAGTAAGAACCTTAGAAAAAAAAGCTGAACATTGTGTATGCATTTGACTCTAGGGCAAATATATTTTTTTGAGGGGGAAAAGGCCTTAACTTCTACTTGTGTATGCACATTTACATGTGTTTTCTCAATCATCTGAGGCACTATCCCTACTTGACAGGTGACCAAGGTGGGGCTGAAGAGACTGACATATCCAAGTGGTAGAGGGGCTGGGATTGGACCTCCCAGCCACAAAGCTGCACTGCTTTTCAGAAAAAGGTTTCATAACCCAAGCACTGGGCTGCAAGACTTGGAAGGGCAGACACCTGGCTATACTCATCTGGGAGTCCTGCTGCTCAATACCAAGCCTGACTCAGAGCAGCGTTATGTCCAGCATGTTTATCCAGTGTATGGAAAAGGCTGTTGTATCCATCCTTGCTTTCTATACGTTTGCACTATTTCAAAATTAAAATATTAGCATGAAGATCCAACCACTGCAGCCCAACATCAGTGCTCTCAGCACTTTGCCCCTCAAATTGGGCCCCTCGAGAGGGCATCCTGGATGCCAGAATCCTTGAAAAGAACTAAGGAATGGCAGGAGTCCAGGGCCCCAGCAGCAGGTAACTCTGGCATGTGGCTCTGAGTTCCTGAGTCTTTCTGGTTTAAAGAGAAAGTTTCTTTTTTTTTTTTTTTGGAGACAGTCTCGGTCTGTCACCCAGGCTGGAGTACAGTGGCACGATCTCGGCTCACTGCAAACTCTGCCTCCCAGGTTCAAGCGATTCTCCTGCCTCAGCCTCCTGAGTAGCTGGGATCACAGACACGTGCCACCATGCCCAACTAATTTTTTTTTTTTTTTTTTTAGTAGAGATGGGCTTTCACCATGTTGGTCAGGCTGGTGTCGAACTCCTGACCTCATGATCCGCCTGCTTCGGCCTCCCAAAGTGCTGGGATTACAGGCAAGCCACCGCGCCCAGGCTTTTTTTTTTTTTTTTAAGACAGAGTTTCGCTCTTGTTGCCCTGTCTGGAGTGCAATGGCGTGATCTCAGCTCACTGCAACCTACACCTCCCCGGTTCAAGCAATTCTCCTGCCTCAGCCTCCCAAGTAGCTGGGATTACAAGCATGAGCCACCATGCCCAGCTAATTTTTCATATTTAGTAGAGACAAGATTTCACCATGTTGGTCAGGCTGGTCTCAAACCCGACCTCAGGTGATCCACCCACCTCGGCCTCCCAAAGTTCAGGGATTACAAGCATGAGCCACCGCACCTGGCCTAAAGTTTCTTTTCTTAGGTGAAAAGACCTGGCATCATCAGGGTCTAACTTTCCAGGTTTTGTAGGGTATGTTTAAGGCTGGGAAGAATCACAGTCCCCATGCTTTGATCTCCAGCTAAGCAGAGGGTGGGGAGGGATGTGTGCCCTTTACAGGAGGCCGAGAGGAAGCGACAAACGCCAAGTGCAATGGAGAGGGCTCTGCAATCCTATTTGGATCCCAAACCTCACTAACCCTTTTTTTTTTTTTTTTTTTTGAGACACAGTTTCACTCTTGTTGCCCAGGCTGGAGTGCAATGGTGCAATCTCGGCTCATCGCCACCTCCACCTTCCAGGTTCAAGTGATTCTCCGGCCTCAGCCTCCCGAGTAGCTGTAATTACAGGTATGCGCTACCAAGCCCGGCTAATTTTGTATTTTTAGTAGCGATGGGGTTTCTCCATATTGGTCAGGCTGGTCTCAAACTCCCAATCTCAGGTGATCCGCCTGCCTCAGCCTCCCAAAGTGCTGGGATTACAGGCGTGAGCCACTGCGCCAGGCATTAACCCTCTTTAATCTGTGTTTACCTGCCCACACCTGAGCCTGACCCCACAAACAATGTGACACAGTTTTAGCCCAGTCCCAGTTTATTGTGGAGGAAAATGGGGGACATGGAGCTGAGCAGAACAGACCCTTCCCTCTCCTCTCACAGGCCCCTAGGGAGATGGGTGTCAGGACTCAGTGAAGTGAAATGGGGCCGAGGAAGCCAGAGACTGACAAGAGAGCAAGAGAGGACAGGAGGCAGAACAACACTAGGACAGGCGGGGGTTGGTGGAGACAGTGAGGCAGGGACACAAAATTGCCAAGTCAGGACATCTGCACAGAATTCTATTCCTCATCCTTTTTTTTGGAGACGGAGTCTCACTGTGTCACCCAGGCTGGAGTGCAGTGGCGCGATCTCGGCTCACTGCAACCTCTGCCTCCCGGGTTCAAGTGATTCTCCTGTCTCAGCCTCCTGAGTAGCTGGGATTACAGAGGTGTGCCACCACACCCAGCTGATTTTTCTATTTTTAATAGAGAGCGGGTTTTACCATGTTGGCCAGGCTGGTCTCAAACTCCCAATCTCAAGTGATCCGCCCACCTCGGCCTCCCAAAGTGCTGGGATTACCGGCGTGAGCCACCATGCCCGGCCTCCTCGTCCTTCTTGCTGCTAGTTCAGTCTGGTACTGGGTCTTAGAGACATGGACAAGACAGGGGAAACAGAGCTAGATGTCAATAGGCAGGTGACTGGATTGAGAGGGATGGGGGATACTGGAACACTCAGATGATGGGGAAGGAATGGAGGAACCACTGTGCCTTTCTCAGGTCAGCCTGTCTGGGCAGAATCCACACTAGAGATTCTTTTCTAGGGGGAAGAACAGCACCAGAGCTCAGCCAGGCACAGTGGCTCACACCTGTAATCCCGGCACTTTGGGAGGTCGAGGAGGGCAGATTACGAGGTCAGGAGTTCGAGACCAGCCTGACCAACATGGTGAAACCCCGTCTCTACTAAAAATACAAAAAATTAGCCAGGCGTGGTGGTGCACGCCTGTAGTCCCAGCTACTCGGGAGGCTGAGGCAGGAGAATCGCTGGAACCCGGGAGGTGGAGGTTGTAGTGAGCAGAGATCATGCCACTGCACTCCACCCTGGGTGACAGAGCGAGACTTTGTCTCAAACAAACAAAAAAACAGCACCAGAGTTCAAGAGAGAAAATTACACAAAAGTCATATAGATGCTAGTGGTACAACAGACGGAGGCCTAAGAAATCACAGTGACCAAAGAATGTGGGTGTTTTCAGAGAGGGCAGTGCAGGATGCTGAGGGTGTTACAGAAAGATATTTGCACTGTGGAATTCAGGAAGGGTGAGGTGTCAAGAGTCCAGCCTGGGGAAGAACCAAAAGTCCTGAACTATTGAGGAACAAGTACATGCGGCGCAGCTCAGCAAAAGACAAGCCCAGGTTCAGGGACAGTGTGACCATGGGGTCCAGGCCATCAGGCTCCGTCCCAGCATGGAAATTGGGGAGGGGCAGGGAGAGGTTCAGGGCCTGGTAGAACCACTGAATCTGGGAGTCAGACAGAGGCAGGGCCAGGGGCCTGTCATGGGGCTCCGGCAGAGAGCTCTGGAGTTGGGGGCTTGACCAGGAGTTGCAATAATCGTACTGACAGCACTGGGCCTGATACCAGTACTCTGCAAAGTAGGTGTTGCGTTTTTCTTGGCAGCGGTAGGAAATGTACTGTCCACAGCCTCGAACGATGAAGCGAACCTTGACATCTGAGGGAGAGGGGAAAGCTGATAACCCCTTCCAATAGCTTCCCATAGTCCAAGAACCCCTGCTACTGACTTTTCCCATCCTTCACCCAGACCTAATTTACTTCTAACCCAGAGTCCTTCAAGAGGCTAGAAAAGTGAGCTCTGCTGGCCCCCTAGAACCTTAGACCCCTCCTTCCAAGATTCTTCTGGTTTTTTTTGAGACAGGGTCTAGCTCTGTTACCCAGGCTGGAGCATGGTGGCGCAATCTTGGCTCACTGCAACCTATGCCTCCTGAGTTTAAGAGATCTCCCACCTCAGCCTCCCGAGTAGCTGGGACTACAGGTGCATACCACCATGCCTGGCTATTTTTTTGTAGAGACAGGGTCTCACTATGTTGCCTAGGCTGGTCTTGAACTCTAGAGCTTAAGTGATCCACCTGCCTCAGCCTCCCAAAGTGCTAGGGTTACAGGCATGAGCCATTGCACTCAGCCCCTCCTCTCTTCTTGTACCCCATGCCCGGAGCAGCCCTGATCTGTGAGAGGAGAGAAGACCAAGCCATTGGCTGCCCCACCAGCAGCCCCTTCCTGGGACCTTATTTACCATAATAGATGGTGATCACCATGCACAGGGATGAGCTGCTGATGGTACACTTCTCTGAGCCTGAAATGCATCCTACAGAAGGGTCTTCTACGAGGCAGAAGTGGCACGTCCGGATGTCGGGAACAGGAACTGGGGAGGCAGAAGGAGGGATGGAGGCACTGGGTCACTCTCAAATACCCTGGGCCAGTAGGAAGCCCGATTATCCATGGCCACGCTCCACCCCCTTCCTGGACTCAGTTACCCCTTCCTCCCTCCCTGCCCCTGGGCCCCACTTACCCTTTCCTACTGTGAAGCCCACCATGACCAGCACACCTACAAGCATATGGACCTTCATTTTGGAATTCTGGGGAGATGGGCAGTTCCTGAGGGGATGCCCTGAAACCCCACCTTCCTGTGACCATGCTCCTTAATCCTAAGCTGCAGGGTGGTTTTGACAAGGTCTGAGCAGGAGCTGCTGTAAATGCAGAGCTATATTCCTACTTGGGGCAGGATCCTGGCTGGGAAGGAAGTTATTACTTGGCAGGAGGGACAGCATGTCCTCACCCACAACGTCTGGTTCCTGAGTGTGGGAGTAATGGCCCAGATGGGGTAATACCTGGGCACTACCGGGTTCTTTATCCAGTGTCTACCTTTGTCTTGCATACCCTCCAAAGACCTATTCCCTCCCTTGGAAAGTCCATGGGTTAGTATCTATCTCTGCCACCATGTGCTGTCTTCGTCATACAACAGGGCCAATCCCCACTGTGCTGGGACAACCTGGCCAGGAAATCAAGCATCCCCATCCTTCTGAGATGAGCAGTCTCAGCTCCACCAGCGGCAGGCACACACACATCACTGAGCAGCAATTCCGGACCTTGTCCCACCTCGTTCCACCCTTTAGTTATACTGACTTTAGGCTACTTTTCCTTTAGAACTAAAACTAAAAGATGGAGCTGCTGATTAAGCCCCTTACAGTATAAACAGACAGTCATAGATATCCAAACAAATATTTCTCATCTTTGAAATATGCTTTGTCTTTTCCTTTTGACCTTGCATTTCATCACACGCAGTCCTAGGAATTCTGTTCTGCTCCATACTAAAAACACCACCCAATCCACTGAGCACAAATCTGTCCTGGTTTTCAATCTGGGGAGGGTGGGCTGGGCCATGAGGGCCCCTGGAGTCCAACACACCATCACCTTCCCTTCCCCAACAGCAAGCACCAGCAGACTAGCTCATGGCCTTTTCTTCTACTTTATTTCATATTCCCACCACGATAACGACTCCTTTAATTTAAACTAAAAACCATACAGGGTTCCTGAAAGGGTGGCAAAAAAGAAAGGAAAAGTCAAAGACTGCAGGACAGGTGGGGGAGGGAATCAGCGAATCGTCTTGACTGGGCTCTTGAAGTTGCTGGCGGCTTGGAGCTGCAGCTGGTAGGCCATCGGATGGATCTTGAAACCGTAGAGCCTAGGCCAGGGCAGAGGTCAGAGAGGCAGCAGCATGAGCCCCATCCAGGCCCTGCCAGTCACCTGCATTCCCACCTCCCCACCTGAGCTCCTCTATGGACCTGCTCAGAGCTAAAGCCTCGTGGTTCCCAACTTCTCAGCTCAAGAACATTCTACAATAAGGTAACTCAAGCACAGATAATCAAATAACTTTCCCACAGTCACTCAGCAGGGAGATGCCCTGATTCTGGGAGAAGCAGACCTCAAGAAAGGGCCATGCCCTGTCCTCCCCTCTCTGGGGGATCTTGGGCCTTTCCTTTGACCCTTAATGACTCTCCCTGCTCCCTACCTGGGCACAAACTGGTTGGCAGGTCTCTTGGGCCGGTACTCGGGATGCACCATGAAGAGCATGTGAGGGAAACCAGTGCCGAAGTAGGCGCCATCCGTGTGATGGTGTCTTGATGACTTGGGTGTGTACACATCCATGCACTTGGGGCAGTAGAGCTTCACCATGGCTTCACCTGGGATGTCTGAAAGGCCTGGGAGACAGCCAGACTCAGCAGGCCAGGTATCCCCCTATTCCTACCTAACCTCCCCTCAGGACTCAGGCTCCAATGTGTTGAGCCCCAACTCCTTCCCATAAGACTGCCACACGGTGCTTTCCTTTCCCTTCTTCAACACTCACCAATGGGAAGCATTGGCTGGTTCTCACAGTACACACGAGGACAGTAACCAAAGTCTCCTTGCTGGTACTTTTCCAACTGAGGTGAATACAATGGAAGGGGTTGGCAGGTAGATGTAAAGAAGAGGCAACTCCCTTCGCAGCCCAACCCATACCACTCTGTCCCCCACTCCTCCCACCTCTGTCCAGAGGCCCCTTCTCTGGACTAGACGGGCTCTCAAACTTCTGTGTTGCCTTTC
The DNA here is from genome assembly GCF_000001405.40 of Homo sapiens. NCBI lineage: Eukaryota > Metazoa > Chordata > Mammalia > Primates > Hominidae > Homo > Homo sapiens. The sequence continues at coordinate 3,146,227 of NT_113891.3, read as the reverse complement.
TTCCAATTAGGCAGGCTACAAACCATCAGAGCCATTTGTTGTTTGTTCCTTGAGGAAGAGGCAGTCTATCACAACTCTCTGATTCAAGGTCTGTCTCCCTCCCTGAAAACAATCCCTTCAGGATGACCCCCAATCAGAATTCAATTCCCAGGCCCAAGTTCTGGGGTTCTTCCCCTCTTCTCAGCTAGCTTCCTTAAACAGGGCTTAAACATGACTTCTTGCTGCAGGAACCTGTGTCTCTTACTGCTCAGAAGGAGGCAGGTAGGAGCAGAGAGGCCTCACCATCTGGGCGATGCCACGGTTGGTAAGGATGTAGCGGGCGTGGATCAATCCATAAAGCATCTCGGCTGCCTGCTCAATCAGGTCACTCTGGTTGGGGTTGTCTTCCAGTTCTTCATCTGAAACACAGCCCGGCCAAATGCAACTACTTGTTTTTCAGCTTTCCTAGGTGCCCTGCCCATATCCAGGGGCTGCGGGCTATTCAGTTTGCCTAGCACCTACTTTTGGGCCTTACCCCATCCAACATCTGGGCATGGGACCCAGAAACCTGGGCTTCTGACCCTTGCATCAAACGAAGACAGCTCTGCCTTCCCTTCACACCTTTTCAGCCTCTGCTCCTTGCTCTCCCTCCCAACTCCCTCCTCAATACATAACTGCAACAATGTCAATGCAGAAGATGAAACTCTAGACTGGAAGGTGCAAAGCAGGAGAAACAGACAACAAACCAGACCCATGAGGAAACGCATTTTGGAATAGGTCTGAATTGCGGATTTAGAAAACATGAGAACAAGTGATATACGTCACAAAACTAGACAAGAGTCAGGTGGAGGATCAAAATAAAGCATGAATTTGGGGTTAAAGAAATCAGAGAACCAAAGGAAATTTCAAAATTCAGGCAAGTGAATAGAGATTTGAAGAGAAAAATAGTGCACGCACACACACAAAACAACCCTGAGGGTGCCTCACCAGGCTCCAGGTCCAAGATCATGTCTAGAGCTTGTCGATAGTGAGGGACCTGCTCATTGAGTCCAGTAAGATTAAATTTGTCCTGGATGTAGTCTTCATCCACCTGTCAGGACATGGAAGCCAAGAGGGAACCCATATCAAAATCCTCATCTTTGACCTGGGCAAAATGCTCTAAGTGATGCCTTATCATCAACACAACTGCATCTGTTGTGCTTGTTTCTCACTCCCAACTCAGCAGAAGTACTTGTGTCTCTCCCTAGTTCACCTACACTCTCTCCCATAAAAGCTTTGGCTTTTCTTTTCTAAGGATAAGTAGATACAGCAATCTTTTTCTTAGACATTCTTTTCAAGATCTTTGTCCCTACTCCACTCCTGTATCCCGTCTCTAGGAACCAGTTTTGTCCTCTCAGCTGGCTAAGGAAGGTGGAAGCTGAACAGCATGGTTTCTGAACAAAACATTTCAATGTGTAGCATTTCAGTTTTCCTAAAGGCCACCTGAGACAAGTACTAGCAGTGCCACTTTAGTAACAAAAGATACAGGCCGGGCGCAATGGCTCACGCCTGTAATCCCAGCACTTTGGGAGGCCGAGGCAGGCAGATCACCTGAGGTCTGGAGTTCGAGACCAGCCTGGCCAACATAGTGAAACCCTGTCTCTACTAAAAATACAAAAATTAGCCAGGCATGGTGGCAGGCACTTGTAATCCCAGCTACTTGGGAGGCTGGAGCAGGAGAATCGCTTGAACCTGGGAGGCAGAGGTGGCAGTAAGCCGAGATCGCACCACTACCCTCCAGCCTCGGTGACAGAGTGAGACCCAGTCTCAAAAAAAAGAAAAAGACACAAATTGACTAGCCCAACGTTATATTGCTGGACGGTGGCAGACTCAGGACTTGGGCCCCAGTTTTGCCACTTTAGCACAGGTTCGTCGGGGTTTATAGGGGGGACTCTTTGCTGATAGGAAGTTTTCAAATAGCATGTAAGAGAACAGTGTAGAAGTGGAATATGTGAAGGAACGTCTGGTGGGAAGATATGTGAAGCTGGCAAGTAGGGAGGTTGAAGAGAACTCACTTCACAGAAGAATTCATTGCCACGGAGCCCACAGAACCAGGAAATCCAGGACACCTCCTCTGAGCTGCTCATCTTCACGTCAGCTAGAAAAAGAACAGTGTCAGTAAAGCTCAAGTTCTCCTTCCCTGCCTCTGGTATCCTCCCTCCTCCCACATTCGGCCCTCCAACCACGGGAGAATTCGGAACCACCCTTTCTTAAAGCAACCCAAACTCTGAAGCACTCCTCTCCAGCTCCTCTAATTTACATCTCAGCCCCTTTTCTTTGAAGTTAAACATTCTTTGGGGTCCCACCACTTGAAAGAAGCCAACAGATACTTTGACCCACCAGCCCGACCCACATCCCTGGAGCTCCCGAAGGCCAGGGCCCTCTCTCCTCTGTGTCAACTCCGGCAGGGACCTCGACTCAGGCTCCCTACCAATACAAGTCTCTGCATGACCCCCACGCCTTTCCCAAGGGTTTCCAAGTTTATCATTCTCAAGCAAGAACCGGGCTCCTCCTTTTCTCACGGGTTGGGGGCGATTGTCAGGTCCCTTTCACCGGAATCCACACATCCCCCCTCCGCTCCTCAGGCCACCTCTCCCTCCTTCGTGCCGGACCTGGTCGCTTCCTCCCCCGCCCCCACATCAAAGTCCGGAGACCCCATGTGCCGCTCCCAGCGACAAGGGACTCGGAGCAGCGACGACTTCAGACTCACCGGCTGGACGGGGACCAGGACTGGGGTGGGGTAGGGAAGTTGCTACTTCCAGGGAACGGCGGCGACCGCTACAGCGCAGGCCGCGGACCCGACCGCGGCAGGCGAAGTGGGGTGGGGGGAGTGGAAATTAGGGAGGGTGGGGAAGAGGGCAACACGCAAGCGCCAAGGGTCAGGTGCCGCGGTGGATGCCGGGACACGGAGTCCCCGGTAGAGAAAGAAACTGGCTAAATGAGAGAAAGCGAACTACCAATCCCAGGATGACCCGCGCACGACCTGGCTGTCACGAAGGCCCGGAGGAGGGCGCTTGCGGGCGGGGCACAACGAGAAGCCACCGGAAGCGGAAGCCAGGTATGGCGTTCGGGGCCCGGGAGTCTGGGCAATACAGTTTTGTGCTCACTGGGTGAAGAGGCTGACTTAGGGCGGGGAAAGGAGGGAGCCAGGCTGGATCTCTTTCCGCAGCTCTCCTCACGTTCCCCTCTAGTCCCGGCGAGGCGCTGCTGCCCAGGGGACTGGCCTATCCTCGGCCAATCCGCTGGGTCCTTATTGCCTGTTGGGCCCCTAGTGCGAATCAGTCCCGCCAGAGACCCTTGACGGGCATACTGTTTCCTCCGGGCTCCTGCCTCATGAGGGGAGAGGTGCGGCTTGGCTCCGTGCGTAGGGACTTGGGTGGGGTGGGGTGGGCGGTGTGAGAACTGGAACGTCCCAGTGCGCTAACCTGAGGTGGTGCCAGCCATTCTGCTCGTCCCTTTGCACTTCTCCATTTCCCCTTAGGCTCTAAGTGTGACCTTCGAACCCTGGTCAGAGTAATGGTGAGGGGCAGGCGTGACGTTATTTCATTACACGGCTTCTCGGCATTCCACAGGTTTCCCTCCGCCTCCTGAGGGCCTTTCCTAACCCACAGAGTGGATTCCTGGCTCCAGAAAATGGGCTTGGAGCGGGGGCCACGTTGAGGAAGGCGAAGGGCATTGTGGGGGCGTTATGTAAAAGTAGGACCCCAACCGACAGATCCTAGTGCTCGCGCCACCTGGGCGCGCGGAGCTTTGCTCGTTTACTATTGAAAAAGTTCCAGCGCGGGAAACTGAACCCGGAGCTTTGCGCACGCCCGAGCCCTCAAGTAATGTGGGTTGTGGTTTTTGTTGTTGTTGTCGCCACGCATGCGTCTTCGTGCCGTGTGGCTATTTGATTGTGTCAACTCTTCTGATTAGAATGGCGCCATTTTGCGGTACGGAAGCTACACAGCAACACGTATAGGAGACTCTCCCCGAGATCTTCTAGGGAGTGACCCATCTATTTTTGTTTGGGAAGAGGAAACTCCGAAATGGGATCGCGGAAGACTTAAAGGGCCAGGCTGATTTTTTTTTCCTACTGGTATGTCTTACGGGGTGGGAAAGTGGTTTCAGAAAGAGGCTGGTGTTTATTGTTGGTGAGGATGGGGGTGGGGGCCGGACGCAGGACCTCTGGACAACAGTCTCATGGAGTTTTATTAATCTTTACTAAGGAGCAAAGTCGGTATTGTAGGGTTCCATGTTTTTACGCAAAGTCTCTCTCCCTTAGGCCCTGCAGAGTCCTAAGTTGTGGGGTTACTTTAGTGGCAGGAAAGTGTTTTTGACTACTTTTTCTCATCCCAGCAGGTCTCTGAGGCTGTGGTTGCTACAGGGTCACCACGAGCTTGGCTTACTTGTCTCATCCTTCCCTTGCCTGGTATCATTTTCTCAGTTCTCCCAAAAGCCATGTCCCGGCCCTTGCTCATCACCTTCACCCCAGCCACTGACCCCAGCGACCTCTGGAAGGATGGGCAGCAGCAGCCACAGCCCGAGAAGCCAGAGTCCACCCTGGATGGGGCTGCAGCCCTAGCTTTCTATGAGGCCCTGATTGGGGATGAGAGCAGCGCTCCTGACTCCCAGAGATCTCAGACTGAACCTGCCAGAGAAAGAAAGAGAAAGAAAAGAAGAATAATGAAGGCACCAGCAGCAGAAGCAGTGGCAGAAGGAGCATCAGGAAGACATGGACAAGGGAGATCCCTTGAGGCTGAGGATAAGATGACTCACCGGATACTGAGGGCAGCCCAGGAGGGGGACCTGCCAGAACTTAGGAGACTGCTGGAACCGCATGAGGCAGGAGGAGCTGGGGGGAATATCAACGCCCGGGATGCCTTCTGGTGGACCCCACTGATGTGTGCTGCTCGAGCGGGCCAGGGGGCAGCTGTGAGCTATCTCCTGGGCCGTGGGGCTGCCTGGGTGGGGGTCTGTGAGCTGAGTGGCAGGGATGCGGCTCAGCTCGCTGAAGAAGCTGGCTTCCCTGAGGTAGCCCGCATGGTCAGGGAGAGCCATGGAGAGACAAGGAGCCCGGAAAACCGGTAAGGGGAAACTTTAGCTCAGACCCATGTCTCATTGTGTTCTGCCTCTCCCAGCCACACCACACCAGACGCCCCAGCACAGTGCTGAAGAGTTCTTTCCTTATCCTCATGTGTAGGTTGACAGGGTAGTATAGTCAAGTGGTTATAAACATGAGCTCCCTGGATTTAAAGCCTGATTCCACTTACTTGGGCAAACAACCTAATGTCTACATGTTCCAGTTTTCTCATCTTAGAAATGGGGGTAGTAAGAATTGTTGTTAGGATTCAATGGGTTAATATATGTAAAATGCTAGAATAGTGCATGCCGCATAGTATGCAATACATGAATGTTAGCTATAGTCATTATGACTAATGTCCCTCCCCTTGCCCAAGAGTTTGCTAGGTCTGGTTACCATTTTTTTCTTTCAACTATTCTGCTCTGGATCCCACAATGGTTTAAAGAAATTTGTTTTTAAGACAAGTCAAGTGCAGTAGTGAGAAGGAGGGGAAAAGTGGAGTAAGGAGTTTGATCTGTAACTGAGTGAACAATTAATTCAGATAACTCACCACCACCTTTGGACCAGCCTGGATCCCTCACTGTTAAGTAGGAAGGAAGGCAATTTGTCCCTTTTTTTTTTTTTTTTTTTTTTGAGACAAAGTCTCACTCATCTCACTCTGTCGCTCAGGCTGGTGTGCAATGGTGTGATTTCAGCTCACTGCAACCTCCGCTTCCTGGGCTCAAGCATATTTTTTGTAGAAAGCAGGCTTTGCCGGGACATGGTGGCATGTGCCTGTAATCCCGGCTACTTGGGAGGCTGAGGCAGGAGAATCGCTAAGGTGGAAGTTGCAGTGAGCCAGGATCATGGCACTGCACTCCAACCTGGGCAGCAGAGCAAGACTCCATCTCAAAAAAAAAAAAAAAAAAAAGCAGGCGTTGCCATTTTGCCCAGGCTGGTCTCAAACTCCTGAGCTCAAAGCCATCTGCCCGCCTCTGCCTCCCAAAGTGTTGGGATTACAGGCGTGAGCCACTATGCCTAGCTGGCAATTTGTTCCTTAGCAGAAAAGCTGAAAAGATCCTATTCTACCCTGCCAGCCCCCTCTGAGGCCTCAACTCTTCCCCTTTTCCTTCCCCTGCCCTTAATGCTTTTTCTTCTTTCTCTGCAGGTCTCCTACTCCCTCCCTCCAGTACTGCGAGAACTGTGACACCCACTTCCAAGATTCCAACCACCGCACATCCACTGCTCACCTGCTGTCACTGTCGCAGGGTCCTCAGCCTCCCAACCTTCCACTTGGGGTGCCCATCTCCAGCCCGGGCTTCAAACTGCTGCTGAGGGGGGGCTGGGAGCCAGGAATGGGGCTGGGACCCCGGGGTGAGGGCCGTGCCAATCCCATCCCCACTGTCCTCAAGAGGGACCAGGAAGGACTAGGCTACAGATCAGCACCCCAGCCCCGAGTGACACATTTCCCAGCTTGGGATACCCGAGCTGTGGCTGGGAGGGAGAGACCCCCTCGGGTGGCCACACTGAGCTGGAGGGAGGAGAGAAGGAGGGAGGAGAAAGACAGGGCTTGGGAGCGGGATCTAAGGACTTACATGAACCTCGAGTTCTGACTTTGGTAAAGTCTGACCCTAGTCTGCTGCTGAAGTCTGAACTTGGGCCTCTGACCTGGGCCCTTTGACTTCCCCTTCCTGGGATCTGCTCAGATGCAGATCCTGAAGTTTTTGGTCAATAGGCTCTGTCTTCGTGAGAGACGGGCTGAGAGTCAGAAATAAATCAACCATTTGTGGTTTATTCACTTTTCTGGAAGCTATTTTGAGGAAGCCAAACAGAAGCCTGGGAGCCACATGCAAGTCCCACCTGAGTCAGAAGGGGCAGCCTCTCCAGGTGGCATGATAAGGTCACCTCCCTGCCAATCTGGGTTCACTTTCAGGTCCCAGACCCTCCTGGGAGTCCCCCACCTATTCTTTCAACCCCCCTGGACCAAGAATTGCCCAGCTTCGTGCAAGTCTCACTTCCCCCAGGAGGAGTTCCCTGACTACAGCCAATTCACTGATTTCACAAACATAAGTCCATATACTATGTGCCAAGAATACAGGTAAAGACATTCCCAACCCTCAAAGAGTTCACAGCTGGAGAGGGAAAGTGCCATGTTATCAATTTTTTTCTTTTTTTTTTGAGATGCAGTTTCGCTCTCATTGCCCAGGCTGGAGTGCAATGGCATGATCTCGGCTCACCACAACCTCTGCCCCCCGAGTTCAAGGGATTCTCCTGCCTCAGCCTCCCCAGTAGCTGGGATTACAGGCATGCCCCACCACGCCCAGCTAATTTTGTATTTTTAGTAGAGACGGGGTTTCTCCATGTTGGCCAAGCTGGTCTTGAACTCCCGACCTCAGGTGATCCGCCGGCCTCGGCTTCCCAAAGTGCTGGGGTTGCAGGCATGAGCCACCACTCCCGGCCCATGTTATCAAATATTATAATGCAGGGTGATAAGGGAAGTCAAGGCCTCTAGAGATGAGAATGGGTAGGGTTTTGCTGGAAGAGGCCAGTGTGATAGGAAGGCCCACGATTATCAAGCTTGTACACTTAGTTGAACTGGGACCAGAACTCTAGCCCCCAAATCTAAACTTTAAACTTCTTTGTTCCACCCATTTGTCTACACTTTTCTTTCCCACACTTCCCCACTCTCCCACCACCCACCCCCTTGTCTTGCTCATGCCGGGTGGTAGGCACAAGAAGAGCTCACTGTTGTGAAATCCAGGAATTCAAATTTGCAGACGGGCAGGGGAGGGCTGTTCAAGTCGCAAGACTCCTCATTTTTTCTTTTCTGGGAAAGCCTTTCATGAAGTCTTGGATGCGAAATGGAGGAGTGGTGGGGGATGTGGAAAAGAACCCAGGGGCAGGGGGCTGTAGGGGGCGACCAAGTTTAGGGAAGCATGAGAAACCCGGGAAAATGGGGAGCTGGGTTTATATTAAGGTCCTGGTCCTTGCTAATCTCGGTTTGGCGGTCCGGCGCGCACAGACAGCGCGGGGTATACGGGGGCGGTCTATTCGCAGGGTCCGCCCCATGAGCTGCGGCACCGCCCCCGCGGGTCCTTCCAGTCCTGGTGCAGCTGCTTCCGGGCTTCGCGGCTCCCGGCGGCTCCCCAAGGCCGCGGCCCCGACGCTGGGCCCGGGAGCGGTCCCCGCGCACAGCGCCCGGACGCGTAGGTCCCGAAGTAGGCCCGCGCTTTGCTTCGTAACTGGGGATCTCTGAGGACATCTTAGTTCTGACCTTGTGGAGGCCGCGTCTCTGCTGCGTGTTCGCGGGCCAGTCGGGCCACTTTGTAGAAATCATAGCCCTCTAAATCAAGGGACGAACGCTGCTGGCTGGAGTTTGCTGGACACTTTCATTCCACCTCCTAACAAAGAGAATTCCTATTCCTTGAGGTCCCTTGGGGCAGCAGTTAAAGACTACACGATCCAGGAGCACCTAGGACCTGGGGCCACCTTCCTGCCCGCTTTATTGGATGGAGCACTGCCTCCCCAGTTTCTGGGACACCTTGGGGTGTGGCCTTGGTGAGTGAAACTTGGGGTGCTGCCTGCTGGGAAGGAAATCCGGAAACGCAGAGAGGACTCTCTGGTGGTGACCCAGGCCTTGTCAGATCTGAGATTCTTGGAATCTCAGATTGTGGGGGTGTGGATGGTGAATGAATTTGGGTATGCCCCCCTTTACCCCAGAACTGAAGAGGAAGCAAACTACTTGCCACACTTGAGGCTGCATGACTATTCAGAGAAGGGAGGAGCCACTTCTGAATTCAGAGTAGGACTGCATCACCAGGCAAATACCTGTTCTGAGCCAGAAAGACTCTGGCTTCTGAGGAGATCCTGAGAGTCTGAGTAGTGCCAGGAAGCAGCCTCAGAATTTGGGGGCCCATTACACACCCCAGCCATGTTCCTGCGACGGCTTGGTGGCTGGCTACCTCGCCCTTGGGGCCGCCGGAAACCAATGAGGCCTGACCCGCCTTACCCAGAACCCAGACGGGTGGACAGCTCCTCGGAGAATTCAGGAAGTGACTGGGATAGTGCCCCAGAAACCATGGAAGATGTGGGGCATCCCAAGACTAAGGACTCGGGGGCATTGAGGGTTTCTAGGGCTGCTTCCGAACCAAGCAAGGAGGAGCCCCAAGTTGAGCAGCTAGGGAGCAAAAGAATGGATTCCCTCAAGTGGGACCAGCCTATCTCTAGCACTCAAGAGTCTGGGAGACTGGAGGCTGGAGGGGCCAGTCCCAAACTCAGATGGGATCATGTGGATTCAGGTGGCACCAGGAGACCAGGGGTGTCCCCTGAAGGGGGACTGAGCGTCCCTGGGCCAGGAGCCCCATTGGAGAAACCTGGTAGGCGTGAGAAGCTGTTGGGCTGGCTGCGGGGGGAACCAGGAGCTCCCTCCCGGTACTTGGGGGGCCCAGAAGAGTGTCTGCAGATCTCCACCAACCTGACCCTGCATCTTCTGGAGCTGCTGGCCTCTGCCCTGCTGGCCCTGTGCTCACGACCACTGCGGGCAGCCTTGGACACACTGGGCCTGCGTGGACCGCTGGGCCTCTGGCTACATGGCCTACTGTCCTTCCTGGCTGCCCTGCATGGGCTCCATGCTGTTCTGAGCCTACTTACTGCCCACCCTTTGCACTTCGCCTGCCTCTTTGGTCTCCTGCAGGCCTTGGTGCTGGCTGTCAGCCTCCGGGAGCCCAATGGGGATGAGGCGGCCACTGACTGGGAGAGTGAGGGGTTGGAGAGGGAAGGTGAGGAGCAGAGGGGAGACCCGGGAAAGGGGCTGTGACCGTGGGGTGGGGGCAAAGGGTGAAGAGAGTGTGGGCTTTAGGAGAAAAGTGTGAGGCATGACCCAAATTGTAAGCATAGGGACCTCAGGGATGGGGAAGAAACCCGAGTACGAGGGTGCAGGGCCCCCCTTCATACACAGGAGAGAACAGAACTATTTAGGGTGTTTGTGTTTATGGACAGTGAGGGCACTGCTCTTGGATTCACCAGCTGTTATTTTTGCTTTTACTTTTCTCCCACCTTCAGTTTTTTTTTTTTTTCCACCTCCACTTTTTAAAAGCAAAAAAAAAAAAAAAGTATGATGGTGGTGAATAAAGACCAAAGGGTCCTCTCTACCTTTGAAAACTCTCCTGGGGTGGAGGAGACCAGGGCAGGATAGACAGACCTCTGCAGTAAGAGAGTGGTTGGGAAACCCAGGGTGTTCCTTGGATCTCAGGATCTGAGCCATCGAGGGAAGAGTGGGGCTGCTAGGCAAGTGGATTAGGGGGTCTGGATAGGGCCCCACAGGTGACAGGGAGCCTGCAGGGCGGATCTGGTGATCATGGGAGCCAGAGGGAGTGGGGACAGTGCAGGCAGTATTGGCAGGAGGGCCAGTGCAGAAGGGCTGGTAGCTCAGGCAGTGTGGGGGAAGCACTGAAGCCTGTAGTCCCCACTTGGGGGCTAGGGGTTTGCTCACTCAGCAATAAATAACTGTGTCACATCAAATCCTAAATATACCACTACAAAGTGAGAGTTACTGCCACTCTGTTCTTACTGACACCGTCCAGCTGGGAGTTTAGGTGGTAGAGGATCCAGGGGGAATGTTGAAATGGGAGGAGTGGGAATGACATCTGGAGACAAACCCCAGAATGAGATGAGGATTGAAAAATTATCTTTATTATCTTGAGTGGGAGCTGGAGCTGGAAGTCTCCAGCTTCTCCCTCCAACAACTCAGCTCCCATTGTACCCATCTGGGGACTTAGATGAAGTTACAGGTCAGTTATTGGACAGCTCACAGGCCTCTGTGATGGGGGGAGGGAAAAAGAAGGACAGAAGGGAAGTCCAGGGAGAAAAGCAAAGTTGATAGTAATGGGGTGGGGGAGAACGTGTTCTTTCATTCCCTGTGTCAAAGGGGAGTCTCTAAGGCTCTTTTCCCTCCACGTATGACCCTCTGCCCCCTTTATCCAGTGCAAACTCAGAAACCTCTCTTTTGAGTAGCCCAGAACCCATCCTGCCTCCCTCAGGTGACATCACAGCTCTTAGCCACATCCCTCTGGTGACATCACACGAGCCTCTTTCACCCTGTAACACCAGAAGACTTGGTGAGTCCTAATCCTGTTTTATGAGATTTTAACCCCTTACCTTGATTCCTAGGAGTCAATAAGAAGGCTTTGGAGTCCAGGCAGGAAGTCAGGGACTTGAATTCCTCCACACACTTTTCGGGAGGATGTGGTGAGCGATCTGGAAGGGCAAGGTGGGGTCAGGCCAGTCAAAACCCCTGGAAGCACCTAGCTCTTCCTGGGAGGGTGTCATAGGACCCAGAGTGAGGAGTTCTCCTGCCCTCCCTTGTTTCCCTCCAACCCTTCCTGCCTTGTATCCCTACTCACTGTAGAGGAGAAAGCGCTGGTAACCCTGGCCTGTCTCATTCAGCATGATTCCACCTGGGCATGAGCTGGAAAAGAGCTCAGTCTTCATGTCAGGGCGGCCTGTCAAGGCAGGTGGGAGAAGTATGAGAACAGAGATGCAGAACCAAACTCAAGGGAGGGTGAGGGCTGGGAAGAACCAACCTTCAGTTCTGAGATCTGTGCTCCCTTCAGTCAGGTGGTAGATCCATTTCCGGGGCACACAGAGCCCATCTTTCCTGCAGAGGTGGTGGTGGCAAGGAGGAAAGAATGAGCATCACCCCAACCATAGTGTCCCAGCTTCTTTTTTTTTTTTTTGAGACAGAGTCTCACTCTGTTGCCCAGGCTGGAGTGCAGTGGCGCCATCTCGGCTCACCGCAAGCTCTGCCTCCCGGGTTCACGCCATTCTCCTGCCTCAACCTCGTGAGTAGCTGGGACTACAGGTGCCCACCACCATGCCCAGCTAGTTTTTTATATTTTTAGTAGAGACGGGGTTTCACTGTGTTAGCCAGGATGGTCTCGATCTCCTGACCTCGTGATCTGTCCGCCTCAGCCTCCCAAAGTGCTGGGATTACAGGCGTGAGCCACCACGTCTGGCCTGTCCCGGCTTCTATTTACTCCATTGTATTTGTTATTGAAGCCCAGCTCTCCTTGGGTTTCAAGCTACCAAGCATTGGTTAGGCACATCTTTCTCCAGAGGGCAATTAATACAGCCACTGAATTCCGTGGGCCAAGCATAGTAGATATACCAGCTAAGAGGCCAGCTCTTGGTGGGTGGATTCTCACACTTTGGGCAGAGACTGAACCCAGTGATGCTTCTGCCTCCTTACCACTCACATGCGGATGGTAGCACGAAGGTGGAGCTGCATCGGGGCAGAGCCAGCAGCCATATTGAAGACAATGTTGTCCACAGGGTCAAAAGTTGCCAACTCCTCCTTGGTGGGAGCTGCCCCTGCGATAAAGTACCACTGGCCCAAGTGGACCTCTGGGAACTGGAGAGACAATGAAGGGAGCAAAAGAGGGTGGGTTCCAGCACAGGATGGGTTCAACCTCTTCATCAGTCAAAACAGCAAGATTTAGGGGTAGAGGTGTTGGCTGCCTTCCTCTTTCCAACTGGGGATTGGATCCATGACAAAGAGTCATTAAATGACTTTTCCTCTTTGCCCCTCCCCAGTCAACCTGGGTAACCACCCCACCCCCCAATTCTGCCATGCCTCTGCATTGATGGCCACAGTACTGATATTTTTCTTCTTGCTTTCATTATCACAACACTCACACCCCCTTCCTCTCTTCCTTTCCCAAGATGGTCTCCAGTCATCCTAGGCCATCCACCCAAGTCCCTCAGAGCCTCCACCATAGGCTTCCCCCAATCTCAGTCCATACCTCCTTCCCATCCACGCCCAGAGTTGTCAGTTGACTGTGCTCAGGGCACTGGTAGATGGAGTTAAGGATAATACCATAGAAGTAGAGCAGAGCTGCCCAAATTTGGTGGAACATCTTCAGGCAGGAGGGAGCTGGTGCTCTGTGTGCCTTAACTGCTCTCTCCCCTACTGGCTGCTCAGTCCACTCTGCTTTCAGCTCCCTTGCGTTCGACCCTTGACCCTTTCACCTGCTAATGAGTAACTTCAACCTTGTTTTCCAACCCAAACCTGGATTACTTAGTGTTTGGGACTTCCTCCCCCTCTTCCGGATGCAACCACTCCATAGTACACCCTGGCATGTCCAGGGTTTCTCAGGAGTTATGAGGAGAGCTGAGCTGTCCAGGGAGAAGCCTGTGGTCTTTGAACCTGTATCTGAGCTGGTTATTTGTTGCACTGTGCAGCACTGAAGGGAAGTAGCTTGACTGGGCCTCTCATTCATTCACTTAGCAAACTGTTTTGAATCCCAAGTCCCAGTTGTTTCCCAAGAACTAGCTAATCCCCGGGGACATAAAAAAACGAATAAGACATAGCCCCTGATCTTGAAGAAGTCGTTAGAGGGAAAACTAGCTGTGTAGACAAACCATTGCAATACAACTTGGTAAATGCTTTAGAACAGGTATGATGCAGGTGCTGGGGCACGGTGGATTGCTCTCTTTAGTTTACAATTAGAAAAATATGTATACCCTGGCAGTGTTCACTGACACATTCACTCAACATTTATTACTACAAAGAGGCTATGTAATCTGGCTGTTAGAGAGGATAGATGTTGGTGTCAGGCAGAATGTGTCCAAACCCTAACTACAGGCAGGGCAGGTAGCTCATGCCTGTAATCTCAGCACTTTGAGAGGCCAAGGTGGGCGGATGGCTTGAGCCCAGGAGTTCAAAACCAGCCTGGGCTACATGGCAAAACTCTGTCTCTACAAAAAATACAAAAATTAGCCGATGTGGTGGCACACGCCTGTAGTCCCAGCTACTAGGGAGGCTGAGGAGGGAGGATTGCTTGAGCCTGGGATGTCGAGGCTGCAATGAGCCCTGATTGTGCCACTGCACTCCAGCTTGGGCGACAGAGACTCTGTCTCCAAACAAACAAAACACCACCAACCCCTAACTGCTATGTCTGTTTTTTCATCTGTAAAATTGGCAAATCATCAATCTTATAGGATTAAATGAAATAATGCACATAAAGCCCTTAGCAAAGACTTGCACATGGTAAGTCCAAAGTATATATTTGCTATAATTAATAGTAATGTTTGCAAAGCACTTAGTTTCTGGTGGGTAATAAGTTCTCAAATAATAGGCAGTAAGAATTGCCAAATAGGTTGTCCTTGGATAGCACCAAGTGACTGGAGCAGTTAATGCTGTGAGAGATGGATCTTCCTCGATAGATTATTTATTTACTTATTTATTTTTAAGACAGGGTCTCACTCTGTCGCCCAGGCATGACTTTGACTTCCCCGGCTCAGATGATTCCCGAGTAGGAGGTATAGGTGCACGCCATCACGCCTAGCTAATTTTTTGTAGACACGGAGTTTCACCATGTTGCCCCAGGCTGGTATTAAACTCCTGAGCTCAAGCAGTCGGCCCACCTTAGCCTCCTAAAGTGTTGGGATTACAGGCATGAGCCACCACACCTAGCTTGATAAATTTATATCCCATGGACTGCCACAAAAAATTTGCCGAGGGCTGAGGCTTGCGATTTAGTTAAAAAACAAACAAAATTTGGGTGACCAGTATATTAGAGTTTATTAATACTGTTCTATTTTGGTGTAATGTTTGAATTTTTTTTTTTTTTTTTTTGAGATGGGAGTCTCGTTCTGTTGCCCAAGCTGGAGTGCAGTGGCGCGATCTTGGCTCACTGCAATCTCCACCTCCCGGGTTCAAAGCAATTCTCTGCCTCAGCCTCCCAAGTAGCTGGGATTACAGGCGCCCGCCACCACGCCAGGCTAATTTTTGTATTTTTAGTAGAGATGGGGTTTCACCATTTTGGCCAGGCTGGTCTTGAACTCCTGACCTCGTGATCCACCCGCCTCATCCTCCCAAGTGTGAGTCACTGCGCCCGGCCGAAAATTTTTGTAATAAAAAGCTAAAATGTGGTTAGGCACAGTAGCTCACACCTATAATCCCAGCACTTTGGGAGGCCAAGTCTGCAAGACCAGGCTGGGCAACATAGCAAGACCCCATCTCTATAAAAATAAAATTAGCCAGGTGTGGTGGTGTGCATCTGTGGTCCCTACTAGGGAGGCTGAGGTGGGAAGATCGGTTGGGCTCGGGAGGCAGAGGCTACAGTGAGTTGTGATTGCGCCACTGCACTCCAGCCTGGGCGACAAAGCGAGACCCTCTCTCAAAAAAATAAGCTAAAATGTTAACAGCTTTTTATTGGGGCAGTAAAGTACAAGTGCTCGATCTGGAGTCCTGTAGGCCTGGATTTGTCAATTCTGACACTTATGTTCGTCTAAGTGTACTCACTTAAAAAATGTTAAAAGCTCGTTAAAAGGCTTTTTAAAATAATACACAAAACCCGTAGTATATGGGCTGGCACAAGTGCTCATTAAACAGCTGCTTATTAGAACTCTTAACTAAAATATAACCAGGACCTGGGTATAAACTACGAATCCCAGAAAGGTTGGACACCCCAACAGCGATGTGTCTTTCTGGAGGACTCGCAGTTTCGCGGGGCCGAGGCCCTTGGCCCAGGGCAGGTTAAGAGAAGAGGGCACGGAGAGGCGGTAATGCCTCCACCCCCGGCCTTCGGAAGCACGCTGGCCGGCCTTTAAATTCCCCACGGTCAGGGTCTTGTCTTTCTGTCCACTCGGACTCCATTTGCTCCCAATTCTCAAACTCGGAAGCGCCTCTTTTCTTGACAAGTCGTGCAACTTAGTAGCACGTTTACTTTTCCTAAAACGTGTCATGTCCCCTTGGCCACACACCGACGAATGTGACGCCCACAGCCCTTAAAACGCCCACCCGGCAGAACCGAAATCTAGCCCAACCAAGCAACCGAGAACAAAATTGACCAGTGCCGCCCCCAAACGCCTACTGAAAGAGTAACTTCCGGAGGCACAGAAGAAAGGGCGCAGCGAGGGCAATAGGGTGGAGAAGAGTTTTAGCTGGCTAGGACAGTGCCGCCTGAAATTATCAGCCTGCCAAGATTTAAACATAGATGAATGTGGCATAATCCCCCATCTCCAAAGTCCAAGGTCCATACGACCGTCCATAGCCCCTCTCGAGGCAGTGGTAGAGTCCCAGCTGGTGACTGTTTTTCAGGCATTTACGGTAGCCACCTCAATCTTCTAGCGCTCCAGCGCGCGCACAGACGTGAACGCCGCCAGAGGGGGAGGGGGTGGGGCGATGCTTAAGTGTCCACGCATCCGTAGTGCGACGCACGCAGGCGTAGTACGGTCCCCCGGGCGACAGCGGTGGCGGCTCCTCGGGGTGCTCGGCTCCCTCCCACCTAGGCCGGCCCCGGCCCGACTCGCCCTCAGAAACTCACTGTTTGGGGCTGCGGACTTTCTCGTCGTGCCCCACAAAAGTAAAGCTTGGGGACCTGGGGGGAGCCGGAAGTATCGCTTCGAGATCCCCAAATACTATCGGGGAAACGGAAGTGGCCGTCGGTGGCAGGTTTGGGGGAGACCGGAAGTGACGGTCCGTGGGGAAGTCGGGGGCGGAGCCGCGGGGTGGTGGGTGGGTGTGTGTGTGTGTGTGTGTGTGTGTGTGTGTGTGTTTGGCTGTGGGTTAGTTGTGCCGTTCTGCTGGAACACCGTGGGAAGGCAGTAGACGCGGGCAGTCAGCTAGCAGGTCCGTCGCCCCGTGAGTGCCGTTTCGGGTCTATAGTGAGTTAGGAGGGTTCGATGGGCGTGGCGCGCGTGCGCGAAACCACTTTCTCCGCAGAGTGTGGGGCGACCACCGCTTTCGCGTTGTCCCAGGATTTTCCGACCTCTGGGGCGCTTGTCCTGCCGTGACCGGTGATGACACTAGTCTCTGGTCTCGTGCTTCCTTCCTAATCTGACTGGCTCCCTGCTTATTGTGATTGGCGTCGTGGAGCCCCTCCCACCTCTCGTCCTCCAGCTCCCTAAGCCGTCGATCTCCTGCCCTTTGTGTTTCTCTCCCTGTGCCCCGGAATCAGAAGGGGGATGGGGACAGGTGTGAATGTGTGTGTGTGCAGGAGAAACTTTTTAGGTATTGGGGCAGGGATTAATGCTAGGGAGTCTTTCGGGTACACTCTGGTCTGGGCAACAGCGGGCCCTCCTTCCTTCGTTCTTCTTTAGAGACCTGTCGGCCATGGAGCCTAATGATAGTACCAGTACCGCTGTGGAGGAGCCTGACAGCTTGGAGGTGTTGGTGAAGACCTTGGACTCTCAAACTCGTACCTTTATTGTGGGGGCCCAGGTGAGACACCTCACTAGTTCTGGAAGACACCTTTAGCTTTTCCTCGTTTAGGCCCCTTAGCCTGAGAGATGAGCTTGATTTTCTGGTCACCAGATTTTCTTTTTTTTTCTTTTTTTTGAGATGGAGTCACGCCCTGTCTTCCAGGCTGGAGTGCAGTGGCGCGATCTCGACTCACTGAAACTTCCACCTCTTGGGTTCAAGCGATTTTCCTATCTCAGCCTCCTGAGTAGCTGGGATTATAGGCGTGTGCCACTATACCCAGCTGATTTTTGTATTTTTAGTAGAGACGGGGTTTCACCATGTTGGTCAGGCTGGTCTCGAACTCCTTACCTCAGGTGATGTGCCCTCCTCGGCCTCCCAAAGTGCTGGTATTACAGGCATGAGCCACCGCACCTGGCCTCAGATTTTCTTTTTATTGATCCCTTTGTTCGTATTCCAGTAGAACGTTTTCTGATGTTTTGTGAGTGAGGCTGATTTTGTTCTGTCCTCCACATGGATAGAACTTAATGCAGAGGGAAATACAGAGGAAGGAAGAATCTGTGTGTCATCATCATGGGTGGACCCCAACCCAAAGGGACAGGCATGGCTCTGGCCTTTGGGAAGGGAAACAGCACAGGAACCCTAAGCAAGTGTGTCTTACTGATAGACATTGGTCAGGTCTATGCTGTGTTTTTAAAGGGTAGAAATCAGAACCCATAATGGAGATAGGTCCTTGATAGACTGTTGAGTGAAATTACTAATTTTTATGGCATAGCTTGAGTCTCTTGAGCTTAAAGCCTTGGACATAGCTATCTGTGTCTTTACTCCTGTAATACTTGGAGACAAATTGCATGTGGGGTGGTCCATGGTTTTCTAAAATGTGATATTACCTGGATATAAGAAAGCCATATATAGACTTGTGATTAGATGTATATAAATACTCTGGTACTTCCCAAGAGTCAGTTTGTAGTTAGGAAAAATATTTCTCTTTTTGCTTTTTTTTTTTTTTTTGAGATGGAGTTTTGCTCTTGTTGCCCAGGATGGAGGGCTGGGGCGCAATCTCAGCTCACTGCAACCTCTGCCTCCTGGGTTCAAGCAATTTTCCTGCCTCAGCCTCCTGAGTATCTGGGATTACAGACGACGCCTACTACCACGCCCGGCTAATTTTTGTATTTTTAGTAGAGACAGGGTTTTACCGTGTTGGCCAGGCTGGTCTTGAACTCCTGACCTCAGGTGATCCACCTGCCTCGGCCTCCCAAAGTGCTGGGATTACAGGTGTGAGCCACTGTGCTGGGACCTTTTTTGCTTTCTTATCTTCTTAGTCTTTCTTCAGTAACCTGATACCAGACCCCATCTTCTTTGCCATTTTTTAATCTTGGAAATCACAGGAGAGTCTGGTAAATAAACTGGTATCATCTTGTGTTTGGAAAGGGGTCACTGATGTCTCTAGACACATACTCCCTTGGATGCCAGACAGATAATATAATGTCCATGTGGTTTTTTTTTGTTTTTCATCCGTGTTATTTTTCCTGGATCTATAACCTGAGCTTCATTAAGTTTATTTATTTAATTTTTTGAGATGGAGTCCCTCTCTGTCACCCAGGCTAGAGTGTAGTGATGCGATCTCGGCTCACTGCAACCTCCGCCTCCCGAATTCAAGTGATTCTCTTGCTTCAGCCTCCCTAGTAGCTGGGATTACAGGCGACCACCATGCCTGGCTTATTTTTTTGTATTTTTGGTAAAAAAGGGGTTTTACCATGTTGGCCAGGCTGGTCTCGAACTCCTGACCTAATGTGATCTGCCTGCCTTGGCCTCCCAAAGTGCTGGGATTACAGGTGTGAGCCACCGCGCCAAGCCAAATTTATTGTCTGTATTTTGACAGCTGTTACTTTAGTTTAAGGGTTTGCACAGTAATGATCTCACGGTCAAGACAAACGGGTAGTGATTCTGTGGTGGTTTTTACCCCTCACCTCCACAACTCGGTTGTCTGTCTTTGTTCTTCCTCTTTCCTCCATTCTTTCCATTCCTGTGCATGCCTCTTCTTTTCAGATGAATGTAAAAGAGTTTAAGGAGCACATTGCTGCCTCTGTCAGCATCCCATCTGAAAAACAACGGCTCATTTACCAGGGACGAGTTCTGCAAGATGATAAGAAGCTTCAGGAATACAGTAAGGGGGCTGGGGAGGCAGTTCAGAGGTTGGGGCTACTGTCTGGAGGGATGAACTGAGGCCATGGGTTTACCTGTTCATACTATGTTTTGGTGTGTGTCTATTTTTCTGCAGATGTTGGGGGAAAGGTTATCCACCTGGTGGAACGGGCTCCTCCTCAGACTCACCTCCCTTCTGGGGCATCTTCTGGGACGGGGTCTGCCTCAGCCACTCATGGTGGGGGATCCCCCCCTGGTACTCGGGGGCCTGGGGCCTCTGTTCATGACCGGAATGCCAACAGCTATGTCATGGTTGGAACCTTCAATCTTCCTGTAAGCTTATGTTCCACAGGGGAGGGCTTTTGTGGGTAGCTTTGGTTGTGGTAGCACCAGGGAATTAATAAGATAGATGCTTCCATCTTTAGATTGGGTTCAGGGGGCCCTGTGGTGTGCTATTGGTCTCAGTCTTTAAGGAGAAAAGGAGGTAGGGCTCCAGGGAATGAATTGGAGGTGTGGAGGCCTTAGTGTTGGCTTCTCCCAGAACAACTTCCCTTACCCTTTCCCCAGAGTGACGGCTCTGCTGTGGATGTTCACATCAACATGGAACAGGCCCCGATTCAGGTATTGAGGGGCCTCCGAGGGTCAGGGAAGGGGATCTGGGAGAAGGAGGCTGGGAGGTGGGGTGGACCTGGCTGAGAGATGGCTGGGACCTGATTTAGTAGGTGGTAGAACTCATGGCTTCATCTGTAACCTACCCTGATAAACCTTCTCTCATTGTAGAGTGAGCCCCGGGTACGGCTGGTGATGGCTCAGCACATGATCAGGGATATACAGACCTTACTATCCCGGATGGAGGTAAGTGGGCAAGGCTGGCTAGGGTCTCTCTCCACCCTCCCTCTCCCTTTTCTCTCAGCCTGGGAGTTAGGGCTTCACTGGCCACATTCACAGGGTTTGGCCTTCATAATCTAGTCTTCTCTGCAGTATTCATTCTTTTGGGCAGAAAAAGTATCTTTGTGAGGCTCTCTCATTTCTGCCAATCCTCTTGGTGCCTGGTATCTGGGGAGTTTGTTTCAGACTTAGTCTCATGGCATCTCTTTTCAATTAAAGGATTCTACTCTCTTAACTTGTGGAGGCTGGGAAACCAACTTGTGGAGGAAAGGAAACCACAATCTCTACTCTTTGTTAGAAATTTATTTACAAATATTACAGATGCTGTGGCCGGGTGTGGTGGCTCCTGCCTGTAATCCCAGCACTTTGGGTCGCCATGGCAGGGGGATAACGTGTGGTCAGGAGTTCCAATCCAGCCTGGCCAACATGGTGAAACCCTGTCTCTACTACAAGTACAAAAATTAGTTGGGTGTGGTGGCACGCGCCTGTAGGCCTGGCTACTTAGAAGGCTGAGGCAAGAGAATTTCTTGAACCTGGGAGGCGGAGGTTACAGTGAGCTGAGATCATGCCACTGCACTCCAGCCTGGGCAACAGAGCGAGACTCTGTCTCAAAAAAAAAAAAAAAAAATTACAGATGCTTATTATGCATCTAATTTGTGTCAGTCTTATGCTAGTTGCTAGCGAGTCGGAGATAAAATTGCAGAGCCATGCCTTCAGGGAGTCTAGTTAGGATACTTTCTCTGTTCAGTCTCCTGTAGAGTAATCCTCTGCAGCAGTCTTACCCTGCCTTTGGTATCCTGACTCTCCCCTACCTTCAGTGTCGAGGAGGGCCCCAACCGCAGCACAGTCAGCCGCCCCCGCAGCCACCGGCTGTGACCCCGGAGCCAGTAGCCTTGAGCTCTCAAACATCAGAACCAGTTGAAAGTGAAGCACCTCCCCGGGAGCCCATGGAGGCAGAAGAAGTGGAGGAGCGTGCCCCAGCCCAGAACCCGGAGCTCACTCCTGGCCCAGCCCCAGCGGGCCCAACACCTGCCCCGGAAACAAATGCACCCAAGTGAGAGATGGAGGGAATCTTTAGTGGGTGGGGAATCCTAAGTGAAGTATGGGGAGAAGGAAATGAACCATGGCAAGGGAGGGAAAGGATTACTTGGAGGTCTTAGTTGAAGGGTTAGCATTGAGGGGCGAGGAGGGGCTCTCTCGGTATAGGTAAATGACGCTAGGACAGGCAGCTGAGAAGAACTGCTGCTCTCCCTACGGCAAGGAAATCCAAATGGTATCTCCTGAGCCTGATCGGAATTCTCCTCTGAGTTCACGAAGGCCTGCTCTCTTTCTTAGAATTAGTCTTTCACCATTGTAGGTGCAGGATTGTGGTGGGGAGGGTGGGAGCAGTTCATTTTCTTCTCCCTATCCTCTCATGGGTGGGAGTAAAGAATAGAAGCTTTGGCTGGGTGCAGTGGCTCATGCCTGTAATCTCAGCACTTTGGGAGGCAGAGGCGGGCAGATCACCTGAGGTCAGGAGTTCGAGACCAGCCTGGCCAACATGGTGAAACCCTGTCTCTACTAAAAAATACAGGCCGGGCACAGTGGCTCACGCCTGTAATCCCAGCACTTTGGGAGGCCGAGGCGGGTGGATCATGAGGTCAAGAGATCGAGACTATCCTGGCTAACATGATGAAACCCCGTCTCTACTAAAAATACAAAAAATTAGCTGGGCATGGTGGCGGGCACCTGTAGTCCCAGCTACTCGGGAGGCTGAGTCAGGAGAATGGTGTGAACCCAGGAGACGGAGCTTGCAGTGAGCTGAGGTCGCACCACTGCACTCCAGCCTGGGTGATAGAGCGAGACTCTGTCTCAAAAAAAAAAAAAAAAAAAAAAAAACAAAAATTAGCCGGGTGTGGTGGCAGGCAACTTAATCCCAGCTACTTGGGAGGCAGAGGCAGGAGAATCGTTTGAACCTGGGAGGCGGAGGTTGAAGAGAATAGAAGCTCTGCTGGTCCAGAGAAGGATTGGGCCAGGGCTCTGGGAGACCAGGGAGAAAGAGGGCACATGTGGTCCCTGTTGACTGTGAGGGTGGGAATCTGAGGAAGGCTTTGGCTCATTGCCCCTTGGGTTTGTCCACAGCCATCCTTCCCCTGCGGAGTATGTCGAGGTGCTCCAGGAGCTACAGCGGCTGGAGAGTCGCCTCCAGCCCTTCTTGCAGCGCTACTACGAGGTTCTGGGTGCTGCTGCCACCACGGACTACAATAACAATGTGAGCCCTTTGATGGCCCTGCCCTTTCTCCTCAGCCCCAGTACTCCCAAAACAGAACAGGCTGAAATACAGATAACTCTTTCCCTCCCTGGAAAAACATTGCAACAGGGCCAGGTGCAGTGGCTCACGCCTGTAATCCCAGCACTTTGGGAGGCCAAGGTGGGCGGATCATCTGAGATCGGGAGTTTGAGACCAGCCTGGCCAACATGGTGCAACCCCATCTCTACTGAAAATATAAACATTAGCTGGATGTAGTGGTGCACACCTGTAATCCCAGCTACTCAGGAGGCTGAGGCAGGAGAATCGCTAGAACTCGGGAGGAGGGGGTTGCAGTGAGCCGAGATTGCACTACTGCACTCTAGCCTGGGTGACAGAGCGAGACTGTCTCAAAAAACAAAACAAAACAAAAAAACACACATTGCAACAAAACAGTTTCTCTCTAAACCTGTAAGTGATTTTGTCCTCCCTTACAGAGAAGGTGATAATCTTTGCTGTAAGCACTGTCCTCGTATCGTACCCCTTGTGCCCCTGAATGAATTTAGAAAATGTAAAGTACAGGAGATCAGTATATGATGACTTACTGATTCATAGTAGTGTTTTAATAGGATGTTCCTTATGTGAATAAGATATAATTTATTTGCAAAGATTTGGTCTACATGTAAACTTCCAAGGATATAACTGAAAGTTTTGGAGGACATGGTATTCTCAGTAGGCATTATTGCTTTTATTAGTGAGATGGACTCCAGCTTGATATTTTCTGCCTTTTTGTGTTTGGCTGGTTGTGCGCAGCACGAGGGCCGGGAGGAGGATCAGCGGTTGATCAACTTGGTAGGGGAGAGCCTGCGACTGCTGGGCAACACCTTTGTTGCACTGTCTGACCTGCGCTGCAATCTGGCCTGCACGCCCCCACGACACCTGCATGTGGTCCGGCCTATGTCTCACTACACCACCCCCATGGTGCTCCAGCAGGCAGCCATTCCCATACAGGTGGGTTAGGGGGAGTCTGGCCTGAGGGAGAGTGAGGGGTGTTGATAGAGTGACCCAGGGTAGCTACTGGGCCTGAAGGAGGTTAGGAAAGGAGGAGACTGGAAACATGGTGATGAAGGCTGGAGATACTTTAGAGGTTTATCATGAGGTTTTCTTGGTTAGGCTCTTGTATTTTTCTCACATCTGCCTGTCCATCTGTCTTTTTCAGATCAATGTGGGAACCACTGTGACCATGACAGGAAATGGGACTCGGCCCCCCCCAACTCCCAATGCAGAGGCACCTCCCCCTGGTCCTGGGCAGGCCTCATCCGTGGCTCCGTCTTCTACCAATGTCGAGTCCTCAGCTGAGGGGGCTCCCCCGCCAGGTCCAGCTCCCCCGCCAGCCACCAGCCACCCGAGGGTCATCCGGATTTCCCACCAGAGTGTGGAACCCGTGGTCATGATGCACATGAACATTCAAGGTGAGAATAGTTGCTGGCGAGAAGAGCAGGATCAGCATGATGAGGGAGGTTCATGCTGAGGTGTGAGGGAACAGGGTGGGGAAGGGAGAGGCACATGCTGGTGGTGGTAGCCTGGGGACCAGAGCAGAAGCTTAAGTAGACAGATGTGGGGGGTGTGGGGGTTGGTTTGTCTTTGGAGGTGTGTTTGTGTGGTGAAGGGAGTACCTCTCCCTGTTTAGATGGAGGGAAAGGCAGGCTTTCTGATTGGGGGATTATGGGCCTGAAGTATGCCTGATCTCAGAAGGATATAGTTAGGCCTTGGCCCTACCTACCTCAGGGCCACTGTCTCTGTCTCCCTGCCCAGATTCTGGCACACAGCCTGGTGGTGTTCCGAGTGCTCCCACTGGCCCCCTGGGACCCCCTGGTCATGGCCAAACCCTGGGTAAGAGTGAGGGCATCAGGGCAGGCTGAGCTCTGGGTAGAGAAAGGGAAGGGCTGAGTGGGTGGGTTGAAGGGGTCCAGGTTCAAGGTTACATCAGACCCGCCCCCCAGGCTCCACCCTCATCCAGCTGCCCTCCCTGCCCCCTGAGTTCATGCACGCCGTCGCCCACCAGATCACTCATCAGGCCATGGTGGCAGCTGTTGCCTCCGCGGCCGCAGGTAATGACCTGGAAGGGGAGGCTTGGGAGGTAGGGCACAGTCCATGGTGGCAGCTGGCTGGCAAGGGCCTGGCCCTCAGCCCTCTTCGGTCTGTCTCTTCTGCCACCCACAGGACAGCAGGTGCCAGGCTTCCCAACAGCTCCAACCCGGGTGGTGATTGCCCGGCCCACTCCTCCACAGGCTCGGCCTTCCCATCCTGGAGGGCCCCCAGTCTCTGGGACACTGGTGAGCAAGGGTCGGGGAGTTCTAGTGCGTAACAGTCTAGGGAGAGACTCCTGTGGTGGTGCATGGAAGGGCAGGTCTGAAGTTCTCCCTTGCTCTCTATCCAGCAGGGCGCCGGTCTGGGTACCAATGCCTCGTTGGCCCAGATGGTGAGCGGCCTTGTGGGGCAGCTTCTTATGCAGCCAGTCCTTGTGGGTGAGTTTTCATTCTTCCCCACTCAGAGTTTAAACTCCTTTCCTAGTCTGCTCACTGGCACTTTCCAGTTCTTTCCATATTTTCTTGGTTCCTGCTTTCCTGGAATGGGGCTGCTGTAGTGTCTTGTGTCTTCAGGTTTCAGCTTTTTTTTTTTTTTTTTTTTTTTTTTTGAGATGGAGTCTCACTCTGTTGCTAGGCTGGAGTGCAGTGTACAATCTTGGCTCACTGCAACCTCTGCCTCCCGGGTTCAAGTGATTCTCCTGCCTCAGCCTCCTGAGTAGCTGGGACTACAGGTGCACGCCACCACGCCCAGCTAATTTTTTATGTTTTTAGTAGAGAAGGGGGTTTCACCATGTTGGCCAGGATGGTCTCGAACTCTTGACCTTGTGATCCACCCACCTTGGCCTCCCAAAGTGCTGGGATTACAGGCTTGAGCCATCGTGCCCGGCCAGCTTTTTTCTTTTTTTTTTAAGTTACAGAGTCTTGCTCTGTCACCCAGACTGGAGTGCAGTGGTGCAATCCAGTGAGTTAAAGCTCACTGTAACCTTGAACTCCTGGGCTCAAACAGTTCTCCCACCTCAGCCTCCTGAGTAGCTAGCAGTACTAGCTCCTGGCTAGTAATTGTCTTTTTTTTTTTCTGGTAGAGATGGGGTCTTGCTATGTGGCCTAGACTCCTGGGCTCAAGCAGTTCTCATGCCTTGGCCTCCCAAAGTTGCTAGGATTACAGCCAAGAGCCACCATGCTCAGCCCAGCTTTCTTTTTTTGGTTTCTTACAGCTCAGGGGACCCCAGGTATGGCTCCACCGCCAGCCCCTGCCACTGCTTCTGCCAGTGCTGGCACCACCAACACAGCTACCACAGCTGGCCCCGCTCCTGGGGGGCCTGCCCAGCCTCCACCCACCCCTCAACCCTCCATGGCTGATCTTCAGTTCTCTCAGCTTCTGGGGAACCTGCTAGGGCCTGCAGGGCCAGGGGCTGGAGGGTCTGGTGTGGCTTCTCCCACCATCACTGTGGCGATGCCTGGTGTCCCTGCCTTTCTCCAAGGCATGACTGACTTCTTGCAGGTGAGTGGCTGGCTTGCCATTCACCTCATCTTCCTGTCCCCCGGCCCAGCCAGGCAGTGGTACCTTCTTGCCATTATATAACCACTGGGTAAGAGCCCCTAGTGACATGTTAGGGGAAGGGGCCCTAGGAATTCATTGACTCTGAACCTTTCATTTTAAAGATGAAGAAAATGAGGTTTAGAAAAAGAAAGTATAGTAATTAGTGTCACTGCTTTCTGACAACCTGTTCAGAGGAAGAGGTAGGTAAGTTGTGCTGCCTGACTCTGTTAAATACCTACCATACTTCTGCTTTAAGCAGTGAAGATCAGAATGTAACTCCCCATCTTCCCAGACCCGTTGGTTTGTGCCCTCTTGATGCCGTATTATTTCCGTGTGTCTTCATTCTCACCTCACTTTCTGTTCTTTGTTCTTTCTTTATTTGCCAGGCAACACAGACAGCCCCTCCACCACCCCCACCTCCTCCACCCCCACCACCTGCCCCAGAGCAGCAGACCATGCCCCCACCAGGCTCCCCTTCTGGTGGCGCAGGGAGTCCTGGAGGCCTGGGTCTTGAGAGCCTGTCACCGGAGTTTTTTACCTCAGTGGTGCAGGGTGTGCTCAGCTCCCTGCTGGGCTCCCTGGGGGCTCGGGCTGGCAGCAGTGAAAGTATTGCTGCCTTCATACAACGCCTCAGTGGATCCAGCAACATCTTTGAGCCTGGAGCTGATGGGGCCCTTGGTGAGCAAAAAGGATGCTTTGGCTTGCTCCAGGAAGGGGCAGCCAGAGGAATGTAGATGGCCTTGGTTTAGGGGTGTTGCCAAGGTGGGATGAGGTTGATGATCTGGTTGTGGGTGGGCAGGCCAGGTGGTAAAGGCCATTGCTAACATCTGCCCTTGTCCCCCAGGATTCTTTGGGGCCTTGCTTTCTCTTCTGTGCCAGAACTTCTCTATGGTGGACGTAGTGATGCTTCTCCATGGGCATTTCCAGCCACTACAACGGCTCCAGCCCCAGCTGCGATCCTTCTTCCACCAGCACTACCTGGGTGGTCAGGAGCCCACACCCAGTAACATCCGGGTAAATGAAGGCCAGGGGCCCCAGAACTCTCCTCTTTTGCACATTTTATTCCTTATTTCTGACTGCTTCTCTGCCAGGTAAAGCTCCAATTGCCCCCACACAAGCCCTGGACTTGTTGGGGTCGAGGTGGAAGTCTTGGGAGGACTGAGGCTTTGAACTAAACCTGTTCTGTTTCCTCCACAGATGGCAACCCACACATTGATCACGGGGCTAGAAGAGTATGTGCGGGAGAGTTTTGTGAGTAACCCTTCTCTATTCCTTTCCTCTCCTGGGTCTGGTCGAGGCAGCTGCCTCCTCCACTCCCAGTCTTATGATTCTTGATTTTGGGATCTTTGTGTTATCTTGTCTCTCAGTCCTTGGTGCAGGTTCAGCCAGGTGTGGACATCATCCGGACAAACCTGGAATTTCTCCAAGAGCAGTTTAATAGCATTGCTGCGCATGTGCTGCATTGCACAGGTCAGGGGCTGGCCAGGCGGGGGCAAGTGGGGCCTGTTGCATGTGCAGGGCTGCCACGTGCCAGCATTCCCTCCTTGTATTTTGCCCACAGATAGTGGATTTGGGGCCCGGTTGCTGGAGTTGTGTAACCAAGGCCTGTTTGAATGCCTGGCCCTAAACCTGCACTGCTTGGGGGGACAGCAGATGGAGCTTGCTGCTGTTATCAATGGCCGAATTGTAAGCACCACCTAGCCCCAGATCCTTAGCCTTTTGTTTCCTGAGGTTTCCATTCTCTGCAGTTTTCATTTTTCTTTTCTAAACTGACATTCTGTAACCTGGATCTAATCTATTTCTAAAGGTGGTTGAGGGTTTTGTGTTCTAAATCTGCTTTCTGTCCCTCAGCGTCGTATGTCTCGTGGGGTGAATCCCTCCTTGGTGAGCTGGCTGACCACTATGATGGGACTGAGGCTTCAGGTGGTACTGGAGCACATGCCTGTAGGCCCTGATGCCATTCTCAGATACGTTCGCAGGGTTGGTGATCCCCCCCAGGTAAGGGACCTGTTGGGCGATGGGGTCAGGGTACTTGAGAGAACTGGAGAGATCTGAGAGGAAGTATGGTGTTCTTTAATTTCACAGCCACTTCCTGAGGAGCCAATGGAAGTTCAGGGAGCAGAAAGAGCTTCCCCTGAGCCTCAGGTACTCTAGAGAGGGGGAGGTTGAGGGGCCAGATAATGTGGAGTGGAGGGCTGGGGGAGAAAGGTTTGGAGGCTAAAAATTCTGAAGCCTGGCTCTTCCCGCCATCTGACACCCAGCGGGAGAATGCTTCCCCAGCCCCTGGAACAACAGCAGAAGAGGCCATGTCCCGAGGTCCACCTCCTGCTCCTGAGGGGGGCTCCCGGGATGAACAGGATGGAGCTTCAGCTGAGACAGAACCTTGGGCAGCTGCAGTCCCCCCAGTAAGTGTCAGGAAGTAATCCAGTGGGTCATGGCAGCTGAAAGTCAAGGACATTACTATTTTCTCTTTTCCTCCCCAGGAATGGGTCCCTATTATCCAGCAGGACATTCAGAGCCAGCGGAAGGTGAAACCGCAGCCCCCTCTGAGTGATGCCTACCTCAGTGGTATGCCTGCCAAGAGACGCAAGGTTGGTTTTCCTCTTCCCTAAGCCTCTCTCTCTATCCAGGTTTCCCCGTCATGCCTGGAATCAAACTATGTAGAGATGGTGGGAGCTCTTGTTATTCAGTCTCCCCTCCCCTCGTTTAATGAGGAAACTTTTTCTGGGATTCAGACTTGCTCTTGGTTGTTGCATAACCATACAGGACTTGACCTTAGTCTGTTTGCTAGCAGTCCTGTATTAGTTGCTCAGCTGCCTAATCCCCATGTGCTTAGATCCCATTTTCCTTTAAGGTGGGTTTCCTCTTGTGGATTACCTAGCTCTGAATCCCGGATGGCTTGACCCCTTCTGCCTTTCGTTTTGAAGAGCACGTTCAAGCACATTCACTTTAGTTTTGGCTAGTGCCAAAGAGAATTAGGAAGGCATTTCTGCTGTAAAAACCACATCCTGGACTCTTAATTTCCCCTCTCTCCACTAGCATGGAGACTCAGTGGAGTGGTTGACTCATGGAAAGGGTGAGCCGGATGGTGGCACTGGATCTGACGTTGATCCTCTTTTCCCTCCCAACCCCCTGTCCCCCAGACGATGCAGGGTGAGGGCCCCCAGCTGCTTCTCTCAGAGGCTGTGAGCCGGGCAGCTAAGGCAGCCGGAGCTCGGCCCCTGACGAGCCCCGAGAGCCTGAGCCGGGACCTGGAGGCACCAGAGGTTCAGGAGAGCTACAGGCAGCAGGTGCCACCTTGAAGCAGAATAGGGATGGTCTAGTGGGAGGGGTTGGGCTAGGGTCCCTCTTCCCTGGATCCCTTCAGCGATGAACTGGTCAGCCTGGTGCTACCATTTGTTTTCCCCTTTGGCATCTGGGAAGGCTTGACAGTGCCACCCCGGGCTATTTGACAGTGTGCTTGGGGGGGGGAAATGTTAGCTTCTGAGGGATGGCCTTGTGTGCTTGCTGGGATCATAGGGACTTGGCCAGCGTTTCTCCAACCTGCTTACTTTTTCTCTTTAGCTCCGGTCTGATATACAAAAACGACTGCAGGAAGACCCCAACTACAGTCCCCAGCGCTTCCCCAATGCCCAGCGGGCCTTTGCTGATGATCCTTAGCTCTTTCTTTGCTCTATGGCCCTTCCTCATCAGGGGACCGTTTCCCCCCTCTTCCTTCACAGTATTTAAGAAATAAAAGTCGGATTTTTCTGGCTGCTTTCTCTCTACATTGTCTCCATTAGGTAGTGTGTCCCTTAATCTTGTGTGAACTTTTTTAAATTAATACTTCCTTGGAACACTGTTGTGTTCTACTCAGCACGCTAAATTGTACAAGCCAGTTTTGATGTTTTTTTTTTTTTTTGAGACAGAGTATTGCTGTCTCCCAGGCTGGAGTGCAGTGGCCCGATCTCGAGCTCGGCTCACTACAACCTCCACCTCCCGGGTTCAAGTGATTCTCACTCATGCCTCAGCCTCCTGAGTAGCTGGGACTACAGGCGTCCGCCACCACGCCCGGCTAATTTTTGTATTTTTAGTAGAGACAGGGTTTCACCATATTGGCCAGGCTGGTCTCGAACTCCTGACCTTGTGATCCACCCGCCTTGGCCTCCCAAAGTGCTGGAATTACAGGCCTGGGCCACCGCGCCCAGCCTGATGTTTGTATTTTTTGTGCGAAAGCACTTTATATATAAATAAAAAACCTGTATTTTGAGTTGGGAGCATATTCCAGGTGCACACTAGCATAGAGCTCTCAAATTACCCATCAAAAAAAGTTTCTGAGCAGCTGCAGACCTAAGTATAGTCTTTAGCATAACTAGCATGCAGCGTTACCATGTGAAATCCCACTTAGTTTGACAATGCTGGAATTGGTCTATCCAATTCAAAGAGCCCCTTAAGTGTGCTCCAACATTGAGGCCTTAACAGAGATTTCCCCTTAGTTCATCATAAAGAACTGAAGTCCCATGGCTGCAAATTCTTTGCTAGTCCCTTTGAGATGCAGTTGAAGTCCCTTCTAAACCCCCCCATCCCCTACCTTGGCTAGTTTAGTGCTCTATCAACTAAGCATGGCATAAGCTTAGAAAATTCCAGCTAGACCTCTTGGAACATGAGCTCACGGACATTTAACAGGCCTGCTGGAGAGTCCATGTGAAGACACTGGTTGATAACCCAGTAATGTTACAGATGTCCCACCAAGGCCCTAGATATGCAAAGGAAGCCATATTGGGACCAGCCCAGGTGTCAGCTGCAGACTGATAACCAGTTGACCTCGCTCACTGGCACAAAAAAGCAGATTTATCCAGCTGAGCTCAGCCCAAATTCCAGACTCACAAAAATTTAAAGATCCAATACGATGGTCATGTTTTTAGTTTCAACAGCTCACTGGAATAAGTAATGAATATTTCCCTGACTGAAACTACAGATCACTCAGCACCATGCTTTAAGACAATGCAAACAACTCATCCCCCAAATCATTGTAGAAGTTTTTTTTTTTAAATCCTTTTATTACTCTTTTTTAACAAACAGCCCCAGGGACAGGGGACCAGGGGAAGGGGGAGGAGGGGAAGTGAGGCCCCAGCCCCACAACCCCTCCCCGCCCACCCCTTTCCCCCTTATATATTTATAATCTATATACAAGCCCCGGGGGTAGGGGGCAAGAGGAACTCCCTCAGCGGGGTGGGGGCAACCCAGGCTCCTTGTCCCCTCGGGACCCAGGCTCCTCTGCCCGTCGGGAGGGCCCTTCTCGAGGTGGCGGCCCTGTCCGCTCCCAAGGCTTAGGTATCCAGCGCAGGGCATCTGGTGGGGAGGCCTAGGGGACAGGCATGTGTTAAACAGTGAGTCACAGTGAGAGGTCAGCGATGAGACGGAAGGACAGGAAATCAGGTGGCAACTCGAATTTAGAGTTGGGGCCACAAGGGTTTCTCCTTCACCTGCTGGTAAAGGTCGACGCGCTGGGTGCGGAAGACTCCACTGTAGGTGGAAGGCGTGGCCTTGAGACGGGAATTGAGGCCAGAGAAGGACCTAAGGGAAGAAGGGCGTCTAAGGCAAGCCTAGGATCCAGACCCTGGTTCCAAAGTAAGGAAGCACTTGGAAAGTCCACATCCCTATTCCGTTTCACCTTCCAGTTGGGGGAGTCCGTGATGATCCAGGTCCCCCAAGGTTGCTGCTCAGTTTTTGATAATCCTGGAACGGCTTTAGTTCCACTGGATGCAGCTGAGGGGAAAAAAATCATGAGCTGCCTACCTTGAAATACAGAATCCCTACTCCCAAGTCTTGGCGCTCCCTAGCCCCTCAGTTCCTGTACCTTACCTCTGCTCGCCCCAAGCTAGCGGGGAAGGGCCTGGCAGGTGAAGGCAGCACCCGAGTAGCAGGAGCAGGTGGGGGCCGCACAGCCAGGCTGGGGGGCTGCAGAGCAGGGCCCACAGGTAACAGAGAAAGGGAAGGTGGGGCAGGAGGTGGTGCTGGCGGCAGGGAGCCAAAGTTCACCACAGGCAGCTGTGAGTCTACCATGGGTAGAAGCATCTGTAACAAGAAATTTGGGTGTGCATGTTGGGGGCAGGGAGGAATGTCAGAAAACCAGGGAAAATCAAAGCCAGCAACTGGACAGAGAAATCAAATGAAGGGGAAGTGTGAAGATACAATATACCTGCTGGGCAGGAGCCCCTGAAGGGAGAAAGCCACTTTGGCCACCAGGCTGCAGAGGAGTAGAATAAAAATCCGAAGGGGATGGCAGATCCTGGCGTACCTGTCGGGAAACAGGGAGAAATATATCAACCCCCACAAAATCATTCTCCCTACCCTATCCCCCAATATCTAATACCTGCCCCCCTCTTACCTGAAGCAACGATGTGTCAGGCAAAGGACTGGGGCAGAAAGCCGGAGAGTAGAGGAAGGAAGGTGGAGGGTAGAGAACTCCTCCAGCCGGCAACTTCCCCAGCTCTGTAGCTTGCATTGTGGAGAAATCCAGAAACTGGCCCTTGAGAGCTACCCCAGAGAGCAGTGCTGAGGGAGGGGCTGGGCCGGGGGGTAGGTATAGGGGCTGTGATCTGAAAATAAATTGTGGGGAGAAAAGCTGTTAGGAAGCCAGAGTCCTAGCAATGCCTTAAGTCCACTAGCTTCTAGTACCCTAGAACTGTGTCTTCCCCTTCCCTCTCCCCGAAACACATCTCCAAGTACTTCTGTGATCCACAGGCATCGAGTCTTACCTGTAAGGGTGCAGTGAGGGTGTCCCAGGGCGGAAGCCTCCACTGTTTGGATGTAACTGAGAGTCCATGGCTCCCCCAGAGATCTGCAGGAGAGGAGCACGGTTGAAACAGCTTTAGTATCTGTGGTCAAGAAAAAAGATCACCATCCCACCCATAGAAGCAAAAAGTAGGGAGAAAAATGATGTGACAAAGTGGTATCTCACAACTCTGCAACGTAGAAAGGCTTGATTATAAATACATACCAGGCAGAAAAAAATTATTATTCACTGAAGGGGTCATGCAATGGGAAGCGGGGCCTACCTGAGAACTGGAAGGCCCAGCACTGCCATAGAAAACCTCAGGATACAGGCGCTGGCCTGAGGAGCTGGGCTCCGGGACACAGTGCCCAGAATCCAGGTTCTTGGATTGTGGCTCAGCAGAGGCAGCAGCACTGGGAAGCAGCTCCCAGTCTCGTGATACAGGAATGGCCTGGGAAGGAGAGGCCTCGTGGAGAGGGATGTCTGGCATCCTGGACGCCCTGGTCACTCCCAGCAATCTTCCCCAGAAATCTTGGGCCTTTCCACCAAACTCTTACTCCCACTTACCTCAGTGACTGATGCTGTTAGCTCCTTCTCTGCTTTCAAGCTGTCTCCTACCACTAGGCGTAAGTCTGAGTCCTGTGATCACAAGAAGGCAGGAGACATTGTCCCGTGACAGACATGTGTCCTCTATGTCCCACCTTTAGTCCTTCCCTTCTCTCCACCCAACTCAGGATACCCAGATCCAGCCCACACAGACCTTGTCACTAGTGCCAAACTGGACTGGGGGACCAGGTCGATGGGATGGCCGAATGGGGCCAGGCTCTGTGCCTCGGTCTGTATGCTGTGATCGTTCTGTGCCAATGGGGCCAGGGGGCAGAGGCTGCTCCCGGGGCAGCTCCTGGATTGGGCACACAGTAAAGTGCATTGGGGGAGGGAAAGGGAAATCCAAATTGGAATGCCCAGAACACACACGCAGAGAGAAAAAGCAGAAAAAGGTAGGGCCAAAGTCAGATTCCTGGAAACATTCCCCTTATCCTTTTTTGGTCTTTTACCTTTCTGTCCCCATCGTGGGGGGCAGGTGGTGGTCTCCTAGGAGGTTCAGAGCCAGGTGGACCCTCACAAGGAACAGCATTCAGGGGTGAGGAGCCTCCAGGCCTCTTGGGGGGTCCCTCTGCTGCCCCCTTGAGTCCTCCATCAGGGGAACTTCGCTGGCTGCAGGGACCTGATGACACCTGAGAATCCCCACTCAGGTCCACCCCACTGTCAGACTGACTCATCTGAGAGGAGTGGAGAAGGAGCTAGTTAAGTCAGGGTAGAAAGCACCCCAATACCTGACTGATGCACACATACAAACTGCAGAAAGGGGACAGCCAAGTGAGAGAACAGCTCCAGACTCAACCCAGAGCAGGTGGGGGGTATGACCAGTGCTCAAAAAAGTCCCAGCTCAGACACACCCTCCCACCCTCACTCACTTCTGTGCCAGCCACATCCTCAAAAGGACTCAGGGGCTCCATCCAAGGCTCCATGGAGCTGGGCCGGTAACTCTTTCGGCTAGTGGCTGGAGAAGGGAGCACCAACCAGAAGAGAAGTGAGGAGATGACAGTTCAGAAGCCCCTCTCATTCTTAACCCTTCTACCATAGTCCTTTCACTCAGCTTTACTCACCAGTATGTAAACGGTTCCAGATGTGAGGGGTCAGGGCCTCTGTGCCTGTATCTCTGGACTCTGCCTGAGGGCCTGGGCCCTCAGGCTTAGAGCCCAAGAATCCAGAGCTATGAGGAGGTGGCAAAGATTCCTACAGATGAGAAGGGCCAGAAGCAAAACATGAATTGGGTGGGAATTGGGAATTATAGGAAGCCAGGACAGAGTGGGGTGACACAGGGTGTGGGGACAACAAGGGAGACACATGGGAGACTAATACTGAGAATTCTGGAGTAAAAACACAGTGAAAGAAACAGGAAAGAGAACAGAGAAAACATAACCCAGAAGAATTTTCACGAGTAAGAGTGCAGTGAAGCACAATCTCAAACCCATCCCTTACCTCCTGTAGCAGCTCTGGTTTTCTGGGAGGCCGCTCCCGACGTTTAGGGGGAAAGGGACTAACCCCGGCAGAGTCCCGAGGAGTCCCACCCACCCCTCTCACCATTGGCCCCGGCTCCTCAAAGTGGGGGTCTGGGAAAGAGAAAAAGGGTCAGCATCTGCCTGGCTCTGCCACTGACCCTAACTTTTCCTCTCTACTCCACCTCCCAATTCTTCTACCCTTGCTCCCTGCAGAAACGCACCCAGCAGCAGGGCCCCTAGGCCAGGTTCTCCACCCGCTCCCTCCAGCACTTGACCTTCTCTGGGGATGGAGATATTCCCACCCATAACCCCTCCAGCTTACCAGAACTGAGGCCGCTGTTGACCCTCTGGGGCTCGTATCGGGTTGGGGGCCTAGGAGAGGGGCCCTGAGGGGCTTGGGGAGGCCCAGGCTTGTGCCTTGGATGACCCCCTGGTGCAGTTACACTCCCTTGACGGCTACTAAGCTGGGCCAGAGCCTGTTGGATGCCAGCAGGGTTGCTGTGGATAACTTGGTCCAGGCGGAAGACAGCAGAACTGCTGGGAGGTGGGGGAGGCAGGGGAAGCCCCGGGGGACGCTCCTCTGGAGGACGACTGGAGAAAACAGAGCATTAGCTCCAGTATCCACTAAATCGTTACTTTTTCCCACAAGTTATGTTTCCCAACTTCTGCTTACAACCTATTCTCTTCCCTATTAAAGTCCAGGTGTTTTTGAGTCCTTCTAAGGGTTCCTATGCGTACAGATGCACAGACTGGAAAGCAAAGAACCAGCAATGAATACATAGGTGGGTGTTCTTGACTCTAACACCCTACCAACCGCTTTCCAGTTGCCTTAGCCAGACATGGAAATCCTACTGACATTCTAGAGCCCATGGCCCCTCAGGCCACAATCTCCACTACACCCAAACTTATCTTTCCCTCAGGCTTTTCCCCCCTCCTCCAATTTTTAAACCACAATAAATTTGTTTGTTCCTACCCACCTTCGGTTCTTGGGAGAGGGCCAGCTCCTCTTGTCGCCTCGTCCTGGCCCGGTCCTTCCTCCAGGACCCCCACCGCCTCCTCCACTGCTGCTGCCACTGCTGCCAGCCTTGCCCCCTGGGCCAGGGCGCCGATTCTGCCGTTCCATGCCTGGCCGCTGACTTGAGAAGCTCCGTTTACTCAAATCCTTGGCTCTCTGGCTCAGATCTCCGCGGGACATGGCTGAAATACCTGGTACGGCTCCACCTCCACCTCCCCCAGGAGTTCCCACAGCCTTGGGTGTCAGCAGTACTGGTGGGGGTGCCTCTTTGTCCCCTCGGCGCTCACTGGTGAAGTCACTGCTCTCTGATGCAGTCTCCCATTCCTCATTGGCTTGGTCTGAGTTCTGGTTTGACAGATCAGGAGACTTGGCAGCTGCCCGGCGAGGTGCTGGGGCCACTGTGACTGTTGTGAGGGCCTCCTCAGGTCCAGGAGCGGAGGCTGGAAGGGTTAGGGAGGGCTTGCCCTCAGACCCCCTTGCGGCATTCTCCCGTTCCTGCTTCAGCCTCCGGAAACGAGGCGGTTTATCCTGCTGCTGAGCCCTCCCATGTCGCCTCCTTCGGGGTCGCTCCCCATCTTCCATGCCCACATTGCTACCTCCATTGCTGCCTCCGCGCGCCACAGGGGACAGAGGCCCTGGGATCAACTTCTCTTTCAAAGGCTCCTTACTTGGTGGCAAAGGGCCTGTGGGAGGTTTCTTGGGAGCCAGAGACTTGGCTGGAGGGCTCCAGCCTGGGCAAACTTGAGGAGGGGGCCTCCCTCCTCCTCGGCCCCGGCGAGATGGCACCCCTCTGGGAGTGAAGACTCGCCCACCCCGGGCAGTGAAGCGGGCTGGGGCTGGTGAAGGTGGGGCTCCTGGTGGTGGGGGAGCGAGAGGGACCTGGGTGAGTGTTCCCTCCTTGGGTGTGGGAGCCTCCTTGTCTGAAGGAGCCAGATCACTCTCATGGGTCTCGCTGCCTGTTTCTGAGCCCCGCTGCCGGCGCCGCTTGGGGATTTCCTCATACTCTGAACCCTCGCTCCGTGTCTCGCTGGCAGTGCGGCCTCGGGGAGCAGGAGGGTGGTTTGGTCCCCCTGTCCCACCTCCACGCCCATCATCTCCTCGAAACTCTCGGTAACTGCGGAATTCCCGGCTTCGGGCTCCCCGCCCTCGTCCCCCATAGGTCCCCCGAAAACCCCTCCCTCTGGCAAAATACTCGCCTCGGCCCCGACCCCGGCAAGAGGTAGGACCCACTCTTTCATACGAATAGTCCCTCCGAAGCCTTGGGGCAGGGGAAAGATTTCCATTGGGTGGGGTCTCCTTGGGGCCCCCTAGCTTCCCCTTGGTTATCTTGAGTGGGTCTGGCTTTGGGGGTTTGGGGGTTTCATCCCCCTGTTCGAGGGGCTTGGGAGGCAGCTCTTCTACTTTTGTAGGTGGTGGAGGTTTCTTTATAGGCCCAGCCCGGCGGGGTGGGGCCCCTGGCTCCTCTGGAGGGATTCCACGACGACTGCTCCCTGGACGAGGGCCCCAGCGGGTCTCTGTGCGACTCTCTCTGCGTGGTGGTGGGGGGCCCTGGCCTCCACTCCCGACTCCGCGGGCAGGCTTTCGGCCTGCTTCTGGCCCCGTCAGCTGTGCAGTCTCCTCCTTAGGGGGCTCCTTCTTGGGTGGTGGAGTTTGTATCTTGGCCACTTCATCACTGCCTGGGGGCCAGGGGAGTGGACGGGGCCCTGGTTCCTCCAGAGGAAAGCGAGAGATTGGGGGCCCAGGGGCTCCATTCTCAGGAAAGCCTGGATAACTGGCCAGATAGGGTGGTGGGGGAGGTACTGGAGGAGTCTCGCTCCTGAAGAGACAGACAGAAAGAATGGAAATAAGTATCTCAGGAAAACCAGAACTAGGTGGGAAAAGAACACTTTATTATGATGCAGACTCTCTTTTACTATTTTTCTGTTTGTTTTGGCAGAGATGGCATCCAGTTGCCGAGGCTAGTCTCGAACTGCTGGGCTCAAGCAATCTTCTTGCCTCAGCCTCCCAAAATGCTGGGATTACAGGCATGAGCCACTCCATCCAGCCTCTCCTTTCCCGTTCATCCCTATCCCTACCACTAACCCAAAGTACCTTTCTCCCAGGCCTAGATCCTTTCACTGTGAACTCACCCATTTCTCATGACCAAGACTCACCTCATCCCCTTGTCATCCTCATCCGCAGCCTGGCGCAGAGGTGAGGTAAGTGGGCGGGGTTCAGCGGGTGTGGCGGTGAAGACATCTCCCACCCAGGCCAACTTTGGATCCACCGGTGGAGTGCCCCGTTCCCGTAACATAGCAGGTGCATGACGGTCAAATGGCTCTGAGCTTGAGCCCCCACTGTCTGAACGCTCTCGGGGAACTAGGCCTGAAGAAACCAAAGAAAAAGAAAAATAATCCTATTCATGTCACAAGCCCTCCAGCCCAAAAAGCATCTCCCCTCGCGGTCAAGTCAGCTCTTCCATCTCTTGTTCCCAGTAGGTCCGGGCCTTGCCTGCTCTTATATAACAAGGTTATCCACTCAGATTCCCTACAAGAGAATCAACCCACCCCAAATAAATCCTGGCAAATGAAGGACCACTGCTTCTTTCATTCATTCATTCATTTTTGAGATGGAGTTGTGCTATTCATTCAATTCATTTTTGAGACGGAGTTTCGCTCGTTGCCTAAGCTGGAGTGCGATGGCACAATCTCGGCTCACTACAACCTCCACCTCCTGGGTTCAAGCGTTTCTCCTGCCTCAGTCTCCCGAGTAGCTGGGACTACAGGCGAGCGCCACCACGCCGGCTACTTTTTTGTATTTTTAGTAGAAATGGGGTTTCACCACGTTAGCCATGGTGGTCTCGAACTCCTGAACTCAGCTGATCTGCCCACCTCGGCCTCCCTAAGTGCTGGGATTACAGGCGTGAGCCACAATGCCTGGCCAACCACTGCTTATTTCTTAACTAAGCCCATTTTTGCAACAGAGCTATCTCAGCAGTGCTAAGCATATGCCCTTCCCTCATCACTATGATGGGCAAAACCTATCGTACCAGAATCACAGTAAGACCCTAATATCCAATGCCTAAGACTGAGGGGACTTTCCTGTTTCTCACTCCTCCCATGCCCCCTTACCAGAGGGATGCACACCAGGAGGGTAGAAGTCTAGAGGGGGACGACCCTGGAGGAGCCGGGGGTCCACATAAGGAGGAATCATCATCCATCGGGGATCAAAGTTCATTGGGGGCATGGGTGGGGGCCGGCCCAGAGCACCTGGGTACAGGGCCTTGGGGGGCGGGGGTGGAGCCTGTGGAGCTGGCACAGCCCCCAGGGTCACAGGCTGTGGTGGTGATGGGGGCACTGGGGTAGGAGGGGCAGAGCCCTGTTGATGCTGCTGCCACTGGTGCTGCTGCTGCTGCTTCAGGAGCTGCTCCTAGGAAAGGAGGAAAGACAAGATGAGAGAGGCTCAAAGCACACATGGACAAAGGAATCAGCAAAGAAAAAACTTGGACTAGGGGAAATTGGCGTGACAATGGAGACAACTGGACAAAGAAGCAAAGGGACCCAGAAGGTAACTTATGAAGAGAATTAGGGACCGAAGCCAGGAAGAAAAGCAGCCCTTAGAGGGTAAACAACTTGATTTCACCTGCTGCTGCCGCTGGAAACGAGGAGGCAACGACTTCTGATATTTGGGGTAGCCCAAGCCCTGACTAGGGGGCTGGCGGGTGGGACCAATCCCATCACCCTTGGGTTCCACCTTTGGAACTGGGGGTGTGGTAGGAGGAGGAACCTCTTCTGGTGGTTCAGGACCCTCTTTTGAGGGCAGTTGTGGTTCCACTGCATCGGAAAAAACACAACAGAGTGATCTAGTCCAACAATAGACACTCCATGAACACCCCAGGAATCTCACGTCTCATCTCTAGCTCCCTTAAGACTAAAATATTCTATTCAACATCTATTCTATTGAAGCCCCTCCCATTTAAGACCCATTAAAGCACTTCATGGCCTCTCATGAGCCTATGGTGGTGGCATTAACTTTCTATGAAACCATTAGAACAACAGTACTTTCTTCAGTCTTGGCCTATAGGAAATAGTTTTCATTTTTATTTATGTATTTCTTGTGAGACAGGATTTTTTTTTGAGACAGAGTCTTGCTCTGTCACCCAGGCTGGAGTGCAATGGCATGGTCTTGGCTCACAGAAATCTCTGCCTCCCGGGTTAAAGCGATTCTACTACCTCAGCCTCCCAAGCAGCTGGGACTACAAGCACATGCCACCACACTTGGCTAATTTTTGTATTTTTAGTAGAGACGGGTTTCACTATGTTGGCCAGGCTGATCTTGAACTCCTGACCTCATGTTCTGCCCGCCTCGGCCTCCCAGAGTGCTGGGATTACAAGTGTGAGCCACCATGCCTGGCCGACAGGGTCTTGCTTTGTTGCCCAGGCTGGTCTCAAACTCCCTAGGCTCAAGCGATCCTCCACCCCAAGCCTCCCTAAGTGTTGGGATTATAGGCGTGAGCTACAGTACTCTGCCAAGAAATGGTATTAGACTACAACCTAAGATTCCAGACAAAACCTTCCCTCCTTCAGATATACAAATGATAGAACACTATCACTGACAGTCCAATAAACCAAAACAACTGCCTTCTACTTCATTTATCCCCAGCCTTACCACCCTGCACCTTTAAGCACCTTGAAGCAGTGATCTGACATCTGGTAGTACCTATCCCCATCTCCATACCTGGGCTGGCTTCGAAGCTGCCACTGCTGGTGCTACTGGTACTGCCACCACCACTCACCAGAGTGGGAGCCGCAGCCACACCTGGAGTAGGAGTAGATTGGGCAGGAGGGGCCTGTGCTGGCTCTTCAGGTTCTTTCTCTGGTGTTGGGGCTGATGCTGGAGGTGGAGCTGGAGGTGCAGGGAGTTCTTTAGGGACTGCAGGTGGTGGAGCTGGGGTAGAAGGGGCAGCAGGTGGGGCAGCAGGCTCTGCTTTGAGCCGCTTGTCAGGTGCCCCAAACTTTTCATCGAGTCGCTTGAGCTTCTCAGCACAGGCTGCCCGGCGCTCTTCTTGCATGCGCCGCTCCTCTTCTTCTCGCCGTCGCCGGGCCCGCTCCACTGCCAGGGAAATCTCAGATGACGACTGCTTTCGTCGCTGCCGCCATGCCTCATCCTCATCTTCAGGTGCTGGGGGCTTGCAGGGAGGACCCCCACGATCCTGTCAATTGGCAAGACCCAGCAGGGCCAGGGGAATCAGTTACTATGCTTTCTATCATCTCTTTTACAACAAATCAACTGTCGCTACTTGCAGGATGCAACGACCCAGGCTTTGGGGTTGATCTCTCTGGGTGGTGACAAACTCATTATCCTGGTCTTCTTTGAGACCACGTCTTGCTATGTTGCCCAGGCTGGTCTTGAACTTGGGCTCAAGTGATCCTTCTGCTTCAGCCTGCTGAGTAGCTTGGACTACTGATGCATACTAACAGATCCAGCTATCTAGCCACCCTAGTCTTTTTATTTTTCTGTTCCCTCTCTCCTTCCGAAACCCAAACACCCAGGGCTCCTTTTTCTTCTTTCCTCATTAGCATCCCAGTTTCTCACTTCTTACCCAGACTCCCCTATTACCAAAGATATTTAAAAGCTTCCCAGGATGTTCTGCAGCCTGGCACTTCACACAGCCCATTTTTAGCACCCCCCTTCCTCTATATCACAACCGCTTCAATTACTCAGCTGACACCAATTTCCCACAGCTGACCCTCTCAATCCCTTATTGGAGACACTCACTGGGTAGTCCCCAGGGGGGCCCCAGTTCCCGGCGGGGCCCCGGTGAGGTGGGGGTAGGGGAGGCTTTGGGGCAGGAGGTCCCGGCTCTGTCTCTGGAGGCCGAGAGGTTTCTGCCCAGGCCGTCTTAGGAGTGGGCGGTTCGCTGTTGGGGGAGTTGCCCTTTTTGCCATCTGCTTCAGGGGGCCGTTCCTCACCAGAAGCTGATTGGGAATCCCTGCTGTGAGCAGATCAACAGTGAAATTAAAATCAGCTGCAACTAATATACTCCTCTAAGAGTATATTACCAAAATACAAACCAAGACCCCCTCCTCTTCTCCCCTGATGGCCCTAACTCACTGGCCCTCAGCTCCCTCCTCATCAGAGTCTCGCCCATCTTCCTCATCGCTGAACTTGAGCTTTTCAGTGTAGTCAACCTCTTCATGGGCCCCTGAGGGGAAATATGAGTATTAGTAACCCAAGCATTCTGCCCTCCAATCTTGGGAGGTAGTCTGGAACTATGTAACAAGATGGACTACCAATGCCAATATCCTTCCCTCCGAAGTCTAGATCCACCAATGAAGTCTTGTCATTCTTACTCCTCTCACCACTTTGCAAGGACTTGGTATTCCCCATCCATCCTCCCCTACTCTTTTTTTTTTTTCCTTTTAAAAGTCTCGCTCTGTTGCCCAGGATGGAGTTCAGTGGCACGATCATAGCTCACTGTGACCTCCAACTCCTGGGCTCAACTGATCCTCCCACCACAACCTCCAGAGTAGCTGGGACCACAGATGCACAGTCCACACCCAACTAAAAAATTTTTTTTTTTTTGTAGAGGTGGGGGGTCTTGCTGTGTTGCCCAGGCTGGTCTTGAACTCCTGGCTTCAAGCGATCCTCTCACCTAACACTCCCAAAGCACTGGGATTACAGATGTGAGCCATTGGGCCTGGTCTTCCTACACTTCAATGTCTGCCTTTCACCCACATAACCCTGTATTTTTTTTTCCTCATTAGGTTTTGCCTTTCAAGATCCAAATTCTTGACCCTTAATATCCACTTACCTGCCCAACCATCATCATTCTCCTGATCCAACTGATCAAACTCTTTGAGATTATCCTCTTTGAGAATAGAGGGACGACCCACAGGCTCTACTAAGCGCATTGGTGGCCCTGAGCCTCGGGGGCCCGCCACACGGGGAAAACGGCTGTACACAAAAAAGAAAATGAAATATGGCATGTTGTATAACCACATGCGAGACTGATCCTAGACTGAGCCTCCTGGCTAGAAAACCATCTCCTCCCCCAATAAGCTTCCCCTGCCCCCAGCCACAAACCCAGACCTGGATTGCTCACCTGGGCCCATCAGGAGTGGGGTATCGGTAAGGCCCCTGGGGTCCATAGGGCGGAGGGAACGGGAGATATGGGGGATACATCTGTAAAAGGGTCCAACAGTAGCTGCTCAGAGGGACAGTCATATACCCTTCTAGCTCCTTAAGCCTGCTATCAATCATCCTCCCACCCTCCCTTCTATCTCATAGGTCAAAGACTAAGTCCTGATTCCTAGCTCTCCAGCTTCCAGTGTAATCGTTCCAAGACAAGACACCAAGACTCACGAAAGGCGGCATCATTCCGCGGTAGGGAGGGAACTGGGGTGGGCCTGAAGGCTGTAGCCCACCCCGGGGATCATGACCATGATGAAGTTTGGAGTCCGGGCCCTCCAGCTCATCAGGGCCACGCCCACCTCCGTCCCTCCAAGTTGTAGAATCTGTATTTTGGAAAAGGTAGAGAGAGGTATCAATGATTGGAGGACAAGTGAACACAGCTGAAAGTGATGGGGAGGAAGGTGAATAAGCCAGCACCTAGCTCTGAGATGCAATAGGTAATGTCTTGGCCAAAAGGCAGCCACTCACTTTGGGGGCGGAGGCTTGGTCCGGGCCCAGACGACTGTTCGGCAGACTCCCTTTCCTTGGCAGCCTTGTCCTGGTCGCCAGCCGCCTGCAGGGTCGGAAATTCCTCTCGAGAGAATCGTGACAGTAGGCTTGATGCCCTTCCACCTATTAGGATGGGGATGCAGAACAGGAGACAGAAGACATTTCCTGAGGACATGCTATAAAAGTGGAAGACTCTGGCTGGGCGCGGTGGCTCACGCCTGTAATCCCAGCACTCTGGGAGGCTGAGGCGGGCGGATCACGAGGTCAAGAGATCGAGACCATCCTGGCCAACATGTGAAACCCCATCTCTACTAAAAACACACAAAAAATTAGCTGGGTGTGTTGGCGTGTGCCTGTAGTCCCGCTACTCTGGAGGCTGAGGCAGGAAAATCGCTTGAACCCAGGAGGCAGAGGTTGCAGTGAGCCGAGATTGCACCACTGCACTCCAGCCTGGGTGACAGAATGAGACTCCGTCTCAAAAAAAAAAAAAGTGGAAGGCTCTGACAGGTACCAGACCATCAGGTTTCCCGCCTTCAAACTCACCCCGCTACAGAATAACTGCTTATTCCCCAAGGAGGTCAGTTCTGGCACCACTACACTCCATCATATAAGACTGAGACTTAAACTTGCTC
The DNA here is from genome assembly GCF_000001405.40 of Homo sapiens. Taxonomy (NCBI): domain Eukaryota; kingdom Metazoa; phylum Chordata; class Mammalia; order Primates; family Hominidae; genus Homo; species Homo sapiens. The sequence continues at coordinate 3,101,947 of NT_113891.3, read as the reverse complement.
ATGTGCCTCCATGAAACTGAATATGGGTGGTCCTTGATTTAGCCAAAGAGGACCAAGGTCACTTGGCTGAAAATACAGTGCAGGGTTCATGCATCCCATGGTGCCCAGACACAGCTCCCCAATTAAGTGCTGCACTCACCATCTCCATGTGCTCCATGGGTGACGCTGGCTTGTGCCCAGGACTTTACCCCGCTTGGAACCAAAGGAGTGTTCTGGGGAAGTGTTCAGAAAGATGATAAATGATGTGGGTGGGGCAGCTATGAACCATTCTTCCTCCCCACCCCTCCAGTTCTCCAGGTACCTCGGGGGCTGCTGGGGGTCGTTTCGGCTGGTTGGAGGCAGGCGTCTGTGAAGCCGGCAGTGGCTGCGATTCCGGCGGCTGAGCGGTTGAGGCATCGGAACTGAGGGGACAGAATGGGAAGGTTATTCACACCTGAGATGCCTCCCTGACTTCTCCAACTGGTGGAGACTCAGGACTGAAATCATGCCCATTGCTACCATTTACAAATATAAGGACAAAATAATTTTGTCATCCTTTGTAGGCTGTTGTCTATTTTTTCATGCTCTCTCTCCAAGACAAAAAGCTAAAGTTTAGTACCATTCCTTAGTCATTTAACAAGGAACCTGCAACAGGTAAGAAAGGGACCTCTTCGTCTCTGGCTCAGACGTGGCTGGACTAAACCAAGCCCCAATGCTCCCTGAAGTTCAAGTTAAAATACCCATCACTCTAGGTCCCCCAAGCCTCTGTCTACCTCTTGGGGTCGGACTGCTCCTGTTTGCTTGCCCATCCTGTTCCGTCTTTTGGCACTAGTGAGACATTGGGGTCATTGCCTTTGTTCTCGGCTTTCAGGCTTGGAAGGTTGGCTGGAGGTGGCATACGCCGGGCAATGGCAACTTTCCCGAGACTCTGCAGGCCATGGCGAGGGGCAACTGGAGAACAAGACGGAGAGAGGGTCGAAAATGCCTCATGTGGGAGATCTGATGGCCTCCTATCCTGGGACACATTTATACATGTTGAATATTTTATTACCTACTTCCTCCAAACTTCTCTTAGAAGGGATTCCTTCCCCTGCCCTTAATAATCTCTGAAATCGCGCTGATTGTGGTGGCTCACACTTTGCAATCCCAGCACTTTGGCAGGCCGAGGCAGGCGGATCACCTGAGGTCAGGAGTTCAAGACCAGCTTGACCAAAATGGAGAAACCCTGTCTCTACTAAAAATACAAAATTAGCCGGGTGTGGTGGCGCATGCCTGTAATCCCAGCTACTCAGGAGGCTGAGGCAGGATAATCGCTTAAACCCAGGAGGTGGAGGTTGTGGTAAGTCAAGATCACACCATTGCACTCCAGCCTGGGCAACAGGAGCTAAACTTGGTCTCAAAAAAAAAAAAAAAAAAAAAAAAAATCTATGAAATCCCTATCAAGAAGGCTGAGATATGTAACATTCAATACTTTTATGTGAGATTGGTTGATCATGAGCCTGCAAGAAGCAAGCTGGCCTCAAAGTTTCCCAAATCCACATTTATTTTCCTCCAATTCTTACGTGTCCAAAGACAGGGAACCACAGACACGCCTTTGTAGGAGGATAACTGGTGTTCACCCAGAGCCCACACCCCCTTTAAAGGACCCAGTGTAAAGTTGGGAAATCTCCTCTAGTCTTTTGGTATTTCTACTACAGCCACTTCCCTTTAAAGAGCTCTAAAACGTATGCCCCATGCATGCCTAGCTTTCAACCATCAGAAGCATCTTTGCAGGACTCTCACCAGCGGGTTTCTGGATCTCTAAGGACTTGCCCTTATACGTATCAAACAGGTTGAGCGAGGAATACTTCTTTCCATCCTTTCCCTTGGCAGTCGGCCCCGAGCGATCGGACATTGCGCTGGAAGCTCATTGAGTATGTTGGGTCCTGCAGGCACCTCCCCCAAAACGTGCCAGAGCCTGTGGGCCAGACAGCAAGTGTCTCAGTCTCTGTCCCCTGTACAGACCATAACAGAAACTTAAAAACTCCATTGCATTATCATTAGGGACTCAGATATGAGGCCCTCTGGTGTCTTTTCCTCCAGTCTATGTAAACTGCCCACTCTTCTTAAGCAACCATGATCTACTTAGCTCCCTCATAGCTCAAATGCCATGTTCCCTCCTTTCCCCCAGACACCTTTGTCAAGGAAATCTAAGTAAAAATCCAGCATCCTCCTAGTATAAACACTCTGCCCTTTGTGCCTGTCTACAAAGAGTAATTCCCTACAAGTAATAATCTCTTCTCTCTCCACCAAAATCGTTTCAGAGACTTACAACAGGACAAATTCAAGCAAGAGAAAACTAAAAAAGAAGCATACAATTCCATCAGAGAAGAAGAAACAACACTTTAGATTCCCTGTTTATTGGACACAAGCTCCCTAATCATGCCCCCAGGGCCCTGTACCCCAGGCTCCCAGCCCAGCAGCCTCGTGTCCATCTGGGAAGGTTTGCAGGAAGGTATGCTGGGAGTTTAAGGATTTTATGAGCTTGCTCAGCCGGAATGGGGGTTGGTACCAGAGAAATCCTCATAGAACAACTAGGGCTGTACATACTCCCAGGCTATAGGAACCTCAAGTATTTGAAATATCCCATCTTTTCCTAAACTTGCTCCTGTATTGGCTCCTGGAAAAAATCGCCTCCAGATGAAATACTGTTTTACCATATGAAGAACTGAGAAAAAGCATTATGGAGCCACCTTAGCACCCTGTAACCATGGGCCAGAAAACAGAGGGCCAAGGCCAGAGCCATCTTCGTTTTCCTATCCTCATTAAAAATGTCCATCACCAGTGTTTCTTTACTCGATACCTCCAGCTCCCTAAGCAAGCCGGACGACAGGTCTCTCAGTCCATTCCAGAGTGACCAGGCATTCGTTTATGGACGGGAACAGTGTAAAGAGATGAGAAATAGTGGGGAAGAAAGCAGGGAAATCCAGACAGGCCCAGAATGAAAGCTAAAATTGGGGAGAAAGAACTTTATGACAAGCTAGAGATAAGATGGATGTTGCTTCGTAGGTGTTTGAGGAGGCCAATCTGTGAAGATAAATATATGAAGGGAAAACGAATACAAGAGTCATGTAGCGAATAGACCAAAACTAACAGAAAATAATGAATACGAAAGCAGGTGGAAAATATATGGAAACAGGAATGGCAAAAAAAAAAACGATGTAGACAACGAAGTAAGGGGGCAGAGGCCCAAGAAGAAAAACGGGGTTGGGGGAGAAAGGAGACGAGGAACAGGAAAAATGAAAAAGCAGACATAGGGCGACTGAGCAACATAGAAAGCAAAGATGCTGGGATAAAAGCAGGATTCTAGAGTGGGAGTGGCTCGACACGAAGAGGGGCGTCCAGAGGGGGGAACACAGCGCTGGATGATAGGAGGGGGTCCAATATGGAGGAAAAGCGCCCTTCCGAGAGAACCGTCGGGCGCGGCCCACCACGGGGCGGCAGCCGGGGAGGGGGCCCACAAATGGGGGTGAAAAGCCAGGAGCGCAGCGGAGGGTAGGGAGTTACGGACCCAGGCGCAGGGGTCACCCCCTGAAGCCAAGACGGTGGGTGGTTAGGGGCAGACTACGGATCCTGAATGAACTGCCGGAGGTGCGGGTCCCGGAGTAGAGGTACCGGAGGGGGAGGGGCAAGCAGGCCCGGCAGCAGGAGGACAAAATGGCGGCGGCTAATGGCAGCTTCTCCTCCCCCCGGCCCACCACCGCCGCCGCCGCCGCCACCGCCACCGCCACCACCTCTCCCGCGCCGGAAAAGGGCGTCAGCGCACGGTTCACCCAGACTCACCTGGCCGGGTGCGCGGGGATCCGGGACCCGGGCCTAGGGGCTCCCCGGGACGGGATGGCGGTGGGGCGGGGGAGGATGGCGGCGGATGGCGCCGGGTTCGGCTCCTCCCGTCTCCCTCGCTCACTCCGCGGCTGAGCCCCGACTAACGGCCCATCCGGGCAACCGCCGCCCCCGGGAGCACCCCCTCCCACCTCCCACCTCCCTCCGCGCCTAGACACGCCCCTTAATTTGCATAAAGGGCGGGGCACTTTCTACCCTAACCCTCTACTTCCAGGGCTGTCTTTAGTTTAAAAAAAAAAAAAAAAAGGGCCGGGCGCGCGGAGCATGCGGAGGTTATTTGCATAAAGAGGAGGGACTTAAGGGCACTAGGACCCCGATTGGCTAAGGAGGCGGGCCCCCAGCGTCGGCCGTTGAGCCGTGTTGAGGGGGCGGGAATGCGGTGCAGGTCGGCTGGGCGGTTGGGACGCAGAATTTACACGACGAATGTGGGAGAAAGAGGCGGAGCGTGCGTCGGACGTTAGTAGAAAGATGGGAGCGGAGAGACGTTGGGACGCCAAAAGTGGAAGGCAACGACACACGGCCCGTGGCGCCTTCAGCTAGGGAGAAAGAGAGAGAGGACGGGGGCTGGCGGGCGGGATTAGCTGCCGGAGGGCTGAGTTTCCGCAGGCCTGGTAAGAGTTCCAGCTCTCGCATCCCTTTGCCGTGAGTTTGAGGAGGTGGTTGGAGCGGGGAAATGCACCAGAGGGGCGGGGCCTTCCAGTTATTATATTACGTCATGCAAATGAGGTGGCTAGACAGACCAATCCAAAGGCCCCGGGAAGCGTTTCGTCCGCACCACGCAGCGTAGGCATTCTTCGGGCAGTTCTACCTATTTGCATAATGTATGCAAATCATTTGAACAAAGATAGGCTAGGAATGACTCGTTCATCAAAATATGGGCAACCATCGACTAAGACGGACATTTAATTTTATAACCTATAATTTTCATGAATAAATTTTTATATTTGAAATTATTGGGAATTTGTAATTTCTTAACAATGGGTTTCATTTTGTGAAATGCAGTACTGTTACCCTCCTTTGTCTCTTACTACCCGATTCTAGAACTCTCTGCTCCCATCAGAGTTATACCCATTCAACAGATCATTCAATGACTATGATTTGAAGGCGCTGGAGATAATGCACAGGATATTATAGAAGTAGAGAAATAAGGCCTGGCGCGGTGGCTCACGCCTGTAATCCCAGCACTTTGGGAGGCCTAGGCAGGTGGATCACGAGATCAGGAGTTCAAGACCAGCCTGGCCAACATGATGAAACCCCATTTCTACTAAAAATACAAAAATTTGCCCTACGTGGTGGCGGGCGCCTGTAATCCCAACTACTCGGGAAGCTGAGGCAGAGAATTCCTTGAACCAGGGAGGCGGAGGTTGCACTCCAGCCTGGGTGACAGAGCAAGACTACGTCTCAAAAAAAAAAAAAAAAAAAAAAAAAGAAGGATGGGCGCGGTGGCTCACGCCTGTAATCCCAGCACTTTGGGAGGCTCAGGCGGGCGGGTCACCTGAGGTCACGAGTTCGAGACCAGCCTGACCAACATGGAGAAACCCCGTCTCTACTAAAAATACAATTACCCAGGCGTGGTGGCGCATGCCTATGATCCCAGCTACTCGGGAGGCTGAGTCGGGAGAATCGCTTGAACCTGGGAGGCGGAGGTTGTGGTGAGCCAAGATCGTGCCATTGCACTCCAGCCTGGGCAACAAGAGCGAAACTCTATCTCAAAAAAAAAAAAAAAAGAAAGAAGTAGAGAAATAAAATATGATTATGCCTGGGGTGATTGAGAAATGTTTCTAGAAAAACTCTTATTAAGAGATATGAGGCCGGGCGTGGTGGCTTATGCCTGTAGTCCTGGCACTTTGGGAGGCTGAGGCGGGCAGATCACAAGGTCAAGAAATGGAGACCATCCTGGCCAACATGGCAAAACCCCGTCTCTACTAAAAATACAAAAATTAGCTGGACTGGTGGCGCGTGCCTGTAGTCTCAGCTACTTGGGAGGCTGAGGCAGGAGAATCGCTTGAACCTGGGAGACGGAGGTTGCAGTGAGCTGAGATCACGCCACTGCACTCCAGCCTAGCGACAGAGTGAGACTACGTCTCAAAAAAAAAAAAAAAAGAAAAAGAAAAAAAAAAGGGCCGGGAGCGGGAGCAGTGGCTCACGCCTGTAATCCCAGCACTTTGAGAGGCCAAGGTGGGTGGGTCACCTGAGGTCAGGAGTTGGAGACCAGCCTGGCCAACATGAGACTCCATCTCAGGAAAAAAAAAAAAAAATGATATGAAGAATGATCGGAGTAGATATCTGTCAAAAATATATAAATAAATAGATATGAAGAACGAGTTAGAACTTACCCAAGTTTCAGAAGAAGGTGTACATCTCAGGTGCAGAGAACAGATTAGTGGAGGCATGAGTTTGGGGGCCTGTGCCTAGGCTGATATGGCTAAATAAAGGAGGCGGCTTATTCATTATGAAAAGTGAAGGCAGAAAAGTTTGCAGAAATCAGATGAGAATTTTAGTCAGAGGCTCAGTAAGATTTAAGATGACTTCTGTTTTCAAACTTCCAAAATGATTCTCTTCTCCCTTCTCCCCGGCCGGCTACCACACATACCGTTTTGTTACCCTTTGCAGCAAAATTCTTAAAAGGGATGTCCATAGTCATTGTCTCCAATGAGTTTCTCCTTCCAGTCTTTTTTTTTTTTTTTTTTTTTTTTTGAGACAGAGTCTCACTCTTGTCACCCAGGCTGGAGTGCCATGGCGTGATCTCGGCTCACCGCAACCTCCACCTCCCGGGTTCAAGCGATTCTCCTGCCTCAGTCTCCCGAGTAGCTGGGATTACAGGCACCTGCCACCATGCCCAGCTAATTTTTTGTATTTTAGTAGAGATGGGGTTTCACCATGTTGGCCAGGCTGGTCTCCAACTCCTGATTTCAGGTAATCTGCCCGCTTCGGCCTCCTGAAGTGCTGGGATTACAGGCGTGAGCCACCACGCCCAGCTGTAAATTCTTTGCTTTATTTAATAGCACCAGTTCTTTCATTCATCTACCCATTCAAGTGTTTTTTGTTTGTTTGTATGTTCGGTTTTTTTTTTTTTGAGACGGAGTTCGCTTTTTAGTTGCCCAGGCTGGAGTGCAATGATGCGATCTCGGATCACCACAACCTCCACCTCCTGGGTTCAAGAGATTCTCCTGCCTCAGCTTCCCAAGTAGCTGGGATTACAGGCATGCGCCACCACACCAGGCTAATTTTGTATTTTTAGTAGAGACGGGGTTTCTTCATGTTCGTCAGGCTGGTCTCGAACTCCTGACCTCAGGTGATCTGCCCACCCCATCCTCCCAAAGTGCTGGGATTACAGGCATAAGCCATCGGCCCCGGCTCATTCAAGTTTTAAACATTATTGAGGGCTTATGATATGTCAGGCACAATAGCATAGGTCACTTTATCCCCATTTTTAGAAAAAAGCCTCACAGAGGCTGAGTGATTTGTCAAAGTGACAAAGCTTATAGTGGTGGAGAATGTTGGTTCATGGTATTCCTTGCTCTTCATGAAATCTGTCATGGGCCTGAGTACCTTGTTTGGACATGTGTTTTTGTCCTGCCTGCATTCTTTGAGGTTAAGGCTGTCTTACACAGCTGGAATCCCCCTTGGTGCGTGAAACCATCTGCTGTAGTGGACACACTATAGCGTTGTTGATGGATTGTTCATATGGCCAAATCCTTGCCACCTTTCCCTCAAGACCTGTCTCTCCTTCCCAAACCCAGGAAAAAAATCACCCAAATAAAAACTAAGCTGACTTGATCTGGAGGAGGGGGTAATTTATTTAATTTGTTGACTCTGGCTTACAATTTTGTCTTCTGTTTCCATATCTGGGTCATTAGAAGCCCCTTCAATCCCATCATCCCTTTTCCCTTCAAATCAGGGCAACTCAGAGATAGCTTTCTTGGCTGGGGGGCCTGTTGGCTTTTCCTTTTCTCTCGCTTTTTCCTCATACATCAGGATCCTGGTTGAGATGGGAAGAGGCACAGGGATCAGGGAACACTCCTCTCAAGGGAATAAATCATAGGGTGCTAGGAAAGGCTAGAAGGGGATGGGGATGTGAGGGTGGAAGGGGGAAGAGGAAGGGCAGGGGTTGGAGTTTCTGGGGACCAGGACTATGGATAGGGATGGGGTCGGGACCTTGGAAGGGTCCCTCTAAGGATGGAAGAAGGGATGATGGGCAACGTGTAGAAATGTTGAGCCTGTGGACAAGGGTAGGGATGGGGGAGGAGAAAACAGGTAAGTACAGGGGAGGTTGGAAATTGACACTCACATTTTTAGGATGGCAGATCTCTTGCCCAGCATCATCCTGAGAAAGTCAGGGTAGCTGAACGTCTCCCCGGAGCCACTGGACACCTCTCCAATTAATTTCTTTAGCTCTAGGTGAGTCTTGGGGACTCCAAGTTTCTCCAGCATTCGTTTCAGGGACATGATATCTGGGGGCAGAGGATGGGGATGGGGAGAAGGTGGGGAGACCCTCTCTCTCCTCTCCCACTTCCGCATCCCCATTCTCCTTCCTCCCACTGTGGTAGGTGGGCCCCCTCCCAAATCATGAGGAATGGAGCATGTAGGAGAGACCTCTGTCTTCTTAGGCCTGCACACCACCCTGCCCCCGCAAATCACCCGTTTCTCACCAATATCGCCATTTCCATTAAGGTCAAACTCCATGTATTTCTCTGGGTGAGGGGAGAGAGCAGAAGGGATAAGCGCTGACTGGAGGGTTTTCAGCAGGGGACTGAGGAAGGGGTTGCCAACCAACTGCTAGGTGGAGGAGACAACGTGGAAGGAGGAGGAGGGGCAGGCAGAGGAAGTGGGGTTGGGGAGTTGAGGGGCCCCGCTAGGGTGTAAGGAGCTAGAGGGGATGCTGAGAGAGGCAGGCCCGGGAAAGGGACCGCAGTGTGGCAGGAGGGCAATAAAGGCAGGTTCCCCTTTTGCTACCACAAAAGTAAACTTTTTATCTCTGCTGTTCCTGCCTTGTTCTTGTGGAAATCCTAACCCTCCTACCCCCAGCCCTGTCTCCACCGCCTACAGTTTCCCCCTCACCTTTGAAGCCTTCCAGTTTGGAGGGCAGATCCTCATCACTGCTATATTTGGGATCGTCTAGGAATTGCTATGGAGGGGAAAATAAGAGCCAGGGTAGGCCCTCCCCATCCACGCCCCATCCCCCTGGCTCTGCCCCCTTAGTTCTTCCTTCTACCTTGTTGATCTCATCCAGCCTCTCTTCCTGCTGGGCCTTCAGCAGTCCGAAAGCTTTTCCTCCTGTGGGGTGAAAAAAATTAATCAGCCCTCATCCCTCCCTTCCTCTCCTTACCCTGACACCAGCCCGGGCTACCCTAGGCCAGCTGACTGCCCTCCTAGCCCACAGCCCAGGTCTGTCCATCTCATTCCTCCGATCTAATGCCGCTGCCTATCCCACCCTCCCTACCCTGTAAATCCCTGGTTTGGCTCATAGCTCAGCAGATGCTGGTAGAGGTGGGGAGACAGACCAAGCTGGAGGCCTCTGTCTGCAGGCTCTCCTTCTCTCCCACCAGTCTTCTCAGAAGCCTTCCTCCCAAACTTCCCCTTTCCCCTCATTCCTTCCTCCTCTGCCTCCCAGACCTCACTTCCCCATCAGGTTCTGCTGACACTAGCACCCCAGGAAGGAGGGGGAGCCTGGTGTGAAATGCAGATTAGAAAATAACATTCTCCCAAATTCCTCTTAAATGAGAGCCCAGTGTGCGCATGAAACAAATATTTTGATAAGCCACTGGAGGTGTGCAGGAAGGGCAGGAAGACACCAGGGATATTTATTCTCAGGAACTAGTATTTTTGAACAGGTCCAAGGTTCAGGTAATGATAAGACCTTGCATTTTGTCAGGTTTCATGAGTCTGGGCAGGCAGCTGTGGATAGGAAGACAAGGAAGGGCTGGCTGAATTTTTCTGCTCTGTAGATCGGAGAAGAATCTGAAGTCTGCTGGCAGCTCCAGGAGGGTGACAAGATGGGCACAGGGTTTAGAAAGGGAGAGAAACCTCACTCCCAGCCTGGCAGCTCCAAGGAGGCCCTTAAAAATATGGAAATGTCTAACAAAACATTTTAATTTGTTTGCTTTAGAATGTGCAACGTAACCCTCTCATCTTATCTCCTTTGAAATCTTTAGTAAAATCTATAGAGATCAGGAATTTAAGAGTTTAAGTAGATTCTTTGGAGGAACTGAAAGTGGTACTTAAAGAAACAGCGTTTGTGGACAGAAGAGCCAGGGAGTGAGGCTGACATCAGGTTTGCACACTGCGCGTGCGTGCACACATGCAGGCATGTTTGTGTGATGGTGGTGCTGGTCACTGTGGGTTCAACAGAGTGGATGATAGCCTCTGACACATGCCTCCCTAGGCATAACCTTTATCCCCTCTGTCACTCTGTTTGGCCAGTCGCTTCTTGGAGAGGTGAGGACAGCACATTTCCCTCATTGAGATTTCCTGGTCCAAACTCCCTGCCCAGGGCTCCATCTACCCTGCCCCGGCATTGATGAAGACACCTTTCCTTCTCCCTTCCCCGCAACATATTTCCTTTTCTGTAGCTGGGAGTTTTCACTTCTCACTGCCCTCTCCCTGACCCAAGCCAGGTAGGGGAGATGCTGGAGTGGCCTCTGGCTGCTGCTGCTGCTTTTTTTTTTTTTTTGAGTCGGAGTCTTGCTCTGTCGCCCAGGCGGGAGTGCAATGGTGCAATCTCGGCTCACTGCAACCACTGCCTCCTGGGTTCAAGCAATTCTCCTACCTCAGCCTCCTGAGTAGCTGGGACTACAGGCGCCCACCACCACGCCCAGCTAATTTTTGTATTTTTAGTACAGATGGGGTTTCGCCATGTTGGCCAGGATGGTCTCTATCTCTTGACCTTGTGATCCACCCACCTCAGCCTCCCAAAGTGCTGGGATTACAGGCATGAGCCACTGCACCTGGCTGGACTCTGGCTTCTTGACTTCCCTTTATTGCAGCTACATTCTCCTGCTGCAGAGAGAGCTGCAACCCTGTACTCCCAATGTTCTCAGTGCCTGCTGGGAGGAACTCACTTCTTTATTCATACGTTCACTCAACAGATATTTACTGAATGCTTACTATATGCCAGACATGCCTCTAGGCCCAGAGAACCCAACAAATGAAAACTCTTGTCTTCATGGTTGATCTAATTGGGGAAGGCAGACAATACAAATAAATAAGTATATTAAAGGTGCTAGGTGGCCAGGCGCAGTGGCTCACGCCTGTAATCACAGCACTTTGGGAGGCTGGGGCAGGCGGATCACAAGGTCAGGAGTTGGAGACCAGCCTGACCAACATGGTGAAACCCCATCTCTACTAAAAATACAAAAATTAGCAGGGCCTGGTGGTGCGTGCCTGTAATCCCAGCTGCTCAGGAGGCTGACGCAGGCGAATCGCTTAAACCCGGGAGGCAGAGGTTGCAGTGAGCTGAGATCGCGCCATTGCACTCCAGCCTGGGCAACAGAGTGAGACTCCGTCTCAAAAAAAAAAAAAAAAAAAAAAAAAAGGCGCCAGGTGCCTATGGAGGAAAACAAAGTAGGGAAGAGGGGACATAGGAGTATTATTGCCAATGGTCCCCAGTTTTTTGTTTTTTGTTTTTTGTTTTTTTTTTTAAACGGAGTCTCACTCTGTCGCCCAGGCTAGAGTGCAATGGCTTGATCTCAGCTCACTGTAACCTCCGCCTCCTGGGTTCAAGCGATTCTCCTGCCTCAGCCTTCCGAGTAGCTGGGATTACAGCCACCTGCCATCATACCTAGCTAATTTTTGTATTTTTGTAGAGGCGGGGTTTCACCATGTTGACCAGGCTGGTCTTGAACTCCTGACCTTAGGTGATCTACCCACCTCGGACTCCCAAAGTGCTAGGATTACAGGCGTGAGCCACTGCACCCAGCTTTTTTTGTTGAGACAGAATCTCGCTCTGTTGCCCAGGCTGGAGTGCAGTGGCACAATCTCAGCTCACTGCAACCTCTGCCTCCCGGGTTCAAGCGATTCTCCTGCCTCAGCCTAATGAATAGCTGGGATTACAGGCGATCACCACTATACCCGGCTAATTTTTGTATTTTTAGTAGAGATGGGGTTTCACCAAGTTGGCCAGGCTGGTCTTGAACTCCTAACCTTGTGATCCTCCCACCTTGGCCTCCCAAAGTGCTGGGATTACAGGTGTGAGCCTGACTTGTCCCCAGTTTTAAATATGGTGGTCTGGCCAGACACGGTGGCTTACGCCTGTGGTCCTAGCCACTTGGGAGGCTGAAGTGAGAGGATCGCTTGAGCCCAGGAGATCAAGGCTGCAGTGAGCCATGACCGTGCCATTACACTCCAGTCTGGGCAACAGAGTGAGACCCTGTCTCAAAAAATACAATAAAATAATAAAATAAATAGAGTGGTTAGAGAAGCGTTCTCTGAAAAAGTGATATTTGAGCAAAGATTTCTTTTCTTTTTTTTGAGATGGAGTCTCACTCTGTCACTCAGGCTAGAGTGCAGTGGTGCAATCTCCACTCACTGCAACCTCCACCTCCCGGGTTCAAGTGATTCTCCTGCCTCAGCCTCCAGAGTAGCTGGGATTACAGGCACCTGCCACCACGCCCAGCTGGCTAATTTTTTGTATTTTTAGTGAGACGGGGTTTTACTATGTTGGCCAGGCTGGTCTTGAACTCCTGATCTCATGATTCGCCCACCTCGCCCTCCCAAAGTGCTGGGATTACAGGTGTGAGCCACCACGCCTGGCCGTTTGATCAAAGATTTTAAGCAAGCAAAGGAACAAGCCTCTGTCTTCCTAGGCCTGCACACTTCCCCAAATCACCTTTTTTCACTGATATCTCTGTTTCCATTCTGGTCAAACTTTATGTATTTCTTTGGGTAAAGAGAGAGAACAGACAGGGTAAGCACTGGCTAGAGGGTCTTTGGCAGAGGATCGAGGAAGGCATTGCCAACCAAGTGCTAGGTTGAGGAGAGGATGTGGAAGGAGGAGATGGGGCAGGCAGAGTGGGCTTGGGGAGTTGAGGGACCATGTAAGGTGGATATACGGCTAGAAAGAAAAATACTTATTTTTTTTTTTTTGAGACAGAGTCTCCATCTGTCGCTAGACTGGAGTGCAGTGGCGCGATCTTGGCTCACTTCAACCTCCACATCCTGGGTTCAAGCGACTCTCCTGCCTCAGCCTCCCAAGTAGCTGGGACTACAGGTGCGCACCACCATGTTCAACTAATTTTTGTAATTTTAGTGGAGACGAGGTTTCACCATGTTGGCCAAGATGGTCTCGATCTCTTGACCTTGTGATCCACCCACCTTGGCCTCCCAAAGTACTGAGATTATAGATGTGAGCCACTGCGCCTAGCCAGAAAAATATTTATTGATCCTAAAGTGGAGTCAGCGCCACTGTTGCTGCTAGTGTTGAATCCAGAACCATAGCTGGACATGGGATCAGAGGATGAACAAGAGATGCTGACTGGGCCTAGAGATGGCAAGGAGGAGGAGGAAGAGGAAGAGGAGGAATTAGTCAATTCCTAACAAAAGCGAGAGAGCAGTGCGTGCAGCTGAAGAAAGGAGTAAAGTCTCGGAGCAGCTGGAGCTCTGTGATGAGCACGTGTCTTCCAGATCACAGACAGGAGAGGATTGCACAAAGCTCTTTGACTTCTCTAATGCAAGGGACCATTGCATGGCCCACAAATCCTTTAACAGTTTGAAATGAATGTGCAGACTCCTTCACCCCAGCTTTCATCACCTGGGCATTTCTCTATGGTTTTAAATATAACATTTGTTTCTAATTTGTGTAACTATAAGTCCATGTGAACCTCATGGATTTTTGGCTTAGGCAAATAGCTTCTCTGTAATTGGCAGCAATTCCATCTTAATAAGGGAACTGTGATTTGCAAAACGAAAAAATATACTGTTTTTTTCTTTTTCCTTTTTTTTATTCAAGGGCTAGTGAATCTTGGGATCTCAGGGTTACATCGAGGTATATTTATCATCATCATTATAGTCCAGGACTAAAAGGAAGTTATTCCAGGCTCTTTGCAAAGAATCTCAGTTTTTTTTGTTTGTTTGTTTTATTTTGTTTTGAGATGGAGTCTTGCTCTGTTGGCCAGGCTGGAGTGCAGTGGTGCAGTCTCTGCTCACTGCAACCTCCACCTCCCAGGTTCAAGTGATTCTCCTGCCTCAGCCTCCCGAGTAGCTGGGACTACAGGCACCCGCCACCATGCCTGGCTAATTTTTTGTATTTTTAGTAGAGACAGGGTTTCACCATGTTAGCCAGGATGGTCTCAATCTCCTGACCTCATGATCGGCCCGCCTCGGCCTCCCAAAGTGCTGGGATTACAGGCGTGAGCCACTGCGCCTGGCCAAGAACACCACTTCTTACACCAATCATGTGGAGACTTCTCCCACACCAATCAATTCTTCAGTTCTTGGTAGATATTAACTGGGAGTCCTGCAGTTTAATTCAGTTCTGACACTCTACCCATAATTACCAGTTATCTAATCCCCAAGTTGAAGGGCTCAGTTCTACAAGGCTGCCCCCACTCCAGATACCAATCACAAACAAGTCCAGGCCTCCTAACTGTTTTTATGACTCCCTCTTCTGGCTCAGTAATTCGCTGGAATAGCACGCAGAACTCAGGTAAACACTTTACTTATGTTAGCTAGTTTATTATGAAGGATAAAACTTAGGAACAGTCAGATGGAAGAGTTGCTCCGGACAAAGTATCGGGGAAGGGGGATTTGGAGCTTTCTTGTCCTCTCTGGGCACCTCCCTGCACCTCCATGTGTTCATCAACCTGGCAGCTCTCCAACCCTCATCTTTTTTGTTTTTTTTTATGGAGGCTTCATTATGCAGGCATACTTGATTCAATAGCCATTAGTTGGAGGTCAGAGGGTTGGAGCTAAAAGTTCTAACTCTCTAATCACACAGTTGCCTACCTTGGCAACAAACCCCAACCTTAGGGGCTTTCTAAAAGTCAACTTACTAACATAAACTCAGTTGTGGTTGAAAAGAGCTTGTTATGAATAACAAAAGCTCCCTTCACTTTATCATTTAGGAAATTACAAGGGCTTTAGGAGGTCTGGCCAGGAGCCAGGATGGAGACCAAAACACACACACACACACACACACACGCACGCACACACACATTAATATTTTGAGACAGGGAGACAGGGTCTCGTTCTGTTATCCAGGCTGGAGTGCAGTGGCACAAACATGGCTACTGCAGCTTTGACCTCCCAGGCTCAAGCGATCCTCCCTTGTCAGCCTCCTGAGTAACTGGGACTACAGGCATGTGCCACCACACCTGGCTAATTTTTAAAATTTTTTTTAGAGACAGGGTCTCCTTGTGTTGCCCAGGCTGGTCTTGACTGCCTGGGCTCAAGTAATCCTCCCACCTTGGCCTCCCAAAGTGCTGGGATTACAGGCCTGAGCCACCGTGCCTGACCTTTTTTTTTTTTTTATTTTTATTTTTTTGAGACAGTTTCTTGTTCTGTCATCCAGGTTGGAGTGCAGTGGCACCATCATAGCTCACTGCAGCCTCAACTTCTTGGGCTCAAGCAATCCTTCCATCTCAGCCTCCCAAGCAGCTGGGACCCGCACCACCATGCCTGGCTCATTTTAAAATTTTTTGTAGAGATGAAGTCTCGCCAGGTTGCCCAGGCTGGTCTTGAACTCCTGGGCTCAAGTGATCCTCTGGTCTCAGCCTTCTAGAGTGCTGGGATTACATGTGTTAACCACCACACCCAACCCATATATATACATATTTATTTATTTTTTCCCCGAGATGGAGTCTTGCTCTGTTGCCCAGGTTAGAGTGCAGTGGCGCGATCTCCGCTCACTGCAAGCTCCACCTCCCAGGTTCACGCCATTCTCCTGCCTCAGCCTCCTGAGTAGCTGGGACTACAGGCGCCTGCCACCACGCCCGGCTAATTTTTTGTGTTTTTAGTAGAGACGGGGTTTCACCATGTTAGCCAGGATGGTCTCGATCTCCTGACCTTGTGATCTGACCGCCTTGGCCTCCCAAAGTGTTGGGATTACAGGTATGAGCCACCGCGCCTGGCCTTTTTTTTTGTGGGGGGATGGAGTCTCGCTCTGTCGCCCAGGCTGGAGTGCAGTGGCGATCTCGGCTCACTGCAAGCTCCGCCTCCTGGTTTCACGCCATTCTCCTGCCTCAGCCTCCCGAGTAGCTGGGACTACAGGTGCCTGCCCCCACACCCGGCTAATTTTTTTTTGTATTTTTAGTAGAGACGAGGTTTCACCATGTTAGCCAGGATGGTCTTGATCTCCTGACCTCGTGATCTGCCCCCCTCGGCCTCCCAAAGTGCTGGGATTACAGGTGTGAGCCACCACACCCGGGCCCAAAAATATATATTTTTATTATAACAATATCACAATGGGAGAAGAACATTTCAGGTGGAGGGAACAGCAAGTTCAAAGGCCCTGATGTGAGAGCAGTGTGGATATCTGGAGTGTTCATGGAGTAGCAGGGAGGCCTGTGCTGCTGAAGCCAGGTGAGGAGGAGGTCAGCTTGGGTAGGGCCTTGTAAAGACTCTGGCTTTTATTCTGAGTGAGACTGCCTCCCAGACTGGTCTTTCCATTGAGAATGGCTTGACAGACTACTGGGGTGAGACAGTGCTTAGATGCTCAGAAAAACTGCCTGGGATAGAGAGAATGACAGCTGCTCTGACTGTGGGACAAAAATGAAGACTAGGCCTGGCGCGGTGGCTCACTCCTGTAATCCCAGCACTTTGGGAGGCCGAGGCAGGCAGATCACCTGAGGTCAGGAGTTTGAGATCAGCCCGACAAACATGGAGAAACCCCGTTTCTACTAAATGTACAAAATTAGCCAGGCATGGTGGCGCATGCCTGTAATCCCAGCTACTTGGGTGGCTGAGGCAGGAGAATCGCTTGAACCTGGGAGGTGGAGATTGCAGTGAGCCGAGATCACGCCATTGCACTCCAGCCTGGGCAATAAGCGAAACTCCATCCCCCCCACCAAAAAAAGTGAATACTGAAGGGTATATAGGAAGACAAGCGGGTGGAGAAGGAAACTCAGGGCCTTCTGAGAAGGAAACAGAGATGAGGGGAAAAGAATAGACATGCAAGAAGATGCTGGGGCTCAGAAAGTGATACCCCAAAGACTGGTGCTTTGAAATGCTGAGAGGCCTTAGAAGCTGCCTTAGAATTGTCCTACCACACTTTCTGGAATTTCCTTATCTGACTGAAAAAACTTCTTTGCAAAAGAAGTGCAATTGTCTTAAGACCTCCTGCCTAGAGATCTTATCAAATGACCAGATCAACCACCAGAGAGAAGATATTAGGAGTCATCATCATACCCAGATAGACTTTTCTTCTCTTTCTTTTCTTCCTTTTGAGTCAGCGTCTTGTTCTGTTGCCCAGCCTGGAGTGCAGTGGCATGGTCATGGCTCACTGCAGCCTCAACCTCCAGGCTCAAGTGATCCTCCCACCCTAGCCTCCTGAGTAGCTGGGACGACAGGCATGTGCCACCACGCCTTAGGTTTTTTTTTTTTTTTTTTTTGAGATGGAGTCTCTCTCTGTCACCCAGGCTGGAGTGCAGTGACATGATCTCAGCTCACTGCAACCTCCTCCTCCTGGGTTCAAGCAATTCTCCTGCCTCAGCCTCCGGAGTAGCTGGGGTTACAGGCGCCCGCCACCACGCCCAGCTAAGTTTTGTATTTTTTAGGAGAGAAGGAGTTTCATCATGTTGGCTCTGGCTGATCTCGAACTCCTGACCTCAGGTGATCCACCTGCCTTGCCCTCCTAAAGTGCTGGGATTACAGACATGAGCCACTGCACCCAGCCATGGTGACTAATTATCTTTTTTTTTTTTTTTTTGAGACAGAGTCTCACACTGTCGCCCGGGCTGGTGTGCAGTAGCGCGATCTCGGCTCACTGCAACCTCCACCTTCCGGATTCAAGTGATACCCCTGCCTCAGCCTCCCAAGTAGCTAGGATTGCAGGCACCCGCCACCACGTCCAGCAATTTTTTTTTTTTTTTGAGACGGAGTCTCGCTCTGTCGCCCAGGCTGGTGTGCAGTGACAGGATCTCAGCTTACTGCAAGCTCCACTTCCTGGGTTCATGCCATTATTTTTTTGTATTTTTAGTAGAGATGGGGTTTCACTATGTTGCCCAGGCTGGTCTCAAACTCTTGACCTCGTGATCTGCCCACCTTGGCCTCCCAAAGTGCTGGGATTACAGGCGTGAGCCACAGTGCTGGTCTTTTTTTTTTTTTTTTTTTTTTTTTTTTTTTTAGATAGAGTCTTGCTTTGTCACCCAGGCTGGAGTGCAGTGGCATGATCTTGGCTCACTGCAACCTCTGCCTCATGGGTTCAAGAGATTCTCCCGCCTCAGCCTCCTGAGTAGCTGGGACTACAGATGCGCGCCACCAAGCCCAGCTAATTTTTTTGTATGTTTAGTAGAGACAGGGTTTTGCCATGTTGGCCAGGATGGTCTGGATTTCTTGACCTCGTGATCCGCCCTCCTCAGCCTCCCAAAGTGTCAGGATTACAGGCGTAAGTCACCGTGCCTGGCTTCTTTTTTTTTTTTTTTTTAAATATAGAGACAATGGATCATAATATAGAGACATTCTCATCCTAATGTTAGCACAACGGGGATGCAGATGGTCAGGATCTGGAGACTTGCAGGAATAGAGCAGTGAGCCAAAGTGCAGCCTGGTTTATGCTTAATTATAACTATATTTCTGCCCAGATCCCAGCATGCAATTCTTGTCAATCTTGGGACAGTTTCAATTTACTCTATTGAAAGTTTTTATTAATATTTTGATAACTGGAATTTGATTTCGATGCAATTTTTTTTTTTTGAGACGGAGTCTTGCTCTGTCACCCAGACTGGAGTGCAATGGCGTGATCTCGGCTCACTGCAACCTCCGCCTCCCGGTTCCAGCAATTCTCCTGCCTCAGCCTCCCAGGTAGTTAAGATTACAGGCGCCGACCACCATGCCTAGCTAATTTTTTGTTTTTAGTAGAGACAGGGTTTTGTCATGTTGGCCAGGCTGCTCTCGAACTCCTGACCTCGGGTGATCCACCTGCCTCGGCCTCCCAAAGTGTTGGGATTACAGGCGTGAGCCACTGCGCCTGGCCGATTTGTTTTTGTATGTATATTTTTTAAATTTTATGCTTTACTAGAATGCCAAAGGGATCTGTGGCACAAAATAACTAAGAACCACTGCTGTAACCTCTCTCTCCCCTCACCCCTTTGAGCCTGGGAGTGGAAATATCCCCTGCAGTTCTCTTACATAACACTCCCACCTTTGTGTGTGCGTGTGTTTTGTTTGTTTTGTTTTGTTTTTGGGATGGAGTCTCGCTCTGTCACCCAGGCTGGAGTGCAGTGAAGTGATGTCAGCTCAGTGCAACCTCCACCTCCCAGGTTCAAGCGATTCTCCTGCCTCAGCCTCCCTAGTAGCTGGGACTACAGATGCATGCCACCACGCCTGGCTAATTTTTTGTATTTTCAGTAGAGATGGGGCTTCACCGTGTTAGCCAGGATAGCCTTGACCTCCTGACCTCGTGATCCACCCTCCTCAGCCTCCCAAAGTGCTGCGATTACAGGCATGAGCCACCGCACCCGTTGTCTTTAATAATTTTTTTGCCTGCTTAATATATAGTTTCTGAGAGATGTGAGTCTTCCTCTAATATTGTAGGTTACTTTTCTGTCGCTGCTGCACAAATTTTTTTTTTTTTTTGAGATGGAGTCTCACTCTGTCGCCCAGACTGGAGTGCAGTGGCGTGATTTTGGCCCACTGCAACCTCTGCCTCCTGGGTTCAAGCGATTCTTCTCTTGAGTAGCTGGGATTACAGGTGCATGCTACCACGCCTGGCTACTTTTTGTATTTTTAGTAGAGACGGAGTTTCACCATATTGGTCAGGCTGGTCTCGAACTCCTGACCTCGTGATCCACCCTCCTCGGCCTCCCAAAGTGTTGGGATTACAAGCGGTAGCCACTGTGCCTGGCCTAAACTTTTTTTTTTAAGCATCCTTGTGCAGAGACTCCAAGGGCAAACAAGAGTAGTGCCAACCAGCCTGGCAGAGCTGAGGCAGGCCTGAACTCTGGCCCCTAGAGGGAAGAGGTGACTAGTCACTAGCCTTCCTTCATTCTCTCACCCAGAGAGAAATGGGGAAGGAAGAGAAATGGAGTAAAAGAATAAGGTATGTAGATGGGGAGAGATGGGAAGGGAAAACATGGAGAATGATGGGGAGGCAGAAAGCGATGCGAAGAGAGATGGAGGAAGACAGAGAGAGAGAAAGACGGAGAGGCAGACCAGACACGGCAGCTCACACCTGTAATCCCAGCACTTTGGGAGGCTGAGGCAGGTGGATCACTTGAGGCCAGGAGTTCAAGACCAGCCTGGCCAACATGGCAAAACCCCATCTCTACTAAAAATACAAAAATTAGCCAGGGGTGGTGGCATGTGCCTGTAATCCCAGCTACTCTGGAGGCTGGGGCAGGAGAATCATTTGAACCTGGGAGGTGGAGGTTACAGTGAGCTGAGAGCGCAAAAAAAAAAAAAAAGAAAAAAAATAGAATGTCTCACGTGGAAGGTGCTCGCTGAATATTTGTTGAATGAGTGAATAAGCAGAAGTGTGTATGCATGTGACAGAGAGGCAGAGGGGTAGGGGTGTGTAGAGATGTGGCGTTTGAGTGGACACGGGGGAAGAAACAAGTAATATGAATAACATGGTGAGACAGAAAGAGTTGTGGACAGAGCTGTGGGAAATATGAGAGATAAGGAGAGAGATACTGAAAAGAGCGATTAAGAGAGATGAAGATAGGGTGTCTGGCCCATGGAAGGCCCTCGTGAAGAGCAATGCTGAATAGATGAATGAACCTCAATGCCCAGCAGTGGTGGGATGAAGGGGATGCTGTGCAGAAACCACACTACCCATCAGAGAAGCAACTCTGCTCGTTTCCCCTTGAGTTGATGAGGGATTTAGCAACCAGTGGAATGAAGAGCAAGGGAAAGACACCTGCGATCTTTCAGAAGCAAAATGGACAGGGCCTGGAGATCTTTTGGATGGGGGAACTGAGGGAGAAGGCAGAGTAGGATGAATCCCAGGTGTTTGCCTTAAGTGACTGGGGCTTTGTGTTTCCATTCACTGGGACAGGGATGACAGGAGGCTGACCTGGTCTGAGTGGACACTGATGACTTTGAAATGCCTGTGGAGTATTCAGGGTAAGCCGCCTAGAGAGCAGTTAGATAGTGTGGACTTAGGTCTCAAGAAAGAGGCCTGAGGGGGAGATGTAGATTGGGGACTTGACAGAGAATAAGCAGTAGTGACAACTGTGGCTATGACAGGATTGCCTAGGAAAGCCATGGTAGATGCGCAAAATTTATTGAATGAAAGTGGGAAGCCAGGTGCATGCCTATAATCCCAGCTACGTGAAAGGCTGAGGTCGGAGGAACACCTAAAGCCCGGAGTCAGGACTTTGAGACTAGCCTGGGCAACATAGTGAGATCTCATCTCAAAAATATATATAATAAAAAATATATAATAACACTTTTTAAAAAGAAAGTGGGGCCAGGGGTGCTAGCTCATGCCTATAATCCCAGCACTTTGGGAGGCCGAGGCAGGCGGATCACTTGAGGTCAGGAGTTCGAGACCAGCCTGACCGACATGGTGAAACCCCATCTCTACCAAAAATACAAAATTAGCTGGGTGTGGTGGCACATGCCTGTAATCCCAGCTACTTGGGAGGCTAAGGCAGAAGAATCACTTGAACGCAGGAGGCGGAGGTTGCAGTGAGCCGAGATCGCACCATTGCACTCCAGCCTGGGCAACAAGAGCAAAATTCTGTCTCAAAAAAAAAAAAAAAAAAAAGTGGGAGAAACAACCCAAAAATTTTCCAACAGGACAGTGGTATAAAAGCACACGTTTAGGGTACAGGAGTCTGGGGGACTCAGGTTGGATGGCTTTTATGTCCTTGGGAAAGAGGAGGTGAGATTTCAAAGTGAAACAGCTTCCATGGTGACAGGATCTGAGATGTAGGTCATGGAGAGTCAAGGTGATGATTGGAGTGGACAAGGTGAAATAACTGTGAAGTTGCACACTTAGGGTATTGAAAAGGCATTTGCGAGATGGGTACAAGAAGTTTCATAGCAGATTGAGCCATAATAAGAAAAACAAAAAATAGAAACAACCCAATTGTACTTCATCAGGTGAATAGATCAACAAGCTGTGCTACATCATATAAAGGATTACCACTCAGCAAAAAAAAGGAATGAAACACTGATACATACAACAGCGTGGGCGAATCTCACAGACATTAAGCAGAATGAAAGGAGCCAGATACAAGAGTATGTACTATATGACTCCATTAATATGATGTTCAAGAACAGACTAATCTATAGAGGCCGAGCGCAGTGGCTCAGGCCTGTAATCCCAACACTTAGAGAGGTCAAGGCAGGAGGATCACTTGAGCCCAGGAGTTAGAATCCAGTCTGGGCAACATAGAAGGACCTCGTCTCTACAAAAAAAAATTTTTTTTTTTTTTTTGAGACAGAGTCTTGCTCTGTCACCCGGGCTGGAGTGCAATGACGCGATCTCGGCTCACTGCAACCTCTGCCTCCCAGGTTCAAGCAATTCTCCTGCCTCAGCCTCCCGAGTAGCTGGGACTATAGGCATGTGCCACCACGCCCGGCTGATTTTTTTTTTTTTTTTTGTATTTTTAGTAGAGATGGGGTTTCACTGTGTTAGCCAGCATGGTCTTGAGCTCCTGACCTTGTGATCCCCCTGCCTCGGCCTCCCAAAGTGCTAGGATTATAGGCCTAAACCACTGCACCCAGCCTACAAAAAAACTGTTAAAAAATTAGCTGGGTGCGGTGGCATATGCCTGTAGTCGTAGCTACTCAGGAGACTGAGGTGGGAGGATGGCTTGAGCCCAGGAGGTCAAGGCAGCAGTGAACTATAATTGCACTACTGCATTCCAACCTGGGTAACAGAGCAAGACTCTGTCCCAAGAAAAAAGTCTACAGAGGTTAAAAATGGTAAAATGGTTGCATCTAGGAGGGGAAAGGGATTTACCAAAAAGGGGCATGGAGGAATTTTCCAGGATAATGAGAATTATCTATATCTCTATTACAGTGTGGTTGCATGGGTGTACATATTGGCCAAAGGTCATCAAACTGTACATTAAGATCTGTGCATTTTACTGTATGAAATTATATATCAATGTTTAAAAATGTCATTTATGGCTGGGCACGGTGGCTCACGCCTGTAATCCCAGCACTTTGGGAGGCCGAGGCAGGTGGATCACGAGGTCAGGAGATTGAGACCATCCTGGCTAACATGGTGAAACCCTGTCTCTACTAAAAAATACAAAAAAATTAGCCAGGTATGGTGGCTGGTGCCTGTAGTCCCAGCTACTAGGGAGGCTGAGGCAGGAGAATGGCGTGAACCCAGGAGGTGGAGCTTGCAGGGAGCCGAGATCACGCCACTGCACTCCAGCCTGGGTGACAGAGCAAGACTCTCTCTCAAAAAAAAAAAAAAAAAAAGTCATTCATATGGACATTAAGTCCATTAAGGAGTTGGCAGAGGTTGAAATAGAGAGGAAGTGGGCTGGGCATGGTGGCTCACGCCTATAATCCCAGCACTTTGGGAGGCCGAGGTGGGCGGATCACAAGGTCTGGAGTTCGAGACCAGCCTGGCTAACATGGTGAAACCTTTTCTCTACTAAAAATACAAAAATTAGCCTGGCATGGTGGCAGGTGCCTGTAATCCCAGCTACTCTGGAGGCTGGGGCAGGAGAATCGCTTGAACCTGGGAGGCAGAGGTTGCGGTGAACCAAGATCACGCCATTGCACTCCAGCAACAACAGCAAAACTCTGTCTCAAAAAAAAAAAAAAGAAAAAAGAAAAAAGAAAGAAAAAATAAATAGAGAAGAGGCTGCAGAGTCAGGGATGGGCTCTTGATGAATGTGAGGGCGAGTGGACGACACCAAGGAGAGATTGAAGGTCGTGAGGTCAGATGCTATGAGCCTCAGAGGAGAAGCTGTTCTCAGAAGCTGAAAGTATCATCACCTGGGAGCCATTCATTAGTTGAAAAATATTGATAAGACTTGGCCAGAGAAGTCACTCAATCTCACCCCTGCCAGCACGTAGAGGAACCCTGGTGGGGGTGGGGGAAAGATGAGATCACCTGTGCTGGATTGTGGACTTTTGTGTTTTCACCTGTTTTCATGGTCTGAGTTGGGAGTTTATTGGCCTCAACTACATCCAGCCAGCCCACAGCTTGTTGTTAAAGAAGTCAGACCAGAGACTGGGTGCGGCGGCTCACGCCTGTAATCCTAGCACTTTGGGAGGCTGAAGCAGGTGGATCACTTGAGGTCAGGAGTTCAAAACCAGCCTGGCCAACATGGTGAAACCCTGTCTCTAGTAAAAATACAAAAAAGTTAGCCAGGCATGGTGACAGGCGCTGTAGTCCCAGCTACTTGGGAGGCTGAGGCAGGAGAATCGCTTGAACCCGGGAGGCAGAGGTTGCAGTGAGCGGAAATCACACCACTGCACTCCAGCCTGGGCGACAGAGCGAGACTCCCTCTCAAAAAAAAAAAAACAAAAAAAACACACACAAAAACAGAGACCAGTGCACATCCACTTCAACACTGTTTTATTTGTTGCCTTTCCTCTTGAGTGCCTGGGAATAATTTCTTTAGAAAAGTTCCATCCTTGGCCAGGATGGATGCAGTGGCTCACGCCTGTAATCCCAGCACTTTGGGAGGCCGACGTGGGTGGATCACGAGGTCAGGAGTTCAAGACCAGCCTGGCCAAGATAGTGAAACCCCGTCTCTACTAAAAATATGAAAATTAGCTGGGCATGGTAGTGGGTGCCTGTAATCCTGGCTACTCAGGAGGCTGAGGCAGGAGAATCTCTTGAACCCGGGAGGCGGAGGTTGCAGTGAGCCGAGATCGCACCACTGCACTCTAGCCTGGGTAACAGAACAAGACTCTGTCTCAAGAAAAAAAAAAGAAAAAAAAAGTTCCATTCTTGTGCCCACTGTGCTGATTAGCGCAGCAGTTCCTGTCTTGCAGGTTAGCCTTCCCTAGAGGTTCTCAGAGTTATTAAAAGGGGTCCCTTGAATGTACACACATATCAGGATTTATTCTAGATGGACTGAAAAAAAAAACCCACATACTGTCTTTGGAATCTGGAACATTTTTAGCTATGACAAATGTTTAGAAGTCTTAGATATAGAAAAGAGCTGGGAGAGCAGGATGCCCTTGAGTCCAGGTGTAGCAATGGCACTGCCACCCTTGCACAGGACGGGGGAAGCACTGGAGAAGAACCACACATTGAACACCTAGGGCAATGGGGTCTGGAAGTTTACAGGTGGTACCCCCAGTTTACAGTAGTGGCACCAGGACTCCAACCTAGGCTGATTTGTCTTCTAAGCCACATTGCCTTGGGACGTGGAGTAGAACCATGTGATTGAGTGTACACTGTGGAAGAGTGGAGTTTGTTTTTTTTTTTTTTTGAGACGGAGTTTTGCTCGTTGCCCAGGCTGGAGTGCAGTGGCACAATGTTGGCTCACTGCAACCTCCGCCTCCTGGATTCAAGTGATTCTCGTGCCTCAGCCACCCAAGTAGCTGGGATTACAGGCACGCACCACCACGTCTGGCTAAGTTTTGTATTTTTAGTAGAGATGGGGATTCACCATGTTGGCCAGACTGGTCTCGAACTCCCGACCTCAGGTGATCTGCCCACCTCGGCCACCCAAAGTGCTGGGATTACAGGCGTGGGCCACTGCTCCCGGCCGGAAGAGTGGAGTTTTATCCCCAGCCAGTTACTTATTCCACGTCCCCACTGGTGGTGACCTCTTCTCCCTCCCCAAACCGTGGGCTTCTTACAGCTGAGATAGTAGAGACAATTTTTCCTATATTGATCCTTTGGGGTGTGAATGGGGTGTTGATAGAAGGAGGCAAGCAAGGTAGGGGATCGGGCAGAAGCTGGAATCAAGGCCCAGTTGAGAAAAGCCACCATTGGTAGCTCGGGCCTCCCATGCTCTCTGACCACCAGGGGGCAGGCCTTGCCTTGCCATGACGCCTCCATCCCACATCCTCTAGTTAGATATCCCTGGGGTGGCAGCCACTTCGCTGCTGGAGAATGGCTGAGTTGGTCCTTCCCAGGTTGTGTGGCATGTGTGGTTGTTCCGGTAGCTTAGGGAGGTAAAATAATTTGTTCAAGATTAGACTGGGCACAGTGGCTCACACCTGTAATCCCAGCACTTTGGGAGGCCGAAGTGGGAGGATTGCTTTAGGCCAGGAGTTTTAGATCAGCCTGGGCAACACGGTGAGACTCTGTCTGTACAAAAAATAAAAATAAGTGAGCCAAACGTGATGATGTGTGTCTGTAGTCCCAAATACTCTGGAGGCTGACGTGCGAGGGTCACTTGAGCTCAGGAGTTCAAAGTTCAAGGCCACGGGGAGCTATGATCATATGATCACACCGCTGCACTCCAGAATGGTTGACAGAGTGAGACCCTGTCTCAAAAAAAAAAAAGGTTGTATAACATAATTGTGGGGATTGCGGGGGAGCTGACATTTGAACCTAGACTCATTCCAAACCAGCATTCTTAACCATGAGATGACTGCTTCTCCAAAAGAAAGCTCTGAATTACTTCAGTGATGGGTGGGAACTGGACAGTCTACAAAAGTACTGTGACACAGAGCTAGAAACACAGATACAAAGGAAAAAACATATATTAGGTCAGGTGTGGTGGCTCACACCTGTAATCCCAGCACTTTGGGAGGCCAAGGCGGGTGGATCACTTAAGGCCAGGTGTTTAAGACCAGCCTGGCCAACATGGCAAAACTCCGTCAGTACTAAAAACACAAAAATTAGCCGAGTGTGGTGGCACACGCCTGTGAACCCAGATACTCGGGAGGCTGAGGCACGTGAATCGCTTGAGCCTGGGAAGCAGAGGTTGCAATGAGCCAAGATTGTGCCACTGCACTCCAGCCTGGGCGACTGAACGAGACTGTCTCACAACAACAACAGCAACAACAACAACATGTATTCATATAAAATGAGCCAGGCTGGGCGCGGTGGCTCACGCCTGTAATCCCAGCACTTTGGGAGGCCAAGGCGGGCGGATCACAAGGTCAGGAGTTTGAGACCAGCCTGGCCAACATGGTGAAACTCAGTCTCTACTAAAAATACAAAAATTAGCTGGGTGTGGTGGCGCACGTCTGTACTCCCAGCTACTCGGGAGGCGGAGGCAGGAGAATCGCTTGAACCCGGGAGGCAGAGGTTGCAGTGAGCTGAGATTGAGCCATTGCACTCCAGCCTGGGCAACAAGAACAAGACTCCATCTCAAAATAAATAAATAAATAAAATAAATAAAAGGAGCCAGACCAGGAGTTTGAGACCTGGACAACATAGCAAGATGCTGTCTTTCAAAAATAAATAAAAGTAAAAAGTCAGGTGTGATGGCACATACCAGTATTCCAAGCTACTTGGGAGGCTGAGGCAGGAGGATTGCTTGAGTCCAGGAGATCGAGGCTGCAGTGAGCAATGATCACACCACTGTATTCCTGCTTGAGTGATAGAGTGAGACCCTTGTCTCTAAAAAATGTAATAGTAAAAGGAGCCAGAAGGGGGCATGCGGTAAGGGGTGGACACATGGCATATTACATGTCATCCTTCACTTCTATGTGCTGTATTATCTCCTGTAGCTGTGTGATACACATACAAGAGTGTCTGGCATACTCTTGTACCAATCCCTGTAGAGGTATTACCTTGTTTTATTGTGTTCCACAGATGTGCATTTTTTTATATATTGAAGTTTGTGGCAACCCTGTGTTGAGCAAGTCTGTAGGTGCCACTTTTCCAATAGCCTGTGCTCACTTTGTGTCTCAGTGGCACATTTTGGTAATTCTTGCAATATTTCAAACTTTTTCTTGATTATTTTATCTGTTATGATCTGTCAGTAGTGATTTTTTTTTTTTGAGACAGGGTCTCACCCTGTCATTCAGGCTGGAGTGCAGTGGCAAGATCATAGCTCACTGCAGCCTCGAAATCCTGGGCTCAAGTGATTCTCCTGCTTCAGCCTCCCAAGTAGCTAAGACTACTGGAACACACCAGCACACCTGGCTAATTTTATCTATTTATTTATTTAGGCAGAGTTTTGTTCTTGTTGCCCAAGCTGGAGTACAATGGCACGATCCCAGTTCACCACTACCTCCGTCTCCCAGTGATTCTCCTGCCTCCGCCTCCCGAGTAGCTGGGATTACCGGCATGCGCCACCACGCCCGACTAATTTTGTATTTTTAGTAGAGACGGGGTTTCTCCATGTTGGTCAGGTTGGTCTTGAACTAACGACCTCAAGTGATCTGCCCTCCTTGGCCTCCCAAAGTGCTGGGATGACAGGAGTCAGCCACTGTGCCTGGACTTTTTTTTTCTTTTTTGTAGAGCTGAGGTTGGCCAAGCGCAGTGGCTCATGCTTGTAATCCCAGTACTTTGAGAGGTCGAGTGGGCAAATCACTTGAGCCCAGGAGTTTGAGACCAGCCTGGACAACATGGTAAGACCCTGTCTCTACAAAAAATACAAAAATTATCTAGGCATGGTGGTGTGTGGCAGCTACTCAGGAGGCTGAGGTGGGAAGATGGTGTGAGCCCATGAGGTTGAAGCTGCAGTGAGCCGTGATTGTGCCACTGCACTCTAGCCTAGGCAACAGAGTGAGACCTTGTCTCAAAAAGAGAGAGAGAGAGAGAAGGTCTTGCTCTGTTGCCCAGGCTGGAGTGCCATGGAGCCATGGCTTTCACAAGCAAAATCGTAGCATACTGCAGTCTTGAACTTCTGTCCTCAAGTGATCCTTCCACCTCAGCCTTCTGAGTAGCAGAGACATAGGCACATACCACTGCACTTGGCAAGAATTAGCTAAATTTACTCTGCCACGCTGTGTAAATGGAACAATAAAGCCTAGATGGCTGGATGTGGTGGCTCATGCCTATAATCCCAGCACTTTGGGAAGCTGAGGTGGGCGGATCACCTGAGGTCAGGAGTTCAAGACCAGCCTGGCCAAGATGGTCAAACCCTGTCTCTACTAAAAATACAAAAATTAGCCGGGTGTGGTGGCAGTCACCTGTAATCCCAGATACTAGGGAGGCTGAGGCAGGAGAATCACTTGAACCCAGAGGGCGGAGGTTGCAGTGAGCTAAAATTGCACCACTGCACTCCAGCCTGGGTGACAGAGCAAGACTCCATCTCAAAAAAATATATAAATAAATAAATAAATAAATAAAAGCCTAGATGATAGTACATCTGTTTACAACGTGGTTTACTGATTTTAAAATTTTTCTTTTTTTTGTTTGTTTGTTTGTTTTTGAGACACGGTCTCAATATGTTGCCCAGGCTGTAGTACAGCAGCATGATCTCAACTCATTGAAACCTCTGCCTTCCAGAGTCAAATGATCCTCCTACCTCAGCCTCCTGAGTAGTTGGGACCACAGACATGAGCCACTATGCTCAGCTAATTTTTGTATTTTTTGTAGAGATAGGGTTTCGTCAGGTTGTCCAGGCTGATCTCCAACTCTTTTTTTTTTTTTTTTTTTTTTGAGACAAAGTCTTGCTCTGTCACCCAGGCTGGAGTGCAGTGGCGCAATCTCGGCTAACTGCAACCTCTGCCTCCAAGGTTCAAGTGATTCTCCTGCCTCAGCCTCCTGAGTAGCTGGGACTACAGGCAGATGCCACCACACCCAGCTAATTTTTTGTATTTTTAGTAGAGATGGGGTTTCACCGTGTTAGCCAGGATGGTCTCGATCTCCTGAACTCGTGATCCGCCCACCTCAGCCTCCCAAAGTGCTGGGATTACAGGCATGAGCCACCATGCCTGGCCTGGCCTCCAACTCTTTAACTCAAGTGATCTGCCCTCCTGGGCTTCCCAAAGTACTGGGATTACAGGTGTGACCCACCATACCTAGCCAAAATTATTTTTTTTTAAACTCCATTTACTACTATTCCCAATTTAAATTGTATTTTATTTAGAGACAAGGTCTCCCTCCATTGCTCAGGCTGAAATGCAGTGGCAAAATCATAGCTCACTGCATCCTTGAAACTCCTGGGCTCAAGGAATCCTCCTTCCTCAACTTCCTGAGTAG
Source organism: Homo sapiens (assembly GCF_000001405.40). Lineage (NCBI taxonomy): Eukaryota > Metazoa > Chordata > Mammalia > Primates > Hominidae > Homo > Homo sapiens. The sequence goes on along the minus strand of NT_113891.3, from coordinate 3,071,949 downwards.
CTGGTACTATAGGTGTGTGCCACTATGTCCAGCTAAGTTTAAATTTTTTTGTAGAGACAGGGTCTTGCCATGTTGCCCAGGCTGGTCTCAAACCCCTGGCCTCAAGCCGTCCTCTCACCTTGGCCTCCCAAAGTGCTGGGATTACAAGTGTAAGCCACTATGCCCCGCTGGTTTACTGAATATTTTAAGCCTACTGTTGAGGTCTACTGCTCCGAAAAACAAGATTTCTTTAAAATGATTACTGCTCATTGACAATGTACATAGTTATCCAAGAGCTCTGATGGAGATGTCCAAAGAGACGAATGTTGTTTTCTTTTTCTTTTTTTTTTTTTTTGAGACGGAGTTTCGCTCTTGTTGCCCAGGCTGGAGTGCAATGGTGCGATATCAGCTCACTGCAACTTCCGCCTCCTGGGTTCAAGTGATTCTCCTGCCTCAGCCTCCCGAGTAGCTGGGATTACAGGTGCGCCCCACCACACCCGGCTAATTTTGTATTTTTAGTAGAGACGGGGTTTCTCTATGTTGATCAGACTGGTCTCGGACTCCTGACCTCAGGTGATCCTCCCACCTCAGCCTCCCAAAGTGCTGGGATTACAGGCATGAGCCACCACGCCCAGCTGAATGTTGTTTTCCTGCCTGCTAACATAACATCCATCCTGTAGTCCATGGTTTAAGGAGTAATTTAGACTTTCAAGTCTCATTATTTAAGAAATACATTTCGCCAGGCATGGTGACTCATGCACTTTGGGAGGCCTAAGTGGATGGATTGTTTGAGCCCAGGAGTTGGATACCGGCCTGGGCAACACAGGGAGACCCCATCTCTACAAAAAATACAAAAATTAGCCTGGTGTGGTGGTGTGCGCCTGCAGTCCCAGCTACTCAGGAGACTGAAGTGGGAGGATCAACTGAGCCCTGGAGGTTGAGGCTGCAGTGAGCCGTGATGGCGCCACTGAACTCCAGCCTGGGTGAGACAGAGCCAGACCCTGTCTCAAAAAACCAAAACAGGAATCCCAGCACTTTGGGAGGGCGAGGCTGGTGGATCACTTGAGATCAGGAGTTGGAGACCAGCCTGGCCAACATGGTAAAACCCTGTCTCTACAAAAAATACAAAATTTAGCTGGGCTTGGTGATGTGCGCCTGTAATCCCAGCTACTTGGGAGGCTGAGGCAAGAGAATTGCTTGAACCCAGGAGGCAGAGGTTGCAGTGAGCCGAGATTGTGCCACTGCATTCCAGCCTGGGCGACAGAGTGAGACTCCAGCTCAAAAAAAAAACAAAAAACAAAAAAACCCAACCAAACACACACACACACACACACACACACACACACACACACACACACACAAGGTGATTGCTATGCAAATTAAATATAGCTTCACCAATCAGCTTGCTTCTCCTAATCCCTCATAGAAATCTTGGAGTAGCCCTGGGGTGCAGTGAGGCCAGATTCCAGGAAGGGAATGGGTGGGATGGGTCTGGGTACTGGTGAGCAGCAGGGAGGGTAAGTAGGTTAGCTTCTGGGCCAAGGAGGGCTCCTGGAGGCTTGTTCTGGGTAAAAGCTGGTCTCCTTGAACCTCGGAAGGTGGGGGAACCCACATCCTGGTCTCACCCGCCCAACCGCCCACTCACCCTTGGGTTAGCAGCCATCTAAGCCCCACCCTCCCCCTCACACGCTTAGCTAGCCTGCCACAAGCTGGCCCCTTGGCCTCCTAGAGACCCTGACATCTCCTCCAGCAGCATCTGTCCTCTCTCCTCAGGGAGGCAAGCATTTGATGCTCGAGGTCCCTGGCAGTTGTGGTCCTTGGCAAGTGATGTGTGAGTCCCGTGTGTCATAGGAAGCTCCCCATCCCCATCTGGTGACCAAAGGCCTGGCTACAAGTAGTGAGTCCTTCCTCCTCCACCCAGACCTCACTGCTCAGATCCCCTTCGCCAACTGGGACATCTTCCGACATGGCCTGGATGCTGTTGCTCATCTTGATCATGGTCCATCCAGGTGACAGGGCGTGCGCTCAGGACCCCAAGGAGTGTGGGTGGGAGGAGGGAGATCCAGGAGGCTGGACTAGATGCTATAGGGAACGGGCTTGGTGGGGGCTGAAACACACGGCTCTGAGGGAGGAGTGGGACTGCTCCAAAGGTGACACTCAGTGGACTCCCCCAATTCACAGTCTCTCTGTGTCACCCACTGTGAGGCTTTTTAGTTTGAGAGATCCAAGTAAATCTATGATAAATTTCTTGGTGAAACTTTTTTTTTTTTTTTTTTTGAGACTGAGTCTCGCTCTGTCGCCTGGCTGGAGTGCCGTGGTGCGATTTTGGCTCACTGCAACCTCTGCCTCCCATGTTCAGGTGATTCTCCTGCCTCAGCCTCCTGAGTAGCTGGGACTACACGCACGCACGACCACACCTGGCTAATTTTTTTTTTTTTTGAGACGGAGTCTTGCTCTGTCACCTAGGCTGGAGTGCAGTGGCATGATCTTGGCTCACTGCAACCTCTGCCTCCTAGATTCAAGCAATTCTCCTGCCTCAGCCTCCTAGGTAGCTGGGATTACAAGCGCGCACCACCACACCCAACTAATTTTTGTATTTTTAGTAGAGACAGGGTTTTACCATGTTGGCCGGGCTGGTCTTGAACTCCTGACCTCAGGTGATCTGCCTGCCTCGGCCTCCTAAAGTGCGGGGATTACAGGCCTGAGCCACTGCGCCCAGCCATTTTTGTATTTTTAGTAGAGATGGGGTTTTGCTATGTTGGCCAGGTTGGTCTCAAACTCCTGATCTCAAGTGATCTGCCTGCCTCGGTCTCCCAAATTACTGGAATTATAGGCATGAGCCACTGCGCCCGCCTGGTGGTGAAACTTTTTTTTTGAGACAGTTTCATTCTGTTGTCCAGTCTAGAGTACAGTGGCGGTATCTCAGCTCACTGCAGCCTCCACCTCCTGGGTAAAAATGATTCTCCTGTCTCAGCCTCCCAAGTAGCTAGGATTACAGGTGCATGCCATTACTGCTGGCTAACTTGTGTATTTTTAGTAGAGACGAGGTTTCACCATGTTGGCCAGGCTGGTCTCAAACTCCTGACCTCAGGTGATCCACTCGCCTTGGCCTCCCAAAGTGTTGGGATTATAGGCGTGAGCCACTGCACCCGGCCGAAACTGTTTTTAATGAACTGAGAGACCTTAACTATCAGGCATATTATTAACTAAATGCAGGAGTTCTCAAAATGTGGATTTCTGGGAACCTAGAACAAATTCTTAGGCCCCACTCCAGACCTACTGAGTCAAAAACTCGGGGGGTAGGCCCAGGAATCTGTTCTAGCAGATGCTCCAGGTAATTTCCATACACACTCAAGTTTGAGAACCACTGAAATAGAATGACTTGTAAATTTCCCTAAGTAGATAATTTAATCAGGGATTTTAATATTTGGTTTAATTCATCAACATGGACGGGTTAAATAGGAATCTCAACCAATTAAGGCCACGTCTTCACCTGGAGATTTAATTAGTTACTTTCTTTAACGAAAACCAAGAGTGGCTGGGTGCACTTTGGGAGGCCGAGGCAGGTGGATCACTTGAGATCAGGAGTTTGAGACCAGCCTGGTCCGAGGTGGGTGGATCACTTGAGGTCAGGAGTTTGAGACCAGATGGTGAAACCCTGTCTCGACTGAAAATACAAAAATTAGCCAGTCGTGGTGGTGGGTGCCTGTAGTCCCAGCTACTTGGGAGGCTGAGGCACCAGGATCGCTTGAACCCAGGGGACAGAGTTTGCAGTGAGCCAAGATTGCACCACTGCATTCCAGCCTGGGCAACAGAGCAAGACCCCATCTCAAAAAAAGAAAAAAGAAAAAGAGGAAGGATGGCTTACTGTACAATGCCATTTGTACTAAAATAATACCTGGATAATATAATGAGTGATATTAGTTAACTAGGCAGCTGCATTCATTAATGAGCTTAATTTCACCATGATGGTTTACATTTCAGCTAGACAAGTTACTACTGAACTGGCTGGAGAATGATGGCAGAGGGTGAGAGTGAGAGTTGGTATAGGAAGAATTTGAAAAATGATTTTTATTTTTTATTTTTTGAGATGGAGTCTTGCTTTGTCGCCCAGGCTGGAGTGCAATGGCGCAATCTTGGCTCACTGCAACCTCTGCCTCCCGGGTTCAAGCGATTCTCCTGCCTCAGCCTCCCGAGTAGCTGGGATTACAGGTGCACACCACCATGCCCGGCTAATTTTTGTATTTTTTTAGTAGAGACGGGGTTTCACCATGTTGGCCAGGATGGTCTCGATCTCCTGACCTGGTGATCCGCCCACCTCGGCCTCCCAAAGTGCTGGGATTACAGGCGTGAGCCACTGCACCCAGCCGAAAAATGATTTAATAAGCAATGTTAAGAAATCAGATTGGTTAAGAGGGAAGGGTTTAATGAGGCCCCAAAGTATCTATTCCCATGCACCCTATGCCTGGAGAAAGCTGGGATGTTCTACTCCAAGCTCTGTTGTCTTTTCTCTTTGGAATAACTGGGGAGGTGTTTCTCTGGGTCTTCCTTCTGCCCCCAGGATCCTGTGCTCTCTGGGTGTCCCAGCCCCCTGAGATTCGTACCCTGGAAGGATCCTCTGCCTTCCTGCCCTGCTCCTTCAATGCCAGCCAAGGGAGACTGGCCATTGGCTCCGTCACGTGGTTCCGAGATGAGGTGGTTCCAGGGAAGGAGGTGAGGAATGGAACCCCAGAGTTCAGGGGCCGCCTGGCCCCACTTGCTTCTTCCCGTTTCCTCCATGACCACCAGGCTGAGCTGCACATCCGGGACGTGCGAGGCCATGACGCCAGCATCTACGTGTGCAGAGTGGAGGTGCTGGGCCTTGGTGTCGGGACAGGGAATGGGACTCGGCTGGTGGTGGAGAAAGGTGAGATGCTGGGAGGTGGTGTCTCCTCCTGGCTGGAGGCCCCAAGAGGCAATGTCCTTGGGAGGCAGGGATGCTCCTCTGAGGCCCCTTCCCTCCCTGAGCCTGTGTGCACTTCTTCCCCAACCCCCGTCTCCATTGCCCCATGCAGAACATCCTCAGCTAGGGGCTGGTACAGTCCTCCTCCTTCGGGCTGGATTCTATGCTGTCAGCTTTCTCTCTGTGGCCGTGGGCAGCACCGTCTATTACCAGGGCAAATGTGAGTAATGGAGCCAGGGGCAATAGTGGACGGGATGGGAGGGGCAGTAAGAGAGTGGGAGGAGGGAGGACAGAGACCAGGAAGAGGAGAGCCTCGGGACTGCAACACTGAGCAGCTCCTGTCCTCTCTCTGACCAGGCCACTGTCACATGGGAACACACTGCCACTCCTCAGATGGGCCCCGAGGAGTGATTCCAGAGCCCAGATGTCCCTAGTCCTCTTCAAAAGACCCCAATAAATCTGCCCCACCACTAACTCCTCATGAGTCTCAAGTGTTTTCTTCTCCATTCTCCAGATGCCAAATCTACTCTCTCCGGATTCCCCCAACTCTGAACTTTCCCTTCCACCAGGTCTGACCTGGAAAGGTCCAAGAAGGCAGCTGCCGGCTGTGGTCCCAGCGCCCCTCCCACCACCATGTGGGAGCTCAGCACATCTGCTTCCCCCAGTCCCAGGAGGCTGAGCCTGATTGTCCTGAGAAATGGGAAGGATCAGATATGACTCCTCCTTGGCAACTGCCCTTTCCTGCCAGGCCCACACATACCCTCTTCTGGCTGTTAGGGGAGCTTGGGTCCCTGAACACTGTCATTCACCCAATAAATTACTATTTGACCCCAGAGTGGGTGGAAGGGTGAGCCATGTGTTTTTTTTATTTTAATTTTTAAAAAATTTAAAAAATTCCCTATTCAAAGGTCAAAAAGCCACATAAGTTTTGATGATGATCAATTTGAACGGAGGCTCGAGATGGACTGAGAGGACTGAGACACAGAAGTGGGGGGACCATGGTTTTTACTGGCTGGACCACAGGGGGACCCTGTCCACCCGCCTGGGTTGAGGAAGGTGTCTGGGGTGCTCAGGTGGGTTTGTTCTCAGCAATGCAGGCATAGTCAGCTCTTGGATCCTCCTTGGTGCCTCTCTTGTCTCTGCCCCTGAGGTCAGGTCCCTCACTGCTGGGCACTGGCAGCCTCTGCAGAGATGCATAGTGGAGTTCCTGCTCTGAGGAGCCCTGGGCCTGGGACCAGGACAGAAGGTGCTGATGGGAGGCGATGCCGTCAGATCCTTCCCTGTGAGTTCTGCTCCCACCTCCAGCCTTTCTTACTTCTCTCCCTCTCTCTCTCTCTCTCTCCCTCTCTCTCTCTCTCTCTCTCTCTTTTTTCTTTGGAGACAGAGTCCCACTATGTTGTCCAGGATTGTCTTCAACCCCTGAGCTCAAGCTATCTTCCTGCCTCAGCCTTGCGATAGCTGGAATGACAGACGTGAGCCACTGTGCCTGGTTCTGGAGCCTCTCTCTCTCTCTCTCTTTCATTGCTCTTCTCTTTGTGTCTCTCTCACTCTCATTTTCTCCCTGTCTCTCCTATCCTCTGTCTCACTTTTTCTCTTGGTTTCTGTCTCATTTTCTCTTTCTCTTTTGCCTCGATTTTCTCTGCCTCTCTCATGCTCCTACTTTCTCTCTCCTTGTCTCCCGTCCCCAACCCTCCTCTCAGCGCTCAGCCATGCTTCTCCCCACTCACCCACTCAGGATCTCTCTTGCCCTCCCCCTTCCCTGTCCCCAGACTCACCCAGCTCCTCTCCAGCCTCTTTACTGGAAGAAAAGAAGAAGCTCAACACAGCCCACCCTTTGTGCTTCTCCCGGGCCCTCCCGGGCCCCCCCCACCAGCAGGCGTGGACTCCCCTGTTGGCTTCCCAGTGGCTCCAGGGCCAGGCAGTGTTCTGGGAAAGCAGTGGGAAAGCGTGTGGGGGTGGGGGCACAGGGGGCACTGCTGCAGGGGGAGGGAGGGAGTGCAGCGCTCACCTCTTCGATGCAGCCAACACAGGCAGGCGGACAGAAGGACCACTGCCAGAAGCAGGAGCCCGCCCAGCCCCAGGCCCCCGTAGATACATATATCTTCAGGGAAGAGGGCTCAAGGTTAGGAAGCCCATTCCTTCTCCAGCGTACCCCAGCCTCCTGGTTGGTTGCAGCTTTCTCAGATTCCCTCTCCAACAGTTTTAGAGGCAGAAAAATATACCCTCAGAGCTTCTCCATCCCAGACCTTAATACCTCACCTCTTACCAGGTTTCTGGGCCTCCCGTGAGGTCCCTTTCCCTCCTGTACCAGCTGTCCCCAGAGGCCTGTCCACCTAGTCATGAGCTGCATACATCACTGTTCCCCATCACTTCCTAAGCTCCCAGGACCCTCTCTATGCAGATGCAAGAGACACTTTACTTACCATCATTCCGCGATAACATTAGGTCAGGGATCAGGGACTGGCCTGGAGGTCAGGAACTCTAGTCCTTGCTCTTTTAGGCGAAATGATCAGGGGCTGGTGACTTGCCTCAAGTTCCTCATCTGTGAAGTGAGGGGCCCTCTGTTATAATCGTTCCCAGGCTGGGGAGCCTCCCTTATGTGCCAACCCTGAGCTGGGCACTTTCCATTCCTCACTGCTAATCCCCAGAACATAGGGTATCATGGTGCCCGTTGCCCAAGTAAAGACCCGAGATTCAAGCCTGGACTTTACTAGGTCACCCATCCCAGAAAGGTGGAGCTGGGGTTTAAGGCCAGCTCTGCCCAACTCCAGAGCCCAGCCCTTTCCTCTGCCCTGGGCTGACCACGTGGTTTGGAGGGGACTTTTCAGCCCTGGATGGTTCTAGGTGCTGGTAAGGGGATGATGGAGGGGAAGGAGCCTGGGCCTGGGTGGGTGTGGGCACTGGGGGGAAGAAGGGAGGGTGATATCAGCACACCCAGCAGGTGGGCTGCTCCCTGAGCCGCAGAGCAGCGCGGGAGTGTGGGGGCCCCCTTGGCTGGTGTGGAGAGCTGCTTCCCACAGGCAGATGCTGCTAGGGCTGAAGTGGGGCATGGAGGAGTATCTGGGGCCCCATAACTTCCCCTCAGGCACTTCCTCCCCTCCAACCACTGGTTCCTGTTTGAGGGTGAAGAGGGGGCCGTTCTCTTCACCCCAGAGCCAGATATACTGACTAGGGTCTGGAAACTGGGACCCTTCTGGGTTTAAGAGGAATTCTGGGGGGTGGGGAGCAGAAGTGCAGGTGGAGGCCATAAGGGCCGTGGGCACAGAAATGAATTGTCTTTAATTTCTTTGGGGAGCAGAGACTCAGAGGATTCCTCGACGGCCCAGGGAAACTCAAACCCATACTCTCCCTCCCCTCATCTTAGCTTCACCCCACTCTGGGGTGTGACCATCCTTCCACCAAGGTCCCTGCCCATTCCCAGCTTACCCAGAGCTTGTGGCCTGCAGGATGGACAGACTCCAAACTGGCCAGTGCTGTCTGGCTGAAGAGAAGTGTTGCCACCTCAGACATTCCTGCCCCTCCTCTGGCTTTAACTTCTCCCCCAGCCTGGGTTCCTCCCCAGCATTGTTAGGAGAGGAAGTTCGGCTCCAGGGTTAGGGTTACAACATCTTTCTTTTCAAACTTCTGGGCCTGTAGCTAGGGCCATAATCTGCCTCAGCTCCAGTCATTTCACTGATCCTGCCACTAGTCAGCAAACACCCACCACCTTCAGGTGTCTTCCTTGATTAACTCTTCTCTATTACCTCTTACACTGCATCTGTTGAGACCTCTTGATCTTGGCATATGTCTGTGGACACATGTACCCTGCTCCAGTTCAGACTGGGAGCTCTGGCATATTTGGTGTTCTGGTGACCCACTTGGTGTTCTGCAGCTCTATGCAGCAGGCTGCTTGGCTGTCTGATTAACAAACATGAGAGTTAAAGGCAGCCATACTAGATCTACATGAGCCCTGTGGATAGATCAAGGACAGAAAGTTGGTGACAAGTTGGTGACAGGAAAGGAGGTGTGGGCAATACAGGTGGACTTCCTGTAGGAGGCAGCATTCTGGCATTGAACACAGAACTAAGTAAAGGCAGCGGCCTGAGGCTCTCTGGAGAGACCTGGGTGAAGGCTTCTTAGTGGCACTGTGATGGAGAAGGAGATGGGTGCTGGAGGATTGCACACCCACTCCTTGAGGAGGGTGAAGACTGGGGAGCGCCTGTAAGGCAAGGGGTGAGGAGGAGATGTGGTGCCTGGGTGGGTCCATATTAATTTGCGTTTCCCCTTCCAAATTCAAGAACCTTCTACTTCCTCCCCCACCCTTCTCCCCATCCTCCATGTTCCCCATGCTGAATAATATTCAGGGTTTTTTGTTTGTTTGTTTTGTTTTTTTTACATTTTATTATTAAAAAGTGCAAACATAGGGTGAAATGAGAATAATTGTACAGTGAACATATTCTTACCACCTAGATGCTACTATTAACATTTTTTGTTTTGTTTTGTTTTTGAGATGGGGTCTCACTCTGTCACTCAGCCTGAAGTGCAGTGGTGAAATCATAGCTCACTGCAGCCTTGAATTCCTGGGCTCAGAGGTCCTCCCACCTTAGCCTTCTGAGTAGCTAGGACTACAGACACCAGCTACCACATGAGGCTTTGTAGAAATGGGGTCTTACTATGTTGCCCAGGCTGATTTTGAACTCCTGGTCTCAAGCAATCTTTCCACCTTAGCCTTCCAAAGTGCTGGAATTACAGGAGTGGGCCACTGCACCTGGCTCTATTAACATTTTTTATTTGCTTTATCACATATTTATCAATCCATCTCACTTTTAAATATCTTTTAAAATTACAAATATCAGTACATTTTACATCTAAACCCTTCAGAAGCTTAACATTGACTGGAGTTCAGTATTTATTTCCCCATTTCTTTTCTGGCCTGAGGAAGGCAAATTTTACATACAAATCTCAAGTCAGTACTCTTTTTTTTTTTTGAGACGGAGTCTTGCTCTGTTGCCCAGGCTGGAGTCCAGTGGTGTGATCTTGGCTCACTGCAACCTCTGCCTTCTGGGTACAAGCGATTCTCCTGTCTCAGCCTCCCAAGTAGCTGGGACTACAGGTTTGTGCCACCATATCCAGCTAATTTTTGTATTTTTAATGGAGAAGGGGTTTCACCATGTTGGCCAGGCTGGTCTCAAACTCTTGACCTCAAGTGATCCACCTGCCTTGGTCTCCTAAAGTGCTGGGATTATAGGTGTGAGCCATCTCGCCTGGCCTAATACTGTTTTGTTTGTTTGTTTTTGTTTTTAAGACAGAGTCTTGTTCTTGTCACCCAGGCTGGAGTGCAATGGCATGATTTCGGCTCACTGCAACTTCCGCCTCCTGGGTTCAAGTGATTCTCCTGCCTCAGCCTCCCAAGTAGCTGGAATTAAAGGTGCCTACCACCACGCCCCGCTAATTTTTATATTTTTAGTAGAGATGGGGTTTCACCATGTTGATCAGGCTGCTCTCGAGCTCCTTACCTCAGATGATCCACCTTCCTTGGCCTCCCAAAGTGCTGGTATTATAGGCAAGAGCCACTGCGCCCAGCCCCAGTATTCAGTTTTTAAACTGTCTTGTTATCAAGGCTCTGGAGCCAGATGCCTGGGTTCAAATTCTGGTTCTGCCACTGACTCTGTGAGCTCCATAAGTTTCTTAACCTCTCTGTACCTCAGTTTCCTCTTAGGGTTTTTGTCAGGATTATAATTATTGGCTGGGCATGATGGCTCATGCTTGTAATCCCAGCACTTTAGGAGGCCAACACGGGCAGATCACGTGAGTCCAGGAGTTTGAGCCCAGCCTGGGCAATGTGGCAAAAATCCATCTCTACAAAAAATGCAAAAATTAGCTGGGCATGGTGGCATGTGCCTATAGTCCCAGCTATTCAGGAGGCTGAGGTAGGTGAATCCATAGATCCTGGGAGGTCAAGGCTGCAGTGAGCCATGATCCTGCCATTGCATTCCAGTCTGGGTGACATAGCGAGACCCTGTCTCAAAAAAAAAAATTATTAAAGTGTGTAAATCAGTGGCATAAACATGTTAAGTGCATTTTGTGGGTCAGCTATATTATTATTAGTATTACGGAAACACATAGAGATGTTACCAAGAAGGGGAGATGATTGGAGCCACTTCCAGCTTCCTTGGACCTGGTCTTTCTTCCCTTGACTCTTTTTTTTTTTTTTTTTTTTTTTTTTTGAGAGAGAGTCTCAGCCTGTTGCCCAGGCTGGAGTGCAATGGTGCAATCTTGGCTCACTGCAACCTCTGCCTCCCAGGTTTAAGTGATTCTCCTGCCTCAGCCTCCTGTGTAGCTGGAATTACAGGCGCGTGCCACCACGCCCGGCTAACTTTTTGTATCTTTAGTAGAGACAGGGTTTCACCATGTTGGCCAGGCTGGTCTCGAACTCCTGACCTCAAGTGATCCACCTGCCTCAGCCTCCCAAAGTGTTGGGATTACAGGTGTAAGCCACTACCCCGGCTACTCCCTTGACTCTTAACCACTCATGCTGCCTACATCTACCATTCATGTGGTCCTTGCTGCTTTGTTTTGGTTATTCCTGCATTTATTTGTCCTTTTATTCATTTATGTATAAACATTTAGTAAGCACCTACTAATGGATAGGGCTCATTGTAGACTTGGAAGCTCTCTGAGGGTGGGAGTATGCCTCGTCCATCTGTCTTTACTTTTTGTAGCAAGGGAGGTAAAGCTCCATTTCCATCCCTCCTTAGTGAGTCAGTAGTCAGTGGTGAGGCTAAGGCTTACCTCTCCCTTTCTCACTCAGCACAGGGGGCTGGAGATGAGCAAGGGAACGGGAGGAGGTCAGCCCAGTATGGGAATCAGTTCTTCTCAGGGAACCCAGACATCCATCCCTCAAGATTCCAGTCCTTGTCCTAGTCCGGCCCTTGACCTCAGAGACGGGATCAGCTCTTCCTCCAGCACCTACCTTGAGGGTATAGAAGAATGCAAACCACATTGGAAACCTGGAGATCTGTGTTCTCATTTCAGCTCTGCTGACTGGCTTCCTGCAAGCTACCTTCCCTCCCTGGGCCTCAGTTTCTCTCTCTGCTGAGCCAGAAGATGTCTAAAGACCCCTTTGGTTCCACCCTGAGAGCCTGTCTCCCTAACCTCAACTTCTTCCCCAGTTCAGAGAACCCAGGCATCCAGCTGCCCCACCCCAGCTCTGGGTAAACAGGAAGCTGGGTGAGGGGAGCAGGGGTGTGCGGAAAGTCCCAGCCAGGTGTGCAGGTCTACAGGGAGGGGGTGGGCCCGTCCCTGAGGTATGAAAGCCCCCTGCTCTGGCTCTGGTTCAGTCTCAATGGGGGCACTGGGGCTGGAGGGCAGGGGTGGGAGGCTCCAGGGGAGGGGTTCCCTCCTGCTAGCTGTGGCAGGAGCCACTTCTCTGGTGACCTTGTTGCTGGCGGTGCCTATCACTGTCCTGGCTGTGCTGGCCTTAGTGCCCCAGGATCAGGGAGGACTGGTGAGTGGCTGCAACAGGCCCTGGTGGAGAGTTGTATCTTGCGGATGCTTGGCTCCCTCTGGTTGTGCCTGTGGTCTTTTGCCCCCTCTGGCTCAGCTGGCTCGGCTGTCCCTGGTGGGGATGTCTTGTCTCTTTGCTGACTCTCTTTCCATGTTCCTGTGATGTTGTGCTTGTGTCCCGACATAAGCCCCTTGTGTCTCCTCTCCTCTTCCCGAGGTACATCTGTTTCTCCGCCCAAGTACCTATGCCTTGCTTGTTCTCCCTTCTAAGGAGGTGTGTGTTGGGGATGGTGCTGGTAGGAGAAACCCCAGGCCTGCAGCTTGGGTCCACTTTCAGAGGGGTAGGGGTGACATGAGCTGAATCTGAACTCTGGGCACTGTGACCCCACCCAACCAGGTAACGGAGACGGCCGACCCCGGGGCACAGGCCCAGCAAGGACTGGGTAAGAGCAGACTGTCTCTCCTTCCCCGCTTCAGACCCTCAGGGGCTCCCAGCTCCCTGCTGCGTCCCCAGATACCTCTTCCTCTAGGAATCCAGGCTCCCCATCCCTGCGCCCTGTTCTCTCAAGGGTAGCCTGCATGGGTGGCTGCCCTGCCCCCAATCGTGGACTCTTTGCCCCTTCCAGGGTTTCAGAAGCTGCCAGAGGAGGAGCCAGAAACAGATCTCAGCCCCGGGCTCCCAGCTGCCCACCTCATAGGTAAGGACCTCCAAGACCTGAATAAGAGTGTAAATAATCCGAAGGTTCCAGTTCTGCTCGCCCAGAGTCCTTCGGCTCCATGATTCCAGTGCTCGGTTTCCCACCCGCTTCACGACCTTTTGTCGCTCGTGCCCACTCTTACGCTCGTCCCCGCAGTGTAGTTTCTTCTTCCCTCCGGTGCAAGCAAAAGCCGGCCTGGAGGTCCCCACTACAGCGTTCTGCACCCCACATCCGTGTTCCCTCGGCCCCCAACTCGCACTCATCCCAGAAACAGCACCATCCCTCCTCCCCCGGCCCGGCTCGGCTCCCGCAGGGGCTAAAAGCCGCCACTTCCCCAGAAGTCCCAAGCCTTTAGGATCGCATTCCCAAGAGCGCGTCGGCCCGTGTCTCCGCAGGCGCTCCGCTGAAGGGGCAGGGGCTAGGCTGGGAGACGACGAAGGAACAGGCGTTTCTGACGAGCGGGACGCAGTTCTCGGACGCCGAGGGGCTGGCGCTCCCGCAGGACGGCCTCTATTACCTCTACTGTCTCGTCGGCTACCGGGGCCGGGCGCCCCCTGGCGGCGGGGACCCCCAGGGCCGCTCGGTCACGCTGCGCAGCTCTCTGTACCGGGCGGGGGGCGCCTACGGGCCGGGCACTCCCGAGCTGCTGCTCGAGGGCGCCGAGACGGTGACTCCAGTGCTGGACCCGGCCAGGAGACAAGGGTACGGGCCTCTCTGGTACACGAGCGTGGGGTTCGGCGGCCTGGTGCAGCTCCGGAGGGGCGAGAGGGTGTACGTCAACATCAGTCACCCCGATATGGTGGACTTCGCGAGAGGGAAGACCTTCTTTGGGGCCGTGATGGTGGGGTGAGGGAATATGAGTGCGTGGTGCGAGTGCGTGAATATTGGGGGCCCGGACGCCCAGGACCCCATGGCAGTGGGAAAAATGTAGGAGACTGTTTGGAAATTGATTTTGAACCTGATGAAAATAAAGAATGGAAAGCTTCAGTGCTGCCGATAAAGATGCTGAGTTGCGACACACGTCTTAATTCAGGGTGGGTGCACGGGTGCGGGTTAAATATTCTCAGTACTCTTCTGGTTGCTTGAAACAATTCATCACAACACAGTGTATGGCCTTTGCTCCTAGGGATGATGGTCTGCCTGTCCCACCCCCTCCCTGCCTCTGAATGGCCAGGCCCCACCATTAGCCCAGTTGGAGGGTGGGAGGAAGGGGGACTTCTCAAACTCCGAAGCTTCTCTAGGCATCCTGATTTTCAGGGCCACATGGTCCCAACCAGACTCTGCACCATACTCTTTTCTCTTGGGTACCCCCCAACAGTGAGAGGGGTCATTACAGAGCCCAGCAAGCACCACTCAGAAAGGCCCAGCAGCAGAGTAAGCCCCTATCATGACAGAGGAATGAAGCCTGGAGGGGCCCCGCACTTCTCCCCCTAGAGCTGCCTGAAGGCCTCTCTGTCTCCTACCCGACAGTCAACTCTTCTCCTCCAAGGAGCTTAATTCAAGGCTCATGGGGTCTGAAGGGAGGAGGCTGAAGGAGAAAGAAGGGGAGAATATTAGAGAGAGATGGGGATGGCAGGAAGGAGCCTGTGGTGCCTGAAAACACCAGGAAGTTCTGGGGAGGAGGAAAAACCGATGCCCCACTTAGGGTGTCCCATTTAGGGTGAGACGGAAAATCCTCACCTTTTTTTCACACTTTAGGTCCCCCTTCCCAAAAGTGAGTAAGTGTGGGTGCTTCTGGGATGAGTAACAGTGTCCCCCATTACTTCATGGCTGACTTTCAGCCACAGGCTGGAGGAGGCAGAGGGTGACCCAAGGCCCTATCTAGGTCACCCCAATGGGTCACCCTACCCCCTCAGCCTACCACATGGTTTTCTCCTGCCTGGCACCCCAGGGCTGGAGGTAAAGCCTAATTTCCGAACTCAGTGGGGGCTCCCAGTCTAGGGGGGCTCAATTTCCGTCTCCATATTTGTTTTTGGAATTATTATTTTTTTGAGACAGGGTCTCGTTCTGTCACCCAGACGGGGGTACAGTGGCATGATCATAGCTTACTGTAACCTCAAACTCCTGGGCTTGAGTGATCCTCCTGCCTCAGCCTCCTGAGGAGCTAGGATTACAGGCATGCACCACTACACCTGACTAATCTTTAATTTTTTTTCTAGAAACAAGGTCTTGCTATGTTGCACAGGCTGGTCTTGAACTAGTGGGCTCAAGTGGTCCTCCCACCTCAGCCTCCCAAAGTGTTGGGATAACAGGCATGAGCCACTGCGCCCCACCCTTATTTGTCTTTGACTCTCTCCAGAAGAGCCTTCATCCAGGGAGGGGGTGCTTTTCTCTTTCCGGATTACCCACCTCTCACCTCTCCCCTCCTTCACCACAAAGACCAGTGGGACCAAGCCGGCATGTGAGTCCTTCACCCACATCTTATTCCTATGTTTCATTCTTTTTTAAAAAATAGAGACAGGATCTCACTATGTTGCCCAGGTTGTTCTGGAACTCCTGGGTTCAAGCGATCCTCTCACCTTGGCCTTGCAAAGTGGTAGGATTACAGGTGCATGCCACCACGTCCGGCAGTTCGGTTCCTTGTTCTTTATTGTCCTCAGTCTCTTCGATTTCACCCACTGAGAGAATGGAAGGGGATAGAACAGCTGGAAACTGGTTGAAGGAAGCCAGAATTCACTAAGTGCCCACTGTGCCAAGGGCTGAGTGAGGTCCTCTGATGGAGGTCAGGCCTTCTCTCACATGCCCTATGTGTGGTGGACATTCCTATCCCCATTGGATAGATAGGTTAAGTGGCTGGTTCAGGTTGCAGAGTTAGGACAGGGTGATTTGAAGCCTAGACACCCGAATCTCTGGAAGTCCCTTGGCTGTGTGATTCAGGTACCTGAGAATGCGGCTCCTCTCCAGCTCTCTCCGGACTGCTGGCCAGCTGCAACAGCCGGAAATCTCACCTGAGCTGCAGGATTTTCCCAGCAAGGATTGGAATTCCCAGAGTTGGAAATTCCCATGCCCTGAGGGAGAGGTAATTAGGTTCAGGCTCTTGTTTCCTGGGGGATGGGGAATATTCTGTTGGGCTTTGTTTATGTAGGGTCTCCAGGGCCCTAGGAGTCTAAGGATGGGACTGGGTCCGAGGGATCTTAAAGCCTGTGGAGAGAGGACTTAGGGAGCTTCTTCCCACCCACAAGAAGAGGCAGATGCAGAATTAATTCCAAGAAGGAGACCATGTTTCTTTTCTAAGCAAACTTTATTTCTCGCCACTGAATAGTAGGGCGATTACAGACACAACTCCCCTGGGGAGCAGAGGCTCAGCAATGAGTGACAGTTGGTCACCAAATCAGCATTGTTTAGACAACTTAATCAGATAAATATTTTAAAAAACATAATCAAAAGAAGGCACAGAGGCCAGGGGGCTACATGGGAACAGCCTATTGTTCAGCTCCGTTTTCACGGAAAACATGTCTGAGCCAAGGCAGCTCCTACATTGGGTCCCCCAGGATACCCCGGTCTCCCAAATAAATACATTCATCTGTAAATAAATAAATAATAAATAAATAATAAATAATCACAAGTGCAAACATAAATAGAGGGAGCTGGCTCCATGGGGAGGGCTGGGCTCCGTGTCTCAAGGAAGTCTGGAAACATCTGGAGAGAGGAAGGCCTAAGGTCCACTTGTGTCAATTTCTAGGTGAGGTCTTCTCAAGTCCTGCAGCATTCTGGCCAGAACCAAAGGCTCCCTGGTCTCCAGATTCCAGATGTCAGGGATCAAAGCTGTAGGCCCCAGTGAGTTCTGGAGGCCCCAGTTTGAATTCTTAGTGGTTGCCAGCACTTCACTGTGCAGGCCACACATTCCTGAATCCCAGGTTTCGAAGTGGTGGTCTTGTTGCTTAAAGTTCTAAGCTTGGGTTCCGACCCTAAGCCCCCAATTCTCTTTTTGAGCCAGAAGAGGTTGAGGGTGTCTGAAGGAGGGGGTAATAAAGGGATTGGGGCAGGGGAGGCGTTTGGGAAGGTTGGATGTTCGTCCTCCTCACAGGGCAATGATCCCAAAGTAGACCTGCCCAGACTCGGCAAAGTCGAGATAGTCGGGCCGATTGATCTCAGCGCTGAGTCGGTCACCCTTCTCCAGCTGGAAGACCCCTCCCAGATAGATGGGCTCATACCAGGGCTTGGCCTCAGCCCCCTCTGGGGTCTCCCTCTGGCAGGGGCTCTTGATGGCAGAGAGGAGGTTGACCTTGGTCTGGTAGGAGACGGCGATGCGGCTGATGGTGTGGGTGAGGAGCACATGGGTGGAGGGGCAGCCTTGGCCCTTGAAGAGGACCTGGGAGTAGATGAGGTACAGGCCCTCTGATGGCACCACCAGCTGGTTATCTCTCAGCTCCACGCCATTGGCCAGGAGGGCATTGGCCCGGCGGTTCAGCCACTGGAGCTGCCCCTCAGCTTGAGGGTTTGCTGGAGGGAGGGAGAGAGGGAGAGGAGAGTCAGTGTGGCCATGTCGGTTCACTCTCCACATCCTGGCCCTCGAGCTCTGCCCACCCCACATCCGGTTCCTGTCCTCTCTGTCTGTCATCCCACATCCCACCTGGCCATGACGTTCTGAGTATCCCACTAAGGCCTGTGCTGTTCCTCCACCCTTCCCTTGAGCTCAGCGAGTCCTTCTCACATTGTCTCCAAGTTCTGCCTACCATCAGCCGGGCTTCAATCCCCAAATCCTAGCCCTCCAAGTTCCAAGACACATCCTCAGAGCTCTTACCTACAACATGGGCTACAGGCTTGTCACTCGGGGTTCGAGAAGATGATCCTGAAGAGGAGAGAGAAAAGAAAAAGCTGAGACCCTTAAACTTCCTAGAAAATACCCCCCTACTTTCACCTCCATCCATCCTCCCCCAAGACCAAAACTTTAAATTTCCCCCACTGCTTCCATACCGGTACTAACCCTACCCCCAAACCCAAACCCAGAATTAGGAAAGAGGTTTGGAGACACTTACTGACTGCCTGGGCCAGAGGGCTGATTAGAGAGAGGTCCCTGGGGAACTGTTGGGGAGAAGGAGAATGGTTAACATCGAGGGAGTCACCCTTAAAGGAGGAACAGCTGGCTGCCTGTCTGGCCTGCGCTCTTAGCCCTGAGGTGTCTGGTTTTCTCTCTCCATTCATCTGTGTATTCACCTTCCAGGCATTCAACAGCTCTTTCCCTGAGTGTCTTCTGTGTGCCAGACACCCTATCTTCTTCTCTCCTTATCTCCCCCATCTCTCTCCTTAGCTGTCATATTTCCCGCTCTTTCTGTCTCACCATCTTTATTCATATCACTTGTTTCTTCCCCCATCTCTCTTCTCACACCCCACATCTGTCTCCATATCTTATTTATATATCTGCTTGTTCATTCATTCATTCATTCATTCACTCCATACACACTTAGTGAGCACCTTCCATGTGCCAGACATCCTGTCTCTCCATCTTTCTCTCTCTCTCTTCCCCATCTCTTGCCACATCTCTTTCTGCATCCCCGTCTTTCTCCACGTTTTTTTCTCTCCATCCCTCCCTATCAGCGCACATCTTTCACCCATCCCATCTCTCTCCCTCTCTTGCGTCTCCATTTCCCCTTGGGTGGGAGAGTGGATGAAGGCTGGCCAGGCACTCACCTCTTCCCTCTGGGGGCCGATCACTCCAAAGTGCAGCAGGCAGAAGAGCGTGGTGGCGCCTGCCACGATCAGGAAGGAGAAGAGGCTGAGGAACAAGCACCGCCTGGAGCCCTGGGGCCCCCCTGTCTTCTTGGGGAGCGCCTCCTCGGCCAGCTCCACGTCCCGGATCATGCTTTCAGTGCTCATGGTGTCCTTTCCAGGGGAGAGAGGGTGGAGCCGTGGGTCAGTATGTGAGAGGAAGAGAACCTGCCTGGCAGCTTGTCAGGGGATGTGGCGTCTGAGGGTTGTTTTCAGGGGGGGTCTGTAGTTGCTTCTCTCCCTCTTAGCTGGTCCTCTGCTGTCCTTGCTGAGGGAGCGTCTGCTGGCTGGGTGTGCCAACAACTGCCTTTATATGTCCCTGGGGCGAGAGGAGGGCGGGGAAAGAATCATTCAACCAGCGGAAAACTTCCTTGGTGGAGAAACCCATGAGCTCATCTGGAGGAAGCGGTAGTGGGCCCTGCACCTTCTGTCTCGGTTTCTTCTCCATCGCGGGGGCGGGGATTTGGAAAGTTGGGGACACACAAGCATCAAGGATACCCCTCACACTCCCCATCCTCCCTGCTCCGATTCCGAGGGGGGTCTTCTGGGCCACTGACTGATTTGTGTGTAGGACCCTGGAGGCTGAACCCCGTCCTCATGCCCCTCAAAACCTATTGCCTCCATTTCTTTTGGGGACCAGGTCTGTGGTCTGTTTCCTTCTAACTTCCAGACAGGATGCAGGAAAAAGATAGAACTAGAACTGGGAGGGGCTTCAGAAAGCTGAGTCCTTGAGGGAGAGAAAACGGGGTTGGAGGGAAAAGCTGTGTTGAGTCCTGAGGCCTGTGTTTGGGTCCCTGCGGGGAGAAGGAGCTGGGGGCTTGGTGGCAGGCTTGAGGCCTCAGGAAAGGCTGGGTGGGGGTAGCAGGGACAAGCCTGGGACAGCCCCGGGGAGTGAAATCACCCCCGGGAATTCACAGACCCCACTGGGGCAGGCCTTCTTCTTTCATTCTGACCCGGAGACTCATAATGCTGGTTTCAGTCTTGGCTTCCAAGGAACTCTGGGGTCCCTGATTTTTTTCATGAAGCTCTCACTTCTCAGGGCCCCAGTGTGTGGCCATATCTTCTTAAACGTCCCCTGTATTCCATACCTGGAGGTCCTGGAGGCTCTTTCACTCCCTGGGGCCCTCTACATGGCCCTGTCTTCGTTAAGGGGGGGTCCCCATACTCGACTTCCATAGCCCTGGACATTCTCCTACCCATTGCTGTGGTCACATCTCCCCAGAGGTCTCCTGTAACCCATTCCTCAGAGCCGCTACATGTGGCCATATCTCCCAGGAGCTCCCTGACCCCCGCCCCTCCAGACCCTGACTTTTCCTTCATCTTCTCAGCTTCTCCTTTGCTTCCCCTGCAGCAGTCTGGCGGCCTCACCTGGTGAGTCCATCACATATCCCTGAAGCTCTCTGAGCCCTTATCCTTTTGTTCTCCCCACAGCTCTTGCTCCCTTTGAGCCCTCTGTCCCTCCCTCCATTCCTTAGATAGACTGGGAAGTTCTCACTCCCAGACACACACACACAAGCAGACAGCATTTCAGAGAAAAGAGGTTTATTGGGCTTCATCGAGGGTGCAGATGCCTCCGTGTGGGGCTCTGGTCGGCAGCTGGCTTTCAGAGCCTTTCCCTGCCTTCTGGGGCCCTGTGATCCCTCATGCCTACTTCTTTCTCTCTTGGTCAGCCTTGTGCGCATGCCCTCTCACTCTTCATCTCTTGGGCCTGTCTCTGTTTCTCCTTGGATGTTCTTCTATTATTCCCCTCTCTCCATCCTCCATAAATAAATAATTTAATTTTTTTGCCTTCATAAATAGTCCCCTCCCTGCCTCTAGTCATCCCCCAAGCTCCTCCATGTGCCTGCTCTTCCTCTGTGTGTGGATCTAGGCCCCACCTAGCTGGTGGGACAGACCAACAGCTTTGGGCTGGGAATTCCTAGGCAGGCTTGAAATCCTCAGCCAGACAGACATCAGGGATGGTTCAGGGAGGTGTGGTCCCCTGGGATGCCTAGAATTCCTTCTTTGAAAGCTCCGGTGACTTGATCAGGGAAGACTTGAGCTGTTGGAATGGCCAAAGGAGAGGTGGTGACGACCCCTGAAATGGTCAGAATGGAGGCAGAATGGGGAGAAGGTCTTGAAATCAATTATTTTTTCTTTCTGGATTTTTCCAAGTTCTACAGAGCGAAGGCTCCAAAGAAGACAGTACTAGGGCTGAGGACTAGGTGGGGGATGCCATCTGTGTGGGTGGATAGCTGGTCTCCCTGGGTGAGCTGGAACGCAGCCCCGTGGTACATCGAGTGCAGCCAGGGTTCCTGCAGCCCTGGATACACCATCTTCTGGGAGCTGAGGAGAGGCACATGGAAGGGGTACTGGGAGGAGAAGAGCTGGACCTCATGGGCCAGGTAGAGTGGGGAGGAGGTGGCCTTGGGAGAGTAGGCTTTCCCAGAGAAGACCACCTGGGAGTAGACGAAGTAGATGCCACTGGTGGGGACCAGGAGAGAATTGTTGCTCAAGGAGAAACCATCCTGGAGGAAGGCACGGTCCGTGTTTGCTCTCCAGAGCAGTGAGTTCTGCTTGCTGGGGTCTCCTAGGAAGAGCCATAGGGGATGGGGGTGGGAGATCAGGGGTCTGGATCAGAGGTCTCAATCCCTGAGGAAGTGGGCACTGAACAACTGAGTTCCTGGGGGATGGCAGGGGGAGGCATAGGAGTGGGCTCCCTCTGTTTTTTTTAGCGTGGGGGAAGTTGGGGGAGAGGGGTGGATGCTTGGGTTCCTGAGGCAGGGGTAGGAGGAGAGCTGGTGGGGACATGTCTGGGAGGTCAGGTGGATGTTTACCAATGAGGTGAGCAGCAGGTTTGAGGTTGCTGTGGGCAAGATGCATCTTGGGGTGCTGACGGGCAGTCTGGGCAGCTGAAGGTGTGAGGCCAACACCAGGGAGCCCCTAGGGGAGAACAGAGTTGAGGGGGGCTCTAGGGCTCAAGGTTTGGCTGAGCCACCCCAGCAGCCCCCATTCTCCTGCTGCCTCACCTGGGCCCCAGGCAGCAGAACCAGCAGCAGCCCCAGAAGGAGGAGGTGTAGGGTGGTGCCACACACCCTTGGGAGGAAGAGACGTTCAGGTGGTGTCATGGGGAGAACCTGCAGAGAAAGAGAGAGAGAGAGAGAGACAGTGAGCGGGGCGGGGCACGCGGCGGAAGACAGACCTCCCGCCCTGGGAGACAGCACCCCCCGACCCCCGAGAGAGAGATCGACAGAGAAGGGGACAAGATGCAGTCAGAGAAACCCCAAGGTGAGCAGAGGGAGACAGAGAGAGACAGGAAGGGAACAGAGAGGAACCATGGCAGAAACAGAGAATGTGTGACAGAGACAATGAGACTGACAGATGGAGAGTCAGAGACAGAGAAGGAAACCAAAACCAAACCCACCAAGGCCCAGGCCCAGGCAGGCCGGGGATCCAGGCAGCAGGTGCAGGAGGGACCGAGGCCCAGGCAGAGGGCAGGACACTGCGGGGCGGTAGTCCAAAGCACGAAGCACGGGCAGCCCAAGGAGATGGGGCAGGAGAGCCTCACCTGCTGTGTGGAGCCCCTGGGCCCGGACGCTCAGGTCCCTTTATAGAGGAAGCGGCAGTGGCAGCGTGGCAGGCAGCGGGCGGGTTCTAGGTCGGGGCTGGGGCCCGGGGAAGCCCCCAGGGCTTAGAAGATACTGCTGTTTCAGTCAAAGGCAGGAAAGGCTGAGGCCTAGGAGAGAACCACAGGCTGGGGGTTCAGGCGACTGAGTTCTGGGAAAGGGAGTCGGGTCAGGGGAATCGTGGGCTGGGAGGGCCAGGGAGTGGGGTCAGGCCTAGAGTTCCAAAGAAGGGACAGTCAATTCAGAGAGGAGGCGGTTGAGCAGCTGGGGTGTGAGCTGGAGGCCCGGTTCCCTGAAGAGCAATCATATATAACATCTCTGCACCCTTGGCTGAGTACAGGCTTCTCTCTTTGCCCATTTCCTTCTCTTGTACCCCTGTCCTTGTCCCAAACAACTCAAATCATACTTGTCCCAGTATACGGACTTTCCAGCCCATCTGGCAGGTTTCACATCAAGAAGGTCCATTATATATCCCCTTCATCGGGGACATTCTGGTGTTTGCCTCTTGTCCAGGTGAAAATATTAATGGATCCCCCTTCCACTCTTGAAAGTGTCCTAGTTTGGAAGATAAATTTTTTGGTCCCCTTACTCAGAGATGATGCTGGACAGTCAAGTATGATGAGGTCTCATCTCACTCCTGAAGGATGCCCTCCATCTCTTCCTGACTTCAGGTGGCTTCCACAGAACAGATTTATATAACCCCAAATAAACACACATTCCAGGATCAATGTGGCAGACACCTTCCAAAGTTTTCTACAAAGGAAGTTTCAGAATTCCACATGGGTGAGGCTTAAGGGTGGTGACTTAGGGTGGGGTGGGGACAGCTAAGGGACTTGTTCTGAAGCTGCATTTGCAGAGCCAATACATTATTTTAAAATTGTTCCAGGCCTGGTGCAGTGGCTCACACCTGTAATCCTGGCACTTTGGGAGTCTGAGGTGGGCGGATTACTTGAGGTCAGGAGTTTGAGACCAGCTGGCCAACATGGTGAAACCCCATCTCTATAATAAATACAAAAATTAGCCAGGCGTGCTGGTGCGCATCTGCAGTCCCAGCTACTCGGGAGGCTGAGGCTGGAGAATTATTTGAACCTGGGAGGCGGAGGCTGCAGTGAGTCAAGATCGCACCACTGTATTCCAGCCTGGGGGACAGAGCAAGACTCTGTCTCAAAAAAAAAAAAAAAAGTTTCCAAAATTTTTTTCCTTTTTATTGATATGTAACTTAGGTATGAGGTGGACACCTCTTAAGTGTACAGCTGATGAATTTTTCCATCTGTATGTAGCCACCACCCAGCTCCACGTATTTTCAGGTCCCCAGCAGGTTCCCTCATGCCCCCTCCCTGCTGATACCCTCCAAAGATAACCAACCACTCTCTCACTTTTATCACCATAGATTATTTCCTCCTGGTTTGGGGCATCATATAAATGAAATCACACAGAATGTACTCATTTCTGTTTGACTTCTTTCAGTCAGCATTATGTTTGTGAGATTCATATACGTGGTTGTATGTATCAGTAATGTTTTTAAAAAAAATTATGATGTAATATTCTATTGTATCAATATATTCTAATATATTCTGTTGATGGGGATTTGGTTTGTTTCTAGTTTTTGTCTAACACAAAAAATGTCTAACACGAACATTCTCATACATGAGCCCATTTTCACTTAGCTTGCAAGTTACAAGGTTTAAAAAAAGCAGTTTCTAAAGATGACTTTATTCACTTTTCCTAAGTTTGAGATAATACCAACTTGTCACCTCAAATATTATTACTGCTACTGATGTGATTTTACTTGGAGAGTGTTAGAGGGGTTGGAGCTGGGGCTGGTGGTGACCCGGGGTAAAGCCCACTGTTGCATGGGGCAGACCACTTCTCTCCCCAGGCACAAGGTCCCTGAGGGGTCTTGGTGTAACATGGAGGGACATGTAAGTAACATTCTGGGTGTGTATGAGCTATTTCTCCTGTTCTTCTCTACTTGAGGACCTGCCCCTTTGCCTTTTATGCTTTACTAGTCTTAGCTATTATTTCTGTAGGGGCAGAAAGGGGTGATCCCTTCCTGACCCATCATAAGGGTTATGGCCAATACTCCTATAATAAAAGACAGATTAACAAGAGAAAAGCATAATACATTTATTTAATCAAAGTTTTAGGTGACATGGGAGCCTTCAGAAATGAAGACCCAAGGACCCAGGGGAAAACTATTTTTATGCTTAGATTTGATGAAGAATGAACAGCTGTGCAGAAATGTAATTGAACAAAAGGAGTATCATCTAATGGTCACAGACTGGGACTGGGGGGATCCCAGCAAGGCCTGGCCATATTCTTCTTGGTCTCTCTGTACAGCATTCCTTCCTCCCAGGTATAGGGCAGAACCTCTTCTGGAATGAGGGTCTTATAACCTACTATCAGATGAGATAGGTCAGAAAATTTCTTTTCCTTTTTTTTTTTTTGAGACAGTTTCTCACTGTCGCACAGGCTGGAGTGCAGTGGCACGATCTTGGCTCACTGCAACCTCTGCCTCCCAGGTTCAAGCTATTCTCCTGCCTCAGCCTCCCGAGTAGCTGGGATTACAGGCACACGCCACCAAGCCCGCCAAATTTTTTTTTGTATTTTTAGTAGAGACGGGGTCTCACCATGTTGGCCAGGTTGGTCTTGAATTCCTGACCACAGGTGACCCACCAGCCTTGGCCTCCCAAAGTGCTGGGATTATGGGCGTGAGCCACTGCGCCCAACCTTCTTCTCATTCTTTTAACCTTATTATCTCTTGTGTCAGTGTGGGTTTCCCTTTTAGCCCCTGCTCCTTTCTTTTTCTCTGTGTTGCCCTTTCTCTCAGGGTCCTTTTTGCTTCCTGTTGTCTCTTTCTGCTTCTCTAATGGTATGAGCTGATGGACTGGGACCCCAGCTGAGCTATATTAAAATATAAAATGTTATTACAAGGCCAGGAGCAGTGGCACATGCCTGTCATCCCAGCACTTTGGGAGGCTGAGGCGAGCAGATCACAAGGTCAGGAGATAGAGACAATCCTGGCTAATACGGTGAAACTCCATCACTGCTAAAAATACAAAAAATTAGCCGAGCATGGTGGCACGCGCCTGTAATCCTAGCTACTAGGGAAGCTGAGGCAGGAGAACTGCTTGAACCCAGGAGGCGGAGGTTGCAGTGAGCCGAGATCGTGCCACTGCCCTCCAGCCTGGGCAACAAAGTGAGACTCCATTTCAAACAAACCAACCAAAAAACAAAACAAAACAAAACAAGCAAACAAAAAAAGGTATTGCAATTAACAGTGAGACACAGAGAGAAATTTAAATTAAAGAGGAAGAATGGGACATTGAAAGACAAAAAAGGGAAGGCAAGAAGGGTGATGGGGAGACATGAGAGACACAGAGGAAGGAAGGGTAAGACTGGGCTGAGGCTCAGTGTCACGTGCATGTGAGATATGCGAAGGATGCTCCTTGAGATGGGCCAATCTTGGTTTCAATCTCAGTTTCGGAGGTTGTATGAATTTGGTTTCTTTCTTGGGCAGGCCAGCAGTTGGTTTGGGACTTTCCCTGGGTGGGAGAGCTGATGACTGGAGTCTTGTGCCCCAGACTCAGGGAAATACAGTCTTTATAGTGGTCTTTGTGGAGAAACTAGTGAAATCTCTGAAGCCTCCAAATGAGACTGAAATGACATTAGCTTCAAACTTGAACTTAGCCTCAAAACCTGAATTGGGATTTAATACCAACATCAACCCTAACCCAAATTTAACCTCAACCCAAATCACAACTCAAACTCAACCCCAACTGTAACCCTAACCTCAAATCTAAACACATCCCAATTAATAACCCCCTAAATAAAACTTCTCCTCTACCCCAACCCAACCCTGTTTCTAGGGCTAATCTTGAAACCAGTTTACCACCACTCCTAACACTAAACTTAAATCTGACTCTAAATGTAAGTCCAATCTGAGCCACAAGCCTAAAGTTGAACTTTATCCTGCTTTATGAATTATTCATCCATTCCTCCATTTAGTGAGTATCTGCGTGCCTAACACATGCTGGGCATTGTCCTAAGGCAGGAGGGACATGGAGGCAAAGGGATCAGAGAAGGTACCAGCACCTGTGGAGCTTGTATTCCAGTGAGGCCAGACGGAAAAGAAAGAAACTGAAGAAGAAATTGGTACTATGAGAAAATAAGACAGGCTGATGTTGTAAGAGTGGCAGGGAGCTACTTTTAAATACAGTAGTCAGCAAAATCCTCTTTGAGTGTTTGGGTGGCACTGGAGCTGAGACCCAAATGACAAAAAATAGTGACCAGGTAAAAGTTTGGGAGCAAAGCATTTCAGGTAAAGGGAGCAGCTACTGCAAAGGCTGGAAGGCGGAACCAAGCTGGGGGTGTTGACGACAAACAGAAGGCCAGTGTGGCTGGAGCAGAGAGAGAGACTGGGAGGCGGGTGGGAGATGAGGTCAGAGAGGAGGGCAGGGGCCAGGTCATGCAGGGCCATGCAAGAAGGGTAAAGCCTCTAGATTTCATCCAGCCACAGGAAGCCTTTAAAGGTCGTCAGAGT
Source organism: Homo sapiens (assembly GCF_000001405.40). NCBI lineage: Eukaryota > Metazoa > Chordata > Mammalia > Primates > Hominidae > Homo > Homo sapiens. The sequence goes on along the minus strand of NT_113891.3, from coordinate 3,044,988 downwards.
GTGTGGTGCGTGCGTGTGTGTGTGTGTGTGTGTGTGTTGCAGGGGAGAGAGGGGGAGGGAGAGAGAGAGAGAGAGAGAAGAGGGAGGTGAGCAGAGGTGATTGGATTTTTTTTTCTTTTGACATGGTGTCTTGCTCTGTGGCCTAGGCTGGAGTGCAGTGGCACCATCATAGCCCACTGCAACCTCAAAACCATGGGCTCAAGTCATCCTTCCACCTCAGCTTCCCAAGTATCTAGGACTACAGGTGTGTGCCACTGTGCCTGGCTAATTTTAAAAAATATTTTAAAATTTTTGTTGAGACAGGGTCTATGCTGCTCAGGCTGGTCTCGAACTCCTGGTTTCAAGTGATCTGCCCATCTTGGCCTCCCAAAGTTTTTTTTTGTTAGTTTGAGAGGCGGTTTCGCTCGTTGCCCAGGCTGGAGTGCAATGACTGATCTCATCTCACTGCAACCTCTGCCTCCTGGGTTCAAGCGATTCTCCTGCTTCAGCCTCCCAAGTAGCTGGGATTACAGGTGCATGCCACCATTCCCGGCTAATTTTTTGTATTTAGTAGAGATGGGGTTTCACCATGTTAGTCAGGCTGATCTCAAACTCCTGACCTCAGGTGATCCGCCTGCCTCAGCCTCCCAAAGTTTTGGGATTACAGGTGTGAGCCACCATGCTGGGCCAGCCTCCCAAAGTTTTGGGATTACAGGCATGAGTCACCACACTGGCCCTGGATTTTTTTTCTTTCTTTTTTTTGGAGACGGAGTCTCACTCTGTTGCCCAGGCTGGAGTGCAATGGCGTAATCTCAGCTCACTGCAACCTCTGCTGCCCGGGTTCAAACGATTCTCCTGTCTTAGCCTCCTGAGTAGCTGGGATTATAGGTGCATGCCACCATGCCTGGCTAATTTTTGTACTTTTAGTAGAGAAAGTACACCATCTTGGCCAGGCTGGTCTCGAACTCCTGACCTCAGGTGATCCACTTGCGTCGGCCTCCCAAAGTGCTGGGATTACAGGCGTGAGACACCGCACCCAGCCTTTTTTTTTTTTTTTTCTTTTAAGACAGAATCGCTCTGTCACCCAGGCTGGAGTGCAGTGGCACAATCTCGGCTCACTGCAACCTCTGCCTCCCAGGTTTAAGCAATCCACCTATGTCAGTCTCCCAAGTAGCTGGGATTATAGGTGCATGTCACCATGCCTGGCTAATTTTTGTACTTTTAGTATAGAAAGTACACCATGTTGGCCAGGCTGGTCTTGAACTCCTGACCTCAAGTGATCCGCCTGCCTCAGCCTCCCGAAGTGCTGGAATTACAGACATGTGCCACTGCACCCGGCCTGGTTTTTTTTTTCTAAGAGATGGAGTCTCACTTTTCTGCCCAGGTTGGAGTGCAATGGCACCATCATAGCTCACTGCAGCCTTCAACTCTTGGCCTCAGGCAATCCTTGCACCTTAGCCTCGCAAAGTGTTGGGATTACAGGCATGAGCCACTGAGCCTTGCCTGGACTTTTTTTTTTTTTTGAGATGGCGTCTCGCTCTGTTGCCCAGGTTGGAGTGCTACGGCATGATCTTGGCTCACTGCAACTTCCACCTCCCAGGTTCAAGCGATTCTCTTGCCTCGGCCCCCCGAGTAGCTGGGATTACAGGCATGCGCCACCGTGCCTGGCTAATTTTGGTATTTTTAGTAGAGATAGGGTTTCATCATGTTGGGCAGGCTGGTCTTGAACTCCTGACCTCGTGATCCACCCACCTCGGCCTCCCAAAGTGCTGGGATTATAGGCATAGCCAACGCGCCCAGCCTGGACTTGTTTTTAAAAGATCACTGTGGCTCCTGTGTTTAGGCTGGCTGGTAGGAGACAGGTGGCAGTGGCATTGATGGTGAAGAGAAAATAGTGGCAGCCATGGAGATGGAGAGAAGTAGACAAGTTTGGGATATATTATACATTCCAGGGGTAGAAACAACAGGACTAGATGATGGATTGATGGGTGGGAGATGTAGATACTGGGAGAGAAGCAGGATTCTGATGGATGGAAAAACTAAAAAATTCTATTTTGGGTGTGGTAAGTCTAAGTCTATTAGACATGCAAGTAGAGATGTCACTGGGCAGATACACATCTGGATTTCAGGGGCAAGGTCCAAGCTAGAGAAAGAAACCTGGGCATGGTCAGCATGAGGATGGTGTTTAAAGCCATGGAACTTATCTTGTGCATCCCTATAAGACCCCTTTGAGGCACTTGTTTCCCCTCACAATGGATGCAGTGCATCTTCCATTCTGAATTCCAGAGGCAACAACCTCCTGCTCCTAGAAGCTAAACTCTCCAGACTTAGTCTTCTGAATTCCCACTGGGATTTAACCTCCCTGGATTCAATTCCCTACCCCACAAGGACCCTTCTACCAATCCATTTCACAATATTTGGTGGAACTCTTCACATTTTCAAATCCTGTCTTCTATGTTTGAAAGCATTTTCCTCTGGGCATTTTGAAACCTGGCTTTCCCCTAATGATGCTACTCCTCTCTGTGGTGAAGGTTGCTCTTTCTTCGACCTCCATCACTAGGGGAATGAAGGCAGAAGAGAGGGGTCGTTATTTTCTCTCCCCCAGACCACTGATAAACTCCTCCTCATCTCCCAAAGCACGTGCCTTTTGCATTTGCCATGCTCTTCCTGTCTTCACAGCACAATCTTATCCATCAAAATATTTATTATGCTCTTAACAACTTGTATAACTAGCTCAGTCTTTCTCCACATCTTATCCCTACCATCATCCTTGTTTGTTTGTTTTTTGAGACAAGGTATTGCTCTGTCACCCAGGCTGGAGTGCAGTGGCGTGATCTTGGCTCACTGCAGCCTCGACCTCCTGGGCTCAAGTGATCCTCCCACGTCAGCCTCCTGAGTAGCTAGGACTACAGGTGCATACCACCATGCCCGGCTAAGTTTTGTATTTTTTTTTTTTTCCAGAGATAGGGTTTTGCTATGTTGCCTAGGCTGGTCTTGAACTCCTGAGCTCAAGCAATCCACCCGCCTCAGCCTCCCAAAGTGCTGGGATTACAGGCATGACCCACCGCACCCGGCCTCCTACCACCATCTTTAGTGACTTTAAAAGCCACAAAGATCGGCTGGGCGCAGTGGCTCACACTTGTAATCCCAGCACTTTGGGAGGCTGAGGCGGGTGGATCACGAGGTCAGGAGATCGAGACCATCCTGGCTAACAAGGTGAAATCCCGTCTCTACTAAAAATACAAAAACAAAATTAGCTGGGCGTGGTGGTGGGTGCCTGTAGTCCCAGCTACTCGGAAGGCTGAGGCGAGAGAATGGCATTAACCCGGGAGGCGGATCTTGCAGTGAGCCCAGATCACACCACTGCACTCCAGCCTGGGTGACAGAGCGAGACTTCGTCTCAGAGGAAAAAAATAAAAATAAAAAAAGAAGCCACACAGATCAGATGAGTCTTACAGTCTGGCCTCTCAATTCTCCAAGTTTCTCAAGTCTACTGGTTTTACAGCCTCTTCTTCCCTCCTCCATTTTAGCCACCCAGGAGTAAGGTTGTACCTCAAACCCCAGCATCACTTGGAAGAATTATGCCTTCAAGATCTTGATCTCTGAATTACCCTTCTCATCACAACCACTCACTTTTCACATCTCCCACTCTCTGCCTCCCCTTGAATCAGTTCTTTATTCTTACCAAGACTTCCGGCTGCTTCTGCTTTCCTGGTTTTGCTTGTTGATTTAACATGTACTGCATGGTCAACAATTTCAACTCCACTTTGTCTGCATTTTAGAATCTCTTACCGCCGGGCACCGTAGCTCACACCTGTAATCCCAGCACTTTGGGAGGCCAAGGTGGGCGGATCACCTGAGGTCAGGAGTTCGAGACCAGCCCGGCCAATGTGGTGAAGCCCCATCTCTACTAAAAATACAAAAATTAGCTGGGCGTGATGGTGGGCAACTGTAATCCCAGCTACTCTGGAGGCTGAGGGAGGAGAATCGCTTGAACCCGGGAGGCAGAGGTTGCAGGGAACCAAGATTGAGCCATTGCACTCCAGCCTGGGCAACAAGAGTGAAACTCTGTCTCAAAAATTGACTTGGGTAAACTAAGTGGTCTCATTCTTGGGGCTTTGTCTTAGGCTGCCAAGCGCTGCAGTAGACAGCTGAGTCACCATAAGAGGCCTATAACTAATCCTGGCCAGCTAATCTCAGAGAGTCATCAGTGTTCTTGGACACAACTTTTACTCATTCTTTGTTGACTCCCCATTATACTCCTGTGCGTGATGTTCTAAATCTCCGTGCCTCTGATGTTCTTCACTCTCATCTATTAATATTTCATTGAGCTTAAGGCCATCAAGTGTGGATCTCACTTCCCTCTTTTTCCTTAATTTTGTTATATTTAATCTTTCCTTACATACTGACTCACAGTACTTTTTCTTGTTTCCAAGACTGATCCTTTTATCTGTACTCTATCCCACTTCCTCTATCTTTACTATATTCTCTCCCCACTTCTTGCTTATGTTTTCACTATCTCTCCCTTTCTTGTTTGTTTTTGGGATAGGCTTGCTCTGTTGCCCAGGCTGGAGTGCAGTGGCGCGATCTCGGCTCACTGCAACCTCTACCTCTCGGGTTCAAGTGATTCTCCTGCCTCAGCCTCCTGAGTAGCTGGGGTTACAGGCGTGTGCCACCACGCCCAGCTAATTTTTGTATTTTTAGTAAAGACAGCATTTCACTATGTTGGCTAGGTTGGTTTTGAACTCCTGATATCTATAGTCTGCCCACCTCAGCCTCCCAAAGCGCTGGGATTACAAGGGTGAGCCACCGCACCTGGGCTTTTTTTTTTTTTTTTGAGACTGAGTCTCGCTCTGTCACCCAGGCTGGAGTGCAGTGGTGTGATCTCGGCTCACTGCAACCTCTGCCTCCTGAGTTCAAGCGATTCTCCCACCTCAGTGAATAGCTGGGACCACAGGCATGTGCCACCACGCCTGGCTAATTTTTGTATCTTTCGTAGAGATGCGGTTTTGCCATGTTGGCCATACTAGTCTTGAACCCCTGGCCTCAAGTGATCTGCCCACCTTGGCCTCCCACAGTGCTGGGATTACAGGTGTGAGCCACTGCACCTGGCCTATCTTTGTCTCTTTAAGCATCTTCATTTTACCTTCAATTTTATTTCTTGAAAATAAACAACAAAAAAGATCCTTCCTTGGAATATTTCTCCCTCAAATGTCCAGTCTATCTCACCTTCCGTTTTCGTGTGATGTCTCAAAAGACTAGCCCCCTTAACGAACCACTTTTTCAGGAACTGGTAAAATTTCCCTCAACTGTAAAATCTGTGGGTAGAACTAAGAGATGATTCTCAGTTATTCTGTGTTCACCATTCTGACCTCATGCCCACCACCTCCTTTTCCTCACCTCCCACTCATTCCTCAACCTATGTAAAGTGATTTCTGCCCCTCTATTAAATGGAAACGGTTTTCTCAAAATTTGTAATCGTCTAGTTCCTGAACCCAACAATCTTTTCAACCCTCATTTACTAGACCTCTTTGAAGCCTCAAACATGGCTGCCCTGTCTCTGCTTGGCATCCCCCGCCCCCCGTGCCCTACTTCTCTGACTGCTCCCCAACCTCTCCTTTATTGGTTCTCTTCCTTTGATCATGCTCAGGGCTCTTCTGGTCACTCCGCCCCCTCCCTTGAAGATCCTGTCCACTCAAAGGCTCAACCTCTACTGGGAAGGGAATGATGCCCAAATCTGTTCCTCCAGACCCAACTTCTCTTGAGCTCCAGACCTGCTTTCTGGAAATCTCCACCTGAGAGTCATGCTGGTACCTCAAACCTTCATTGAGCACTTTATTACCCTAAGCAGGCATACCTATACATTATAACTATAATGTATAGTTATTATTTGTATACTGTCTCATTAGACTGCAAGTTCTATGAAGGCAGTGACTTTATTATTTATACCTATTGTCAAGCAGTGCCCTGCTCCTAATAGGTGCTTAATAATTTTTTTTTTTTTTGGATACAGAGTCTTGCTCTGTCACCCAGACTGGAGAGCAGAGGCATGATCTCAGCTCACTGCAACCTCTGCCTCCCGGGTTCAAGTGATTCTTGTGCCTCAGACACCTGAGTAGCTGGGATTACAGGTGCCCACCACCACACCCAGCTAGTTTTTATATTTTTAGTAGAGACGGGGTTTCACCATGTTGGCCAGGCTGGTCTCGAACTCCTGGCCTCAAGTGATCCTCCCAAAGTGCTCCCACCTTGGCCTCCCAAAGTGCTGTGATTACAGGAGTGAGGTGCCTGGCCACCACCACCCACCTTTTGGACAGACGTTGAGAGGATTTGTGGTGTTAGGAAAAGGGCTGGTTAACACACAGTAGGTATTAATTCACAAGATGATGGCCGTTTTCTTACTCCTTGTCTGTACTGCAGCACTCACCTGTTCTCCCTCTTTTTCATCGTCACCTGGACCACTGCCCACAGGATGCAGTCCAATCTCTGACCTTGACTTTCTGTGGTCCTTTCTTCATCACATGTTCCCTCACACCTGTGCTTCTTCTCCCTCAGGACGCTCCTTTCCCAGAACATACTGCATTTTCTGACTTGTCAGGCTCGCTCAAGACGTGTTATTCGCCTATGGAACCTTTCCATCCACCTCCACCTAGTGAACCCATTCATTAGAGCAAGTTCAAATGCTGTCTCCTCAGAGGCTCCCTGGATGCTTTCAAATGGACTTAATCTCCCCTCTTTCTGTAATCATCTTAAAGTTTACTCATCATGCCTTGAATCAGTTAACTAGGTATGGGTCTGCCTCCCCACTAGATTGTAAGCTTGAAGCAGGGTTTAAATTTATCTTTGGGCTACATAATGCTCAGTTGACCTACACTGAACAGAGTCCCTCCCAGATCCTTTTCCTAACTTAATCCAAACCTGCCCCAACCTGAGTCCTCAAACTGACCCTCTTCAATCTCATTATTCTTTTCCAGGCCTGTTCCTCCAATTGAATCCCAATGCATCCTCCACTGAGACTCAACTCCTGGTGCCAGCTCTAGAGAGCAGAGATACACTTCCACCTACCCACTGTTTCATGGCAGGCACTGAGTCACCCCTTGGGAATCCCTGGCCCCTGTCCCTGCCCCCACCATGCTGGACAGGATGCGTGCTGCCTGCCCCAAGGGGTCAGAGGAAGCCAGGGCCTCTAGGGCTCAGTATTTTTATCAGCCTAGGAAACAAGAGACACAGAAGCGGAAACCATGTGGTCAGAGAAAGTGAACAGCCCTTATCTCAGGGGAACCCCCACCAGGGCTGGGGGCCAGACACCAGGAAGGGACGTTGAAAAGACTGTGGTCCGGTGGGCCCAGGTTTCAGGGCTTATTTTGCTTTGGTTTTATGTAACTCTTGCAGAAGGGGAAATGATGTGCTTAAAAACCAGTGAGAAATCTCCTGGGTGGAGGAGCAAATTTGGTCACCAGAGTTTTCTGTAATTTACTTCTCAACCTCCAGCTTAGGGATCCTAACCCCAACTCCCCCCAAGGCCAAACCTGGACTCTTTGCATGCCACTTCCGAAAAGCTCCAGCCTGTGAGAGGAACCGGACGCCAGGGTCACACACAGCTTGAAGTCTCTTCTCTGAATCACAGCAGCTTCCTCTCACAGGATCTTTCTCACCAGCCCTTCCCCCTCCTGCACCCTGAACATCTGCCTGGTCCTTCAGAGGCCTTGGTCTCTTCCGAACTTCAGGCTGTCTTATTCAAGGATCTCATGCCCACCCATGTTCCCGTGTTCCCAGAGGCGTGCCCTCCCTGTCTTCTACTGCCTTCCACTTCCACTCCTGGGATTCTCCTGTAGAGAACTGGGCTCAAAACCTGAAAGATAAGTTTCTGATTGATAAGATGCTCTGGTGTAACTATGCAGACAGTGCACTCACCAGCACATGTCTGTACTCTCCTTGCAGCCCTGTCCTTTCTTTTTGCCAAGTTCCCAGTTGTGTCCTGGGCGATGGTAGTGGGGTCTACCTATCTTAGTTTCCAGGGAGCCCCCCTCTCTCCTCCGTGGGAATCCCAGACTCTCCCTCCACCTCTCAGGACTTCAACTACTGGTTCTTGGAAAAGGAAATGTTTATAGGGAAGGCCATGCCTGGGCTGCCCAGAGATGAACTCAGGTTTAGGATGGGGCAGCAGCTGAATGGCGGAGATGAGGATTGGGGCCCTGGAGGAAGAGAGATACAACTGACAAGCTAGAGGGCAGAGATGGATGGAGCCAGCAGCCTGGCTGGCTTTGGGTGTGGAGCTCCAGTTGCCCAAGAACAGACAACCCATGTTACATAATTTTGCTCTTTCCACCTCCTTCCCCTGCTCCTAATTTTAGCAACTGAAATTCCACTCCCCCACAGGGCTCTTCCTCCAGCCATTCTGCTTGTATTCCCCATCCTCCCCCAGCCTCCTCATGGCCCCCCAGCGCCGGCTACCCCCAACTCGCTCATTCAGTGACTCAGCAAAGGGAAAGCCCTGTGTTGGGGGAAGGGGGTGTTAAGTGGGGAGGAGGATGTGGTTCAGCTTGGGGAGCCAGGGAGGGGAGGGAAACTGGTTTTGTTCCCCTTTTTGCCTCTGTTCGCATCTATTTCTCCAGCCACAGATTGCAGGGTGGACAAGACCCCAGTGTAGGGAGTGGAGTGAGACTGGATGGCAAACTGGGCCTTCTTAGGGCTGAACTGAGGGGGCATGCAGAGGCTTCTTGCCTCCAGCTCAGAGCCCGTGTTAGCGTGTGCGTGTGTGTTGCAGGTGTGTGGGAGCTGTGGGTTTCAGCAGGCGGGGCGGGAAAGGAGATGTCATGGGTGATGAAAACCACAGCAATGGAAAAAGACAGAGGAGACACTGGGAGTGAGATGTGGAACCAGGTCTTATTAGGAAACGGCAGAGTCAAGGAGCAGTGGTGGCGGCCCGCACCCCCCACCCCCACTTGTTACAACTTTCGCTCCCACCCATATCCTCTGCTGAGCAGCACCTGGCTCTTCCTTGTGGTCCCCATCCTTTCCCTTACCCTTCCTTCTGCCTCATCCTGAGGCTGCAGCCCCGAAGTTTCTTGCTTCTTCCCTAGGGTCACTTGAGGGCCTCTGCATGGCGATTCAGGGCCTGAGAAAGGGCTGTCACTGCTCCCATCACACGGCCCAGCTCCCAGGTCTCAATCTGGCTTCGGAATCGCTGCAGGAAGCGGTCAGGGTGCCAGCGGACCTGCTGGACCCTCAAGTACCTCCTCAGAGCCCCCTGTTCCTCCAAAGGGGGGCCCCTGGCCACCAGGGCTGCAGCCATGGCCTCTGGGTCCCCTCCCCCAGGGCAGGGCCAGGGCACATCACCAAATCGCCAGAGGCTGCCCCTCCCCGCTCCTCTGGGGTGCTCTTCCCTGGGCCCGGCCCTGGTTGGCTTGGGTTCTCGGTCCCCTAGAGCCTCCTGCGCCCTCCTGGCTCGGCTCTCACGCAGCTCTTCCTCCTTGGCCCGGGCTCGCTCCCTGAAGAGCCGCTGCTCCTCCTCCTGCTGTCGCCAGCTCTGGCTGGAGCCCTCAGCACGTGGGGGTCGACAGGATCCCTCTGCTTCTCGCTGCTGCTGCTGGCACTTCTGGGCATGTTCCCGGGCCAGGCGATCTGACCAGGCTGAGAAGGACTCAGGTTCCTGGGTTTCATGGGAGGCATCACCTGTTTGGGAGGGTGGGATGGGGGTAGTTGGAGAGAGGCTGTGAGAAGGTGATGGGCCCCAAGAAGCAGGGAAGCACAGAGGAGGGGGCAGAGGAGCCTAGTGTGACGCATTCATGCAGATGGAAAGCAGCCAGTGGGGAAGGGCAGCTGTGGATAGCAGTGGACTTCTCACCTTCAAACCTCCCCATGACTTCCTGCCACTCGTCCTCCAGCTCACCCTGGAGCTTCTGTCTCCATTCCCGCTCCTTGGAGGCATCATCTTCTTCCTCCTCTTCAGCAGAATCCCAGGGGGGTCCCCAGCCCAAAATTTGGCCAGGGGTCTCCCCATCCTTATTCTTTATTCCCATGGCGGAGGGACAGCGGCTTAGCAGCGGGAGGAAGAAATCGGTGTAGGCTGTTGGTGGGAGAGCAGGGAGCAGAAGTTAGCTGGGACTCCCACTCCTCGGCAGAGCTGCCATCTTGAATCCTGCTGGTCACTCACTCCCTTGGTCTTAAAGCAATGGAAGGGTGGCTCACATGGATGCCTCCTGGGTATTAGGAAATAACCATCACTGATAAATACAGACTGATAGTTTACCACATGCATGGTAAGTGTGGTAGTTTAAAATATTCTCAGCCAGGCGCGGTGGCTCACGCCTGTAATCCCAGCACTTTGGGAGTCCGAGGCGGGCGGATCACGAGGTCAGGAGATCAAGACCATCCTGGCTAACATGGTGAAATCCCATCTCTACTAAAAAATACAAAAAATTAGCCAGGCCTGGTGGCGGGCGCCTGCAGTCCCAGCTACTCGGCAGGCTGAGGCAGGAGAATGATGTGAACCCGGGAGGTGGAGCTTGTAGTAAGCCGAGATCGTGCCACTGCACTCCAGCCTAGGTGACAGAGCAAGACTCCGTCTCAAAAAAAAAAAAAAAAATTCTTACTTGTGTCTCCACAAACTATTTCAGCATCCTAGAAGTTCTACCATGCCAACTGACATTTTCTGACCTGCCTCCAGCCACCAAGGCAGTGCCCAAATTCTTTGACTATGTATTCCACTTTTCACTTAAAAATATTGTCACTATATAAATCCCTTATTTTCTCACCTGAAACCATATATCAGACTGGGAAAATATCTGAATGCTCTACTCTGGGCCATTAATAAATACACAAATATGTAATACTTATCTTTTATTATCACTTATCAATAAACTGAGTAAAATAAATGTTTTCAGGGGAATTTCTCTCAGCCAGCCTTACCAGGGGATGATGGGAGAGGGGTGGGGAGGTGAACCGGCAACAACTATGGCCGGCGGCAGAGCAAGCTCTTTCCAAATGACTGCTGACCTAGGGCAGGGGAAAGGGAGTGGAGTGTGACAGAGGGTCTCACCCATGGGCTGAGAGAAAACAGGAGAGGAACCGACGTTCCTGAACTCCCCTTTTCTTCAGTCCCAACCTTGCTGCATCTGGCCCAAGGTTAGCTGAGTGCCATGCTACTTCCTTCACTGCCAACCCAGGCATCCTGGCCAGGCCCACCTGCTGTGGCCACCAACCACCTCTTTCACTTGGGGGATAGAAGAAGGGGAGGGAGGCAGCCTTCCTTCCTGTGGACCTACTTTCTTTCCCCGGGGTAAGAGGAAATGGGCTAGCAGTCCTTAAATCTTTATTTGGTAGTGCTGGAAAGTACTGTTTACCTGGCAGAAAGCTGGAATAGGGGAAGGCAAGGCCAGGAAGGCAAGAAGACAGAATGGCCCAGGTGTGGCTGGCGAAGGCCCACCATCCCTACCCAAATCACATCAGGGTTGGTGGGGGGGGCACTTCTCCCTAGTGCTGCTGTGACCTGTCACAGACCCTCTCAACTTGTCCCACCCAGAAAGTACCTGGTCCTGTCTCTCATTCGCTTGTTCCCCACCTGAGCTCAGGTGGTGAGCATGGTGAGTGCTCAGGCTTGCATGGGAGGTTTACATTCATAGGTTTTAAGGAGTAGGGCCTCCAACTATAAAAACATAATATTAAACAGCCACTACAACTGAGGCATGTGTTTGAAAAAAGCTGGCTACAAAACTGTAGAGAGGATCAGATGTGGCCAGGCACGGTGGCTCACGCCTGTAATCCCAGCACTTTGGGAGGCTGGGTGGGGGGGACAATGGATCACAAGGTCAGGAGTTCAATACCAGCCTGGCCAAGATGGTGAAAACCCGTCTTTACTAAAACAAACAAACAAAATATATATATAATTATATTTTATATTATATATAAAATTAGCCAGGCGTGGTGGCTGACGCCTGTAATCCCAGCTACTTGGGAGGTTGAGGCAGAGAACTGCTTGAACCTGGGAGGCGGAGGTTGCAGTGAGCCGAGATCGCGCCTCTGCATTCCAGCCTGGGTGACAGGGTGAGACTCTATCTCAAAAAAAAAAAAAAAAAAAAAAAAGAGAGAGAGAGAGAGGATCAGATAATAACTGTCTAAAACAAGAGACCAAATCCTATGGTTGGAAAAAAAGAGGCCGGGCGTGGTGGCTCATGGCCTGTAATCCCAGCACTTTGGGAGGCTGAGGCGGGTGGATCACCTGAGGTCAGGAGTTCGAGACCAGCCTGGCCAACATGGTGAAACCCTGTCTCTACTAAAAATACAAAAATTAGCCAGGCGTGGTAGCATGTGCCTGTAATCCCAGCTACTTGGGAGGCTGAGTCAGGAGAATCACTTGAACCTGGAAGGCAGAGGTTGCAGTGAGCTGAGATCATGCCAGTGCACTCCAGCCTGGGCAACAGAGGGAGACTCCCATCTCAAAAAAAAAAAAAAAAAAGAAAAAAAATAGACTGGCAAAAAATATGTAAAAATTCTAGCCTATGGGTGGTGGGGCTGTAGGTGGCTTTTCCCCCAATTTTATTTGACATTTTAATGTGAAAGGGATATAATTAAGTTGAAATTTTCTTTTTAAAGAAGGACGAACAAATTTGATAACTATTAACAGTGTACTGTGATCCCTTCCAGTCCCACCTTGGTGTACCTAAAAGCATACATATGACACATTTATTTGGAGATATGTAACCATACTACAAATATTGCTTGGCAACTTGCTTCTTTCATTTAACATCTCATTTATATTTTTCCACAGGAATATATACAGTCTACCTCATACTTTTTGACGACTTTATAATTAGTGTTCCACTGTGTGTACAAAACAAATCTCCTTACCCCAATATCGATAGACTTTGTTTCAAAAAATGTTCAGCCTCATGAGTATCTTACAGTCTTTCTGTGGGGGTAGATTTTCATAAGTGGAATTTCTGAGTCAAAGGACATGCGCAATTTGGTCAAACTGCTCTCAATAAGTTTGTGCCAATATACAAGTGTGCCTATGTCTTCCTTTACCAAAATTGAATATCATCAACCCTTTTAATTTTGCCAGTTGGATAGATTAAAAAATTATTTTATTAACAATGTTTTTTTCTTTTTCATGTCTTTTGGCTATTTGTATTTTTTGTGAATGAATTGCTCATATTCTTTATCCACTTTTTCTTTGGAAATTATATATATTGATATGAGGGTTCTATATACTGTATGTGTTATACATATTGCAAACATTTTCTTCTATCTATCTTTAAAAAAGCTTTTTTTTTCTTTTTGAGACAAGGTCTCACCCTGTTGCCCAGGCTGCAGTGCGGTGGCATGATCTTGCTCACTGCAAACTCTGCCCCACCTGGGCTCAAGCGATCCTCCCACCTCAGCCTCCTGAGTAACTGGGACTACAGGACGACAGCCACGTACCACCACGCCTGGCTAATTTTGTATTTTTTGTACAGACCAGGTCTCACTGTGTTGTTCAGGCTGGTCTTGAACTCCTGGCTCAAGTGATCTGCCTACCTTGGCATCCCAAAGTGTGGGATTACAGGTGTGAGCTACCGCACCCGGACTAAAATTTTCATGTAGTTAAATCTATATCAATATATTATTTTCTGACTTTTTATTTCACTTCACTCTTAGGAAGGCTCTATTTTAAGATTATAAAACATTCTCTGCATTTTCTTCTACTACTTTAGATGTATACTCATTTTTATTTTTAGAAATTAAAAAACTCGGCCAGGCGCGGTGGCTCATGCCTGTAATCCCAGCACTCTGGGAGCCCAAGGTGGGTGGATCATGAGGTCAGGAGTTCAAGACCAGTCTGGCCAAGATGGTGAAACCCCGTCTCCACTAAAAATACAAAAATTAGCCTGACGTGGTGGCGGATGCCTGTAATCCCAGCTACTTGGGAGGCTGAGGCAGAGAACTGCTTGAACCCGGGAGGCAGAGGTTGCAGTGAGCCAAGATTGCGCGACTGGACTCCAGCCTGGGTGACAGAGTGAGACTCTGTCTCAACAACAACAAAAAAGAAATTAAAAAACTCTCAAAAATACAAAGTATAATACAATACACAACCCCATTCCTACCACAGGGTTTGTTAATGTACTGTCATGTTTGTAGTATAATTTATTTTAAGGAAATAAAATCATCACAGATAAAGGTAGTTTACCGTGATACCGCCTTCCAAGTTTCATTCCTCCCCAGGCCATCTGTCCCATGAATTTGGTGTGTACCTTCCTGTCATATTCAGGTATTTAATCTGCTGGAATTTACTTTTTGATTAGGTGTGAGGTGGGACTCTTGTTTTTCCCTAGATGAGCCAAATGTTCCAATATTATTTATAAAATAGTTCACCTGGTCAGGCACAGTGGCTCATGCCTGTAATCCCAGCACTTTGGGAAGCTGAGGTGGGTGGATCACCTCAGGTCAGGACAGGAGTTTAAGACCAGCCTGGCCAACACGGTGAAACCCCCATCTCTACAAAAATACAAAAATTAGCTGGGCATGATGGCAGGTGCCCAGCTACTCAGGAGGCTGAGGCAGGAGAATTGCTTGAACCCGGGAGGCGGAGGTTGTAGCAAGCTGAGATTGCGCCATTGCACTCCAGCCTGGGTGACACAGCGAGACTCTGTCTCGGAAAAAAAAAAAAAAAAAGTTCACCTTTCTCCAGTATTAGAAATGCCCCCTTTAGGCCTGGCGCGGTGGCTCACGCCTCTAATCCCAGCATTTTGGGAGGCCGAGGCGGGCGGATCATGAGGTCAGGAGTTCGAGACCAGCCTGGCCAACACAGTGAAACCCTGTCTCTACTAAAAATACAAAAAATTAGCTGGGCGTGGTGGCGGGCGCCTGTAATCCCAGCTACTTGGGAGGCTGAGGCAGGAGAATGGCTTGAACCTGGGAAGCGGAGCTTGCAGTGAGCCGAGATCACACTACTGCACTCCAGCTTGGGCGACAGAATGAGACTCCATCCCCCACTTCGCCAAAAAAAAAAAAAAAAAAAAAAAAAGAAATGCCGCCTTTATAGCGATTTACCAGATCAACCGTTCTCAATGCTCTTTAATACGCTGGAGTTTCATACTAAGAAAAATAAACATAAAAACATTTTGGCCAGGCGCTGTGGCTCACGCCTGTAATCCCAACACTTTGGGAGGCTGAGGTGAGCAGATCACAAGGTCAAGAGATCGAGACCATCCTGGCTAACATGGTGAAACCCCGTGTCTACTAAAAATACAAAAAATTAGCCAGGCGTGGTGGCATACGCCTACAGTCCCTACGCCTATAGTCCCAGCTACTTGGGAGGCTGAGGCAGGAGAATCTCTTGAACCTGGGAGGTGGAGGTTGCAGTGAGCCGAGATTGTGCCACTGCACTCCAGCCTGGGCGACAGAATGAGACTCCTTTTCAAACAAAACAAAACAAAACAGAAAACAAAAACAAAACCAAAAGACATTCTGTGGGATGGGCACGGTGGCTCATGCCTATAATCCCAACATTTTGGGAGGCTGAGGTGGGTGGATCACTTGAGGTCAGGAGTTTGAGACCAGCCTGGCCAACATGTTGAAACCCCATCTCTACTAAAAACACAAAAATTAGGTCGGGCATGGTGGCTCATGCCTGTAATCCCAGCACTTTGGGAGGCCGAGGCAGGTGGATCATCTAAGGTCAGGAGTTCGAGAGCAGTCTGGCCAACATGGTGAAACCCCATCTCTATTAAAAATACAAAAGTTAGTCGGGCATGGTGGCAGGCTCCTGTAGTCCCGGCTACTCAGGAGGCTGAGGAAGGAGAATCACTTGAACCCAGGAGGCGGAGGTTGCAGTGAGTCAAGATACTGCCACTGCACTCCAGCCTGGGGAACAGAGGGAGACTCCGTCTCAAAAATAAATAAACAAATAAAAATTTAAAAATTAATAAATAAAAATAAAAAAATTAGCTGGGCATGGTGGTGTGTGCCTGTAATCTCAGCTACTTGGGAGGCTGAAGCAGGAGAATCGCTTGAACCCAGGAAGCAGAAGTTATAGTGAGCCGAGATCATGCCACTGCACTCCAGCCTGGGCGACAAAGCAAGACTCCGTCTCAAAAGGAAAAGAAAAAGGAAGCTGGAAGCTGAATGAGATGGGCCTTTCAACCAAGGAGTTAGAAGGCCATCTGGTGGCAGGGCTGGCAGAGGACCAGGAGTAAATAAGGCCAGAGAGGACACCAGGGTCTGGGAGTGAAGGCACTGAGCTTGGGTCCCCCTTTGGAAGACAATGACCTGAGAGCTGTGAGATTTCAGACAAGTTCCCGAACCTTTTGGGCCCTGCTTTCCTCATCTGTAAATGGGATAATATCAGTCTCACCAGCTTCTTAAAATTCAATACAATGGAGTTGGGTGTGGTGGCTCACGCCTCTAGTCCCGGCACTTTGGGAAGCCGAGGTGGGCAGACTGTTTGAACTCAGGAGATGCAGAACAGCCTGGATAACATAGCAAAACAGTCTCTACCAAAAATACAAACAATTAGCTGGGCATGGTGGTGTGTGCTTGTAGTCCCAGCTACTAGGGAGGCTGAGGTGGGAGGACTGCTTGAGCCCACGAGGTAGAGGCTGCAGTGAGCCATGATTGCACCACTGCACTCCAGGCTGGGAGACAGAATGAGACCCTGTCTCAAAACAAACAAGCAAACAAACAATAAAGGAAATCCCTACCACACTATCAGGGGCATTTTGGCTGAGCGCGGTGGCTCACGCCTGTAATCCCAGCACTTTGGGAGGCTAGGCTGGCAGGTCACCTGAGGTCGGGAGTTTGAGACCAGCCTGACCAACACGGAGAAACCGTCTCTACCAAAAATACAAAATTAGCCGGGCGTGATGGTGCATGCCTGTAATCCCAGCTACTTGGGAGGCTGAGGCAGGAGAATCTCTTGAACCCAGGAGGCAGAGGTTGAGGTGGGCTGAAATCGCGCCATTGCACTCTAGCCTGGGCAACAACAGGGAAACTCCATCTCAAAAAAACAAAACAAAACAAAAAACAAAACTCCCATTTTTGCGAGGCAAATTGGGCTCACAGAGGTAAGCTGCATGTCCCTGTTGATGGCAGAGCTGGGGTCTGGATGCAGGTCTGCTTCGGGGTAATCTGCTCTTTTGCCTTCCAGGGTCCTGCCTCTTACAATATGAGCTGTCAAGTTAGATGCCTGCACTCAGTAAACCTACTCTGTTTTAAGTAAAAACAACAAGAAACAAATCTGAATATGCTAGCCTATCTCAGGTACGTTAAAGGAAATTTTTAAATAGGGGGTTTTTTGACCATTTGGGGGAGTTTTGGGGGAGGGGCCTTCTGTCTATACTTGAGCTGGGGGATGTTAGGGTTGTTCATCTGGATCTAGAGGTTTTCCTGTAATGTTCTTACTCCAGAAGGAAATCTCTAGATGGGGAAAGAAGGTTTCAGCTTTTATTCTAGTAAGCAGGGCTCTACCTATAAAGAGCTGCTTCCACCACTCTTTTTTTTTTTTTTGAGACGGAGTCTTGCTGTGTTGCCCAGGTTGGAATGCAGTAGTGCAATCTCGGCTCACCACAACCTCTGTCTTCCGGGTTCAAGTGATTCTCCTGCCTCAGCCTCCCAAGTAGCTGAGACTACAGGTGTGTGCCACCATGCCTGGCTAATTTTTGTATTTTTAGTACAGATGGGGGTTTCACTATGTTGGTCAGGCTGGTCTCGAACTCCTGACCTCGTGATCTGACTGCCTTGGCCTCCCAAAGTGCTGGGATTACAGGCATGACCCACCGCACCTGGCCTCCACCACTATTATAATATCACCAGGTTCCCCATTTGAATCCTTCAGTGCCAAAGGTTTTGCAGAATTCAAATGTTTTTGGGACTTGATAGGGCTGACCTAAAAGTACACTCACTCTATATTAGGTAGCCCAGGAGGGCCTAGGCAGCCCAAGAACCAAACACATGAGTGTTTCTGCAGGGAAATGTATGAATATTGACATCAGTAGGATGAAAATAAATAATAGTCTTACTTTAGTTCAGATTAGGTTTCTGTCACCAAATGAATTTTGGTGGCAGCCTGATGAAAAATGTTGGTTCTCAGAGTGTTTTTGAGTTTAGAATTGTGGTTAAGGGAGTATGGACCTGTTGATAACAAAAACAGGAACAAGGCCAGGTGTGGTGGCTCACACCTGTAATCCCAGCACTTTGAGAGGCTGAGGTTGGTGGATCACCTGAGGTCAGGCATTCGAGATCAGCTTGTCCAACATGGCGAAAACCCATCTCTTCTAAAAATATAAAAATTAGCTGGGCGTGGTGGCATGCGCCTGTAATCCTAGCTACTTGGGAGGCTGACGCATGAGAATCACTTGAACCTGGGAGGTAGAGGTTGCAGTGAGCCAGGATCGCACCATTGCATTCCAGCCTGGGCAAGAAGAGTGAAACTTCATAAAAAACAAAAACAAAAACAAAAAACAGAGAAACAGGAACAACAATCGCCAGCATATACCAAGTGCTTATCGTGTGTGCCAGGTACTCTAATTATGTACTATGTCAGTTGATTCTCAAAACATATATGGCACAACATGGGTACTCTGAACATGGGCACAATCAATGTACAATGCTATAATGTATAACACAGGACAATGTAGCTGTTAAAAGCATGGACACTCTATCTAGTCCATCTGGGTTATAATCTCTGCTCTACCAGTGAATAACTGTAACTCTGGCAAATGACTTCTCTATGCCCTGTTTCCTCAGCTGGGAAATGGGGGATAATATCAGTACTCACCTCCTAAGATTGTTGTGAGGATTAAATGTGTTACTTTATAAGAAATGTCTGGCACATAGCAAAGGTTGTTATTATTTTAATTTTTACACATGGGCAAACTAAGCCTCAAGTAACCTGTCCAAGAATACGTAGCTATGAAGTGTGGAGCTGGGATTTGGAGCTGGGGTTTGAATCCAGGCAATCTAACTCCAGAGCCTACCTTCTATGCTACTTTTTGGCTACGAGCAAACAATCTGTCAAGAAACAAAGTAGCTACTAATCTAAACAGATGTGAAATTTGAAGACCAGTTGATCTTTGGGGAATGTTGGGTTCTTCAGACAATGGTAGCTCAGTAATGTAAAGGGACAAATGACAGCCACATGCCAACTTGGTTAACTCCTTCCCTAGGTCCTGATGACCAAATAACCAGCTTATTTCTCAACTATTGGTTGGCTTTCATTTCAGGTCTGGTCAGCTGCTTATGACCTTGTTCCCCACTGAGCAGACTCACCATCTGGGCCCTGGCGGGCAGCAGCATGCAGTGCCGTGTCCCCATGGCGGTCCTGGTGGGCAGGGTCAGCCCCGAGCCGAAGCAGCAGGCACAGGGCAGGGGCATCGTGGCGGGCACAGGCCCGGTGCAGTGGTGGGGGCTGCCCAGCATCTACATCGAGGCCTGGGTGTCGCTGGAGGAGGGCCTGGGCCCGGACCAGCCGTCCTGCAGACAAGTAACGACGAAAGCGACGTTCTCGGCGTTGGCGGCGGGAAGTGGAGGCCATGGAACTCTTGGGCTGGGGAAGGAAAAAAGGCAGCAGTCAGGACTTCAGCCTTGGCTGGTCCTTCTCCCTCCATCTCTGACATCCCCTGTTGTTTCTCCCTTTGGTTCCGTCTTTTTTTAATATCTTCAGCAAGAGATGAGGCCTAACCTAACTCTGATCCTTTATCAGATGATAGATTTGAAAAAAAATTTTTTTTGAGGGGGGTGATAGGATCAGAGGTTTAATTTTTTTAATGTAAAATTCGAGAAAAGGGTAAATAATTGGTTTAAGGCTCAGGAGCCCAGGTAAATTTTTAATTTTTAACAAAGAACTTTAAAAAAACCCAACAGGGCCGGATGGGGAAAATTTTTATCAGCAGAAATCTGAGTTTTAAAAAGTCACAGATAATCTCCAATAATGATCTAGAAATTGAATATCATGTACCCGGCAGACAGATGTGGAGGCTTCTTCCTCTGGAACCTGGGGGGAGGGGTTACTCATCAGACCTGCCCCCGCCCCCCCAAGTACCCCCAGAGCCGTAGGCCCAAGGCCTGTGTTTAAGAAGCTCGGAGACGGGAGGCGGGAAGGGCGGAGACACTCCAGGCTGGAGGAAATGGCGCAAGCAGAGACGCTGGTGGAGGACGGAAGTGAACTGTGAGGGGCGTTACCGGATGTCGTTCCGCCCCGACCGGGTAGTTCTTGGCCAGATCTCCCAGGGGAAACTAGGGAACTTAAATTAAAGGGGCCGTCTGAAACCAGAAGACTGGACTGGAGGCGAGGAAAAGGAGGCGAGGGGAGGGGAGGGAGAAAAGAGAGTTATTTGGAGGTTTTTTCCCGCCTCCTCTAACTTGGCAGAGAGAGGAGATGGTTCAGTGATGGACGAAAAGATGAGAAGACAGAGAAAATAGAGGAGATAAAGACAGGATAAAAATCACATTAAACATGGAAAACAAAAACAAAAACCACAGTGGGACAACAACAGGGACAGATCAAAAAAAAGAAAAAATACAGACAAAAGACGGAAGAAGACTATCGTAGGATGGGGCAAGTGAGATGCAAAAATTTGGACTTGAGAAATATGTAGAAAAAGATGGAGATGTTAACAACGGGAGGCAGGGGAGGGGGCGGGATGGTGGAGAGAGAGAGAAAGGTAGAGAGTTAGTTTAGAATTAAGCCCAGAATGCTCTTTTCCCAACACAGGTTGCATGATGACATCCTTACCTTTTCACCGCATTCACAACCCTTTATGCTTCCTCTGTTACCACCAATCAAGTTCTCCTTCTCTCACCTCAGTACTCCCCCGTCTCCGCCCCTGCCTCATCCCTAGACCTTTCCGACTGGGATGGCTAACCTGTTGTAAGCCCGCAGCTTTGGGCCTGGTCTCTGCTGCTCCCAGGCGGCCCCTTTGGGTACTGCCTGAGCAAGAAGTGCTGGAGAGGAGGACCAGTCATCAATAGGAGGATGAGATTGGGAGAGACACTCGGTGCAGGAGGCTGAGTGAGCAGGGGAGCACTAAGACCCAGGGGTAGTGGAGGACTGCAGCAACGAGCTGGAGGAGGAGAAGTAAGCGGTGGGGGGTGGGAGCCATCTGGTACTTTGACAGCATTCAAAACAGCATCGGCCATAACAACAGAAATGGCCAGTCAGTCCCAAGGTATCCAGCAGCTTCTGCAAGCTGAGAAGCGGGCAGCTGAGAAGGTGGCAGATGCCAGAAAGAGTGAGTCCCCTCTTTCCTCCCTTAGGAGTTTGGAAAGAAAATTGGGGGTGGGGGACAGCAAACATTTTGGGAAAACCCAAGGCTGGCGGGAAGACAGCTAGGGTCTGGAGGCTGGTTAGGAGGGAAGAAATGGATGGATATTAGAATCTGGCACCTGGTTGGCTGAGAGAAGGCTGTATAACTTTCTGGAAGGGACTGACTCCTGCTATTACATTGTGTGTGTGTGGGTCCATCCCCACTCACTGTCCTTTCTTCTGCCTCCAGGGAAGGCCCGGCGACTGAAGCAGGCAAAGGAGGAGGCACAGATGGAGGTGGAGCAATACCGCAGAGAGCGAGAGCACGAATTCCAGAGCAAGCAGCAGGCGGTGAGTTGAGGCAGAGTCGGGATGAGACCCCACTGCAAGTTGGTGGGTGCATCTAGTGAGGTGTGTAAGGGTGACTCAACAAGAAAATATGGTGGCAGAGGGCTGAGGCTGAGGGGACCCTGGCAGGGACCACAACATTGGTGAAACTTTGTGATGATATGTAGGAGAGTCTGGGAGTTTTGAAGGCCACATAGAGCTTGTGGGCGGAATGCCACAGTCTGTGTAAAGTATAACATCTATGTGGAGTATGATTAACATTTGTGGTGGAGGGTAGAGTTTTATGGTCATGGATGGTGAGGTGGTGGGGATATTACGGTCTGTTTTAGGATGAAGTTGCATGTTAGGTCTAAGGGGAAAGGGGACTGTGTTGATCTCTTTGGTGTTGGGATATTTCTGTGGGATGGGGGTGGTTTCTGAGAGGGCCTTTCTTCTAGGCTTTGTTTCAGGATCTTTCCCCTCATATGCCTGGACCCTTGTCTGTTTCTGCTTTTCCCTTTCTCTCTTCCACCCCTCTCCCTACCCCCCAGGCCATGGGCTCCCAGGGGAACCTGTCTGCTGAGGTGGAGCAGGCTACAAGGCGCCAGGTGCAGGGCATGCAGAGCTCCCAGCAGAGAAACCGAGAGCGTGTCCTGGCCCAGCTTCTTGGCATGGTCTGCGACGTCAGGCCCCAGGTCCACCCCAACTACCGGATTTCTGCCTAGGGCCACCGTAGGGCCTGACTCCTTCTGCCAGTTCCCTCCCTCAAAGAAATCCTCCAATCAAAATCACCTCCCACCATAATCCCTGTCTTCTTTCCATCCCCTAGAAATCCTGGGAGGCAGGATCCAATAATTTTCCTGTGACACTTATAAATATCCTGCTCACATCTGAATCTCCTTGTTGTTCTTTAACCCTCACTGGGACTTTGTAAACTTCCAAGTCATTCTCACCTAAACCCTCTGTGAAATTTGTAATATGGGGAAGTAGGAATGTGGAAAACATCCTGACTTCAGTGTCTGGCCGATGTGGGTCCCTCTCTTGACCCTGTCACTTGCTGGCTGTGAAACCAGGACAAGCTACTTAACTTGGTAGCCTCGATGTCCTCCTCTGTGAAACTGGGATGATAATAATGCCTACCTTGTGAGGGTTGCTTCAATGATTAGGAATCATTCTGTAAAGTCTAGCAGAGTTCCTTGCATGTTGTAGCAGTGATTCAGTAAGTAGCAACCCTGTGATACTATTACCACCACCTGCTCACTGGTCAAAACCTACACAGCTGTTTCCTCACGTCCATCACTGGCTCTCTAATTCCACTTGTTCATTCTGTGACCCTAGTTATTTTCTGAAAAATTGGTTCTTCTCTTTTCCCAGAGACCTTCTGATCTCCAAAAAGAGGAGATGACTACATTTAGCCCCTCTCTTATAATTCCAGGTAGATAACTGCATTTTGTAGCCTCTCTTTGTTTTTCTTTTGCTGATCTTTGTCTTTATTAGATTTTCCTCCTTTCCTATTTCCCCAAAGACTTATCAGATGCTCATTGCTTTCTAAGATCTAAAATGATACTGTGTTCCCTCATATGCATGCCCTTCCTTTCTATATCCTTGACACCTTACTTTCCCATTGTAACAATAAAAAAAGTATCAATAAAATAATTATTGGCAAATAAATTGGTGAGTTGAAGCAGCCTCCTTTTGCCTCATCATTTCTCATTTTCAGTCACTTTGTTTTTTTTTTTTTTGAGATGGAGTTTTGCTCTTGTTGCCCAGGCTGGAATACAATGGCGTGATCTCAGCTCATTGCAACCTCTGCCTCCCAGGTTCAAGCGATTCTCCTGCCTCAGCCTCCCAAGTTGCTGGAATTATGGGTGTGTGCCACCACGCCTGGCTATTTTTTGTATTTTTAGTAGAGATGGGGTTTCGCCATGTTGGTCAGGCTGGTCTCAAACTCCTGACCTCAAGTGATCCACCTGCCTTGGCCTCCCAAAGTGCTGAGATTAGAGGTGTGAGCCACTGTGCCTGGCCTTCAGTCACTTTCTTGTTTTTTGTTTACATATTCCCTAAACAGCCCAAATGGCTATCCTTTGAAACTTCTTGGAGAAACAAGAACAAGTAGTACTTTATTATTTCTCTAAAGTGAGAAACATGGTTCCTCATTTGGGAATCTGAGGACTATAGATCGCAACTGTAGAGAAAAGCTGGAGTGTAGGAGCAAGTGCTCTTTGCCCCTTTACCTTGCATTTTCTTCATAGCACTTACTGCTACTGGTTTTTTGAGACAAGGTCCTGCTGTGTTGCCCAGGCTGGAGTTCCAGCTCACGGCAGCCTTGACCCCCTGGACTCAAATGATCCTCCCACTTCAGCCTCCTGAGTAGCTGGGATTACGGGCGAGTGCCACTATGCCTTGCTAATTTTAAAATTTTTTGTAGAGATGGGGTCTCACTTGCCCAGGCTGGTCTGAAACTCCTGGGCTCAAGCAATCCTTCGGGCTCGGCTTCCTCAAGGGTTGGGTTACAGGCCTGAGCCACTGCACCCTGACCACTTATCGATACTTGACATTATATTTGTGTTTATGTGTTTTCTTTCCTGTAATGTAAACACTGTGAGAACAGGGCTGTTCACCGTTGTGTCCCCAGATCCTAGGACAACATGTGGCACAAGGGAGGCAGTTGATAAATACTTTTGAATAAATTAAATGATACTTGGGAAAATACCTTCTATGACACCATTCTTGAATTAGTTACTTCATTTGTCACTGAAGACAAGCTTACTTCACCAAGAATTTGAACCAATAAGGTAACCTGCAGTGTATTTACTAACCAGATTCTTTGAGCAGGGAGGCAGAATACAATAGAGAATGAGAGATGTTTGCATCCTGGCTGTAACCTCACCAGCCGTACTGCTTGAGATATGTTGCTTTGCTTCGCTTCTGTCAATAAGATGAGAATAACGGTACCTACTCCTTAGTATTAAATCAGTAAGTATGTTAACAGGGAGAGGGCCAAACGTTTGTTGTTTTATTACACAGCAGGACATCAGGTCTTACTTTTGTGGCTCCCCATCTCAAAGACGGGGATAGCAAATGTTTCATTCAGGAAAAAAATCCAGGTTGAACAATGGGGCTGTTGGGGCGGGGCCAAGAACATTCTGCTCGAATTAACAGTATTAATGGGCCGGGCGCGGTGGCTCACGCCTGTAATCCCAGCACTCTGGGAGGCCGAAGTGGGTGGATCACCTGAGGTCATACATGGGTGAAGCCCCGTCTCTACTAAAAAAACAAAAATTTGCTGGGCGTGGTGGCGGGCGCCTGTAATCCTAGCTACTCGGGAGGCTGAGGCAGGAGAATCGCTTGAACCCGGGAAGCAGCGGTTGCAGTGAGCCGAGATCAGGACATTGCACTCCCGCCTGGGCGACAGGGCGAGACTCTGTCTCAAAACAAAAACAAAAACAGTATTAATGGAATGTAGTATAACCCTCAAGCCCTACTATTAACACTTGGGGCCGAATCCAGACCCCGTCTTCCCGCTCGGATTCAGAACACCTTCCTGACTCACTGGCCCTAGGGCATCAGCTACCTCGGACAGCATCCTTTTGGGAAAATACCGCCCACCAGCCCCACGACTGGGAAAGAGTCGGGAAACACCCCCGAGCAATCCAGTTCCCTGAGACTTCCCTCCTCCCTCCCCTCAGCTAGGGCCTGCCGGTTCCTAGTGCGTGCCCAGCAGTCCTCAGGTCACCTTCACTACCGGGCCAAGGACCCCGTGGGAACTCGCAGCCTTCGCCACACTCGTTCCTCGCGCATCCACGGAGGGGTGCCTACAGAGAAGACCTGCGTGGCAAAAACCTAAACGAAGAGATGAGGGGCATGGAGAGGAGTAGGATAAGAGAATAAAGATAACAGTGGGGGGGAGACGTTAGTTTCCTTTATATCTTTTGTTACTGGCGGTAGCAGTGAAGTTAGAAACGGTTTTAAAACAAATTTCAGACAGGCATTTTCCAAAGGCAAGCCTGGAGCGCACGGATCTGTATAACCGCGGAAGGCCCTGTTTCCGGTCCCTTGCGCCTGCGCTCTTGCAGCCAAGAAGGCGGGAGGCTGGAGTAGAGGGAAGCCTGCAACCGGAAGTGAAGGCACATTTCCCTCCTTCGTCGC
This sequence comes from Homo sapiens, assembly GCF_000001405.40. Taxonomy (NCBI): domain Eukaryota; kingdom Metazoa; phylum Chordata; class Mammalia; order Primates; family Hominidae; genus Homo; species Homo sapiens. The sequence continues at coordinate 3,019,313 of NT_113891.3, read as the reverse complement.
TGTTGCTGCCGCCATACGCGCTCTCCCTGTTTAGGTAAGCTTTGGCCTTCGCTACAATCCGTTTCCATCTGCGCTTCTCCGCACCCATCCCGTCACATGGGTTCCTGATACCCTTTTCACAGGCGATGGTCTGGTCGCTGGGGCCTAGTTGGTTCGCTATTTCCTTAGCTTGCATCCCTTTCGAGAGCAAAGAGCTCCTGGGGGAAGGAAGGGAAGCTAAGGGGGGACCCAATCCAAGATGGTGTCCTCGGCGCCATTGTGTTCGTTTTGCTCCCTTCTTCCAATGGGTTCTTCTCATATTGGAGGCCTCAGCATCAATGAGAGGCGGTGCTCGGCGTCCCTTGGTCTTGGTATTTGCGGAGGGCGGGGCTCTTCTCACCTTCCTTGTTCTTTCTTGAGCTCTTTTTCGGCCCTCGGTGGGACTGGGAGGAGGAGCTGGTTTCTGGGCCCAGTTGGATTTTTCTCACCTTGACTTGGCCAACTTAATTTGGAGTGCCTTCCAAGTGTTTACGATACGATTGGTGTCATTGTATGTTTCTCCAAAAGGAGTCTCACCTTCGTAGCGTAACAGTGATGTGAGACCACTTGGTAAAGATCCTGTTAAAGCCTGGGCGGGGATTGCCTTTCTCTGTCACCTATTAGCTTTCTTATTGTAGGGTGGAGACATGAATTTTGTTTTTTTGTGGCCGAGCCATTTGTCTTGCACCGCCCCTCCCCCCCATGCTAATTACACAAGGCTTGCTTAAACAGCGGAAGGGAGGATACTGAGAAGTGGGAGGCTGAGAGCTATGGGAGGTGGACGGCGGCCATATGATGTTTTCTTTTCGAAAGGTGAGCGCTTTGCGCAGTGATGACCCTCATCTATCACCCTTGACTGATGGCTGCTGAGTTAGGCATCCATAACGGTGGGATTATAATAGGGAAAGCGGAGTCTTCCTTTGAGGACTTTTCAGGACTCTACTTGTCATCTCCATTTTCCACTTTACTAAGTTATTAGTCATATTTTACCTTTTATTATCTATTCTATTTCCTCACTGTTACTTTCAGATCAAGAATTTATAAGTTGGTCTTCCCCTTCCAACTTTTCTGGTTTCCGCTACTGTGATTGCTAATCTTGTTGGGAACCTCTGTCCTAACCACTTTCCCTGGTACTGCTTTTTCTGTTCTGTTATATTTGCTTTTCGTTTTTATGTTTTGTATCTGTTTTTCTTTCCAGGTAAAAGTTTCCTGGTTTAGGGAAAGTGGGAACTGGGGATGGAAAAGAGGTGGTGAAGGCTGTGCTCGTGATTAAGTCTTGCTTTTTTTTTCCCCCCTCCAGCTCTTCTGTTAGAAATAGTATCTTTGTTTTCCTTTGCTGTTCCTCAATCCCCTACTCTTCACCCCTTGTTTTCACCTATTTTGCGAGAACCCATCCAGATCCCCCTTCCCTTCTTCCCCTGCCGGCCCAGTTATGGCAGAGAACGATGTGGACAATGAGCTCTTGGACTATGAAGATGATGAGGTGGAGACAGCAGCTGGGGGAGATGGGGCTGAGGCCCCTGCCAAGAAGGATGTCAAGGGCTCCTATGTCTCCATCCACAGCTCTGGCTTTCGTGACTTCCTGCTCAAGCCAGAGTTGCTCCGGGCCATTGTCGACTGTGGCTTTGAGCATCCGTCAGAAGGTAAATTTTCTCTTGGGCATGTAGTGCTCATTGGGCTCTTTAAGGGTACAATACAAAGATGTGTTTGTCGTTGCTCAGGTGGTGGTAAGGGTTTATACTTAAGGCTAGATCAGGGCCAGGTGCAGTGGCTCACGCCTGTAATCCCAGCACTTTGGGAGGCCGAGGCAGGAGGGTGGCCACTTGAGCTCAAAAGTGCAAGAGAAGCCTGGGCAACATAGCGAGACTCCTGTCTCTACAAAACGTTCAGAAATTAAGCAGGTGAAGGTTGAGGCTTCAGTGAGCCGTGATTGCACCACTGTGCACCAGCCGGGGCGACAGTGAGGAAGAAAAAATCGGGATAAGTATCAAAAACAATTTTGGATAGAGGAGGCTTATACAGGCTTATTCTTTCTTTCGTGATAGCACCAAAGTGCTAATGATCCAAAAGTGACTTCCAGGTCTGCCATTCATTCTTGTGACTGGCTTTTCTTGTCTGCTTATTTTTAATTTTGTCACTTGACTTCTAATTTTAAATTTCCAGAAAGGTCCTGCTTGGACCTGTAGTCTCCCTCTGTTGGGCCAGGCCAACTGTGGTCTCTGGAAACCTCTATGACTGGTTTAGAGATGACTGGCTTCTGGGTCAGGTACCAAGTCCTTCATTTTGTCCAGGGTTGTAGTAGTTACGTGACCCGAAGTATAGCAACCTAAGCAGGAGAAGTGGTCTGTGGCAGGTATTCAAATGTCATGAATTGTTACAGATTAAGAAAAATAAGGACAGAGCTAGGATCATTGAAGGTGAGCGGTTGGTAGATGCAAGGGGTTTGTTACTAGGACTGGGAAGGCCTAGATCTGGAGGAGGCTAAAGCTAGGAGGAATTAGGAGAGTCTGATTTTGAGGTGAATGTAATTGAGCAGAGAGAGGTAAAATGGGTCTGGAAGTTGGCAAGAACCAGGTAAATACTAGACTTTGAGAATTGAGTGGTAAGAAATGGGCTTGGCATGGTGAAAAAGGTAGAGTTATCTGGAGACTGAAGTCTAATTTATCTTCCTCCCCCCCCAACTTTTAGTCCAGCATGAGTGCATCCCTCAGGCCATTCTGGGAATGGATGTCCTGTGCCAGGCCAAGTCGGGCATGGGAAAGACAGCAGTGTTTGTCTTGGCCACACTGCAACAGCTGGAGCCAGTTACTGGGCAGGTATATTTGGGGAGAGTGCTGGGGAGGGGATTTTGGTTAGGACTATAAGGGAAGGGTGTTTTTGTCCTAACTACATGATGCTTGCAGAGCCATGAGCACATGACCTCTGTTACCCTTGACAACCTGACAGCTGTGGGGGATGTTCTGTCGCAAGCGTGGGGTTCATGATTTAGATCACAGAATTGAAGTCATTTATTATCGGCCCAGGTGTGTTTTTGTGACAGTCACTTCCCTAGAGGGGATAATGAAGAGCTACATTTACCATATGTCTCCGTATACTTCCTGCCTAAGGTGTCTGTGCTGGTGATGTGTCACACTCGGGAGTTGGCTTTTCAGATCAGCAAGGAATATGAGCGCTTCTCTAAATACATGCCCAATGTCAAGGTAAGCCAAGGTAAAGAGACCTGAGAGTGAGGGTGTGGCAAGTTGGAGGGATAAGAAACTTGTAGGCCAATAGTCTCTTTAATTTTGGAGAAGCTTTAGTTTGCTGTGGTGTAACAGAGTGTTGAGTTCCTATGTAACAGGAGGATTCGTAATTGGGCTATGGATGATGCTTAACACAAGACCACCCTTTTCTTACTACTTTATACTGACTTTGAATCATATCAGTTTAATAATTTTGGGGTATGTGGCAGAGAAAGCCGGAAACTTTAAAACAGCTCCAGTGGTGTGTGAATATTGAGGATTCTGGCCAAGTGCACAATGGCTTACACTTGTAATCTCAGCAGTTTGGGAGGCCAAGGCGTGTGGATTATTTGAGGTCAGGAGTTTAAGACCAATGTGGCTAACAGGATGAAACCCTCTCTCTACTAAAAATGCAAAAATTAGCCGTGCATGGTGGCACACACCTATAGTCCCACCTGCTTGGGAGGCTGAGGCAGGGGAATCGCTTGAACCCAGGAAGCAGAGGTTGTAGTGAGCTGAGATTGTGCCATTACACTCCAGCCTGGGTGGCAGAGTGAGACTCCCATCTCAAAAAAAAAGAAAAAATCTGATTGAAGTTAAGCATTTTTGGCAAGAATCCTTCATAGGTGATGCTGTATCTCCTGTTATGCCACAAATCTGGTCGACTTATGTTAGTTATTTTATTTTATTTTTATTTATTTGTTTTGAGATGGAGTCTCGCTGTGTCCTTCAGGCTGTGAGTGTAGTGGCGCGATCTCAGCTCACTGCAACCTGCGCCTCCCACGTTCAAGCGATTCTCCCGCCTCAACCCCCCGAGTAGCTGGGACTACAGTGTGCCATCATGCCTGGCTAATTTTTGTTTTTTTTTAGTAGTGACAGGGTTTCGCCATGTTGGCCAGGCTGGTCTCGAACTCCTGACCTCAAGTGATCCACCCACCTCGGCCTCCCAAAGTGCTGGGATTACAGGAGTGAGCCACTGCACCTGGCCTCATTAATGATTTTAGATTTACCATAGGATTAGCGTCGTGACAGTCTGATCCCACAGTTGTTCTTTTCCCCCTTGAAACCAGAAAGTAGTTTCTGGTGTTATTTGATACTGTACCAAGGCCCAGATCCCCAAACAACTATTCACCTAATGGTTTTAACATGAAATGATAATATTTAGCCCGAAGCAGTAATTTCATGGGGTTTGTGTGAAAAGAGTTTGAGATTCTGGGTTTATTTAGGAAACCTTAATGTTCCATGTGTTTTTTGTGGTACTTTACACTAATCTGGTGATTTCTTGCTGTCCTTTATTTATTTATTTTTTATTTTTTGAGATGGAGTCTCGCTCTGTCATCCAGGCTGGAGTACAGTGGCTCAATCTCGCCTCACTGCAATCTCCACCTCCCGGGTTCAAGCGATTCTCCTGCCTCAGCCTCCCGGCTAAATTTTGTATTTTTTGTTTTTTAGTAGTAAATTTGTAAATTTTGTATTTTAGTAGAGATGGGGTTTCACCGTGTTGGCCAGGCTGGTCTTGAACTCCTGGCTTCAAGTGATCCACTTTCCTTGACCTCCCAAACTGCTGGGATTACAGGCGTGAGCCACTGGGCCTGGCTTTATTTTATTTTTATTTATTTTATTTCTTTTTGAGATGGAGTATCACTCTTGTTGCCCAGGCTGGAGTACAACGGTGGGATCTTGGCTCACCACAACCTCTGCCTCCCAGGTTCTCGTGCCTCAGCCTCCTGAGTAGCTGGAATTATAGGCGTGTGCCACCACACCTGGCTCCTTTATTTTTTAAATGAAGCCTGGCCTCATAAATGAAGGAAGTTGGTTAGATTAAGTCAGTAGAACTGAATTATTGTCCTGACTGCTCCGACTAGCCATGTAACTTTAGGCAATCACCCTCAGTGTTTGGTGGGGGGGACATAAAATTTTTAAATTAGGTGACCTCTAAAGTTAGTTTTAGTTTGGAAACATGCTAAAAATTGGTTTAGCTCAAACAGAGTGGGAACCCTGGGGGGATTGGACTCTTTCCTTCCTCTGTTTTGAGACTCTTTGCTTCTGGCTCGGCAGGTTGCTGTTTTTTTTGGTGGTCTGTCTATCAAGAAGGATGAAGAGGTGCTGAAGAAGAACTGCCCGCATATCGTCGTGGGGACTCCAGGCCGTATCCTAGCCCTGGCTCGAAATAAGAGCCTCAACCTCAAACACATTAAACACTTTATTTTGGATGAATGTGATAAGATGCTTGAACAGCTCGGTGAGTGGCAGTGCTGGGGCTTGGCTAATGCTGGGGAGTTGTTCTTTGGAGCCAAATGATGTTTATTTGAAACAGGAGCACCTCAGTGCAAGGACGACTCTTATCTATCACCCATGACTGATGGCTCTGGGTTCCCTGGTTGGTCTTTATTATGCTTTTAAGCACAGTAAAGGGTGTCATCTATCATCTTTCTATGATTTTTGTTTTTAACCTTTGAGAATAGGGGACTTTGATAATTTTAGGCATAAGTCATCACCACCACCACCGTTTTCATTATAGATTCATATACTGGGAGTCATAGGGGAGATTCTAAACTGAAAGAGAAGACAGTACCCTTCTGGCATCTCCAGCACAGCATTTACAGTCAGAATTTATAGCTGAATAAGTGTCTAGACTCAGGTCTGGGATTAATGTAGAGAGTGTTTGTAGCAGTTTGTGTGATGTGGTATTCTAGTGTGCCAGGTGGGGTTAATGGAAGATTTTTCTGTAAGAATTGAATCTTGGTGAATGAGAGTGGGGTTGGACATAGGCCCCATAAGTCATTACAAATGATCTTTGGCAATTCTATATGGTGAGCTATAAAGGTGGGCTCCAGGTAGGGATGTCATATTTGCCTGACTTGATAGAAAAGTAATCCAGAGAGTCATAGATGGACTCTGATATCTGGAATATAATATGTGCTTGATATTTGTAGTCTGCTGAAGGCTGGCTGGGGCTTGGGCAGGAAAGGGTTGGGAGAAGGTCCCATAAAGCATGTTTTGAAGGCCTTGAGAGCCTCTGCACTGGGCTTTATCCCCATTTCATAGTTGGGAACTTTGGGGTTTTACCTTATTTCTTGCTTGGTTAAAACAAACAGCTGGAATCTGATCCCACTTCTTGATTCCAAGTCCATTGCTCTTTCCATTGTGTTGTTACTATTTCCAGCAATCTTCACCTCACTGGGAAGTCTACCTCTAATCTTTGTTTATCATACCTGCTTATTTTCTCCTACAATTTTTTTCCTTGTTCTTGTAGACATGCGTCGGGATGTCCAGGAAATTTTTCGCATGACCCCCCACGAGAAGCAGGTCATGATGTTCAGTGCTACCTTGAGCAAAGAGATCCGTCCAGTCTGCCGCAAGTTCATGCAAGATGTAAATACCCTTCTACCTTCTCTCCCTCCACTCCCCGCCCGCTGCCTCCTCCCCTTCCTCGCCCTCTTCCTCAGACTCCCTTGTCATTCAAGTGCCAAGAAGGCGGCTTGTGCCCAACTGGGAGTAATGACTCCTTGAAGAGACATACAGAAGCAGAGACAGCTAGTGTTAGGGCCTGCGCGGGTGCCAGGGAAACTCCGGAAGACTTGGTCGGGTTAATGTGAGAGCGGGTAGTGTTCGACTTTTTCATAAATCACAACATTTTTGAACCTCTTCTCCCTTCGGGGGAGGGCAGGATTTTTCTGCCCTACCACCCACCCATCCATCGTCTCTTACATGCACCCTACAGCCACGCACCCTCAAGGTGGCATCGAGCATACAGCTGGAGCCTTCTGCTCACCAAAACTCCTACTTCCCGGTGGCAGGAGAGCAAGAGAGGGACAGACAGATGGCAGGGCATGTCCAAAAGAAGAGCATCAGCACAAATGAATCCTCCCCTTCCCCACCTCCAGGGGTGGGGGCCTTTGGCACCTCAATCCCCGATACCCTACTCCTTCCCACCCACATCTCCTTGCACCCATCTGGAACCTCGGTTGATGTGAGCCGGCAACAGAGAAGCACCGTGGCGCGGCGAGGGAATGCAGACGGCACCCAGCGGTGGATGGCGGCAGCGGAGGCCGCGGGGAAACCTGACCAGGAAGCTGAGGACCAAACCAGCCTCTTTTTCCGTTCCCGGTTTTTTTCCTGAACCCAACGCGTGCCGTGCCCCGTTTCCCCCAATATGTGTTGGGGAGGGGTGTCCTGAATGGGGTGGTAGATTTTTTTTCTTAAAAAAATTTTTTTGTTTTTTTTAATACTCAGAGGAGAGGGACATAGGAAAGGTAAAGTGGATGTAATCGGGTGGTTGTTAGGGTTTGGGGCTAGGTGGGGCCAATTGCATAAGCAGTGGAGTGTGTTCTTCCCCTCCCTGCAGTGTTCCTTCCCGTGGGATGATCACTCTTTAGCTGTATTTGGGGCTAGAATGAGATTTGAAGGAGGCCATGGAACTTCTCTTTAGAAAGCCTGCCTTGGCTGGGCCTGGTGGCTCACCTCTAATCCCAGCACTTTGGGAGGCCAAGGTGGGAGGATTGCTTGAGCCCAGGAATTTGAGACTAGCTGGGGCAGTGTAGTGAGACTTTGTCTCTACCAGAAAAACCGGGCGTGGTGGCGCATGCCTGTAGTCCCAGCTACTTGGGAAGCTGAGGCAGGAGGGTTTGCTTGAGCCCGGGACGTGGAGGTGGCAGTAAGCTGTAATTGTGCCACTGTACTCCAGCCTGGGTGATAGAGTGAGACCCTGTATCAAAACAAAACAAAAAACAAAACCTGCCTTCTGGGATTGGGCTTCTGGTTTTTTTCCCATGACACACACATCCTTTCCTATTTTGTCCTCTGGGTCTTCATATTAACTATCTTCCCCCAGGATAGTATAAAAAGTGTTAGGAAAGTTGGGCTTTGGAGTTGTGGTAATTTCTGTCTTTGTTACTTTCCTCCCCTTCAGGGGGTTTTTTAATTTTAAAGATGAATGCAGTGAGGTATAATGGTGTGTACCTGTAGTCCCAGCTATTCAGGAGACTGAAGCAGGAGGATCACTTGAGCCCAGGAATTTGAGGCTATAGTGTGCTATGATTGTGCCAGTGAATAGCCACTGCACTCCAGCCTGGGCAACATGGTGAGATCCTGTCCCTTAAAAGCGTATCTGCTGCTCTGAATTTGGTATTTTAACACCACTTACTGATACCTTTCCTGTAAACCTGTAGATGGTTTAATTCTTAGTCAAGAGACCAGTCTCATCTAAAACTATCCTGTTGTGGTCTGACGGCAAGTAACTCATCTTGAGTAATTTTTGTTTCTCCTTAAGTGGCATTTTGACTGTCCATTGCAGCATTCTGATCATAAAAGACATCCACTTTGCTAATGCACACGAGATTCTCTTAGTTGAAGTAGGAGAATCAAATGGAGCAGTTGTCCTCCCCCCACCCCATGTTCTTAGAAGCACCTCTGATGGAGTTATTCTGACCTTGAGTCACTGCCTCCCATCATTTCCCAGATGTTTGGTCCTTGCTCTCCCTTTGAGAATCATCTCCCATTTTCTTTCCTCTCCCACCTCTATTTGAGGTAATGGCATCTGTGCCATTGGGTGGTTTCACTGCTCCTTGACTTCATTTGCAGTTTCTTTCCCATGATAGTTTTTAGTTGGGCAGTCTTAAAACTCATCTGATAGGAAGGAAATTAGATGTAATGTGAGAGAGACCACAGTAAAATGTGGGTATTTTTGGGAGTGGGGTGGGGTTTTCAATCTTCTCTTTCCTCCCCATCCCCCCATGGGGTGTATTGGAGATCAACTTCCTCCACCCCCCCAGGTTTAACCCCCCCACTCTGCCCTCCTCCCGTTCCCCACCCCCTTCCTCCCCCCCAGCCAATGGAGATCTTCGTGGATGATGAGACGAAGTTGACGCTGCATGGGTTGCAGCAGTACTACGTGAAACTGAAGGACAACGAGAAGAACCGGAAGCTCTTTGACCTTCTGGATGTCCTTGAGTTCAACCAGGTCAGTTAGACGTCCAGTAGGGGGATGAGCATTGGAGCACTCCAGCTGTAGCAGAAACCTGGATATTAAGTACACTTTTATTGAGGAAATCACATGTGTGATGTGGGAGAGAATAATGAGGGTATAAATATCTTAGGGGCTGAGCATGAGTAAGGTGGGAGCTGCTTTTCTATTCTATGGCTGGCACGGGTATGTCCTCAATAACCTCAAGGAAAATAAACTTCAAAAATTAAGATCCTTGGCCAGGCACGGTGGCTTATGTGTGTAATCCCAGCACTTGGGGAGGCTGAGGGAGGTGGATCACTTGAGTCCAGGAGTTTGAGACCAGTCTGGGCAACATGGCGAAACTTCATCACTACCAAAGAAGAAAAAAATTAGCCAGGTGTGGTGGTGTATGCCTGTAGTCCCAGATACTCTGGTGGCTGAGGTGAGAGGATAGCTTGAGCCCAGGAAATTGAGGCTGCAGTGAACTATGATTGCACTACTGTGCTCCAGCTTGGGCAACAGAGTGAGATCTTGTCTCCAAAAGTCCTTGAAGGATTTTAGGAAGTTGTTAAAAGTCTTGAAACGATGTTTGGGGGCATGTTAGGGTTCTTGAATGTTTAATTCCTCTAATAACTGCTTATTCAAGAGAAGCATTTCTGACTGGGTGCAGGGCAGTGGCTCATGCCCATAATCCCAGTACTTTGGGAGGCTGAGGCAGGAGCATTGCTTGAGCCCAGGACTTCAAGACCAGCCTGGGTAACATAGGGAGACGCCCGTCTCTACAAATAGTAAAAATAAAAAATAAAAAAAGTAGCTGGGCGTGGTGGTGTGCACCTGTGGTCCCAGCTGCTTGGGATGCTGAGGTGGAAGGATCTCTTAAACCCAGGAGGGTGGAGGCTGCAGTGACTTGCGATTGCACCACTGCACTCCAGTCTGGGGGACAGAGTGAGACCCCATCTCAAAAAAGTGTTTAATTAATATACTTGTGAGTGGTCTATTTGCATTTAAAACTGCTTTCTAGAATTAGGATAGCTCCCTTAGGTTTAATGTTTTGGTGAGCAGGAATATCAGTTACCCCTCCAGATCTTAATTCTAGTTTTTTATCACTTTTTCATGAGGTGATCTCATCCTCATCTCCTAGCATGTCTGGCAATTTTGATTTCTGAACTCTGTGCTACCTCAGAGGCCAGCTTCCTTAGGGAAAAATCAGTGCTGAAATAAAGTTATATTTCCTTTTCTGCTCTAAATATATAGTGGGGGAATAAGAGAAATGAAGAGGAATTCCTGAGAACGTAATTACTAGAAACTCCCCTCTCCCACGTAATGTCTCTCACACACCATGGACCCCTATTCCCCCAATTTGCGACCCCCCACCCCACCCCACAACAGGTGGTGATCTTTGTGAAGTCTGTGCAGCGGTGCATTGCCTTGGCCCAGCTACTAGTGGAGCAGAACTTCCCAGCCATTGCCATCCACCGTGGGATGCCCCAGGAGGAGAGGTGAGCTGAAGATGGGAAAGATATTTTGTGTCCTTGGGAGAAAAAGACAGTTGAGAGAAGGGAATCTCAACATGTTTTAAATTTCCTTTCTCACAAAGGCTTTCTCGGTATCAGCAGTTTAAAGATTTTCAACGACGAATTCTTGTGGCTACCAACCTATTTGGCCGAGGCATGGACATCGAGCGGGTGAACATTGCTTTTAATTATGACATGCCTGAGGATTCTGACACCTACCTGCATCGGGTAAACCTCACAGGCTGAAAAAATCCCACTCTCCCATTCCCTTGTTTTCTGTTTGTACATCTTCATTCCTGCCTCTGGGTCTCTTTCCTCTTCGGTCTTCCAGTGCTACCCTCTGTCTCCCTCCAGGTGGCCAGAGCAGGCCGGTTTGGCACCAAGGGCTTGGCTATCACATTTGTGTCCGATGAGAATGATGCCAAGATCCTCAATGATGTGCAGGATCGCTTTGAGGTCAATATTAGTGAGCTGCCTGATGAGATAGACATCTCCTCCTACAGTGAGTACTGATCTCATGAAACCCTTTAGGTCCTCCCTGTTCCTTAGTGTGTTTGTCCTAAATCCCATCACATAGGTCATGGGCATCTGATGCATAATGGACACTTGACTGGTTCATGCCCCCTGGTCTTTGATGCTGTGTTGGGATGTTTTTCTGACCTTTATGTGGGGTTTCTGTCTTCTCTCATCATATTACATCCCTTCCCTCACCCCCACGTCCGTCCTCTGAACCCAGGCAGTACACCAGTGTCTGCATGTGTGCCGTGTGTTCCTGCCTCACTTTCCCCTTTTCATGCCTTATTCTGACCATGGCTACGTTTTCTTCTCAGTTGAACAGACACGGTAGAAGACTCGCCCATTTTGGAATGTGACCGTCTGTCCTTCAGGAGAGGACACCAGGGTGGGGGTGAAGGAGACACTACTGCCCCCACCCCTGACAGCCCCCACCCCATGGCTTCCATCTTTTGCATCACCACCACTCCTGAACCCCCATTTCTGATTTGTCAGAATTTTTTTTTAACAAAACTAAAAATGAAACACATGTGTCTGTGGTATCTATAAGTGCTTCGTCCCTTTATTGTATTTGGGGTGAGGTTATTTTAGGGCATGGTCCAGGGTGAATTCCTATAAGGCCTGGGTGCCCTGCCTGCTGTGAGATCAAAGGGGAATGGGACTAAGACTGCAGAGCCCTGGCTCCCCCACTGCCTGCCAATTGCCTGCGGTTTGTGGTCTCTTCCACTTTCTCTGGCCTGGGAAGACGCTGGGGTGTTTATGATCCCAAGGCTCCTGGTGGGTGGTGCGTGTATTTTCAGTGCCGGAGGGTGCTGTGGGCACTGGGGGAAACTTAGGCACCTCCTCCAAGGCTCTCTTGGTGCCTCCTCATCTGTTCCTTCAGCTTCTGGATCTTGAGCACCAGGGCTTGGGCCTCCCAGGCTCCCTCCTGCCCTTCAAGGAGGGCCTGGTACAGCTCCAGCTGCTGCTCCAACAACTCTTCAGCTCGGGCCAGCTCAGCTGTGCGGTGGGTCCCAGGGCCCTGGTCAGGGAATTAAGGGAGGGAGCATCAGCCAGGGCAGGGGGCCGAGGCCCTGGGAAGCTTTGTCGCAGGCTGTGGCTGGAAGTGAGAAATTCCACCTTCCCTATTCGTTTTTGAACCGGTCATTTAAGGACACCTGTACTGAGAAGGCCAGGTAGCTTCCTGTCTTGGGCATAGGCCTCTGGGTGGTAGTAGGGGGAGCAAATAGAGTTCCCTGGCCCAGGGGCTGTAACTGGCTTCCTTGAACAAGGATATGGGGTCACTGGAAAGAGGATCAGCCGCTCCTCCCCGCTAAGAAATAATTAACTGTTAGGTGAGGGGGAATAGATCCTGTTCAAGGACTTTGTGGACTGTGCTGTTGTGGGTGGGGGTGGGGTGAGGGAAGGGAACCCTGAGGTCTGGGCTGGGGGAGGTGGGGAGAGGAGTTGGTAGCTGAACTAAGAAAAGAGCTGCAGGGGTAGGCATGGTGTGGGGTGGTGCAGGGTGGGATTGAGGGTTTTTTTTTCCCACACCCCAGTGTAAATTCTCACACCCTCTGTTCCTACCTGTGGTGCCACTTACCCTGGGAGGGGACGTCATCTTCCCATTTCCTCTGGAGTTGGTCTGCTCTTCCATGCTTGCTTTGGGGTTTTGGGAGCAGCACCCATGGGAGCCCTGGGGTGCCAAGGACCAGGAGGGCAGAAGGAGGCGAAGGAAATGGTACCGAGAGAGCCAGGGCAGAGGGAGGACCATGGCGGGTGACCTGGCCGGGAGCTGTGTGAGCTGTCCAACGGCCACCAGGAACTGGTTCGCTCCAGGACTTGGCCTCACTTGAGTGCCTGGCCCTGCCCAGGCCCCAGCCCCCAGCCCTGCCCCTGCCCCTGCCCCACTCTGCCCCACGTCTCTCCCAGCCTGGCCCCAGACAGAGTCCAGGAACAACTCCTGTTCCTGATGTGAAAAATGTCCCTGCCAGTTCAGGCAGAACTTGCTTTAGAGCACTGGTGCCCAGCCTACCACAGGTCTGTGATTTTTTTTTTTTGATCTAGTGTTTATTAGGTATGAATTTTACAAACATTAGCGGTAGCTGTGGAGCTGGAGAGTATTGCACCTTCTCCAAGCTGCATGGCGAGAACCACCAATAGTGTGGTAGAACTTACAGCCCTTTCCAAGGCCGTGGCTCTCTTGGCCTGCAGATAGCCTACGCATCTCCCTATGCTTGTTGTGGACCACTGGGTGTCAGGTTTCCTTCTGATAGTGTTATGGAATGGATCAACTAGGATAGCCTCAAAAACTTTGTATGTGGAATCTTTAACCAGCCCAGTGAGAATTCAGGACTCAGAGCCCCACAGTGGCATCCAGCTTGCTCTTCTGTAACAGACTGAAGGCTTTAAGCAAACTAGCTGGTTAACACCATGATAGACAGGCTTGCTGTTAAGTTGCCTTCTTAGGAACTAGATTTTCAGCCACCGTGGCGCTTATATGTAACATAACCTTGCTTGGCTGTAGCCCAGTAGCGTGCTTTATTGGGCTGGGTGGGGCGGGGATCCCTGTGGAGAGCAGAGAGCTGGTGGTACTGCCAGCAGCGGACCCTCAGAAGAAAGCTCATGACATCAGACTGCTTCTTCCATAGCTTCTGGATGTACTTGTATGCACCATCTTGGTTTACCCAGTGGCTGCTGCCAGACAGAAAGGAAAGGCTACCACAGGTCTTGTGTCTTTTTTTTTTTTTTTTTTGAGACGGAGTCTCGCTCTGTTGCCCAGGCTGGAGTGCAGTGGCGCAATCTGGGCTCACTGCAAGCTCTGCCTCCCGGGTTCACGCCATTCTCCTGCCTCACCCTCCCGAGTAGCTGGGACTACAGGTGCTCGCCACTACGCCCGGCTAATTTTTTGTATTTTTAGTGGAGACGGGGTTTCACCGTATTAGCCAGGGTGGTCTCGATCTCCTGACCTCGTGATCCGCCCGTCTTGGCCTCCCAAAGTGCTGGGATTACAGGCGTGAGCCACCGCACCCGGCATGCCTTTTTCTTAACACTGTTTTCTCACTTCACTCTGCAAGGTAGGAATTACCTCACTGGTTTGCACCTGAGGAAACTGGCTCAGATGGTTTCATTCAGCATTCACTGGGGAAGTGTCTGTTGGGGGCAGCTCTAGGCTGGATGTGCTCGAAGGTCCACAGCTGGTTGTTGGTAGGGCCTGGAGGGTTCATGTCTAGGTCCACCTGACTTGAAAGCTCATCCTGACCTTGCTTAAGTGCTGATTCCCCTTTGCAGATGTACCTTTTATTGTGCTTCCCTTTATTGCTCTTTGCAGATGCTGTTTTTTATTTAGAGATTGGAGGCTTGTGGCAACCCTGTGTCAAGCACATCAAACAGGTCTATTGGTGCTATTTTCCCAACAGCAGGCAGACATCATGTCTCCATGTCACGCTGTGGAATTCTCAAAATGTTTCAAGCGTTTTCATTATTATACTTGTTACAGTGACCTGTAATCAGTTACTGAAGTTAACTATTGTGATTGTTTTGGGACACCATGAGCGATGCTCATATAAGACAGCAAACTTAATGGAAAAATGTGTGTGTTGTGACTGCTTCACCAACTGGCCATTCTCCCGACTCTGCTTTCCAGGCCTCCCTATTCCCTGAGGCACAACAATATTGAAAGGAATAATCCATGCGGCAAATGGCAAACATCATTGTCTTATTTTAAGAAGTTGTCAAAGCAGCCTTCAGCAGCCATGCCCCTGATCCATGGAGGCAAGACCCTCCCCCAGCAAAAAGATCAGGATTAGCTGAAGCCTCATATGATTGTTAGCATTTGTTTAGCAATTAAGTATTTTAAAATTAAAGTATATGGCCAGATACAGTGGCTCACGCCTGTAATCCCAGCACTTTGGGAGGCCGAGGTGGGTGGATCACTTGAGGTCAGGAGTTCAAGATTAGCCTGGCCAACATGGTGAAACCTCATCTCTACTAAAAATACAAAAATTAGCTGGGCATGGTGATGGGCACCTGTAGTCCCAGCTACTTGGGAGGCTGAGCAGGAGAATGGCTTGAACTCAGGAGGCGGAGGTTGCAGTGAGCCAAAATCGTGGCACTGCACTCCAGCCTGGGTGACAGAGCGAGACTCCATTAAGTATATACACAGTTTTTTGTACACAATGCTACTGTACACTTAACAGACTACAATATAGTACAAACATAACTTTTATGCACAATAGGAAACTAAAAAGTTTGTGTGACTCACTTTGTTGCTATGGTCTGGAAACAAATCTTCAGTATCTCCGAGGTATGCCTGTCATTTCCCTTTCCCTCTTCTTGCTGGCCCAGAATGACCTTGTTTCTTGCCCCTGTCTAGCCCTGCATGCTGTAGGGGTTTGCCTTCTCTGGTAGGTCTGGGCACTTTGTATCCCTTGTAACCTTGGCTCCTGGGATATGACACTGGTACAACTGGCCTCAAGTTCTGTTGGACTAGTGAGCCTCCCCCAACACCTCCTGAAGTAGAACCAAAGGCCTGTGCACACACCGTGCATGTGTGAGTCTGCATAGAGATGTCAGCTTCCTGCAGGGTGTTCTGAAGGGATGTCCTGTTGTGACTGGACTGTGACATAGCCACAGGCCCAGAGGCAGGAGTGGCTCAGAAGGGAGTGGCTGGTCCCTATTTTGATCATCTAGGAACAGGAAGGTCCTTAGAAAACCATGCCCCAGAAGGCAGGATTGCTGGAGAGTGGACAGCTGCTAGCCAGCTCGCTATCTGGATATCACTCTGCATTGGGAGGGAAGATGGCCTCTGCCATGGTGTAAGAGTCCAGGAACCAGGCAGTGAGGACTTCCCAGCGGTCAGTGCTTCTCACACTTGCGGGCCAAAGCACCTTTAGATGAGGCCAAAGACTTTACGTTCCTCATTAGCTGACTTTTTCCCACTTAAGTGGAAAAAGAACCCAGAACCTTTGTAAAAGTTTTAGGGGAGAAGGGCTTTCCCTCTTGTATCTTGGTGATAAGGTTATGCATGACTCATACTTTAATTGCAATGTGTACACAGCTAAAGTCTTAATTATTAGAATATAAGAGCCCCAAACTACTGTTATTATAGATAAGCGAAACTATGCAGTATATGGTTAAACAATCCACAACTAATTAACATTGAAAGTTGGCCGGGCGCAGTGGCTCATGCTTGTAATCCCGGCACTTTGGGAGGCCGAGGCAGGGGGATCACTTAAGGTCAGGAGTTCAAGACTAGCCTGGCGAACATGATGAAACCCCGTCTCTACTAAAAATACAAAAAATTAGCTAAGCGTGGTGGTAGCCACCTGTAATCCCAGCTACTTGTGAGGCTGAGGCAGGAGAATTGCTTGAACCTGGGAGGCGGAGGTTGCAGTGAGCTGAGATTGTGCCACTGCACTCCAGCCTGGGCGACAGAGCAAGACTCCGTCTCTCAAAAAAAAAAAAAAAAAAAAGAAAGAAAAGAAAAAAAATTAACTACATTTTTGGGAGGTGGACAGAGCAATGCTCTGTCACCCAGGCTGGAGTGCAATGGCACAATCTCTGCTTGCTGGAACCTCCGATTGCCGGGCTCAAGCAATTCTTATGCCTCTGCCTCCCAAGAAGCTGGGATTACAGACGTGTGCCACTATGCCGAGCTAATTTTTGTATTTTTAGTACAGACAGGGTTTCACCATGTTGGCCAGGCTGGTCTTGAACACCTGGCCTCAAGTGATCCGACTGCCTCAGCCTCCCAGAGTGCTGGGATTACAGGTGTGAACCACCGTGCCTGGCCCTCTATCTGTTAATTTAAAAGATTAGCAGCCATTTAGAAAAAACAACAAATGAGACTTTTGCAAGACAATCTAAATGATACACTAATAACAATCCTTTGGGAAAGTGACATTTCAACCATGTGAGTTTCTGCTTTAGGTTATGAACTCCAAAATGGACTAAATGGACTAACCCCCAATAATTTATAGTAGCTAGTTTTTTTTTTTTTCACAGTAGGTAATTCTAAACCATAAATAAAATAGAATCTGAATTTTGGCTTTGTTCACCTGTGGGAACTTAATTAAGAAAGCACTGGCCTTTGGGTTGGTTCAAATATAGTGGATGAGGCCAGGCGCAGTGGCTCACACCTGTAATCTCAGCACTTTGGGAGGCCGAGGCGGGCGGATCATGAGGTCAAGAGATCGAGACCATCCTGGCCAACATGGTGAAACCCCGTCTCTACTAAAAATACAAAAATTAGCCAGGCATGGTGGTGCACGCCTGTAGTCCCAGCCACTCGGGAGGCTGAGGCAGGAGAATCACTTGAACCCGGGAGCCAGAGGTTACAGTGAGCTGAGATCATGCCACTGCACTCCAGCCTGGCGACAGAGCGAGACTCTTCTCTCAAAAAACAAAAAACAAAACCAAAAAGAAAGAAAACCAAATATAGTGGATAATCGTGGATCTCATAATTGTAGAAATGAAGGAATTAAGCTAAAAAAATACATAAACCAGAATACCTAGTGCTAAAGTTGAATGTCCCCACCAAAACTCGTGTTGACATTTAATTGCTATCCTAATGGTATTAAGATGCAAGACTTTTTTTTTTCTTTTTTTGAGATGGAGTTTCGCTCTTGTTGCCCAGGCTGGAGTGCAATGGCACAATCTCAGCTCACTGCAACCTCCGCCTCCCATGTTCAAGTGATTCTCCTGTCTCAGCCTCCTGAGTAGCTGGAATTACAGGCACATGCCACCACGCCCAGCTAATTTTTGTATTTTTAGTAGAGACGGGGTTTCATCATATTGGTCAGGCTGGTCTTGAACTCCTGACCTCAGGTGATCCACCTGCCTTGGCCTCCCAAAGTGCTGGGATTACAGGCATGAGCCACCGTGCCCAGCCGATGTGGGACCTTTCAGGGTTGATTAGATTGAATAGATTAATGCCATTGTATGGCATGATAGAAATCAGTTCAGCCTCTTTGCCCTTCCACCTCTCACTATGGGATGATACTGCAGCCAGGCCCTCATAAGATGCCAGTGTCATGCTCTTGGACTTCTCAGCCTCCAGCTCTGTGGGAAAAACATTTATTTTCTTTATAAATTACCCAGTCTGTGCTGGGTGTGGTGGCTCAAGCCTGTAATCCCAGCACTTTGGGAGGCCAAGGTGGGTGGAAGGCTTGAGCCCAGGAGTTTGAGACCAGCCTGGGCAACATGGCAAAACCCATCTCTACAAAAAAACACAAAAATTAGCTGGTGTGGTCGTGCGGGTCTGTGGTCCCAGTTATTTAGGAGGCTGAGGTGGGAGGATCACTTGAGTCTGGGAGGTGGAGGTTGCAGTGAGTCGAGATCATGCCACTGCACTCCAGTCTGAGCGACAGAGAGAGACCCTGTCTGAAAAAACAACAAAATAAATTACCCAGTCTGTATTATTCTGTTATAGCGGCAGGAAACGGACTAAGACACATAGATTATGTTACTGTGTTTATTTATTTATTGTTGTTTTTGTTATTCCTGACTCTTAATATAGAGTCTTAATCAGATGAGCATTCTGGCCTGGCCTCCGCAGAAGGGGCCTGTCTTTAGCCACGGACAAGAGGAGATTAAGGCCAGCATCATCCACAAGGTCAAGGGGCTGCAGAGCCCCCTAAGGCCAGTGTGCTGATGGGCCCCTCAATATTGTATCCTACCCAGTGGATTGGCAGGACTGGGTGACTGACAGGAATCATTGTTGCCTCTATGGGAAAGTCTTATGGAGATGGGGGCTGAGGGATGTTGAAGTTTAGCCATTACATTACAGTGAGAGAGATTACATTACTAAGTGTCAGAGACCCTTCTGGGCACTTTCTGTTACTGTCACAGGTGGCTTTCACAGTAACCTTTTAAGAGAGCTCTTTTCATTTTTCTTGTACATGGCTGTCCAGTTGTTCCAGCAGCATTTGCTGAAAAGACTATCTTTATTGTATTGTCTTTGCTCCTTGTATTTATGTGGGACTATTTCTTGGCTCTCTATTCTGCTCAAGTGGATCAATTTGTCTATTCTTTGCCAATGCCACTCTGTCTTTCTAAAATTAATTTTTCGATTGACTAATTTTATACATTTGTGGTGTACATCATGTTTATATATATATGCACATACATACACACACATTGTGGAATGGATAAACCAAACAATTTAATAATATGTATATTACCTCACATACATATTTTGTGTGTATGTGATGAGAATGCTTAAAGCTATTCTCATACTATTTTGAAATACACAATATGTTGTTATTAAGTTTAGTCACCATAAGGTACAATAGATCTCTTGAACTTATTCTTCCTAACTGAAATCTTGTGTTCTTTGACTAACATCTCCCCAATTCCCCGACCTCCCAGCCTCTGATAACCACCAGTTTACTCTCTATTTATGAGTCTGGCTTTTTCTATACTCCACATATAAGTGAGATTGTATTTGTCTTTCTGTGCCTGGCTTATTTCACTTAACATAATGTCTTCCAGGTTCATCCATGTTGTCACAAATGACAGGATTTTGTTTTTTAAGGCTGAATAGTATTCCATTTTTTATATATACCACATTTTCTTTATCCATTCATCCATTGATGGACACTTAGGTGGATTCTATATCTTGGCTATTGAGAATAATGCTGCAGCCAGGTGCAGTGTCTCGTGCTTATAATCCCAGATAATTGGGAAGCTGAGACAGCAGGATCGCTTGAGGCCAGGAGTTGCCCTGGGCAACATAGACTCTATCTCTAAAGGAAAAAAAAAAAAAAAAAGAATAATGATGCAATGAATATGGGAGTGCAAATATCTCAACGTACTGATTTCATATCCTTTGGATATATACCCATTAGTGGGATTGCTGGATCATGTGGTATTTCTATTTTTAAAATTTTTGCAGAACCTCCATACTGTTTCCCACAATGGCTATGCTAATCACCACTCTGTCTTGATTACTATGGCTTTATAGAAAGTCTAAGTCAGGTAGTGGTGGTCTTTGACTTTATTTTTCTCCTATATTGTGCTGGCTAGGTCTTTTGCCTCACCATATAAAGTTTGAATCAGTTTGTTAATATCCACAAAATAACTTACTGAGGTTTTTTATTGAGATTGCATTCATTCCACAGATCAAGTTGGAAAGAACAGATATATTAACAGTATTGAGCCTTCCTGACTATGAACATGGAATATCTCTCCATTTGTTTAGTTCTTTGATTTCTTTTGTCAGTTTTGTAGTTTTGTTCATATAGATCTTGTACATATTTTCTTAGATTTGTACCTAAGTGTTTCATTTTTGGGGGTGCTAATGTAAGTGGTATTGTGTTTTAAATGGCAAATTCTGGACCAGGCACGGTGGCTCACGCCTGTAATCCCAGCACTTTGGGAGGCTGAGGCAGGCAGAACATGAGGTCAGAAGTTCGAGATCAGCCTGGCCAACATGGTAAAACCCCGTCTCTACTAAAAATACAAAAATTAGCTGGGCATGGTGGGGCACACCTGTAATCCCAGCTACTCAGGAGGCTGAGGCAGGAGAATTGCTTGAACCTGGGAGGAGGAGGTTGCAGTGAGTTGAGATCGCGCCACTGCACTCTAGCCTGGGCGACAGAACAAGACTCCGTCTTGAAAAAAAAAAAATTAAATGGCGAATTCTACATGCTCATTGCTGATACATAGAAAAGTGATTGGCTTTTACATATTAACTTTATATCCTGCAACCTTGCTATAATTGCTTGTTAGTTCCAGGAGTTTTTTATGTGTGGATTCTTTTTGATTTTCTACATAGACAATCATATCGTCTGTAAACAAAGACAGTTTTATTTCTTGTTCCAAATTTGTATACCTTTTAGTTCCTTTTCTTGTCTTACTACTTTAGCTAGGACTTCCAGTACAACGTTGAAAAGCTGTGTTGAGAGGGTCATTCCTGCCTTGTTCTGATCTTAGCAGGCAAGCTTTTAGTTTCTCACCATTAAGTGTGATGTTAGCTGTGGAAGTTTTGTGGATGTTGTTTATCAAGTTGAGTAAGGTCTTCTCTATTCCTAGCTTGCTAAGAGATTTTTTTTTTTTTAATCATCATGAATGGGTGTTGGATGTTGTCAATTGCTTTTTCTGCCTCTATTGATATGATCATGTGATTTTCTTCTTTAGCCAGTTGATTTAATGGATTACATTAACTGATTTTCCAATGTTGAAGTAACTTTGCATACCTGGGATAAATCTTACTTAGGCATGGTGTATTGTTCTTCTCATACATTGTGGATTTGATTTGCTAGCATTTTGCTGAGGATTTTTGCACCTATGTTCATGAGAGATATTGGTCTGTGGTTTTCTTTTTTTGTGAAGTCTTCATCTGATTTTGGTATTTGGCTAACGCTGGCCTCATGGAATTAGTTAGAAAGTATTCCCTCATGGAATCCCGGCCTCATGAAATGAGATAGAAAGTGTCTGTCTTGGCTTTGCAGACGCCACCATCAGGAGCCCCATACTATCAGCCATGGTCAACCCCACCGTGTCCTTCAACATCGCTGTCAATGGTGAGCCCTTGGGCTGTGTCTCCTTCAAGCTGTTTGCAGACAAGTTTCCAAAGACAGCAGAAAACTTTCGTGCTGTGAGCACTGGAGAGAAAGGATTTGATTATAAATGTTCCTCCTTTCACAGAATTATTCCAGGGTTTATGTGTCAGGGTGGTGACTTCACACGCCATAATGGCACTGGTGGCAAGTCCATCTACGGGGAGAAATTTGATGATGAGAACTTCATCCTAAAGCATACAGGTCCTGGCATCTTGTCCATGGCAAATGCTGGACCCAACACAAATGATTCCCGGTTTTTCTTTTTTCTCTTTTTTTTGAGATGGAGTCTTAACTCTGTCGCCCAGGCTGGAGTGCAGTGGCGCGATCTTGGCTCACTGCAACTTCCGCCTCCCAGGTTCAAGCAATTCTCCTGCCTCAGCCTCCTGAGTAGCTGGGATTACAGGCATGCGCCACCATGCCTGGCTAATATTTGTATTTTTATTAGAGACGGGGTTTCACCATGTTGGTCAGGCTGGTCTTGAACTCCTGACCTCAGGTGATCTGCCCATCTCGGCCTCCCAAAGTGCTGGGATTACGGCATGAGCCACCTAGCCCGGGCAATTCCCAGTTTTTCATCTGCACTGCCAAGACTGAGTGGTTGGATGGCAAGCCCATGGTCTTTGGCAAGGTGAAAGATGGCATGAATATTGTGGAGGCCATGGAGCACTTCGGGTCTGGGAATGGCAAGACCATCAAGAAGATCACCATCGCTGACTGTACACAACTTGACTAAGTTTGACTTGTGTTTTTTTTTTGAGACTGAGTTTCGCTCTTGTTGCCAGGCTGGAGTGCAATGGCGCCATCTCGGCTCACTGCAACCTCTGCTTCCTGAGTTCAGGCGATTCTCCTGCCTCAGCCTCCCGAGTAGCTGGGATTACAGGCATGCGCCACCACACCTGGCTAATTCTGTATTTTTAGTAGAGACGGGGTTTCTCCGTGTTGGTCAGGCTGGTCTTGAACTCCTGACCTCAGGTGATCCCACCTGCGTCAGCCTCCCAAAGTGCTGGAATTACAGGTGTGAGCCACCGCGCCCGGCCTGACTTGTGTTTTATCTTAACCACTAGACCATTGCTTCTGTAGCTCAGGAGAGCACCCTCCATCCATCTGCTCGCAGTATCTAGAATCTTTGTGCTCTCACTGCAGTTCCCTTTGGGTTTCATGTTTTCCTTGTTCCCTTCCATGCCTAGCTGGATTGCAGCATTAAGTTTATGATTATGAAATTAACACTGAATAACAACAACAACAAAAGAAAGTATGTCTTCTGGAAGAGATTATAGAAAATTGGTATAATTTTTTCCTTAAATGTTTGATAGAATTTATCAGTAAACCCATTTGGGGCTGATGTTTTCTGTTTCTGAATGTTATTAATTATCGATTTAATTTATTTAATATATGTCTATTCATTTCATTTTTTAAATTAATTTTTTTTATAAGACAAGGTCTCACTATGTTGCCCAGGCTTCTCTCAAACTCCTGGGCTTAAATTGGCCTCCCAAAGGGCTGGGATTACAGGCATGAGCTACTGTACCTAGCTTCATTTCACTTTTAGTTAAATTTGTTTTGAATAATAATAGATTTAACTTTGGGAGGCCGAGGCGGACAGATCACCTGAGGTCGGGAGTTCGAGACCACCCTGGCCAACATGGCGAAACCCCATCTCTACTAAAAATACAAAAACTAGCCGAGCGTGGTGACGGGTGCCTGGAATCCCAGCTACTGGGGAGGCTGAGGCAGGGCAATTGCTTGAACCCAGGAGGTGGAGGTTGCAGTGAGCTGAGATCGCGCCATTGCACTCCAGCCTGGGCGACAGAGCGAGACTCCATCTCAAAAAAAAACAAAAACAAAACAAACAAAAAAACCCAATAACAATAACAATAATAGATTTAAAGAGTTGCAAAGCTAGAACACAGAGTTTCCATAAACCCCAGCTTTCCTTAATGTTAACATCTAACAAAATTCTGTCAAGACTAAGAAACTAAGAAATTAACATTGCTATAATACTATTCGCTAAACTGTAGACTTTATTTGGACTTCACCAGTTTTTCCAGGGCCCATTAATGCATTTAGCTTTTGGGTCTCCCTAGTCTTTCTGATCATGAGTTTCTCAGTCTTTACCTGTTTTCATGACCTTGAAAGTTTTGAAGAATACTGGATAGATAATTTGTAGGATGTCCCTCACTTTGGGTTTGCCTGATGCTTCCTTATGATTAGATTGGGGTTATGGGTTTAAGGGAAGAATACCATAGAGGGGAGTGTCCTCATCACATCATTTCTGGGGGGCAAGATGTTAACATGACTCTGATTGCTTGGTAGTGTCTGCTACATTTCTCCACTGTAAAGTTATTATTTTTCCTTTTTCATACTCTAGTCTTTGGAAGCAAGTCAGCAAGTCCAGCCCATATTCAAGGTGAGAGAAATAAAATTCCAATCTCCTGGGAAAGAGATTCTCGTAATATATGTTTTGAAATTCTTCTGTAAGGAAGATTTGCCCCTTCTTCCCTATTTATTTATTTAATTATTTTTGATTAAATAAATCAGTGTGGAATGAATATTTATTTATATTTTGGGTCATAATCCAATACTATTGTAACTTTGTTGCTCGGATTATTCCGGCTTTGTCCATAGGGAGCTCTTTCAGGTTGACTCCTGTGTCCCTCTGACATGCCCTTATTTTTTGGTGGTGAGGGTTGGGAGATGGGTGGCGGTTACTTTCTGGCATTACAAGATGTTCCAGGCTCACCTTATATTTTTCCTATGCCAGCCCTAGAATCAGCTGTTTTTCTATGGAGCCCTGAATCCTTTTATCAGAGAATGACTTATCACAACCAAGGTCTAGGCACTGGGTGCTCACTTCACTCTTCTAAGGAGGACACAGAGGTCTCAAGACCTGTGGGAACTCACACAGGCACATAAATGGCTCTCACTTCAGCACCACTTTAGAGCTGATTCAGCTGGGCATGGTGGCTCATGCCTGTAATCCCAGAACTTTGGCAGGCTGAGGCAGGCGGATCACCTGAGGTCAGGAGTTTGAGACCAGCCTGGCCAACATGGCGAAACCTCGTCTCTGCTGAAAAATACAAAAATTAGCTGGGCATGGTGGCGCATGCCTGTAATCCCAGCTACTTGGGAGCCTGAGACAGGAGAATTGCTTGAGTCGGGGAGGCAGAGGTTGCAGTGAGCTGAGATCATGCCACTGCACTCCAGCCTGGGCGACAGAGCAAGACTCCGTCTCAAAAAAAGAAAAAAAAAAAAAAAAGAGAAAGAAAAAAAGAGCTGATTCAGCTCAGACTTTGACTTCCCCGAGTTGATGAGCAATTTTCCATGCAGGTCTTTATTTCTTAAAGCTTCTGTTTTTCAGTATGCAGGGCTTAGGCACTAGTAATTTTATTCCCTAATATTTGGAGACTTTCCTAAAATAAACATTTTACATTTTGGTAACATGATTCACTTAGAGAATTGACCAGAATAGACAAGAGGAAGAAGCCGGTGGAGGGAGGAGGCACATTGTTCTTTCCTGTGGAGTATTTCCCAATTCCTGCTGCTCTTTCCACATCCCTGGGCCTGGGAGAAGGATGGCACCCTTGGACCATGACAGAAAAATGGTGATTTGGAAATACCTGCCTCTTCTGTCTCCCTACCCTTCCATTTCAGTGCCCATTCTCCCTCCCAACCCATGGCCCATGAGCTTTTCCTTCTCCTAGCCTCTCACCTAGTGCTGGCTCCTCAGAGGGAAGTGAACCATCACCCCCTGGAGGGTGGAACTGGGGAGAGAGAGGCCAGAGCCTGGGGCTGGGGCAGAAGCTGCAGCAGGAAGGAAGGAGGTTAGAGAGACAGATGAGGGGTGAGATGTGAGTGCTCAGAGGGAGAATGAGGACATCCCCAGCATCTCCATAGAGGAGGGAGGAAGGGGCCTTGGGTGCTGGGGCAGAGAGGGGGGCAGGATCTGGATGGGACGCCCCACCCTCAGCCTCTGGTCCTCTGACAACACCTCACCTAGTCACACTGAGGGGCTTCTCCAGGCCCAGGAGCACCTGCAGGCAGGTGTATCTCAGGCCTTCTCTGGGAGGGCCCCCCACAGCTGCCCAGCCCTGATATGTCTCATCTTCCTGGGTCTGGTCCCCTTGAGTCTTGAGTCCAGAGTTGGCTCCTCCCCTTCCTGCAGCCAGGTCAGAGTGATGTTGGCAAGTGAGAAGCCAGGTGCTCTACATGGCAAGGTGTGGTTGCCCTCAGGGTCCTCCTTGTCAGGGACCACAACTTTGGGGAAGTCGGGGAGGCACCGGATGCAGGAGATAGAGAACAGAGAGGTGGAGTGAGAGTGGGACACACTTCAGCCTCCCCTCCTCTCCTAGTCTTCCTCCACATGCCAGTGCCTTTCCCTCCCCAACTCCAGCACTTCTAACAGCCACAGCAGGAAGGGGAGACCCAAATCCCCATCACTCTCTGCCACAGTCTCTGTGAGTGTGGCCACCTCCATTTCCACTGCAGCTTTAGGGTCTGCCCCAGAGGAGAGTCCTGGGTATGCTTAGAGTGGGATACTGGAAGGTTCTTCCTTCAAATATCTGCATGGCTGTTTCTCTCCTTCTCAAGTCTGCTCACATGGCTCCTCCAAGAGGCCTACCCTGACCACCTGCCTCGGCCTCCCAAAGTGCTGGGATTACAGGCGTGAGCCACCACGCCCGGCCATTGTCCTGGCTCAATCTGATCAGGAATTCTTTTTTACTTTTTTCTTTTTGATTTTTTAGGTTCAAGGGATACATATTCAGGTTTGTTACATGGGTAAATTGTGTATCACGGGTGTTTGGTGTGCAGATAATTTTGTTACTCAGGTAATCAGCACAATACCCAATAGGTAGTTTTTTAATCCTCCCCCTCCTCCCACCCTCCACCCTCAAGGAGGCCCCAGTGTCTATTGTTCCCTTCTTTGTGTCCATGTGTACTCAATGTTTAGCTGCCACTTATAGGTGAGAATATGTGGTATTTGGCTTTCTGTTCCTACATTAATTTGCTTAGAATAATGGTCTCCACCTCCATCCATGTTGCTGTGAAGGACATGATTTCGTTCTTGTTTTTTTGGCTGGGTAGCGTACCATGGTGTATAAGTGCTGCAGTTTTCTTTTCTTTTCTTTTCTTTTTTTTTTGAGACGGAGTCTCATTCTGTCACCCAGGCTGGAGTGCAGTGGCGTGATCTCGGCTCACTGCAAACTCCACCTCCTGGGTTCATGCCATTCTCCTGCCTCAGCCTCCCGAGTAGCTGGGACTACAGGCGCCCGCCACCACGCCCGGCTAATTTTTTGTATTTTTAGTAGAGACGGGGTTTCACTGTGTTAGCCAGGATGGTCTCGAACTCCTGACTTCGTGATCTGCCCGCCTCACCCTCCCAAAGTGCTGGGATTACAGGCGTGAGCCACCGCGCCTGGCCCTGTGCCGCAGTTTTCTTTATCCATTCCACTGTTGATGGGCATCTGGGTTGATTCCTTACCTTTGCTATTGTGAATAGTGCTGCACTGATCACAAATTCTTAAAAGTGGAGATAACTGAAGAAATGTAGGTCAGGTGTAGTGTTAGATTTCATCTACAGTGATTTCTACATCTAGTGAAATATGATTGTCTCTTTTTAAATTATTGAATTAAGTGTTAAAATGCATTAAAAGATTTAAAGTTTAAATATTCTTTTATTCTTGGGATTCATAACTTGGTCAAGATATTTAATTTGTTTATAGCACACTGATGGACACAGTCTACTATTTTTCTCATCTATTTTACATCTAATTACTAATAGTGATTTTCCTATCTTGTTTCTTTATTATTTGTTCCCTAACTGGCTTTAGAATTAACACTATTCATAGCTGATAAAGTGAGTTGCCTAGCTTTCTGTATTTTGCTCCATTCTCTTGCATATTTTAAATAAGTCCAATAACCTTCTTTGAAGGTTTAGTAGGACTTCCCTGTGAAACAATCTGTATATAGTTGGGCAGAGATAGAATTTTTACAACTGTTTTAACTTCTTACTTGCAGTAAGTCTTTTCCATCGACATTTTTTTTTTATAATTTCAAGATTGTTTACATCTCTACTATAGCTGCAGTGGCATATTTATCTGTCATAACACTGTCTTGCTCTTAATTAACATTGTCTGTTTTTTTTCTCTGTTCAAAGAAACAGCTGCTTTTGGCAGGCTGGGTCCTCAGCAGTGGCAGCTGCCAGGTCAGCCTTGGTGAGTGGTGACTCAATTGCTCTGTCCATGCAGTGTCCATCCCAGCCACCACGGCCACTTTGTGCAGGGACTCATGAGCAAGCCTTGTGCGGCTGAGTGGCATCATCCATCAAGCCATCTCGCTCACCTGGTTACAGGGAGCCCCAGCCCCTTGGAGACCCTCTGGCAGGCATCCATATGCAACCTCTATCTTCACATGCTCTTCCCATGGAAAGTGGTCAGTGCACACTTCTCTCTTCCATCCCCCAATTTTACAACTTTATTTTCCCCAAGTTCCAGACTGGCCAGGCAACCCATGAGTCACTGCCCTTGATTCATTCATTCATGCACTACTGGGGCATAATTTCTACCCTCTACCTCCTGTGGTCTTGTTTGGGTTTTGATTCCTAGTTCCTGGCTCGACAGCCCTTTCCAAAGCTGTTCTGGTGTCAGCTCCCAAGCCTACTGCTCTTGTAGATTCTCCTTTTTATATCTGAGTCATGGGCATTTATTTCCTGGAATTAAAAAAAAATTCACTGGTATTTTCAATGCAGCATTTCTAAGGACTTGGAGTAGGAGAAATTCTATATTAGCTTAGAGAGAATTGTTTCAAAACACCAGAAATGTAAACTTGAATGAAGGACAACATGCATGTAGAAAGGTGGACAAATCACAGGTGGGCAGTGGGTTTTGCCTAAGTAAAAACTCAGATAAACAACACCTTCATCAAGCAACATCATTTTCACCCTCCAAGAAACACCGTTGAGTCATAAACCAGCCTCCCCCACCCTAGAGTAGCCACTGTCTTGATTTTTAACACTGTAGATGAGTTCTGTTGGTTCTGATTGAATGAAATTAGAAGTTGTTTTCATGTAGTCGGGCTCATCATCTTTGTTGGGCTCATCATCTTGCTGTGTGTGGTCATAACCGATTCTCTCCCATGGCCGTCAAGTGCTCCACTTTATTTATTTATTTATTTTGAGACGGAGTTTCACTCTTGATGCCCAGGCTGGAGTGCAATGGCGCCATCTCGGCTCACTGCAACCTCCGCCTTCCCGGTTCAAGCAATTCTCCTACTTCCGCCTCCCGAGTAGCTGGGATTACAGGCATGCGCCACCACTCCCGGCTAATTTTGTGTTTTTAGTAGAGACACAGTTTCTTCATGTTGGTCAGGATGGTCTTGAACTCCCGACCTCAGGTGATCCACCAGCCTCGGCCTCCCAAAGTGCTGGGATTACAGGCGTAAGTCACCGCATCCAGCCAAGGGTAAATCTCTTATTTTAGAAATTATTCAGCTAGTGAATGGGGAAGGAATGAGAGACTGAGACTATAATTCTTTTGCAACCCATAACGAATTAACAGATTTAGCCATTGAAAAGCAATGGCAATTAAAAGTAGAGTAGAAGTAAATAACCAGTACTAAGTTCTTCCTCCTGATGGAAGAATACAATGGAGTGCCATAAATGAAGTATTCAAGAAGAAAATCAAGTCAGTCTATAAGCAAATCTCTGTAGCCAACTACCAATTTGTAGAAAGTACAGATAAAACAGGTCCATATTAAACTATGCCTTGGGGTGGAGCCAGCAAAATGCAAACTATGGAAAACTCAGCCAGACAATAAAATTTCAAGGAGGAGCATAGAGAAAAAAAGAGAACAGGCCAGGTGCGGTGGCTCACGCCTGTAATCCCAGCACTTTGGGAGGCCGAGGCAGGCAGATCATGAGGTCAGGAGATTGAGACCATCCTGGCTAACATGGTGAAACCCTGTCTCTACTAAAAATACAAAAAAATTAGCCGGGCGTGGTGGCAGACGCCTGTAGTCCCAGCTACTCGGGAGGCTGAGGCAGGAGAATCGCATGAACCCGTGAGGCGGAGCTTGCAGTGAGCCGAGATCATGCCACTGCACTCCAGCCTGGGTGACAGAGTGAGACTCCGTCTTAAAAAAAAAAAAAGAAAAAAGAGAACAAAAATTATACATCCCAAGGTAAAACTAAACTACAATTTCAGAGGATGAAAATATAAAATAGAACAAAGAAGCAATCATCATAAAGGTCAGGCTGTGATTTTATGTGGGGAAGGGAAGCCTTTATCACTGAGCTGGGGCAAATGATGGTTTCTGGGCTGGCTGACAAACTTCTATATCTCTGGTGGTTAAAGGGTGTTTATCTTTTATTATTATTATTTATTATTATTATTAAAGGGCAACATTTTCAGACAGTTTTTCTTTTTGGGTACCTGTTTTATTTTATGGCAAAAAGCTAATGAAGAATAAAATAATTTATAGGTCATGATTACTGTTTTGCAGAAAGCCTACTCTCCACACCCCTCTCCAGACACTGAGCTCCCAAAACAAGTGGCAGCACCAGGACCCCCTGGCAGGGCCACCTCACTTCTGGGTGTGTTCATGTCACTGGAGGCAATGTCCCAGGTCTATTCCTTGATGCCTGGAAGAACCTGATAGGAGACAGTTGAGGGGAAGCCTTCTCTGTCACCTGCAGGTTCTTGGCTGTCACTGTAGAGGGAGCGGGTCCTCACTTCTCCCACAGGCCGGATCACAGCCAGAACCTCCTCCCTGCATGGGGAGTGAGGCTTGATCCTTTCCCTGAATACAGTGACAGAGATCTCTGTGTCATCACATGAAGGCTCCAACTCTTCAGGGCAGATGTTCCCTCACAGGGTCAGCCCCTGAATATTGGCGCCAGATGTCCCACCTCCATCCCTTCCCAGTCCTTTCTGTTCTGCTGTGAATCTGTCAGTCATTGGGAACTAGCAGGGAAAGGGAACAAGGAGGGGAGATTGCTTTGATGCTGGGTCAAAGCATTGAGACAGACCTCTCCTTCTCCCTGAACCTCACACTTTATCCGCTCCCAGACGCATGAAATAAAACACAGACCAGAAATGTCTATTTAAAGAGTAAACATTTACGGTATAAATTATGCACACATAATAGTAGACACAGAGTAATGCATAACGGTGTGACGGGGCGAGGGGACCTCAAGGTGACAAGAAAGCTGGTCCTGGGCTGGTCAGGAGGAGTCATCACCAAGATACTCACTCATAAAGTTCACCCATGATAATCTAATTACTGCACATGTAATATATTAAAATATATTAAAACATAAGAAAATAGGACAGGCATGGTGGCTAATATAATAAAATATATTACAATATAATAAAATAGGCCAGGCACGGTGGCTCATTCTTGTAATCCCAGCACTTTGGGATGCCAAGGCAGGCAGATCACCTGAGGTCAGGAGTTTGAAACTGGGCTGGTCAACTTGGCGAAACCCCGTCTCTACAAAAAATACAAAAATTAGCTGGGTGTGGTGGTGCCTGTCTGTAATCCCAGCTATTCGGGAGTCTGAGGTACGAGAAGTGCTTGAACCTGGGAGGCAGAGGTTGCAGTGAGCTGAGATCACACCAGTGAACTGCAGCCTGGGTGACAGAGTGAGACTCTGTCTCAAAAACAAAAACAAAAACAAAAACAAAAACAACAGAAATAATGATACCAATTAATATGGCACTGTTAAGGGCCCCACAACCCTGTATTGGACTGAACAAAGGGCGAACGTGGGAATAAAGAGAAAGACAAAAGAGTATATTTGGAACAAGGGGTCAGGGGGCTTCTTGCTTCTCGTGAACAAGGGCTCTGATCTTCCACAGCCCTTCGTATTTATTGGTATAGGAGATAGCAAGAAGAGGGGTGGAAGAAGGAGTCAGCTGCTGGGTCCAGAGTAGGCTTGTAAGACTGCATTCCTCAAACAATAGGCTCTAGATGACCCAGTAGATAACTCCAATGAGCACCATGGAGTGAATGCCCTCAGCAAACCTTCTGTTGGCAGGAGCAGTCGTGAGTTTGCCCACATCCTGCATTCATGATAAACAATTTGCTGTTTGATCATATAGCCTCCAATGGAATGTTGAGTTGGTCATGATCCCTTTGCTGGCTCTCTACGTGGCAGAGCAGCAAACACCTCATACCTACTAACACTTTGCAGCATCCAACAACAATAAATAAGTGATGTTATTTTCTGTTTCATAGGTCAGGAAACAGAGGGAAAGTGCTGGTGAGATCCAGGCAGGGAGTTGAATCCTGGCCGCCTGGCTGTAGAGTCTAGGCGCCCTCAGTGGAACCAGTGGACCCAGTAGCTGACATCAGAGGCTGAAATCCCAGCTGTGCTGCATCCCTGTGGTCTCCTGTCCCAACTGGGTGTTGATCCAGGACCTGCAGGCTCACAAGCTCTGGAGAAGAGGGAAACGGGTAAATGCTCCACTGGGTGCAGTGTTGTGTTTATTCCCTAAGGACTTTTCTCTCTTCAGTTGCCCCAAAATCAGATTCACCCTTTCTCTGAGAGAAGATGAGGCCCCCACTTTTTTCTTCCTCCCTCCTTGCTTTTCCCAGCCCCTGTCAGTTCTCTCCCATCACTCCATCAACATCAGCCCCTGTCCTGTGCCCACCACTCACCGTGCAGGGAGTGAAAGGGCCCCAAGACAAAAGGACAAGACCCAAGAGGGAACCCAGTGCCCTCCTCTCAGGCCTGACCAGTCCTGTTACAGTGAGAGGCCTCCCCAAAGAGAGGCCCTGACCCTTGCTCTCAGTCCCCAGGCCCTCCTCTCCTGCAGAGGCACCTGCACACCAGGGCAGGCCCTGCCCACTGTGGGCCCTGCCCTCTATCTGCAGCTCAGCACTCCTCCCCTCCCAGCCCTGAGCAGGCAGCTCCTAACTGGGGACCCCATCAGGAAGCCTGGGGGGCCCAGCAGGCCCAGCATGGAAAGACATGGCTGCCACAGGATCTGCACCTGACATGACCCTGGGACCCCCCACCTTGCTCGAGGAGGCCTGGCCTCCCATGACCTTCAGCACCCACCTAGGCCTGTGACCTGCTGTTGAGTCACTACTGCTCCTGCCTGGTCCACTTACTCCTGGTCCACTTACTTCACCCCAGGGCTGCTGCTTGGTGAGGCTGCGAGGCCTTCCTGCTCTGTCCCTAGCAGGGATTCCACCCAGGCCACTGCCCTTGCAACCTACAAGGACTTTTCTCCACGTGGAGTAGGGGAGACCCCTTAGCCTGAGGCTGCCTCTGCCCACCCTCTGCACCTGGGAACTGCCGCTGCCACAGCCACCATCTCCACACAGACCCTTCTGGAGAGGGGGCTCCAAATTTGAGTTCCTGTTTTATTTAATATGCTTTACAACAGCAGTATTAGAGGAAATCCTATTAAGATTATAGAGCTGAAATTACGAACATCTTTATTGGACATCAACATTGAAAGCAGGAATTTTGATAAACTGGCACATGAATTTCATACCCTTTTCCTGGCCAAAACCCCAGTGACCTACGTGGAAACCATTCCTGCCCACAGGGAACCAGAAGTGACAATCCCTCCACGGGAGACGCCGCAGGTGAGAGCAGGAGTGACCACAGACCTGCACTGCCCCTGCTGTGGGTGCCTCCTGGACAGGGCCCTCTTGCTGCAGGGCAGGGGACGAACCTTCCCATCTGCTCAGGCATGAGGGGCCGACTGACAGTGCAATTAGGTTCAAGGATGAGAAACCAGCGCCCCTACCGCCAGACTCAGGTCTCCTGGACACCCCAGCCTCTCACTGTCCCCTGCACTGCCTCTGTTTTTGCAGAAACACAAAACTTCTGCTGTCTCTTTTCATCCCCCATCAAACAACCTGACTGTGGGGGAAATGCTTCTGACCGTCCCTTACTCCAAACTTACCAGGCAGTGACCACCTTGAGAAAGGGAAATTGGCTCAGGGAGGGCAAGGTAAGGCCACAGAGCACAGAACAAAGCCTCAAAGAGATGGCGCCTGGGGACTGTGTCCCTCAGGGACTGCAGAAGAAAACACGCTGGAGGTAGGATGAAAACAGGGACCACAACTGCCCTGATGAGGGGCTGGGCCCCGCTCCTCAAATGGCCCAGGGACATCTGCTTATCTATTCATCTGTGTCATCTGCAAGGAAACTCAGGGAGGCCAGGTGGTGGGAACCTGGAAAGTGCCTCCTGGAGGAGGCACACGGGTGGGCACCGCCTCTCCTTGGATTCCTCTCCAGTTTCTGGCCCTCCCCAGATCACAGCCACCTTTACTATTTCCTCCCTCTGACACCATGATCATCCAGGCCCTCAGCAATCAGCACGTGATTCCCAACTCACCCCACCTGGACGCACCCTAGTGAGCCCGAGAGACAGAGAGGCTGGGATGGGGACAGAGCAGGTGCCACAGCCCTCCCTGCTGCCCACTCCTCACTTGCAGCAGGAGGAGGCCACAGCTGGATATTCGAAGGCCTTGCCCCAGCCCTGGCTTGAGAAGCACTTATGGGTGTAGATGGAGATGCAGCTCCCATTCCCCTCCCAAATACCCCAGCTTCCATCCCCTGTTCCAGCAGCCTTGTCACCTACGTCTTGTCTGGGCAGGAGCAATGAGGAGACCCTACTGCCTAGAAAGGAGCTTTCCCATCTCCAGAAACTGTCCCCTTTTCTCACCTGGACCCTCTGCCGCTGATGTTTTCTTCTTGCAACAAGGGACACAGAGAATAATAATAATAACAAAACATGGCATAGCAGCAGAAACATATGGAAAGTCTGTCCGTTGACTCTGAAGCACCAGCGCCTTCCCTGAAAAAAAGGGACTTGTTATACACTGGGCAGAGAGCCACAGCCGTCCCTGCTGTTCCTACCCTGGCCTGACCCTCTCCAGGGTCACCCCAGGCTCACCAGAGGGCACAGGGTGAGTGCCGTGATTCCCGCTGTGTTCCATGTAGCAGGTGAACCTCTGCTCCTCTCCTTGGCGAATCCTGGTGGCCACCCAGGTCTGGTAGGTTCCATTCCCATCAGGCAGGACATCCCCCCACTGCTGGGTGTTGTGGCTCAAAGATACCCCATCCTGACGCCAGGTCAGTGTGATATTCCGGGGATAGAAGCTGGAAGCCCTGCATGTCACGGTGATGTTGCCCTCTGAGACCTCGCTGCAGGTGACATTCACCATGGGGGGCACTGGAGAAGAAAGGGCAGAGCCAGTGAAGCCCTGCTCCCCTCTAAGGGAGATGCAGGGAACAGGGCTGCTCCTCTCCACTGTTCTCACTCTGGCTGAATCCCTCACAGATCCCGGACCTTCTGTAAGTCTGTCCTCACCCTGGGGCCTAATTCCTCCAGGCTAGCAGGAGGATGGGCCTTGGGACTGTGGCCTCAGGCTCTGGGATCCCCACATTGATGCTGAGGAGGGGGATGTCAAGGGTGGACTCCTGGGTCATGGGGCCAGGAGGGAACTCTCCGGGATGGGCAGGCCGGGAGGCAGAGGGGGCAGCCCTGGCCCTGAGGGCTTCCTCTCCTGCCTAACTCCCACCCCAGGCTCAGGCTTCTGTCAGAGGGCCCACTGCTTTCCCAGATTACAACACTGGACAGTTCAGTCCCAGACCCACTGTCTTTATCCAATGGCTCTAACAGGAGAGGCAAATCAGGACACAATATGCCAACAGGAAACGCCTGCATCCATAGCACAGGGAGGGTTTCCCCGGACAGAGCTGGGAGGCGAGGCAACTCTAGCAGAATTGCGGGAACAGTAGAGCCCCTGGCCAGGGTCGGTACCTGTTCTCCTGATGGCCACCCCGGATTTCAGATATCGCTGTAGTTTCTGCAGGCAGTCTGCCTGCATAGCGCGATAGTGTGTCTTGGTCTTCATGGCATCTTCCTTCCAGAAATTTGTGACGTTCATAGCCAAGGTCTGAGCTCTGGAGGACTGGGGCACTGTCGATTCTTGAGTCTCCAGGTTTTGGGAGAGGAAGAGCTCCCCATTGTAGTAGAAATGCCGGGAGCCCCTGGTGCTGCTGTCTTCATGCATCTCACAGACCCTAATCTCCTGGAGGGAATGCAAGCCTGCCCCCACCCAGCAGTGACTTCTCCATTCCCGAACCCATCACCTTTCCACCCAAGTGAGGAACTCAGCCCAGCGGCGACCCCTCCCTGGCCCTCCTCCATGCCTCCCTGTGTGGGCTGAGTTCCGGCTCACCACCCTGCTGAGCC
Source organism: Homo sapiens (assembly GCF_000001405.40). Classification (NCBI taxonomy): domain Eukaryota; kingdom Metazoa; phylum Chordata; class Mammalia; order Primates; family Hominidae; genus Homo; species Homo sapiens. The sequence continues at coordinate 2,983,337 of NT_113891.3, read as the reverse complement.
TCCCTGACCCTATTCCTCATCCCCACTCCCAGCCAGATCCAGCGGGAAGAGACAGGTCCCTGCTCTCTGTCTCCAACTTTCCTGGAGAAGGCCTCCCATTACTCTTGCCCCTGCCGACTCTCACCTCCTTTCTGGTCCTTGATATGAGTCAGGGTCCTCCTGAGGTCTTGCCCATTCTCTGTCAAGTCCTCGGTCTCTGTGTCCCAGGTCTCAGCTCCCAGGACATCTTCTGCCCACTGTCCCTGGGGCTTTGCCCTGCGTTTCTGCCTGTCATAGCGCAGGAAGGGCTGACCATCCAGATGTCCCTCAGCGAGAAACCCTGACTGCACAGATCCATCCTGGGACAGCACCATGAGGTTGTAACGAAGACTGTGGGGCTCTGGGGAAGAGGAAATCACAGGTGAAACTTCTTCCTGGAAATAACTTCACATTGATGTTTAACACACAGGTCTGCTGTCCCGACCTCCCTGAGGAGGCAGGAAATGCACATGGGCAAAAGGACAAGAACGAAGATTTCATATACAAGGAAAACTGTGAGGGTGGGAGGATAGAGGAGGGGGCTGATGAACAGAAGAAGGGGGAATGAAGATGGCAAACTTGTAGGTCAGGTGCCAGGACTGGGTGGCCACAAGCCCCCTAAGGGAATAGGGGCCAAGGGGAGAGGCTGCCCTGCAGGGGCAAGGGAGGAGCATGAAGGCAGTGTTGGAAGGAAGGTCTTGCCAGAGGGGACAGTGGGAATGGGAAGGGACTCAGGCTCAGAGGGACCCATGTCCAGTGTGGCTGTGGTGCACAGGTGAGGGTGAGATGGAGGCAAGGCGAGCTGCCTTGAGAAAAGACTCATCATGGGCATGGTGGGGACAAGGGAGGGGGTGGTCATGAGGCACAAGGGGTAGGAAGGTTGTAGCCCTAGAGAAGTTTATAGTGGGGTCAGTATCCCAGAGGGGAGCAATGATGTGGGCTTGGGTTCAAAGTGGAAGAGTGGCATGACAAGGCCCCAGGACAGCAATTGGATGGACCAGCTAGTGTCCACTGGGGTGGGCAGGTGACAGGGTATCAAAGAGTAAGTCCATCTTTTCAGCAAATAGTGCTGGGGGAACTGGATGTTCAAATAATATAAAATTGGACCCTTAATTTGTACTATATACAAAAATTAACTCAAAATGAATCAAAGACCTAAACTCTAAACTCAAGAACTAAAACATAAAAATATCTTAGAAAAAAACATTGGGTATAATGTTCATGACATAGGGTTTGACAGTGCTTTCATGGATATGACGCCAAAGCACAGATAGAATAGAAAGAACTGACAAACTGGACTCATGAAAAATTCAAAATATCTGTGCATCAAAGGGCACAATCAGAGTGAGAAAGCAATCAACCCCTGAAATGAAATAAATATTGCAAGTCATATATCTGATAAGAGATTAGTTTCCAGAAGGCCAGGCGTGGTGGCTCAAGCCTGTAATTCCAGCACTTTGGGAGGCCGAGGCGGGTGTATCACCAGGTCAGGAGATTGAGACCATCCTGGCTAACATGGTGAAACCCTATCTCTACTAAAAATACAAAAAATTAGCCGGGTGTGGTGGCGGGCGCCTGTAGTCCCAGCTACTAGGGAGGCTGAGGTGGGAGAATGGCATGAAGCTAGCGGGTGGAGCTTGCAGTGAGCTGAGATCGTGCCACTGCACTCCAGCCTGGGCAACAGAGCAAGACTCCATCTCAAAAAAAAAAAAAAAAAAAAAAAAAGAAAAAGAGAGAGATTAGTTTCCAGAATATGCAAAAAAGTTTGACAAAAACAACAAAACAGTCAACCCACTCAAAAATGGGCAAAATAGCCATGAGAAGCTATGTGGGGGAGAAAAATGGGCAAGACTTCAATGGCCAATTCTTCAAAGAAAATATACAAATGATCAATAAACACATGAAAAGATGCTCAATATCAGTACTCATTAGGAAAATGCAAATCCAAACCACAACGAGATACCACTTCAAACCAATCAGGGTGGCTATTATCACACACACACACACACACACACACACACACACACACACACACACACAAACAGCAAGTTTGGCAAGGAGGTAGAGAAACTGAAGCCCCTGTATACTGCTTCTAGAAATACAAAATGGCACGCCTGCAATGGAAAACACTATGGTGATTCCTCTAAAAATTAAAAAATGAAATACCGTATGATCCAACAATTCTATTTCTGGATATATACCCAAAAGAAATACTCAAAAGAAATAAATATATACCCAAGAGAAATGAAATATTTGCCAATATCCAAAAGGTAGAAGTAACCCAAGTGTCCATTGTCTGAGGAATGGATAACCAAGGTGTGGTACATACATATAATGAGTATTATTCATCATTAAAAGGAATGAAAATCTGACCCATACTACAACCTGGATGAACCTCGAAATATTATAAGTGAAATAAGCCAGAATCAAAAAGACAAACATTACACGATTCTACTTAAATGAGGTACCTAGAGTGGTCAAATTCATAGAAACAAAAAGTAGAATGATGGTTACCAGGGGCCAGAGGTAGGGAGGAATGGGGAGTTACCGATTAATGGGTACAGAGTTTTGGGTTGCACAAAAATGTGAATGTATCTAATGCCACCGAGTATACACTTAAAAGCGGTTAAAACAGTAAAATTTATGTAATGTATAATTTACCACAATTAAACGTTTAAAGAACAAGAAATATCAGTCCTATTCAAATTGTTCTGAAAAACAGAGGAGGAGGGAATACTTCCAAACTCATTTTACAAAGCCAGGAATATCCTGATATCAAAATCAGGCAAAGACACATCAAAAAAAGAAAACTACAGGCCTATATCCCTGATGAACATTGAGGCAAATATCATCAATGAAATACTAGCAAACCACATTCAACAGTATATTAAAAAGATCATTCTTCATGACCAAGTGGAATGTATTCCAGGTATGCATACACAAATCAATCAATGTAATACATCGTATCAACAGAATAAAGGACAAAAGCCATATCACCATTTCAATTGATACTGAAAAAGCATTTGATAAGTTTAACATCCCTTCATGATAAAAACTCTAAAAAAACTGAGTATACAAGGAACAGACCTCAATATAATAAAAGCCATATATGACAACTCACAGCTAGTAACATACTGAATGGGGGAAAACTGAAAGCCTTTTCTTTAAGATCTGGAACAAGACAAGGATGACTACTTTCACTACAGTTATGCAACACAATACTGCAAGTCCTAGCTAGAGCAATCTGACAGGAGAAGGAAATAAAGGGCATCAAAATTGGAAAAGAAGAAGTCAAATTATCCTTGTTTGCACATCATGTGGTCTGATATTTGGAAAACCTAAAGACTCCACCAAAAAACTATTAGAACTGAAGAACAAATTCAGTAAAGTTGCAGGATACAAAATCAACATGCAAAAATCAATAGCATTTCTATGTGCTAACAGCAAATAATCTGAAAAAGAAATCAAGAAACGAATCCCATTTTCATTAGCTACAAATAAAATAAAATACCTAGGAATAGACTTAACTGAAGAAGTGAAAGATCTCTCCAATAAAAACTATAAAGCACTGATGCAAAACATTGAAGAGGACACAAAAAATGGAAAAGGCATTCCATGTTCATGGACTGGAAGAATCAATGTTTATTTTTATTTTCTGAGATGGAGTTTTGCTCCTGTTGCCCAGGCTGGAGTGCAATGGTGCAATCTCAGCTCACCACAACCTCTGCCTCCTGGGTTCAAGCGATTCTCCTGCCTCAGCTTTCCTGAGTAGCTGGGATTACAGGCATATGCCACCACGCCTGGCTAATTTTGTATTTTTAGTAGAGGCGGGGTTTCTCCATGTTGATCAGGCTGGTCTTGAACTCCTGATCTCAAGTGATCCACCTGACTCGGCCTCCCAAAGTGCTGGGATTACAGGAGTGAGCCACCGTGCCCAGCCGGAAGAATCAATTTTGTTAAAATATCCATCCTACCCAAAGCAATCTACAAATTCAACGCAATTGCTATCAAAACACCAATGACATTCTTCACAGAAATAGAAAAACAATCCTAAAATGTATATGGAATCACAAAAAACCCAGAATAGATAAAGCTACCCTGAACAAAAAGAACAAAACTAGAGGAATCACATTATCTGACTTCAAATTATACTACAGAGCTAGAGTAATCAAAACAGCACGGTAGTGGCATAAAAACAGACACACGGACCAATGAAACAGAATAGAGAACCCAGAAACAAATCCATATATCTACAGTGAAGTTATTTCTAACAAAGTTACCAAGAACACATACAGGGCAAAGGAGAGTCTCTTCAATAAATGGTGCTGGGGAAACTAGATATCCTTATGCAGAAGAATGAAACTGGACCCTATCTCTCACCACATATAAAAATCCAATCAAAAAGGATTAAAGATGTAAATCTATGACCTCAAACTATGAAAACTATAAAAGAAAACATTGGGGAAACTCTCTAAGATATTGGACTGGCAAAGATTTTTTAAGTAATACCCCACAAGCACAGGCAACCAAAGTAAAAATGCATAAATGGGATCATATCAAGTTAAAAAGCTTCTGCACAGCAAAGGAAACAATAAACAAAGTGAAGAGACCATCCAAGAATGGGAGAAAATATTTTCAAACTATTCATCTGACAAAGGATTAGTAACCAAAACATATAAGGATCTCAAACAACTCTATAGGAAAAATATCTAATAATCCAACTTAAAAATGAGCAAAAGATCTGAATAGTCATTTCTCAAAAGAAGACATACAAATGGCAAACAGGTATATCAAAAGGTGCTCAACATCATTCGTCATCAGATGAAGGCAAATCAAAACTCCTACGAGATATCATCCCACCCCAGATAAACTGGCTTTTATCCAGAAGACAGGCAATAAGGAATCCTGGCGAGGATGTAGCAAAAGAGAACCCTTGTACACTGTTGGTGGGAACGTAAACTAGTATAACCACTGTGGGAAATAATGTGGAGGTTCTTCCAAAAACTAAAAATATAATAGAGCTGTCATATGCTCCAGCACTCCCACTGTTAGGCATATACCCAAAAGAAAGGAAATCGGTATATTAAAGAGCTATCTACTTTTCCATGTTTATTGCAGCACTATTCAAAATAGCCAAGATCTGCAAGCGACCTAAGTGTCCATCAACAGACGAATGGAGAAAGAAAATGTGGTGCACACGTGTATGTGGAGTACTATTCAGCCACCATGTCATTTGCAAAGAACTGGAGGTCATCATGTGAAGTGAAATAAGCCCCAGGCCCAGAGAGACAAACTTCGCATGTTCTCACTTATTTGTGGCAGCCAAAAATTAAAACAATGGACCTCATGGGGAGAGACAATAGAATGACGATTACCAGAGGCTGAGAAGGGTAGTGGGGAGTGGGGGAGTGCGGATGGTTAATGGGTACAAAAATATAGTTAGAATGAATAAGATCTAGTAGATAGCACAGCAGGGTGAGTACAGCCAACAATAATTTATTGTACATTTAAAAATAACTGAAAGAGCATAATGGGATTGTTTGTAGCACAAAGAAAGGATAAATGCTTGTTGTGATAGATAACCCATTTACCCTGATGTGATTATGACATATTGTAGGCCTGTGTCAAAATATCCCATGTACCCCATAAATATATACATACATATCTACTACGTACCCAAACAAAAGTTAAAAATTAAAAACAAAGCAAGGGGTGGGGGTGCTGGCCAGAGAGAGAAAACCAAGGTAGAGGGGGAGATTCTCAGCCTGAGGAAGGACCTGCCAAAAGGAGTAATGCTGGAGGGGGAGCAGTGGCACCCCAAGAGCAGGCAAAACAGATTTTAGATATGCGGTGTGGGGAGTGAGAGCCCACTGGGGTCAAGGAACCAAAAGAAAAGAAGGAAGGTCAAGGAACAGCTGGCCCAACAGCCTGTTTTAGGTCTGGGTTGGGGAGGGGAGATGGGCAGAGCAAGAACTGGAGGGCGGCATGAGCATGGGGCAGGAGTGACTGTGGGAGAACTTGGGGTAGGGTGAGGACAGGAGGGGAGGGTGCTCTGGGGGAGGGTGGGGCTTGGGAAAGATTCTCAGCACTGTCATATGCTCCAGCACTCCCACTTTCCCACTGAAAGATGAGAACTTGCTGAGGGCCCCAGGCAGCTGGGCAAGAGATAGGAGCAGCACAAGGTCCCAAGGTGGAGAGGGGCGGAGGGACCAGGGAGGGATGGTCCAGCACCTGTGGGCTGGAGGGTGGGGTCCTCAAGAGGGTGAGGCTGAGGATGAAGGAGTGGGGAAGGGGCCACAATGAGGCAGGGCCCAGAGCAGGCACCTGCACTGGAGGGGAGGGGGCATCTGCGCTGCCCTGCGCCCTGCCTAAGGCCCAACTGCCATTAGCATCAGGGCTCTCCTTAGGGGTCTGGAGGGGAGTGGGATGGAGGGAAGACCCCCCCGGACAAAAGGCAGCACCAGAAAGTTAGAGTCAGGGACATTTGGGAATGGGGAGGCATAGGGGCAGCACGGAGTGAAGGCTGCTTGCAGGAAAGGCCCATAAAGGAGGCAGGAGGGACCTTCAGTGGCGGGGGCGGGGGATGAAGGCAGAGGACACTCTAGAAATGGATCAGAGAACAGCACACAGGAAGGGGTAGCAGGGAGCTGGGAGAGCAAAAGGACCCAGGGCGCCGTAAGATGGGCAGGGAGGAGGTGAGAGGGAATCTGGTGTCCTTAGATCATTGGTCATTAGTAGGGGTGGGATGCGAGAGAGGAGAGGACCCCCGGAGCCGGAGGCGAGGGGAGAATGAGCTGGGGATGACAGAAGTCGCAGGAAGAATCCTCTGCCCGGAGCCTGCAGACTCCAACCCCTCAGCTTGAGAGTCAGGACCCCCCACAGTCCTCACAGTAGCAAGAAGCACCACCTCCGGGTCCCAAGAAAGGAGGGCCCCAACTCCAGGAGCTGCGGCCCAGGAGCTGAGAACACATCGGCTCCGGGAGAGGACAGGACTTCAGGGACCTGAGATCCGCCCCCAGCACCGGGGGAAGTGGCTGCCTCAGCGGCCGCGCTGGAACGGCCTTCCAATGCCATTCACAGGAGCAGCCCGGGAACCCAGGGGCCTCAGAAGGACTGGTTTGTCCGAAAAGTGAGAGGAGACGGAGGAGAGGCGAGGAGAGCAAGTGCAGGAGGAGACCAGAAAATGCGGGTGATGCGCGATCCCGAGGAGGACTGAAAGGAGACGGGAGGTCGGGCGCGGTGGCTCACGCCTGTAATCCCAGCACTTTGGGAGGCCGAGGCGGGCGGATCACGAGGTCAGGAGATCGAGACCATCCTGACTAACACGGTGAAACCCCATCTCTACTAAAAACACAAAAAATTAGCCGGGCGTGGTGGCGGGCGCCTGTAGTCCCAGCTACTAGGGAGGCTGAGGCAGGAGAATGGCGTGAACCCGGGAGGCGGAGCTTGCAGTGAGCCAATATCGCGCCACTGCACTACAGCCTAGGCGACAGAGACTCCGTCTCAGAAAGAAAAAAAAAAAAAAAAAAAAAAGAGACGGGAGATGGGAAAGCAGGGCTGAGGTGTGGCGGGAACAGGCGGCGTCCAGCTCCCTGCACTCCAGACAGCACACCTGAGCCCCGCCCTGACCGCACAGCGCTCGCGGCAACCCACCCGGACCCCCGGAAACGCCCCGCCGCTCCCGCTCCGCCGGGGACCGCCAGGAACCCCACTCACCAGCGGCGGCTGCCGGGGGTGCAAAAGGGAAGGCGACGGCCAGAAACAGCAGGACCCGGCCCAGCCCCATGGCCCCTACGTCGCCACCTTCTCAGCTGCTCAGCAGTGGCCAACTGAATGAAACCGGTGAGAAGACCCCGTCGAAATTTAGTCACCTGCGCCCCGCTCAGCGACCGCTTATCCAGTGAAAACTGAGGCCCGGAACTTGGCCAATCATGAGTGGAGAGGGCGGGGCCACGTTCAGAAGAGAAAATTCTAGCGGCCTGGAGACCTGGGGAAATTTAGAAGGCGGGACCTGGCGGCCAGAAAAGGGGGAGCGTGCGCGAGCGCAGCCAAAATCAAGGACCAGCCCCGAGTAGCTGAGAGTACAGCTCCAAACTTATGAGCACGACCTGGACCCTGTCGCCCTCCCTGCATCGCGACCACCCCATCCCCGCATTCCCACCCCCAAGGAGCGCGGGCTTCACCAAGCCCCTTTCGGCGGTCCTCCCATCAGGCCGGCTCTCACTGGCTTGTTCCTTCCGGGACAGACAACGCGTGGTTTTTCTGCCAATACACTCCCTCAACCGCGCACAGCGTTACTGCAATGAGACCAGTGACCAGATTTGCAGACCTGTTTCCAGATCTCAGCCGCCTCTGCCTTTCAGAAGCACTTGCCCCAGTAGAAACGCTCAGATCACAAATTCTCTTAGACGTTTCAGCTATATAATCTCCTTCTCCTCCCTTCGACTCAAAGCCAGGTCCCCCCTTTCACCCCCTTATATCCTCTAAGTGTCTGAGGTCTCCCAGGGCCCCCTCTCTATTCAGTTCCTGGGTAATCACAGGGCCAACGAGGCGGCTCCCCATGGTTCATTACAACACCAAGCTCTCTCCAGACTCCCTTTTCCAGCCTGTTTTAGGACATCTGTACCTCTGGGACCATAGTCCCCTTCAATGTGACAGATCTACAAGGACTCTCTACACGTCTCCCACCACATCATCCTCTCTTCCTACTCAGTTTCTCTTAAGAACTTCACCATCCTTGGTCCCTTCTGATTTCCTCTTTCCCCTTCATCTCCGGGAGTCAAAGTCAGCTCCTTCAACGCTATTTCAATCCCACAGCCATAGTCTTAGTCTAGGCTTTCCCCTCCCTTCAGTCTGGATTACTGCACAGGCTTCCTAAACACTGTGCCTGCCTCAGTTACAACCAGAGTGCTCCAAGCCACCCACAGCGCCCCATCTGCTGAATGTCACACATGGTAGATGCTTCTACTCTACCATGGAAACCATAGCTCCCACAATCTATTGTCTGGCACCACCCCCATTTCTCTGGTGACATTTCCCCAGGGTTGCAGTAAACGTGGGCTCTGGGATCTCCTCACCCTATCCCACCAGGATGCCACTGCCTAAGCAGTCTCCCTCTTCCAGGTTACTGTCACCTCTGCCTTGGAACCCATCAGACCACAGCATATCCTCAAAATCTTCCCAATTAGGCTGGTCTGAGTGCAGTGGTGTTTACAACTAATTGATCACAACCAGTTATAGATGTTTTTGTTTCATCTTCACTCCCACTGTTTCACTTGACTAGCCTTTAAAAAAAAAAAAAAGGAAAAAGGGTCCGGGCACGGTGGCTCACGCCTGTAATCCCAGCACTTTGGGAGGTCGAGGTGGGCAGATCACGAGGTCAGGAGATGGAGAGCATCCTGCTAACACAGTGAAACCCCGTCTCTACTAAAAATACAAAAAACTTAGCTGGGCGTGGTGGCGGGTACCTGTAGTCCCAGCTGCTCAGAAGGCTGAGGCAGGAGAATGGGGTCAACCCGGGAGGCGGAGCTTGCAGTGAGCTGAGATTGCGCCACTGCACTCCAGCCTGGGCAACAGAGCAAGGCTCCGCCTCAAAAAAAAAAAAAAAGAAAAAAAGGAAGAAAATCTTCCCAAGTAGATAGTGGTGACGGTGGCACAACCTTGTGATTATGCTAGAAGCCACTGATCTGTACACTTTAAAACGATAAATTATGTGTGGCATATGAATTCTCAATTCTCAATAATAAGAATTCTGTCTGGAAAGCCTCTACTAAGAGAATTGGCTTGTCCCCAGCGCACATTCTTAGTCATTGGGACATCTAGGCAGTGGTCTTCAAACCTAGCCACTGCGTAGAACCACCTGGAGAGTTTTTAATATCCATGTTCCCAGGCCACAGCCACAACCAGTTAAATCAGTAAACCTAGGTTGGACCTAAACCTTAGTATCTTTTAAAGTTCCCTGCGTGATTCCGATGTGTAGTCAAGTTTTAGAACTACTGATCTAGCCCATGGTTTGAACCTTCCTGATGGTACCGACTGTGCCCTGTCTTGAATCTTATTTTTTTCATTTATTTTATTTTATTTTTTTAAGAGAGGAGTCTTGCTGTGTCACTCAGTTGGAATGCAGTGGCGTGATTATAGCTCACTGCAGCCTCAAATGCCTGGGCTCAAGCAGTCCTCCCACCACAGCCTCTTGAGTAGCTGGGACTACAGGCGAGGCGAGTGCCACACACCCAGCCATCACCTACCATCTTCTACCCTCCTCTCCCATTAGACTATGAACCCTCCAGGATCAGGAACTGTGTCCATTTCTTTTTTGTTGGCCTCACAACCTTTTTTTTTAAGTTCAACTATCCCTGTCATTACTAACTATTCCCCTATCATCCCTAGCCTACACTTTTCTGTGGATGAAAATGTAATGTATTCGAGAACTTTAACAATTTCTTAGTCTTCCCATACACATTCACTGATAATTTATTTTGATCCTCATAATTTATTAAGCACAGCAGGGACTGGGGTCCTGTCCCCACCTTAGAGAGATTATTTTCACTGCTAAAGATCATAAGCATAGTTTGAGACAGAGAGGGAGATGGACCCAGCTCTCCTGACACAGGTCCCAAGCCCTTCCCTCCACGGTGTCTACCCTCCCTCCAGGACTTCCTCCGTGTGCCAGCTCCAGCAAAGGGTCTCATTCAGCTCGCCTCCAAAAAAGACTTTTAATAGTTCAATAATAATAATGAATATTTAAGGTTTGTTCTAAGGCATTTAGAAGCGGTTTCAGGGAGACATGAAGCCAGTCCTCCCCTGGGCTAGGGGAGGCCAAGAAGGTCTTGAGCTCCAGGGGAGTTGCTTCTCAGCGCCGAGGCCTGGGTCCCCTCCCCCACCAAGCCTCCCAGGTCTTCTGTTCAAAGCCCTCCCCCTCCACCCCACCTCCAGCCCCCTCTGCTCTGCCCCATCAACTATGTTTTCTCCCTCAGCACTTGCCTTAGATCCCTGGACTCACGAGCACAGAGGCGACTTCCTCCTCGCAGACTTTAGGCGCCACTGCAGGGTCCGGAAAAGAAAGAGAAACGGCCCAGCGCGGGCGCTCACAAAATTCAGGGCGGGGCTGCCCTCGGCGCCCGAAAGCTTTTTGTTTTTTGTTTTTTTTTGAAACGGAGTTTCGCTCTTGTTGCCCAGGCTGGAGTGCAGTGGCGCGATCTCGGCTCACAGCAACCTCCGCCTCCCGGGTTCAAGTGAGTCTCCTGCCTCAGCCTCCCGACTAGCTGGGATTACAGGCATGCGCCACCCCCGGCTAATTTTGTATTTTTAGTAGAGGCGGGGTTTCTCTATGTTGGTCAGGCTGGTCTGGAAATCCCGACCTCAGGTGATCCGCCCGCCTCGGCCTCCCAAAGTGCTGGAATTACAGGCTTGAGCCACCGCGCACGGCTTTGCCAGCAAGCGTTTTGAATTTTGTGGCCCGGAATTCACTGCGAGGACTGGGATCACCCATCACCCTTCCCTGGTCTCCGAAAAATGAAACGTGTTTACTGATACAGAAACGGAATAACGGCACTTTGGGCTGGGGAGGGCCGAGCTGCCTCAGGCTTCTGGTCTCCAGCTGCGCGGCACTCACACCTGCTGCTGTGAAAATGCAGACCCGCGGGGCAGGAATTCCGAGTCCAGGCTGGAGCGCGATCTGGAATCTGACTCGCTGGAAACAGCACCGCGGTGGATTCGGATCTGAGTGAGTAGGGAACTGCGCCTCAGCCCCTCCCGCAGGCCGCCCACAGATTCCAGGGTCCGAAAACGCTTCACCCCTGGAAGGCAGCGCCCGCCTCTGGGCGGTTCTGATGGAAACGGACTCCACCGCCCGCAGGAAAACCCACAACTAAGGGGCCAGGAAAAAGCCTCTCAGGGTCCCGCCGCTTCAGTGAGGATCCTAATTTACACCCCGAGTGTGGCCCCGTCAAAGACGGGAGTGACCACTGAAATGATAAAAGACCTGCGCGGCCCAGGGCGCTGGGGCGCATAGAATGCTGTGACAGCGCCGCCTCGCGTCCCTTCTCTGACCTGCCCCAGGCGGACGCGGTGAAGTGTGTTGGCCTGGAGGCTGGAATACACCGGGGATCAAGTGCAGAGAGTGGTGAAAGGAGGGAAGGATAGGGGAACGTGTTAAGAAAGGAGGGAAGAGATAGGAAGAAAAGGGGAGAGAAAAAGTAAAGGAGAGATAAAATTTAAAAGACGTAGTTTTATTATTTATTTTTGACCTTTATCTAGTTTTACTTATGAACATTTTTACTATAGCTTTCTCTCTTTCTGAATCTGTAAATATACTGCTATTATTGTTATTTCAGAGCCTGTGAGGGTAAGTTGCAGACAGCATGACCCTCTACCTCCAGATGAGTCAGGGTGTGTCTCCTGGGCACAAGAACAGGGTTTTTGTTTTGTTTTGTTTCACATAAGCAAAGTACAAATCTCAAAGACGATAATATTTTTAAATCATCATATTGGGACATACTTTGCATGCAATAAACTGCATCTATTTAAAGTGTTCAACTTGTTGAATTTTAGCTGTTGTACACACCCACATCTCCACTACCACAGTGAAGATAAAGAACATTTCAATTGTCTCCCAAAGAAGAGTTATATTATAAAATTCTATACAGTCATTAAAAAGAGTAAGATCGCTTTTAAGTATTGCTATGAAAAGAAGTGCCCAGCATACTTTTAACCTTTTTTAAAAGGTTAAGGAGGCTGGGCCCAGTGGCTCACGCCTGTAATCCCAGAACTTTGGAAGGCCAAGGTGGGCAGATCACCTGAGGTCAGGAGTTCGAGATCAGCCTGGTCAATATGGTGAAACCCTGTCTCCACTGAAAATACAAAAATTAGCCAGGCATGGTGGCCGGCGCCTGTAGTCCCAGCTACTCGGGAGGCTGAGGCAGGAGGATTGCTTGAACCCGGGAGGTGGAGGTTGCAGTGAGCTGAGATCGTGCCACTGCACTCCAGCCTGGGTGAAAATGCCGCTAATATTACTTACATAATATTAATATATATTTTAAGTAGGGGAAAACCTGGAAGATTCCTCACCAAAGTTTTGACAGTGACTTCAGAGACTGGGATAACTTTGTGACTTTCATTTTCTCTGAAATGTTGGAATTTTATCTTTTAGTATAAACTTGGATTTGGGTGAGTTGCAGTGGTTCATGCCTATAATCTCAGCTCTTTGGGAATTGGAGGCAGGAGGATCGCTTGAGCCAGGGAGTTCCAGGCTGCAGTGAGCTATGATTGTGCCATTGCAATCCAGCCTGGGTGACAGGAGGAGACCCTGTCCCCAAAACAAAAATAAATAAAATTTTAAAATAATAAAAATTGTGAACTTGGATTTATGCGGACGTTAAGGAAGAGAATATTTCAATTTGAAAATACGAAGCTAAGCCCCACACCAAAATGGTTACAGAGTTTTAAAAACCAAAACGTTCTTTAAAACCCAGCACCAGAAACTCTTTCAAGAGGATCCTTCATATTTTCATGTCATTGAATCTTTCTTAAAGTGCATTTGAAAGAGATGTTTTCAGTGGAATAGAGAGATATGTAACAATATTTACAAAAGCGGTTGGCTGTAATAAAAAGGAAAACGCAAATGAGTGGGGACACAGGGGACCCTGTTCCATTTATTCTCAAAGCACGTTTGAAAACTGCGTTGCCATAGCGTCCTTGGGTGGAGACAAAGTCGAGGCAGATCTTGTTCCTGGAGTATTGATTTGATTTTGGAAACGGTCCAAGGCTTTCAGAAATCAGGCTGACTTAGATCTAAAGTCTCAAGAATGTTCGTTCTAGCAGTGAGCCTGTGAGAATCTAGCCCATCTGGGCGATGCTCTCTCTGCTTTCACCTAGTGGCAGTGGTTGGAAGGACAGGGCACAGTGTTACTGCATGGGTGGGGCTGAAGCCAAGGTGAAACCGCCTTTGCAAAATTATAAGTAAGGAAATGATGACAGTGAAAGACATCAAACCTAACTCACCCTATCTTGTTTCTAACCGCTAACCTGCCCTTGTTCATTTCTGGGCATAGGCCGTACTAGCCTTGGGAAGGAATTTATAGTTTAAAGGGAAAGTGTTCTTTTAAAACGAATGAAACGCCGCCAGCCATTAAGTTAGGATGAGAGGGGCTGGAATTCTGAATATTACCAGCCATTATTCCGGAGGTCATAAGATTTGCAACTTCCCCAGTTACTCTTGAAGGTAACATCACTATTGTGAACCTCAGAGCGGCCTTTTGAGATGTCTTTTGCATTTCTTTTTTCTTTTTCTTCCTTTTTTTTTTTTTTTTGAGACGGAGTCTCGCTCTGTCGCCCAGGCTGGAGTGCAGTGGCGCGATCTCGGCTCACTGCAAGCTCTGCCTCCCGGGTTCACGCCATTCTCCTTCCTCAGCCTACTGAGTAGCTGGGACTACAGGCTCCCGCCACCATACCCGGCTAATTTTTTTGTATTTTTAGTAGAGACGGGGTTTCACCGTGTTAGCAAGGATGGTCTCGATCTCCTGACCTCGTGATCCGCCCGCCTCGGGCTCCCAAAGTGCTGGGATTACAGGCGTGAGCCACCACGCCAGGCCAGGTTTTTGCATTTCTAACAACTGGAGGACCCCATCTGGACCTGCCAACCAGTCCTGTGGCCCCCCACTCAGGAACTGACTCAGCCTAAGAGAACAGCCTCCACTCACTATGATTTCATACCGGAGCCAACCAATCAGCACTCCTGATTCACCGGCCCCCCCTATCCACCAAATTATCCTTAAAAACTGATCAGAGTTTTCGGGGAGACTGATTTGAGTAATAAAACTCTGGTCTCCCGCACGGCCGGCTCTGCATGAATTACTCTTTCTCTATTGTAATTCCCCTGCCTTGATAAATCGGCTTTGTCTAGGCAGTCAGCAAGGTGAACACACTGGGTGGTTACAAAGGGAGTCCAGGCCAGTGTGCAGGATGTGCTTTGCTGTAGTGGGGTCCGGGTAGCGGAGGAAAGTCAAGGACACTCAGGGAATAAATGGCAGAGGAAGAAGGAGCACGAGGGAGGACCCAAAGCCTCCAGACCTCTCCTTCCTTCTCTCCCTGTTAGGGTTGGAGGGAACCAGCGTGGTCCCAGGAGGGATGGCTGGTGGGGTGCAGAAAACGCCCTGGTTGCAAAGGGGCGTCACGCGCCCCACACAAGGGTCCTGGCTGTCAGCTGCTACTCATGAGTTCAAACTAGGAGGAGACTCACACGTGTCCTTTGCAAAGTAGACTCCTTATCTCCCACTCTGGCTGGTTTCCCAAATCCATCCTGATAAAGCAGAAAAACCAAGAGCCAAATTCTGCGTGGGACCTTTCTGACAGCTGGAAGGTCCTCCCCCTCCCCATTCCTCACATGTGCCCTTCTTGCCCTGCCCCCTCCACTTTGTCTCCACTTCCTCATCCTTTTCCCTCTCTGGACCCCGCTCCTGAGTATCTCCCGCCTTCTTCAGAGGACTTCTCCTCATGAAGTACAGACTCCTCCACCTCCAGGAAAAAGAGACAAAGACCACTGAGAGGGACCTGAGAAATGCCTGTGACCCCACCCCTGAGACCAGCCTCTCCCTCAGTGCTGGCTCTGGCTGTGTGTGTGTATGTATTTTGTTTTGTTTTGTTTGTTTGTTTTTGAGACAGGGTCTCACTAAGCTAGAGCAGTGTCCCGATCACAGCTCATTGCAGGCTCCAACTCCTGGATTCAGGCAATCCTCCCACCTCAGCTTCTCGAGTAGCTGGGACTACAGACTGGAGCCACCACACCCAGTGTGTGTGTGTGTGTGTGTGTGTGTGTGTGTGTGTGTATTTTTTTCTTTTCTTTTCTTTTTTTTTTTTTTTTTGTAGAGACTGGGTCTTGCTTTGTTACTCATGCTGGTCTTGAACTTCTGGCTTCAAGCAATTCTCATGCCTCAGCCTCCCAAAGTGCTGAGATTACGGGCATAAACCACAACGCCTGGCCCCTGTGTGTGTACATACAAAGTCAAAGTGCTAAACCTGGCACCTAGGAAACATCCCCACCTTGGCATTGCTTGCAACAGTCGGTATTTTGTGCACCTGTGCTTTTATTTCGGGAGCTGGGACAATTATATTCATCAGAACAGCACGGTGTCAAGGCCCTCACCCCCAGAAAGCTTAAGGGACACTGTTTTATGAAGGAGAGTGAGATTGGAGGAGCCCCTGACTCCAAGTCTCCTGATCCTTCTTACACAAAGCGATGCTGAAAAAAAGTGTAGGACACTCCATTTCCTCCTGGGACCAGACAGGGAAGCCAGAGCCACTGTGGATGTCAAATTCCAGCAAGGAAATACCAGTATAGCAAAATCTCCATGTCACATTTTAAAGCTCACACAATGGCTCAAAGAGAACCAATATCAAAAAATCGAATTCCTAGCTCAGGTGAGATCACCAAATTTGCCTGTGAGGTTTTGTGGAATCTGCAGGTAGAAAGGACATCTTTATTTAGAGCTGCAGCCCAATTGCTCCTGCATCTTGGGGCCCCTTGAAAGGACCCTCTCCCTTCAACAGTGCATAGTGAGGCCATTTCTGGGGAGAAACGTAGACTGTCCTTGGACTCCTGAGGTTTTTACACTTACTTGCTGACTCTGTGGACTTTGACTTCATCATTAAACATCTTACAACGATGTAATTTGCTTTGACTGTAAGTGTAGAACAGGACACTGATCCTGAATCAGGAAACAAGGGACTGGTGACCTGAACTGCCACCCCCCTCCCTGGTGCTCAGATGCAATGAAATTGTGAGGCAACAAATCTATGGCTAGGTAAAGGGTCAACTCCATTTCAGCAAATGTTTCAGATGTTCCTTCCCGCCTAGTAATGTTCCAGCTTTACCCCAGCCTTAATCTTTTAAAATGTATATTTTCCTTGGTGTTGATTTTAAAGTAATTCGTATGTATTTATTACACTGGGTTTGTTGCAGTAAGCCACCTCGAATGTTGCTGTAGAATTAAAGTAAGCAAATAAATGTGTGGTTCTCCACGGAGTTACTAACTCTTAAAAAAAAAAAAGTCCAAATGTCATTCCCAACTCAGCTTCAAGGAAAGTCTCCTCTAGACTCCACAGGGTAGAAATTCCTGTTGATGGCACCTTCAGAAGGTAAGAAAGGAACTCTTCCTCCACCATGCCTGACCCATCTTTGGGTTTTAGGCATTGGCCGACTGATAAAGGCAACTCTGAGAGTACAATCCATGTATAGATGACCGATAGTCATATAATAGGAATCTCACCACACCTGAGAGAGTGGGATAGATTCCCTCATTTTCATAGTTTGGGCATCTGAGTCCCTGAGAGCCTGAATGCCTGACATGGATTCTCCAAGAATGTTGACCTTGAGACTCTAAAGGGCCCCGGGTCTCCTGTGAAGCCCCCTGTGCATGCACCACACCCGCAGAGGCTCCACAACGGCGGGAAGAGCACCCAGGGTCAGAGCCCAGGCGAGTTCACACTCGGGGACCATCCACATCCAGGGCGTGCAGAGGAGGGGCCGAGGTGAGAGCCCAACCCCTGCCTAGGCTGTGGTGACTGGTGGCTGCACGGGGGTCCCAGCGCTCCTGGAGCTATCATTCTTTATCTCCTGAAGACCCCGGACCTGCATATACCAAAACTCTGCATTTCTGGTGGAGCAGTCTTCTCTTTTGAGATGTAAACACTACTTCTCGAATCTTAAAGCCAGCCATTGCCACTCCTAAGGGATAAGCCTCTAACTCCACTGAAATTAGCCTCAGAATTTCAGCTGAGCATTTGGAGCCACAGGCAGGAAGTCGGTGGGATTTGTACCTGGCTGATCTGGAAGGTGGTCCTGAAAGGTAGTGTGTGACTAGGTGGGCTCTATCCTGATGAGAGGAGAACGAGACAGATGGGAAGGTTCCGAAAGTGAATTTCAGTGGGCCCTGTGCCCAGCACTAGGATTTGGAAAATCTTTTCCCAGCCACTTTTGGCCTGTGGGTTTTCATTCTGCTTTCCTGTCTGCCAAGCCACTGCAGGCAATCCCTTCATTTGGTAAACATTTATCAAATACCTACTGTGCGCGGGGCGTTGTTTTAAGAGGAGCTGGGACTGAGGTAAGAGGAAATAAACCCTCCTTGCCCTCAAGGCATGCCCAGTCTTGCTCAGGCAGAGATCAGTAAGGAAATTATAACACAAATTGAGAGAGAAAAAAGGAAGAAACTGGTCAGGCGGGCAGTTATGGTGGGTCCTCAGTTGAATTATTTCAAACAAAAGAACGGCCTGCAGGCACAGAGAAGGGAACTTGCACAGGGGGGCTTGCCTAAGACATGCCCACAGCTGCACAAATAAGAAAGGCTGCACAGGAGACTTGCCCAGACATGCCCGCAATGGAAAATTCTGTCCCCCGATACATGGGCAGTCAGGGAAACAAAGCAATATGGAGTAACTCAAGCTAAGCGCCTGCATGGGCACTAGGAGGATGGGGTGGAGCTACCGGAAATTTGTGCCTTATGCAAATGAGACACCCAGCCCTCATCAGTTTCTTGTAAAAGCCTTTGCATTCAGCTGTAAAAATGGCAACCATCTTCCAAGCCCCCTCTCCGTGGGGGAGAGCTTTCTTCTTTTGCTTATTAAACTTTTGCTCCAACCTCACCCTTTGTATCCACGCTCCTTAATTCTCTTGGTGGTGAGACAAAGAACTCCAGGTAACACCTCACAAGGAGAGACTGAGAGGCTGCTATGTTGTGGTGCATTGGCAAGACTAACAAACTGGCTAGTGGGACATGCACACTTGCTTGGTAGACATATATGTAGATCTTCAGCTCTGACTAATGAAGGAATACCAAAAATCTCATAAAAGAAAAAATATTATTTGAGCTTTGTTTTGTGGTGTAAGTGGGAGCCCCACAGGCACCCAGGATAGGAGAGCTTTGCTCAGAATCCAGGAAGTGAACATCTTTCCCTGGGCCAGGCCAAGAATGAGACTAAGCTGATTGAGGAGCCTGGTGCCTCCTGGCAAGAAAGGGTGTCTGACACCTGACTATCCAGAAGTCACAGCTACTCAATATTGAGACTTGAAACAGAGAGAGAGAGAGAGAGAGAGAGAGAGAGAGAGAGAGAGAGAGAGAGAGAGAGAGATCTGATTTGAAAAGCAGAATTCTGCTGGGGGCTTGTTAAATGCAGAGTTTCTGATACAGTAGGTCCAGGCCAGGCCCTGAAGATTGCATATCTAAGTTCCCAGGTGATGCCAATGCTGCTTCCCCCAGGACCACACTTTGAGAACCACCACCCTAAGGCAATCTGTGTTGGTTTCTAATATCAGAAGAGGGCTGGGAGTGGGCTGGGAGGCAGAGGTGTAGGATCAGTGAGACCACACCTGACCCACCCTGGACAGCTCCCCACCCCAATCTTGCAGCATTTTATTTCCTGGGAGTCCTGGGAATGGAAGACACCCAGGAAGGGACCAAATGTGGGGTCACAGGGTGATCCAGAGGCTCGGCTTCATACAGCACCTGGGGCTCCCGCCACTCCACAACTGGCCCCCACACCCTCAGTCTTCCCACCCCTCACGACACTGACCTCCAGACCTTCCTCGACTAATCTCAGCAGGTTGGGCCTGGGATGTGACACTAGGAGCTCTGAGTGTACCTTCTGATCCAAAGATAGGGTGACCGCGTATGACAAGTACTCAGATGGGCCATTAATAGGACCTTGAACATTTGGCAAATGGCTTCAGTCACGTGTGCTTGAGAATTCCAGTGTTTTCTAGATATGGCATCCATGAGCCCACACAAACACTAGAGGGCGTCGTGAGCATACTGAAACCCATAACTGCTGCACTGGATCCCCTAGAATCCCTTTCCCACTTAGACCAAGATTTGAACAAAATTTCCTTCACCAAACAAACTGCATTTAATTAATCATGCTGTTATTTTACCTTGTAATGGAAAAAAGATAGATGTAAAGAAAGATCATGCAATTAAAAAGAAAACAACGTACTGAATTAAAATGGCGGTAAACCTCCTTGTTAAAGGAATAATATAATATTTAGAAAATTTTTAAAATTTATTTTAATAAAGGTAAAAAAATTCTATTAGTTTTTAAAAGGTTTTTCATTTTGAATTTTTTTGGGGTTTATTTGGTTGCCCTAGGAATTATCTTTTATTTCTTGATATAGTTCAAAATTCAAAATTCAAAATGTTCAAAAGGTAAAATGTCTCTTTCTTACCCTGTCTCATCCCCAACAGGCAACCAGGGATATCTTCTTGCTTATTCTTCCAAATATATTTTATGCATATGCAAGCAAATATAAATGTGTATATATATCTCTTTGTCCCTTTTCACACAAATTTTAGCAGACTCTATATGTTATTCTACACCTTGCTTTATTTCTTCTTAACAATGTATCATGGAGACCATCCCATGAGGGAATATCAAGAGTTTCCTATGTCTTTCTTCTTTTGTGTTAAATGTTTGTAGACTCTGCCGTGTAGATATGCAGTGCTTGTTTGGGTTTTCTTAGGAAGGTAGGGAGGCCTCCTCATGTTACCCAGAGTGGAGTAGAGTGTATTCACAGGTGAATGCTACTGTGCCCAGCTTGCAATGCTTTTTTAACTAGTCCGCTAGTGACAGATATTTGGATTATTTTTTCTTTTATCTTTCATTTTCTTTCTTCTTTCCTTTTTGATTTTACAAACAGGGTTGCAACATATAATTCTGAATACAGTCATTTTTCAGGAATGCAGGTGTATTTTTGGACACATTTCTAGAAGTGGGACTACTGGGTGTATGCATTTTTAATTTAGACAGAAATTGCCGTACTGCCTTTCCTGAAAACATTTCCAGTTTGCAGGCCCATCTGCAATATATCAGAGTACCTGTTTTGGTACCATTAGTTTTTTGATTATAGAAATATGTAGAGATATATATTTGGGAGCCATCTGTGTCTAGACGATATTTAAAATCCTGGGAGTGGAGGACACTAGAGTGATTGGGAGGCAGTAAAACCCCACAGTGCTCCAGCATCTACAGCAAAAGGAGCCAATGAAGGGGGACTGAGGCGGAGCAGCTAGTTGGGGAGGAAGATAACTTGACCTGTAAAATATCAAAGAAGATTTTAAAGGGGGGAGTTGATACAACCTCTTCAGAGAACAATTTGACATCCTATAACATCACATGGTAAAAGCACAGTAATCCCATTCCTACATCCGTATCTTGGGGAACTCACACAGGGGACCAGAGAGAGATGACCCAGGATGTTCATTGTGGCAGTGTCTGTAACAGAAACAAGCTAAAGGTCGCTGACAGGAGAAGAGATAAATTGTGGGATATTCCTCTCATAAATACTATCCAGCACTGAAAACAAATGAACTGTTTCTATGGGTGTGTGGGTTCACCTCATAGACCATATTAAACGATAAAGCAAGCCACAGAATGATACATTCAACAAAAAACAATTTTTACAAAGTCTAAAATCATGTCAAACGAAAGGATTTAAAAAACTTTGTAGCCCGGGCGCGGTGGCTCACGCCAGCACATTGGGAGGCTGAGGCGGGCGGATCACGAGGTCAGGAGACCGAGACCACCCTGGCTAACACAGTGAAACCCCGTCTCTACTAAAAATACAAAAAAATTAGCCGGTCGTGGTGGTGGGCTCCTGTAGTCCCAGCTACTTGGGAGGCTGAGGTAGGAGAATGGCGTGAACCCGGGAGGCGGAGCTTGCAGCGAGCCGAGATCGCGCCACTGCACTCCAGCCTGGACGACAGAGCGAGACTCCGTCTCAAAACAAACAACCAAAAAAAAAAAAAACACTTTGTAACAATATAAAGGCATTCACCAAATTCAAGACATCCGCCTCTCCCCACTGGCAGTCCAGTACTCAGTACAGTAGTACTGTACAGTACATAGAGTACTGTACTGTATGTGTTTCAACGGAAACACATGCATAACAGAACTGTGGAGAATCAGGGCTATCTGCATATATTTCTATTATTTTCTATGTATACTACATATAGCCAATAATATTAAAATGTTACAAATTGACAAACCTGGGTAGGGGCTTCACAAAGATTTCTTTTAATTCTCTATTCTTCCAGCTAGAACTACCTCATAATAACTAGCAGCAACATGGATGGAACTGGAGGTCAGTATGTTAAGTGAAATAGACCAGGCAAAGAAAGACAAATATCACATGTTCTCACTCACATGTGAGGACTGAAAAAAAGTTGATCTTATGGAGGTGGAGAGCAGAATAATAGTTACCAGAAGCTGGGAAGGGTGTGTGGGGGATCTGGGAGATAAAACGAGGTAGCTTAATGGGTACAAAGATACAGTTAAATAGGAGGAATAAATTCTAATATTCGATAGCACAGCAGGCTGGCTGTAGTTAACAACAATGTATTGTGTATTCCACAATAGCTATAAGAGTGGATTTGAAATTCACCCAACACAAATAACTGATAAATGCTTGAGGTGATGAGTATCCTAAATATCCTGACTCAATCATTTCACATTCTACACATGCATGAAAATATTATGTGTACCCCAAAGTATGTATAAATATTATGTGCCAATAATTTTTATTAAAATACCAACAAGCTCAGTACAATAAGGAGTATTTTAAAATGATACAAAAATTATTTGTGTGATAATTTGGCAAATATTTCCTGTTCATTAACATCAATTTTTTCTCCTATAAGTATAAGGAGAATAATACCTAAATAGCATCAGAAGTGGTTGCTTTCCTGAAAGAGAATCCTTTTCCCAGTTAAAAATACAGAATCAGAATCACTAAAGTAAATAGGACTTTGGAGAACTACATAGCACTGGGTCTTGCTGCCCTGGGGCGGCCAGGCTCAGGGAGTGCTCACCTTCCAGGGAAAACTAAACTTCGGCTCCCTTGTTTTGGTAGTGTTCTTTTTTTTTTTTTTTTTTTTTTTTTGAGATGGAGTCTTGGTCTGTTGCCCAGGCTGGAGTGCAGTGGCGAGATCTTGGCTCACTGCAAGCTCTGCCTCCTGGGTTCACACCATTCTCCCGCCTCAGCCTCCGGAGCAGCTGGGACTACAGGCACCCACCACCACGCCTGGCTAATTTTTCTTTTTGTATTTTTAGTAGAGAAGGGGTTTCACCGTGTTAGCCAGGGTAGTCTTGATCTCCTGACCTCGTGATCCGCCCGCCTCGGCCTCCTAAAGTGCTGGGATTACAGGCGTGAGCCACTGCGCCTGGCCTTTGGTGGTGTTCTTATTGCAAGACCAACATTTCAAAATATCAACAGAGTCCAGCCAAAGGGTTGTATTCTCTTTTATTTCTTATAATATGCACCGCCAAGGATGGCGCAGACTCTTATGGGCTAAACTGTGTCCCTGTACACATATTTTGAGGCCAATGTTGACAAGATAGAGGGAGAAGATGGCCATCTGTAAGCCAGAGACAGGCCTCAGGAGCAGTCAGCCCTGCAATACATTCCATCGTGGACCTGTAGCCTCCAGAACTGGGAGATAATACATTTCTACTGTTTAACTTACCCAGTCTGTGCCACTTTATTATGGAAGTCTTAGCAAATTAAAACAGAGATATCACCTTTTCTACCCTGCCCTACATATGAAAATGAGATTTTTCAAGAGTATGAATTATGTAGGATTCCAAAGCATAGAACGGATAGATTGAAAATTGACAATGGCAGGTGATGTAGAGTTTGGGCAGATGTAGGCTGGCTTCCAAGCCTCCGTGGTCCCATGGTCACCACACAAAGGTGGAGATGTTCTCATTCCTTTTCATTTTCACTTGGAGCAAAACATGTGGGTCCACACTGGTATATGATCAGAAGATATATTTAACTGATTTGAGATATTGAGGTAGAAAGTCTTGCTGTGCTTTTATAGAAAGATGAATGATAATTATCATCACTAAAGGGGCTTTTAGGCAGGGTGTTGCTGGCATTATGTTTTCCTCCTACTTTTAAGGTGCATGTTCCTAAAAAAGCCCTGTCTAGGAGTAAAGGCCATCACTTAAATTTTTCTGTTTCTGCGGCCGGGCGCGGAGGCTCACGCTTGTAATCCCAGCACTTTGGGAGGCC
This sequence comes from Homo sapiens, assembly GCF_000001405.40. Taxonomy (NCBI): domain Eukaryota; kingdom Metazoa; phylum Chordata; class Mammalia; order Primates; family Hominidae; genus Homo; species Homo sapiens. The sequence continues at coordinate 2,959,261 of NT_113891.3, read as the reverse complement.
GAGGCGGGCGGATCACGAGGTCAGGAGATCGAGACCATCCTGGCTAACATGGTGAAACCCCGTCTCCACTAAAAATACAAAAAATTAGCCGAGTGTGGTGGTGAGCGCCTGTAGTCCCAGCTACTCGGTAGGCTGAGGCAGGAGAATGGCATGAACCCGGGAGGTGGAGCTTTCAGTGAGCCGAAATCGCTCCACTGCACTCCAGCCTGGGTGACAGAGCAAGACTCTGTCTCAAAAAAAAAAAAAAAAAAAATTTTCTCCACCTGTCAACTCATTGGTCCTCACTTCATTTCAGTAAGGTTACCGGAATGTCTGTGTTTATCCAGGATTCACAGATGAGTTTAAAAGTCCCTAGTGGTAGAGAGCTTCTCCCGAGGTCACACGGCAACCGAGTGTGGTGGAGCAATGACAGGCATGTGGCAACCTTGGTCCGTACTCCAGTTCTCTAGGTGCCATGAGAATTGCAGCCTTTGGTTCATTTTCTATTATTATTATTTTTTTTCTGAATGAGTGAAGGAAAATGTGTGTTGAGAACAAAGTGCCAGAGACCTAAGTCCATTCCTTAAACCTGCAGGGTTGGGGCCTGGAGAGACAGAGGCTGCCACTGATTCTCTGAATTCCAGCTTCCGTTGTCAGTCACGCAGCTGAAAGCAGGAAGAAGCTCTCTCTTCTGCACTTGGAACAACAGGGTGAAGATGACAGAGAGTCCCACATCTACCATGGAAAAGGCAATTGTCCCTAAATCATGCCAAGTTTTCTAATGACATGTGTTTTCCCGCAACATGTAACTATATGTCCTCCCTTCAAGCACCAGTTATCACAGTACAAACACAGCAACAGCATAAAGGAATGACTACTGAGCCTGAAGCTCTGATGGATGCTCTGAGTTGAGACTTTGTTTTATACTTAGGTACCTGTGAGTCATTGCAGAGTTTTGCCTGACTCCACCATGACCCAATTTGATCAAGGTCTATATGCTATGAGACCTCTCTAGTTCCTCATCAGAAATTATAATGAATACCATGTCCAGCTCCTGAGGTGCCTGATGGCAACGAGCGGCAGCTCCTCTTGGGGCAACACTTTGGGGGTGACCAAGGCCTCACAGACCTCACTACTGCTGGGCTACATGGCCCAAGGCTCCTGGGAGCAATGGATCGGTGGTCTTGGATTCGCCTCAGACATTTAATGACATTTGTTCTTGGGCTTTCACAAGTGGTCTCTGGTTGAGATGGAAGGAAAGGACGCAGGGACACAAAATCTCTGACTGCCCAGGGACCACCTCACCGTCCTCACTTCCACTCAAGACGACATGGCCGTTCCACTAAATTCCCGAGGACATGGCCAACATGAGTAACAACACAGGGAAGTGCCTTACACAGAGTTCCATGGAAGCCCGGCTAGTACCCTCTAGACCATTTACCTACACCTGTTGGGATCTCTCTAGCATGAAATGCTCCAGAGGCAGTCATGCCATAAGCTTGGATCCTCCAGCCATTGAGTGTGAGGGTCTTAGCCCGGTCTAAATGAGCACTGAATTCTAGAGAGACCAAGGGACCGTCTAAGTTCTGAATTCTGAGTCCTGAATCCTGGAAGTTGGCTTCTGGCCAGGGAGCAGGTGTTACTGCCTCTGATCCACAAAAGCAGCCCCACAGCTCAAGTTGCTCTTCTGGATTTCTCCCCTCTCCTGGTTCCTGGCCAGGCAAATCTTCACTGCTTTGTTAGCCCATCCATTTGCTCAACCAGATTTTTCAAATATGTATGTTTTCCTCCTTTTCCCATTGTACTCAGTGGAAGGAATGGTCTAAATTACCTAATCAGCAATTCCTGGAAACCAAGCCACCATGTACATACAATCTTATACATTAATGTCACATACAAGAAAGAAAATGCAGAGGTACCAGTAGTGGCTACCTAAGCAGTGTAATGTAGAGGTAATAAAAACGAATTGTTGGATAGTATCTATCTATGCCATGAGTAAAATACATATCAATAAATTACAACTTCTAAGAAAATAATCTCTATATGTAATATATGACTATGACTCTGATAGACAAACCTCGGAGTATTGTCTGAAGACACTTCTCATCACCTTCACCTCATGAGCCAGATGGTGTGAAATGAGGAGCAGAGATTTGAAATGTGTGGCAAGCCTCTCTGCAAAGCAGCAGAGTAACATTCTACATGAGCGAATCAAAGCAATCTCACAAATGACATTGGATGTGCGGTGTGGGATGTGTGTCCTTATTATAATGGAGTTAATCCTTTAAGTAGGTAATCCTTTTACATGAACTGGATTCTAAATGACTTATTAGCTATCAATTAGCCAGGAATTTTTCCCTTTACTAAAAGAGAGACCCTGCCATGAACCAGCATTTCCCAGGTGGAGGTCTCTGGCAGACATCAACTTCTAACAGGGTAAATGTCCTGTTTCTTTAGTCAGGGAAAACTGACTTTCACAAGTGGTCTCTGGTTGAGGGATCCCATTTTGAGTGGGGCATTTGCCAAGTCACTTCTCCCTGTTCCTGCTGGGGCTGGGGATGATGAACCGAGTGAAGACACAAACTCTGAGAGGGAACCAGGCAGACAGGCAGACTGACAAGGAGGGCACTGCCTGGTCTAGTTACCATTCGCACCCAGTCAGAAGAGGTGAAGGGTGAGAGAGGAGGCTGCTGGGAACTGGAATATTAGCAGCCAGGAAGGCCAAGAAAGTGCAGGCTGACAGTATAGGCCAGAGGCTGGAGACCCTGGGAGGGAGCTTTGTTGTTCCCTCTGAGCCCCAGGGTGCAGGAGAGGGTCCTTTTCACCAGGGAGCTTCAGCCTTCAGGATGATTTCTGGGCTCTGCACTCCACTGATCCTCCATGAGGACTTTAAACAGCAAGATGAGGTACACAGGGCCCTAGGAATCTGATTCTCATATACCCTGAAATACCTTTACTAAAAATATCATCCCTATGTTTTGCTTATTTCTTATAACATATAAAACATTAAGCCAAACCACCGTACAGAATTTATTAATATGTAGATATGAGGTGTCTGGTGACAGATCCTCCAAGTTATTTATATCAGAGGAAGAAAGTGGTCTGGCTGCATTCACAGATGAGAACAGCAGGGTAGCAACACTCAGGACCATGACACTGGGTGCTCCCAACCCCGAAGGGAAGCGTCTCACTGTACACAGATGGCCAGGAGAGTGATCACAGGGTCCTGTGTTATCTCCTCCTCCTCCTCTCCTGGGTCCTGGGCTTCACTTCCTAATCTCAGCTGGTAGCAAAATTAACTTGGTATTCAAGACCCTTATGGCCCCTCTTCACCATAGCATCTCATCAGGTCTCTTTCCTCATAAGAATTTCAGCACAGGGGTGTACTCTAGAAATATCACCATGGAAGGGGTGGCAGAGGCAGCTCATCTCTAACTCCTCAAATAGAGAGGATGGAGCCACAGTCCTGTGCCTCACCCATCCCATGGTCCTGCCTCAAATACAGCCTCCTGCAGGCTGCTGGGTCCCCTTTATTGTCATTCTCCAGATGGTGACAGGGTCCCAGGCAGACGTGCTCACAGCTTCCTTGGGGCCTGATGCCAACAGGAGTTGAGGCCAGGGAGCAGCTTTGGGCTGTACGGATCTTTGGATTTGAAGGTAGGGGATGGTGATGGGCTGCCCATAATGCTCTAGGTGTAAAGGCTGAGAGCGGCTGAGCGGGATCTGGTCATTACCATGTTCTCCACAGTTTGAGAGCTGCCTTGTGCAGACCAGCAAGAAGCAAGACACAGATAGTTCTCAGCCCCCTTATATCTCTGTGGACCCCGACTTTTCTTCCCCCAGCTGCTGTCCTCCCAAGCACAGCCCCGGGAGGATGTAGGGAGAGGGACCCATTCCCCTGATGCCCCAGAACCCCTTTCATGTAATCCCAATATCCAGGCCTGGGGTCCCCTTCTTTGGATCGACCTTTCTTTTCTTGGAATGAAAGGGTTACAGGGTCTCCCTCCCAGATCTCCACTGTGACTCACTCACCCTAAATAGATGTCTTGCTCTACAGTTATCTTCTGCATAGTGTTTTCTGAAGATGTGATAAAATATTATAAGCCATTAATAAAACATGGAAGTTAGGTTCTCTTTTTGGATTCTGAGGATCTGCTGTGCTGGGGCAGGGGCAGGTGGGGAGAGAAGGGCAGGTGGAGGGGCAGGAGCTGAGTGGTGTGCGGCCTCGCTCTGTGCTCAGTAAAGCTCCTGCTGTGGTCATCTCTTGTGTATTTGTCTGGATCCCTCCATGTGCTGGGATTTGTGCCTGGTCTTTAGGGGCGGGTGCTGCTCCAGGTCGGAGGCCTCACACATCTCCAGGCTGAGCCTTTCTCCAAGTCCATGGAGGTCGCGGGCTGAGAATGGCCAGTCCCACTCCTGCCTTGAGTTTCACTTTATTTGGCATATTTTTATATGTTGATCTGATCCTTCTCACAAGGGATGTTTATGAGCATTATTTCATAGGAGAGCCACTACCATTCCGCCGTGGCCATGCTCTGTCCCTGACACCAGGATCCTGGGTGCTTTGTTTTTGTTCTCCCCTAAAGTCCCGGGACAGCCTCTGCACGTGGGGCTTCTCAGATGACACAGATTGATGATTTCCACCTTAGCCTTCTTTCCTCTTCCATTTCCAGAATACTTCTATTTTTTTCTTTTATTATACTGTCAGATTTTCAAGTTAAGGGCTGGGCACAATGGCTCACACCTGTAATGCTAGCACTTTGGAAGGCCAAGTCAGGGGGATTGCTTGAGGCCAGGAGTTGAAGACCAGCCTGGGCAACATAGCAAGACGCTGTCTCTATGAAACAAATCGAATTAACACCATGAATACATGTGTTATTGTCATGTCATAAATAAATTCTTGTCACTTCTTCTGTGGGACAGTCAGGGTCCTGGCAGGAAAGAGATGACAAAGAAAGAAGACACACATTACAGAGGTGCTGGCAGGCCTAAGAAAGCCACAAGGGGTGCTGAAGCTCCCTGGGATGATCAGTGGCAGGAAACTGTTTCCATCTCTGAGTTGAAAGAACAAGGAAGAGGGAGCAGTTTCCAGAACTCACGGAAATCTGTAGCTTTCACTAGGGGCAGCCCCGCAGGCCTGTGGCTGTAGGTAGAGGACGGCAATGATTACAGAACCGCAGAGCTGTCCAAAGGGAGTGAGGGAAGTGAAAACCCTGAGTTACTTCTCCCCCCACGCTCCCATCTCCTGCAGGTGCCTGTTATCATCCACACCCAAGCAGAAGCAGGTGGTGCAGGAGCACAGGCCGTGCTGTCTCTGTGGTGCCCCCAGTGCAGGGGGCAGGATGGAGGAGAGTGAACCACAGCTCTGTGGAGGGGAAGCAGAGAATAATGCACTCACCTGCTTACGGTGTTCACATTCTTCAGGGAATTTACTTAAATATACCAGAGTTTGTTCTAATCCAAAAATATGACTTTAAAAAGAAGTATCTCACTTATAAATGCATAGCAGGTAGTAAAATTGAGTATTACCTCACTCTCCTTCCCTTTCCCCACATGGGACTGTATAACTCATAAATGAATAACTTGATTTATTATTATTTTTTTAAAATAACTTGAATTATTTGGGTGTAAGCCATAAAAGCAGAGTCTGGCTCAGATCAGCAAAGGGAAGTTGTTGGGCAGCTGGCGGTGCAGTTCACAGAATCACAGATACTTTCAAAGTACCAGGACAGCACCGAGGAGCAGGCGGCAAGCCCTGACCAGTCTCGTTGGACTAGACCATGGAGTGAAAGAATCGTCACTGATACTGATAGCTTGTGACTGCTGATGCTTTAAATTCTGAGACAGTTTACCCAAATGGCTTAGTTTAGATCTCATGCATTTCTTATTTTCTTGTGATTTAATTTCAGGGATAGAGTCAATATCTTCCCTTAAGGGAAGTTCCTTTCCTGTTTATCTTGTTAAACTAGGTGGAAGGGGAAGACTTTTTCAAGTTCCCATGGACCCATATACATCATGACATCAATCTAATTGCTCTCATCCAGTGATACGGTTTGGCTGTGTCCCCATTCGAATCTCAACTTGAATGGTATCTCCCAGAATTCCCACATGTTGTGGGAGGGACCCAGGGGGAGGTAACTGAATCACTGGGGCCAGTTTTTCCCGTGGTATTCTTGTGATAGTCTCACGAGATCTAATGGGTTTATCAGGGGTTTCCGCTTTTGCTTCCTCCTCATTTTCTCTTGCCACTGCCATGTAAGAAGTGCCTTTCACCTGCCGCCATGATTCTGAGGCCTCCCCAGCCATGTGGAATTGTAAGTCCAATTAAACCTCTTTTTCTTCCCAGTATGTCTTTATCAGCAGCGTGAAAATGGGCCAATGAGAGGGGCTATTTCCTCCACCACCAGTGGCGCTGTGGGAGGCTCTTCTGCACCCATATTGCAGCTCAAACCCATTAAAAGGGGAATCAGAGAGCTGGGCTAGGCATTTCCCTTCCCTACACTACAGGAATCCTAGTTGTGTTTCCCTTCTGTTTGATAGACTTAAATCTAGATAGTCACTAAGTTGCTGTGTGGTCACGTTTTGGAGAGAAAGGAAAGCAGGCAGGAGTGAGGACACTGGCACCCCAACTGCTGCCTGTGGGCACCTGCACATTCATGCTCCACTCTCACACTCACACTTACACACGTGTACACACACTCCAATTCCCACTTGTGCACACATGCACACACGTGTGCAGCCACACACACACACTCAAGTCAGCACTGGAGGATGACACTTCCCAACACCCTTGTACCCACGTGCCATTCTTGGGGATTTGTGCGGCTGGAGGCAGGAGGTCCTGAGGAGGCACCACCAGGGACTACCACCAGGGGGAGGGTTGAGTGAGTGGGGTCCTGCCAAGGCACTGGTGGATGGGATGATACCTACGGGATGCACTGGCAGGGGCAGATGTTTGCTCCAAGGCCATCTCCCTTCCATCTCCTCTCCCTGCTCAGGCTCAAAGCCCTGACCTGAGGCCCAGCTAGAAAGGCAGAAGGCATCCTCCCACACAGAGCACACAGCTCCTTCCCTGCATCAGAACCCTCGGTGGCACCATCAAGTTGGACAGATATAGTCAGGCGAGGTGGGGGGTCACTGCAGAGGACAAGAAGGTCCTGTCCTGGAATCTGCAGCCAAACACCTTTGGCCACAGACTGAAGGCTGCACTGTCAGCTTCCCTACTTTTGAGGTTTTGGGACTTGGACTGATCCATCACTGGCTTTCTTGCACCTCAACTTGCAGACGGTCTGTCGTGGGACTTCACCTTGTGATCGTGTGAGTCAATTCTCCTTAATAAACTCCCTTACATATGTACATACATCCTATTAGTTCTGCTCCTCTAGAGAACGCTGACTCACACAGTGGGTGAGGCAGGGAGTTGCGTGAGCTGCCCAAAAGCCACCAGGAGCCACTCTCTCCAGGCTTTGGCCTCACTTCAGTGCCAGGCCCTGCCACAGCCCTTGCCCCCATCCTACTCTGCCACCCCCAGCTCCCTCCCAGCCTGACCCCAGACAGAATCCAGAACAACTCCTGTTCCTGACCTGAAAAATGTTCTTGCCAGTTTAGGCAGAACTTGCTTTAGAGCCCTGGTGTCCAGCCCGCCACAGGTCTTGTGTCTGTTTCTCTTGGCACTGTGTCTTTTCTCACTTATTCTTCTGAAACTCTGCAAGGCAGGAATTATGTCACTGGTTTGCAGATGAGGAAACTGGCTCAGATGGTTTCATTCAGCACTCACTCACTGGGCAAGTGTCTGTCGGGGCCAGCTCTGGGTCAGATGTGCTCAGGCCTCTTCAGCTGGCTGGTGGGAGGACCTGGAGGGTTCATGCCCAGGTCCAGGCCCATCTGACTTGAAAGCTTTTCCTGACTTTGCTTCAGTGCTGATTTCCCCTTTGCAGGTGCACCTTCCACTGTGCTTTCCTTTATTACTGTTTGCTGACACTGCATTTTTTCCTTTGCTTTTTCTTTCTTTCCATCTTTCTTTCTTTTTTCTTGCTTTTTTATTTATAGACCGAATGTTTGTGGCAACCCTGTGTCAAGCAGGTCTATTTGGCACCATTTTTCCAACAGCATGTGCTCACTTCATGTCTCTGTGTCACATTTTGGTAATTCTTGAAGTATTTCAACCTTGTTCATTATTACACCTGTATGGTGACCTGTGGTCAGTGATCTTTGAAGTTACTCTCGTAACTGTTTTGGGACACCATGACCCACACCCTTATAAAATGGTGAACCTTATTGATAAATGTTGTGTATGTTGTGACTTCTCCACCAACTGGCTGGTTTCTTGACTCTCTCTCTCTCTCCCGGCCTTCCCTATTCTGTGAGACACAAAAATATTGAAGGCAGGCCGATTAGTAACCCTACAATGGCCTCTAAGTGTCCAAGTGAGGAGAATAATCTTGCTGCAAACTTCGTTGTGTTATTTTAAGAAATTGCCACAGCGATTTCAGCAACCACCCTTCTGATCAGTCAGCAATTATTAACATTGAGGCAAGACCCTCCACAGCAAGAAGGTTAGGATTAGCTGAAGCCTCAGGTGATTGTTAGCATTTTTTAGCAATAAAGTAGTTTTACATTAAGGTATGTACATAGTTCATTTTGTACATAATGCTATTGTACACTTAAGAGACTACAGTCAAGTGTAAATATAACTTTTATATGCACTGGGAAACTGAAAAATTTGTGTGACTTGCTTTGTTGCCATGGTCTGGAGCCAAACCTGCATATATCTGAAGTATGACTGTAATTTCCCTTTCCCTCTTCTTGCTGGCCCAGAATGACCTTGTTTCTTGCCCCTGTCTAGCCCTGCATGCTGTAGGGGTTTGCCTTCTCTGGTAGGTCTGGGCACTTTGTATCCCTTGTAACTCTGGCTCCTGGAATATGACACTGGTACAGGGCTCAAGCTCTGTTGGACTAGTGAGCCTCCTCCCATTCTTCCTGAACTAGAACCAAAGCTCCGTGCACACACTGTGCATGTGTGAGCCTGTGTAGAGATGTCGGCTTCCTGCAGCGTGTTCTGAAGGGGTGTCCTGTTGTGACTGGGGGCACAGCCACAGGCCACTGGGCAGAGGTGGTTCAGAAGGGAGTGGATGGCCCCAGTTTTGATCATCTGAAAACAGGGAGGTCCTCAGAGAAAAACCAATGTCTTAGAAGGCAAAACTGCCCGAGAGTGGACAATGGCTAACCAGGTCACTACCTGGGACATCACTCTGCACTAGGAGGGAAGATGGCCTCTGCCATGGTATAGAGGTCCAGGAACCAGGCAGGGAGGCCTTCCCGGTGGTCAGTGCTTCTCACAATTGGTAGCTAAAGTATCTTTAGATGAGGCCAAAGGCCTCATGTTCCTCACTAGCTGACTTGTTCCCACTCAGTGGAAAAAGAACACAGAAACTTTGTAAAATGTTAGGGGAGAGGTACTTTCCCTCTTGACTCTTAGTGCTAGGGTTATGCATGACGCATACTTGCATTGCAATGTGTACACAGCTTAAAGTCTTAATTATTAGAATATAAGAGGCCCAAACTACTGTTTTTATACATATGTGAAACTGTACATATAAGGTTAAACAACCTGCAACCAGTTAACTTTGAAGATACATTTATCACATTTGTAGATTTTCAAACAATATTGGCAGGCATTTAGAAAAACAACAAATGAGACTCTTGCAAGACAATCTAAATTATACGCTGATAACATTGCTTCATGAAGAGGACATTTGAACCATCTGAGTTTCTGCCTTAGGTTATAACTCCAAAATGGACGAACCCCCAATAGTTTATAGCAGGCAGCCCCAAGCCACAAACAAATGTGTCAGTGCAGACCTGAGACCTGGAGTGAGTCCCCCTCCCCCAGGGACATGAGTGAATCCTCTAAGACCCCTCTTCCTCCAGGCCCTCCATCCAGTCATCAGGGAGACAAGAAAGGGTCCACACAGCACTGAGGCCCAACTATCTCACTGTCCTCACCTCCATGGACAGAGCCCAGGTGAAAGCCACCCCTGAGCCTCCTCCCTCGTCTCCCACAGCCTCAGCACCATCATCTGCCTTGAGTCCACCAGGACTGAGCTCATCATGCCTTTTCCCTGTTTGTGTCAGTCACACTGGGTCCCCCAAACACCCTGCATTCACATCCCCACAAGGCTCTGCACACCCCTATTTTGTCTCCCCATACCCCATTCCCAAATCCAGAAGTCTTCCCGCTGTGCCCCTTGGAATTCTCAGCCCATGATCAGCAAAACCTCCACATCCTGTCTCAGGATGTTCCTGGACCTCACAGCTCCAGCGATGTCTGTGTCTGCCAGAGGATGTGGTCCCTTCCAAAGTCCTCCCACATGGGGGAGTTTGCACAGGGACCTTGTACCCTTGGCCCAGAGGTGGGGTGGCATCCTCACTCCTCACTGTGGTTCTCAGACCTTTCTGCCTCCTTCCTTCCTAAGCCCCCAAAGCTGTCATCAGATTCAGGCCCCACTCCCCTCATTGCAGCCATTCCCTGTGGGCCCCAGGCCGTTCCTCTCAGTCCTGACTCTTGTAGTTCCTGGTTCACTATCGCCCTCTCCAGCAGTGCTGTCTCCTTGATCCTCGGTGACTTCAACATACTCAGATGTGATGGGCCGAGTAATGGTTCCCAAAGACATCCAATCTCAATCCTGGGCACCCACGAGTAGGTTGCATTACATGGCAAAAGGGAAAATACTGATGTGATGAAGATTAAGGACCTTAAAATTGCAAGATTATTTTGGACTATCTGTGTGGGCCCGATCAAATCTCACAAGCCATTAAAAGCAGAGAAGCTGCTCTGGCTGGAGTCAGATGCTGCAGAGGAGGAAGGCAGAGGAGACACCGCAGAAGGGGGAGGTCAGAGGTTCCAAGCAGGAGGATTGGATATGTTGCATGGGATATGTGTGAGGAACTGAGAGAGGGCTCTAGGAGCTAAGGGTGGCCCCTGGACAGGAGCCAGCAAGGAAGTGGGGATCTCAGTCCTATCTGCAAGGAAGTGAATTCAGACAAGAACCTGAATGAGCTTGACAGTAGATTTTTCCTCAGAGTCAGAAGGAACACAGACCTCCCCTTACCTTGATTTTAGCCCCATGAGACTGTTGAAATTGTAACACACATGACTGTGACATGATAAAGAGATGCTGTTTAAAGCCACTTGTTTTGTGTTAATTTTTATGGCAGCAATAAACACCCATAGAGCAGAGAGGATGCATCGCCCTCTGGCTTCTCAGATGCTGGGACTCCTCTCCTCCATGACCTTCTCCTCTCTCTGCCTGAATCTCATGCCCTTGTCATATAAGCATTATTTCGTAGGAGAGCTGCTATCATCCCGCCATGGCCATGGTCTGTCCCTGACACCAGGATCCTGTTGCTTTGTTGTTGTTCTCCCCTAAAGAGTCCTAGGTCTCATCATGGCCAAGAACCCCAGCCCTTCCATACTCTCTATCTCACACTTTCCATTCTCTGACCATCTTTCCACTCATCCCCTTGCACGGAGGCCACAGGCTCTGAGGATACTTATACTATCATTTTATCATATGCTGTGACGTAATATCAGTGAACCACTCATTGCCTATGTGCCTGCTTTCCAGGCTTGGAGTCTGCCCTGTAGTACATCAATTCCAACAATCCTTCCACCCACTCTGGGATTCCCAATCCAGTGATCCTGCCATCTACTCACTGTCCCTCACCCTTGATGTCCTCTCCTCCCTCTTCAGCCATTTTGAATTCTATTGTAAATAATTTCCATCCCTCCCTTGCCCCTCCCTTGCGTTGCCATACTTGTTTGGCAAAACTACACAGCTGGTGGAATCCACCTCTGCCTACACTGCACCTGCCCCCATGAGCTGAAGGAGGCTGGAAAGCAGCACACAGCATGCTGACTTCTCTCTCTAACTTCATGACCCAAACCTCATGGGGACCCCCCACCACGACCAGCAATCACCCTCTCCAAGCATGGCTCACCCTCAGCCTCCTACTGGTCTGGGTGACTCTCACACACCTTCTCTCTGCTCACACATCCAACCTTCTATCTGCATTCTTACTTCAGCTGATGACCTTGCTTCCTACTTCACTGAGAAAACTGAACACACTAGAAGACAATTTCACAGATTCCATCTGCTCATGCATTTGCAGCTGCACTGCATGCTGGGTCTTCTACCACATGGATGGTTGTTGTGGGTTAACCTTCCCGCTCCCAGCCAGAGCCAGTCCCTCTACTGGTGTCCCAAACATCATCCTTCTCATCTACTTAAAGGTATCAGTTCATCAGTTCATACCTTTTTTTCTCTTTGATCATTACCCTTTGTCCTTTCTCCCCACTGGATTGTTGTGGCAGTCTTGAGAATGCACATCCCAGCCCCTCAGCTAGAGGAAGCACAACTGATGATGCTCCAGCTGTTGCCGCCTGAAATCTATTGCTACGTTTGCTCTCAGACCATACTTGCCATTGGCTTCTTCGATTCAATAATTGAGAGAAGAGGAGAAACAAAGACAGGATTGTCCCTCCTTTAAAGGCCCACTGAGGCTCCAGGGCTCACCCTTACTGAACTTCTCTTAACCTGCACTGGGTCTAGGATACTTTCAGCCAAACTTCCTTCCCTCTCTCCTTCACTGGGGTTTAAACTTGCATTGCAGTCTGGTTGGGCACAGTGGCTCACGCCTGTAATCCCAGCACTTTGGGAGGCCAAGGTGGGCAGATCACGTGAGGTCAGGAGTTTGAGACCGGCCTAGCTAACATGGTGAAAACCCGCCTCTACTACAAAGACAAAAATTTGCCAGGTTTGGTGGTGCATGCATGTAATCCCAGCTACTTGGGAGGCTGAGGCATGAGAATCACTTGCACCTGGGAGGTGGAGGTTGCAGTGAGCTGAGATTGCTCAAAAAATAAAAATAAAAAAGCCACTTGCGCCACAGTCTTATGGCTTTCCCAGTCTTTTCTGTCTTGCTCCCCAATTTCTTACATGGCTATTTCCCCTAATAAATCCTGGCACATTTAATTCTGTATTGCAGTCTGCTCCTCAGGGGATGCTAACCAACACAAGTGGCTTCAGGAGTGGTCCATAGACACAGACAAAAACGGGGATTGGGGCTGAGCTTGCCCACTGCCTGGCAGGCCGAGAATGCCATCCACGTTGGTTGGGGACAGAGAAAGTCCATGGCACAAGGTGCAGCTGAGCTGCTGTGGATATCCCCAGCACGGACCTGAGAAGATGCCCTGGTTCCCGGGTGCTATGGCAGGTGGTGTGATAGAAGCCTCTACACAATAATGACAGGGTGGGAGGGAAAACCTACAACAGGGAAGCTGGCTGGTTACTGCTCAGCTGTGTTGATGCCCTATAAAAGGAGAATGAGAATCTGAGGGATTCTAACAGCTGTCACTGGCTACGTGTGAGGCCTCTGCAGTGTCTCATGGAGAGGCCCTTATTTCCTGTAGCGAAAGGGTAGATAGTGTGGAATGGTAGCTGAAGATATCATTGTGAGGGTTACAGACCTCCAGAGATGTTTGACATTCAGCCAAGGCAGGCCTGTTGTGGAAAATCAGGGCCCTGGTGGGGAAACATGAGATTCTGCAAACTAGGACAGCATTATCAGATGGGTGCCCTCCAGTACCCTCTGGGCATGCAGAGAAGGCTCGCCTTTTCCAGTAATAGTTCCCACTTCCTACGCTGGAAGATGCTGCAGAAGCCTCACCCTTATAATGCAGCGGGAATTCCACTCAGGAGCTTTGCAGGAACTAGCTGGCATGTCCACATAGGATCCTGGGGAACACTTCTGGGATTGGAATTTGAGGGCATTTGATCAAAGGGACAGAATTTCAAGCTAGATAGATAAAAATCCTTTGACTTGGGAACACTTTCTCAAGGCATGATGTATTAGTCCATTTTCATGTTGCTGATAAAGACATACCCCAGAATGGGCAATTTACCAAAAGAGGTTTAATGGACTCACAGTTCCATGTGGCTAGGGAGGCCTCAGAATCACGGCAGAAGGTGAAAGCCATGTCTCACGTGGCAGCAGATAAGAGAAGAATGAGAACCAAGCGAAAGGGATTTCTCCTTTTAAAACCATCAGATCTCATGAGACTTATTCACTATCATGAGAACAGCATGGGAAAGACCTGCCCCCATGATTTAATTGCTTCCCTCCTGGTCCCTCCCACAACACGTGGAAATTCAAGACGAGATTTGGTTGGGGACACAGCCAACCGTATCACATGGGTTTTTCAAAGACCCCAGGGCATGGGGCAAACCCACTGCTGGGGTGATCCATGTAGACTGGGAAAAAATGATGCCGGTATCTCACAAGCTAGACCTGACTTAGTTGCCCCGGAACATGTAGAAGAGGGAATAATGAGGCTGGGGGAATTTGGCCTGTGGGATGGAGACATTACGTGAGGCCGGAAAGCCCACCGGAACCGTGCTTTATAAGAGGACCCAGGGGGCCCACCTTCCACCAGAGCCTCAGGAACGTGCTGGCAACAGGGACCTGCATCACTAAGAAGTTTCATTGTATTGTTCTCTGAAGGCTGAGGGTGATGGTAGGAAAAGATGTCCCAGAGTTGGGCTCATTAATATCCACGGAGAGGGTGTGGCCCTGAAGAGATAGAGAACAAGTGGTGGCAGTGACCTGCAAAAGCCAGAGGACACGGTTACCATGGCAACCCCAGAGGAGCAGCCGAGGGGGCTTGACCTGCCTGCAGTTGTGGGTAAGGTTAATAGAGGGTGGTGTTCCAGGGTCAGAACAGAAGGGCAGCCAGCAAGAGCACTGCTTGGTATCTATGATAAGAAAGCAAGAATTGAGGAGCAGGAGGCTGAGGGTGTTTGAACCAATACAAAATCATGATCCATTCTCAGTGCCTAGATCTCAGCCAAGCTTCAGATTCAGAACCCAGTGACGGAGGAGGTGTCCATATTCCTAGGAGGAAGGACCCTGCAACCCTGTGGCAAGTGTATGCTGGGTCAATTCCCTGAGCCATTGTGCAAAGGGACCTACAGCCATTTACTTTAGAGACTGTACCCTGGGAAAGGGAAATAGGGAGAACTTGGGGGAGTACTGACTTTGGGTGTGAGATGACACTGATGCCCAGAGGCCCACAGCATCATCATGACCCCCTCACATTGGGGATTACGGAGACCACGAAATAAACCTGGACACATCACGGCTCACCATGGGGTCAGTGAGTCCACAGACCCAGCCCTGGTTATCTCCCCATTCTCCTAGTGCATAATTGACACTGATGCCCTGGCAGCTGGAGTCACCCCCACACTGCATCCCTAGTCTGTGGAGTAAGGGCTCTCATTGTGCTGAAGGCCAAAGGGAAACCTCTGAAATTGCCTCCATTCTGGCCAAATCAAAAATGATCGTAAGTCCCAGGGTGAATCTTGTGGAAGGCACTGCAAGTGCTGTGGGGGTAGCACCACCATTAGAGAGCTGGAGGATGTGGGGTGGTGTTGGGGTTGCCTATTATCTCCATGTAATTTAGCAAATAAGCCTGATGGGGCCTAAGGAATGAATGGGATTACTAAGGAATGAATGGGATTACTCCAGATGTGACCAAGTAGGAGTCCTGATTGCAGCTAGCATGCCGGCTGGATATATCTGGTAGAGCAGATTAATAAGGCCTCAGGCACACAGTGTGCAGCTGTGGATGTGGTGAGTGCATTCCCTTCCATTCCAATTAGAAGTGGATATAGCCCGGGTGTGGTGGCTCATGCCTGTAATCCCAGCACTTTGGGAGGCAGAGGAGGGCGGATCACCTGAGGCTGGGAGTTCGAGACCAGCCTGACCAACATGGAGAAAACCTCTCTCTACTAAAAATACCAAATTAGCCGGGCGTGGTGGCACATGCCTCTAATCTCAGCTACTCGGGAGACTGAGGAAGGAGAATAACTTGAACCTGGGAGGCGGACATTGCGGTGAGCTGAGATCATGCCATCGCACTCCAGCCTGGGCAAAAAGAGTGAAACTCTGTCCAAAAACAAAACAAAAACAAAACCAAAACCAGAAACAAAACATTAGCCAGGCATGGTGGTGTGCACCTGTAATCCAGCCTGGGTGACAGAGTAAGACTCTGCCTCACACACACACACACAAAAGTGGATATAAAGTGATTCATGTGGGATCCACAACACTTTAATTTATAGTTTGCCTCAGGGCTATTATAATTCCCCAGGCCTCTATAGTACAGTCTTAAGAGATCTGGAGAACCTGGATATACTATAGAATATTAAATTCCTTTATTTCATTGACAACATCATGTTGACTGGGATGGATGAGTAAGAGGAGGAAGGTACACTAGAGGCTTTGGTAAAACATCTTCTCTCCAGAGGGTGAAGATAAATAAACCTTACAGAGATTCAGAAGTGGCCACTGCAGTGAAGTTTTACAGGTCTAGTGGTTAGGGGCATCCAGGGGTGTCCCTTCCAATGTGAAAGACAAACTGTTGCATCTTGCATCCTCATGCAAGGAAGGAAGCACACTGCCTGGTGAGCCTGTTTGAGTTCTGACATCACATTCTACATGTAGGTGTATTGCTTTGACCCACACTCTAGGTGACATAGGAGGATGCCAGCTTTGAGTGGAGCCTCCACAGGAAAGGACACTGCAGCAGATCCAGGCCATGGCGCAGTCACCATCCTTCAGACCCCCTGGTGCTGAAAGTGCCAGTGGTGGGGTAAGATTTGGGGTGGAGCTGAACCAAGCACCAGTAGGAGAGTCACAGTGGAGGGCCTGGGATTCTGGAGTAAGGCCATGTCATCCACAGCACAGAAATATGCCCCATCCAAAGCAGAGAAATATGTTGGAAGCAACTTTTGGCATGTTACTGTAGGCCCTGATAAGATAGAATGCTTGACCATGGGACACAAAACAACCATGTGATTCCAAGTGCCCCTACGAATTAGCATCTGTGTAACTCATGAAGTCATACATTGGACATGCCCAACAGCATCCATCATGAGATGGAAAAGTTTCTTGTGAGTTGAGCCTGAATCCCATGTTAACATCCCCAGAAAACACCCAAACCTGAAATGGCCCTGAACAACCAAGCAGAAGCACTGAAATTAGCCAGCCTTCCCCATGGGTCAGCCCAGGCCGGGTAGGATGGGTACATAAATGGAGCAAACACAGTGGCAGGGATGAGGCTACCTATGGGTCCAACAGTACTGACTCCCTCCTACCAAGGTAGATCCAGACACTGCCACCTCTAAATGTCCTACTCATCAGCATTTGAACCCAATGATCTTCCCTGGTAGGGCTCTATTTCTTTAGGTGACCAACCAGACCCTAAGTGAGGAGTTGACTACATTGCACTCCTTCCATCCTGGAAGGGCCAGAGGTTCATCTTCACAGGGATAGGCACCTATTCCATAGGTGGGTTTTCCTGTCCTGCTCTCAGACCCTCAGCCAGCACCACTCTCTGGGGGCTGTTGATATTCCTGATCCACAGGCTTGGCACTGCTCTCCGTGCAGTATCTTCGTGGGGGACCCACTTGACAGCGAAGGAGGTGCAGTGTGGCCATGCTGTGGGACCCACTGGTCCTATCACCATCTGCACCAACCAAGGGCTGCTGGCCATAAAGAATGTTGAAAAGAGCTTCTATAGGCACAGCTCAACGCCAGCTTGCAGGAAGCACTCTGCGGGTGGGAGGGTGCCATCTTTCAGGACATGGTGCATTTTAAAAATCAAAGACATCTCTACAGTTCTGTAATCTCAGTAGGAAGAACACGTGGGTCCAGATACCAAGGGGTGGAAGTGGATGTGGCTCCATATCCCATTCCTTCAACTCACCTGTCGTGGGATTTTGCACTTCTCTCCCAAAACCACACTCTGCAGGGTAGAAGGTCCTGGATTCTAAAGGAGGGTACCCTTAAAAGGGGACAAACGAGTGCCCATTGAACTACACATTACAGCTGCCACAGGGGAATTGGACAGTATGTGTCCAGAGACCAGCGGGTGAGAAGAGGAGTCCCCTCCTCTCCAGGCACAGGTAATAGATCCTGATCCCCAGGAGGAGGCATGGCTGCTGTCACACAATGAGGGTAGGAGGAGTTCGTGTGGAACCCAGGGATCCCCTTGGGGGCCTCCTGGTTCCCCTTGTCCCATTGTAAGTGTGAGGAGAATCGTCCAGCCACCCAACCTGAGAGGGTTTGATTTCCAAGAGCCCAGACCCCTCAGGAAGGAAGATTTCAGTCGCATTTCCAGGTAATTTCCCAAGGCCTCGTTCCTGTGCTCTGACATCCTCAGCAGCATTGGTGCAGAGGCCCTACTTCTCTCAGGCTGTTCCCAGCGGGTGATGGGTCACACCAGGGACACCAAAGCAGGACCATTCCTGGGACACAGAGGACTCCTTTGATGGCCAATAGTGGCTGGAGGACTCTTCCACGGCCTTGATCAACTCTCCTTAGATTACCTGTGTTCTAGAATGCATCCAAAACACCTTCTCTCCTTCTGCCCATCACTTGGGGGCACACTTGCATCTCAGTCTATTGCCTTTTCCAGAGTTGTAATGTAAAAATGAGATCATTTCTGCCTTGATTGTAATTGTAATCTGTAATTAAATATATGTGCAGATTTACTCCTCCGGGCGGGCCCCTCGCTCCTTCCCGCAGAGGCCTTTTCCCTCCCGACCCCGCACTCACCTGCCCAGGTCTGGATCAGGGCCACGGCTCCCGAGAACAGCAGGAGGAGGGTTCGGGACTCCATGACCCGCAACCTTGGCGTCTGGGGAGAATCTGAGTCCCGGTGGGCCGGCGAGGACTTTAGAACCAGGAACCGCGGCGACACTGATTGGCTGATCTAGGAACCCAACACCCAATGGAAGTGAGAACTGAGGCCGCATCATGAGTATCCAGGTAAAAGGACCTGACACAGGTTGGGAAAGGTGGAAGAGAGAGAGCGGAGCTCGGGAAACCCCAAAGCTGAGCCGGCCCATCCCAGGCACCGTCCTCGGGGCCTGAAGCCCAGAGAGCCAAGCCCCGGGCCCTGGGACTTGGCTCTTACCGCCTTCTTTTATATCAAACGCTCTGTCTCAATGTCTCCCCGAATCTTGGCCCCGGAGCTGTCTGAGAAACCAGAGAAAAACCCTCAGCATGGGCTCAGTCCCTCTCCCTTCACTTTTCATCCCAGAATCCCCCTCCCTGAACTGGACTTCCTGCCTCCCATTCCTTGCCTGTCCCCCTGGACTCTTCTAGAAGAGAGCTCACCCAGGCAGCTTGATGCCACAGAGTGAGCTTCTCCTGGGAATGGAGGGAAAGACGGGGGTTGTTTTTTCTTTAAATCTGAAAAAGTTGTGCACCTGGGGATTTATGTGGTCTTTTGTCTTTGCAGGTATTTGTTTAGAAACAAAAGAAAGGCAGTTTTTCCATGACTCAGATTAATCTGGAGCAAATCCCTGGAACACTGATCAGCAGTCCCCTTTGACCCCTGCAGCAGTCTTGGGCACTGTGACTTTTTCTCTCAGGCCTTGTTCTCTGACTCATACTCAGTGTGTGTGGGGGTCTGATTCCAGCTCTTCTGAGTCCCTCGGTCTCCACTCAGGTCAGGACCAGAAGTCACTGTTCCTCCCTCAGATACTGGAACTTTCCAAGGAATAGGAGATTATCCCAGGTGCCTGTGTCCAGGCTGGTGTCTAGGTTCTGTGCTCCCTTCCCCACCTCAGGTGTCCTGTCCATTCTCAGGATGGTCATGTGAGTGCTGCTGGAGTGTCCCATGAGGAGTGCAAAGTGCCTGAATTTTCTGATTCTACATTTTTATTTGCCCCAGAGAAAGGATCCACAGTCCACCCTAGGTCCCTCCTAGAAACAAGGGTGTCTGCCTTACAGAAAGATATAAGCGCAGAAGCCTCTGTCTCTATGGAGATGAGGTGTGCCGTCCTCCCAGCACGTGGACATGCGGATGTGCTCACCAACTGGGAAGTTCTCCAAAACTCACTGTCTAGAGGTGTCTATGGAAGTTTCATTGTGTAGGCAAGATTGGTGAAATCATTGGCCATTGATGACTGAGCTCAACTTCCAGCCCCCTTTTCTTCCCCAGAGGATGGGGATGGCAGTGAAAGTTCCAATCCTCTAATCACAGCTGGTGTTTCTGGCAAGCAGCCTCCATCCTGAAACTATCTAGGAGCCCCTCACCCCATAGTCATCTCATTGCCATATTAAAATCATGCTTATCACTGAGGGACTGCAAGCGTTTTAGGACCTGCCTGTCAGGGACTAGGGGCAAAGACCAAATATATTTATTGGATCACAGATCACTTCCTGGTCTTTAACCACATTATTTCTTCTTATAATTTCTATTTATTTATTTATTATTTTATTTTAGAGACAATGTCTTGCTCTGTTGCCCAGGGTAGAATGCAGTGGCACAATCATAGCTCACTGTAACCTCAAATTCTTGGACTCAAGTGATCCTTCCGCCTCAAGTCTCCTGAGCAGCTGGCACTATAGGTGCACACCACCATGGCTGACTAATTTTTAAATATTTTGTAGAAATGCAGTCTCATTATGTGCCCCAGGCTGTTCTGCAACTGTTGGCCTCAAAAGCAATCTTCCCACCATGGCCTCTCAAAGTGGTGAAATTATAAATGTGAGCCCCTTTGCTTGGCCAACCACAGATCTCCTATAGCAGAAGAATCATAGCAGTAAAAAGATACTGGCCCATTACCAGAGTCCTGTTTAGTCATTATCAATTCGCCCATTGCAGTCCAAAAATAGCAATGGTCTCAGCAACATATGGCTTCAACCTTTCAGACATCTGGTAAAAATGAGATAAAAGACAATGTCATCATTCGTTTATACCTCTTTTGAGGAGATCATGTTATATTGGATTTTCCTCATTACATACCCCATTTATTCATTCATTTCACCTCAGCTACTATTCTTCCTCTTCTGCATTTATACCAAATATTTCTCATTTTGGAAGGGACATTAGGTTTTCCTGCTGTGCTGGCCTATCTATGCAGGGAGCTATACCATGCTAGTAACAGCGAGTGTCTCCCATCAGTCCATTCCAGTTCATAGAGGTTAGGGTTATTCAGGCAGAGAACTGGTTGGCTATCTGGCTTCCAGGCAATACAGCTGCATTCAATGTTAGCTCCAACTTTGCCAGATGCAGTGAAGGCACATCTACTCCAGGCCCTTAGGCAGTCTTGCATAATGGTTTTTAAATATGTTAACGGTTTCTTGCTCAGGAATAATTCCTGTGCCTGGACTTTTATTTGCATCCCTAGTCCTGAGACCACTGCATCAGGTATGAGAAAAGCAAGTTGAGGTAAAGTATAGTCATAATTCTAGTGTCTTCTGGCCTTGGGAAGGATTGTTTTTATTTATTTATTTATTTATTTATTTATTTATTTATTATTTTTTAGGGAAGAATTGTATGTAGAATCACACCAGCACCTTTCCCTGATCCAGCAGGGAAAAAGAGGACACTCTCTAGTGGGGACATTCCTTTGTCCACACTCATGTCAAGAGCGAGCACACTCATGAAGGTGTATAGGCCCGCCCTTCATGCTTATGTCTCCCCGCTCCTGATTTATACACTCAATGTTTCAAATGACTATTTTAATTCTCTCTGAAACTCTTCTTCTGAGGAACAAATTTCTCTGACCATTGTTGGACATTCTGGGCAAGTGTGTTTCCTAGTGTAATGTGGCTCAGTGGTCCACATGGTGGCAATACCTCCCATTCACGTTTTTTTTTTTTTTTTTTTGGTCTCTGTCTCTGTCTCTTTTCTTGTTAAAGAGAATACTTCTTTTTTTTTCTTCTTTTGAGACACAGTCTTGCTCTGTTGCCCTGGGTGCAGTATAGTGGCGCCATCTCGGCTCACTGCAGCCTCTGCCTCCCAGGTTCAAGCCATTGTCCTGCCTCAGTTTCCTGAGTAGCTGGAATTACAGGCGTGCACCACCATGCCTGGCTAATTGATGTAGTTTTAGTTGAGACAGGGTTTCGCCATGTTGGCCAGGCTGGTCTCAAACTCCTGATCTCAAGTGATCTACCCACCTTGGCCTGCCAAAGTGCTGGGATTACAGGTGTGAGCCACTGTGCCCAGTCTTGTTAAAAAGAACAGTTTTACTGAGTATTTTGTGCTTATTAGAGGTGGGGGATGCAAGGGGAGTATGTCTTGATTCAGCCCATCTCTGCATTGCTACAGCCTCAGTGTCTACTTATTTCGTAGACCCCGGTGATCTTCACAAGCAAATGTAAATTTTTTTGAGATGTGGTCTTGATATGTTTCCCAGGCTAGACTCAAATATTTCTCAGGCTAAACCCAAATGCCTGTACTCAAGATATCCTTCTGCCTCAGACACTGTCATAGCTGGGACTACAGGTGCACCTGGCAAGCACTTAGAGATAAATGCTTGTTGATTTCAATCACCTTCCAAACCTGGAAGGGAGTTATTCTGATGGGTATTGAACAGCACTGAGGGGATGGTACTAAACCATTCATGAGAAACCACCCCATGATTGAGTCACCTCCCACCAGACCCCAACTCCAACACTGGGAATTACATCTCGACATGAGATTTGGGTGGGGACAACATCCAATCTATATCAGGCATCAACATGTCTTACGTTAATGCACCCCTCAAATTACCATAGTGATTTCCATAGGACTGTGTCTCATATGGGCATTCTTTTCATAGGCCAGTTTTCCACTGCTTTCTTAATTAATTATATGGCCAGGCCATCAGTCACTGCCCATAAGTCAGTAAAACTAAAACATAGGAGCTTTTATCGTTGTTCAATTCTTCCATCACTGCTAAGAAAACACCCTGCAATTCAGCCCACAAGAGCTGTTCTGTTTTTATCTTCTTTGATCAAAGGGGTAGACTTCCAAACAGGGTGTTGTCCATTCATCTTGCAAATGCTGTACACAAACCAACCAGCTCTTTATGGGTCAGGTGACTGATACTGCAGTTCAAATCCCAGGACAGAATTCCATCTTGCTTGGGGAAGGTCAGTGTTTCATTCAATTTACACCTTCAATGAATTGAATGAAGCCTGTCCACATTATAGAGGTCAATCTACTTTACTCAAAGTATAGCAATTTATATGTTAATCATATCCAAGAAACATCCTAAAAAAATCATCCAGAATAATGCTTGACCACGTATCTTGGCACCAGGTCCAGGTGACAAATAAAATTATTTATGACATTCTTCAATACAATAATATTCTAAGGAAATTAGCCTTTGTAAAGGAAGGAATAAACAACTGTTTCTGAAAATGTATAACCAATCATCAACAAACTCTCCCTATAGATTGTTTCCTAAGTTCGCTTTATAGTTGTGAGTGAGAGTAACATGTATTTGTTCAAAACCAGAGAAGGAGAGAAAATTGAAAAAGCAGAAAGCAAAAATGAAAAACACAAAACACAACACATAAGAAGAATAATAAAGATGACAGCAGTTATTTCATTGGAAACAATGCAAATGAGGGACAGATGACCAACATCGCTAAAGTTCTGAAAGACAACTGCTGTCAAACTAGATTCTATTTCCAGAAAAAAAACCTTTTAAAAACATATATATATGTATAATTTTAATTGACATATAATAATACATTCATGAGGTACTGTGTGATGTACTGATATATGTATACCATGTGTAATGATTGCATCAAGCTACTTAACAGACTCTAAAGATATCTATAAAAAAAGGGATTTTAGACTTATAGGGAGTGAAAAAATACATAACCAGCAGACACGAACTGTAATAAGTGTTTCAGTCCTTCAGGCAAAAAGAAAATTATACCAAAAGCAAATATGTAATGAAGAGCACCAGAAATGGTAAGCACATGGGTAGATACATAAGATTTTTTCATAATTTTAAAATC
Organism: Homo sapiens; assembly: GCF_000001405.40. Taxonomy (NCBI): domain Eukaryota; kingdom Metazoa; phylum Chordata; class Mammalia; order Primates; family Hominidae; genus Homo; species Homo sapiens. The sequence goes on along the minus strand of NT_113891.3, from coordinate 2,935,411 downwards.
TTATTAAAAGACAACTGTAATGCCTTCACCAAAAATGGTAGAGAACTCCAACAACACATTCCCCAACTAAAGCAACTATTAACCTGGAAAAAAACTATCAAAATTAAGTTTTTCTGTACTCTGGAGTCTATGAATTTTTTTTTTTTTTACAACAACCAAAGTAGTGCTTAATGAAAAAGGAGCTCTAGATTTTGGTAGGAGAGCATGTGCCACTATTCCTTAGCCACCTACTCACTCCCACCCCCACACCCTCAGCTATGAGGCAGCCATGGGGACGGTGTCCCACATTCCTGGTGTAGTTTCCTGATGCCAGAAAAGGCAAAATGAACTTTCTTTTCAAAGAATTGTGTTTGTGTCCTTTGACATGCATGATAGCCCCCAAAAAGATCAGCTTAGAGGCTGGTCTTTGCTTCACTCCTCTTGGAACTTTATTAAGATTGGAGAGGTCTCCATAGCAATGTTTGTCAAAAGCATTTAAAGGCAAATACTAGTCACAGATGCCTGGGGCATGGAATGATGGATGGGTTAACAGCAGACAGACTGAAAAGCCTAGGGAGGTAGAGGCTGGAGATGGAGATACATAAGGCAATATGGCTTTCAAAATATCCCGCATATACTGAGGAAATCAGAATGTCACATACATGGCCAGGGCTAAACACTGGATATTTAGCCCTGGATGCCCACATTCTTTAAAAAGACCTGAGATGACCTTAGGCTTTTACCTCTGGGTGATCTTTAGCCTCCAAGTAAGCAGCCAGTGAAGGTTAAGGTGGACGTCTAAACTGCCTGGTTAAGTGTTGAAGAAGTGTCCCAACTCAGAGTCCATCTGCAAAGCCTGGGAGGGCATTAATTATTTATTTTTTTGGCTCCAGCTGTTTAAGGAAACCTCTGTCAAATCACTAGCTGACCATGAAGCTAACAGAATAGATTTTAGTGACCACACATGACAAAGAACAGCTTAACAATAGTTTAGAAAAGTCACTAAGAAACAACTCCATCCTCAAGTGGCAACAAGAAACTCTGGGGAGTGGAAAGAATATGGTATCCAGAGTTACTAGATTGTTGTATTCAAAGTGTTCAGTTTTCAGTGAAAATTCTTGAGGTATTTAGAAGTTTAAGAAAGTGGCCCATTTGCAGAAAAAAATACATCAGCAGAACCTGTCCCTAAGGAAGCCAAGTCATTGGACTTACTAGACCAAGACTTTAAACCAATAGTTTAAATATGCTCAAATAGATAAAAAAGACCGTGGACTCTCTCTCTATATATGTAAATATATATATATATGTATATATATACACATATATGTGTATGTGTGTGTATATATATATGTATATATGTAAAGGAACCAGAAGAACAATATCTCACCAAATAAAGACTCATTAAAAATATAATAAGGAAACAGCAATTCTAGAAGGGAAAATATAATTACTGAAAAAAAATTCATTAGAGATGTTCAATAGCAGACTTGAACAGGTAGAAGAAAGAATCAGCAAACGCGAAGCCAAGTCATCTTAAATCATAGACTTTGAGGAATAGAAATGAAAAAAGGAACAAAAAATAGTGAACAGAGCCTAAGGGACTTGTGGGACACCGCCATGCTGACTAATATATGCAGAGTTTAGCAGGCAGAAGAACCAGCAAATTGAAGATAGGCCAATTACGATTATGCAATCTGAAGAGCAGGAAGAAAAAAAAATAAAGGGAAATGATCAGAGGCTATGACACCTCTGTACAGCATCAAGTGGACTGACAGATGCATAATGGGAGTTCCCAAAGTAGAGGAGAGATAGAAAGAGAGAGTAAAAATATAGGGTAACAGGTGAAACCTTGCCAAAGTTGATAAAAATCTGTGAATCTACCAAGCAGAATAAACTCAAAGACATCCAAACCAAGAAACATTATAACCAAACTGTTGAAATAGAAGCAGAGAGAACTTGGACAGCAGCAAGAAACAAATAATGCATCATGTACAAGGGATCCTCATTGAGATTAACAGCCAATTTCATACCAGAAAACACTGAGGAAAGTCAGAGTGGTATGACATGTTTAAAGTGCTACAAAAATAAAGCTGTCAACCAAAAGTTCTATATCTAGAAGACTTATTCTTCAAAAATGAAAATATGCAGTTTTGCAATATGAAAGGAGTTCTGGAGATTGGTTTGCAAAACAGTGTGAGTGTTCTTAGCACTACTGAACACTACCACTACAAATGGTTAAGATGGTAAATTTTATGTGCATTTTATCACAATTAATAAATTAAAATAAATGAAGGAGAAATTGAGATGTTTCCAGTTAATTAACAACTAACTGAAAGATTCCATTGCCAGTAGATTTTTCCTATAAGAAATACTAATGTGAGTCATTCAGATTAAAATGAAAGGGCCCTAGACAACAGCTCAGAGACACATAAAGAGATATATGCAAAGAACCTCAGTAAAGGTGTTAAGACAACTCAATGTGTTAAAGTATACACTCTTCATCTAATGGAGCTGGGCACCTGGATGCCCACATTCTAAAGGATGAAGTTGAGGGGCTGGAAGTGGTGACTCCACCTGCAATCTCAGCATTTTGAGGGGCTGAGACAGGAGAATTGCTTGGACCCAGGAGTTCAAGGTTACCATGAGCTCTGATTGCACCACTGCACTGTAGCCTGGGTGACACAGACACTGTCTCTGCAAAAGAAAAAAAACAAAGAAGTTGAAACCCTACCTCACAGCATATGTATAAATCAACACAAAATGGATCAGAGACCTACATGTAAGGGCTAAATTATAAAACTCATAGAAGAAAATAGAGAGGGCTCTATTTTAATAATTTTTTCCTGTTTGTTTATCCCTGAACAAATACTTCACTTTTCTAATCACTGTGGCTTTCAAATATCTGTTGATATCTGATAGTTTAAGTCCTCCAATTGTGTTCTCTTCCAATATTGTTCTGGCTATTTTAAGCTCCTCACATTTTTGTATACATTTTAGAAGAAGCATGTCAATTCCCACAAAAAAAACTCTTGGGAGTTTTATTACAATTGCATTGACTCCATGGATCACTTTGTGGATAAACGGTATCTTAGCAATATTGTCTTCCTCATATATATGAAATAACTATCCACTTAATTTGTCTCAGCAATGTTTTGTAATTCTGAATGATGAGATTTTGTATAACTTTTATATTTATTTCTACAATTTATGTTTCTTTGTGGTATTGTACATAGAGCTATTTAAAGAATGTCAGTTCTTCTCACTGTTTATTACTCACGTATAGAAATGTTACTTTTTGCTTTATACTGGCCTTGCCAAATTCACTTATTTTTAATAGTCTGTTCATAGAGCTTCTTAAATTTTCTTCATACACGATAATGTTTTCCTTGAAGAAGACAGTCATATATCTTATGTAATCTATTTTTGCTGTTGGACACACAGTACAATGTTAAATAAAAGTGATGATAGTGGACATCCTTCTCTTGTCCCCACCTCAGAGGAGTGTTTAATATTTCTTCGTTAATTATGACTTTAGATTTAGGTATTTCTTTGTATTTCTTTGTTGTAAATAACTGTATTCTGTTAGGGAAGTTCCCTTTTATGTCTAGTTTATTTAGTTTTTATTATGAATGCCTACTGAACTTTATCAAATGGTTTTCCTGCATCTATTGATATAACCACATGTTGTCCTACTTTTCTCTATTTTTGGGGTAGATTATTCTGACATTTTGAAGTTAAATCTACCATGTATTTCTCTTATAAATCCCATTTGGTCATTATGTGTTATCCATTTCATATATTATTTGGTTCTATTTACTAATATTTTAATTGGAATTTTGGAGGCTATGTTCATCAGATCATTTCGATGATGAGTTTATTTTTCTTGTAATATAATTGTCATGTTTAGGTCCTTGTCTGACTTATGTTGCCTCATAAAATTAGTTGGAAGGTGTTTACTCTTTATTATCTAAAAAATATAAGACAGTGTATTAATCTGTTATCATACTGCTAATAAAGACATACTCAAGACTGGGCAATTTAAAAGGAAAGAGGTTTAATTGACTCAGAGTTCAGCATGACTGGGGAGGCCTCAGGTAACTTATAATCATGGCAGAAGAGGAAGCAAACACATCCTTCCTCACATGGCAGCAACAAGGAGAAGTGCCAAACCGAAGCAGAAAAAGCCCCTTATAAAACCATGAAGTCTTGTGAGAACACACTATCATGAGAACAGCATGAGGGGAACCACCCCCATGATTAAATTGTCTCCCATCGAGTCCCTCCAACAACGCGTGGGGATTATGATAACTACAATTCAAGATGAGATTTGGGTGGGCAAACAGCCAAACCATAGCACACAGTCTGCCTTTCATGTCTGTGAGTTCCACATCTGTGAATTCAACAACCTTAGGATTGAAAATGTTATGTTGCTGCTGATGTATACTCTGTAGTTAGGAGTACCTACAGTGGTTATGTCTGTACTGAAGATGTACAGACATTTTTCTTGTCATTATTTCCTAAGCAATACAGTGTAACAACTATTTACAAATAATTTACATTGCATTAGGAATTATAAGTAATCTAGAGATGATTTAAAGTATATGGGAGGATGTGCATAGCTAATAGGCAAATACTAGGCTATTTTATATATGGGACCTGAGCATCCATGGATTTTGGTATCCACAGGTGCCCTAGAACCCATCCCAAAAGGTACCAGAGGAAGACTGTATAAGGCTGACATGCCTTTTAAAAAGTTTTTGAAAGAATTGACAGGTGAAGAAATCTGGGCATGGAGTTTCTCTGGTGGGAAGGAATGTATTTAGAACTCAATTTCTGAATGGATATAGGATTATTTATATTTTCTACTTAGTTTTCTGTTGGCTTTGTTCAACCGTCTTTTTCAAGAACTCATGTCACTATACCTAAATTTTAAAAGCTCTTTCCATGAAGTTGTGTCTAACTTTCTCTTATTTTTGTTTTAATAAAATCTACAGTTTTATAATGTCCCTTCTCATAGTGTTCATTTGTGTTTTTTCTCTTCTTATGATTAATCTTTCTGGGAATTTTGAAATAGTTTGCCCATCTTTTCCTCTATTTTCCTTAACATATTAATCATAAATATTTTGAAGAATGTCCTTGTTTGCTGACTTCAATATTCAGATCATCTTTGAGTTGGCTTCTGTTGATTATTTCTTCTTTAGTTGCTGCATTCTCTCTGCTGCTTGGCATGGCACATATTCTACATGATGGATTTTAGAGGCTCTGGGTTTTGTTATCTTCCTCCAAAGACTGGTAATAGTTTGACAGTTAGGTAATTATCAAAGAATCACCTTTAGTAAAAATCAGACCCACTTTGATTCTGCTTACTCTTGATTTTAGCCTTTGCTAGGGTGAGTCTATTTCAGTGTGGTTCTTACTCCAAGGTCACGGTCCTCACTTACGTGGCTTCCCCATCCTGATGTCTCAACACAGGTTTTGCAGGGCTGAAATTCCAACATCTCCTCACACTATGGAGCCTGTGACATTTCTACTTAGCATGCAATCTCCAAGAAGCTGTTCTCCAGTGGGCTTCTTAGAGTGTCATCTGGAGCATATGCAGCTCAGGAGTGCAGATTTTGGGGGTTTCTTGTCTGTAACTCCCTCCCTCAGCACCCTACCCCTAAATCCCAGTCAATGTGCCAAGCCTGAACTCTGATCTCTGTTTCCTTTGCCGACGAGACTGATTTTCTCTGCTTGGGTTCCATTTCTCTTCATTGTATTTTGGCAAATGCTTCTGGAAAGAAAGCTGATAAGGATGTGAATCTCCCTTTCAGGAACTTCCATTCTCCAAAAGGTGATAGTCCTGTGCTGGTTGCTGTTTTGTGGCTGCACAACTGCATTGTATGTTTTTTGTGACTTTTATACTTGTTTACCGTGGGAGGATGAGTTTAAAATGAGCTATTCTCTGACGGTTTGAACCCGAAGACCTCTAAGCCTCCAATGGTCGTTTGCATTTCAAATTCTGCATGGGGTAATTTGACACCTCACAGGAAAAGTTAATATGTTTTTACCTTGGTGCCTAGTTGATACCTCAATTTCAGTGTTAATCTTACACACAAAATACAAACACACACACACACACACCCCACTGTGTTATAGAGTCATGCATTGTATAATGATGTTTGGGTCAATGATGAATTGCATATATGACTGTCGTCCCATGAGAGTTTAATGGACCTGAAAAATTCCTATCACCTAGTGACATGAAGCCATCATAACCTCATAGTACGATGCATTAATCATGTGTTTGTGGTGATGCTGCTGTCAACAAACCTACTGCACTGCCAGTCCTATAAAAAGTCTAGCATATACAGCTATGCACAGTACATAATACTTCATAATGATAATAAATGACTATGCTATGTTTTATGTATTTACTATACTTTTTATTGTTATTTTAGAGTGTGCTCCTTCTATATATATAAAAAAATTAAAACAGCCTCAGCCAGGTCCTTTAGGAGGTATTCCAGAAGAAGGCATTGTTATCACAGGAGATGGCAGCTCCATGGGTGTTATTACACCTGAAAATCTTCCAGTGGGACAAGATGTGAAGGCTGAAGATGGTTGATATTGTTGGTCTTGACCCTGTGTCAGCCTATGCTAATGTATGTCTTTATTTTTACCAAAAAAGATTAAAAGGTAAAGATAATTAAATAGGAATAAGCTTCTAGAATGGGAATATAAAGAAAAATATTTTTGTAGAGCTGTATAACGTGTTGACGTTTTAAGCTAAGTGCTATTACAAAAGAGTAGAAAAGTTTAAAAAGTTTATAAAGGACTTCATGTCTAAAACACCAAGCAATGGCAACAAAAGCCAAAATTGACAAATGGGATCTAATTAAACTAAAGAGCTTCTGCACAACAAAAGAAACTACCACCAGAGTGAACAGGCAACCTACAAAATGGGAGAAAATTTTCGCAACCTACTCATCTGACAAAGGGCTAATATCCAGAATCTACAATGAACTCAAACAAATTTACAAGAAAAAAAAAACAACCCCATAAAAAAGTGGGCGAAGGACATGAACAGACACTTCTCAAAAGAAGACATTTATGCAGCCAAAAAACACATGAGAAAATGCTCACCATCACTGGCCATCAGAGAAATGCAAATCAAAACCCAATGAGATACCATCTCACACCAGTTAGAATGGCAATCATTAAAAAGTCAGGAAACAACAGGTGCTGGAGAGGATGTGGAGAAATAGGAACACTTTTACACTGTTGGTGGGACTGTAAACTAGTTCAACCTTTGTGGAAGTCAGTGTGGCGATTCCTCAGGGGTCTAGAACTAGAAATACCATTTGACCCAGCCATCCCATTACTGGGTATATACCCAAAGGACTATAAATCATGCTGCTATAAAGACACATGCACACGTATGTTTATTGCGGCACTATTCACAACAGCAAAGACTTGGAACCAACCTAAATGTCCAACAACAATAGACTGGATTAAGAAAATGTGGCACATATACACCATGGAATACTATGCAGCCATAAAAAATGATGACTTCATGTCCTTTGTAGGGACATGGATGAAATTGGAAATCATCATTCTCAGTAAACTATCGCAAGGACAAAACACCAAACACCGCATGTTCTCACTCATAAGTGGGAATTGAACAATGAGAACACATGGACACAGGAAGGGGAACATCACACTCTGGGGACTGTTGTGGGGTGGCAGGAAGGGGGAGGGATAGCATTAGGAGATACACCTAATGCTAAATGACGAGTTAATGGGTGCAGCACACCAGCATGGCACATGTATACATATGTAACTAACCTGCACAATGTGCACATGTACCCTAAAACTTAAAGTATAATAATAAAACAAAAAAGTTCAAAAGGTTACAGAAAGCTATGGTAACTAATTATTAATTAGTTATTAATTGTTAATAAATAAATAATAAAATTATTAGTTAATTATTAATAAGTTAATTTATTATTAAAGAAAGAAAATGTTAAAATCAATTTAGTGTAGCCTAAGTTTATAAAGTCTAAGTAGTGTACAGTAATGCCCTAGCCTTCACATTCACTCACCACTCACTCACTCACTCACCCAGGGCACTTCTAGTCCTGCAAGCTCCATTCATGGTAAGTGTCCTAGACAGATACGCCATTTTAAAGATCTTTTTATTAATCACATTTTTACTGTACCTTTTCTCTGTTTACACATGCTTAGATCCACAAATACTTACCATTGTGTTAGAATTGGCTGCAATGTTCCATACGGTAACATGCTATATAATTTGTAGCCTAGAAGCAATGGGCTTATCACGTAGCCTAGGTGTGAAGTAGGTTATACCATCTAGGTTCATGTAAGGACACTCTATGATGTCCACACATGACAAAATCACCTAAGGACTCATTTCTCAGAAGCTATCTCACCATTGAGCGAAGAATGACTGTATATGTATGTAAGTCCTTTGAAGTTTAAACATTTTCAATTTGATACATTTGTGTCTCATTTAAGAAATATTTTCCATTCCAGCAGATGTGAAGAAAAAAAAAAGAGGCTGGCACAGTGCCTCATGCCTGTAATCCCAGCACTTTGGGAGGCTGAGGTGGGTGGATCGTTTGAGCCTAGAAGTTTGAGACCAGCCTGGGAAACATGGCAAAACCCCATCTATACTAAAAATATAAAAAGGAGCCAGGCATTGTCTCACATGCCTGTTGTCTCAGCTACTCAGGGGGCTGAGGCAAGAGGATCACCTGAATCTTGGGAGGTCAAGGCTGCAGTGAGCCATGATCGGGCCACTGTAATTTAGCCTGAGTGACAGAATGAGACCCTGGCTGGAAAAAAAAATAAAATAGAAAGATTTTCCTACCCAAATAATTTAGGTTATCCTCCTAATAACTTTGGCAGTAATTTTACTTTTTCATATTTGTCTTTACTGCTCATATAATTTTTTGTTTATATCAAGGTATAGAGATATAATTTAATCATGGCATGTTTAGTAGACTATCGATGCTGGGAAAGGGCTTAGGAGATGATGATGAATCAAAACATGGGATAGAGGCTGGGTACGTGGCTCAGGCCTGTAATCCCAGCATTTTGGGGAGCCAAGGTGGGTGAATTGTTTGAACCCAGGAGTTTGAGACCAGCCTCGGCAACATAGTGATACCTCATCTCTACAAAAAAATTTTTTAAAAAATTAGTTGGGCATGGTGGCATGTTCCTGTAGTTTCAGCTACTCATGAGGCTGAGGCTGGAGGATTGCTTCAGACAGGGAGGTCGAGGCTGCAGTGAGCAATGATTGTGCCACTGCACTGCAGCCTGTGACGTTTGTTTGTTTGAGACAGGGTCTCACTGTGTCTGAAAAAACCAAACAAACAAAAATTAAATAAAAAACCCACAGGATAGAAATCTCTATGGATAATAATACATGAATGAAAAGAAAGAATGACAGAGATCAAATTAATGAAGTCATTTCTGTGTGGAAGACTTCCTGATGATTTTGATGCTTTTTCCCCAAGGAATTTTTCTTTTTTTTCCAGGAAATATGTATGATATGAATTATGGTAAATGGCCCTTTCCTTTGACTTTTGAATCTCTGGTTTTCCTTCATCTCCGCTGACATCAGGACATTCCTGAGCATCACAAAGGTCCTGCAATCATAGCCATTTAGAACTTTGAAAAACGCAGTCACTCTCTTCCAAACCAGTATTTGTTAAAGCTGCAGAGAGAGTATTTTTTGGTTCTTGGGAGACAGAGAGGATGAAGGGGGTACTCATGCACAGAACATCTATTCCAACACTCCCATCCTCATCAGCCTTTAGTTCCTTCCTATACATTATACCAAAAAATTTCTCACATCTAATCCTGTTTAGTCAGGCCACGACTAAGTCAAATTTAAAAGCAACTCAACATTTAGATCCACTCTGAGTGTGGAAAATCTCACGTTGTTTTCCACTGCTCTCACACCACAACAACTATCAACACAGAAGACTTCTCTGACCAAATGTAGGGAATTTCTCCAACAAACAAGCAATCAGTTCTGTGATGGACACCAGCTGGGTGTCCTCTAACTGAATTCTGCCACTCTTTCCCTGGAGATAGCATCGCATCCCATGGGTTGAGAGCTCAGTCCCCATGACTGTCCCCCTCCCACTCCTGATGCCAGTCTCAAGCCTCCCACTCCTGATGCCAGTCTCAAGCCATTTTGCCCGTGTTTCTAACTAACTTGCTTTAAATCAGTGTTCCCATAACCTGTTTCTCAGGTTTGATTAATTTGCTAGAATGGCTCACAGAACTCAGGAAAACACTTACATATATTTACCAGTTTATTTAAAAAGATATTTTAAAAGACACAAAGAGCCCCATGAACAGACACATAGGGCAAGGTGAGAAGGGTTTCCAGTGCAGGAGCTTCTGTCCCATGGGGTTGGGATGCGCCACCCTCTCTGGCACATGGCTGAGTTCTTGTTCACCTCCTGTTAGCTTCCCTGTGTTCAGCTATCCAGAAGCTCTCCAAACCCTGCCCTTTTGGGTTTTGATGGAAGTCATATTTCTTAGGCATGATTCATTAAATCATTGGCCATCAGCTTAACCTTCAGCCTCTCTCCCCTCCCTGCCAATGAAATGATCCTATTTCTAGAAAAATCTGAAGACTCCATCAAAGAACTATTAGATATGATAAGTAAATTCAGTAGAGTTGTGGGATGCAAAATCAACATACAAAAATCAGTATAATGTCTATACATTATTAATGAAGTAGCTGAGAAAGAAATCAAAAAAGCAATTCCATTTACGATAACTAGAAAAAAATGCCTAGGAATAAGTTTATGCAAGGAAGTCAAAGATCTCTTAAAAATAAATCTATACAACACTGATGAAAGAAAGAAGAGGACACAAACAAATGGAAAGATATTCCATGCTCATGAATCAGAAGAATTAATATTAGTAAAATGACCATAGTTCCCAAAGCAATCTAAAGATTCAAGGGAATTCCAACAAAAATACCAAGGTTATTTTTCCACAGAATTAGAAAAAATAATTCTAATATTTCTATGGACCCAAAACATTTTTAAAAAGTCCAAATAGCCAAAGAAATCCTGAGCAAAAAGAACAAAGCTAGGGCCATCACACTACTTGACTTTAAAATACATTACAAGGCTATAGTATCCAAAACAGAATGGTATTGATATAAAAACAGACATGCCAATCAATGGAACATAATAGAGAATGCAGAAATAAATCCATATATTTACAGCCAACTGACTTTTAACAAAGGTGCCAAGAACACACATTTGGGAAAAGGACACCCTCTTCAGTAAAAGGGCTGGGAAAATGGATATCCCGTATGCAGAAGAATGAAATTAGATTCTTATCTCTCACCCTATTAAAAATCAACTCAAGTTGACTTAAATAAAATGAAAGACCTGAAACTATAAAACAACTGGAAGAAAACAGGGGAAACATTCTAGGCCAGTGGTCCGGGCAAAGGTTTTATGGCTAAGACTTCAAAAATATAGAAAACACAAATAAAACCAGACAAATAGGACTATAATAACTAAAAAAGCTTCTGCATAGCAAATAAAACAATTGACAGAGTGAAGAGACAATCTGCTGAACAGGAGAAAACATTTTCAAACAATTTATCTGACAAGGGACTAATATCCAGAATACTATAAGAAACTCAAACAACTCAAGAATTAAAAAACCAAACAATCTTATTAAAAAGTGGGCAAAGGGCATGAATAAATATTTTTCAGAAGAAGAATATAAATGGCCAACAGATACATAAAAAAATGTTCAACATCACTAATCATTAGGGAAATGCAAATCAAAACCACAATGAGATGTCATCTTACCCCAGATAGAATAGCCACAACTGAAAAGACAAAAATAAAATAAATAAAATAAAATAAAATAACAGATGCTGGTGATGTGGAGAAAAGGGAACTCTTGTACGCTGTTGATAGGAATTTAAATTAGTACAGCCACTATAGAAGACAGTATGGAGAGTTTTAAAAAATCTAAAAATAGAACCACTATATTATCCAGCAATTCGGGGGTGGGTTTGGAAAGTGCTGGAGTTCAGGGATCAGGGTTGGCAGAGAGCAGGGCCTGGGGGTGCTTGGGTAGCTGGAGGAGAATGAAGGAGGCAGATGCCTGGGTACCAGGGTATCAAAGTGAGGGAAGTGCGGGGCTGTCCCAAGAGGGCAGGAGACTAACAGAAGAATTCTTGAGACCTGTTGGGAATAGGGAAGGGTGGAACCCTCAGGATCCAGGGCAAGGGGTCAGAATCTTGGGCCAGGCTCATCGCTGAGCTCTTTGTAACCCACCACCATCTTCAGACTCCCAGCTAAGTTGTGCACGTATCCTCCAAGAGCACCTCCTTGGCTGCCAGCAGAGGGACCTGCTCTCTGCCTGTGACCCTGTGGCCACTGGGCCTGGCAAGGTAGCTCCTGCTGTCAAAGACAATGAAGAGGCAGCCATCCAGCAAGCCGAGTGCTGTGACCCCAGGCTTCCCGGGGCTGGACTCTGCTAGGACAGTAAGGCCCGAGCACAGAAAGTGGGGCCCTCAACCTACCAGGGCTGGGCCCCTTAGCCCCTGTCCTTCACTCTCTTTTCTTCAGGATCCTAGGAACTCCCTCCTGCTTTACACACACCTACACCTACACACACACACACACACACACACACACACACCCCTTCTAAAGAAACACTTCCCACTTTTCTCTCCTCCCTGACTCCTTTCACCCTCCTCCTTTTTCCTCCTCCTCTTCCTCCCCCCCCCTTATAAAGAAAAAGGTTTAATTGACCTACAGTTCCAGTGTTTGGTATGATTCCTTCTTCTCTTATGATCCATTTCATCTCCCTTCTGCTCTCTGGAGCCTCCCTCCTTCCTGGACCGAGGCCCCAAGGTTGGAGCTCACAGACTGATTCCTGGGATGAGCAGCCTCCACCTGCAGGAGCAGTGGCAGGAACAAGGGAGGGGACAGGAGGCCAAGGTCCCATCCTGGAGGCTGGGGGACTGGGTCGTGCATTAGCAAGGGTTTGGGGTTGAGTCAGCTCCAGACCTGATCCTGCTGTTTTGGTCTGGAGGCCTCCCTCTGCCCTGAGACAAAAGTCCAGTCAATCAGTTGTGGGAGAAAACGTTCATATCAACATGGATTTTGGGAAGCTGGATGAACTCAGAGCCTGACACGAGACCGGGAGACTCTCTTCTGTGCAGAGTCCCGTCCAGGTGCGGGGAACAGGGGGAGAGCCTGGGACGTCCTGGCTGGGGAGAAAGGGGAGCGGGGTCCTCTGTCTTCAGTCCTGTGGCCACACGGGGGCGCCGCCACACTGCTCTCGGATTCTGACTGAGCGCTTTCGGGGACCAGGCTGCGGGCTGAGTGGGGCAGACGGGGCTGATCCTGAGGTCATCCACGCCAGGATGGAGGCGTCTCCTGAGCAGCCCTGGAATCCACAGGACTCAGGCTAGATTTGCTTGTCCTGCAACGTGAGGCAATTGTGAAGTAACAAGGTCTGGCTCTAGAATTCTTATGGCGAATACGGCTGTCATAAAATCCAACCAGAATGAGAGTCCAGCGCCTGAGTTGACTGTCCTGGGCACACCCGGCTTTGACGGGGTTGCCAAAAACTTAACTTTGGCACTCACAGAAATTTCAATGATTGTGGAAAACTCCGAATAAGTGTGTACGATTTCATTTCTGATGTCTCTGGCGCTTTTGAAAGGCCAGAAAGAGCCATGCAAAGAGGCTGAAAGGCTCCTCTGGGAATTCTCAAATCCCTTTTCATAGCAGTAAATTGTACCTAGAGAGCCAAGACTGAAGGACATAGAGAGAAGGATCTGGAGACGGAGCCGTCTTTTCTGAGCAGCACGGACGGGGCTGTCAGGGCGCTTTTCCCCTCTGTGTTCAGCAGGATGGACTCTGCAGTGAGGCGCAGCCCCTGTCTCCCGGGAGCCTCAGGGCCACACATCCTCCCGATGCCCCATGTCAGGAGCATCTTTTTCCTTATCTTGTTTTTCACGACTCCTTTCCTTTTTCTGTCCTGTGGCTACTAATACAACAGACAGACAAGATCTTATAAGACCAGATAAAAGATGTCACTGATGATGGCTAAGACATGATTATGAAGGAACAGTGGAAGATACAGACAGAGCAAGAGAAAGAGACAAAACACAGAGAAAGAACAGAAATAGAAAAACACAGAAAAAGAATATCCATCCATCTATCCATGCTTCTGTCTACCTATCTACCTCCTTGCAAGGTAGGTACATCAACACTTTTTTTTTTTTGAGATGGAGTCTCGCTCTGTCACCCAGGCTGGAGTGCAGTGGCATGATCTCAGCTCACTGCAATCTCCGCCTCCTGGGTTCAAGCAATTCTCTGCCTCAGCTTCCCAAGTAGCTGGGATTACAGGCGTCTGCCACCATGCCCGGCTAATTTTTGTATTTTTAGTAGAGATGGGGTTTTACCATGTTGGTCAAGCTGGTCTCGTACTCCTGACCTCGTGATCCACCCACCTCGGCCTCCCAAAGTGCTGGGATTACAGGCATGAGCCACCGCGCCCAGCCTCATCAACACTTTTAAATTCATGCTCCAATAAAATCACAAGCTTTTTTTTGCTGGCTCACACCTGCCTCCTTCATCCAGCTGACTGATGTATTTGCTGAAGTCTTGCCATGTTCTGCACTGGGTACTGAGCATTGGAGTCTAAACAGGAACAGATCCCTGTGATGCACTCACATGGGGCCCTTTACTGTCCCGTCCCTGGCTGTGAGACATCCTCATCTCCCTGAGGCTCTTCTTTCTGGTTACTGGGAGAAGTTCCCGGCCCGCCTCCCTACTGACACCTGAGAGACTCCAACATCCTGGAACATCACTATCTTCGAATCGAGCACTGATTTTCAGCATTTATCCTGTGTCCACCACTTGAGTACTAAATACCCTTTTGATGATTTTCTCATTTAGAAGCTGCTAGAGAAGGATGTGGTTGTAACTTCAGGCATGTTGTTTAAGAGAAATCTAAAAATTAGGAAAATTCATGGAAAGGGCCTTTTCTGCTTACTTTCAGAACACTTCTTGTTCATCTTCTCATTGAGTTTGATTGCTGGAAAAGTGGCTTCCATATCCCCTGACTTAATGCAAGTAGTGGAAACACCTGCTCAGTGAACAAGTACTTTGGAAAATGCCCTCAGAACTTCACACATCAGAAAAACATGTGTGTCTCCCTGCTCAACCCTGGAGTTGCCAATATGCTACATGTTAATTCCTCACTGACCTTACTCAAGCCCTCTGGAAGAGAATGGTGCTCCTAAAAATGTCCCAGTGGCATGGGACAGCAAATTCCTCTGTGCTCACTGCAAGAAAGCACACAATTCAACTTTTCAATCCCATTGAGTATCTGAAAATGAACTGTATTTTCAATGTATTCCCCTCCAGAGAGTACATTGCAGAGGAAACCTGTTCAAATCCACAAATGATTTTGAGTCAAGAAGCTAAATATGAGGTCCTTCAAGAAAAGTTAAGAGATTCCCTGACCTTAAATTTCATGTTGCACTTATAAGATGGAGCTGTTAGCATCTGTCCCCACCTCTGGGTACCCGGCAGAATGTGCTGTCTTTTGGGACTCAGGGAGATAGTCACCCACACCAGGAGCACCAAATAAATCCCTAGGAGGGACTCCATGGTCCACCCAGGAGCCTCCTCAAGCAACTTCTTCCCCCAAATAACCTTGAAGTCCTAGAAATCAACTAAGAAAAAAGATATCCATGTCTTTGATTTAAAAAAAATAATGAAATGCCAACAGTCCAGCACCCAATAGGGAAGCTATGAGACTACATTTTCTGCATGTGGAGAAGACACATCTAATGGAGAAATGGGAAACTGCTTCAAAAGTGTTGGGCCACAGTGAGAGAATGTGGTTGTCACCACCACCACCCACTGCCCACTCACTCAGTAACCCCTCCCCATTTTAACAAACACACCAATGATGAGAAACACTTTGTACCTTCCTCTACTGTAATAAGCCTATTATCATGTCATCTCCTGTGGTTGATTTTTTCACTTAAGGATGACCTCTGGGCTTGTGATGGGAGAGGTTGCTGTGAAAGTCTCTGACATTCCCTGGAGATATTTTCCCCATTGTCATGGTGATTGACATTGAGCTCCCCCTTACTGATGCAAATTTCTGCAGTGGGCTTGAATTTCTCTCCAGAAAATGGGTTTTTATTTTCTATTGCATCATCAGGATGCGAATTTTTCAAACTTTTATGCTCTGCTTCCTCTTGAACACTTTGCTGCTTAGAAATTTCTTCTGGCAGATACACTAAATCATCTCTCTCAAGTTCAAAGTTCCACATATCTCTAGGGCAGGGGCAAAATGCTGCCAGTCTCATTGCTAAAGCGTAGCAAGAATCACCTTTATTCCAGCTCCCAACAAGTTTCTCATCTCCATCTGAGGCCACCTCAGCCTGGACTTCATTGTCCATATTACTATCAGCATTTTGGTCAAAACCATTCAACAAGTCTCTAGGAAGTTTCAAGCTTTCCCATATCTTCCTGTCTTCGGAGCCCTCTGAGTCTCTAGGAAGTTCCAAACTTTCCCACATGTTCATGTCTTCTTCTGAGCCCTCTAACCTGTCCCAACCTCTGCTTGTTACCCAGTTCCAAAGTCACTTCCACATTCCTGGGTATCTTTATAGTAGCACCCCACTCCTGGTACTAATTTACTGTATTAGTCCATTCTCACACTGCTATGAAGAAATACCTGAGGCTGGGTAATTTATAAACAACAGAGGTTTAATTGACTTACAGTTCCGCATTGCTGGGGAGGCCTTAGGAAACTTATAATCATGGCAGAAGGCACCTTGTCACATGGCAGCAGAAGAGAGAATTAGTGTAATCAGGGGAAATGTCAGATGCTTATAAAAGCATCAGATTTCATGAGAGTCACTCTATCATGAGAACAGCATGGGGGATCTGCCCCCATGATTCAATTAACTCCCACTACATTTCTCCCATGACACATGGGAATTATGGGAACTACAATTCAAGATGAGATTTGGGTGGGAACACAGCCAAACCATATCATTAATGCATTATGAAAGTCAAATTTATACATTCTAGATGCTTTGTGAGGCTGTCTAGAAAGCAGTTTGGAGACAATTCCTATAGGAAAAAATCAAATAATCTCTCCAAGATGATATTGCATTTAGAATTTCATGTTTGTCATTATTAAAATGGGGCCACCCAACTCAATTATCTAGAAAACTAAGTGTAGGCGAATTATGCTGGATACATTTAGCCATCACTCTTCAACAACACTATGAAATGGAAAAAACAAGGTATTAAGGCAACAACCTGCATGATGAATAAAATAGTACCTCACATCTCAATGCTAATGTTGAATGTCAATAATCTAAATGCTCCACTTAAAAGATACAGATTGGCAGAATGGGTAAAAATCCACCAATCGAGTATCTGCTGTCTTCAAGAGAATGCCTAACACATAAGGACTCACATAAACTGAAGGTAAAGGGGTGGAAATATTTCATGCAAATGGAAGCCAAAAGTGAGCAGGAGTAGCTATTGTTATATCAGACAAAACAGCCTTTAAAGCAACAACAGTTTAAAAAAAAAAAGACAAAGAGGAACACTATATAATGACAAAAGGATTAGTCTAACAGGAAAGTATCACAATCCTTAATATATATGCACCTAACACTAGGGGTTCCAAATTTATAAAACAATTATTACTGGATCTAATAAATGAGATAGGTGGCAACACAATAATAGTGGGGGACTTCAATACTTCACTGACAGCACTAGACAGGTCATCAAGAAAGTCAACAAAGACAAAATGGACTTAAACTATACCCTAGAACAAATGGACTTAACAGATATTTACAGAACATTCTACCCAACAACTGCAGAATATACATTTTTGTCATTATCACATGGAACATTCTCCAAGGTAGACCATATGATAGGTCACAAAGTAAGTCTCAATACATTTAAGAAAATCAAAATTATATCAAGTACTCTCTCAGACCACAGTGGACTGAAACTGGAAATTAACTCCAAAGGAACCCTCAAAACTGTGTGAATACATGGAAATTAAATAACTTGCTCTTCAATGATCTTTGAGTCAACATTAAAATCAAGATGGAAATTTAAAAATTCTTTGAACTGAATGATAATAGTGACACAACCTATTAAAACCCTGGAATACAGCAAAAGAAGTACTAAGACGAAAGTTCATAGCATTAAATGCCTACATGAAAATGTCTGAAAGAGCACAAAAAGACAATCTAAGGTCAAACCTCAAGGAACTAGAGAAACAAGAACAAACCAAACTCAAACCCAGCATAAGAAATAAAATAACAAAGATCTGAGCAGAACTAAATAAAATTGAAGCATGAAAAATGATAAATGAAACAAAAAGCTGGTTCTTTGAAAAGATAAGCAATTGATAGACCATTAGTGAAATTAACCAAGAGAAGAAAAGACCCAAACGAGCTGAAGTAGAAATGAAACAGGATATATTACAACTGATACCACAGAAATTCAAGGCTACCATGAATACCTTTACACACACAAACTAGAAAATCTAGAATAGATTGATATTGATAAATTCCTGGAAATATACAACCCTCCAGATTAAATCAGGAAAAAACAGAAACTGAACAGACCAATAACAAGTAGCAAGATTGAAAGAGCAATAAAAAAAAATTGCCAACCAAAAAAAGTCCAGGACCAGATGAATTCACAGCTGAATTCCATCAGACATTCAAAGAAGAATTGGTCTCAATCTTACTGAAACTATTTCAAAAGGTAAAGAGGGCATCCTCCCTAAATCATTCTATGAAGCCAAAAGCAGGAAAAGACATAACCAAAAAAGTAAACTACACACCAATATCCCTAATAAACATAGATGCAAAAATTCTCAACAAAATACTGGTTAATCCATCCAACAGCATATCAAAAAGATAATCCACCATGATCAAGTGGGTTTCATACCAGGGATGCAGGGATGGTTTAACATACGCAAGTCAATAAATGTGATACATCACATAAACAGAATGAAAAACAAAAATAATATTGTTATCTCGATAGATACATGTATTAGTCACGGTTCTCTAGAGGAACAGAACTAATAGCACATATACGTGTGTGTGTGTATATATATATATAAGAGTTTATTAAGTATTAATTTACACAATCACAAGTTCACACAATAGGCTGTCTGCAAGCTGAGGAGAAAGGAGAGCCAGTTCGAGTCTCAAAACTGAAGAACTTGGAATCTGATGTTCGAGGGCAGGAAGCATCCAGCATGGGAGAAAGATGTAGGCTGGGAGGCTAGGCCAGTCTCTCTCCTTTTCAAGTTTTTCTTCTTGCTTTATATTTGCTGGCAGCTGATTAGACTGTGCCCACCAGATTAAGAATGGATCTGCCTTCCCTGGTCCACTGTCTCAAATGTTAATCTCTTTTGGCAATACCCTCATAGACACACCCAGGATCAATACTTTGTATCATTCAATTTAATCAAGCTGACACTCAGTATTAACCATCACAAGTCCACCCCTTGTCAACTTGAACCCATACTCATCTCCTGAGATCATACATAATCTTCAAACAAAGACAATAATAAGGTCATAATTACACCAACATAATACAATGATCCTTCGTACAACCAGAAACGCACCAATCCCCAAGTACTATTACATAAAGTTAATAAAACTTAAATGCTGACATGAAGTCAATAAATCTTATGTCACATGATAAAGGAAAAGGAAATAAAATAAAGGTATTTTCTTAGTCCAAGTGTATACATGCACAAACATGACTTTTAGCAAAAGAAGGAGGAAATATTCATGACCATTGCAGTCCCTGTTTCTGCAGGTGGTCACGTGGGCATAGCTGGTATTGATGACTACCTTCTTCTACTACCCATTCTGTATTCCCTTTGCCTTCAGCAAGCACCTCAGCAGGTTGTGTTTTTTTTTCCTGGTGGAGTGACCCAAACCTACATTCCTGAGGGATCTGGGCCATTTGTAGTCCTGCCTGGATCGGGCTGTTGTAGTTTCCCATTGACCTTAATCACAGGGCATGGTAATACTAAGAGGCATCCTAATGGATCGCCTGTATTCCATGCATACTCTTCCTTACCTCTGTTGTGGAGTAGTAGACTGATTTCATCTTGATAGTCCAGGTCAATCACGCCAGCCAACACTAACTCCCTTCATAGCCTGTTGACTTAAATGTAGGAGGAGCCCAAAGTATCCAGGTGGCAATCTTAACTTCTAGTTTAATGAAATCGATGTTGTGTCTCCTGGTGGCAGCATTCCTCCCTCTGGAACTAAGACCTCTAGGCCAGCAGAACATAATGTTGTGGGAGCAGGAAGCAAAAATTTTGCTAGTGGGTCACTAGGGGTGATGGTGAGTGCTGCCACTTCCAATCCTTGATTCCTGTACTCGAGAATTCTGGCTATGGGAGAAACACTATCCTATATTGGATGCTGATTCAGAGCATACACAGTCTTCCGGAGAACTTTGCCCCAGCCCTGCAAAGTATCGTCACCTAGTTGGCATTGTTATTGTGACTTCAAAAGGTCATTACACCATTCTATCAATCCAGCTGCTTCAGGATGGAGAACATGGTAAGACCAGTGAATTCCATGAGCATGAGCCCACTGCTGCACTTCTTTAGCCATGAAGTGAGTGCCTTGGTTAGAGGCAATGCTGTGTGGAATACCATAAGGGTGGACAAGGCATTCTGTGACTCCATGATGGTAGTCTTGGCAGAAGCATTGCATGCAGGATAGGCAAACCCATATCCGGAGTAAGTGTCTATTCCAGTGAAGACAAACTTCTGCCCTTTCCATAATGG
Organism: Homo sapiens; assembly: GCF_000001405.40. Taxonomy (NCBI): domain Eukaryota; kingdom Metazoa; phylum Chordata; class Mammalia; order Primates; family Hominidae; genus Homo; species Homo sapiens. Next base: position 2,914,540 of record NT_113891.3, on the reverse strand, counting down.
AAGAGGTCCAATAATCAACCTGTCACCAGGTAGCTGGCTGATCGCCCAAGGAATGGTGTCATATTGAGAGCTCAGTGTTGGTCTCTGCTGCTGGCAAATTGGGCACTCAGAAGTGGCCATAGCCAGGTCAGCCTTGGTGAGTGAAAGTCTATGTTGCTAAGCCTATGTATACCCTCCATCCCTACTGCCATAGCCACTTTGTTCATTGGCCCATTGGGCGATGACAGAAGTGGCTGGGAAAACAGACTGAGTGGTGTCCACAGAACGGGTCATCCTATTTGATTATTAAAATCCTCCTCTGCTTAGATCACCCATTGGTGGGCACTCACATGGGATACAAATATCTTTGTGGGTTTTGACCAGAGAGGTCCATCCACAAACCTCTTCCCCAAATTTCTTTGTCACCAATTTTCCAATCATGCTTCTTCCAAGTCCCTGACCCTCCAGCCAAACCATTGGCTACAGCCTATGAATCAGTATATAATCGCACATCTGGCTATTTCTCATTCCATGCAAACTGCACAACCAGGTGAACTGCTCACTAGGAAGATTTCCTTTCACTGCTGCCCTTCAGGGATGTCCTAGAAAGGGGCTGTAGTGCTGCAGCTGTCCACTTTTGGGTGGTGCCTCCATATCGTGCAGAACAATCTGTGAACAAGGCCCTATTCTTCTGTTCCTCTGTCAACTGATCATAGGGAACTCCTCATGAGGCCATCGGTGCAGGCTGAGGAAGAGAAAGCAGGGTGGCAGGAGTGGAGACCCTGGGCATCTGAGCCACTTCCTCATGTACCTTACTTGTGCCTTCGGGATCTGCTTGAGCCCGATCATGTACATGCCACTTCCATTTGATGATGGAATGCTGCTGTGCATGACCCACTTTATGGCTAGATTAGTCACAAAGCATCCAGTTCATGATAGGCAGTTCAGGTTGCATGGTGACTTGATGACCCATAGTCAAATGTTCAGTTTCTACCAAAGCCCAGTAACAGGCTAAGAGCTGTCTCTCAAAAGGAGAGTAGTTATCTGCAGAAGATGGCAGGGCCTTGCTCCAAAATCCTGGAGGCCTCTGCTGTGATTCAACTATGTGGGCCTGCCAAAGGCTCCAACAGCATCCCTATCTACCACTGACACCTCAAACATCATTGGGTTTGCTGGGTCATATAGCCCAAAGGGCAGAGCAGCTTGCACAGCAGCCTGGACATGTTGCAGAGCCTTCTCCTGTTCTGTACCCTACCCAAAACTGGCAGCCTTTCAGGTCACTTGATAAATGGGCCGGAGTAACATACCCAAATGAGGAATGTGTTGCCTCCAAAATCCAAATCGGCCCACTAGGCATTGTGCCTCTTTCTTGGTTGTAGGAGGAGCCAAATGCAGCAACTTATTCTTCACCTTAGAAGGAATATCTTGGCAGGTCCCACACCATTGGACCCCTAGAATTTTACTGAGGTAGAAGGTCCCTGAATTTTAGTCAGATTTATTTCCTATCCTCTGGCACGCAAATGTCTCATCAATAAGTCCAGTGTGTTTGCTACTTTTTGCTCACCGGATCCAATCAGCACAATGTCATTAAGGTAATGGACCAGTGTGATATCTTGCAGAAGCGGAAAGTGATCAAGGTTTCTTTGAATCAGATTATGACACAAAGCTGGATTGTTGATATACCCCTGAGGCAGGACAGTAAACGCATATTGCTGGCCTTGCCAGCTGAAGGCAAATTGCTTCTTGTGGGCCTTATGGACAGGAATGGAGAAAAAGGCATTTGCCAAGTCAATGGCTGCATACCAGGTACCAGGAGATGTGTTAATTTGCTCAAGCAATGAAACCACATCTGGTGCAGCAGCTGCAGTTGGAGTCGTCACCACTTGGTTAAGCTTACAATAATCCACTGTCATTCTCCAAGATCTGTCTGTCTTCTGCACAGGCCATTTGGGAGAGTTGAATGGGGATGTGATTTGAATCACCACCCCTGTGTCTTTTAAGTTCTTCATGGTGGCACTAATCTCCTCTGTACCTCCAGGGATGTGACATTGTTGATTTACTATTTTTCCAGGTAAAGGCAGCTCCGATGGCTTCCATTTGGCCTATCCCACCATAATATCCCTCACTCTACCAGTCAGCATGCCAGTGTGGGGGTTCTGCCAGCTGCTAACTATTCCTATGCCAATTATGCATTAATTGGGGAAATTGCATTGGGGAAATGATGCATTAATTGGGAAAATTAATTGGGAAAATGCATTAAGTGGGGAAATGACCACAGGATGAGTCTGGGGATTCATTGTACCCATTGTAAGTCAGACCTGAGCTAAAACTCCATTAATTACCTGAACTCCATAAGCTCCTACTTTAACTGGAGGGCCACAATGATGTTTTGGGTTCCCTGGAATCAATGTCAGCTCAGAGCCAGTGTCCTGTATTCCTGAAATATCTAATCATTTTCCTCTCCCCAGTGCACAGTTACCCTGGTAAAAGGCTGGAGGTCTCCTCACAGAAGGATGGAAGAAGATTCACTGCATAAATTGTCAGTAATGTAGTGGGGTCCTTCTTCAAGGAGACCCAGCTTCCTTTTCATTCAAGGGGTTCTGGGTCTGTAAACTGGCTCAAGTCTGGAAATTGACTGAGGGGCCATGATTCTTTGTTTTTATGATTAAAATTAGTCTTTTGTCCATTGCACATAGAAGTTTTCTGCTTGTATAAATTAAGTAGGAATGAAGTAGGCTTCCTATCAATTTCATTCCTAGGAACACCATGATTAATTAGCCAATGCCAGAGCTCTGCATGAGTTGGACTATTATGACTGCCACTTTGCCTCTGCTGTCCATTATGGTAGCTACACTCACCTTGCCTTTGATGGTTGAATGCTGCCACTTGGCCCCTGACACCTCGGGATCCAATTATTCCCATTGTATTTAAATTTTATAGTTGAGTACTGTGATTCCCACTGTTAGCTCTGACATGCAGAGAAGAGCAATTACAGGGCTCTTCAAAGATGCAGGTGCTGCCCTCACAAACCTATTTCACAAGGCACTGGTCAAGGGTAAATCTTCTAGACCTTCCCAGTTGGGATGAGTAGGTCTAAACTGACTAATCCATTCCACCATCCCAATCTCCCTAAGCTTTTTAATTCCTTCCTCTACATTAAACCAAGGGAGATCAGACATTTCCAGCTTGCTCACAGTGGGCCACCTTTTAATCCATATTTCAGCTAACCAAGAAAATAAACTATTACGACCTTCTTTAACTCCCCGAGCTGCAACATTAAAAGCAGAGTCCTTACTTAATGGCCCAAATCAATAAATTCAGCCTTATCCAACTCTATGTTCCTTTCACCATTATCCCATACCTGTAATATCCATTCCCATGCCTGTTCTCCACATTTCTATTGATATAAATTAGAAAACTGAAACAGCTCTTTTTGAGTGTAGTGCACCTCCTCATGGGTCACACTCTCAACCTCACCTCTAGGGGACCGCTGGGACTTTAGTCTAGTCATAGGTCTAGAAGCAAACAGAGGTGTTAGGGGTGGCTCCTGAGGAGAATCAACATTATCTTGCCTGGCAACTGCTTCAGGGCAGGCCATCACTGTTGCCTCAGGCAGTGCAGGGTTTGTCTTCTCAGATAAAGGTGGAAAGGCTGATGACAGCATGGGCTGGGGAGGGGATGTTGCCAATACTAGGGACGGGGAAGCTGATTCTTCTAGCAAAAAAAGTTTCATCATAATTTACACACTTAGTGTCCCCAGCTTCATTAGGATCCTCCCACATATCCCCATTCCAAGTTGCAGGGTCTCATTCTTTTCTGATCAATGCCCTCACTTTAACAGTAGACACTTGGTGAGGCTGTGTATGCATCTTTCATCGCAGGTCAGCTACTCACATGATAGGAGCTTTTGTCTGTTTTTCCACAATTTCAGCTCTTTCTCTACAGGAGATAAGACTGTCACTCATGGGGCAATCTTAGCAGATTTGAGGCTCAGTATCTGCTTCTGAAGCTGGGAGACAGAATCCCTGAGTTCATTATCTTCTTTTATCACTTTGTCCACTGAACTTAGGAGCAACCAACCAGCTTCATTATGTTCCTTGGTTCTCTACATATGGTCAAAATTATTAGGTTAGAGTCACTAAACTTGCCTCTCAGGAGCAGTGAATAGTGTGAAATGCATTTATTTTGCGTTACTCTCTAAACAGTTCATGCCAGGGACTATCAGCATTCTCCACACTATTAGAAGTAGAGTCCTTAGCATTTTTGGGTCTAATCATATTAAGCAACCAACTCCAGAAACCCCTAAACTAACAAAAGAACTCCATCCTTAATATTCTGTTCCTCTAGAACCACTCCTGTTACCAAAATCTGTATTAGTCAGGTTTTCTAGAGGGACAGAACTAATAGAATATATATATATAGAATATATATATATATATATAGAATATATACATATAGAATATATATATAGAATATACATATAGAATATATATATAGAATATACATATAGAATATACATATAGAATATACATATAGAATATACATATAGAATATACATATAGAATATACATATAGAATATACATATAGAATATATATATAGAATATATATATAGAATATATATATAGAATATATATATAGAATATATATATAGAATATATATATAGAATATATATATAGAATATATATATAGAATATATATAGAATATATATATAGAATATATATATAGAATATATATAGAATATATATATAGAATATATATATAGAATATATATATAGAATATATATATAGAATATATATATAGAATATATATATAGAATATATATATAGAATATATATATAGAATATATATATAGAATATGTATATAGAATATATATATAGAATATATATGTATATAGAATATATATATAGAATATATATGTATATAGAATATATATATAGAATATATATGTATATAGAATATATATATATAGAATATATATGTATATAGAATATATATATAGAATATATATATACAGAATATATATATACAGAATATATATATAGAATATATATAGAATATATATATAGAATATATGTATATAGAATATATATAGAATATATACATATAGAATATATATACTATATATATAGAATATATATAGTATATATATAGAATATATATATAGAATATATATATAGAATATATATATAGAATATACATATAGGATATATATATATAGGATATACATATAGGATATATATATAGGATATACATATAGGATATACATATAGGATATACATATAGTATATATATATAGGATATACATATAGGATATACATATAGGATATATATAGGATATACATATAGGATATATATATATAGGATATATATATAGGATATATATATAGGATATATATATAGGATATATACATAGGATATATATAGGATATATACATAGGATATATATATAGGATATATACATAGGATATATATATAGGATATATACATAGGATATATATAGAATATATATAGGAGATATATATAGAATATATATAGGATATATATATAGAATATATATAGGATATATATAGGATATATATATAGAATATATATAGGATATATATAGGATATATATATGTAGGATATATATGTAGGATATATATATGTAGGATATATATGTAGGATATATATATAGGATATATAGGATATATATAGGATATATATAGGATATATAGGATATATATATAGGATATATATAGAATATATAGAATATATATAGGATATATATAGAATATATAGAATATATATAGGATATATATATAGAATATATAGAATATATATCGGATATATAGAATATATATAGAATATATATATAGAATATATATATAGAATATATATAGAATATATATAGAATATATATATAGAATATATATAGAATATATATAGAATATATATATAGAATATATATATAGAATATATATAGAATATATATAGAATATATATATAGAATATATATATAGAATATATATAGAATATATATATAGAATATATATAGAATATATATATAGAATATATATAGAATATATATATAGAATATATATAATATATATAGAATATATAGATAGAATATATATAATATATATAGAATATATATAGAATATATAGAATATATATAGAATATATATAATATATATAGAATATATATATTATATATAGAATATATAGAATATATATATTATATATAGAATATATAGAATATATATAGAATATATCTATAGAATATATAGAATATATATAGAATATATATAGAATATATAGAATATATATAGAATATATATAGAATATATAGAATATATATAGAATATATATAGAATATATATATAGAATATATATAGAATATATATAGAATATATATATAGAATATATATAGAATATATATATAGAATATATATATAGAATATATATAGAATATATATAGAATATATATAGAATATATATATAGAATATATATAGAATATATATAGAATATATATATAGAATATATATAGAATATATATAGAATATATATATAGAATATATAGAACATATATAGAATAGATATATAGAATATATAGAATAGATATATAGAATATATAGAATAGATATAGAATATATATATAGAATATATATAGAATATATATAGAGAATATATATATAGAATATATATATAGAATATATACACACACACACAAAATGTAAGTTAGTACGTTATATATATATTATTTTATATATAATATATATTATGTTAGTATTTAATATTAACAGAATAATATAATAATAGAATAATATATATTATAATATATATTATATATAAAACATATATAATATATAATATATATAAAACATATATAATATATAATATATATATATGCTTATTGAGTACTAACTTACACAATCACAGGGTCACATAATAGGCTGTCTGCAAGCTGAGGAGCAAGGAGAGCCAGCCTGAGTCCCAAAAGGGAAGAACTTGGAGTCCAATGTTCAAGGGCAGGAAGCATCCAGCATGGGAGAAAGATGTAGGCTGGGAGGCTAGGCCAGTGTCTCTCCTTTTCTTGTTTTTCTGTTTGCTTTATGTTAAATGGCAGCTGATTAGACTGTGCCCACCAGATTAAGGGTGGATCTGCCTTCCCCAGCCCACTGTCTCAAATGTTAATCTCTTTTGGCAACACCCTCATAGACACACCGAGGATCAATACTTTGTATCCTTCAATCCAAATCAAGTTGACACTTAGTATTAACCATGCACAAAAAACATTTGACAAACATTTTACAAAATCCAGCATTGCTTTATGATTAAAAGCTTCAACAAAGTTGGCATACAAGGAACATACCTGAAGGTAGTAAAAGCCATTTATGACAAACCTACAGGCAACATTATATTGAATGAGGGAAATTAGAAATCATTCCCCCGATAACTGAAACAAGGTAAGGATGTCCACTTTCACCACTTGTCTTCAACATTGTATTGAAAGTTCTAGCCAGAGCAATCAGACAAGAGAAAGAAATAAAGGGCATCCGAATTGGCAAAGAGAAAGTCAAACTGTTGCTGTTTGCTGATGATATGATTGTACAGCTAGAAAACCCTAAAGACTCATGTAGACCAATGAAACAGAATAGAGAACCCAGAAATAAAACCAAATACTTACAGTCAACTGATCTCTGACAAAGGAAATGAAAACATAAAGTGGGGAAATGACACCCTATTCAACAAATGTTGCTGGGATAATTGGCAACTCACATGTAGAAGAATGAAACTGGATCCTATGTCTCACCGTATACAAAAATTAACTCAAGATGGATCAAAGACTTAAATCTAAGACCTGAAACCATAAAAATTCTAGAAGATAACACTGAACAAAACCCTTCTAGACATTGGTTTAGGCAATGACTTCATGAGCAAGAACCCAAAAGCAAATGCAACAAAAACAAAAATAAATTCATGGGACCTAATTCAGCAAAAAAGCCTCCGCATAGCAAAAGAAATAATCAACAGAGTTAACAGACGACCCATAGAGAGGGAGAACATATACACAAACTATGCATTTGACAAAGGACTGATGTCCAGAATCTACAAGGAACTCAAACAAATCAGCAAGAGGAAAATGAATAATCCCATCAAAAAGAAGGCTAAGTACAGGAATAGAAAATTCTCAAAAGAGGATATACAAATGGCCAGCAAACATAAAAAAATGCTCAGCATCCCTAATTATCAGGGAAATGCCAGTGAAAACCACAATGCAATACCACCTTACTTCTGCAATAGTGGCCATAATTGAAAAATAAAAAAATAATAGGTGTTGGTGTGGATGTGGTAAAAAGGGAACACTTTTACACAGCTGGCAGGAATGTAAACTAGTACAATCACTATAGAAAACAGTATGGAGATTCCTTAGGGAACTAAAAGTAGATTTACAATTTTATCCAGCAATCCTACTACTGGGTATGTACCAGAGGAAAAGAAGTCATTATATGAAAAAGATACTTGCACACACATGTTTATAGCAGCACAATTCACAGTTGCAAAAATATGGAACCAGCCCAAATGTCCGTCAATCAATGAGTGGAAAATGAAAATGTGGTGTATATCGTGGAATACTGTGCAGCCATAAAAAGGATGAGTTTATGTCCTTTGTAGGGACATGGATGAAGCTGGAAACCATCATTCTGAGCAAACTATCACAAGGACAGAAAACTGAACGCCGCATATTCTCACTCATAGGTGGGAATTGAACAATGAGAACACCTGGACACGGGGTGGAGAACATCACACACTGGGGCCTGTCGTGGGGTTGGGGGAGGGAAGAGGGGGGAGGGAAAGCATTAGGAGAAATACCTAATGTAAATGAAGAGTTAATGGGTGCAGAACACCAACATGGCACATGTATACATATGTAACAAACCTGCACGTTGTGCACATGTACCCTAGAGCCTAAAGTATAATTAAAAAAAACAACAACAAAAAAACAAAAAAACCAACAATCTATTGATAGATACATCCAAGAATGTAAATGAATCCTTGAATCTTTAGGGAATCATGCTGAGTGAAAAAAAAAGCCAATATCAAAAGAACACATACTGCATGATTCCATTCATATCACTTTCTTGAAATGACAAGTTTAATAGAAGTAGAGAATATGTTAGTGGTTGCCAGGGGTTAGGCATGGAAGCGGGGAAAGGTCAGTGTGATTATAAAAGGGTAACATGAGGGCTCCTTGTGGTGGTAGAACTGTTCTGTGTCTTGACCATATCAATGTCAGTGTCCCTTGTGATATTATGCTGTAGTTTGTAACATGTCATTGAAGAATAATGGGTAAAGAATGTATGACATTTCTCTTTATTATTATTATTATTTTATTGGTAAGACACAGGGTCTTGCTGTGTTGCCCAGGTTGGTCTTGAGCTCCTGGTCTCAAGTGATCCTGCTCTCTCCACCTCCCAAAGTGCTGGGATTACAGGCGTGAGCCACCATGCCTGCCCTCTTTACTATTTCTTACAGTTACATGTGGATCTATGATTACCTCAAAATAAAAAGTGTAATTAAAAAAAAGAAAATGTGGTGTATATATATATATACCGTAGAATGCTACTCAGCCACAAAAAGAAGTGAAATAACGGCAATTGCAGCAGCCTGAATGACGTTGGAGGCCATTATTCTAAGAGAAGTAATTCAGGAATTGAAATCTAAATGTCATGTGTTCTCACTTATATGGGCATGCAAAGGCAAAAGAATGATATAATGAACGTTGGGGACTCAGAGGGTAGGGTCATAGGATGGTGCGGGAGAAAAGACTACACATTGGGTACATGTACACTCCTCAGATGATGGATGCACCAAAATCTCAGAAACCACCACAAAAGAACTTACCCATGTAACTAAAAACCACCCCCTCCCCGCAAATCAAGTTTATCTTTAAACTAGCAGGGTACATTCCTTGCTTGTCATGACCCATGGTCCTAGGATGTTGATAGCTAAGGAAGCAGTTTGGTAATACCTGCAAGGATAAACTCCTATGACAACAAAATGTCCAGATATCCCAATATCACAGAACAGTATGTGCTTTAAAACTGATTTTGTAACTGATAGAGGAGTTAAAAAGAAATTATTTAGGCAGATAGTGAGAGTAAAGAAGTCCTTGGTAAGGTTTTCCTTTTAATGAAAAGCAGCCCCCAAATCATTTTCTTTCTAACAAAGAGCAGCCTGTAAAATTGAGCTGCAGACATAGACAAGCAAGCTGGAAGCTTGCCTGAGTGAATGCCAGCAGTTGTGCCAATAGGAAAAGGCTACCTGGGACTAGGCATGTTCAAATGGCGGCTCCATCTTCACTTTTCCTTTCCAACCACGTGTGCAGCAGGGAGCAGACAACATGGTGTCAGCCAAGTGGAAAGCCTATTTGCATAAGAAGATTAGGGTGGGGTGGTCAGCTTCCCCATGCACTATGTAAACATCACACCTGGTCCAACCAATCTGTGGGCCCTGTGCAAATCAGACACCTCTTTCAGCCTGTGTATAAAATCCAGTGCACTCTGCCATGGGCTGGAATTCCCACTTGCGTGCCCCTTCTCTCACAGGAGAGAGAGCTATTCTTCTTTCTCTTTCTTTTCTTTTGCCTATTAAACCTCTACTCCTAAACTCACTCCTTGTGTGTGTCTGTGTCCTTAATTTTCTTGGCATGAGGCAATGCATCTCAGGTATCACCCCAGACAAAGGTGCTGCTTTATTTTTGGTGCTCATTCAGGATCCCAAGGTACATTCATCAGAATGGTGAGTACAGGAGCAGACCTCCACTCTGTTTTTTTATTTTGAGGCTCTTGGCCTCCATTTTTAGAATCAAATCAAACCAAATACTGGGTCCCCTTCAGCCATTTAAAAATGATTAGTGTGGCTCCCAGCATTACAAGACGGGAGACAGGCTTCCTGGGGAGAACATGGAGAATCCCCCATTACCCATGGGTTGCTGGGCATATTGGCCGTGTTTGAACCAGTTTCCTTTCATGGAGGATCTAGCCATCACCTGGGGCTGGAAGAAGTCAGGGAGCAACTGAGGATTTCTGGATGGAGCTACCACGTGGCATTATGAAAGGCTTCTAGACTGACCCCAGCCTCCGAATGCCTGACTGGGTGTTGGCAACAGGATCTCTAACTTTCCTATCACGATTTCCTCCTTTCTTGTCCATGATTGCCATGTCTCCTATTCTTTCTCTGTATACAATGCTGCAGGAATTTTACAGTTCAGGGAAGTAATCCTGTTAGGCAAGATCAGGAAATGCTGTAGTAACCAGGGATATAGCTCAGGGGAATGTCATTGTGATTTTCTAGGAACACATCCCCCCTACCCGCCACAGTGAGCATCTCTCTCTGCCCTTGGTCTGGAGTGCACATGGAGTTTCAAGGTCAACAGCACCAGCTAGCGGAATAGAAGTCCTATCCATGTGGCGCATTGTCAGTCCTTTGCCAAAAAACTCTAACTTACCAATTCTCCTCCCTTTTTGCATCCCTCTACTAGAAACTAGGTTTTATGCTGCTTCAGCTATATGTGTTTGTATAGTGTGTATATGTGAGTGTATGTGTGTGTGTATGTATGAAGAGAGACAGAATGAAGAGACTAAGATTTTTGACTGAACCATTCTAAAGTAACTTGCTAGACCCATGATATTTCACCACTAAACACCTCATCGTGCATCTCCTAAGAGTAAAAACCTACATTATCACACCAAAGAAAATAAACAATAATTCCATATTATCTAAAGTCCTTTCATATTCAAGTATCTTCACTTCTTCAATCTATTCTTTGTACATTTTTATAACTTGGTTCCATAAAATATCCACTCATTGCCTTTGATTATGTGTCCTTTAGTTACCTGTAATCTACAACAATCCACTAATCCTTTTTTCTTTTAGAACAGCATTACTTATTGCAGGCCAAATAACTTTAGCATGCTCTCCACACCGAATTTATCATATTATTTCCCCTGATGCCTTTTACTTTGCTCTTCTCTCTGCTGTGTTTCCTAAAGACCGAGGCAGATCTGGGTTAAACATTTGGCAACAATATTTCCAGGAGGGGCTGTCACCTGCACTTTCATTACATTGACAGGCACACGAGGCTCTTCAGGGCTCTTTCTGACACCATAATAGCCAAATTCATTCTGATTTCCTAGAGATGCATACACCAGGGCTGGGAATGCAGTGGGTACAAGTACGATTTTCTGGCAATAGGAGATCCTGCCACTCTCCCCATTCCTCATGTGCCTCATCAGGCCAGGTCCCTCCAGGCCTGAACTCCCTTTGCCTGTTTCCCAGCCCCACTCCGTTTTGTGTCTGTCTCCTCTTCCCTTCCCCTGTCCAAGCCCAGCTCCTGAGTGTCTCTACCTCTCAAACTAGTGTTCTCATCCAGGGGAGATTTTCCCACCAGAGGACAGGAGCTATGTCTGGAGAAATTTTTTGTTGCCATAACTGCAACAGTCCATGATCCTCTGCACTAGGCAGAGGGTAGAGATTGAGGGAGGCCCTCACTCCAAATCTTCTATCACTGCTAATGAAGTACTAAAAAGAGGTACAAAGCACTGTATCCCCTCTGGGGACCTGGCAGAAAAGCAGGGTCTCCACAACGTCAAATTCTATAGAAAAACATACCATTTTGGCAAAATACCCAAGTCACATTTCTAAGCCCCAGGCTGCAGCTCAAATACAAACAATATCAAAAACCCAAAACCTTAGTCAAGCTAAAATCATTGAAGCTGGCTGCAAGGGTTTGTGAGACCTGTAGTTAGAGGGAAGGACAACTTAATTTAGAACTGCAGCAGAAGAACGGCATCATGTGGTCCCCTGAATGAACCCTCTCCTTTCAGCAGGAAATTGTGAGGACATTTTTTTGGGGGAAAAAGTAGAATCTTGTTAAATTTCTGAGGTCTACACTTACTACTTATTTGTTGACTTTGTAGATGTCAACTTCACTTTGAACATCCTGCAATTCACTTTTTTACTGTAAGTGGAGAGAATCTGAACTTGTTTCTGAAGCAGGAAACCAGGGACTGGTTATGTGAGCTATCAACCCACCCTGTGGCTGGCTCCCTTATGCAGTAAGCATGACAGATTGTGGGCCAACAAAATTTGTAGCAAGGAAAACCGTAAACCCTCCATTTCAGTCTATGTTTCAGCTTGTCTAGTAATGATCTAGCCTTGCCTCACTCTTAACATTTTAAAGTTTATAATTCTACTTGATATTGATTTTATAAGAATTCATGTATTTTCATTTCTGTTGTGTTTGTCACTGGAAGCCTCCTCAAAACAACTGTGGAGTAAAGAAAAGTAAATAAATGCATGGTGTACTAGTGCTCAATGCATTTTGCAAATGTGTCAGCCTCACTTCCACAGATGGTGCTGCAACAAGTGGTGCTGAGAAACTGGATATCCGCATGCAAAAGAATGATGTTGGACACAATTCATAGCCTTCCCTACACCATACTCAACAATTAACTCAGAATGTATCAAACAACGAAGCTTAAGAGTCAAACCTGTAAAACCCTTAGAAGAAAACATTGAGGAAAGTCTTGTGAACATTGGATTTGGTAGTAGTTTCTTGGCTGGATGACCCAAAGCATGAGCAATTAAAGAAAAATGATAAATTAGACTTTATCAGATTTAAAAACTTTTTTGCAACAAGTGACATTATTAAAAGAGTGGAAAGAAAATGCACAGAATGGGAGGAGCTATTTGCCAATCATACATCTGATGAAGAATTAATATTCAAAATACATAAAAAAACTACAACTCATCCATTAAAAAAACAACGCCATTCAAAAATGGGTAATGGACATGAAGAGACATTCACGCCGCTGTCCATCACCCACACAACAGGTAGAGTAAACCTTTCAAACGGGAATTAGAGCACATCATCACCACCACATCCCAAAGCCACTCTAGCTTCTTCCCCTCTTAGTGCAATGAAACCCCAATGTCTCACCATTTCCTACAAGCCCCTCAACACAGGGCCCCTCTGTCAACTCTGGGCTCATCCCACTCCTCTCAGCCCAGCTCACTTGTCTCCACTCACACCAGCCTCTTGTCACTGCTCTGCCCTATTTCTGCCACCTACCCATGCTCTGACTCCCACATGTACCTGCTCCCCAGGGATTCACATGACTCACTCCTCACACGATTCAGGTCTCTTCTCAGATAACCAGTGGTCAAGTTCTCAGAAACGTCTTGCTCAATGACCTTGTCTAAACTATGTCCCTGCTATTCCCACCATCACCAATCTTCTGGCCTAGGCATATTTTTCTCAATGGCAATTAGTGGTAATACTAGGTTTTATTTGCTTACTGTCCATTGGTATATTAGGGTTCTCCAGAGAAACCCAACCAACTGGATAGATAGATAGATGGACCATAGAGAGAAGGAAAGCACCACAGTCACTGAAGTAAGGGCCCTCATGGAAGAGGTGTGACAGGAAAGGTCTGCTGTCCCAGGGCCACCATATATAGGAGTGACTCCCATCCTGGGCAGGACCTTTCTTTCTTTTGTATTCACAGTAGTTCTGAAATTGCAGGATGCTGAAACCCAGCACCGGCCAGTTATACTGTTTCTTTCTTTACCATTAAATGCTGTGCCAAAGAGCACCTTAATACATTTCTTTCCTCTTCCTGGAGAGAGGCAAAATGATAGTAGATATGTTGAAACACACAAATGTACTTTAAGCACGTGCTTTCAGGAAAAGCTACTAGAAGATTAGTTGCACCAAAATGAGGGGGGATACAAAAGTGAAAAGAAAGATTGCATATCCATATTCATAATGGTGTTATTCACAACAGGCAAGATATGGAAGCAACCTATATGTTTACCAACAGATGAATAGATCAAGAAAATATGATTATATACAGACAATGGAATATTATTCAACATTTAAAAGAAGAAAATCTTGCTATATGCTACAACGTATATGAACCTTAAAGTCATTGCTAAGTGAAATATGCCAATCAAAAAAAAAAAAAAAACTCCAAGTACTGCATAATTCCATTTACATGAGGTGTCTAAAACAGTCAAACTTGATGAATGTGAAGGTAGAATGGTGGCTGCCAGGTAAAACTTCCAGGTAATAAGGATTTTTGTGAAAGGGGCACAGAGTTTCAGCTTTCAAGGTGAAATATTCTAAAGATCGGTTGCACTACACTGTGCTTACAATTAACACTATTATAGTACAGTATATTTTAATTTAATTTTTTTTTTTTGGCTGGAGACAGGGTCTCACTACTTTCCCCAAGCCTGACTTGAACTGTAGGCCTCCAGTGATCCTCCTGCCTTAGCCTCCCAAATTGCTGGGATTACAGGCATGAGCCACCACACCTGGCCAATGGTACTGTATTCTTAAAAATAGTTATGATAGTAAATTTTATGTGTATTTTTTGCCACAATGAAAAAATGCTCAGCCCTCTTACTAATTTAGAAAGAAACTGCATCAGTTAATTAAAAATATATTAGGATGTGGCCTGTGGTCCTGACTACCTAGGAAGATGAGGTAGGAGGGTCACTTGAGCCTATGAGGTTGAGCCTGTAGTAAGCCATGATGGCACCACTGCACTCCAGCCTGGCTGACAGAGCAAAATTCCCTTTCTCTCTCTCTCTCTCTACACACACACACACACACGAACCAGGAGAATCAGCATCTCATGAAACTAGACAGAAAGGCTCATATGCCTCAGCCTTGACATCTTGAATCAGTCTGCATTTTGGCTGGACCCCAGGTGGCTCCACTGCATGTAAAGCACTGCCCCAGATGGCGGTGGAGGGAGATCCTAGGACAGTGACTCTGTTCCACAGGGAGAAGCCTCCAGTCCAGATGGGAGCAGCGAGAAGGGCCCAGGAGGGACATTTCCAAGAAGGTAAAGTGGAATATCCAAAGTCTGTAATTTCTTAAAAGAGTAATACGGCTGGGTGCAGTGGCTTACCTCTGTAATCCCAGCACTTTGGGAAGCCGAGGCGGGTGAATCACCTGAGGTCAGGAGTTCGAGACCAGCCTGACCAATACGGAGAAACTGTCTCTACTAAAAATACAAAATTAGCCGGGTGTGGTGGTGCATGCCTGTAATCCCAGCTATTCGGGAGGCTGAGGCAGGAGAATCCCTTGAACCTGGGAGGTGGAGGTTGTGGTGAGCCAAGATTGTGCCATTGCATTCCAGCCTGGGCAACAAGAGCGAGACTCCATCTCAAAAAAAAAAAAAAAGGCCAGGCGCGATGTCTCACGCCTGTAATCCCAGCACTTTCAGAGGCTGAGGTGGGTGGATCACGAGGTCAAGAGATCGACATCATTGTGGACAACATGGTGAAACGCCGTCTCTACTAAAAATACAAAAATTAGCTGGGCATGGTGGTGAGTGCCTGTAATCCCAGCTACTCGGGAAGCTGAGGCAGGAGAATTGCTTGAACCTGGGAGGCGGAGGTTGTGGTGAGCCAAGATCACACCACTGCACTCCAGCCTGGACAACAGAGTGAGACTCCATCCCAAAAAAAGGAGTAATACAAATAGAAGAAATATCAACGTTAATGAGTGCTATTTATAAAATAAACAAAAACAAAGGCAAGTATTAACTACAGGAAGAACAAATGTTCAGGAAGTGAAAAGTGGTCAAGCTGACATATGAGAAAATTAGTCATGGAAAAGGAAACAAGGAACGACTGAACCAAACATAATTACTACAGAAATACATCGGGAAGATGAAAGAATGGGAAGAGTGAAAGGGAACAGGTACAATTAACTATTGCATTCACCACTGTGCTGTGCAACAGATAATGACTGCAACGGAAAAATCAAGCAGTATTAATGAAGGAATTGTATTTAGACATATGGAAGTAAAAGTTGAAAGACTTAGCTAAAAATGTTGAAAATGGTTGCCTCTAGGAAGGCAGAAATTGAGAAGATGCAGAGAGGACTCATTTCTCTAGAGAAATCCTATGCAAATATTTGACTTTTAAAATCATGGACAATTAAATTTTGATTATAAAAACTTCAATGAATATGAAAATTTATACCTAATGAGAACAGAATTCAACAAGTGACACTTGCTAACTAAAATAAACAAGACTAATAAATACACAACATAAATGCATGAATGTGTAAATGACATCAACCTGAAAACATAAAAGAAAATGTCAACGAACACATCTCTGGATCAGTAAGTAGCACATGAGTGAATTCCCTACTCCAGCTCCCTTACTGGTTGCTTTGTGAACCAGGCAGTGGGAGGAAACAGGGCCCAGCCAGGGTCCCTCGTCCTTCTCTTGCTTCCAGGCAGGTCCTGCATCCACTCCTGCTGCAAGAAGGGCTCCCATCCCTGCCTTGGGTCTTTTTCACAGGTGTCACCCTTACACTCTCTGCCATGACCACCTTACGTGGGTGGGGCTGAGGTTGCCTTGACCAAGAAGTGCATCACCCATCTGTGTGCCCCAACACCAGCAGTCAGGAGGCATCAAGAAATAGGGTGAGGAATAACCCACCTCTTGCATGTCCACTTTCCTGGTTCATTTATTCTTCATTCATTCAGTCCACACCTCCCCAGCAGTCACTTTACGCCAGAACCTGACTGACTGGGATTCTTCAAAATCAGAAAACCTCCAAGCACTCTCTATCCCCTCCCGAATATCACACTTCAGCTCTGTGTCATCACATGAAGGCTCCAACTCTTCAGGGCAGATGTTCCCCCACAGGGTCAGCCCCTGAAGGTCAGTGCCAGATGTCCCACCTCCATCCCTTCCCAGTCCTTTCTGTTCTGCTGTGAATCTGTCAGTCATCAGGAGCTAGCAGGGAAAGGGGACAAGGAGGGGAGATTGTCTTCATGCCGTGCCAAGGCATTGAGACAGACCTCTCTTTCTCCCTGAACCTCACACTTTATCCGCTCCCAGACACATGAAATAAAACAGACTAGAAGTGTCTGTTTAAAGAGTAAACATCTATGGTATAAAATTACACACCCATAACAGTAGACATAGAGTAATGCGTAAGAGTGTGATGGGGCGAGGGGACCTCAAGGTGACAAGAAAGCTGGTCCTGGGCTGGTCAGGAGGAGTCATCTCCAAGACACTCACTCACAAAGCTCACCGATGATAATCCAATTACAACACACGTAATATATTAAAATATCTTAAAATATAATAAAATAGGCCAGACATGGTGGATGATATAATAAAATAAAATAAATTAAAATGTAATAAAATAGGCCGGGTATGGTGGCTCATGCTTGTAATCCCAGCACTTTGGGAGGCTGAGGCAGGCAGATCACCTGAGGTCAGGAGTTTGAGACCAGCCTGGCCAACATGGCAAAATCCTGTCTCTATGAAAAATGCAAAAATTAGCCGGGTATGGTGGTGCATGTCTGTAACCCCAGCTACTCGGGAGGCTGAGGCAAGAGAAGTGCTTGAACCCGGGAGGCGGAGGCTGCAACGAGCTGAGATCATGTCACTGAACTGCAGCCTGGGTGACAGAGTGAGACTCTGTCTTTTTTTTTTTTTTTTTTTGAGACAGAGTCTCGCTCTGTCGCCAGGCTGGAGTGCAGTGGTGTGATCTCAGCTCACTGCAACCTCCACCTCCCAGGTTCAAGTGATTTTCCTGCCTCAGCTCCTGAGTAGCTGGGACTACAGGCACACGCCACCAGGCCCAGCTAATTTTTTGTATTTTTAGTAGAGACAGGGTTTCACCATGTTGATCAGGATGGTCTCGATCTCTTGACCTTGTGATCCGCCCGCCTCGGCCTCCCAAAGTGTTGGGATTACAGGCGTGAGCCACCGTGCCTGGCCTGAGACTCTGTCTTAAAAAAAAAAAATAATAATACGAAAACAACAAAAACAATGACACCAATTAATATGGCACAGCTGCAAATGCCTCATATCTACTAACATTTTGCAGCCTCCAACAACAATAAATAAGTGCTTTTATTTTCTCTGTTTCATAGGTCAGGAAACTGAGGCACCAAGAGGGAAAGTGCTTGTGAGATCCAGGCAGGGAATTCAATTCCAGCCGCCTGGCTGTAGAGTCTAGGTGCCCTCAGTGGAGCCAGTGGACCCAAGAGCTGACATCAGAGGCTGAAATCCGAGCTGTGTGGCATCCCTGTGGTCACTCGTCCCAACTGGGTGTTGATCCAGGACCTGCAGGCTCACGAGCTCTGGAGAAAAGAGGGAAATGGGTAAATGCTCCACTGGGTGCAGTGTTGTGTTTATTCCCTGGGGACTTTTCACTCTTCAGTTGCTCCAAAACCAGATTTGCCCTTTCTCTGAGGGAAGATGAGGCCCCCACTTTTTTCTTCCTCCCTCCTTGCTTTTCCCAGCCCCTGCCAGTTCCCTCCCATCACTCCATCAACATCAGCCCGTGCCCTGTGCCCACCACTCATCGTGCAGGGAGGGAAAGGGCCCCAAGACTAAAGGACAAGACCCAAGAGGGAACCCAGTGCCCTCCTCTCAGGCCTGACCAGTCCTGTTACAGTGAGAGGCCTCCCCAAAGAGAGGCCCTGACCCTTGCTCTCAGTCCCCAGGCCCTCCTCTCCTGCAGAGGCACCTACACACCAGGGCAGGCCCTGCCCACTGTGGGCTCTGCCCTCTATCTGCAGCTCAGTGCTCCTCCCCTCCCAGCCCTGAGCAGGCAGCTCCTAACTGGGGACCCCATCAG
Organism: Homo sapiens; assembly: GCF_000001405.40. Taxonomy (NCBI): domain Eukaryota; kingdom Metazoa; phylum Chordata; class Mammalia; order Primates; family Hominidae; genus Homo; species Homo sapiens. Next base: position 2,894,882 of record NT_113891.3, on the reverse strand, counting down.
GAAGCCTGGGGGGCCCAGCAGGCCCAGCATGGAAAGACGTGGCTGCCACAGGATCTGCACCTGACCTGACCCTGGGACCCCCACCTTGCTCGAGGAGGCCTGGCCTCTCCTGACCCTCACAACCCAAGCCTGTGACCTGCTCTTGAGTAACCGCTACTCCTGCCTGGTCCGCTTAACCCTGGAAACGCAGCTCCACCCCAGGGCTGCTGCTTGGTGAGGCTGCGAGGCCTTCCTGCTCTGTCCCTAGCAGGGATTCCACCCGGCCACTGCCCTTGCAACCTACAAGGGATTTTCTCCATGTGGAGTAGGGGAGACCCCTTAGCCTGAGGCTGCCTCTGCCCACCCTCTGCACCTGGGAACTGCCACTGCCACAGCCACCATCTCCACACAGAACCTCCTGGAGAGGGGGCTCCAAATTTGAGTTCCTGTTTCATTTAATATGCTTTACAGTATTAGGAAATCCTATTAAGATTGCAGAGCTGAAATTATGAAAATCTTTATTGGACATCGCAGGAATTTTGAGAAATTTGTGTTCCTGTTTCATATAATATGCTTCACAATATTAGAGGAAATCCTATTAAGATTATAGAGCTGAAATTACGAATATCTTTACTGGACATCAACATTGAAAGCAGGAATTTTGAGAAACTGGCACATGAACTTCATACTCTTTTCCTGGCCAAAACTCCAGTGACCTATGAGGAAACCATTCCTGCCCACAGGGAACCAGAACTGACAATCCCTCTACGGGAGACGCCACAGGTGAGAGCAGGAGTGACCACAGACCTGCACTGCCCCTGTTGTGGGTGCCTCCTGGACAGGGCCCTCTTGCTGCAGGGCAGGGGACAAACCTTCCCATCTGCTCAGGCCTGAGGGGCCGATTGACAGTGCAATTAGGTTCAAGGATGAGAAACCAGCGACCCTACTGCCAGACACATCCTCCTGGACACCCCAGCCTCTTACTGTCGCCTGAACTGCTTCTGTCTTTGCAGAAACACAAAACTTCCTGCTGTCTCTTTTCATCCCCCATCAAACAACCTGACTGTAGGGGAAATGATTCTGACCGTCCCTTACTCCAAACTTACCAGGCAGTGACCACCTTTAGAAAGGGAAATTGGCTCAGGGAGGGCAAGGTGAGGCCACAGAGCACAGATTAAATCCCCAAAAACATGGGCCCTGAGGACTGTGTCCCTCAGGGACTGGAGAAGAAAACACTCGGAGGTAGGATGAAAACAGGGACCACAGCTGCCCTGATGAGGGGCTGGGCCCCACTCCTCAAATGGCCCAGGGACATCTGCTTATCTACTCATCCATGTCATCTGCAAGAAACTCAGGGAGGCCAGGCCGTGGGAACCTGGAAAGAGTAGGGCCTCGAATGGTGCAGAGGACACGACAACCCCAAGAAAGCTCCTGGAGGAGGTGCATGGGGAGCTGCAAAGTGGACAGAGATGGCCATGTGTGCTCAGGACCCTCCCTGTTACAAGGGGTCTCCAAAGGGCTACACAGGCAGGGCCCCCAGGCTGGGCCTCATAGGTCTTTTTCTCGGTGTCCGCCCCGATGGCTGGAGAAACAGGGGAGGGGGATGCAGAGAGGAAGGGAATAGGGGCACCGCCTCTCCTCAGATTCCTCTCCAGTTTCTGGCCCTCCCCAGATCACAGCTGCCTTTACTATTTGCTCCCTCTGAGGCCGTGATCATCCAGGCCCTTAGCATTCAGCACGTGATTCCCAGCTCACCCCACCTGGATGCGCCCTAGTGAGTTCAAGAGACACAGAGACCGGGATGGGGACAGAGCAGGCGCCGCAGCCCTCCCTGCTGCCCACTCCTCACCTGCAGCAGGAGGATGCCACAGCTGGGCGTTTGACCCTTGCTTGGGCAGCACTTATGGGTGTAGATGGAGATGCTGCCCCCATTCCCTTCCCAAATTCCCCAACTTTCATCCCCTGTTACGGAAGCCTTGTCACCAACATGCCTATCTTTGCAGGAGCAATGAGGGGACCCTACTGCCCAGACAGGGGCCTTACCATCTCCAGAAACTGCCCGCTTTTCTCACCTGGACCCTCTGCAGCTGATGTTTTCTTCTTACAACAACGGACATAGAAAATAATAATAACAAAAATAGCAGCAGCCAGCAGCAACAGCAGAAACATGGAATGTCTGCCAATGACTCTGAAGCACCAGCACTTTCCCTGAAAAAAAGGGACTTGTTATACACTGGGCAGAGAGCCACAGCCATCCCTGCTGTCCCTACCCTGGCCTGACCCTCTCCAGGGTCACCCTAGGCTCACCAGAGGGCACAGGGTGAGTGCTGTGATTCCCGCTGTGTTCCATGTAGCAGGTGAACCTCTGCTCCTCTCCTCGGCAAATCCTGGTGGCCACCCAGGTCTGGTAGGTTCCATTCCCATCAGGCAGGACATCCCCCCACTGCTGGGTGTCGTGGCTCAAAGATACCCCATCCTGACGCCAGGTCAGTATGATATTCCGGGGATAGAAGCTGGAAGCCCTGCATGTCACGGTGATGTTGCCCTCTGAGGCCTCGCTGCGGGTGACATTCACCATGGGGGGCACTGGAGAAGAAAGGGCAGAGCCAGTGAAGCCCTGCTCCCCTCTAAGGAGGGGAGAGGAACAGGGCTGTTTCTCTTCACTGTTCTCACTCTGGCTGAAGCCCTCCGGGACCCCTGACCTGCAAGTCTGTCCTCACTCTGGGGCCCAGTTCTTCCAGGCTGGCAGGAGGATGGGCCTTGGGACTGTGGCCTCAGGCTCTGGGATCCCCACATTGATGCTGAGGAGGGGGATGTCAGGGGTGGACTCCTGGGTTGTGGGGCCAGGAGGGAACTCTCCAGGATGGGCAGGCTGGGAGGCAGAGGGGGCAGCCCTGGCCCTGAAGGCTTCCTCTCCTGCCTGACACCCACCACAGGCTCAGGATTCTGTCGGAGGGTCCTCTACTTGCCCTGATTACAACACTGGATGGTCCAGTCCCTGACCCTCTGTCTTTATCCAGTGGCTCTAACAATAGAGGAAAATCAGGACACGATGTGCCAACAGGAAATGCCTTCATCCATAGCACAGGGAGGGTTTCCCTGGACACATCTGGGAGGTGAGGCAACTCTAGCAGAATTGGAGGGAGAGGAGAGCCCCTGGCCAGCGTCGGTACCTGTTCTCCTCAGGACTACGCCGGATTCTAGATATCGCCGTAGTTCCTGCAGGCAGTCTGCATGCATAGCGTGATAGTGTGTCTTGGTCTTCATGGCATCTTCCTTCAAGAAATTCCTGACGTTCATGGCCAAGGTCTGAGCTCTGGAGGACTGGGGCACTGTCCATTCCTCAGTCTCCAGGTTTTGGGAGAGGAAGAGCTCCCCATCGTAGTAGAAATGCTGGGAGCTCCTGGTGCTGTTGTCTTCATGGATCTCACAGACCCTAATCTCCTGGAGGGAATGCAAGCCTGCCCCCACCCAGCAGTGACTTCTCCATTCCCGAACCCATCACCTTTCCACCCAAGTGAGGAACTCAGCCCAGGGGGTATGCCTCCCTGGCCCTCCTCCATGCCTCCCTGTGTGGGCTGAGTGCCGGCTCACCTCCCTGCTGAGTTCCACTGACCCCCATTCCTCACCCCCAGCCTGAGCCAGATCCAGTGGGAAGAGACAGGTCCCTGCTCTCTGCCCCTAACTTTTCTGGAAAAGGCCTCTCCAGTCACTCTTGCCCCTGCCGACTCTCACCTTCTTTCTGGTCCTTGATATGAGCCAGGGTCATCCTGAGGTCCTTTCCGTTCCCTGTCAAGTCCCTGGTCTCTCTGTCCCATGTCTTATTTCCCAGGACATCTTCTGCCCACTGTCCCTGGGGCTTTGCCCTGCATTTCTGCCTGTCATAGCGCAGGAAGGGCTGACCATCCAGATGTACCTCAGCAAGAAACCCTGACTGCACAGATCCATCCCAGGACAGCACCGTGAGGTTATAACGAAGACTGTGGGGCTCTGGGGAAGAGGAAATCACAGGTGAAACTTCTTCCTGGAAGTAACTTCACATTGATGTTTAACACACAGGTCTGCTGTCCCAACCTTCCTGGGGCAGGAAATGCACACGGGCAAAGGGACAAGAACGAGGATTTCATATACAAAGAAAACTGTGAGGGTGGGAGGATAGAGGAGGGGGCTGATGAACAGAAGAAGGGGGAATGAAGATGGCAAACTTGTAGGCCAGGTGCAAGGACTGGGTGGCCACAAGCCCCCTAAGGGAATAGGGGCCAAGGGGAGAGGCTGCCCTGCAGGGGCAAGGGAGGAGCATGAAGGTGGTGGAAGGAAGGTCTTGCCAGAGGAGATGGTGGGAATGGGAAGGGACTCAGGCTCAGAGGGACCCATGTCCAGTGTGGCTGTGGTGCATAGGCTGAGGGTGAGATGGAGGCAAGGGGAGCTGCCTCGAGAAGAGACTCATCATGGGCATGGCGGGGACAAGGGAGGGGGTGGTCATGAGGCACAAAGGGTAGGAAGGTTGTAGCCCCAGAGAAGTTTATAGTGGGGTCAGTATCCCAGAGGGGAGCAACGAACGGTGTGGGCTTGGGTTCAAAGTGGAAGAGTAGCATGACAAGGCCCCAGGACAGCAATTGGATGGAACAGCTAGTGTCCACTGGGGTGAGCAGGTGACAAAGAGTCAGTTGATCTTTTCAGCAAATAGTTCTGGGGGCAGGGGGTGTTAAAATAAAATTGGACCCTTAATTTGCACTATATACAAAAATTAACTCAAAATGAATCAAAGACCTAAACTCTACACTCAAGAACTAAAACCTAAAAATTTCTTAGAAGCAAACATTGGGGATAATGTTCATGACATAGGATTTGACAGTGCTTTCATGGATATGACACCAAAGCACAGATAGAATAGAAAGAACTGACAAAGTAGACTGATGAAAATTCAAAACATCTATGCATCAAAGGGCACAATCAGAGTGAAAAAGCAATCAACCCCGAAATGAAATAAATATTGCAAGTCATATATCTGATAAGAGAAGCTATGTGGGGGAAAAAATGGGCAAAAGACTTAAATGGCCAATTCTTCAAAGAAAATTACAAATGATCAACAAACACATGAAAAGATGCTCAATATCAGCACTCATTAGGAAAATGCAAATCCAAACCACAATGAGATGCCACCTGAAACCAATCAGGATGGCTGTTATCACACACCTACACACACACATACACACACACACAGAGCAAGGTTGGCAAAGAGACAGAGAAAATGAAGCCCCTGTGTACTGCTTCTATTTCTGGATATATACCCAAAAGAAATACCCAAAGGAAATAAATATATACCCAAAGGAAATGAAATATTTGCCAATATCCAAAAGGTAGAAGTAACCCAAGTGTCCATTGTCTGAGGGATGGATAACCAAGATGTGGTACATACATATAATGAGTATTATCCATCCTTAAAAGGAATGAAATTCTGACCCATACTACAACTTGGATGAACCTCAAAAATATTATTATTATTATTGTTTTATTTTTTTTTTTTGGAGATGGAATTTCACTCTTGTTGCCCAGGCTGGAGTGCAGTGGCCTGATCTCAGCTCACTGCAACCTCCACTTCCCGGATTCAAGCGATTCTCCTGCCTCAGCCTCCCAAGTAGTTGGGATTACAGGCACCCGCCATCACGCCCGGCTAACTTTTATTATTTTTAGTAGAGATGGGGTTTCACCATGTTGGCCAGGCTGGTTTCGAACTCCGAAACTCAGGTGATCCACCTGCTTCAGCCTCCCAAAGTGCTGGAAATCCAGGCGTGAGCCACTGTGCCCACCGAACCTCAAAAATATTATAAGTGAAATAAGCCAGAAACAAAAAGACAAACATTACATGATTCTGCTTAAATGAGGTACCTAGAGTGGTCAAATTCATAGAAACAAAAAGTAGAATGGTGGTTACCAGGGGCCAGAGGTAGGGAGGAATGGGGAGTTACCGATTAATGGGCACAGAGTTTTGGGTTGCACAAAAATGTGAATGTATCTAATGCCACCGAGTATACACTTAAAAGTGGTTAAAACAGTAAAATTTATGTAATGTATAATTTACCACAATTAAACTTTTAAAGAACAACATATGTCAGTCCTATTCAAACTGTTCTGAAAAATAGAGGAGGAGGGAATACTTCCAAACTCATTTTACAAAGCCAGGAATATCCTGATACAAAAACCAGGCAAAGACACATCATAAAAAAGAAAACTACAGGCCTATATCCCTGATGAACACCGATGCAAAAATCGTCAAGGAAATACTAGCAAACCACATTCAACAATACATTAAAAAAGATCATTCTTTATGAGCAAGTGGAATGTATTCCAGGTATGCAAGGATGATTTAACATACACAAATCAATCAATGTAATACGTCATATCAACAGAATAAAGGACAAAAGCCAGTATCATTCAATTGATACTGAAAAAGCATTTGATAAATTCAACATCCCTTCATGATAAAAACTCTCAAAAAACTAAGTATACAAGGAACAGACCTCAATATAATAAAAGCCATATATGACAAACTCACAGCTAGTAACATACTGAATGGGGGAAAACTGAAAGCCTTTTCTCTAAGATCTGGAATAAGACAAGGATGACTAATTTTACCACAGTTATGCAACACAGTACTGCAGATCCTAACTAGAGCAATCAGACAGGAGAAAGAAAGAAAGGGCATTAAAACTGGAAAAGAAGAAGTCAAATTATCCTTGTTTGCAGATCATGTGGTCTGATATTTGGAAAAACCTAAAGACTCCACCAAAAAACCATTAGAACTGAAGAACAAATTCAGTAAAGTTGCAGGATACAAAATCAACATGCAAAAATCAGTGCTAACAGCAAATAATCTGAAAAAGAAATCAAGAAACGAATCCCATTTACAATAGCTACAAATAAAATAAAATACTGAGGAATAAACCTAACTGAAGAAGTGAAAGACCTCTCCAATAAAAACTATAAAACAGTGATGTGGCTGGGCGTGGTGGCTCATGCCTGTAATCCCAGCACTTTGGGAGGCCGAGGCAGGTGGATCACCTGAGGTCAGGAGTTCAAGACTAGCCTGGCCAACATAGAGAAACCCCATCTCTAATAAAAATAGAAAATTAGCCAGGCACAGTGGCACATGCCTGTAATCCCAGCTACTTGGGAGGCTGAGGCAGAAGAATAGCTTGAACCTGGGAGGCGGAGGTTGCGGTGAGCCAAGATCACACCCTTGCATTCTAGCCTGGGCAACAAGAGTGAAACTCCATCTCAAAAACCAAAAACAAAAAACACTGATGCAAAAAATTGAAGGACACAAAAAATGGAAAAGATAGTCCACGTTCATGGATTGGAAGAATCAGTTTTGTTGAAATATCCATACTACCCAAAGTAATCTACAGATTCAATGCAATCCCTATCAAAACACTAATGACATTCTTCACAGAAATAATAAAAATAATCCTAAAATGCATATGGAACCACAAAAAAACCAGAATAGATAAAGCTATCCTGAGCAAAATGAACAAAACTAGAGGAATCACATTATCTGACTTCAAATTATACTACAGAGCTACAGTAACCAAAACAGCATGATACTGGCATAAAAACAGACACACAGACCAATGAAACAGAATAGAGAACCCAGAAACAATTCCATACATCTACAGTAAACTCATTTCCAACAAAGGTACCAAGAACACACATTGGCAAAGGAGAGTCTCTTCAAAAATGGTGCTGGGGAAACTAGATATCCTTATGCAGAAGAATGAAACTAGACCCTGTCTTTCACCATATACAAAAATCAAATCAAAGTGGATTAAAGATGTAAATCTATGACCTCAAACTATGAAACTATACAAGAAAACATTGGGGAAACTCTCTAGGATATTGGACTGGGCAAAGATTTTTAAAGTAATACCCCACAAGCACAGGTAACCAAAGTAAAATTGCATAAATGGGATCATATCAAGTAAAAAGGCTTCTGCACAGCAAAGGAAACAATAAACAAAATGAAGAGACCATCCAAGAATGGGAGAAAATATTTTCAAACTATTCATCTGACAAAGGATCAGTAACTGAAACATATAAGGAGCTCGAACAACTATAGGAAAAAAAATATAATAATCCAATTTAAAAATGAGAAAAGATCTGAATAGTCATTTCTCAAAAGAAGACATATAAATGGCAAACAGGTATATGAAAAGGTGCTCAACATCATTCGTCAACAGATGAAGGCAAATCAAAACTCCTACGAGATAACATCCCACCCCAGATAAACTGGCTTTTATCCAGAAGACAGGCAATAAGGAATGCTGGCGAGGATGTAGAAATAAGGAATGCTGGTGAGGATGTACACTGTTGGTGGGAACGTAAACTAGTACAACCACTATGGGAAACAATGTGGAGGTTCTTCCAAAAACTAAAAATACAATAGAGCTGTCATATGCTCCAGCACTCCCACTGTTAGGCATATACTCCAAAGAAAGGAAATCGGTATATTAAAGAGCTATCTACTTTTCCATGTTTATTGCAGCACTATTCAAAGTAGCCAAGATCTGCAAGCAATCTAAGTGTCCATCAACAGACGCATGGATAAAGAAAATGTGGTGTACATGTGTATGTGGAGAACTATTCAGCCATCGTGTCATTTGCAAAGAACTGGAGGTCATCCTGTGAAGTGAAATAAGCCCCAGGCCCAGACAGACAAACTTTGCATGTTCTCACTTATTTGTGGCAGCCAAAATTTAAAACAATGGACCTCATGGGGAGAGACAATAGAATGATGATTACCAGAGGCTGAGAAGGGTAGTGGGGAGTGGGGGAGCAGGGATGGTTAATAATGGGTACAAAAATATAATTAGAATGAATAAGATCTAGTAGATAGCACAGCAGGGTGAGTACAGTCAACAATAATTTATTGTACATTTAAAAATAACTGAAAGAGCATAATGGGATTGTTTGTAGCACAAAGAAAGGATAAATGCTTGTTGTGATATAACCCATTTACCCTGATGTGATTATTACATATTGTAGGCCTGTGTCAAAATATCCCATGTACCCCATAAATATATACATATATATCTACTACGTACCCAAACAAAAGTTAAAAATTAAAAACAAAGCAAGGAGTGGGGGTGCTGGCCAGAGAGAGAAAACCAAGGTAGAGGGGGAGATTCTCAGCCTGAGGAAGGACCTGCCAAAAGGAGTAATGCTGGAGGGGGAGCAGTGGCACCCCAAGAGCAGGCAAAACAGATTTTAGATATGCGGTGTGGGGAGTGAGAGCCCACTGGGGTCAAGGAACCAAAAGAAAAGAAGGAAGGTCAAGGAACAGTTGGCCCAACAGCCTGTTTTAGGTCTGGGTTGGGGAGGGGAGATGGGCAGAGCAAGAACTGGAGGGCGGCATGAGCATGGGGCAGGAGTGACTGTGGGAGAACTTGGGGTAGGGTGAGGACAGGAGGGGAGGGTGCTCTGGGGGAGGGTGGGGCTTGGGAAAGATGCTCAGCACTGTCATATGCTCCAGCACTCCCACTTTCCCACTGAAAGATGAGAACGTGCTGAGGGCCCAAGGCAGCTGGGCAAGAGATAGGAGCAGCACAAGGTCCCAAGGTGGAGAGGGGCGGAGGGACCAGGGAGGGATGGTCCAGCACCTGTGGGCTGGAGGGTGGGGTCCTCAAGAGGGTGAGGCTGAGGATGAAGGAGTGGGGAAGGGGCCACAATGAGGCAGGGTCCAGAACAGGCATCTGCACTGGAGGGGAGGGGGCATCTGCGCTGCCCTGCGCCCTGCCTAAGGCCCAACTGCCATTAGCATCAGGGTTCCCCTTGGGGGTCTGGAGGGGAGTGGGATGGAGGGAAGACCCCCCCGGATAAAAGGCAGCACCAGAAAGTTAGAGTCAGGGACATTTGGGAACGGGGAGGCATAGGGGCAGCACTGGGTGAAGGCTGCTTGTAGGAAAGGCCCATAAGGGGTGCAGGAGGGACCTTCGGTGGCGGGGACAGGGGATGAGGGCAGAGGACACCCTAGAAATGGATCAGAGAACAGCACACAGGAAGGGGTAGCAGGGAGCTGGGAGGGCAAAAGGACTCAGCGGGCCCTGAGATGGGCAGGGAGGAGGTGAGAGGGAATCTGGTGTCCTTAGATCACTGGTCATTAGTAGGGGTGGGATGAGAGAGAGGAGAGGACCCTCGGAGCCAGAGGCGAGGGGAGAATGAGCTGGGGATGAGAGAAGTCGCAGGAAGAATCCTCTGCCCGGAGCCTGCAGACTCCAACCCCTCAGCTTGAGAGTCAGGACCCCCCACAGTCCCCACAGCAGCAGGAAGCACCAGCTCCGGGTCCCGAGAAAGGAGGGCCCCTACTCCAGGAGCTGCGGCCCAGGAGCTGAGAACACGTCGGCTCCGGGAGAGGACAGGACTTCAGGGACCTGAGAGCCGCCCCGAGCACCGGGGGTTGTGGCTGCTTCAGTGGCCGCGCTGGAAGGGCACTCGAATGCCATTCACAGGAGCAGCCCCGGAGGCAGCCCGGGAACCCATGGGCCTCAGAAGGACTGGTTTGTCCGAAAAGTGAGAGGAAGCGGAGGAGACGCGAGGAGAGAAAGAGCAGGAGGAGACCAGAAAGTGCAGGTGATGCGCGATCCCGAGGAGGACTGAAAAGTGACGGGGAAGCAGGGCTGAAGTGTGGCGGTAACGGGCCGCGTCCAGCTCCCTGCGCCACCGACAGGGCACAGGAGCCCCGCCCTGACCGCACAGCGCTCGCCGCTACCCACCCGACCCCCGGAAACGTCCCACTGCTCCCGCTCCGCCGAGGACCGCCAGGAACGCCACTCACCAGCAGCAGCTCCCGGAGGTGCAAAAGGGAAGATGCCAGCCAGAAGCAGGAAGACCGGGCCCAGCCCCATGGCCCCGACGTCGCCACCCTCTCAGCGGCTCAAGCAGTGGCCGGGGAGAAGGCGCCGCGGAAACTTAGTCACCTGGCCCGGTCCCCCGACCGCTCATCCAATGAAACTGGGGCCCGGAACTTAGGGCCAATCACGAGCGGAGAGGGCGGGGCCACGCTTGGAAGAGAAAATTCCAGTGGGCTGGAGACCTGGGGAGATTTAGAAGGCGGGACCTGGGGCCCAGAAAATGGGGAGCACGCGGGAGCGCAGCCTAAAGCAGGGACCAGCTTCGAGTAGCTGAGAGTACAGCTCCAACTTCATAAGCACGGCCAGGGCCCTGCCTGCCCTCCCGGCATCGCGACCACCCATCCCCGCGCCCCCACCCCGAGGAGCGCGGGCCTCACCAAGCCCCTTTCGCCGGCCGCCCCATTAAACCGGCTCTCACTGGCTTGTTCCTTCCAGGACAGACAACGCGTGGCTATTCTCCCAACACACTCCCTCAACCGCGCACAGCGTTACTGGCAATGAGACCAGTGACCAGATTTGCAGACCTGTTTCCAGATCTCAGCCACCTCTGCCTCTCAGAAGCACCTGCCGCAGTAGAACCGCTCAGACCACAAACTCTCTTAGACGTTTCAGCTTTATAATCTCCTTCTCCTCCCTTTGACTCAAAGCCAGGCCCCCCTTTCACCCCCTTATATCCTCTAAGTGTCTGAAGTCTCCCAGGGCCGCCTCTCTATTCAGTCCCTGGGTGATCACAGGGCCAAGGAGGCGGCTCCCTGTGGTTCACTACAACACCAAGCTCTCTCCAGACTCCCTTTTCCAGCCTGCCTTAGGACATCTGTACCTCCGACCATAGTCCCCTCCAATGTGAGAGATCTACAAAGACTCTCTATACGTCTGCCACCATATCATCCTCTCTTCCTCCTCAGTTTCTCTTAAGAACATCACCATCCTTGGTCCCTTCTGATTTCCTCTTTCCCCATCATCTCCGGGAGTCAAAGTCAGCTCCTTCAACGCTATTTCAATCCCACAGCCACAATCTTAGTCTAGGCTTTCCCCTCCCTTCAGCCTAGATTACTGCACAGCCTTCCTAAACACGGTGCCTGCCTCAGTTACAACCAGAGTGCTCCAAGCCACCCACAGCGCCCCATCTGCTGAATGTCACACATGATGGATGCTTCTACTCTACCGTGGAAAACCTCAGCTGCCACAATCTGCTGTCTGGCACCACCCCCATTTCTCTGGTGACATCTCCCCAGGGTTGCAGTAAACGTGGGCTCTGGGATCTCCTCACCCTATCCCACCAGGATGCCACTGCCTAAGCAGTCTCCCTCTTCCAGGCTATTGTAACCTCTGCCTTGGAACCCATCAGACCACACCATATCCTTAAAATCTTCCCAGGCTGGTCTGAGTGCAGTGTTTACAACTAATTGATCACAACCAGTTATAGATGTCTTTGTTTCTTCTTCACTCCCACTGTTTCACTTGACTAGCCTTTAAAATAAAAAGAAAAGAAAAAAGAAAAAAAGGAAAAAAAATCTTCCAGGGTAGACAGTGGTGACGGTGGCACAACCTTGTGATTACGCTAGAAGCCACTGAGCTGCACACTTTAAAAGGATAAATTGTGTGGCATATGAATTCTCAATTCTCAATAATAAGAATGCTGTCCCGAAAGCCTCTTTCTACTAAGAGAATTGCCTTGTCCCCAACGCACATCTCTTAGTCGTTGGGACATCTAGGCAGAGGTCATCAAACCTAGCCACTGCGTAGAACCACCTGGAGAGTTTTTAATATCCATGTTCCCAGGCCACAGCCACAACCTAGGTTGTTAAATCAGTAAACCCAGGTTGGACCTAAATCTTAGTATCTTTTAAAGTTCCCTAGGTGATTCCGATGTGTAGTCAAGTTTTAGAACTACTGATTTAGCCCGTGGTTTGAACCTTCCTGATAGTACTCATTGTGCCCTGCCATGAATTTTTTTTTTTTTTTTTTTAAGAGAGGAGTCTTGCTGTGTCACTCAGTTGGAATGCAGTGGCATGATTATAGCTCACTGCAGCCTTGAATGCCTGGGCTCAAGCAATCCTCCCACCACAGCCTCTTGAGTAGCTGGGACTACAGGCGAGTGCCACCACACCCAGCTGTCATCTACCATCTTCTACCCTATGAACCCTCCAAGATCAGGAAATGTGTCCGTTTCTTCTTTGTCAGCCTCACAAACTTTTTTTTTAAGTTCAACTATCCCTGTCATTACTAACTATTCCCCCATGATCCCTAGCCTATACTTTTCTGTGGATGAAAATGTAATGTATTCGAGAATTTTAACAATTTCTTAGTTTTCCCATTCACATTCACTGATAATTTATTTTGATCCTCATAATTTATTGAGCACAGCAGGGACCGGGGTCCTTTCCCCACCTTAGAGAGATTATTTTCACTGCTAAAGATCATAAGCCTAGTGAGAGACTGGGAGGGAGATGGACCTAGCTCTCCTGACACAGGTCCCAAGCCCTTACCTCCACGGTGTCTACCCTCCCTCCAGGACTTCCTCCGTGTGCCAGCTCCAGCAAAGGATCTGATTCAGCTCGCCCCCAAAAAAGACTTTTAATAGTTCAATAACAATAATGAATATGCAAGGTTTGTTCTAAGGCATTTAGAAATGGTTTCAGGGAGTCATGAAGCCAGTCCTCTCTTGGGCTAGGGGAGGCCGAGATGGTCTTGAGCTCCAGGGGACTTGTTTCTTAGTGCCCAGGCCTGGGCGCCCCTCCCCCACCAAGCCTCCCAGGTCTTCTGTCCAAAGCCCTCCCCCTCCACCCCACCTCCAACCCCGTCTGCTCTACCCCATCAACTACGTTTTCTCCCTCAGCACTTGCCTTATACCCCATGCACTCACGAGCACAGAGGCGACTTCCCTCTCTCAGACTTTAGGCGCCACTGCAGGGTCCGGAAAAGAAAGAGAAACGGCCCAGCGCGGTCGCTTACATAACCCAGGGCGGGGCTCCGCTCCGCCCCCGAAAGTTTTTGCGACGGAGTTTTCCCTCTTGTTGCCCAGGCTGAAGTGCAATGGCGCGATCTCGGCTCACCGCAACCTCCGCCTCCAAGGTTTAAGCGATTCTCCTGCCTCAGCCTCCCGACTAGCTGGGATTACAGGCATTCACCACCAAGCCCGTCTAATTTTATATTTTTAGTAGAGACGGGATTTCCCCATGTTGGTCAGGTTGGTCTCGAGCTCCCGACCTCAGGTGATCGCCCGCCTCGACCTCCCAAAGTGCTGGGATTACAGGCGTGAACCACCGTGCCCGGCCTTGGCCGCATGTGTTTTGAATTTTGCTGCCCGGAATTCACTGCGAGGACTGGGATCACCCGTCACCCCGCCCTGGTCTACGGAAAATGAAATGTGTTTACTGATATAGAAACGGAATAACGGCGCTGTGGGCTGGGGAGGGCCGAGCTGCCTTCAGGCTTCTGGTCTCCAGCTGCAGGGCACTCACACCTGCCCGTTATGAAAATGCAGACCCGCAGGGCAGGAATTCCGAGTCCGGGCTGGAGCGCGATCTGGAATCCGGCTTTCTTGAAACAGCACCGCGGAGGATTCGGATCCGGGTGAGTAGGAAACTGCGCCTCAGCCCCTCCCACGGGCCGCCCACGTATTCCAGGATCCGAAAACGCTTCCTGCTGCTCCGTCACCCCAGGAAGGCAGCGTCCGCCTCTGGGCGGTTCTGATGGAAACCGGCTGCGCCGCCCGCAGGAAAACCCACAACTAAGGGGCCAGGAAAAAGCCTCTTAGGGTCCCGCCACTTCAGTGAGGATCCTAATTTACACCCTTAGTTTGGCCTCCATGAAAGACTGGAGTGACCTTCACTGAAATGATACAAGGGGCCCAGGGAGCTGCGGCGCTCAGAATGCGGTGACAGCGCCGCCTCGCGTCCCTTCCCTGACCTGCTCCCGGCGGACGCGGAGAAGTTTGTTGGCCTGGAGGCTGGAATATACCGGGGATCAAATGCAGAGAATGGAGAAAAGAGGGAAGGATGGGGGGACGTGTTGAAGAAATGAGGGAAGAGATAGGAAGAAAAGGGGAGAGAAAAAGTAAAGGAGAGTTTTTTTTTTTTTTTTTTTTTTTTTTGAGACGGAGTCTTGCTCTGTCGCCCAGGCTGGAGTGCAGTGGCGCGATCTTGGCTCACTGCAAGCTCCGCCTCCCGGGTTCAGGGCATTCTGCTGCCTCAGCCTCTGGAGTAGCTGGGACTACAGGCTCCTGCCACCACGCCCGACTAATTTTTTGTATTTTTAGTAGAGACGGGGTTTCACTGTGTTAGCCAGGATGGTCTCGATCTCCTGACCTCGTGATCTGCCTGCCTCGGCCTCTCAAAGTGCTGGGATTACAGGCGTGAGCCACCGCACCCGGCCGGAGAGAGAAAATTTAAAAGACGTAGTTTCATTATTTCTTTTATTTTTGCCCTTTATCTAGTTTTACTTATGAACATTTTTACCACAAATTTCTCTCTCTCTAAATCTGTAAATATGCTGCTATTATTGTTATTTCAGAGCCTGTGAGGGTAAGTTGCAGACAGCATGACCCTCTACCTCCAGATGTGTCAGGGTGTGTCTCCTGGGCACAAGAACAGGGTTTTTGTTTTGTTTTGTTTCACATAAGCAAAGTACAAGTCTCAAAGAGGATAATATTTTTAAATCATCTTATTGGGACATACTTTGCATGCAATAAACTGCATCTATTTAAAATGTTCAACT
This sequence comes from Homo sapiens, assembly GCF_000001405.40. NCBI lineage: Eukaryota > Metazoa > Chordata > Mammalia > Primates > Hominidae > Homo > Homo sapiens. The sequence goes on along the minus strand of NT_113891.3, from coordinate 2,879,277 downwards.
TGTTGAATTTTAGCTGTTGTACACACCCACATCTCCACTACCACAGTGAAGATAAAGAAGATTTTAATCGTCTCCCAAAGAACAGCTACACGATAAAATTCTATGTTGTCATTAAAAAGAGTAAGAGCAATTTTAAGTATTGCTATGAAAAGATGTGCCCAGCATACTTTTAACCTTTTTTAAAAGGTTAAGGAGGCTGGGCACAGTGGCTCATGCCTGTAATCCCAGAACTTTGGGAGGCTATGGCAGGCAGATAACCTGAGGTCAGAAGTTCAAGATCAGCCTGGCCAACATGGTGAAACCCTGTCTCTACTGAAAATGCAAAAATTAGCCGGGCGTGGTGGTGGGTGCCTGTAGTTCCAGCTGTTTGGGAGGCTGAGGCAGGAGAATCGCTTGAATCTGGGAGGTAGAGGTTAGAGTGAGCCGAGATCATGCCACTGCATTCCAGCCTGGGCGAAAATGCCACTAATATCACTTACATAATATTAATATATATTTGAAGTAGGGGAAAACCTGGAAGATTCCTCACCAAAGTTTTGACAGTGACTCCAGAGACTGGGATAACTTTGTGACTTTCATTTCCTCTTAAATGTTGTGCCAGGGTCTGACCGGCAGACCCAGGCTGCACGATGGATGAATAATGTACTCAGACACCGATATTCAGTGAAAGAGTGCACCAGAGGGCCAGGCCACTCACAGAAAGGGTTGTGGCAGCTGCGTGCCCTGACTATCTGGCCCTGTGGGCCTTTATTCAGCACAGATTTAATGACAAAGGCTTTGAGTCAACACACCTGTGGGTAATTAATCTGGTCGCAGTCCCCCGGAGAGAGCAGTCCTACAAATGATCAAAGGTAAACATGCTCTTTAGATAAACTCTCTTACATGTCTTTGTACTTACTCGAAGCTATTAACTCAAGGTAAGGGGATTAGGCTGCTTTCAGCTATAACCCTATCCTGAGGCTTTTGCAAAACTTTCCACTTTCCAAGAAGGTTTGTGTCTATTTCCTATAACTTTATCTTTATAATTATTCCCACCACCTGACCAATCCCCTACAATGTTGGAATTTTATCTTTTAGTGTAAACTTGGATTTGGGTGGATTGCAGTGGTTCATGACTATAATCCCAGCTCTTTGGGAATCGAAGGCAGGAAGATTGCTTAAGCCCAGGAGTTCCAGGCTGCAGTGAGCTATGATTGTGCCATTGCACTCCAGCCTGAGTGACAGGAGGAGACCCTGTCCCCAAAACAGAAAAATAAATAAAATTTTAAAATAATAAAAATTATAAACTTGGATTTATGTGGAGGTTAAGGAAGAGAATATTTCAGTTTGAAAATATGAAGCTAAGCCCCACAACGAAATAGTTACAGAGTTTTAAAAAAGAAAATGTTCATTAAAACCCACCACCAGAAACTCTCTTTCAAGAGGATCCTTCATATTTTCATGGCATTGAATCTTTCTTAAAGTGCATTTGAAAGAGATGTTTTCAGTGGAATAGAGAGATGTGTAACAATATTTACAAAAGCGGTTGGCTGTAATAAAAAGGAAAACGCAAATGAGTGGGGACACAGGGGACCCTGTTCCATTTATTCTCAAAGCACGTTTGAAAACTGCGTTGCCATAGCGTCCTTGGGTAGAGGCAAAGTCGAGGCAGATCTTGTTCCTGGAGTATTGATTTGATTTTGGAAACGGTCCAAGGCTTTCAGAAATCAGGCTGACTTTCAGATCTAAAGTCTCAAGAATATTCGTTCTAGCAGTGAGCCTGTGAGAATCTAGCCCATCTGGGCGATGCACGCTCTGCTTCCACCTAGTGGCAGTGATTGGAAGGACAGGGCACAGTGTTACTGCATGGGTGGGGCTGAAGCCAAGGTGAAACCGCCTTTGCAAAATTATAACTAAGGAAATGATGACAGTGAAAGACATCAAACCTAACTGACCCCATCTTGCTTCCAACCGCTAAACTGCCCTTCTTCATTTCTAGGTGTAGGCTGAACTAGCCTTGGGAAGGAATTTAGTTTATAGTTTAAAGGGAAACTGTTCTTGTAAAACGAAGAAAGGCCACCGGCCATTAAGTTAGGATGAGAGGGGCTGGAATTCTGAATATTACCAGCCATTATTCCAGAGGTCATAAGATTTGCAACTTCTCCAGTTACTCTTGAAGGTAACATCACTATTGTGAACCTCAGAGTGGCCTTTTGAGATGTCTTTTCAGGTTTTTGTATTTTTAACAGCTGGAGGGCCCCATCTGGACCTGCCAACCAGTCCTGTGGCCCCCACGTTCAGGAACTGACTCAGCCTAAGAGAATGGCCTCCACTCACTATGATTTCATACCGGAGCCAACCAGTCAGCACTCCCGATTCACTGGCCCCCCTATCCACCAAATTATCCTTAAAAACTGATGAGAGTTTTTGGGGAGACTGATTTGAGTAATAAAACTCTGGTCTCCCGCACAGCTGGCTCTGCATGAATTACTCTTTCTCTGTTGCAATTCTCCTGTCTTGATAAATCGGCTTCGTCTAGGTAGCCGGCAAGATGAACCCACTTGGTGGTTACAAAGGGAGTCCAGGCCAGTGTGCATTACTGTAGTGGGGTCCAGGTAGCGGAGGAAAGGCGAGGACACTCAGGGAATAAATGGCAGAGGAAGAAGGAGCACAAGGGAGGACCCAAACCCTCCAGACCTCTCCTTCCTTCTCTCCCTGTTAGGGTTGGAGGGAACCAGCGTGGTCCCAGGAGGGGTGGCTGGTGGGGTGCAGAAAACGCCCTGGTTGCAAAGGGGCCTCACGTGCCCGACACAAGGGTCCTGGCTGTTAGCTGCTACTCATGAGTTCAAACTAGGAGGAGGCTCACACGTGTCCTTTGCAAAGTAGACTCCTTATCTCCCACTCCGGCTGGTTTCCCAAATCCATCCTGATAAAGCAGAAAAACCAAGAGCCAAATTCTGCGGGTGACCTTTCTGACAGCTGGAAGGTCCTCCCCATCCCCATTCCTTGCGTGCTCTCCTCTTGTCCTGCCCCCTCTGCTTTGTCTCCACTTCCTCATCCTTTTCCCTCTCTGGACCCTGCTCCTGAGTATCTCCCACCTTCTTCAGACAACTTCTCCTCATGAAGTACAGAGTCCCCCACCTCCAGGAAAAAGAGACAAAGACCACGAGAAGGACCTGAGAAACGCCTGTGACCCCGCCCCTGAGTCCAGCCTCTCCCTCAGCGCTGGCTCTGGCTGTGTGTGTGTGTATGTATTTTTGTTTTGTTTGTTTTTGAGACAGGGTCTCACTCTGACAGTCTGCAGTGTCCTGATCACAGCTTACTGCAGGCTCCAACTCCTGGACTCAGGCAATCCTCCCACCTCAGCTTCTCGAGTAGCTGGGACTACAGACTGGAGCCACCACACCCAGTGTGTGTGTGTGTGTGTGTGTGTGTGTGTGTGTGTGTGTGTGTGTTTGTGTATATATATACCCTTTTTTTTTTTTTTTTTTTTTGTAGAGACTGGGTCTTGCTTTGTTACCCATGCTGGTCTTGAACTTCTGGCTTCAAACAATTCTCATGCCTCAGCCTCCCAAAGTGCTGAGATTACAGGCATAAACCACAATGCCTGGCCCCTGTGTGTGTACATACAAAGTCAAAGTGCTAAACCTGGCGCCTAGGAAACATCCCCACCTAGGCATTGCTTGCAACAGTAGGTATTTTGTGCACCTGTGCTTTTATTTCAGGAGCTGGGACAGTTATATTCATCAGAACAGCACGGTGTCAAGGCCCTCACCCCCAGAAAGCTTAGGAGACACTGTTTTATGGAGGAGAGTGAGATTGGAGGAACCCCTGACTCCAGGTCTCCTGATCCTTCCTACACAAAGCGAAGCTGAAAAAAAGTGCAGGACACTCCATTTCCTCCTGGGACCAGACAGGGAAGCCAGAGCCACCATGGATGTCAAATTCCGGCAAGGAAACACCAGTATAGCAAAATCTCCACATCACATTTTAAAGCTCACACAATGGCTCAAAGAGAACCCACATCAAAAAACCGAATTCCTAGCTCAGGTGAGATCACCAAAGTTGCCTGTGAGGCTTCGTGGAACCTGCAGGTAGAAAGGACATCTTTATTTCGAGCTGCAGCCCAGTTGCTTCTGCGTCTTGGAGCCCCTTGAAAGGACCCTCTCCCTTCAACAGTACATAGGGAGGCCATTTCTGGGGAGAAATGTAGACTGTCCTTAGACTCCTGAGGTTTTTACACTTGCTTGCTGACTCTGTGGACTTTGACTTCATCATTAAACATCTTATAATGATGTAATTTGCTTTGACTGTAAGTGTAGAACAGGACGCTGTTCCTGAATCAGGAAACAAGGGACTGGTGACCTGAACTGCCACCACCCTCCCTGGTGCTCAGATGCAATGAAATCGTGAGGCAACAAATCTATGGCTAGGTAAAGGGTCAACTCCATTTCAGCAAATGTTTCAGATGTTCCTTCCTGCCTAGTAATGTTCCAGCTTTACCCCAGCCTTAATCTTTTAAAATGTATATTTTCCTTAGCGTTGATTTTAAAGTAATTCGTATGTATTTATTACACTGGGTTTGTTGCAGTAAGCCACCTCGAATGTTGCTGTAGAATTAAAGTAAGCAAATAAATGTGTGGTTCTCCAAGGAGTTATTGCTAACACCATCTTAAAAATGTATTAACCCCAAATCCAATCACTTCTCACTCCTCTACTGCCTCCTCCCCAGGGCCATCCTCTCCAAGATAGTAAACCAGAAGGCCTTCCAGCTGGGCTGCCTGCTGACTCTCACACCCGCTGTCCATCACCCACACAATAGTCAGAGTGAGCATTTCAAATGGGAATTAGAGCTCATCCTCGCCTCCGCGTCCCACAGACATGCCAGCCTCTTCCCTTCTTAGCACAGTGAAACCCCAGTCTCTCACTATGTTTTACAGCCCCTCATCCCTCATCACAGGATCCTTCTGGCCACTCTGGCCTCATCCCACCCCTCTCGGCCCAGCTCATTCATCTCCACTAACACTGCTCAATCCTGTCTCAGGCACCTCCCACTGGAACTCCCCAAGTGCACCTGCTCCCCAGGGATCCAAAGGGATCCAAAGGCCCCTCACACCATTCAGGTCTCTGCTCAGACGTCCAGTGTTCAAATTCCCAGGAACATCTTGATCAACAGACTATATCTCCTACCATCCTCACCACCATCAACCTTCTAGCTCAAGCATATTTTCTCCATAACAATTATCACCGGTATTAGAATTGTTTTCATTTGTTTCATTGGTTGTCATGTTCTTCGAGGCAGGGACCTTGTCTAGTCACCACTTGGATTTCCAGCATCTAGAAATCCAAGGACAGAGAAGGGGCTCAATAAATATGGGTTGAGTAAATGGGTGAATATAATTGGTACACTGCTTTTTTTTTTTTTTTTTTTTTTTTTTTTGAGACAGAGTCTCTCTCTGTCACCCAGGCTGGAGTGCAGTGGCATGATCTCGGCTCACTGCAAGCTCTGCCTCCTGGGTTCACACCATTCTCCTGCCTCAGCCTCCAGAGTAGCTGGGATTACAGGCGTCCGCCACCACGCTTGGCTAATTTTTTGTATTTTTAGTAGAGATGGGGTTTCACTGTGTTAGCCAGAATGGTCTGGATCTCCTGACCTCGTGATCTGCCCGCCTGGGCCTCCCAAAGTGCTGGGATTACAGGCGTGAGCCTCTGCGCCCAGCCGGTACACTGCTTTTGAGAAGTAATTTGATAATATGTATGAGAAGGCTTAAAAATGTTCATGCGGCCGGGCATGATGGCTCACGCCTGTAATCCCAGCACTTTGGGAGGCCGAGGCGGGTGGATCATGAGGTCAGGAGTTCGAGACCAGCATGGCCAATATGGTGAAACTCTGTCTCTACTAAAAATACAAAAAGTAGCCAGGTGTGGTGACGTGTGCCTGTAATCCCAGCTACTTAGGAGGTTGAGGCAGGAGAATCTCTTGAACCCAGGAGGTGGAGGTTGCAGTGAGCTGAGATCTCGCCACTGCACTCCATCCTGTGTGACAAAGCGAGATTCCATCTCAAAAAAAAAAAAAAATTTCATGCCTTTTGACCCAGTAACTTTTATTGAGAAATCTGTGATTTTAAAACAAAATCCAATATATAGAAAGATCTTTAGGTATAAGGATATTAATTACAATAATGAAAAAAACATGCAAAAGAAGAGTGGCTAGGTCCTCTGTTTGGAAACAGCCTACAGCTGGTGAAAGCTGTGTGTAAGAAGATTTTGTAATATGATAGAAAGTTGTGTATTGATAATAAAGTTTTGAAAAGCAAGATTCAAAATAACTCATAAGCATGACGACACTAAGTCATCCTGCACAGTCACCCGCATGCACAAAAACCAGGAGTGGAAACTCAGGGGCAGCTGCAAAGCACAGCTCCAGGCCCCTTCCCTCTGAAGTCTGAGGCTCTGCCAGGCAACGTTTCATCCCGATCCTCCCAGTGGAGACACTGGCAGTTTCCATCCTTCTGCTTCTTTATACCTTTTTATATTTTCTGTACTTGAGATTTTACTTCCTAAGAAGATAAAATACCTATTAGAAAGTTTTAAAAATTTGAAATAAAATTTTAAAGAAGTCCAAATGTCTGGCCAGGCGCATTGGCTCATGCCTGTAATCCCTGCACTTTGGGAGGCCGAGGCGGGCAGATCACGAGGTGAGGAGTTCGAGACCAGCCTGGCCAACATAGCGAAACCCTGTCTCTACTAAAAATACAAAAAATTAGCTGGATGTGGTGGTGGGTGTCTGTAATTCCAGCTACTCAGGAGACTGAGGCAGGAGAATCGCTGGAACTCGAGACGCAGAGCTTGCAGTGAGCCAAAATCGTGCCACTACACTCCAGCCTGGGTGATAAGAGCAAAACTCTGTCTCAAAAAAAAAAAAAAAAAAAAAGTCCAAATGTCCATTCCCAACTCAGCTTCAAGGAAAGTCTCCTCTAGACTCCACAGGGTAGAAATTCCTGTTGATGGCACCTTCAGAAGGTAAGAAAGGAACTCGTCCTCCACCATGCCTGACCCGTCTTTGGGTTTTAGGCATTGGCCGACTGATAAAGGCAATACTGAGAGTGTGATCAATGTGTAGACGACCGATTGTCATATAATATGAATCTCACCACACCTGAGAGAGTGGGATAGATTCTCTCATTTTCATAGTTTGGGCATCTGAGTCCCTGAGAGCCTGAATGCCTGACATGGATTCTCCAAGAATGTTGGCCTTCAGACTCTAAAGGGCCCCGGGTCTCCTGTGAAGCCCCCTGTGCATGCACCACACCCGCAGAGGCTCCACAACAGCGGGAAGGGCACCCAGGGTCAGAGCCCAGGCGAGTTCACACTCGGGGACCATCCACATCCAGGGCGTGCAGGGGAGGGGCCGAGGTGAGAGCCCAACCCCTGCCTAGGCTGTGGTGACTGGTGGCTGCACGGGGGTCCCAGCGCTCCTGGAGCTATCATTCTTTATCTCCTGAAGACCCCGGACCCGCACATACCAAAATTCTGCATTTCTGGTGGAGCGGTCTTCTCTTTTGAGATGTAAACACTACTTCTCGAATCTTAAAGCCAGCCATTGCCACTCCTAAGGGATAAGCCTCTAACTCCACTGAAATTAGCCTCAGAATTTCAGCTGAGCATTTGGAGCCACAGGCAGGAAGTCTGTGGGATTTGCACCTGGCTGATCTGGAAGGTGGTCCTGAAAGGTAGTGTGTGACTAGGGGGGCTTTGAGGGGCATGGATGTCCCTGATGAAAGGAGAACAAGACAGATGGGAAGGTTCCAAAAGTGAACTTTAGGGGGCCCTGTGCCCATCACTAGGATTTGGAAAATCTTTTCCCAGCCACTTTTGGCCTGTGGGTTTTCATTCTGCTTTCCTGTCTGCCAAGCCATTCCAGGCAATCCCTTCATTTGGTAAACATTTATCAAATACCTACTGTGTGCAGGGCGTTGTTTTAAGAGGAGCTGGGACTGAGATAAGAGGAAATAAACCCTCCTTGCCCTCAAGGCGTGCCCAGTCTTGCTCAGGCAGAGATCAGTAAGGAAATCATAACACAAATTGAGAGAGGAAAAAGGAAGAAACTGGTCAGGCGGGCAGTTATGGTGGGTCCTCAGTTGAATTATTTCAAACAAAAGAACAGCCTGCAGGCACAAAGAAGGGAACTTGCACAGGGGGGCTTGCCTAAGACATGCCCACAGCTGCACAAATAAGAAAGGCTGCACAGGAGACTTGCCCAGACATGCCCGCAATGGAAAATTCTGTCCCCCGATACGTGGGCAGTCAGGGAAACAAAGCAATATAGAGTAACTCAAGCTAAGGGCCTGCATGGGCACTAGGAGGATGGGGTGGAGCTACCGGAAATTCATGCCTTATGCAAATGAGACACCCAGCCCTCATCAGTTTCTTATAAAAGCCTTTGCATTCAGCTGTAAAAATGGCAACCATCTTCCAAGCCCCCTCTCCGTGGGGGAGAGCTTTCTTCTTTTGCTTATTAAACTTTTGCTCCAACCTCACCCTTTGTATCCATGCTCCTTAATTCTCTTGGTGGTGAGACAAAGAACTCCAGGTAACACCTCACAAGGAGAGACTGAGAGGCTGCTACGTTGTGGTGCATTGGCAAGACTAACAAACTGGCTAGTGGGACATGCACACTTGCTTGGTAGACATATATGTAGATCTTCAGCTCTGACTAATGAAGGAATACCAAAAATCTCATAAAAGAAAATAATATTATTTGAGCTTTGTTTTGTGGTGTAAGTGGGAGCCCCACAGGCACCCAGGATAGGAGAGCTTTGCTCAGAATCCAGGAAGTGAACATCTTTCCCTGGGCCAGGCCAAGAATGAGACTAAGCTGATTGAGGAGCCTGGTGCCTCCTGGCAAGAAAGGGTGTCTGACACCTGACTATCCAGAAGTCACAGCTACTCAATATTGAGACTTGAAACAGAGAGAGAGACAGAGAGAGAGAGAGAGACAGAGAGAGAGAGAGAGACAGAGAGAGAGAGAGAGACAGAGAGAGAGAGAGAGAGAGAGAGAGAGAGATCTGATTTGAAAAGCAGAATTCTGCTGGGGGCTTGTTAAATGCAGAGTTTCTGATACAGTAGGTCCAGGCCAGGCCCTGAAGATTGCATATCTAAGTTCCCAGGTGATGCCAATGCTGCTTCCCCCAGGACCACACTTTGAGAACCACCACCCTAAGGCAATCTGTGTTGGTTTCTAATATCAGAAGAGGGCTGGGAGTGGGCTGGGAGGCAGAGGTGTAGGATCAGTGAGACCACACCTGACCCACCCTGGACAGCTCCCCACCCCATTCTTGCAGCATTTTATTTCCTGGGAGTCCTGGGAATGGAAGACACCCAGGAAGGGACCAAATGTGGGGTCACAGGGTGATCCAGAGGCTCGGCTTCATACAGCACCTGGGGCTCCCGCCACTCCACAACTGGCCCCCACACCCTCAGTCTTCCCACCCCTCACGACACTGACCTCCAGACCTTCCTCGACTAATCTCAGCAGGTTGGGCCTGGGATGTGACACTAGGAGCTCTGAGTGTACCTTCTGATCCAAAGATAGGGTGACCGCGTATGACAAGTACTCAGATGGGCCATTAATAGGACCTTGAACATTTGGCAAATGGCTTCAGTCACGTGTGCTTGAGAATTCCAGTGTTTTCTAGATATGGCATCCATGAGCCCACACAAACACTGGAGGGCGTCGTGAGCATACTGAAACCCATAACTGCTGCACTGGATCCCCTAGAAACCCTTTCCCACTTAGACCAAGATTTGAACAAAATTTCCTTCACCAAACAAACTGCATTTAATTAATCATGCTGTTATTTTACCTTGTAATGGAAAAAAGATAGATGTAAAGAAAGATCATGCAATTAAAAAGAAAACAATGTACTGAATTAAAATGGCGGTAAACCTCCTTGTTAAAGGAATAACATAATATTTAGAAAATTTTTAAATTTTATTTCGATAAAGGTTAAAAAATTCCATTAGTTTTTAAAAAGTTTTTCATTTTGAATTTTTTGGGGGTTTGTTTGGTCTCCTTAGGAATTATCTTTTATTTCTTGATATAGTTCAAAATTCAAAATTCAAAATGTTCAAAAGGTAAAATGTCTCTCTCTTACCCTGTCTCATCCCCAACAGGCAACCAAGGATATTAACTTCTTGCTTATTCTTCCAAATATATTTTATGCATATGCAAGCAAATATAAATGTGTACATATATATCCTTTGTCCCTTTTCACACAAATTTTAGCAGACTCTATATGTTATTCTACACCTTGCTTTATTTCTTCATGAGGGAATATCAAGAGTTTTCTATGTCTTTCTTCTTTTGTGTTAAATGTTTGTAGACTCTGCCGTGTAGCTATGCAGTGCTTGTTTGGGTTTTCTTAAGAAGGGAGGCCTCCTTATGTTACCCAGAGTGGAGTAGAGTGTATTCACAGGTGAATGCTACTGTGCCCAGCTTGCAATGCTTTTTTAACCAGTCCCCTAGTGACAGACATTTGGATTATTTTTTCTTTTATCTGTCATTTTCTTTCTTCTTTTCTTTTTGCTTTTACAAACAGGGTTGCAACATATAATTCTGAATACAGTCATTTTTCAGGAATGCAGGTGTGTTTTGGACACATTTCTAGAAGTGGGACTACTGGGTGTATGCATTTTTAATTTGGACAGAAATAGCCATACTGCCTTTCCTGAAAACATTTCCAGTTTGCAGGCCCATCTGCAGTATATCAGAGTACCTGTTTTGGTACCATTATTTTTTTGATTATAGAAATATGTAGAGATATATATTTGGGAGCCATCTGTGTCTAGATGATATTTAAAATCCTGAGAGTGGAGGACACCGGAGTGATTAGGAAGGTAGTAACACCCCAGAGTGCTCCAGCATCTACAGCAAAAGGAGCCAATGAAGGGGGACTGAGGAGGAGCAGCCAGTTGGGGAGGAAGAGAACTTGACCTGTAAAATGTCAAAGAAGATTTTAAAGGGGGGAGCTGATACAACCTCTTCAGAGAACAATTTGACATCCTATAACACCACATGGTAAAAGCACAGTAATCCCATTCCTACATCCATATCTTGGGGAACTCACACAGGGGACCAGAGAGAGATGACCCAGGATGTTCATTGTGGCAGTGTCTGTAACAGAAACAAGCTAAAGGTCACGGACAGAAGAGATAAATTGTGGGATATTCCTCCCATGAATACTATCCAGAACTGAAAACAAAGTAACTGTTTCTATGGGTGTGGGTTCACCTCATAAACCATATTAAATGATAAAGCAAGCCACAGAATGATACATTCAACAAAAAACAATTTATACGAAGTCTAAAATCATGTAAAACAAAGGGATTTTAAAAACTTTGTAACAGTATAAAGGCATTCACCAAATTCAAGACATCCGCCACTCCCCACTGGCAGTCCTTGCTTTACTCAGTACAGTATCGACTGAAACACATACATAACAGAACTGTGGAAAATCAGGGCTATCTGCATATATTTCTATTATTTTCTATGTATACTACATATAGCCAATAATATTAAAATGTTACAAATTGACAAACCTGAGTGGTGGCTTCACAAAGATTTCTTTTAATTCTCTATTCTTCCAGCTAGAACTACTTCAGCTAGATCAAGTGGTGGCAGTGATCTGCAAAAGTCAGAGGTCACAGTTACCATGACAACCCCAACAGAGCAGGCAAGGTTGTGCTTGACCTGCAGGGAGTGTGGGGAAGGTTAACAGAGGGCAGTGTCCCAGGTTCAGAACAGAAGGACAGCCAGCAAGGGCGCTGCTTGATATCTATGAAAAGAAAGCAAGAATTGAGGAGCAGGAGGCTGAGGGTGTTTGATCCAAGACAAAGTCATAATCTGTTCTCAATGCCTAGACCTCACCTAACTTTCAGATTCAGATCCCAATGACAGAGGAGGGGAGTCCATATCCCTAGGAGGAAGAACCCTGGAACACCCTGGGAGTATATGCTGGGTCAATTCCCTGAACTCTTCTGCAAAGGAACCTACAGCCATTTACACAGGAGACTGTACACCGGGAAAGGGAAATAGGCAGAATTTGGGTGAGTATTGACTTTGTGTGTGAACTAACATTGATGCCCAGATTCCTACAGCACCATCGTGTCCCATCACAGAGGGGCTTCCAGAGGCCAGGACACATTATAGCTCACAATCCCGTAGTCCCAGCCCTGTTTAGTTCCCTATTCCTTGAGTGCATAATGGCATTGATGCACTGGCAGCTGGAGTGACCCCCACACCGCGTCTCTAACCTGTGGATTAATGGCTCTTATTGCGCTGAAGGCTAAAGGGAAACCTCTGAAACTGCCCCTATCCCAACCGAAGCGATATTACGTCCCAGGGCAGGTCTTGGAGGTTATTGCAGGTATTGTGGGGGGTAGCACCACCATTAGAGAGCTGTAGGAGGTGGGATAGTGCTGGAGTTGCCTATTATCTCCGTGTATTCTGTCCTTGCAGAAGCCCAATAGGACCTAAAGAATGAACAGGATTACTTCAGACTTGACCAAGTAGTGGTCTTGATTGCAGCTGCCATGCTGGCTGGATATCACTGCTAGCAGAAGTTAATGAGGCTGCAGGCCAATGGTGTGCAGCCGAGGATTTGCTGAGTGCATTCCTTTCCAGCTAGAAAGTGGATATGGAGTTATTCACATTCATACCACATTTATTTACACTTTCCCTGAGAGCTATTATAACTCTTCTGTCATCTGTAACATAGTCTTAAGAGATGCCGGACATTCTACAGAATATTAAATCTGTTCATTTCATTGGCAACATCATAGATTGGGATGGATGAGAAAGAAGGTGGAAAGTATGCTGGAGGTCTTGGTAAAACACATGCACCCCAGAAAGAGGAGGATAAATCTTACAGAAATTTAGGAGTGGCAACTGCAGTGAAATTTTATGGGTCCAGTGGCTAGGTGCATGCAGAGATATTTCTTCCAAGTAAAAACAAAAGAAAACAGAAAAAAAAACCCGTTGCATCTTTCATCTTCAGTGAGAAAAAAAAAAAAAAGAGAGAGAAGCGGACTGCCTGGTGAATCTCTTTGGGTTCTGACAACACCACATTCCACATCTAGGTATATCATTTTGGCCACATTTTGGGTGACATAGGAGGATGCCAGATTCAAGTGGAGCCTACACAGGAAAGGACTCTGCAGCAGATCCAGGCTGTGGTGCAGGCAGCCACCATCCCTCAGACCCCCTGGTGCTGGAGGTGGCAGGGCTGGGCAAAGATGCAGGATGGAGTGAACTGAGCATCAGTGGGGAAAGTCACAATGGAGGGCCTGGGATTCTGGAGTAAGTTCATGTCATCCACAGCAGAAATATATGCCCCTTTCTCGAAGCAACTTTTAGTGTTGCTGGCCCTGATCAGATAGAATTCTTGACCACAGGACACTGAGAACCACGTAATTCCAAGTGGTTGTATGAATTGGCTTCTGTGTGACCTACAGAGTTATAGATTGGACAGGCCCAACAGTGTCCATCATGAGACGGAAATGGTCCATGTGGAATGAGCCCAAACCCCAAGTTAACACCCCATCTGCCCAGAAAATACCTGCCCCTGAGGTGGCACTGAACAACCAAGCAGACAAATGGAAGTTAGCCAGCCTTCACTGGGGGCCATCTCAGGCCTTGCAGGGTGGGAACATGCATGCAGGAATCACAATAGCTCCCTTCATGTGCCCATCCTTCCAGGTCACTCAGTGGCCTTGGTCGGTGGGAGTCAGTGCTGCTGGACCCATAGGTAGCCTCCAAAAGGTGAGACTCCCACCTACCAAGGCCGAACTAGCTGCTGCCACCTCTGAATATCCAACTTGTCAGGATTAGACACCCGTGATAGGCCCTGATGTGCCCTGCTTAGGCACTATTTCTTTAGGTGATCAAAGTGCCACTAAATGACACATTGACCACATTAAGCCTCATCATGGAAGGGCCAGAGATTCATCCTCACTGGGACAGAAACTTCCTCCATGGGTAGGCTTTTTCCCCCACTATTCTCAGACTCTCAGCCAGCACCACTGACATTCCTGATCCACAGGTTTGGAATTACTCTCAGCACAGCCTCTTCCTGGGGGACCCACCTCACAGGGAAATGGAAGTGGGTGCAGCATGGACCATGACCAGGGGATCCACTGATCCTATCACCATCTGCACCCTGCGGGGGCTGCCGGCCACACAGAACATTGGACAGGCCTTCAACAGGCACAACTCAGAACCAGCTTGGAGGAAACACTGAGGAATGGGTGCCATCTTTCAGGGCACGGTGCATTTATTGAATCAGAGACATCACTACGGTGCTGTATTCTCAGTAGGAAGAAACTTGGGTCCAGAAACCAAGGGATGGAAGAGAGTGTGGCTGCATGTCCCATCCCTTATATTCACCCACTGTGGAACTTGGACTTCTCATATCCCAAATCTGGGCTTTGTAGTATAGGAGGTCCTGGTTTTCCACAGGGAGGCACTCAGACAAGGGGACAAACAAGAGCCCATTGAGCTACACATTACAGTTGCCCGCAGGACAGTATGGGCCTAGAGACAAGCAGGGAAGAAGAGCACTCCCCTCCTCTCCAGGCAGGAGTGATGGACCCTCATCCCCAGGACGAGGCAGGGCTGCTGATACACGGTAAGGGCAGGAGGAGTTTGTGTGGAACCCAGAGATTCACTTGGGGACTTCCTTGTTTCCCTTGTCCCATTGTAAATGTGAACAGAATCGTCCAGCAACCCAGTCTGACAGCGTTTGATTTCCAAAGGCCCAGACCCCTCAGGAGGAAGATTTGAGCCGCATTTCCAGGAAATTTCCCAAGGCCTCCCTCCCGTGCTCTGTCATTCTCAGCAGCATTGGTGCAGAGGCCCTGCTTCCCATGGGCTGTTCCCAGCCACTGACACGTAACAGCAGGGGCACTAAGACAGACCATTCCTGGGCAACAGGAGACTCCTCTGTTGGCCATCTGTGGCTGGAGGACTCCTCCATGGCCTTGCTCAACTCTCCTTAGATTGCTTGTGGTCTAGGATGCGTCCAACAACCCTTCTTTCCTTTTGTCCAGGACTGGAGTCAGCCTTGCCTCTGGGCCTGCCACTTTTCCCAGGGTTATCTGGCTCCCTCCCCATATTCTCTGACAGGTGTGTCCCCCAATAAACCTTGTGAGAGGCCCTGAGCCAGAAGCACTCAAGGAAATCTCTCCCAGATTCCTGACCACTGGAAACTGTGGGAGATGATAAGAATTTGTTGTTTTGGGTTGTCAAACTTTATGTTATTTATTATACAACAATAGACAATAGCGCTTCAAAAGAGAGAATGAATTACTACACTTTAATTTTTATTTACTCTAAATTAACTAAAAGATATTCAGTGTTATTTGGTTTTAAGATTTCAGTATTTCCATGTATCAATAGGATGTATTTTATTAACATTCACAACAATCTATTTATTTGAACTTCAGTTTCCTACTGTGACCCAATTAAACAGAAAAGGAAGATCCTGGCTATGCGAGGATGATTCAGTGATGGCCTCCACATAACCACCCCTGGTGATTCACCTTCCCCAGTTACTCAATCAACACTACTGTAGGTGCCGCTGTGAAGGGATTCTGCAGATATAAGCAAGGTCCCAAATCAGTTGACTTTAAGGCCATGATTATCCTGCCTTGGACTGTCCTAATCAGGTGAGCTCTTAAAACAACTTATTTCTTCTTCAGCAAAGAGATTCACAGTGTGAGCGAGATTCAACGTGAGGGGCTTCCTCCGCTGTGAGCTTTGAAAATGAAGGGGCCATGTGGCAAAGGATATGGCGGGCTCCAGGAATTGAGAGCAGCTCCACCCCACCTCCACCTGACAGCTGCCCAGGAACAAGGACTACAATCTCACAACTGCCTGAAACTGAATTCTGCCACCAAGCTCTGTATAAGCTTGAAGGAGGACCCCAGCCTCAAGATGAGGACACAGCTTCGTGAAATCCTGAACTGAGAATCATTCACACCAGGCCTGGATTTCTCATTAAGGAAATGTAGAGAAATAAATGGGTGCTGTGTAGAGCCAGTGAGTTAGTGGTAATATGTTATGCAGTAACAGAAAATTCATACATAGGCCAACAGATAAGCATATAACATTTTCTCTATTGGAATAAACTAGTGAATTGAAATGTACACTCCTTGTATAAGATAAAATCTTTCCTAATTTTTTGGTATTCTTCATTTTATAATTTTTATGCAATGCAATTACATTTTAATACAATCATATTCATGAATTCACCAAAGACCAAAGCTAACTTTGTATCTACTATGTACCAAGTATGTCTTTACATACCGTGCAGTTGGTTCAGTCCTCACACCTGCTTTCCTCATGTTTCCTGCCCTGGGTCTGCCGTCACAGTTTTGGAAACTTCTCTGGGGTCCAAGACTAGGGGGTTCCTCTAGGACCTCATGGCCCTGTCTCCTCCCTAGCCCCTCACAGGATGATTTCTTCCCAGAGGCAGAGAAGGAGGTGCTCAGGCTGTGTGTAACTATGGGAGACGGATGTGGAGGAGCTCACCTATGCCATAATTCCTCCTCTCCCACATCTCCTGCAGGCTCTGACCAGGTCCTGTTTTTGTTCTACCCCAGGCAGTGACAGTGACCAGGGCTGTGATGTGTCTCTCACAGCTTGTAAAGGTGGCGTCCTGGAGGGCCTTATGTGGAAGGGGGATGGGGTACAGGGGACAAGACTGGATTACGGTGATTCTTTGGGACACTTTGAGTGTGTAGTGGGGAGTTCAGAGTGTTACGCTTTATGGCCACTGACCTGAATTTGTTCATGACTATTGTTTTCTGTAGCCTGAGGCAGCTGTCTTGTGAGGGACTGAGATGCAGTATTTCTTCATGCCTCCCCTTTGTGACTTCAAGAGCCTCTGGTGTCTCTTTCTGCAAAGGCATCTGAATGTGTCTGCGTCCCTGTTAGCCTAATGTGAGAAGGTGGAGAGACCAGCCCTCCCCCATGTCTACCATGACCCCCTTCCCCATGCTGAATTAGCTGACTTTACAAAAAGAAAATTACCATCAATAATGTGGATGGGCTTCACCCGATCAGTAGAAGACTCTGAGAGCAGAAACTGAGGTTTCCCAGAGAAGAAGAAATCCTGCCTCAGAATTAGAACATCTTCTTTCTGCGTTTTCAGCCTGCTAGCTTATCCTGCAGATTTTCATACTTACCGCCCTAATAATCACATGAATAAATATCATAATATGAATACAAATACACACACACACACACACACACACACACACACACACACACACACACCCTATTGATTCTGCTTCTCTGAAGAATCTGGACTGATAGAGACTGTGGTACGAAGAGTGGTTCTAGAGGAACAGAATCTTTTTAAAAATTTTATAGCTAACCATAAAAAATACTTTATTAAAATGTTGAAATGTATATAAGCATAATTATAAATTAGCAATTAAGAATTTAATTGGCAAAGAAGAGAAGAATTGTTTTCTTTTCCTAATACAGTACAAGCAACAGTAATTTGGATCTTCCTCACTTTCAGCCACCATTTGCCCTAGGTGTCCTTCACTCAAGCTTCTGGCTTGTGTTTTGGAGTGAAAATTCACATGGATACTAAGAAGCAACTCTAATAATGTGAATCAGGTATCAAAAACTCCTTATGGCATGTTAACATGTAATGATGGTTCATATATATTCCAACATCTCACAACAGGCAAGCATTATTTCCAGAAGAAAATTAAGTCACTTTTGTAGCTGCTAGTGAATGTTCTACAAATGAACACTGAAGATTTAAGGCATTGCTCTGCTCTGGAGTGGTGCTTCTGTGGCTCCAGCAAACTGTACAAAGGCTTTCTTTAATAATATATATTATTTTATATACACAAATATTATATATATACACACCCCCTGAAACTAAAAGTTGAAAAAAGAAAAAATACAAATGTATCTTCTGTGATAGTTCAATTACTTCACTCCATCGATGATTTTCTTGGGCATAGAACTGAAACTATCAGTCAATGATGTGTGTTTATACACCTTGCTGTGATTCAGTGGTTATGAGCAAATGGTCTTCCATTTCCTATTGCCACTATAACATGGTTATTTGTCCCCGATCTAACAACTCCTTCTCCAGCTCCATTCTCTGGCCCCTGAGATTAATAGTCCAAGTGGCATTTTGGGTCACTGAGTGGTTAGACAGGACAAGGTTGATTTGAGCTAATACTTCTGGCATGTCCATTTTGATTTGTAACAGAAGCTTTTTCTGGATTCATCCCCTACAAGGTGAGATGGAAAACTACAACCATCACCCACGCTTGAAAATATGGGAGGTAGCCAGTGTTTCTCTTTATGGCCAAACACTTGTCTCTAATTTTTACTATTGTCCTGTTTTTTTAAACCAACCAGCAGTAGTAGCTGAAAAGAGAGAGACACTGAAGAAGAACTTTGCAGGCACAAAGAAAAGGAAAAGTATGTGGAGCTTTGCTGTGTATCTGTCAGTTCATCCTACTCCACTAGAACCTGGCATTCTCAGGACTTGATGTCCTGCAGGCCCCCAGCTGAGGGCAGCGAGCACCCTGAGAGCCAGCTGGACTCCCCTCTTGGAGTGTAATTGCACAGCAACAGCATCTGCATATGGAGTTGTCCTGCGCTTCTGGAACCGTCTCTGTTGGTCATGGGGGCTACTGTGACATTGTCCTTTCTTCTGTTATCCTTTCTTCCTCTGTCTTGTTGCTAGGGATAACTTTGCCCCTGCTGGCATCATGTCCTGAAGAGCTGAGGATGACACATCCTGGCTGGCGTCCTCCCTGGTCGGCCTTGGGTCACTGTCTAAGTGTTAAGTGTTGCCTGTGGCAGGAGGTTGTGGGAATGAGCGGCACCGCCTCACGGAGCTGTCCCTGTGGGAGTGGCCTGCAGGTGTTTGTACCTGTGGCATTTTCACAACTCTTTCCAAGACTCAAGAATGTGCTGTGGGAGGAGAGCAGGTCTGGGTCCTCCCCTGTGTCCCCCATCTACTCATCTGGGTGGCTGTGGGACTGACGTTGTCGGAAATGAGAAACGCTGCCCCTTCACAAGGCACTACCTAGTTTTTCTCTTCTGGAAGGTGGCAGCACAATGCCCAGGTTGAGATGGACACAGGCGTCAGCATCCTAAAGTAAAACATGTGATTCTAATAGAAATACCCGAGCTTTTCAATGTGAATGAACAGGACCTTCCACCCTCTGGCAACTATGTATTTTTCCTTGAGATTTGACAAAAAAAAAAAAAAAGAAAGAAAGAAAGAAAAAGAAAGAAAGAAACAATAATGGGGAAAAAAAAAAGCAGAAAAAGGTGTGGTGGCTGGGGTGTGGGGAGCTGGGACCCTGGCCCTGTGCAGGTGAGTTGCCAGGTGCTTCTGGGGAGGCCACCACCATCCTGGGCTCTGCCAGGTTGAGGCACCACAGAGCCAGCCTTCCTGACGATGCCGTCTGTCCCAGTGGCTCACCGGAAGCCACTGCGCCCAGATTAGTTTTGTGTTGATAGAAATTTTTAAAGTATTATGTTACATAATTTTATGCTTTTTGAGGAGGCAAATAAGTCTTTCTGGCTAAGTTGCTCCTCATGGCAATCTCTCTGATGTGCTTGAAGACAGCCAGATCTGTGGGGTTCCCACCGTCAGTGAATACTTGTGCTTCCCTGCGGGGTCTATTTTCAGGGGTCTTTGCCTGTTGGTTGCCCCTATGACTGCTGACCTCACGCCCTTTGGTGGAAGCCATGCTCTTCCTTGCTCCCTGAGGGTTGGAAAACTGGAAAATTATGGTCGATGAGGATAGACAGTAACATTTGTTCTGTGTGGCACTGTCATCACCGCACTTGAAGGTGAAGCCATGTTTCAGAAAGTACAAAACGTGGCTCCATCCCTTGGCTGCCAAGTGGCCTAGTGGCAATGTGAGCCCGAGTGGACGACACTGTGACACAGGACAGGGTGGATTCAAGGGCTCCTTCCCAGCTCAGGGATTAACTGCAGGGCTGGGGGTAACCGGGGCTGAGAGGAACCTGGAGACGCGCTGGTGTGTGGCCGGGTGAGAGCCTGGAGAGAGCCTCCACCTGTCCTCACAGCACCTGGGGGAGACATACTGAGGAGGGGGCACCTGCCCCTCCACTCTGCCTCACCATTGTCCCCCATCTCACTGGCATCCCTGGTGTCCACCAGGCACTTTTCACGTGTCTCCTCCTTAACCTTCAGAACTTCTCCGTGAGGTCAGTGTTGGGTTTGAATTTCTGGAGTTGAGGGAAGACTTTGAGCCCGGGAGACTCCCTAGGGAGGGGTCCACATTCCATAACTGACGCCACAGTTGAGCCCCAGCAGTTCGGACTTCGGACCCCAGAGTGTTCTGAGCTCTGAGTTGCTCTGGGCTGGCAGTGCCCTGTGCCAGCTGCACTGAGGCAGCCGTGTTCCTGCTGGTCCTACAGGTTTCCCCACCTGAAACCAGAAGCAGATCAGGATTTCCCAAATTCTCTCTAGCCCTGATGGGTGACATCTCCACTGTTTTAATGAGGCAATAATTGCAGCTACTACTTCTGTGGTGGGTGTTGCCATGTTCCAGGCATCTTTCTGGGTACTTGGCATATGTAAACACACGCATTTACAATGGAAGCTCGTGAAGCACAGAGAGGTTAAGTGACTTGGTCAAGGTCACACAGCAGTAAGTAATGGAGCTGGAATTTGAGCTGAGACAATCTGCTGGCATCATGTCAGATACAGTGAGATGACTGGAGGTGGGAAGAAGCTGGGGTGTGTTGATTACACAGAGTACACATGGCCTCTGTAGTAAGCTGGAGCCTTTGGCCACCCAAAGGTGGATTTGTGCATGAGCCGAGGACAGGTTTCTAATGTGCCAGATGAGGTGAGTAGGAGATTATGCACTTGTGTCTTCAGCCTTGTCCTCCACGTCTTTGTCATCTCCTGAGGATGGAGCATCTGTCATGTGCACACTGAGTGGCACCGCTCATGCTGGGTGAGTCGCTGCAGCTGCAGGCCCCCAGGGTCCTCGTGAGAGGCAGTCAGCACCTGCAGCTGCTGGGGCTCCACCAGGATGCATTTTGAGGACACCAGCTCTGCACCATTCTTGACCCAGACAGTGGGCCCCATGGGACCACCTCCAGGCAGGGAGCAACTCAGCCCTGCGGTGTCCCGGAGGCCAAAGAACAACTGCTCCTGATGGTTTCAAGACCTCAGCGGGAGGCTGCAGCAGGCCTTGAGTGAGGGAGGATCAGCTCCCAGAGCCTGGGTCCTGCCAGACAACACTCAAACCAGGGGCTGGTAAATAATCCCCAAAAGGACCTGAGGCAACATTTTCAACTTTGCCAACCAGTCTCTATACCAAAGACTTAACTCTGCCCTTGTAGCATGAAGCAGCCTTCCATAGACATCCTGATGGTCTCCCCCAGGCAGGCTGCTCCCAGTCCTAGGGGATCAGAAGTAGCGGCTGAATAGCCACAGCCATACAAAGCACTAGGGTACAGGCCAGGGTGTCTGTGGCAGGGGCTGGGGCTGCAGTTTGTCAGGCAGCATGCAGAGGCATGCTGCTCCCCACAGCTTAGCTTGGCACTAGCAGGAGGAGAGTGCCCCTTAGAAGCCTAGGGGCCACTGGAGCCCGACTCAGTGTGTGCAACTCCCGAATAGGCTTGGTGCCCATAAATCCAGCACCATTCTGGGCTGCTGACCCACCAGTGCATAGTGCACCCCAGCTGAGCCAGCTGTCCTTGGCCCACCAAGCCTCAGACCATGCCCAGCCTAGCTTACTGGGGCATAGGGACACTGGAACAGAATTTTAAGAATGAATGCACTGAATTTGGTGGTGGTGGGGGGTTTCTTGAATTGTTTCTCTAATCTATTTGGATTTAAAGGCACAAATGACTCTATTTCCATTAGTACAGAGAGTGTGAATACTCAGAATATCACCATTGGATAGACCTAATCAAATACTTATAAGATCTGGGTGACTATGTATTTGAGACCTTAGAAGACTTTGTTAAACTAGCTATTGTAAGGTGATTAGTTAATTTTTGCCAATTGTGCTGGACAAAATGGGGAAAGAAAAAGATGAACTCAGGGCTGCAAACTTCCAGCTCATGAGTCACATAAATCACCTAAAAGTTTCTATGTTTCCTTTGAATGAAATCCTAATCTCCTGTAGCTGCAGGGCTGAAATTTCTGAAAAATAAACGCAGCGTCTCATTCTGTGCGTAGCTAAATTACAACACAAAACAAATCCCAAACTTAAAGAATATCTGTTATTTAAGTGAAGGCATTGATTGGGAATAAACGCGATACTGAAAATCAGAATGGGGACATCTGGGCAGATCCTGATGAAGCTAAAGACACTGAACTCCTAAATTCCTCTGAGAATTATTTGCCAGTTTCATTCAACCACATTTGGCGAGGTTAATCCAGCTTTCCCTAACGAAAAGGTAATGGTCTTCTCTGAGGGAGTTGCCCTCAAGACCCTGTGATTCCACTCAACATTCACCCCCAACACCCCTCTGTGATTCCAGATGCGTAAATAGCCTTGAGTCCTAGCATGTCCTGAAAGGTGAGGTGGAATATGTCAGTATGACGATTTAGAGAACCAATGTGACAATGTGATGAAAATAATTAAAAATGTTTAAAAGTCTGTGTCCTAATGTTTATCACTTGAGTATTCTATGAATTTTCTAAAATTCCAAACATAGAAGAATCTTTCTATATAAAGATGCTTGTCAAAACATTATTTACAACAAGACGAAATGAAGGCAGACGGATCCAAAAAAAGAAGTTGGGTTACATCTTCTTATCTGAAATGAGATATGGCTTGTAAAAGTGTATAAACTTTATGCAGAGCTTATAACATGGAAAACTACTTGTATAATAATACATTCCAAAAGCAACATCCAAGATAACCCTTAACATATGAATGCAACTTTGTAAAATGACAGCATATATAAAAATACATACATAGAAAATAACGAAATGAAAATCAGCACCACTGCACAAGACAGCTCCAGGGACCACCATTTGCACTGCAGTCTACAAAGGTTCAACAATATAATAGCAGTGATTTTTTAAAGAAAGGCCTAGGTGATGTTTCTAACTGTCTGTGCATTTTAACGTCTTCTGTGATCAAATAGGGTTTCACTTTTGAATATAAAAACATATATTTTAACATTTAAAATAAAGCATTTGAAGTAAAATAACAATGAAATGAGGCCAGACATGGTGGCATGCACCTGTAGTCCCAGCTACTCAGGAGGCCGAGGCTGGAACATTGCTGGAGCCCAGAAGTTCAAGGACGTAGTCCACTATGATCACAGCTGTGAATAGTCACTGCACTCCAGCCTGGGCAACATAGCAAGACCTTATCTCTATTATAATACTAGTAATAGTCATAATCTTCTTTCTCCCTCAGGCTAAAGCTACTTTCTCATTTGAACCCAAAGGGCAGAAATGTCTACCGAGTGCTCCACCAGAGAAAAGAAATGAGTTCTTCCTTCACAATCCATGATCCAATTTTTGGTTATAGAGTTCAGCTGAGCAATAAAGGCAACACTAAGAACACCATCAATATATAGATTACGGATTGTCATGTATGTGTTCATGTATAAATGTGTGTGTCTACATATATATATATAATTACCACAACACCTGAAAGAGGGAGATGGATTCTTCCATTTCATAGATGAAAATCTGAGCCCCTGTGTACTTTGAGGCTTGGTCTGGGTTCACTGAATATTAGCCTTGAGAACTGGGAGACACTAAGCCTCCTGCAGAGCCCATCTAGGCATGAGCCACACCAGTGGAGACTCCTCAACAGCAGGAAGAGCAACTGAGATCCAGGAATGTCCACACTTGTAGAGGGTCCACGTCCAGTGGAATACAACTGAAGGATGGGTGAAGGGTACAGTCTAGCTGCTTCCTTCAGCTGGGGGTGGTAGATGGGTGGGTCAGTCAGCTACCCATGAGGTGTATCATGTTCCTAGGGCTGTCTTTCATTCCTCTGCTGAGAACTCCATCCTGCACAGACAAAAACCATATATTCACTGGTGAGCAGGATCCTTTTTAGAAATGCAAACATAACTTCCCTAACATTAAAGCCAAACATTCTTTCTCCCAGTGAACCATCTTATTTGGATAATCTCCTAACTTCCCCTGAAGTTAGCCCCAGAGTTGCATCTGAGCATTTGGAAGCAAGACAGAAAGTCATTTTGGGGTTTGGACCTGGCTGATCTTGGACCGTGTTCTGAAAGTGTGGGCGGCAAGCCACCCAGGTGCCGAGGCAAGAGA
Source organism: Homo sapiens (assembly GCF_000001405.40). Classification (NCBI taxonomy): domain Eukaryota; kingdom Metazoa; phylum Chordata; class Mammalia; order Primates; family Hominidae; genus Homo; species Homo sapiens. The sequence continues at coordinate 2,854,951 of NT_113891.3, read as the reverse complement.
CTGAGGACACGAGCTGTTCCAGTATAATAAAATATAAAACAAGAATAGTTGTACCAGATATAGAACTTAGATATGATTATATATGAATATCATTAATCATTAGTTGGTAGCAATTACTCTTTATTCCAATATTATAATAATCCTCACTCTATAATCATAACCTAAGAAAAACCAGGCTATACAGCGATAGGAGATGAGGGGACATAGTGAGTTGTGACCAGAAGACAAGAGTGCGAGCCTTCTGTTATGCCCGGACAGGGCCACCAGAGGGCTCCTTGGTCTAGCGGTGACGCCAGCGTCTGGGAAGACGCCCGTTGCCAGGCAGACCATGGTCTAGTGGTAGTGAAAAGTGTCAAGGAAAAACACCCACTACTTAGCACACTTAGAGTTTAGAGAAGACTCTGCTCCTCCACCTCTTGTGGAGGGCCTGACATCAGTCAGGCTTGCCCGCAGCTATCCGGAGGCCTAACCGTCTCCCTGTGATGCTGTGCTTCAGTGGTCATGCTCCTAGTCTGCCTTCATGTTCCATCCTGTACACCTGGCTCTGCCTTCTAGATAGCAGTAGTCAATTAGTGAAAGTACTAAAAGTCTCTGATATGCAGAAATAATGGCGTAAGCTGTCTTTCTCTTTGTCTCCTCTCTCTCTCTGCCTTGGCTGCCAGGCAGGGAAGGGCCCCCTGTCCAGTGGACACATGACCCATGTGACCTTACCTATCACTGGAGATGACTCACACTCTTTACCCTGCCCCTTTTGCTTTGTATCCAATAAATAACAGAGCAGCCAGACATTCGGGGCCACTATTGGTCTCCGTGCGTTTGTGGTAGTGGTCCCCTGGCCCAGCTGTCTTTTCTTTTATCTCTTTGTCTTGTGTCTTTATTTCTACACTCTCTCATCACCGCACACAGGGAGAGACCCACCGACCCTGTGGGGCTGGTCCCTGCATGAAAGGAGGCTTTCTACTTGCAGAAGAGCAAGGGTGAGCTCTGAATAAGAGATGAAATCCTGAGGAGAAAAGACAGATGGGCAGATTCCCAAGCAAACTTGGAATATATTTGCCAGCCTCTTTTTAGTTGTGATAAAATGCACGTAAACACAAAATTTGCCATTGTGACCATTTAAGTGTACAAAGCAGTAACATTTAGTAGGTGCACAACGTTATGCAGCCATCATCACTATCAAGTTCCAGAGCATTTTCACCACCCTAGAAGGAAACTCTGTACCCGTTAAGCAGTCACCTTCCACTCTCCCCTGCCACCAGCCCCTGGCACCATTAACCCAGTTTCTGTCTCTCTAGATTTTCTTCTTCTGAATATTTTATTAAAATGGAGTCATACAATATATGGCCTTTTGTGACTGGCTTCTTTCATTTGACATGTTTTCAAGGTTCATCCAAGTTGTAGCATGTATCAGTACATTATTCCTTTTGTGGTCAAATAATATTCCATTGCAGAATAGATTACATGTTGTTTATCCACTCATTGGTTGATGGGCATTTTCTTTTAAATTAAATAGAGAAAACAAAAGAGGAGTTACAAATTACCACCCCCCAAAAAATACTTGCTTTTCTATTTACCTATGAAGTTACTTTTAGCTGTGTACTTCTTTGCTTCATATGACTTCAAGTTGCCATCTAATGTCCTTTTATTTCAGTGTGAAGCACTCCTTTTAGCATTAATTGTAGAATAGGTTTACCAGACACGAATGCCATCAGCTTTTATTTACCTGTGCATGTCTGAATTTCTCCATTATTTCTCATGGAGAGTTTTGCCAAATATGCAACTGTCAGTTGAGACAGGTTTTTTTTTTCTTTCTGAACTTTAAGTTTGTCATGCCAATGTCTTCTGAACTCCATGGTTTCTGAAGAACACTTGGCAGTTAATCTCATGGAGGATCCTTGCACTCAATGAGTCCCTTCTCTTGTTGTTTTCAAGATGCTCTGTTTGTCTTTGACTTTCAACAGTTTCAATATAATGTCTGTCAGTGTGGACATCTTTGAATTACTGCTACTTTAAATGTTTGAGTGTTTTGGATACCCAGATTCATGTTTTCAAAAAAATTTCGGAAGTTTGGGGTCATTATTTCTTCAAATACTCTTTCTCCCCCCTTCTTCCTTCTCTCTTTTGGGAACTCCCAAAATGCATATACTTGATGTTGTCTCTTAGATCTCTTTTGTTCTTTTTTCTTCATACTTTTTCCCTTCTGCTCCTCAAATGGGCAATTTCAATTGGCCTATGTTTGCGTTTACTGATTCTTCATTCTGCAAACTAAAATCTGCTCTTGAAGCCCTCCAGTCAATTTTCCATTTTGCTTCCCATACATTTCAGCTCCAGATTTCCATTTGCTTCCTTTTCACAATTATTTATTGATTTCTGCTATTTAGTGAAACATAGTCTTCCTGATTTTCTTTAGTTATTTGTCCATGGTTTCCTTTAGCTCTTTGACTATGTTTAAGACAGTTGATTCAAAGTCTTTGTCTAGTAAGTCAGTCCATTGTTCTTCAGGAACAATTTCTTTCTATTGCTTTTCCTGTGAATGAGTCATACTTTCATACATGCATAACTCATGTTTTTTGAAGTTGAAAACTAGACATTTTCAATATTATAATGTGGTAACTGTGAAAATTACATTTTCTAAACTATTTTTGTATAGACTGTATTCTTTATTGTATGTGGTCACTGAAGTCTCATAGTTGTAGATGTGTGGTCTTATTTCTGAGTTCTCTATTCTATTCCATTGGTCTATGTGTCTGTTTTTGTATCAGTACCATGCTGTTTTGGTTACTGTAGCCTTGTAGTATAGTTTGAAGTCAAGTAGCATGATGCCTCCAGCTTTGTTCTTTCTGCTTAGGATTGTCTTGGCTATACAAGTTCTTTTTGGTTCTGTATGAATTTTATTTTTATTTTAATTTTTTTTCAATTTAAATAATCAGTAATGTATAACTTTATTCATTAAATATAAAATAATTTGAAAACAATCTTTCTTTTGAAAATTTAAGATTGACAAAAAAATCAACTAAAAAGAATAGTGGCTGAAATTGAATAAAATAGCAAGAACTTCAATGATATATTTGTTAAAACATTTTGAAACAATGCTCTCCATAGACACATTCATCCACTGTTTGCTGGAACATAAATTCCTCATTTAATATTACTGAGCCAATTTAGAATGACATCATTAAATGTAGTTTTTTAAATGTTTTAGTTAGTACTAAAAAAAGACAATTCTCTGAATCTGAAATATTTCTTTTTTCAACCCCTACCTTATTATGTAGTAGCTTTTTAAAATTTTAGGCTGACTTGAATAGCATGGTAAATTATCTTAAAACTGGGGAAAACTTTTTCATGTTCAGATTTAAAAAAAAAAACCTATAATCACTGACATGTCCAATTTCTGATTTTTCAAATAAGATTTCTTGTCTGCAACAATAAACATTTTAAGTAAAGCTATTTTTAAGATTAAATACATTTATTTTTAAATGAAGCCTGATTTTCTATAATCCATATCAATGATTCTCAAACTCTTTCCATAGAAGCACACTTAAAAACGGCAGAGTAAAACATTTTTCTTGAGGACATGAGCTTAATCTCATTAGCTCAAGACAAGCTCCAAATGGCTTGAAAATTTTGAGTTTTATTTTATATATTAATTTTAATTTTACCTTTAATGTCAATCATCTATATGAATTTTAAAATAGTTTCTTCTAATTCTGTGAGAAATGTCAATGGTAGTTGAATGAGAATAGCATTGAATCTATAAATTACTTTGGGCAGTATGACCATTTTCACAATATTGATTCTTTCTATCCCTGAGCATGGAGTGTTTTTCCATTTGTCTGTGTCCTCTCTGAGTTACTTAAGAAGCGGTTTGTAGTTCTCCTTGAAGAGATCCTTCAATTCCCTTGTGAGCTGTATTCCTAGGCATCTTATTCTGTTTGTAGCAATTGTGAATAGAAGTTTATTCACGATTTGACTCTCTGCTTGTCTATTGTTGGTGTATAGGAATGCTTGTGGCTTCTGCACACTGATTTTGTATCCTGAGACTTAACTGAAGTTGCTTTTCAGCTTAAGAAGCTTTTCAGCCGAAACAATGGGGTTTTCTAGATATAGGATCATGTCACTTGCAAACAAAGACAATTTGACTTCCTCTCTTCCTATTTGAATATCCTTTCTTTCTCTTACCTGATTGTCCTGGCCAGAACTTCCAATACTGTGTTGAACAGGAATGGTGAGAGAGGGCATCCTTGCCTTGTGCTGGTGTTAAAGGGGAATGCTTCCAGCTTTTGCGCATTCAGTATGATACTGGTTGTGGGTTTGTCATAGATGACTTTTATTATTTTGAGGTATGTTCCTTCAATACCTAGTTTATTGAGAGTTTAAAAATATGGAATGCTTCATGAATTTGCATGTCACCCTTGTGCAGGGGCCGTGCTGATCTTCTCTGTATCATTCCTATTTTAATATATGTGCTGCCAAAGCGAGTACTGATCACAAGTTCTTAGAAGTGGAGATAACTGAAGAAACGTGGGTGAGATGGAGTGTTGAGTTTCATCTGCAGTAATTTCTGCATCTAATAAAACATCATTATCTCTGTCTTTTATTCTTTAATTAAGTGGTAAAATGCATTACAGATTTAAAGTTTAAATATTCTTGTATTCTGGGGATGAATAACCTGGGCAGGATATTTAATTTTTTTATAGTTCACTGGTGGACACAATCTAGTACTATTTTTCTCAGTATTTTTACCTCTAATTGCTTAGAAGTGATTATCTTATCATGCTTTTCTCTTATGTATTCCCTAGCTGGCTTTAGAATCAATGTTATTTATACATAAACAATAATGAGTTTACTGGCTTTCTCTATGTTTCCTCATTCTCTTGAATATTACGTATAAGTTCAGTAACCTTCTTCAAAGTTTTGGTAGAACTTATGTGTAAAACAGTCTAAAGTTTTACAACTGTTTTAACTTCTTTACTTGTAGTAAGTTCTCCCCATTGCCATAATCTTGTTCATAGTCTCAAAATTATTTAAACCTCTACTATATCTTTAGTGGCATATTTATCTATCATAATGTTATTTTATTCTTAATTACCATTGCCTGTTTTATTTCTCCGTCAAAAAAACAGCTGCTTTTGGTGGGCTGGGCCCTCAGCAGTGGCAGCTGCCAGGTCAGCCTTGGTGAGTGGCGACGCAATTGCTGTGCCCTTGCAGTGTCCATCGCAGCCACCACGGCCACTTTATGCAGGGACTCCATGAGCAAGGCCTGTGTGGCTGAGTGGCATCGTCCATCAAGCCATCTCACCCACCTGGTTACAGGGAGCCCCATCCCCTTAAAGACCCTCTGGTAGGCATCCACACACAACCACTATTGTCACACACTCGGCCTATAGCAAGAGGTCTATGCGTACCTCTCTCCTCTACCTCCCAGTTTTCCAACTCTATTTTCCTCAAGTTTGTGACTGGCCAGCCAAGCCATGAGCCACTGCTCATGACTCGTTCATTCATGCACTATTGGACATCATTTCACACCCCCCACCTCCTATGGGTTTGTTTGGGTTTGATCCCCAGTTCCTGGCTCGAGAGCCATTTCCAAAGCTGTTCTGGTGTCAGCTCCCAAACCTACTGCTCTTGTTGTAGATTTTCCTCTTTATATGTATTTGTTTCCTGGAATTAAAAACAATTGCACTAATTTTTTCAATCCAGCATTTCCAAGGATGTGCAGTAGGAGTGATTCTTCTTAGCGTAGATAGAATTGCTTCAAAACATCAGCAAAATATATTTGAGTGAAGGACAGCATGCGTGGAGAAAGAAGGACAATCCACAAGTGGGCAGTGGAGTTTCACATAGTGAACACTCAGGTAAACAACACCCACATCAAAGTACACCAATCACAGCCTCCCAGAAACATCACTGGATCTTACTCAGTCACAAACCACCCTCCCCAACCCTAGAGTAGCCACTCCTGATTTCTAACACAGATAAGTTCTGCCAGTTCCAGTTGAATGGCATTATACAGTCACCATCATGCCCCTGGGTCTCATCATCCTGCTGTGTGTGGTCATAGCCTATTCACTCCCATGGCTGTCCAATGCTCCACTTTATAAATAACTCACATTTCTTGTCCCTTCGCTGTTGATAGACAATTGTGTTATATCCAGATTTTACAAATCGTGATGCTATGAATAATATTTTCATATATTTTGGCACACACATACATGCATTTCTATTGGTTGATAACTAAGACTGCTATTGCTGGGTCATAGGTGAGTAGATGCTTGGCTTAGTCTCTCAAAAAGCAAGTTTCTAGTAGTAAACAAACAGTACAGGAGGGTGAATCTCTTACTTAGAAATTATTCAGATAATAAATGAGGAAGGAATGAGAGACTGAGACTATAATAACTGTTTTGCAACCCATCAAGAATTAACAGATTTAACCATTGAACAGCAATAGCGATTAACAACACAATAAAAAAAACCAATGTGAGGTTCTTCCTCTTGATGGAAGAACACAATACAGCACCATCAAACAAATACAAGTGAGAAAGAAATCAAGCCTGAATAGAAGCTAACCTCCATAGCCAATTACCAATTTAGAGGCAATACAGATAATAAAAACACATATTCAAACAATGGCTTGGGGAGCAATCAGCAAAATGCACACTATGGGAAGCTCTACCACACAATATAAATTTCAAGAAAGAATCTATAGAATAAAAGAGAACAAAAGCATGTTTCTAAAGGTAAAACTAAATCATAGTTTTGGATGATAAAAATATAAAATAGAACAAAGAAGTTATGATCGGAAAAGTCAGGATGTATTTTTATTTGGGGGAGGAAAGAGTTTATTGCTGAGCTGGGGCAAATGATGGGGCTTCTGGTTTGCTCCGCAAACGTCTATCCTTGGTGGTTAATGGGTGTTTACTGTTTATTAAAGGACACAAATTTTGGACCTTCTTTTTTTCCTTTTGGAGTCCTAGATTTTATTTTATGACACAAAGGCTAATGAAAAAATAATTTATAGAGTATGGTTACTGTTTTGCACGAAGCGCCCTCCCCGTCTTCCCTCTGAGCACCCAGGACAACCAGCAGCCCCAGGACCCCCAGAAGGGGTGACCTCACTTCTAGGTGTGCATGCAGCTCACATCACCAGAGGCAATATGCAGGTCTACTCCTGGACTCCTGGAAGAACCTGATAGGACACAGCTGAAGGGAAGCCTTCCCCGCCATCTGCAGGCTCTTGGCCATCAGTGTAGAGGGAGCGGGTCCTCACCTCTCCACAGGCGCCTTCACGGCCAGAGCCTCCTCTCTGCATGGGGAGTAAGGCCTGGCCCTTCCCCTGAACACGGTGACATGGATCTCGCCAAAGGTGGAGATAACACCATTCCTCCCCCACCAACCTCACGCTTCTTTTGCTTTACAGGAAGATTGACGCAGGCTGGTGTCCAGTGAAGAAATGCGTGGTGCGTAGGAAGGAGAGGTGGATCTCAGGGCTGTGCGTGATCTGCAAAGGAAGCGCATCGACCACCAGGTGGCGCTGCTGCGCTGCTTCTGCTCCCAGGAGGTGGATGCCCAGGACGAGCTTTGAGGTGGAGAGAGGGATGTCATGGCTCATCCTCCAGTTTCCAAGTAAAAACCTTCCGGCCAATCTTGGCCGCGCGTCCTGGTGTAGCGAGCGGGCTTGGAGGAGCTCACCGCTGCTGTCATGGTTCGTTTGCTAAACTGCATCGTCGCTGTGTCTCAGAACATGGGCATCGGCAAGAACGGGGACCTGCCCTGGCCGCCGCTCAGGAATGAATTTAGGTATTTCCAGAGAATGACACAATCTCTTCAGTAGAAGGTAAACAGAATCTGGTGATTTTGTGTAGGAAGACCTGGTTCTCCATTCCTGGGAAGAATCGACCTTCAAAGGATAGAATTAATTTAGTTCTCAGCAGAGAACTCAAGGAACCTCCACAGCGAGCTCATTTTCTTGCCAGAAGTCTGGATGAGATCTTAAAACTTACTTAACAACCAGAATTAGCAAATAGAGTAGACATGATTTGGATAGTTGGTGGCAGTTCTGTTTATAAGGAAGCCATGAGTCGCCCAGGCCATCTTAAACTATTTGTGACAAGGATCATGCAGGACTTTGAAAGTGACACGTTTTTTCCAGAAATTGATTTGGAGAAATATAAAATTCTGCCAGAATATCCAGGCGTTCTCTCGGATGTATTAAGTACAAATTTCAAGTATATGAGAAGAATGATTAATATGAAGGTGTTTTCTGGTTTATTTTAAGTTGTTCCCCCTCCCTCTGAAAAAAAAGTTTATATTTTTACATTAGAAAAAAAGACTTTTGTTGACTTTAGATCTTTGGATAATTATTTCTAAGCAACATGTTTTTACTCCCCACTAATCTTGACTATATCAGATACCGCTTATGAAATATTCTTGCTATAATTAAGTGCCTCTCCAAGACCCTGACTGAGTCCCCAGCACCTGCTACAGTGAGCTGCCATTCCACACCCATCGCATATGGGACTCTTGCCAGTCCTTGACATTGTCGGGCTTTTCAAATGTTGGTAGTATTTCTTAAAGATGAAGATGCACATACCCTCCAACTGAGAAGTTTCACTAGTGGGAAATACCGAAAGCTCCTTACGTGTATACCCAGAGGTTTGCACGCAAATGTTGCAGCCTTGTTTGTAACAGTGAAAAATTGAAAACAACCTGGAAGTCCAGTGATGGGAAAATGAATATATTTCTGTCTTTTGGGGAACCCAAAGCAGGTTCCAAGACTGCAATTTCAGTGAAAGCAGTTTATTTTCTAGGTCTTATCAGAAATCATCAATTGAGGTACGGAGAAATGGAACTGAGAAGGTAAGAAAACCAGTTTAAAGTCAGTGAGCAGGTTCTCACTGGTAACAAACTCCATACTGCTGAGATACAGGGAAACGGAGGGGAGAAAGCTGGCATATTGATCCCCCACTCCTTGGTTGTCAGCTCCCTGTCCTGTGTGTGGGCAGAATGTACTCCAGCTGCTCTATAGCAAGTCCCAGGTGTTTGCAGTAAGAAGCTGCTGGCATGCATGTGAACGGTGAATGGCAAACACTTAAAGCAATTTCATGTTTAAGTATATAAGCTCTTCATATCTTTTTTTTTTTTTTGACAGAGTTTCGCTCTTGTTACCCTGACGGAGTGCAATGGCACAACTTCAGCTCACTGCAACCTCTGACTTCCCAGGTTCAAATGATTCTCCTGCCTCAGGCTCCCATGTAGCTGGGACTACAGGCACGTGCCACGATGCCCGGCTAATTTTGTGTTTTTGGTGAAGACGGGGTTTCACAATGTTGGTCAGGCTGGTCTCGAACTCCTGACCTGAAGTGATCCGCCCGCCTCGGCCTCCCAAAGTGCTGGGATTACAGGCTTGAGCCACCCCAGATCTTTATTCTTTTTATGTAGTAAAAAGTATAAAGCCATGCATGGTTTATTTGAAATATTTTATGTTTTAAAAAAATACAGAAGCAGGAAAACCAATTCTAAGTTCAAGTGAGGGATGATGGTAGTTTGAACCAAAGGGTTGCATGTAGTAAGAAACTGTGATTTAAGATATATTTTAAAGTCAGAAGTAGCAGGATATTCTGATGGAGTTTGCCCTGGGTTTGGGCCCACTGAGTTTGAGATGCCTTTGAGAAAGGAAGAAAGTAGAGAGAGAATAAAAGAAAAACTGGCCAGGCACAGTGGCTCATGCCTGTAATACAGTGGCTCAGCATTTTGGGAGGCAGAGACAGGCAGATACCTTGAGATCAGCTTGGGCAACATGGTGAAGCCCCATCTCTACAAAAAATACAAAAGTTAGCTGGGCATTGTGGTGCACACCTGTAGTCCCATCTACTCAGGGAGTTGAGATGGAAGGATCAATTGAGCCTGCGAGTTCGAGGCTGCAGTGAGTTGTGATTGTGCCACTGCACTCCAGCCTGGGTGACAGAAGAGACCTTGTCTCGAAAAAGAAGCTGAAAACAATGGAACCATGCCTTCAGAATTCCAGAAAGAAAGTTATTTTCAACGAATAAATCTATATTCAGCCAAATAATCAAGGGTGAAGGTAAAATAATACATTTTTAGGCAAGCAAAGACTCAGGGTTTACCTCCATGTATCTTTTGTTGGGAAACTATTGGAGAAAATACTCCAGCAAAATGAAGGAGTAGACAAACCAGAGAATGACATGGATCCAGCAAATAGGATCCAACACAGGAAATATTCCAGCTATGGAGCTGGCTTTAAAAAGAAACAGTAAAAATATTAATAGGTTAGCTGGGTGGAATGGCCCATGCCTGTAGTTCCAGCTACTCAGGAGGCTAAGCAAGAGGTTGGCTTGAGCCCAAGATTTCCAGACCAGCCTGGCCACCATAGTAAGATTACCTTCTCTTAAAAATAATAATAAGTTATTGCCAGATTTGGGGCATTTGGAAAGTAGTTCATTGAAGATAAAGCAAAAGTTAAAAAAAAAAAACAAGGGGGAAGGGTGGTTAGGCAATCATTAATTCTAGGGCAGAAGGAAGCACAAGGCAGGAAGCAAGAGCATAATACTCTGTTTTTCTCAACAATGAGCAATATGTACATACTCATAATGATGTGGTGACTACTTAGCCCCTAAATCTGGTAACTACTTTGGGACAATATGGGGGGAAAAGTGAAGGTAGTGATGGTGTAAGAGCTAAATCCTCATCTGTCATATCAAGAAATTACTATAGAATGTATAAAATAATCAAGAAATGACTAAGTAGTTATGTGAGAAAAAAATAGAAGACATTGCTAAAAGAGTTAAAAGTCATTGCTCTGGAGAATTAGGAGGGATGGGGCAGGGGACTGTTAGGGTGCATTATAAACTGAAGAGGCTTTTTAAAATTACATGTATTAATATATGCACCCACTTGAAAAACTAAAAAAATAATAATTTGGAAAAACCCATGAAGGTAACTACCAGGAGGAAAAACTAAGAGAATGAAAAGTGCTTGCCTCTCGAGAGAACAACTGGCAGGACTGTTGTTTTCATTGTAAGACTTTTGGAGCCATTTGATTTTACTTAACCATTTTCATGTATTCCTTTAATAAAAACAACTCTATCATAATAAAAAGTTACACTTGTTCATAGAAAACAAACAAACAAACAAACAAACAAAAAAACCTTCCTGCCCAGCCCATCTCATTCTCCCTGAATCCTCAGCGCTAATGAGGACTGTCTCCTTCTCACCTGCCTGGACTGGGCTTTTTAACACTGGAAAGTGGATGTGATTTTTAGTTTCAGCAGGTCCTGGTTTATTGTGCTGCCAGTAAAATAAAATCAAAATACACACTGAATAAATAATAAATAAAATAACCCATGGTGAGCAAAGGTTTACAATGTTTGTTGTTGTTGTTGTTTTTTGAGTCAAGATCCCACTCTGTGGTCTGGGCTGGAGTCCAGTGATGCGATCACAGCTCACTACAGACTTGAATCCATAAGCCCAAGGGATCTTCCCATCTCAGCCTCCCCAATACCTGGGAATACAAGTGCCCACCACCGTGCCCAGCTAAGTTTACTTATTTTTATATCTTTTAGAGACGAGGTTCTCACAATGTTGTTCAAGCTGGTCTCCAACTCCTGATCTCAAGCAATCCTCTTGCCTTAGCGTCCTGAATTGCTGGGATTACAGGGGTGAGCTGTCATGCCCAGCTTGTAATGTACTGACACCTTCAAGATTTCCTTCTCCAAGTGTGGACACAGCAGCAGACACCCCTTTTCTCTTGGGTCAGGACACTGGGTAGAGTGGAAGAGCAAGACAACAAAGTCACTGCAGAAAGCATCCATGTGGAAGAGGTCCAGCAGGGAGGGCCAGCTGTCCCAGGGACACCATATTTAGGGATAACTCCTCTTTCTGGGCAGGACTGTTCTTTGATTACTTTTATATTCACGATAGTTCTGAAATCGTAGGATGATGAGACTCAAGACTGGCTAGGATTTGTTTTCAAAAAACCATCTCCGAGACTTGTCAATCTTTTGAATGGTTTTTAGTGTCTCAATTTCCTTCAGAACTTAACTCATTCTTAACATTTCACAGACTACTTTCAGTTAATAATGTACTAGTGCCCATAAATATAGAAATATTGCAACCATTTATCCTCTATAAAATGTCCATCTTTTATGGTATAGATATTATATGTAATATATCTATATAGGTTGTAAGTCCCACGATAAAAAACTTTTTCTTATCCTTAAACAGTTCTATGTATATAAAGTAAGAATAAATGAGGGGAGCAAGATAGCCTTTTGCACTTAGCTCAATATTTACCATTTTTGATCATCTTCATCTTTTTTGATAATCTCATTTTCCACCTCGTATCATTTGCCTCTAGTCTGAAGAATTTTCTTTACCAATTGTAATTGTACAGATCTGCTGGTGACAAATTCTTTTAATTTTTTTTTACCTGACATATCTCATTTGCCTATCCTTGAAGGACATCTATGCTGGATATAGAATTCTTAGTTGATCTTTTTGTCTTCCAGCACTTTAAAGATGTTATTCTACTTTCTTTTGTTTCTATGGTTTCTAATAAAAAGTCATTGATCAGGACAAGAGGAACAGAGAAACAAAAACCGGGAAAATAACATGGTAGACGTGAAACTTATCATATCAATAATGACAAAAACCTATATGAATCTACACTCCAATGAAGGGCAGAGATTGTGTGACTTGGTTTAAAAAAACACAGAACCCAACCATACGCTCTTTCCAGACATGCACTTTCTTTGTTTTTTTTTTTTAATTTAACTTTTATTTTTAGTTAAGGGGTACATGTGCAGGTTTGTTATATAGGTAAACTTGTGTCATGGGGTTTTGTTTCACAAATTATTTCTATACCCATTAGTACCCACCCAAGTATTAAGTCTTAGTTCCCATTAGCTATTTTTCCTGATCCTCTCCCTCCTCCCACCCTCCACCCTCAAGTGGACCCCAGTGTGTGTTGCTCCCCTCTGCAGGTCCATGTGTTCTCATCATTTAGCTCCCACTTATAAGTGAGAACATGTGGTATATAGTTTTCTGTTCCTGCATTAGTTTGCTTAGAATAATGGCCTCCAGCTCCATCCATGTTCCTGCAAAGGACGTAATCTCATTCTTTTTTATGGCTGTATAGTATTCTATGGTGTATATGTGCCACATTTTCTTTATCCAGTCTACCATTGATGGGCATTTAGGTTGATTCCAAGTCTTTGCTATGGTGAATAGTGCTTCAATGAACATATGTGTACATGTAAGTCACTCACTTTCTCTTTTTATTTAATTTATTTTATTTTGCTTTAAGTTCCAGATACATGTGCAGAACGTGCAGGTTTGTTACATACGTATAGTCTGCCATAGTGGTTTCCTGCACCTATTCACCCATCCTCTAAGTTCCCTCCTCTTACCCCCGACTCCCCAAAAGGCCCTGGTGTGTGTTGTTCCCCTCCCTGTGTCCATGTGTTCTCATTGTTCACCTCCCACTTAAGAGTGAGGACACGTGGTGTTAGGTTTTCTGTTCCCATGTTAGTTTGCTGACGATGACTTCCAGCTTCATCCATGTCCCTGCAAAGGACATGAACTCATTCCTTTTTATGGCTGTGTAGTATTCCATGGTGTATATCTACCACATTTTCTTTACCCAGACTATCATTGATGGGCATGTGGGTTGGTTCCATGTCTTTGCTATTGAAAATAGTGCTGCAATAAACATACCTGTGCATGTGTCTTTATAGTAGAATGATTGATATTCCTTTGGGTATATACCCAGTAAAGGGATTGCTGGGTCAAATAGTATTTCTGGTTCTACATCTCTGAGGAATGGTCACACCATCCTCCATAATGGTTGAACTATTTTACATTCCCACCAACAGTGAAAAAGCATTCCTATTTCTCCACAGCCTCACCAGCATCTATTGTTTCCTCACTTTTTAATAATCGCCATTCTGGCTCGCAGGAGATAGTACATCATTGTGGTTTTGATTTGCTTTTCTCTAATGATCATTGATATTGAGCTTTTTTTTCATATGTTTTTTCTTCTGAGAAGTGTCTGTTCATACCCTTTGCCAATTTTTGATAGGGCTGTTTTTTTTCTTGTAAATTTGTTTAAGTTCCTTGTAAACATACATGTGAGCTCTCATCATTCTTGTTTAAACACCTAAGAGGCATCCAAATCAGTGCAACATGGCAAGAAAATGAAATAAGAAACCAATAGAAGGACCAGGCATGGTGGCTCATGCCTGTAATCCCTGCATTTTGGGAGGTTGAGGTGGAAGGATCACTTGAGTTCAGGAGTTTGAGACCAGCCTGATAGTGAGACCTCATCTCTACCAAATAAAAATAATTTTAAAAGAAAAAAGATCAATAGATAGGAAAGGAAGAAACAAAAGTCTTTGTCACCAACTTCATTGCATATGTAGAAAACACTAGGGAATTCTGAAAAAGTCTCTGGAATTAATCACTGAACTTGCAAAATAGTTCATAAAATATATGTAATAAGTCACTTAGATGAACATGAAAAGACAGCAAACAATACTAGTCATCAAAGAAGTGCAAGTTAAAACCACAATGAGAAACCATCACACATCACCTAGAATAGATAAAGTTAAAAAGACATTGGATAAGTCTAAATACTGTCAAGAATATGGAAAAAATAGGAATGTCTGATATTGCTGGTAGGAATGCAAAAAATGTGGTAGCCAATTTGTAAAGTGGTATGGCAGTTTCTTATACAGTTACCCATCTATTACCACATGGCCCAGCAATTCCACAAATATGTATTTATCCAAAAGAAATAAAAATGTAAGGCCACACTTGTAAGCAGTTATTTATAGTGGCTTCATTAATAACAAACCCTAACTGGAGGAATCCACATGTCTATCAACTGGAGGCAGAGAAACCAATGAATAAGCTGGGATTCCAGCAATACTCAGCAGCTGCTCAGCAACAAAAATGAATGAATGGCATCATCTCACACATCGTTATGCTAAAGGAGAGACCAAACGAAGGACTACATAACATACGACTGCACGTCCATTACATTCTAGAAATTTCAGTATTGCAGTGACAGAAAACAGAGTGGTGGTTGAGTGAAGGGAAGGGGTGAGGGTGGGAGGCAAGGATTAAATAGAAAGGGGCAGAAAGAAAGTTTTTAGGGAAAAGAAACGGTTCTCTACAGTGCCACAACTCAGAAGTAACTGGGTGGTGGGAACTAAGGGGAGAGGAGGGTGTGAGGGAAGAGGACAGAGAGAAGGGCTGGGGAAGCAGGAGGTGAGGACAAGGAGCAGGAGAAAGGACTCTAAAGCAGTGGAGGAGCCTAGCAGGGGATTCTTTGCATTCTGGGTTTCTCTACTGGGCAGTGTGGTAGTTACATGACTATAAATAATTACCAATATTCGCCAAAAAAGCGCAGCTAAAACTGGTGAATTTTATTACACATAAATGCCCTAATAAGCAAAAAAAAAAAAAAGGGCGGGGGGAGGGGAGGCAAAAATAAAGACATTTTTAGATAATCAAAGCCATAAAATTAATTTCCTAGGGGTCCTGTACTACATTTAATTTTAAAGGAAGTGCTTCAGGGTGAAGGAAAATGATACTAGATGGTGACCCAGATATACAGAAAGGAACAATTAACAACAGAAATGATGCACATGCACATGTCACATTCACACTCATTTTCTTAATTTCCTGAAGACATATGGCTACTTGTTTAAAACAAAAAGTATTGCACTGTATCACTGAGTCTATAATATAGGTTGATGTAATATATACAACAATAATAGCACAATGGTAGGTTACAAGAAACTACACTGTTAGAAGTGTCCTTTATTTTGCTGGATGCAGCTTAATATAACCTGAACTTCACTGTGAAAAGTCAAGGAATCGGGTTTCCATTCTTTGCTATTGTGTAAAGAAATATAGCCAAAAGCCACTAGGAGAATTAAAACCATAAACTAAAAAATGTTTATTTGACACATAAGAAAGTAGTAAAGGAGGAACAGAAACAAAAAGATATGAGACAAATTGAAAACGTATAGCAAAATGGTAGACCAAAACCCAACCATTGCAAGTGAAGAAATGACATGACCTGAGTCACATTAGCAGGACTGCTGAGCACTGTGGGGAGAACAGATATGGGCAGGAGGTGAGGGACAGTGTTAGTGCCACAATTCAGGAGTGACAGGGTGGCGGGGACTAAGGGGAGCGGGGGTGTGAGGGATGAGAGGGGCAGACAGAAGGGCTGGAGAGGCAGGAGGTGAGGAAAAGGAGCAGGAGAAAGAAATCTAAAGCAGTGGAAGAGCCTGGCAGAGGGTTCTTTGCATTCGGTATTTAATACATTTTGTTGGACTTCCTAAAAACTAATTGGCTCCTTATGATTAAAAAAAAAAGAGTTACAAAAATACCAAGTGTTCAGATAAAATACGCACACTGCTTGGATGTGCAGAGTTCAGGAAAACAGGCAGTGCTTCAGCGTCGGTGAAGAGCATTGGGACTGCATGGAGCACTCGCAACTTTGAGGTGATGACTACAGGCTCCCGGTTGCAATAGACAGTAACAAACCCTGCTTCTTTATATTCAGGAGATGTTCTGGACTCACACAGGGAAACTCAGGGTGGGGAATGAAGATAATTTTAAATGCAACAACCCAGAGTTACAGATCCACAGTCTGGGAAAGTAAAACTTAGGAGCTTTGAGAGTTTAATTGTAATGCTGTTTTGACACAGGTCTTTTACAAATTGGAATTCTAATCATTCAGGGATTACCAATATTGTGCTACCTACTGTATTAACAAACAAAAAGGAAACTGGTCTCTATGAGAATCCCTATGCGGTGCCTTCAGAGAAAACTTCACCAGGTTTAAAGAGAAAACCCCTGTCTCTACACCTCCATTCCCAGGGCGAGCTCACTCTCTGGCATCAAGTTCCCCGTGCTCAGTTTCCCTACACAAGAGTCCAAGAGGAGAGGTAAGGAGTGGGAGGCAGGGAGTCCAGTTCAGGGACAGGGATTCCAGGACGAGAAGTGAAGGGGAAGGGGCTGGGCGCAGCCTGGGGGTCTCTCCCTGGTTTCCACAGACAGATCCTTGTCCAGGACTCAGGCAGACAGTGTGACAAAGAGGCTTGGTGTAGGAGAAGAGGGATCAGGACGAAGTCCCAGGTCCCGGACGGGGCTCTCAGGGTCTCAGGCTCCGAGGGCCGCGTCTGCAATGGGGAGGCGCAGCGTTGGGGATTCCCCACTCCCCTGAGTTTCACTTCTTCTCCCAACTTGTGTCGGGTCCTTCTTCCAGGATACTCGTGACGCATCCCCACTTCCCACTCCCATTGGGTGTCGGATATCTAGAGAAGCCAATCAGCGTCGCCGGGGTCCCAGTTCTAAAGTCCCCACGCACCCACCCGGACTCAGAGTCTCCTCAGACGCCGAGATGCTGGTCATGGCGCCCCGAACCGTCCTCCTGCTGCTCTCGGCGGCCCTGGCCCTGACCGAGACCTGGGCCGGTGAGTGCGGGTCGGGAGGGAAATGGCCTCTGCCGGGAGGAGCGAGGGGACCGCAGGCGGGGGCGCAGGACCTGAGGAGCCGCGCCGGGAGGAGGGTCGGGCGGGTCTCAGCCCCTCCTCGCCCCCAGGCTCCCACTCCATGAGGTATTTCGACACCGCCATGTCCCGGCCCGGCCGCGGGGAGCCCCGCTTCATCTCAGTGGGCTACGTGGACGACACGCAGTTCGTGAGGTTCGACAGCGACGCCGCGAGTCCGAGAGAGGAGCCGCGGGCGCCGTGGATAGAGCAGGAGGGGCCGGAGTATTGGGACCGGAACACACAGATCTTCAAGACCAACACACAGACTGACCGAGAGAGCCTGCGGAACCTGCGCGGCTACTACAACCAGAGCGAGGCCGGTGAGTGACCCCGGCCCGGGGCGCAGGTCACGACTCCCCATCCCCCACGGACGGCCCGGGTCGCCCCGAGTCTCCGGGTCCGAGATCCGCCTCCCTGAGGCCGCGGGACCCGCCCAGACCCTCGACCGGCGAGAGCCCCAGGCGCGTTTACCCGGTTTCATTTTCAGTTGAGGCCAAAATCCCCGCGGGTTGGTCGGGGCGGGGCGGGGCTCGGGGGGACGGGGCTGACCGCGGGGCCGGGGCCAGGGTCTCACACCCTCCAGAGCATGTACGGCTGCGACGTGGGGCCGGACGGGCGCCTCCTCCGCGGGCATAACCAGTACGCCTACGACGGCAAGGATTACATCGCCCTGAACGAGGACCTGCGCTCCTGGACCGCGGCGGACACCGCGGCTCAGATCACCCAGCGCAAGTGGGAGGCGGCCCGTGTGGCGGAGCAGGACAGAGCCTACCTGGAGGGCACGTGCGTGGAGTGGCTCCGCAGATACCTGGAGAACGGGAAGGACACGCTGGAGCGCGCGGGTACCAGGGGCAGTGGGGAGCCTTCCCCATCTCCTATAGGTCGCCGGGGATGGCCTCCCACGAGAAGAGGAGGAAAATGGGATCAGCGCTAGAATGTCGCCCTCCCTTGAATGGAGAATGGCATGAGTTTTCCTGAGTTTCCTCTGAGGGCCCCCTCTTCTCTCTAGACAATTAAGGGATGACGTCTCTGAGGAAATGGAGGGGAAGACAGTCCCTAGAATACTGATCAGGGGTCCCCTTTGACCCCTGCAGCAGCCTTGGGAACCGTGACTTTTCCTCTCAGGCCTTGTTCTCTGCCTCACACTCAGTGTGTTTGGGGCTCTGATTCCAGCACTTCTGAGTCACTTTACCTCCACTCAGATCAGGAGCAGAAGTCCCTGTTCCCCGCTCAGAGACTCGAACTTTCCAATGAATAGGAGATTATCCCAGGTGCCTGCATCCGCTGGTGTCTGGGTTCTGTGCCCCTTCCCCACCCCAGGTGTCCTGTCCATTCTCAGGCTGGTCACATGGGTGGTCCTAGGGTGTGCCATGAGAGATGCAAAGCGCCTGAATTTTCTGACTCTTCCCATCAGACCCCCCAAAGACACACGTGACCCACCACCCCATCTCTGACCATGAGGCCACCCTGAGGTGCTGGGCCCTGGGCTTCTACCCTGCGGAGATCACACTGACCTGGCAGCGGGATGGCGAGGACCAAACTCAGGACACTGAGCTTGTGGAGACCAGACCAGCAGGAGATAGAACCTTCCAGAAGTGGGCAGCTGTGGTGGTGCCTTCTGGAGAAGAGCAGAGATACACATGCCATGTACAGCATGAGGGGCTGCCGAAGCCCCTCACCCTGAGATGGGGTAAGGAGGGGGATGAGGGGTCATATCTCTTCTCAGGGAAAGCAGGAGCCCTTCAGCAGGGTCAGGGCCCCTCATCTTCCCCTCCTTTCCCAGAGCCGTCTTCCCAGTCCACCGTCCCCATCGTGGGCATTGTTGCTGGCCTGGCTGTCCTAGCAGTTGTGGTCATCGGAGCTGTGGTCGCTGCTGTGATGTGTAGGAGGAAGAGCTCAGGTAGGGAAGGGGTGAGGGGTGGGGTCTGGGTTTTCTTGTCCCACTGGGGGTTTCAAGCCCCAGGTAGAAGTGTTCCCTGCCTCATTACTGGGATGCAGCATCCACACAGGGGCTAACGCAGCCTGGGACCCTGTGTGCCAGCACTTACTCTTTTGTGCAGCACATGTGACAATGAAGGACGGATGTATCACCTTGGTGGTTGTGGTGTTGGGGTCCTGATTCCAGCATTCATGAGTCAGGGGAAGGTCCCTGCTAAGGACAGACCTTAGGAGGGCAGTTGGTCCAGGACCCACACTTGCTTTCCTCGTGTTTCCTGATCCTGCCTTGGGTCTGTAGTCATACTTCTGGAAATTCCTTTTGGGTCCAAGACGAGGAGGTTCCTCTAAGATCTCATGGCCCTGCTTCCTCCCAGTCCCCTCACAGGGCATTTTCTTCCCACAGGTGGAAAAGGAGGGAGCTACTCTCAGGCTGCGTGTAAGTGATGGGGGTGGGAGTGTGGAGGAGCTCACCCACCCCATAATTCCTCCTGTCCCACGTCTCCTGCGGGCTCTGACCAGGTCCTGTTTTTGTTCTACTCCAGGCAGCGACAGTGCCCAGGGCTCTGATGTGTCTCTCACAGCTTGAAAAGGTGAGATTCTTGGGGTCTAGAGTGGGTGGGGTGGCGGGTCTGGGGGTGGGTGGGGCAGTGGGGAAAGGCCTGGGTAATGGAGATTCTTTGATTGGGATGTTTCGCGTGTGTGGTGGGCTGTTTAGAGTGTCATCACTTACCATGACTAACCAGAATTTGTTCATGACTGTTGTTTTCTGTAGCCTGAGACAGCTGTCTTGTGAGGGACTGAGATGCAGGATTTCTTCACGCCTCCCCTTTGTGACTTCAAGAGCCTCTGGCATCTCTTTCTGCAAAGGCACCTGAATGTGTCTGCGTCCCTGTTAGCATAATGTGAGGAGGTGGAGAGACAGCCCACCCTTGTGTCCACTGTGACCCCTGTTCCCATGCTGACCTGTGTTTCCTCCCCAGTCATCTTTCTTGTTCCAGAGAGGTGGGGCTGGATGTCTCCATCTCTGTCTCAACTTTACGTGCACTGAGCTGCAACTTCTTACTTCCCTACTGAAAATAAGAATCTGAATATAAATTTGTTTTCTCAAATATTTGCTATGAGAGGTTGATGGATTAATTAAATAAGTCAATTCCTGGAATTTGAGAGAGCAAATAAAGACCTGAGAACCTTCCAGAATCTGCATGTTCGCTGTGCTGAGTCTGTTGCAGGTGGGGTGTGGAGAAGGCTGTGGGGGGCCGAGTGTGGACGGGGCCTGTGCCCATTTGGTGTTGAGTCCATCATGGGCTTTATGTGGTTAGTCCTCAGCTGGGTCACCTTCACTGCTCCATTGTCCTTGTCCCTTCAGTGGAAACTTGTCCAGTGGGAGCTGTGACCACAGAGGCTCACACATCGCCCTGGGCGGCCCCTGCACACGGGGGTCTCTGTGCATTCTGAGACAAATTTTCAGAGCCATTCACCTCCTGCCCTGCTTCTAGAGCTCCTTTTCTGCTCTGCTCTTCTGCCCTCTCTCCCTGCCCTGGTTCTAGTGATCTTGGTGCTGAATCCAATCCCAACTCAGGAATCTGTAAAGCAGAGTCTAATTTAGACTTACATTTGTCTGTGAAATTGGACCCGTCATCAAGGACTGTTCTTTCCTGAAGAGAGAACCTGATTGTGTGCTGCAGTGTGCTGGGGCAGGGGGTGCGGGGAGGGGGTTGCTGTAGAAAGAGGGATGGGGAGGGAGGGCACACAAGCAGCACTGCTGAGAAAAACATAGGCGGCCTCTATCTCAGTGTGAGGGGTCCTTGTGCTGTAGCTGCCACAAAACAGCACTTGGCCTGAGGCTATGTTAATAAAGATACTGCCTTCAAAATAGGGAGGTGCTCTACAGTGATCATTCATTCAACTGACCTTTGTCATTGGCCAGACATAGGACAGAATGGTTCTGCATCTGGGGAACACCACTGAAGTAAAAGAAAAATCTCTGGCCTTTTGTAGCATATGTTCCAGTGGGAAGAGGCAGACGATAGATACACTATAACCAGAGTAAGGAAGGAAAGTGCTAGAAGGTGGTAAGTGCTGTGAGGCAGGTGATCCAGGATGTGGGCAGTGGGGACAGGGAAGGTGGCTGTTGTGCTGGGTAGTCAGTGTGTGCCTTGTTGCAAAGGTGACTTTTGAGGAAAGATTTGAGAGACATGAGGATGTCTGGGGAAGTTCTTTCCAGGCAGAGGAAGCTCCAGTCCAAATGCACTATGGCAGGAAGGTGTTTGTGTTCCCAGAAGAGCAAGGAGGCCAGGAGGGCTGGACAGAGAGAAACTGAGGTGAGGTCAGAGGTGCGGCCAGAACAGGTGGGCTTGAGGGGAGTGGGGTTGGATCTGGCCTTTGCTCTGAGTGGGATGGGGAGTTAGAGGACAGTTTTGAGCAGAAGAGAGCCATGATATGACTTCTGTTTTAAAAGGATCTCTCTGACGGCTGTGCTGAGAACAGAATTGAGAGGCGAGGGACGAGGGAGGCAGAAGGGAAAACAGTAGGAATCAAGTGCAGTATTCCAGGCTGGAGATGTCGGTTACCTTGACTGGGGCGTGAGCAGGGGAAATAGTGGGATGTGAGGGGATTCTGGATGCATTTGAAGATGGACTCACAGCATTTGCCAATGGATTGTATCTGTGGTGTGAGAAAGATGAATCAAGGACACCCATAGTTGTAAAATGAGTGAGTAGAAGGATGGAGCTGCTGTCAGTGGAGATGGGGAGACTCTGGCAGGAGCGTCCTGAGGAGGGGGCATCACAGGCACTCAGTGGAGGAGATGTCTACTAGGAAGGCAGGTGGGGGAGCTGGGGTGGAATTTGGACAGACAACTCCAGAGTTTAGGGGAAAGGACTGGGCTGGAGAAATAGATTTAGGAGGTCACACCATATATATCAGACTTAAAACCTCAAGCATGGATGAGGCACAAAGGGAGTGACTGACTATGGAAAAGAATGAGCACAAGGACTGAACCCTGGACCTCCAGTTCTAAGGGGTGTGATCAGACCACACCCAGAGCAGACTGCACAGTTCTGGTCCCACGTCTAGAGGACACTCAGACAAGGAACCCCCATGTGCACCAGGATCACCTGGATGTGGTGCTGAGATCCAGGAAGTCTGGAGTTGAGCAAGAGATTCTGGATTTATGACAAGGTTGGAGCTCATGTTGCTGGTCTCCAGATCACACTTGGAGTAGCAAGAGCTCCAGGATCCCACATGTCTGAGCATCAGCCTCACCTCTAGGGCTTGTCATATAAATGATTCCTTGGTCTTGTGCATAATACTCTGAGACAAGGATTCTGGGGAGTGGCCTGTGTATTTTCTAAGTCCCCGCCAGCAATCCCATTGCTCAGACAGATTGGGAACCACTGAGATCAGTGATCAGAGAGTGCCCAGGGTGGGTGGGTGGGGTGGGTTTTCAAACCCTGTTTAAAAGAGGATTTTTCTCACAGAAAGAAAAGGGAGGATGTATATCATCAGTTATGAGAGGTGATATTCTCTGTTGTTCTCTCCACCATGGGGTAGAGGCCAGGTAGACAATTCAGGATGTGGCTCTCGCACAAAGAACACCTCTGAATGCCGCTCTCTGACACTCACCCGCAGACTGATTTCTCACTCACTTCTTGGAGAAAACTATGGAAACCACATTTCTGTAATGTACACATAAAGTCGTATATCTGGTATTGGGGGCTAGTTTTATTGTGGGGAAGGCTACAGAAGCAGGCTGGAAACTACACATCCGGGAACAGAATTCACAGCCCACCCTGGATCAGGTCCCTCCTAGGAACAACTACCCCTGCTGCTGAGCACAGACGCCACTGCTCACACCTCTGACACCCTGGTCCTGGACACTGGACCCTGAGGCTAGGACAGATGTCACTGCTGCACATGGAAATTGGACATCACTACTGTCACTCAGCCATCTTTACTAAAATGCTTTCTGCACAGTCCTAGCCTCTCTGTCACCTCATTCTGGCTGAGTCTGGCAGTGATATAGGAGTTAAGAAGAAATTATTTAGACAGGTAGTGAGGGTACACAAGGCTTTTAATGGAAAGCAGGCTCCAAATTATTTTCTTTTCTAACAAGGAGCAGCCTGTAATATCAAGCTTCAGACACAGACAAGTAAGCTGGAAGTTTGCACGGGTGAATGCCAGCAGCTGTCCAATAGGAATAGGACGCCTGGGACTGGGTATGTTCACAATGGCGGCTCCATCTTCCCTTCTCTTTGCCAGGCACGTTTACAGTAAGGAGCAGACAACATGTCACCGGCCAAGTGGAAAGCCCATTTGCATAATAGGATGAGGGTGGGGTGAACAGCCTTCCACACGCACTATGTAAATATCACACCTGGTACAACCAACCTGTGGGCCCTACATAAATCAGACACCGTCTCCTCAAGCCTGCCTGTAAAATCCGATGCACTCCCATTCCAGGCTGGAATTCCCTTTTGGGTGCCCCTCTCTCTCACAAGAAGGAGCTGTTTCCCTTTGTCTTTCTTTTGCCTATTAAACCATTTGATCCTAACTCACTCCTCGTGTGTCAGTGTCCTTAATCTTCTTGGCGTGAGATGACGAACACTTAGTATTTACCTGAGACAATGACACCTCTTCAGCAGGTGGTCATCAGACTGGTGGAGCTTAAAACTCATGTCCATGAGCAACTGCAGGGGTGACTGGAGTGTTGTTGTCCTCTTCCAGGGAGGGAGGTGGTGTCTGTCTCCTCTCAACATTTTACATGTTGTAAACCAAAAATAAACATCAAAGCCACCCCTTCCCAATCATTTTAATGGACACCCTCAGCCAGGGTGCTCAAAAGTTAACCTGAAAGACTGGCTCAGGCCACCAAGGGAAGCAGGTATTGAACATGTCTTATTATGCCCTCTTCCCTCTTGGAATTCAGGAAAAGTTGACCAGCATTTACCATCAACACAGACCTTCAGTCTGATCAGAAACATTTACAATCTATTCTCTCTGAAGCCTGGCACCTGGAGGCGTCATCTGCATGAGAATTTTGGACTCCACAACCTTTTATCATAACCCAGACATTCCTTTCTATTGATAATAACTCAACCAATTGCCAATCAGAAAAATTAAAAATCTACTTATAACCCAGAAGCACTACCCCGCAACCCTTGCTTGCTTCAAATTGTTCCAACTTTCTGGACCGAACCAATGTATAGCTTAAATGTATTTGATTGATGTCTCATATCTTCCTTAAATGTGTAAAACCAACCTGTGCCTCAACCACCTTGAGCACATGTTCTCGGTCTCCTGAGGGCTGTGTCATGGGCTGTGGTCACTCATTTTTGGCTCAGAATAAATCTCTTTAAATATGTTACTGCGTTTGACTCTTTTCATTGACAGTGTGGAATTCTGATGTAGTAAGAGGGTTCAAGTGCTGGAGTGTGAGGGGTGGGGAAAAGTGACAAATTTTAATTCTTGGAGCAGTGATCCAGGACGAGAACTTTATCTAGTACCCAGTAGGCACGAAGAGTGGCTGAATGAACCAGTGACTAATAAATAACATATTTCCACCCATTCCCTTGAGGATAGGTTTACATCAAGTTTTTGTCTATCCCAGTTTATAGTCTAGATTATTGGAGTGGCATTCTGTAATGATGAAATGATTATTCAAACATCTTCCCTCAGCATGACTCTTACTAGGATTAAAACTCCCAGGTTTGTAAGATATCAGAGGTTCTGGGTCCACACGATGTTTTATATTAATATTTATATTTTCTTGTGTGTGGAAATGTCTCTGGGGAGAGAATCTCTAACATTTATTAGTTTTTATGTGACACCCTCAAAGGCCTAAAAAATCCTAACTTCTAGATTAAAGGTAGGACCACTCCACGTCTAGACAATGAACAGCTGGTAGCAACCTGTGTTTAGGGACATGAAACAAATGATTACATTTGTTTATCTTTTCCTCTGGGACCGAAGAAGGTAGAGGTTTACTTGCTTACTCTTACTATAAGTTTCTCTCTGTGGGATGGTGATGGGGTTTTCTTCCACCCAAATAACTTTCTGATTCTCCAACAGCAGCTGGGAGTCCTAGAGTTTGACTCAATTCTGACACTAACTACCTGGAGTTCGCCTCAGACTCTACAGGTTTACCAGCTCATTCCTACAAGTCTGTCCTCACTTCAGAAGCAAGTCACAAGTATCGGGTCCCAGGTTACCTGCACTTCTGTCTAACATGGCTGTAAAGTCAGGGGTTTCTCACCTCCCAAGGATTGAGAATTCTTAAACTAACTCAAAGAACTCAGGAAGTTGCTATAGCCGTGTAAACCGAAAAATGTCTGAGACAGGTCTCAGTCAGTTTAGAAGTTTATTTTGCCAAGCTGAAGATGCACCTTGGAAACAGAGACTCAAATCATTGTAGCATCTGTGGCCCATGCTCTTTCCTAACAGGCTTTTGAGGACTTCAATATGTACAGGGGAAAGAGCAGCCAGGAGAGGAAAAAAATAGTCAACTATGCATTCATCTCATGCTCAGTAAATCTGCATTTTAAATAAGATAAAGTAAACGTTGGGTAGAAAAGTCAAATATGCGTTTGACTCTGGGTGGGTGGAGGGATGATTGCTAGTCTTGTCTTTGTCCTGTACCTGTGAAGATAAGCTGTTAATTTACATTGTCAGGGGAAAATTCAACAAAACTGTTTTAGAGTAAACACGTTGGGGCCCACAAGGAATTATCTTGTGAGCAGTTTGTGAGGGAGGCCACCTGGGGAGATATATGGTCTTCTATCTTTGCAGTTATTTGTTTAGGAACAAAAGAAAGGCAGTTTTTCCATCAGTCTCCAAACTTAATTTTTCCCTTTGGTATAGTGAATTTGGAGTCCTGAAATTTTATTTTCCTTTCACACTCAGTATTGCAGTTTTTCATTGTTATAGCTTAAATCCCCACCTTTTTGGCACCTGGGACCGGTTTCATGGACGACAGTTTTTCCATGGATTAGTGGAGGTGGTGGAGGGCAGAGGGAAATGGTTTCGGATGAAACTGTTGTACCTGAGATGATCAGGCGTTAGCGCTTCATAAGGAGCATGCAACCTAGATCTCTCGCATGCAGAGTTCACAATAGGGTTCATGCTTCTATGAGAATCTAATTCTGCCACTGATCTGACAGGAGGCGGAACTCTGGTGTCATGCTCAAGCTCTCTCACCCAACGATCACCTCCTGCTGTGCGGTCTGGTTCCCACCAGGCCAGGAACCTGTACCAGTCCGCAGCCCGGGGGTTAAGGACCCCTGGTTTAAATTATGCCACTAGAGCAGAACTCCTGAGACTGGATAACTTATAACAAACAGAAATTTGTTTCGTTCATGGTGTCGAGGATGAGAATTCCCAGATCAAGGGACTCTATCTGGTAGAAAACAAAAGGACAAGAGAGGGTGAGAGGTGGGGGGAAAGGAAGTCAAACTCACAGCTTCAGGTCCTTTTATAATGAGCCTTAGTCCATGAATGAAGGCAGAGCTCTAATGGTCCAATCACCTCTCAAAAGTCCCATTTCTTAAAAATGTTGCATTTGGGATGAAATATCCAACAGATGCTTTTTTGGGGAAACATTCAAACCATAGCAGTTATAAAAGATACAAATGAGCAGCCAGATGAAGAGGTGCACAGAGTGAGGCCTGGAAGGGCTCTGAGCACAGGAGCCTCTGTCCCCACGGAGATGGGGTTCACCATCCTCCCAGCACGTGGACACACGGATGTGCTCAGCAATTGGGAAGCTCTCCGAAACCCAATCTCCAGAGGTTTCTATGGAAATTTCATTCTGTAGGCATGATTAATTAAATCACCGGCCACTGTGTGACTGAACTCAACCTCAAGCCTCTCTTTCCTTCCCAGACTTTAGGGATGGGGCTAACAGTTCCAATCCTCTAATCACAGCTTCATGTTTCTGGCAACCAGCCCCCATCCTGAAGCTATCTAGGAGCCCCTCACCCCATAGTCATCTCATTGCCATGTTGAAGTCATGTTTATCACTGAGGAGATTGCAAATGTTTTAGAACCTGGTTGTCAGGAAACAGGGAAAAGACCAAATATTTTTACTGGACCACAGATCACACCCTGGTTTTGACCACATTATCTCTTTTTATAATATTTATTATTTTATTTTAGAGATAATCTCTTGCTCTGTTGCCCAGGGTAGAATGCAGTGGCACAATCATAGCTCACTCCAACCTCGAATTCCTGGACTCAAGTGATCCTTCTGCCTCAGCCTCCTGAGTAGATAGCATTACAGGTGCACACCAACATGCCCAACTAATTTTTAAATATTTTGTAGGAATGGGTCTCACTATTCTGCCCAGTCTGGTCTCAAACTCCTGGACTTAAACAATGTTCCTACCATTGCCTCCCAAACTGATGGAATTATAAGTGTGAGCCACTGTGCCTGGCCAATCACAGATCTCCTACACCAGAAGAATCATAACAGTGAAAAGATCCTGGCACATTACCAGAATCCTCTTTGGTCATTAACAATGATCCCAGTGCAATCCATAAACAGGAATAGTTTCAGCAACATATGGCTGCACCCTTTCAGGCATCTGGTAAAACTGAGCTAAGAGACAATATCATCTCTTGCTTATACCTTTTTCAAGTAGTTCATGTAACATTGGATTTTCCTCATTACATAACCCATTTATTCATTCATTTACCCTCAGCTACTATTTCTCCTTCCCTTCATTTATACTAAACATTTATAATTTTGGAAGGAACACTAGCTTCTGCTGCTGTGCTGGCTGAGACTGCAGGGACCAATACTGTTCTAGCAAGTGTCTCCCGTCATCCATTCCAGTTCATAGAGGGTAGGGTTATGCAGGTAGAGAACTGGTTGGCTATCTGATCCCAGGCAATATAGCTGCATTCAGTGTTAGCCCCAACTTTGCCAGATGCAGTGAAGGCACAACCTACCTCTACAGGCCCTTAGGAATTATTACATAATGGACATAAAATATATTTACAGTTTCTTGCTCAGGAATAATTCCTGTTTCTGAACTCTATTTGCATCCCTAGTCCTGGGACCACTGCATCAGGTATGAGAAAAGCAAGTTGAGGTGAATTACAGTCATCATTCCAGTGTCCTCCCACCTTGGGAAGGAATATATATAGATCATACCAGCACCTTCCCCTGATCCACCAGGAAAAGAGAGAATACTCTCATGTCAAGTGTGAGCACACTCATGAAGGTGTATAAGCCCACCCTTTGTGCTTGTTTCCCCACTCTTTCCTTTACACACCCAATTGACTATTTTAATTCTCTATGGAACTCTTCCTCTGAGGAGGATATCTCTCTGTGACCATTGTTGGACATTTTGAGCAGGTGCATTTTCTGGTGTAAAGAAATATGACTCGGTGGTCCACATGGTTGCAGTACCTCCCATTCAAGTTCTTTTGTAACACTCGAGCATTTGCATCTGAGATAAAGCAGGGACCTCTTTTAGAAGCCTGCCGGGGCCTCCCGATCTGGAAATAAAGAAAAACCTTCAGTTCCTTCAAGAGAAATTCCAGGCACCTAGCCAGCCCTAAAAAGTAAGTCTGTGACCTTATAAGCAAGAAGGAATGATAGCTTGAAACAATAGCCAAGGAAGTTAGAGTCACAAGATGTTGGATTCTCTGTAGAAACTAAAAATAACATCTTAACATATGTCCCTGAGTTGTTTTTCAGAAACATGGATTCCCTCCTAATAGATCCACTGACAGGGAGACCTTATAAAGGGGAAACTGAGAACTGAACTCTGACCGCCGTTCTTTGTTCTAAATTTCTTCCTGAGGGACCTGGAGAGAGACAAGCCCATAGAACAGGCCTGAACATTCCTCTCTACTGCCCCCAACTGTGTAAGGAAGCTGTGTAAAGAAGCTTTGCTTCCTTATCTATCACAAATCAGAAAATCTTTAAATCTACCTAAGACCTGTAAGCTCCCTCATCAGGATATTCTACCTTTTAAGGCCAAAGCAGTGTAACTTGTATGCATTGATTTATGATGTTGCCTGTAACTCTGCTTTCCCGAAATTTGCCCCTGCCTTTAAAAATTCTTGCTTGTGAGCCATCAAAAAGGTTGGGTCTTAAGCGTGAGCTGCCTGATTCTCCTTGTTTGGCGTCCTACACATAAATGCCCTCCTTTGTCCCACTACAATCTCAGTGTGGATGTTTGCTTTTACTGCCCCAGGTGAATGGACCCCAGTTCAGTTTGGTAACACACCTACCACCAGCTGAACAAAGGCCACTCCAGGGTGAGGATCTATTCCTGCCAAGACCCATTTGCTGCTTCCTGGGGCTACTGGTATCAGTTTAACTTGCCAGCTATGTATTTTCAAGGCCCTCCCATAAAAGAATCCGCCACATAGCCATATGCTATCTCTCTTTTTTTTGTTAAAGAAAGGACTTCTTATATGTATTTTGTGCCTGTGATGTGTGGAATGCAAGAGGACTATGTCTTGATTCCACCTATCTCTGCATTGCTACAGCCCCAATGTCTACTTATTTCATGGACTCAGGTGATCCCCACAAGCAAACCTGGATTTTTTTTTGTTGTTATTTTTGAGATGTGGTCTTGATATGTTTCCCTGGTTGGCCTCAAATGTTGCTCAGGCTAAACTCTAACTCCTGGACTCAAGATATCCTTCTGCCTCAGCCGCTCTCATAGCTGGAATTACAAGTGCACCTGGCAAACACTTGGAGATAAATTCTTGTTGATTTCAATCACCTTCCAAACCTGGAAGGGAGTTATTCTGAGGGACACTGAACAGCACTGAGGGGACGGTGCTAAAGGATTCATGAGAAACTGACCTCGTGATCCAACCACCTCCTTCCCTCCAGGCCCCACCTATAATGCTGGGGATCACATCTCGACATGAGATCTGCACAAGAACAACATCCAGTCTATATCAGGTATCAACAGATCTTACATTAATGAACACCTCAAATTACCATAGTGATTTCCGTGGGACTTGGCTCACATGGGCATTCTTTTCATAGGCAAGTTTTTCATTGCTCTCCTGATTAATTATACGGCCAGGCCATTAGTCACTCCCTGTAAGTCAGTAAAAACTAAAACGTAGGAGCTTTATCATTGTTCAATTCTTCCACCACTGCTAAGAAAACACCATGCAATTAAGTCCACAACAGCTTTTCTGTTTTTACCTTCTTTGATCAAAGAGGTGGACTTCCAAACAGTATGTTGTCCATTCATCTTGCAAATGCTGTACACAAACCAACCAGCTGTTAGTGGGTCAGTTGACTGATACTGCAGTTCAAATCCCAGCGCTGTCTGCTACAGAGTTCCATCTTGCTCAAGGGAGGTCAGTGTTTTGTTTAATTTACACCTTCAGTGAATTGAATGAAGCCCACTCACATTATAGACATTAATCTACTTTATTCATAGTCTGGCTATTTATGTGTTAATCTCATCCAACAAACATCCTCACAAATCATCCAGAATAATGCTTGACCACTTATCCAGGCACGATGCTTTAGCCAAGATGACCAATAAATTTTTTTTTATTATTATACCTTAAGTTCTAGGGTACATGTGTACAACGTGCAGGTTTGTTACATATGTATACATGTGCCATGTTGGTGTGCTGCACCTGTTAACTCATTATTTACATTAGGTATATTTCCTAGTGCTATCCCTCCCCACTGCCCCCACCCCACGACAGGCCCCGGTGTGTGATGTTCCCCCCTGTGTCCAAGTGTTCTCATTGTTCAATTCCCACCTATGAGTGAGAACATGCGGTGTTTGGTTTTCTGTCCTTGTGATAGTTTGCTCAGAATGATGGTTTCCAGCTTCATCCATGTCCCTACAAAGGACATGAACTCATCCTTCTTTATGGCTGCATAGTATTCCATGATGTATATGTGCCACATTTTCTCAATCCTATCTATCATTGATGGACATTTGGGTTGGTTCCAAGTCTTTGCTATTGTGAATACTGCCACAATAAACATACATGTGCATGTGTCTTTATAGCAGCACGATTTATAATCCTTTGGGTATATACAAAGTAATGGGACCACTGGGTCAAATGGTATTTCTAGTTCTAGGTCCTTGAGGAATTGCCACACTGTCTTCCACAATGGTTGAACTAGTTTACAGTCCCACCAACAGTGTAAAAGTGTTCCTATTTCTCCACATCCTCTCCAGCACTTGTTGTTTCCTGACTTTTTAATGATCGCCATTCTTACTGGTGTGAGATGGGATCTCATTGTGGTTTTGATTTGCATTTCTCTGATGGCCAGTGATGATGAGCATTTTTTCATGTGTCTGTTGGCTGCATAAATGTCTTCTTTGGAGAAGTGTCTGTTCATATCTTTTGCCCACTTTTTGATGGGGTTGTTTGATTTTTTCTTGTAAATTTGTTTGAGTTCCTTGTAGATTCTGGATATTAGCCCTTTGTTAGATGGGTAGATTGTAAATATTTTCTCCCATTTTGTAGGTTGCCTGTTCACTCTGATGATAGTTTCTTTTGCAGTGCAGAAGCTCTTTAGTTTAATTAGATCCCATTTGTCAATTTTGGTTTTTGATGTCATTGCTTTTGGTGTTTTAGTCATGAAGTCCTTGCCCATGCCTATGGCCTGAAAGGTATTGCCTAGGTTTTCTTCTAGGGTTTTTATGGTTTTAGGGATGATCAGTAAAATTAATTATGACATTCTTCAATATAAGAATACTCTGAGGAAATTAGCCTGTGATCTAATAAAACAAGGAGCAAACAACTGTTTCTAAAAATTTACAAGCAATAGTCAAAAAGCCCTCCCTAGAGATTGTTTCTCACGTTCACTCTATAATTCTGGGTAAAAAAAAAAAGCACGTATTTGTTGAAAACCACAGAAGAAGAGAAAATTGAAAAAGCAGAAAGTGAAAAAATAAGAATAATAATAAAGATGACAGCAGTTATTTCATTGGAAACAATGCAAATGAGGAGACAGATGAGCAACATCTTTAGAGTCCTAAAAGGAAAATGCTGTGAAACTAGATTCTATTCCCAGAAAATAATACCTTTTTCAAATATATATGTATAGTTTTAATTGACAAAGTATAATACATTTGTGAGATATTGTTTAATGTATTGATATATGTGTACCCTATGTAATGATTAAATTAAGCTAACACACCTTGAATATATCTATCAAAAAATAAAGGGATTTTAGGCCAGGCATGGTGGCTCATGCCTGTCATCCCAACACTTTGGGAGGCCGAGGTAGGTAGATCACGAAGTCAGGAGTCAAGACCAGCCTGACCAACATGGTGAAACCTCGTCTCTACTAAAAATACAAACATTAGCTAGGCATGGTGGCATGCTCCTGTAATTCCCAGCTACTCAGGAGGCTGAGGCAGGAGAATCACTTGAACATGGGAGGCGGAGGTTGCAGTAGGCCAATATCACACCATTGCACTCCAGCCTGGGCAATAGAGTGAGACTCTGTCTCAAAAATAAACAAACAAACAAACAAACAAACAAACAAACAAATGGATTTTAGACATACAGGGAGTGAAAAAATAACCAGCAGACCTAAACTATAATAAATGTTTCAGTCCTCTAGGCAAAAAGAAAATTAAGGGACTAGTTGGCACAGCATTTAATGATGAAGAGACAACTTCATCGCCCCCTCCCACTGAGACAGAGAACACAGCCCCAGGGCCTGGGAATTCCTCAACCCAATCCACCACCTTGGGCACCTGTGCACTCCTCCTGGGTACCTGAGGTTGGATGCAATCACCTTAGCTGTCACCTACCTGCAAACACCACCTATGGGCATCCCACCCAGCCTATCGCATCTGCCGCTAACAGTGCACACTGCTTGGGACCCAGAGAAGCAGCCCACCACTGCCACTGCCAAGCTGGCTGCCCAAGAGCCGAAGTCCCCAGCACCTACCCAGTCAACCACTGCCACTACTGCCATCCAAGCAAGCCACCTGGAGGCCCAGGAATCAGCCCACCAGTAACCACCAACACAAATGCCAGTATATACCACCTTGGGGCACAAAGATAGGAACACTCAGCACACCACTGCCACCACTGGAGCCTGAAGACTGTCTCATGTGGCATCTCAGTCCCCAGCACATTTTCACCACAGCCTCACTAATAACCACACCCTAATGCACAGAAGAAATCACAGATACTATTAACACTGTCTACAGCCAAAGAAATTATACAGAGGCCATAGTACTCTACTATGTACTACACCCAGAATCAAATCCAAAGTACCCTATGCAACCAACACCATAGACTCATCTTCAGGAAAATGCTCTCCACTATGAAACAAAATTCAAAAATAAGAAGAACTGACTGTTATATCAGATGCAAAAATATTAACGTTAGGACACAGAAACATGAAAAAGCAAAAAAGAAAAAAAAAGCCGCTAAGGAAGACAATAGATCTTAATCAAAAAGAAATTTTCAAGATTCTAGATAAAGGACTCAAAACATTCATTTTACAGAAGTTCAGTGAGATACAAAAGAATTCTGAAAAAAATACAAAGAAAACATAAAAATAATTCAGGATACAAATAAGAAGTTTACAAAAGATATAGATTTAAAAAAAACAGAAATTCTGGAATTAAAGAATTCATGACATGAAATTCCAAATACATTTGAAAGCTTCAACAACATACTAGGTCAGGCAGAAGGAAGAATTCCAAAACTTGAAGATATACATAGTGAAATAATTCAATAAGACAAAAACACACACAAAAAAAGAATGAGCAAAGCCTTTGTGACATTTGGTACAATATAAACAACCAAATATTCAAATTATTGGTATCCTCAAGGGCAAAGAGACAAAGAACAGATTAGAAAACCTATTTAATGAAAGAATAGATGAATAATTCCCAACTCTAGCAAGTGATTTAGACATTCAGATACAAAATGTTCAATAATTCTGAGAAAAATACAATGCAAAAAGTTCCTCACCATGGCATATAATCAGACTTTCTATAGTATAAGGTAAAACGCAAATCCTAAAAATAGCAAGAGGAAAGTGTTTAGTCACCTATAAAGGAAACCCCATCAGACTAACAGCAGATTTCTTTTTCTTTTTTCTTTCTTTTTTTTTTGAGACGGAGTCTCGCTGTGCTGCCAGGCTGGAGTGCAGTGGCATGATCTCGGTTCACTGCAACCTCTGCCTCCTGGGTTCAGGTGATTCTCCTCCCTCAGCCTGCCAAGTAGCTGGGATGACAGGCACACGCCACCACACACAGCTAATTTTTTTTTTTTTTGTATTTTTAGTAGAGACGGGATTTCACCAAGTTGGCCAGGATGGTCTCAATCTCTTGACATCATGATCCACCCACCTCAGCCTCCCAAAGTGCTGGGATTACAGGTGTGAGCCACTGTGCCCAGCTCTAACAGCAGATTTCTTAGCAGAAATCTTACAGGCCAGAAGAGAATAGGATAGTATAATCAAAGTCCTGAAGGAAAAGAACTGCCAAGCCAAGAGTAATAAACAAAACATAAGTATTCTTCATAATTGAAAAAAGAAATTATCTTTCCAAGACAAGCAAATGCTGAAAGGCTTCATTACCACTAGACAGGGCCTACAGGAAATGCTCAAGAAAGTCCTAAACCTGGAATTGAAACGACATTTTCAACATTTCCACATTATCACCATGAAAACATACACAAGTATAAAACTCACTGGTAAAGCAATCACACAAAAGAGGAAGAGAAAGGTCTCAAATGGTCCTACTACAGAAATCCACCAAACCATAATGACAAGCAATAAGAGAAAAAGACAGTAATAAAGGACATATAAAACAACCCGAAAACAACAATGTGATAGGAACAAAGCTGTTGGGAACAGGCCTCCAAAAATCTGGCCATAAACTGGCCCCAAAACTGGCCATAAACAAAATCTCTGCAGCACTGTGACATGCTCATGATGGCCATGATGCCCACGCTGGAAGGTTGTGGGTTTACCGGAATGAGGGCAAGGAACACCTGGCCCACCCAGGGCGGAAAACTGCTTAAAGTCGTTCTTAAACCACAAACAATAGCATGAGTGATCTGTGCCTTAAGGGCATGCTCCTGCTGCAGATAACTAGCCAAACCCATCCCTTTATTTTGGCCCATCCGTTTGTTTCCCATAAGGAATACTTTTAGTTAATCTATAATCTATAGAAACAATGCTTATCACTGGCTTGAGTTAATAAATATGGGGGTAAATCTCTGTTCGAGGCTGTCAGCTCTGAAGGCTATGAGATCCCTGATTTCCCACTTCACACCTCTATATTTCTGTGTGTGTGTCTTTGATTCCTCTAGTGCCACTGGGTTAGGGTCTTCCCGACTGAGCTAGTCTCGGCACAAAGCCTCACATATTAATAAAAATCTGGAATGTAAACAGATTAAATTCTCCACTTATAAGATTTAGAATGGCTGAATGGGTAGAAAACATGATCTAACTACATTCTGCTTATAGAAAAACTCACCGGTAATACCACCTCACCACAATCCATAGAGACAGAAGGTAAAAGAATGGCAAGAGGTTATCTATGGAAACCAAAAGTGAGCAGGAGTAGCTATACTTATAGCAGATAAAATAAACTGTAAGTCAAGAACAACTTTTTTAAAAGATAAGGAAGGCCATCACGTAATCATAAAGAGATCCTTCCAAGAAAAGAATAGAACAATTCTAAATATATATGCACTAAACACTGGAGAACCTAGACTCATAAAACAAATATTACTACATCTAACAAGAAAGATAGACTCCAATACAATAATAGTAGGAGACTTCAACATCCCAACCTCAGCATGAGACAGATCATCTACATAGAAAATCAAGAAAGAAACATTGGATTTAAACAGAATTTTACACCAAATAAAGCTAACAGATATTTATAGAGCATTCTATCTAACACTACAGAATATACACT
Organism: Homo sapiens; assembly: GCF_000001405.40. NCBI lineage: Eukaryota > Metazoa > Chordata > Mammalia > Primates > Hominidae > Homo > Homo sapiens. Next base: position 2,818,521 of record NT_113891.3, on the reverse strand, counting down.
CCTTTCATGAACACATGGAACGTTTTCGGGGAGAGAGCCTATGTTAAGCCACAAAACAAGTCTGAACAAATTTTCAAAAATTGAAATCATTAAATATCTTCTCTGGCCACAATGGAATAAAACTAGAAATATACACCAAGAGAAATGTTGGCAACAAGACCAATACATGGAAATTAAACAACATGCTCCTGAATAACCATTGAGTCAACAGAGAAATTAAGATGTAAATTAAAAAGTTTCTTGAAACAAATGAAAATGGAAACACAACATACCAAAACCTGTGGGATACAGCTAAACAGGGCTAAAAGGGAGGTTTATAAGAATAAATACCTACCTAAGAAAAGTAGAAACATTACAAATTAACAATATAACAATGAACCTCAAGGAACTGGAAAAGCAAGAAAAAAACACATCAAAAATTAGCAGAAAAGAAATAATAAAGATCATAGTAGAACTAAATAAAGACTTTTAAAAACCATGTAAATGATCAACAAAGTGAAAAGTTTGTTCTTCAAAAACATAAACAAAATTGATAAACCACTAGCTAAACAAACCTAGAAAAAAAGAGAGAAAATTTGTTAAGAATAAAAGTTCCTCTTCAAAGTTTTCCTTTTTGGTTTAGAATGATAAGTGTTAAGAAGATAGTTCCTCTTAAAAGCTTCCTTTAAGTTTCCCTTGCTCTTCATACTAACAAATCTTCTATTTTACTAATGATTCTTTATTGTGCCCCCAAGGAGTTGTTACATACAGTAAAGAAATAAACACATTCTATGTTCTTGTACTTGAACCAAGGCCTAACTCCTTTGTCCCCTAGTCTGCCTGGATCTGCCTGGACATGCCCAGACATGTCCCAGCTCGCAGATTATGCTCTTTCCTTATTTGGAAATATTATTGTCTTCCTGGTTTCCCATAAGTGAACCCCTCCTTTCCTTTGTTCCCCATTGCACCTTTACCTTATTTGGGAAAGTTTAAGTTTTTAGCCAACTGGGATCAGTTTAGATTGTGTGGTCCAGTTCCAGCCAATGGAGACAGGACACAATAGTAGAAACAACTTGCGTTAGGAATAAAAACCCCTGTTTTCCTTTGTTCTGGGTGCTCTCATGGCAATCAGGCTTATGGGTAGCACCCTTCTGCAGAAGTAAAAATTGCCTTGCTGAGAAATCCTTTGTTCAAGTGTTTGTTTTCTTTGTGACTCCGAGCTTTATTTCTAACAATTTTCTGGGGGCTCATCCACTATTCCCATTCTTCTTTGGGAAGGGGTCTTTGGTCACCCCATCTAGGGGAGGTGCACCCCACTGCCCCACTGCAGTGGTCCCAGGGACGGGAGACTGAGACTACCCATTGTGACGAATAAATCCAGGCTCTCAGCAATGTGGAAGGAGAAGGCCTGCAAGTACCGCAATGACCAGGTAACTGTGCACAGACCAAGGTAAAAAAAGTCACAAGGGCAACAGTATTTCCTTGGTGGTCGGGATATTCTGGAGGTTAAAGGGTGTGAAAGGTAACAAGCACTACTGCTGTGCAGAGTGAGTGAGTCCAATCTGTGGTTCTGTGGTCACCTCATACGGCTTATGGTGGCCCTCTTGTAGGGATCCTGACATTGGGGTTTATACAGTCCCGCTGATGCTAAGGGGAGCCTAATTTCCTCTGGGAAAGCAGCCAGAGTGGACGAAGCAGAAGGAGAAGATTGCAAGGAACCTCCAGGATAGGGGTTAAACCTCCAGGGAAGGATAGGTGAAAAATCTCTAGTTCAAGGGACTGAGCCTAACCAGTATTCAACATGGGAAATACCCTGAGTAAGACAGAAGGTAAAAAGGAAAAGGCAGACAGTGAAATCACCTCTGATAGTCCTTTAGGACTCATGTTAAAATATTGGAAGTACACGAGAGGACTAAACATAAGAAAAAGCAACAGATGATAAAGTATTATTGTTTCATTTGGACCAAGGAACCTATTCTAAAGCCTTCAGTTTTCTGGCCAAAATTCGGGTCAAATGAGGATTGGACTGCCAGCTTTTAATAGAATATGTAAATGATAAAAGTCCTGTTTCCCAGGAGGAAATACATTATGCTCTGTGTTGGTGGCAAAGGCCCATCCTCCTTTGTCATCTAAAAACTAAAGGAGAGAAGCCAGAAACTACTTCTCATGAAATTAATACCCCTTACGCCAAGAACCCCACCAACACATGGGACCCCTTAGACCACCTTCCCCCACCAAACCTTCTTCCCCCCAACCAGTAGACCAACATCCCCCACCTCCCACTCCAGTAGATATAACAGTCCCAGACCTTTCCCCTACTCAGATTTTCTTTCCCTCCTTATAACCCTGATTCTTGGGGTCATCCCCAGCTTGAATGCCCTCCCTCAGGAAGACTTCAACGTGAGTTAGAACAATGTAAAAATGATATCCAAAACTTCCATTTTCTCCCTTCTTCTAGGGGTTCAGCTACAAACCACTTCCCATTGAGGGAAGTGTCTCTAGGAGGAGGGGGCATTGCCTTTGTAAATGCTCCCCTGACCAGTTCAGAAGTCTGGAGCTTGAAGAGGGAACTCAAGCCACTCTTAGACGATCTCTATGTAGTGACAGATCAAATTCATCAATTTTTAGGACTCCAGTTGTATACTGGGCTGAGTTAATGTCCATCATAGGCATTCTTTTTTCAGGGGAAGAAAGGAGCATGACGCATAGGGCTGCTATGACCATTTGGGAGTGTGAGCATCCTCCTGGTCAAAACGTCCCTGCAGCCAAACAGAAATTTCCTACTCAAGATTCCCAGTGGGATAATAACAACATAGCTCATAGGAGGAATATGAGAGACCTGCAAGAAATGATAATAAAAGGAATTAGAGAATCGTTACCCTGCACCCAGAATATGACCAAAGCTTTTAATATACAGCAAGGAAAAGATGAGGGGCTTATGGAATTTTTTAACAGGCTTAAGGAACAAATGAGGAAATATGCTGGTTTAGATGGAGGAGACCCACTTGGACAAGGAATGTTAAAGCTTCACTTCGTCACAAATAGCTGGCCAGATGTTACCAAGAAATTACAAAAGACAGAAAATTGGAAGGACTGTCCCATAGAGGAACTCTTAAGGGAGGCCCAAAAGGTGTATGTACGAAGAGATGAAGAAAAGTAAAAGGACAAGGCAAAGATTATGCTGTTCTTACAGCAGGGAACTCCCCAATAGACAGCTCAAAGAAATGTCACTGGTAAATCTTTTAGGTACCCGACTGCCAGACCCTATAATGGAGGTAAAGGAATCAAACCAGGGAACAAGGGAATAAAAAGAGGAATAGGGCAGAATAAATGCTTCAAGTGTGGGAAGGAAGGTCACTTTAAAGAGAATGCCCTGAATGGAAAAAAGAAAAAGAAATCACCCACTTATGATCTTTGAGGAGGAATGGGGGGCCAGGGGCTCTACTCTTTTTACCTCGAGTCCCACCAAGACTCCTTGATAAATTTAGAGGTGGGACCCAGACCTTTTTAATTGACTCAGGAGCTGCTGATTCCTCAGTTTGTTATCTTCCCCCTGGTGTAACTTGGTCACAAGAAGAACTTTTTATTTTGGGAGCAAAAGGGGAGGGGTTTAAAGCAAAAGTCTTAGAAGAAACAAAAATTAAATATCAGAACCACTCAGTAAATATTAAACTTCTGTTAATCCTGGAGGCAGGAAGAAACCTATTAGGAAGAGACTTAATGCTAAAATTAAACCTAGGCCTTTGTGTTAATCAAGGAAATCTCCTCCCCTCCTTAAATTTGCTTGCTACTCTAAATGAGGGATACATCCATCCAGATGTATGGTCAAAGGAAGGAAACTGAGGAAAGTTACAAATTTCCCCAATCCAAGTTAAATTGAAAAACCTGGGGCAAGAGGTAAAAAGAAAACAATATCCAATTCCCTTAGAAGCTAAGATCAATTTAAAGCCCACAATAGAAAGCCTTCTCCATGGTGGACTCATTGAACCCTGTATGTCTCCTTATAACACTCCCATACTGCCTGTGAAAAAGCCAGAGGGGTCATATCGGCTAGTGCAAGATCTTCGATCTATTAATCAAATAGTTCAAACAACTCACTCTGTCGATCCTAATCCTTATGCTATTATTAGTAAAATTCCTTACAACCATGAGTGGTTCACAGTAATAGATCTAAAGGATGCCTTCTGGGCTTGCCCACTAGCAAAGATAGCCTTTGAATGGGAGGACCCTCACTCTGGTTGAAAATAACAGTATCGATGGACAGTTTTGCCCCAGGGATTTACAGAATCTCCAAATTTGTTTGGTCAAATACTAGAACAGATCATAGAAAAGTTTTACAAACCACCATATATATGCCTGCTCCAATACATGGATAATATCCTTATTTCAGGGGAGGATAGACAAAAAGTAGAAGGATTTTCAATAGGTTTTTTAAAAATAATTTGCAACTGGAGGGGTTATGAGTGTCAAAAAAGCAAACTTCGGTTTGTAGAACCTGAAGTCAAGTATTTAGGGGACTTAATCAGTAAGGGCAAATGGAGAATTGGATTTGAATGGATTGAAGGCATCATATCCTTCATATGATATCCTGAGACAAAGAAGGAACTTAGAAAGTTTTTAGGGTTAGTAGGGTATTGTTGCTTATAGAGAGACTCTTATGCTTTAGTAACCAAACCTCTACATAAAAAAAACTTACACAGGATGAATTGGACCCCCTTATATGGTTTTACAAGAAATACAGCAGATAAAAAAATTAAAAGAGTTACTAGTGACAGCCCATGTTCTAGCCTTACCCTCTTTAGAATTGCCCTTTCATCTTTTTGTTAATGTAGGTAATGAAGTAGCCTTAGGGGTACTTACTCAAACACACGGAGGCCATTGGCAACCCATAGCCTTCTTGTCAAAAATTCTTTACCCAGTAGCCCATGGATGGCCCGAGTGTGTCCCATCAGTGGCAGCAACAGCCTTGCTCATAGAGGAGAGCAGAAAATTAACCTTTGGGGAAATCTTATCATTAGTACTCCTCAACAAGTGAGAACAATTCTCAATCAGAAGGCAGGAAGGTGGCTTATTGATTCAAGAATTTTAAAGTATGAAGCCATCTTGTTAGAAAGAGATGATCTAATCTTAACCACTGATGACTCAATTAATCCAGCTGCTTTCTTAACAGGAAACCCCAACCCACAGACCCCTGATCTTTGCCCAGAGCACAGATGTTTAGATTTAATTAGTTATCAAACAGAAGTTAGACCTGATCTAAATGAAACACCCTTTCATACTGGGAAACACCTGTTTGTAGATGGTTCCTCCCGAGTAATCAAAGGAAAAAGGCATAACGAGTATTCAACGATAGATGGAGATACCCTCACAGAAATAGAGTCTGAAAGGTTACCAAATGACTGGTCTGCACAAACATGTGAGTTGTTCACATTAAATCAGGCCTTAAAATTTCTGCAAATCAAGAAGCAACAATCTATACAGACTCCAGGTATGCCTTTGGAGTAGTCCATACTTTTGAAAAAATTTGGACTGAGCGGGGCCTCATTAACAGCAAAGGTCAAATTTTAGACCATAGGGACCTAATAATACAAGTACTAGAAAATTTACAATTGCCAAAAGAAATAGCTGTTGTACATGTCCCACGACATCAAAGGAATCCTTTATTTGAAGGCCAGGGAAATAATCTCACTGACCAAATAGCCAAGCAAGCTGCCTCTTCTCCAGCAGAACCCATTTTTCGACTAACCCCTTGTCTTCCATCTTCAGCTGCACTCCCTATCTTCTCTCAAGTAGATCAGGAAAAACTGAAAAAAATAGGAGCTGAAGAAAACTCAAAAGGAAAGTGGGTATTACCAGATGGAAGGGAAATGTTACCCAAACCTTATGAGGGAAATATTGTCACAGCTTCATCAAGGATGTCACTGGGGTCCTCAAACCATGTGTGATGCAGTCCTTAGGGTTTATGGGTGCATAAGAATATACACCCTCGCCAAGCAAATGGTGGAAAGTTATATACTGTGCAGAAAATCTAATAAGCAGACCCTCAAAAGACAACCTCCCGGAGGGAGAAATCCTGGGTTAAGGCGGTTTCAAAGTGTCCAAGTTGACTCTACTGAAATGCCCCCAGTAGGCCGCCTTAAGTATTTACCGGTAATAGTAGATCATCTTACCCACTGGGTAGAAGCCATCCCCTTTCCAAGTTCAACAGCCAGTAATGTGGTCAAAGCTCTGTTAGAACATATCATACCCAGGTTTGGAATAATAGAGAACATTGATTCAGATAATGGGACCCAATTTACCGTGTACATTATTAAAAGACTAATCCAAGTATTAGGGATAAAATGGGAATATCATACTTCCTGGCCTCCACCTTCATCTGGGAGAGTAGAAAGAATGAATCAAACTTTAAAGAGTCATCTAACCAAATTAATTTTAGAAACTCGCCTACCATGGACAAAATCTCTTCCCATTGCTTTACTAAGAATCCACAAACTTCTCCTCGGAGGGATCTTGGCTTGTCTCCTTATGAAATGCTTTATGGGTTACCTTATCTAAACACTACTACTGACCTTCCTATGATCGAAACAAAAGATCAGTTCCTTAGAAATTATGTATTTGGTCTGTCTTCCACTCTTTCGTCCCTCAGGACTCAAGGTCTGGTAGCACAGACTCCACCCCTTGAATTCTGGGCCCACCAACATCAACCCGGAGATCACACGTCCTTATCAAAGGCTGAAAAGAGGGAAAGCTTGAGCCTACCTGGGAAGGACCCTATCTGGTGCTCACAACAACTGAAACAGTAGTTCGGACCACTGAGAAAGGGTGGACCCATTATACTCGAGTCAAGTAGGCGTCACCTTCTCCAGAGACATGGACCATTATTCCGTCAACTCCCACCAGAGTAACGATAAAAAGAAAAACTTAATCTATCTCTTTTTCTTCTTTTCTTTCCCTTAACTGCCCCCATCTCATCATTAATGTAACTAGATCAAGTTTGCCCAAAATTATTACCTTTGATGCTTCTCTAGTCATGCCTTGTGGAAATTTACAGGACCAAAGACAGCTTACTGCCTCAGATAAATATCTTTGTCCCTCTTGAACTTCCTCAGATTGGAAAGATATAACAAATTCTTGTAAAGATCATGATAACCCCAAAAATAGTAGCTGTATGAACTGGTGGGAATGGGACTCTTGTCCCCTTAAAACAGAGTCCCTATGCTATACTTGGTCTAATGTCCTATGGAACACCAAAGGTCCAGGCTGGACTGCTCCCACCAGTCTTTGCCAGTCCTTAAAGCCATATATCCATTTTACAAAAGGGATTGCCTCTTCTAATTGTCCATATAACCAGTGTAATCCTATTCGGCTTACTATTACTATTGCAACATCCCAAAACTCTTTCCCTTCATTAAGTCGTATTTATAGCATAGGGGCCAACATCTTGGGAAAGGATCCTAGGGGAATTTTTGAAATCTGCTTTATTGCCCCTTCCACCTCTCTAACACATCTTCCTCAAACCATCACCCCACCTATACCCAGTGACAAAACCAAAGTAGCTATAGTAGAAGTAAAAGACCTGAGGTAAACTCTAGCCACTGAAACAGGGTCTCAGGATGCAAATGCCTGGCTGGAATGGATTAAATATCCATCCACACTCAAAATAAGAGCGATTGTTATGCTTGGGCACAGGGCAGACCAGAGGCCCAAACTGTCCCCTTTCCACTCAGATGGTCTTGTAATAGACCAGATATGGACTGCATGGTAGCTCTGCTCCAAGACCTCACAGCCTGGGGTAATAAATCGTGTCAAAGACTTTCTTTGCTGTTCCCTGAGGTTCAGCACTCTGCGGATCAGCCCCCAAAGGCCATTCAGCCTCCATCTTCTGGGACCAAATTTGCTTCGTGTCTCTCACAACAGGGAGAAAACTTGGCTTTCCTTGGAAACCTGACAGGATGCAGTGAGGTCAAGCACTTCCAAGAGCTAACCCATCAGTCCTCCCTTATCCATCCCCGAGCAGATGTATGGTGGTATTGTGGTGGACCTTTGTGGGAGACTCTGCCAAATAACTGGAGTGGTACTTGCACTCTAATTCAATTGGCTATCTCTTTCACCCTGACATTTCATTCACAAAAATATTAACAACTAGGCATCGTAGTACAAGAACTGTTCCTGTGAGTCTTTTGATCCCAACGTTTATATAGATGCTATTGGAGTACCAGATGAATTTAAAGCTTGAAACCAAATAGCTGCAGAATTTAAGTCATTATTCAGGTGGGTGACTATCAATAAAAATATAGATTGGATAGCCAGGCGCAGTGGCTCACGTCTGTAATCGCAGCACTTTGGGAGGCCAAGGCGGGCAGATCACGAGGTCAGGAGTTTGAGACCAGCCTGACCAACATAGTGAAACCCTGTTTCTACTAAAAATACAAAAATTAGCTGAGTGTGGTGGCACGCACCTGTAATCCCAGCTACTCAGGAGAGTCACTTCAACCTGGGAGTTGGAGGTTGCAGTGAGCCGAGATCACACCACTGCACTCCAGCCTGGGCGACAGACTGAGACTCCATCTCGAAAAAAAAAATGTAGGTTGGGTAAATTATATTTACTACAATCAGCAATGATTCATTTTTTTTTAATTAATTTTTTTTTTTTAGTATTTATTGATCATTCTTGGGTGTTTCTTGGAGAGGGGGATTTGGCAGGGTCATAGGACAATAGTGGAGGGAAGGTCAGCAGATAAACATGTGAACAAGGGTCTCTGGTTTTCCTAGACAGAGGACCCTGCGGCCTTCCGCAGTGTTTGTGTCCCTGGGTACTTGAGATTAGGGAGTGGTGATGACTCTTAATGAGCATGCTGCCTTCAAGCATCTGTTTAACAAAGCACATCTTGCACCGCCCTTAATCCATTTAACCCTGAGTGGACACAGCACATGTTTCAGAGAGCACGGGGTTGGGGGTAAGGTTATAGATTGACAGCATCCCAAGACAGAAGAATTTTTCTTAGTACAGAACAAAATGGAGTCTCCCATGTCTACTTCTTTCTACACAGACACAGTAACGATCTGATCTCTCTTTCTTTTCCCCACATTTCCCCCCCTTCTATTCGACAAAACTGCCATCGTCCTCATGGCCCGTTCTCAATGAGCTATTGGGTACACCTCCCAGACGGGGTGGCGGCTGGGCAGAGGGCTCCTCACTTCCCAGACAGGGCGGCCGGGCAGAGGCGCCCCCCACCTCCCAGACGGGGCAGTGGCCGGGCGGAGGCGCCCCCAACCTCCCTCCCGGACGGGGCGGCTGGCCGGGCGGGGGCTGCCCCCCCACCTCCCTCCCGGATGGGCTGGCTGGCCGGGCGGGGGCTGACCCCCCACCTCCCTCCCTGACGGAGTGGCTGGCCGGGCGGGGGCTGACCCCATTAATTGCACAAGGGATGCTATGAGGGAATAGCTGAGCAACTAGGACCCACCAATCAGATGACTTGGGAAAATAGAACAGCACTAGACATGATACTAGCAGAAAAAGGCAAGGTTTGTGTTATGATTGGAACTCAATGTTGTACTTTTATCCTTAATAATACTGCCCCTGATCGAACTATAATAAAAGCACTACAAGGTCTTACTGCTTCATCAAATGAACTAGCTAAAAACTCTGGAATAAATGATCCTTTCACTAGCTTAATGGAAAGGTGGTTTGCTAAGTGGAAAGGACTCATGTCCTCAATTCTCACCTCACTGGCTCTCATAATCAGTGTACTTATCCTTGTAGAATGTTGTATTATATCTTGCATTCATGGATTAGTGCAAAGGCTTATAGAAAAGGCTCTTACCAAAACCCCTTTCAATTCTCCTCACCCTTACTCAGATAAGTTGTTCTTTCTAACTGATTAAGAAGAGCAACAAAATCAAGATATGTTAAGGAGATTTGAAGAGGAAGAACTGTAAAATCAAGAGGGGGAAACTGTAAAGAATAAAAGTACCTCTCCAAAGTTTTCCTTTTTGGTTAAGAATGATAAGTGTTAAGAAGATAGTTCCTCAGCCGGGCGCAGCAGCTCACACCTGTAATCCCAACACTTTGGGAGGCTGAGGCAGGTGGATCATGAGTTCAGGAGATCGAGACCATCCTGACTAACATGGTGAAACCCCGCCTCTACTAAAAAAAAAAAAAAGAAAACAGGAAAAAAAAATTAGCTGGGCGTGGTGGCACGTGCCTGTAATCCCAGCTACTCGGGAGACTGAGGCAGGAGAATCGCTTGAGCCCCGGAGGCGGAGGTTGCAGTGAGCCTAAATTGCGCCACTGCACTCCAGTCTGGGCTACAGAGTGAGACTCTGTCTCAAAACAAACAAACAAAAAACAAACAAAAAAAGAAGATAGTTCCTCTTAAAATCTTTCTTTAAGTTTCCCTTACTCTTCATACTAACAAATCTTCTAATTTACTAATGATTCTTTATTGTGCTCCAAGTAGTTGTTACATACAGTAAAGAAATAAACACATTCTATGTTCTTGTACTTGAACCAAGGCCTAACTCCTAGTCTGCCTGGATCTGACCAGACATGCCCAGACATGTCCCAGCTTGCAGCCTATGCTCTTGCCTTATTTGGAAATCTTATTGTCTTCCTGGTTTCCCATAAGTGACCCCCTCCTTTCCTTTGTTCCCCATTGCACCTTTACCTTATTTAGGAAAGTTAAAGTTTTTAGCCAACCGGGATCAGTTTAGACTGTGCGGTCCAGCTCCAGCCAATGGACACAGGACACAATAGTAGAAACAACTTGGGTTAGGAATAAAAACCCCTGCTTTCCCTTGTTCTGGGTGCTCTCGTGGCAATCAGGCTTACAGGTAGCACCCTTCTGCAGAAGTAAAAATTGCCTTGCTGAGAAATCCTTTGTTCAAGTGCTCATTTTCTTTGTGACTTCGAGCTTTATTTCTAACAGACTCAAACAAAATCAGAAAAGAAAAGAGAAACATTACAACTGATATTGCAAAAGTACAAAAGACCATCAGAGACTATTATGAACAATTGTGTACTGACAAACTGGAAAACCTGGAGGAAATGGATAAATTCCTGGAAACAAACAACCTGCCAAGATTACATTAGGAAGAATAGAAAACCTGAAGCCCTAACATACATGAACCATTCTCACAGTGGTCCCAGTGGGCCCCTGACCTCTCTGTGATTATTTCCTCAGTGCTTGTTTGCATAATTGAAATAGACCTACTCAGCAACAGCCAAAATCCACAGATCAGTTCCTTTTTTTAACTTTTATTTTCAGTTCAGGGGTACAAGTGCAGGCTGTTTTACAGGTAAACTTGTGTTGTGGGAGTTTGGTACACAGATTATTTAATCACCCAGGTTTTAAGCCTATTACCCATTAGTTATTTTCCCTGATCCTCTTCTTCCTCCCACCCTCCACCTTCTGAAAGTCCCCAGTGCCCAGTGTGTGCTATTCCCCTCTATGTCTCTATGCATTCTCATCATTTAGCTCCCACATATAAGTGAGAACATGCAGTATTTGGTTTTCTGTTTCTGCATTAGTTTGCTAAGGATAATGGCTTCCAGCTCCACCCATGTCCCTGCAAAGGACATGATCACATTCCTTTTTCTGGCTGCATAGTGTTCCATGGTATACATGTATCACGTTTTCTTTATCCAGTCTATAATTGGTGGGCATTTAAGTTGATTCCATGTCTTTGCTATTGTGAATAGTGCTGCAATGAACATATGTGTGCCTATGTCTTTATAATAGAATAATTTATATTCCTTTGGGTAGAATGGTATTTCTCTCTTTAGGTCTTCAAGAAATCACCACACTGTCTTCCACAATGGCTGACCTAATTTGCACTTCCACCAAGAGTATATAAGTATTCCTTTTTCTCCACAACTTTGCCAGCATCTGTTATTTTTTGACTTTTTAATAATAGCCATTCTGACTGGTGTGAAATGGCATCTCACTGTGGTTTAGATTTGCATTTCTCTAATCATCAGTGATGTTGAGCATTTTTTCATGTTTGTTGGCTGCATGTATGCCTTCTTTTGAGAAGTGTCTGTTTATATGCTTTGCCCACTTTTTAATGGGGTTGTTTTGTTTTTTCTTGTAAATTTGTTTAAATTCCTTATAGATATTAGACTTTTGTCAGATGCATAGTTTGCAAAAAATTTTCCCCCATTCTGTAGGTTGTTTACTCTGTCGATAGTTTCTTTTGCTGTGCAGAGCTCTTTAGTCGAATTAGATCCCATTTGACAATTTTTGCTTGTGTTGCACTTGCTTTTGGCATCTTTGTCATGAAATCGTTGCCCATACCTATGTCCTAAATGGTATTGCCTAGGTTCTGTTACGGTTTTTACAGTTTTGGATCTTACATTTAAGTCTTTAATCCATTTTGAGGTGATTTTGGTATATGGTGTAAGAAAGGGGTTCCATTTTAATCTTCTGCATATGGCTAGCCAGTTATCCCAGCACAATTTATGAATAGGGAATCCTTTCCCCATTGCTTGTTTTTGTCAGGTTTGTCAATGATCATAGTTGTGTGTGGTCTTATTTCTGGGTTCTCTATTCTGTTCCATTGGTCTATATGTCTATTTTTGTACCAGTACCATGCTGTTTCGGTTACTGTAGCCTTGAAGTATAGTTGAAATCAGGTAGCATACACTGGACGTGGTGGCTCATGCCTGTAATCCCAGCACTTTGGGAGGCAGAGGCAGGTGGATCATGAGGTCAGGAGTTCGAGACCAGTCTGGTCAACAAGGTGAAACCTTGTCTCTACTAAAGATACAAAAAATTAGCTGAGCGTGGTGGCATGTGCCTGTAATCCCAGCTACTCAGGAGGCTGAGAAAAGGAGAATCACTTGAACCCAGGAGGCAGAGGTTGCAGTGAGCCAGGATTACACAATTGCACCCCAGCCTGGATGACAGGGTGAGACTCCATCTCAAAAAAAAAAAAAAAAATCAGGTAGTGTAATGCCTCCAGCTTTGTTCCTTTTGTTTAGGATTGCCTTGGCTATTCAGGCTCTTTTTTGGTTCCAGGTGAATTTTAAAATAGTTTTTTCTAGTTCTGTGAAGAATGTCAGTGGTAGTGGCCGGGCACGGTGGCTCACGCCTGTAATCCCAGCACTTTGGGAGGCTGAGGCAGTGGATCATGAGGTCAGGAGATGGAGACCATCCTGGCTAACGGGGTGAAACCCCATCTTTACTAAAAGTACAAAAACTTAGCCCAGCATGGTGGCGGGTACCTATAGTCCCAGCTACTCGGGAGGCTGAGGTAGGAGAATCGCTTGAACCTGGGAGGCGGAGGTTGCAATGAGCCGAGATCACACCACTGCACTCCTGCCTGGGTAACAAGAGTGAAACTCTATCTCAAAAAAAAAAAAAAAAAACCTCCTGAATTCGTTGATCTTTTGAGTGGTTTTTCATGTCTCTGTCTCCTTCAGGAGACAATACCTTTGTTAATTTTTTATTATTACGTCTTGTCTTCTGCTAGCTTAGGGATATGTTTGCTCTTTGTTCTCAAGTTCTTTTGGTTGTGATTTTAGGTTGTTAACTTGAAATCTTTCTAACTTTTTGATGTGGGCATTTAATGCTATAAATTTCTCTCTTAACACTGCCTTAGCTCTTTCCCAGAGATTCTGGTACATTGTATCTTTGTTCTAATTATCTTCAAAGAACTTCTTGATTTGTGCCTTAATTTCATTATTTACCCAAAAGTCGTTCAAGAACAGGTTATTCAATTTCTATGTAATTGTATGGTTTGAGTGAATTTCTTAGTCTTTATTTTGAATTTGATTGCACTGTGGTCCAAGTGACTATTTGTTATGATTTCAGTTCTTTTGCATTTGCTGAGGAGTGTTTTACTTCCAATTGTGTGATTGATTTTAGAGTAAGTGCCATGTGACAATGCAAAAAATGTATATTCCATTGCTTTGGGGTGAAGACTTCTGTAGATATTTATCAGGTCCATTTGATGCAGGGCTGAGTTCAGGTCCTGAATATCTTCGTTAATTTTCTGTCTTGATAATCTGTCTAATATTGTCAGTGGAGTATTAAAATCTCTTACTATTATTGTGTGAGATTCTAAGTCTCTTTGAAGGTCTCTAGGAACCTACTTTATGAATGTGGGTGTTCCTGTATAGGATGCATATATATTTCAGATAGTTAGATCTCCTTGTTGAATTGAACCCTTTACCATTATGTAATGCCCTTCTTTGTCTTTTTTTTTATCTTTTTTGGTTTAACACCTGTTTTGTCAGAAACAAGAGTTGCAACCCTGGCTTTTTTTCTGCTTTCCATTTGCTTGGTAAATTTTCTTCCATCTTTTTGTTTTGAGCCTATGTGTGTCATTGCATGTGAAATGGGTGTATTGAAGACAGCATACTGATAGGTCTTGGTTCTTTATCCAGCTTGCCACTCTATGTCTTTTAAATGGGGCATTTAGCCCATTTACATTTAAGGTTAGTATTGATATGTATGGATTTGATCCTATCATCATGATGTTAGCTACTTACTTTGCAGACTTTCTTATGTGGTTGCTTTATTGTGTCACTAGTCTGTGTACTTCATTGTGTTTTTGTAGTGGCTGGTAACTGTCTTTCCATGTTTAGTGCTTCCTTCAGGAGTTCTTGTAATGCAGGTCTGGTAGTAATGAATTCCCTTGGCATTTGTTTGCCTGAAAAGAATCTGATTTCTCCTTTGCTTATGAAGCTTAGTTTGTTTGGATATGAAATTCTGGGTTGGAAACTCTTTTCTTTGAGAATGTTGAATACTGGACCTCAGTCTCTTCTGGCTTGTAGGATTTCCACTGAGACATCCACTGTTAGTCTGATGGGCTTCCCTTTGTAGGTGATCTGGCCTTTCTCTCTGGATACCCTTGACATTTTTTCTTTCATTTTAACCTTGGAGCATCTGATGATTATTTGTCTTGGGGATGATCTTCTCATGGAGCAGCTTACTGGGGTCCTCTGCATTTCTGAATTTGAATGTTGGCCTGTCTAGCTAGGTTGGGGAAGTTCTCATGGATCATATCCTGAAATGTTTTCCAAATTGGTTCCATTCTCCCCATCTCTTTCAGGTACACCAATCATTCATACATTGTTTCTTTACATAATCCCATGTTTTTCAGATGTTTTGTTCATTCCTTTTCATTCTTTTTTCTCTAGTCTTGTCTTCTTGTCTTATTTCAGAAAGCCAGTCTTCAAGCACTGAGATTCTTTTCTCCACTTGCTCTATTCTGCTATTAATACTTGTGAGTGCACCACGAAATTCTTATAAAGTGTTTTTTACCTCTATCAGGTTGGTTATCAGATTCTTTTGCTGATTCCTTCTCATCTCTATGGGCTTATCTACCCTCAATCTTTGAGGTTGCTGACCTTTGAGTGGATTTTTTTTCTCTTCTTTTGTTTTCTCTTTTAACAGTCTGGCCACTTTTCTATAGGGCTGTACAGTTTGCTAGGGGCCTGCTACAGTCCCTAGTTGCCTCAGATTTTCCAGTACCTGAAGGTATCACCAGTGAAGGCTATGTAACAGCAAAGATGGCAGTCTGCCCCTTCCTCTGGGAGGTCTGTTCCAGGAAAGTACAGACTTGTTGCCAGCCTGAACACACCTGTAGGAGGTGCTGGAGACCCTGGTTGGGAGGTCTTGCCCAGTCAGGAGGAACAGGATCAGGATCTAGAGGTTTACTAAAGGAGGAATGCTCCCACAGGAGACACAGAAATGAACCATTGAGCTGGAAGCTAAGACAGCTACCCAGGCCCTTCAGAGCCTCATGATTCTGAATCAACAAAGGAAGGAGTTACTGCACTGTCTGGGGTGATTGGTCCTGGCCATCAGGGGGAATTGGTCTACTACTACACAATGGCAGTAAATAGGACTGTGTCTGGAACACAGGAGATCTTTTAGAGCATCTCTTAGTAATACTCTGCCGTATAATTAAAGTCAATAAAAACGGCAACAACCCAAGTCAGGTAGGACTAGTAATGACACATACCCTTCAGGAATGAAGGTTTGAGTCACCCAAGCAGGAAAAGAAACCTGATCAGCTGACGGACTTGCTGAAAGAAATGGGAATATGGGATGGTTAGTGAAAAACAACAAAAAAAGTATTTATAAATACTAGTTGTGGCCGGCACAGTGGCTTGTGCCTGTAATCCCAGCACTTTGGGAGGCGGAGGCAGGTGGATTGCTTAAGTCTAGGAATGTGAGACCAACCTGAGCAAAATGCTGAAACTCCATCTCTACTGAAAATAAATACAAAAAATTAGTCAGACTTGGTGGTGTGCTTGTAGTCCCAGCTACTTAGGAGGTTGAGGTAGGAGGATCACTTGTGCCCAGGAGGTGGAGGTTGTAGTGAGCCAAGGTAATGCCACTGCACTCCAGCCTGGGCAACAGAACAAGACCCTGTCTCAAATAAATAAGTAAGTAAATAAATAAATAAATAACCAGCTGTAACCATGTGAGCACTTACAGAAATAAAGACAGTAAATGTTATCAGCATTACTTCTTTATGTTTTTATAATGATATTTGTGTCTGTGTGTATGTATCCTTACATGTATTGAGCAAATACCTTTCTTTTCATCTTTTCCTGATGATCTGTAATAAAACATAAGATGTGCTAACAATAATTCCCTTTTATTAATAAAAGTTAACTTTTATTACGCATGGTATTTAGGTTACAGTATATCAAAGAGAAGAGTGCATATCATGCATCTTTTTCTGTGGAAAGGGTTAGTGTGTTTCTAGTTGGATGCAAGTTAATTGTATCATCTTTGGCAAAAGTAAGACTTTATAATTGTTTTTATTTGGAGACGAAGTAAGGTTTAAGGAAAATGTTAATGGGTGCCAAGTTCACAAGCATGGACTGGGATGGTGGGTCTTATGTGTCAATTTTACTAAACCATAGCACCTAGTTATTTAATCAAACACTAAATTTATATGTTGATATGATGGTGTTTTGCAGTTGTGATTAAAATCTGATATCAGTTGATTTCATGAAAAGGAAATTACCCTAAAACATGTGGGTGGGACTTTTTGAATCACTTGAAGGCCTTTGGGCGAAATGTGAGTCTTCCCAGAGAAGAAAAAATTCTGCCTCAAGATGACAGTAGCAACTACACTTTAGGTTTCCAATCTGCCAGCCTGGTCTACAAATTTTAGATTGAAGGCTGCAACATTATGACTTTCCAGCCTTCCAGCCTGCCGAGGTGTAACTTGTGACATCAATAACGTAAAATGAGGGGTGGGAAAAGATGTAAAGAAGCAGAGTTTCATATTGATTTCAGTTCAAGATTGTTATAACTGTATTGTTATATATAATACCACAGTAATCACAAAGAAATATACATAAAATATACACAAAAGAAAATGAGAAGGCAGTTAAAACATATCACTAGAAAAAAATCGACTAAATGAAAAATGACTAAAAACAAAAGAAGGTTGGAATGAAGGAGATGAAGGACAAAACAGCTATAAGACATGCATAAAACCAACATCACAATTACAGAAGTAAATCCTTCCTTATCAGTAATTACTTTAAATGTAAATGTAAATGGATTAAACTTCCCAATCAGAATTCAGAGATTATCACAATGGACAGAATAAAAAGGATCTGGCTGGGCACGGTGGCTCACACTTTTAATCTCAGCACTTTGGGAGACGGTGGCTGGCAGATCACAAGGTCAGGAGTTCGAGACCAGCCTGGCCAACATGATGAAACCCCGTCTCTACTAAAAATAGAAAAAAATTAGCCGGGTGTAGTGGCAGGTGCCTGTAATCTCAGTTACAAGGGAGGCTAAGGCAGGAGAATTGCTGGAACCGGGGAGGCAGAGGTTTCAGTGAGCTAAGATCGTACCACTGCACTCCAGCCTGGGCAACAGAGTGAGACTCCGTCTCAAAAAAAAAAAAAAAAGATTCTCACTTTGGATCTAACGACACACAGAAGTTGAAATTGGAAAGACAGAGAAGGATATTCACAAAAATAGTAACTAAGAATTTTTAATGATCTCTTATAGGGTTCTATGTGTTGGCTGGGCTCAGATGATGGCCTGGGAGTGTTACATGGTCCAGGGATTGAAGTGGAAGGAACCAGACGCAGGCAGGATGGTTAACAGCAGTGCCCAGACTGACACAGCCACACTTCTGCCATATTTTATTGGGTAACGCAGATATCAGATCTGCTTATGTTTAAGGAGTGGAGAGAACTTACCTCTTGATGAGGGAGTGGTGGGTCAAACTAAAGAAAAGCAAGTGCGATGGAAGATATTTAGATATTTTTGCAGCCCTCTTTGGAAAATACATGCAATTCAAAACATCCTATCTGCCAGAAAGGAAGAACACCATTACGCCTTACCCCTCCAGTTTAAGCCCTGTGATTCTATAGTATCCTGGGGAAGGATCATGTCTTAGGAAGCAGGTGGGGAGTCGAAGCTCTAAATAAAGCCCCATCTACACCCACAATTTCACTTTATTTTGATGAAATTTTGTGTCATTTTTGATGAAATGGGGGCTCACAAATCTCTCTTCAGGGATCTCTCCAGTGGCGGGGACGATATGCTCCCTTCTCCACAGTTCTACTTTATAGATAAGTGGAACTAGATCTCAGTTTCAGTTATTTAAAACACCAGAGACTTGGATGCATGCATGTCACAAAAAGGTGAAAGAATGCTCTCTGTCACTTTCCCTTCTCTCACTCACTGCGCCCTGAACAAGAACCTGCTCTACCCTGACCTTTTGAATGAGGAGGAGGGTCGCACTCCTGCCTAACCTTCAACTTTCCAGAGATAAACCTCCTGCCCAAACAGCATGGTTCATTATAAAGACCAAACCCTACACCAAGAGCTCTCCCCTTATCCACCATGGCAGAAACTGAATCCTATGGAAAGGCCCAGAAAATTCTGGCTCAAAATGACCAGCGTCATGTCCCTTCCACCAAAATAAAGCCAACATATTCATCACAACATGGGGTATTGATAAGGATATCAAAATGATTACCAAAAAAATTTGACAAATATGTTCTTTTTATTACATCAACTTTTTTTTCCCTCCAAATATAAAGAAAATAAGCCTGCACAGCAGGAGAAGTTGTTCCCCTGGGAGAGCATCCTCTTTCCAGCTGAAAATCTGGTACTGGAATCACTAGAATGGAACAAGGGTTTCTGGTATGACACAGCACCAGGTCTTGGGGCAGCCAGAGTTAGGGAGGGCTCACCCTCTGGGTGACACCAACCTTTGGTTCTCCATTTTTTTGTTCTCATTGCAAGAACAAAATTTCAGAGTATCAGAGCCAAAGAAATTTACTCTATTTTATTCTTTAGAAAATGCAATCTCAAGGATAATCAGACTGTTATGGGCTAAATTGTATCCCCCCAAAATTGGCATGTTGATGTCCTAACCCCCAGTACCTGAGAGAGTGACTGCATTTGGAGAGGTTTTAAGGAGGTCATTAAGGTAAAATGAGGTCATGTGAGTGTGCCCTAATTCAATGTGACTAGTGTCTTCATAAAAAGAGAAGATTAGACACAGACAGATACGGAGGAATGACCATGTGAAGACAGAGAGAGAACACATCTACAAGCCAAGGAAAGAACCTTAGAAGAAATCAGCACTGCCAACACCATGATCTTGAACTTCCAGCCTCCAGAACTGTGAGACAATGAATTTCTGTTGTTTAAGTCACCCAGTGTGTGGTACTTTGTTATGGCAGCTCTAGCAAATTAAAACAAACATATTATATTGCCCAATGGAGAGTTTTACCTGACTCCACTCTGGCTCCAATTTGATTAAGGTCTATATGCTCTGGGACCTCTCCAGCTCCTCATGAGAAATGACAAAGAATGCCATGTCCAGCTCCTGGGGTCCCTGATGGCAGTAAGAGGCAGCTCCTAATCGAGGGAGCTTTGGGGTGACGAAGGCCTCATAGACTTCATCACTGTTGGGCCACTTGGCTTCAGTCCCCTGACCACAATGGATCCATGGGCCTGGATTCACCTCTGACATTCGTGTCTTTTTTTTCCACAAGTGGTCTCTGGTAGAGATGGAGGGAAAGGACACAGGGATTCAAAATCCTGACTATCCTAGTGTCCTCCCCTCACTTCCACTCAGAGACAACACGGCCATTTCTCTAAACTCCTGAGGACGTGGCCAACATAAGTAATGGAGCACGGGGAGGTGCCTTGAACAGAGCTGCATGGAAGGGTGGCTGGTGGCCTCTAGACCCTTTGTCTATACGTGCTGGGCTTCTTTAGTATGAAATGTCCCAGAGACAGCCACATTCTATGCTTGGATCCTCAAACCAAAATGTGTGAGGGTCTTAGCCCTGGCCAACTGAGCACTGAATTCAAGAGAGACCAGGAAACCTTCTGAATATTGGGACACTTTATTCCTGAATCCTGAATCCTGGAAGTTGGCTTCTGGCCAGGGAGGCAGGTGTCATTATATCTGGGCTGCCTCTGTGAGGCCTCTTTTCCCTCTGCCTTTCACATCTTTCTACCCCTGTTAAAATCCCAGAACAGATAGAAACATTCTGCCTTCTTAGATGCCTCTTGCTACAAATTTCAATGCCATTTGATTGAATTAATAAATGAAAGCAACTTTAATACAAGATGAGGTTTAAAGAATGGTATTTGACATGGGTTTAGAATGAATAAATGGATCAAGTAATGAATTTTGAGAAAATTCATGTAAAATTTATTTTTAACCATTTTATTAACTTGACTGTGGAATTAATAAATGATTCCAAATTAATACAAAAAAGTGCAATCACAAATGTATGAATGCCCAGAAGTGTGAATGAGGGGCAATGCACACAAGAAAAAAGGTGTGCACAGGAAGAAATTCTTCATTCCACGTTTTTACTGATCCCTCTGGTCAAGATGGGCTAAAAGTCCAAAAATCTGCTTTCCTCACATGGTCAAATGATTCAGCATAAAATACAACTGACTGAACACAATTATCAATGCTTTAAATATATTAGAAAAAATCAATAAGGAAAAATAATCCTACCATCACTAAGATTTTAAGTTATAATAAAATAAAGCCTAGAAACGTATCGTTTGTTCCCAATTCCAATGATTATAGGATTGCAGTGTTTGGCTTTCAAAAGACCATTTAAAACAACTCAGGGAAGTTTTCTTAACAAACTCTATAGCAGGACCACAGCTAAACCTATGAGTAGTAGTAGAAGTAAACAATGACACTGTCTTTAAAATTTCATTTTGAAAAACATGTTTGAAAGTGGCTGACTGGCTCCTAATTTAACCACTACCATTTGAAGTCATATGTTAGATTGGCAAAGTCGTCGTAATTTTTATGTATTTTATTTTTGTAATGCAAGTGCTTCACTCTGCTATCTGATAAAAGAAAATACCAAGCCAGGCATGGTGATGCATGCCTTGTAGTCCCAGCTACTCAAGAGCCTGAGGCAGGAGGTTCCTTCAGCCCAGGAGTTCAAGGCTGCAGCAAGCTATGATGGTGCCACTGCACTCCAGCCTGGGCAACAGATAATGCAATTTTAATGTAAAATTTTAGTGTTAGGAGTTCAACCTTGGACTGATTCTGTGAGATCCTATTTGAGAGAAGCTGTTGTGTACAATGAAGTTTGGGGAATATCAACAAGAAGTAAATGCCTACCTTGTTTCTAATTTACAAACTAAAAGGAAATTCCATAAAATTTAATGCTAAGCTAAATCATTGTAGAATGAATGACAAAAAAATTATCCTACAAAACATAACCAGTTGCTAGATATATTTGAACATTAATTAGAAAAAAGATGAATGAAAGCCATGTTTTAGGAATAAAAACTACAAAAGAACTGTAAAAGCTTATCATGCCCTTGGCTGGAGTTACGCAAAGTTACTACTCACCCGTAAATTGGGATTAGCATGGTGGCTACTTCTTAAAGTTGATACAAGGATTAAATGTGTTTTAATGCATCAAAAGCATCTAGAAAAGTGCCTGAGACATAGTAAGTGCTAAAGTCTCTCTAAGTAAATAAAAAATATATAAAAGTGATGCTAAATTCACGATTCTGATCCTCTGTGCACACCCAATGTGTTTAAAATTCTGTTCATCTTCCCTTCCACATTCACAGTGAAATGTTTCTGATTAATTTAATGGGCTGTGTGAGGTGTTCATTATCTTTTACATTAAACTTGGTACATTGTACAACACTCTTATATTGTGATAATTTACCAAGCTAACACAGGCTTACCTTGTTTTTAATCCTTTTCACACACAGCATAGAATTATATTGCTATATTTTTAAATTTCAGATGATTTGAAAAATATTTACACTATAGTAGCCAAACAGTAATAATTATAAGCAACTTGGATAAAACATTTGAAATTAGAGAACTATATTTAGAATAAATTTCTCACCTTACAGAAAAATTTCCCATTGAAAACCCCTTTATTTCGCATACAAATAAGAATTCAGCATGTTTTTCTATACCCAGAGAGAACAGAGATAAACAGGGTCCTTTCGTGTGGTTTGGGTATTTTATTAGATGCTGAGTTCAAGAAAGTCTCACCCCTGAAGAAGCTGAAATTCCATTTTTCTTCGAAATGGGGTCTTTTCAAAGTTAGTAACAATGAAGCTGTCATTCACACGATGCATGGCTGAACAAAAAGACAGAGACAGCGGGTGCTGCATTTTATTTTTGTAATGTTGCCTTGTCCACAAGACACTATTTACACTTAAATCAATTAAAATTATATTAATTTTAAAAGTCAGTTTTCCCAGTTTCTCATTTGTACTAGCCACATTTCAAATACTCAGAATTCATGGGTGGCCGGTGACTGACGTAATGAACAGCACAGATATAGGCATTCCATCACTACAGAAGGGAGCTGGACAGCAGTGTGCCAATGTTTTAAGGACAGAATCCTGAGTAGAATTATAGGATGATGACAATTCCGAGTTCCCATTCCAATTCATGGTCTCTTCTCTGATGAGTGGTGTAGGGGGAAATCCATCTCTTTTGTGAGTAAAGGTTAATTTTTCCAACTACAGATAAATAATTAACATTACTTTTTTTAAAACCAGTTTTACACTGTTAAGTTACAACCAAAAGTGAAGGGCTTGAATTACATTTACATTTTAACACATGGTTTTAAAGGGAAGATCCGTGTGAAAAAGAAACAAAACTCAGAAAAAAAACCCAGAAGTTTTCATACCAATTCCCATAGCAATAACAATCCCTTTTCTGTCGTTAGAGTTCACCCTCATTCTGATTTCATAGTAATCCTGTTCATGTCTTTCTTTAAAGCTTTACCCCATGCATATATTTCTAAAACAACACAGGTTATCTCAAACTTTATATAAATTTTGAATTTTTCATACAAATGGAATCATGCTGTGTATATTCTTACAAGACCTCATTTTAGATCAAATGTATGTTTGCTAAGTTTTTATAGGTGTCTGTAGAGTATTCATGTTTATTATTTGTAACATTTCATTGAATAAATACATCATATATTAAATTAACCCTTCTCTCGTTTATGGTCATTTCATTTGTTGTCAGATTTTTTAAAATTACAAGCAATGCTGTTACAAGTCTTCTAGCACTAGTCTGTTGGCACAATGGGCACATATCTGTCAAAATTATACACCTAGGAGTGGAGTTACTGGTATATGTGTATGATATCCCACTCAAAGAGATGATGCCACACTGCTAGATAAAGTGGCTGTGGCAAGCAATGTGTGGTAGATCTTGATGGTCTGTATTCTCATCAGTGTTTGGAAAACTCAATAATTTTAATATAGAAATTCTAGTGCATTTTTCAAAATATCTCATTATGTTTTCCTCATTAAACTTTATTGAGATATAAATCACATACTACTCACCCATCTAAAGTATGCAATTCAATGGTTTTTCACATATTCAGAGTTTTAAATCTGCATATTTAATTTTAGAACATTTTCATCATCCCAAGATAATCCACGGCTTTATAATATGTCTCTCTATACAATGAAGTAAATCCATAAATTTTGAGTTTTCACTTCAGGAGTGTTTTTTCTATCATTGGCAACTTTCCTAGCTTGACAGGCACCTTTCCAAGTACCTTTAACAATTTTATTTTTAATAGAGATTTCATTCAGTAATCAGATTTGGAGAGCACTGACAAATTTTGCCACATTGAGACTTATAATTCATGAACATGTAATGTTTACTTATTAAATACTCTTAAATAAAGTATTGCTGGTTTTACTTGTGCATCTTTTAGTAGATTTATTCCAAAGATCTTGAAATATGGTGCTAGTGTTCACAGTATCTCTTTCTTTGTTGAATTTCAGTGTTGGTTGTGGTATGTATAAATATAAATAATTTTATATAGTTTTAATTCAATGACTTTGCTTAAAGCTTTTATTAATTCATGTAGTTGATATATTCTGTTGCCTGATTGCACTAGCTAGGAAATCCAGTGTGATTTTGAGTGCAATGGAGAGGGCAGGTCTGCTGGTATCTTCTCTGTGCACTCCTGATCCACACTCCATGTACTCTCCCTGCTCCGTGTCCTGGACACTGTGCTGCATGGCCTGCTGGACCACAAAAGGCAGCCTTGCTTTCTGGCTTTTATTTGGGATCGGCTAAATGGGAGCATCATCACGGAGAGAGTGATGAGGAGCACTGGTTGGAGGGATTTCTCCCCATAGCTTTCAGTATTGACATAGGGAGAAATGAGATGTGATTGGCCTGGATTCATCAATATGGGATCTTCACCCAGTATCTTAGATTAAATGTGTTATTTTGAACACCTAAGAGTGATGTTAATAGTCAGCCAGGTTAGCTAATTAAAACCCGAATTCAACTGTGGCCTAGCACAGTGTTTCTCAAATTTGACTGAGCTTTCCATCACGTGGGAGATTTTAAATAGCCCCAGGTCTAGATCAACATGTAAAACCAATGAAATCTAATTCATCAAAAGTAGGATCCTGGAAACAGTATTGTTCCTAAAACTCTCCAGGTTTGACTCCAATCAACAGCCAAGTTAAAAACTAGTAGCTCAAAGCAGTGGTTCTCAATATTTGGTATGTATCAAAATCATCTGGGAATTGTAGCAAAACTACACAGGCCCAGATATTATTCTAATTTAACAGGCTAGAGCCTTGAGTTTATTAAAACAAATCATCTCTCCAGATTTTGCTATATGCAACAGTTTGTGAAAACCACTAGCCTATATCAACAGAATCCCTATCACAGGCATACTGCAGAGGAAAGTGTCTGAACACAGCTCAGAAAGACGGAAAAGTGGGAATGTATCCATTATGTGCAACCTACTTAACATCTCCTAACCACATCTCCCGGGAGGGCTGAGAGGATGCCCCCCTTACCAAGGCATTAAGGTGCCACATGACACATACAGGTATAAAAACTGCTAGGTCTGCTGAGCAGTCACCAATCTTGAGTCCTGGATATTCAGAAATTCTTATCCAGTAGCTACACCAAAGCCAGCTGATATGTCAGAGCCCCTCAAATAAGCAGAAGGCTGGTGCCCTTGAGAAAGGACCCTATAATTCACTCTGAGATAAATTCTTTTTACAGGACTTTCCCAGAGGAACATTTAGTCATTTATCGCTGTCCACTGGGGAATGGAAAACCCCAAATAATCTGGGAGCTCAACTTTAATGTCTTTAATCCTGTCAAAGATTACCCTGGGGTTAATACTTTGTTGTAACCTGCATAAAAATCTTTCCCTACACTAAAGTAATGAAGATATTCTACTATATTACTGTAAAGAGATGAGTACAATCACATTTTTTTACAAGAGATGAGTACAATTGCATTTTTCCAGATAGATAACCAATTGTTGTTAAATTATTTTCTAAATCGTTTTCCTTTACCCACTGATCTGTAATGTTGCCTCTGCTCTACATACGTTCAGGGCTTTCTATTCTGTTCCCAAGTTCTAGTTTACTACCCTGTCTCAACATCTCGACTCTCTTAATTAAAATAACTCTAACATAAGTCTTAATATCTGCTAAGGAAATTCTCTCTGCTTATTATTCTTATTTAGAGTGTCATAGCTACTTTTTCTCTTTCATATTTCAATATAAGGCTTAAAATTGGCTTACTATGTGTTGCAAAAATGCTTGATAAACATTTGATTGAGATGTGTTTGAGTTCTTAGAGTACTGTAGGAAATTAATGTCATTATTATATTGAACCATCCAAGCCAGGATCCTGGTAAATTGATTCAGTTAATTCACTGTCTTCTTTAATTACTGTCTTCTATTATTACTCAGTAGGGTTTTTTAAATATCCCAATTGATATCTTGTACAGAATTTGTTAGGTTTAGTTTTAGAAGTTTATATGTACGCACTTTTGCTGAATCAATTTTTTAAAATTTTCATTTTATATCTGTGCAAAACAGCTCTATAATTTCTTCTACCTACCAAGCAAAAATATCTTATTAACTTCCGGATCACGAGGTCAGGAGATCAAGACCATCCTGGCTAACATGGTGAAACCCCATCTCTACTAAAAATACAAAAAATTAGCCGGGCATGGTGGCGGGCGCCTGTAATCCCAGCTACTCGGGAGGCTGAGGCAGGAGAATGGCCTAAGTAAATCTGGGAGGCGGAGCTTGCAGTGAGCCGAGATCTCGCCACTGCACTCCAGCCTGGGCGACAGAGCGAGACTCCGTCTCAAAAAAAAAAAAAAAAAAAAAAAAATATATATATATATATATATATATATATTTATATATATATGTATCTTATTAACTTCAAGAGTGTTCTAATCATTTGTATTTTCTGCATTCAGCATATTACCATTTGCAAATTATAAGAGTTTTGTGCCTTCTTTTCAAACCTTTTTAAGTATATTTCTTTTCTTCTTTATGACACTGGGAAGATCCTCAATTACAATTTTTAATAAGAGCAGTGAAAACTGCTGGACCACTCAAACAAAAATTGAGCTGCCACTCCTGAGAACTGACTGTGTTGCTCTTATGGATCAGCCCTTTGGGACCCATCCTAATCCCAGGGATTTACAGTGCCACATATGCACCCGCAGCCTTTAGATGTAGACTTTATCCACCTAGCCCTCAAAGGTCTCAGACACTGCCCAGAGCAGCCAACATCACCCAGGACAAAAGCAACCCTGCAGCTCAACTTGCTCTTCTAGATTTCTGCCTTCTCCTGGTTCCTGGCCTGGCAAATCTTTACTGCTTGGTTAGCCCCTTCATACTTTCCATCAGATTTTTCAAATATGTACCCTTTTCCCACTTGTCCAGTAGTACTCAATGGGAGGGATGATCCAAATTACATAATTAATAATTGCTGAAAACTAAAGTACAATGTACAATTTTTATGTCAATGTCACATGCCAAGGGAGAAAATGCATAGGTATCAGTAGTGACTACTTAAGCATGTGTAACTTAGAGGTAATAAAAACAAAAATGTTAGGTAATATCTATCTATTCCAGATTAAAATCTACATCAATAAATTCAAACTTCTAGGAAAAATATCTGCATATGTAATATATGACTGTGACTCCGATAGACGAACGTGGGAATATAGTATGAAGATACTTCTCATCGTCTTCACTCTGTGAGGCAGTCAGTGTGAAATGAGAACCAGGGATTCAAAATGTGTTGCAAGACTATGAAAAGCACTAGAGTAAGTTCTACACAAATAAAGCAATCTCCTCATAAATTACACTGGGCTTATCTGTGAGATGCATGTCCTTATCAAAATGGAGTTAATTCTAGGTAGGTGATCTTGTTTAAATAAAATGGACTCTGACTCACTAGCTACTGGTCCACCATCGGTTTTTCCCTTTACTAAAAGGGAGGCCCCACACTGAGCCAGCATTTCCCAAGAGGAGGTCTCTTGCTGACATCAACTTCCAACAGGGTAAATTTTCATGGGAACCCAAAGAGAAGAGGAAGACCTCAAGAAAAAGGGCCTAAAGAAATGACAAGAATGATAACATTTTACACTTTTATTGTGCTATGTGTCAAATAGTGGTCTTCGCACTTTAAAAATGCCAATTCATTTTATTCTGACTACACATCCATGGCTTGTGCCTGTTATTTTTCCCTTTCATAGTTAATGCCATAGGAATGAAGATCACACAAAAGTAGGGATGGAGCCGGGTTTGCACCCAGACAATTCTGCCCCAGGGCCATGCTCACACCACTGCACTTTTCCAGAATGTGAGGGTGGGCGGAGAGTCCAGCTCAGGGAGAGAGATTGGAGTGAGAGAAGAAGGAGAGGGGGCCGACTGGATCACTGTGATGGTCTGGACCCACGATTCCAGGAGAGAAAGACAAGGATTATGTCACTCAGGGAAAATATCCAAAGTCTCTGGTTTAAACTTAAGCATCTCCAGCTCCAGGACAGGTGGCTGGTGGGAAGACAAACTAAGCCAAAGCCACAGCTCTGAAGATTTCCCTCTCCTGAGAATTCTGCAGGGGTTTCCCTGACCTCATGGCCACCTCTCACCCTTGGCTCTTGTTTTTCCCCCAGGACTGATAAGGGCGTCCAGATGGGACGCCTTTATCAGTTGGTCTCGGGTTCTAGAGAAGCCATCAGAGTCAGTGGAGGATGAGCTTCATAAAGTGGGAGATCTCCAGGATCCTTCCTGGACTCCAAGATACCCAGAGAAGCCGGATCCTGTGTCCCGGAACCCCCTTCCTGTTCCTTTGTGGGCCCTGACCTTAGGGAGAACTGGGCTGGTGAGAAGATCAGGATGAACTGGGCTGGGGAGGCAAGAGGGAAAGGGCGGCTTGGAGGGCTTAGTAGCTCCTCTCGCGGCGCCTCCGTCCCGGGCTGGGATCTGCAGACTCCTCAGGTCACTTCTCCCAGAGCCGCCGCCCCAAGCCACCCTCCCCTGGTTCCCGTCCCTCTGTCCCCTCCCCAGCTCCCCCCACACAGTAAGAAGCTCCCAAGTGAGCGGCTCCGGTGCCGGGCGGGACGTGGGAGGGAGGCTGTGTCCCCGCGGGGAGGCAGGGCGACGGCGTCCAGGAGAGAGGCGAGCGGGGCGGCGTCCCAGGCACCCTGCGCCTCTCCCGCCCGCAATGTGCGGGTTCCCGGAGCCCAGGCCCGCACCCCGGGTACTTGAAGGCCGCCGGGCTCCGCCTTCACCACGTGGGCCCTGAGTTCCTCCGCGGCGCCTTCGTGGGCGACACGCGATTCCTGAGCTTCCACAGCCGCGGCGAGAATCAGAGCGTGAAGCGCGGGTGGAGAAGATGGCACAGGGCTGTGGGCGCCCTGAGGAAAGTTCTCGAAGACCGCAGGGAATGTGTTACTGAGGGGCCTGAGGTTCCTGGGCCCGCACCACCACCAGGGTCAGCCGGTGAGTGACCTCAGACTCCGGGCACAGGTGTGCCCCGCCCCGACCCCAGAGTGACCAGCCCGGTTCTCCCAGGGATGGGGGGGCGGGGCCTCAGCTGATCCCTCTCAGGTGGGGAAGCGCTGGGGCCATTTTGCTCCAGGTTTCTCCTTCAATCTGGATCATGACTGACTTGTTCTGTGACCAATGACAGAGGGAGGAAGGAGCTGGGGTGGGCGGGGCGACCTCCCTCCCCTCCCTGGCCCCGCCTCCGGCTCACCCTGGGGCAGGTCCAGGGCACCGCACCTGCAGATGCTGCTGTCTGGCTGGGTGGTGGCTCCGGACAGGAGCTTCCTCGAAGGACACTTTAAGTCCGCCTACGACAAGGAGATTTCATGTCCCTGAACGAGGACCTGCAGACCTGGACAGCGGCTCAAAGAGCGGCTTGGAGGATCCATCACACCTGGGAGAGGTTCTGGACCGCGGAGGCCACAAGGGAAGCCCCGATGGGTCACTGCACTAGGTGGCTGCTCAGACACCTGGAGCATGGCAAGGAGATGATGCTGCCGGCAGGTACTGGGGTCCTCCAGGCCCCACGTCAGGACCTCTTGGAGCTGGAATTATGTTCCTTGGAGGCATCCATATTTGAGGAAAGAGGAGACCGAACAGTCTCCGTCTCCTCCTCCTCCTCCTTCTCCTCCTCCGTCGCCGCCTCCTCCTCCTCCTCCCTACTGCGGGGTTGGGGATTCTGGCCCAGGCTCCTGAGGCTCTCCCATGGGTGGGTGGGGAGGGAGGACAGAGAAGAAGGAGTGCAGGGAGGTAAATAGGAAAGGACAGTAGTTACCCTTGTCAACAGTGAGGTACTTGGGTCTAGCTTCACCGGGAATCTTTTTCTTTCCTGGCCCTCTGTGCCCAACAATTACATATAATCTTTAACCCAACCAGAAGATAAAACACCAGGAAACGGAATCGGCAGAGACACAGTAGATGAAAGTACCACGAAGGACTGCTAGGTTCTAATAGAAAGTAGCAGATGTGAGTATCAAAAGTTATAAACCTTTTTGCAAATCAGAAAAGAAACAGACTTTTTTTTTTTTTTTTTTTTTTTTTTTTTTTTTTTTTTGAGACGGAGTCTCTCTCTGTCACCCAGGCTGGAGTGCAGTGGCGCGATCTCAGCTCACTGCAAGCTCCGCCTCCCAGGTTCACGCCATTCTCCTGCCTCAGCCTCCCGAGTAGCTGGGACTACAGGCGCCCGCCACTACGCCCGGCTAATTTTTTGTATTTTTAGTAGAGACGGGGTTTCACTGTGTTAGCCAGGATGGTCTCGATCTCCTGACCTCATGATCCGCCCGCCTCGGCCTCCCAGAGTGCTGGGATTACAGGCGTGAGCCACCGCGCCTGGCCGAAAAAGACATTTTAAGACTGAAAAGTGGTATCACCAATGTTAGAACCAAAAAACTGGACCTGAGGGTGCATCACCCGAGGGGGTTAAGTTAAACTCTGTCCCTGTTCCTTCTAGAGCCCCGTGGAGATTCCTGCTGTGCAGCAAAGCCTGGGAGGGGCCCTTGGCTGTGGAAGGCAGGCTGAGACGTCATAGGTGAGATAGGAGGAAGGGGACCTGCTGGACTCCCGGAGGCCTGGTACCCAGGGAAGGCCAGTTCCTAGGGCTGCCTCTGGACTTCAGAACCTTGATGTTAAGTCAGATTTTCCCGCTCCTCCATGAGCTTCCAGGAGCAGGGCCACATGGGGCTCAGAAAGTCCCACAGTGCCTAGGAAGTGGGTCTGTCTCTTGTGGGACAAAAATTCTCAGGTCTTTCTCTTTCAGATTCTTAAATTTCTTAAAAGAGATTGAACTGGAATTACCCAGGCCCCAAACTGAATCAAGGAATTGGGACTGTGTAATGTGTGTGTGTCTGTCTGTGCACATGTGGATGTATAAACAGGTATGGGCATCTATGTGTATGTGCGTGTTTATAAGTGCGTATATGTATGTATCTGTACATATTTATGTATATAAGCAGGTATGGGTATGTATGTGTGTATGTGTGTGTGTTACTCTGTGACTTCCTCATACTTGGCACCACCCTGGCCTTTTCCTGGTTGCCCCCCACACCATAGGTTGTAGGGGACAGAACAGCGCTCCACCTGCAGGCATAGAACGGGGGTCAGGATAAGTGTTGGGGAGAGCTGGTTTCATCACACCTGGAATAAGGAAACAGGACCTAAATGGATGGGTCCCACTCTTTTACAGAATTGTACCTTAAAAAAAGTGTCAGTCACGTTCCTAAGGGATTTACATGAATTAAATCATTTAAACCTCACAAGAGCCCTATGACCTAGAGACAGCTATCAGCCCCATTTTACAGACAAGGAAACTGAGGTCACTAGGAAGTTTAGTAACTGTCAATGGGCTGACTCATGACTCTAAGGAGACAGTCTGACTGCTGAGCCCAAGTAACTGCTCTGTCATACTCACCCTCACACCCACCTACTACTGGCTCCCTGTGGGTCACCTCCTCCTGTGGGCTCTGACCAGCTTCCCTTTCTTCTCCAGGCACAGAGACTGGACTGAAGTCTATTGCATTTGCCACAGTCCCGACTGGGGAGTCATGGGGTTGAAGTGACCCATAGGCTGATGGAGTGTGCTTGCTGGATGCGGGGGAAAGGGAGATTTATATCTGCCCTGGAGGGAGTCAATGGTGTTTGCATCATGGCATATGAGGTGCACTATCTAGAATGCTGAAGGGTAAAGACCAGCAGGGGCCATGCAGAGTCTATTCATCACGGTTTTATTTCACAGCCTGCATGGGCCTGAGAGTGGTGGGGTGTTCACTCATCTCCATCCAATCCCTACTGGTTCCTGACCTCTCTTCTTCCAACTGGTAATACCTGCACTCAAGGTTGAACCATGAGGAGGAGTCTACCCACACCCCACACTTCCTCCTCTCTGCCTGCCACTCCCTAGTGGGGCCTCCTGGATGGTGTGAGAGGAGAGTGACGGAGATAGTAAGAGAACTTGACATTCACACTGGTAAAGAGAAAGTGGGATGTCAACCTATGAGAAAGATAAGGGCTGCCACAGGGAAGGGGATGAGATAAGTTCTAACTGGCCCCAAGGGTCGCTTAACTCAGTGAAAGCTGTGGGAGGTGTTTTCAGCTATCCATTGCTATGTAAGAAATTGCCACAAACTTAGCAGCTTACAACAACACACATGTATTATCCCACATTTCTATGGGTCAGGAATCCAGACACAGCTATGCAGCTTTCTCACATGATTTTCATCAGAGTGCCATGGCTGGGTCTTATCTGGAGGCTGAACTGGGGAAGGATCCACTTCCAAGCTCAAGCAATTGTTGGCAGGATTCATTCCTCCATGCCTGTTAGACTGACAGCCTCAGTTCCTTACTGGCTGGTGGCCAGAGGCTGACTTCAGTTCCTTGCCACATGGGCCTTTCTGCTTCATCAAAACTTGCAAACAAAGAAGGTAGAAGACAGAGTCATCTAGTAATACAGAAGTGCGGCTGTAATATGACCTCATCACGGAAGTGACATCATTTTTGTCACTTTCTATTGGTTAGAAGCAAGTTTAGGCCCCATCGGTTCTCAGCTGGATGAGATGCCAAGAGACAGGATCACCGGGCATCATCTTAGGGTCTCTATACACAGGCTGGACCATGACTGAACAAGATCATTACAAACCCGGGTCCTGGACTGGGCCAGATGATCTGCAGAGCTGAGCTGTGTTTATGAAATCGAATCCCTGGAAACAAAAATCAAGAGACGCCCACTGGAAAGGCTGGTCTTGCATTCTGTGTGAAAGCTAAGATGGCGTTCTCTCCAAATGTTTTTCTCTATTACTTTTCAAACCTCCTGCATCTGTAAAGAAGCAGCACCACTAAACCTATCTGGTTTTTTTTTCATT
Source organism: Homo sapiens (assembly GCF_000001405.40). Classification (NCBI taxonomy): domain Eukaryota; kingdom Metazoa; phylum Chordata; class Mammalia; order Primates; family Hominidae; genus Homo; species Homo sapiens. The sequence continues at coordinate 2,785,358 of NT_113891.3, read as the reverse complement.
CGAGTGTCATACTGTTAGGCAAATCTTCTGCTTTCACTATTTCTTCAAGCTTGTTTTCATGCAGAATCCCACGAACTTCTGGTAATTACACTTTATTGATTTCTTTTCCTTCACTCAGTTTATTTTTTAGTGATTTTATTTCTCTTGTATGGATAAATTAGTCCATTTAATTAGGGAATTTGTGTCTTCTAAAGAAATATTTCTACTATTTTTTGGACCATATGGGCTAAGATCCTCTTGCCAAGCCTCAGCTCACTTCCCACATGGACACGACAAAATTACTGGGGGTCCTGGAAAGTCGGGGATTGGCATAGTTCTTAAGCAGGATCAGACATGTAAGTCACAAAGATATGAGGCAGATACCTTTGATTTCCTTATGACCCTGATGACAGCATACCTGGCACTCAATACCTGTCTGTAGAGGTGAACTCAACTAAACTCCTCCCTGATCACTCAATACCATGTGAGCCCAAGGACCTCTTATGTCATGGGCCAAATTCCCTTGTTTTATGTCATTTTTCCAGATGGAGTGCTGTTCACATGGGGACCTTTCTCCTTTTCCACCTCATTTTCCATGTGTGAAACACTGGGTCTTGATTACTCAGATCTCTCAGGGTCCTTTCTACCTTTTCCTCCATCCTAACATTCTCCCTACAGTTCCTGCCAGGGTTTCCCCGAACCTCTTCTTCTCCATGTATTCAGTCTAGCATCTCTCAGTTCATTCTTCACACTTCACCAAAGTGATATTCTGGAATGCAGATCTGATCAAGGTTCTTCCTGACTTCAGTGCTGCCAGTGCTGCACATTGTCCTCGGATAAAAGCCAAAGGTTCTCCCCAACCCCACAAGCCTTAGTCATTGAATCTGCTCACTGCTCCAAGCTTGCTTTTTGCCCCTGTGCTCCTCTTTCTCTAATCTCTACCCTGAACTGCTGACAGTTCCCCCAGACTCCCTGTGTGTTCTTTCTTCTGAGCCTTTGTTTGTGATACTGATTCCCTAAAAGATTTCTCCTGCCATTCACCTGGATTAACTGTGTTCCTCATCCAGTTCTCTGTTTAGACATTGCATCCTCTTGGAAGCAGTTTTCCCGCACTAATTATAGTAGCCTGCATTTAGCTGTTTTTTTAGTCCCCTTGTGGAATCTTTGATGTTTCACTCATTGAGGCCTAGGAGACCCTGACACATAGTAACTGCCTAATAAATGTTTGCTAAATAAATGTGGGGTTCACCATGAGATACCACGTTATACATGCAAGAATGGCATTAATTTGGCTGGGCGCGGTGGCTCAAGTCTGTAATCCCAGCACTTTGGGAGGCCAAAGCAGGCAGATCACGAGATCAGGAGATCGAAACCATCCTGGCTAACACGGTGAAACCCTGTCTCTACCAGAAATACAAAAAATTATCTGGGCGTGGTGGCATGCACCTGTAGTCCCAGCTACTCGGGAGGCTGAGGCAGGAGAATTGCTGGAACCTGGGAGGTGGAGGTTGCAGGGAACCAAGATCATACCACTGCACTCCAGCCTGGGAGACAGAGTGAGATTCTGTCTCAAAAAAAAAAAAATGGCATTAATTAAAAAGTCAAAAAACAATAGATGTTGGCATGGATGGATTACACTGCTGGTTGTGAGAATGTAAATTAGTACAACTACTATGGAAAACAGTATGGAGATTCCTTAAAGAACTAAAACTAGATCTATCATTTGATCCAGCAATCCCACTACTGGGTATCTACCCAAAGGAAAATAAGTCATTATATGAAAAAGACACATGCACACGCATGTTTATAGCAACACAATTCATAATTGCAGGGATGTGGAACCAGCCTAAGTGCTCATTGACCAACCAGTGGCTAAAGAAAGTGTGGTGTATGTACACCATGGATTACTACTCAGCCATAAAAAGGAATGAAATAATGCCTTATGTAGCAACTTGGATGGAGCTGGAGGCCATTATCCTAAGTGGAGTAACTCAGGAATGGAAAAACCAAATACTGAATGTTCTCACTTATAAATGAGAGCTAAGCTATGAGGACACAAAAACATACAAAATGACATAATGGACTCTAGGGGCTTGTTGGTGGAGGTTGGGAATAGGGTGAGGGATAAAAGGCAACACTGGGTACAGAGTACACTGCTCGGGTGATGGTGCACCAAAATCTCAGAATTCACTACTAAAGAACTCACACACATAACCAAAAACTACCTGTCCCCCAAAAACTATTGAAATAAAAAAATTTTTTAGATAAATGTGGGGTTGATTTGTAATTTAAAATTTATTTTGAATAGCTAATACAAGAACAATATTTAAAAGATTATAATAATAAAAATGTGTATAGTGTGCAAAGCAAATTTCGTTCTCCACCCCATCCACAATTCTTCCAAATTCCTTGCCTGGATGCAACCACTGTTACCAGTTTCAGCAAGAAATTAAGACAGAAATTAAAGTTCTGCTCCTCATAATAATCACGATCAATTATCCCTGCTTATACAGTAACCCCTCCTTTTCCCAACAGCCTCCTAGCATGAGGAACCCAAATTGAACAGGTAACAAACATACCCCTAAACGTAATGTAACTTGTACTCTGTTCCATGGTAGGAACTTCCTTCTCTGGGATCCCAAACTCCTAGACCAGCTGAGTACGTTGAGGGGATGGGAAGCACCAACACCCCACGCGGGTTACCGGAAGTGCTGGTGAGTATAGTCATTCCTTCTTCCAGCACTGGTGGTTAGAGACTTACTTACTCTACCTGTTGGAGACTTGGCACTATGTAACAGCTGCTGCCATAGCCTAAGTGTATGCTTCATCCTGAAGGACATTACCCATCCTGATAGGATGTGATCTTCAAGATAAAACCCAGCTGCACCCTCAAGAGACCATTCCACTGCTCTATCAGCTGGCAGCGTGTGTGATGCAGTATGGGGTAGAACCAGGAGATCTCATGGTCGTGTGCCCACTACCAGACAGCGTTCGCTATAAAGTAGGTCCCTTAGTCTGGGGCAATGTTATGTGGTTCCCCTATTAGAAGATCATACATATGTGAGCCCTTAGATAACGTTTCTGAGTGTGGCACTATGGGAAGAAAGAACAAACTCATACCGCTAATACAAGGCAAGCTAAATCTGACAGAACCCCTGCCTTTTTCATTGTGAAAAAGTAAGAGTAGAATCAATTTGCCATCAAATTGCTCATTGGCCTCCATAAGCAAAGGTAATCTGTTGGAGTTTATTTATCGTTGGAAGGTAGGTTGTGACAATAACCACGTCAGCCATGCTGAAGGGAGCCCAAGCCTTGGGACCCACCCACAGTGCATCTCTTCCACCATAGATACTGCTTTCAAGAGCCTGTTTCATGAGCACTGGGATGGTTAAGGACAGAGGCTGGCTGATGTGTACCAAATGATTCATCCTGTACACCTGGTTGTTTAGACTACTTGTATAGAGGGTAATTTTTGCTGAGTATTAACATCTGATACAAAAGATCCAAGCACTTTGTATCTACTGTATGCCTCTTTCCAGATATTCCTGTTCCTGATCTTCCTATCTTGCTCCTTCCAGGCCCCGGACCCGCTATTTAAGCCATTTGCCGTTGCCTATGAGTCTGTGCATGTTCTCACCTCAGGCCACTTCTGTCTACACAAAGTGGGCAAATCAGAGCCCCACCTGCCTATTGGCAGGACCCTCTTCAGCACTGTCTCTGCTCATTCCTGAGTTGCCCACACTGCAGACACACTCTACTGCTGCCTCACACCAACACACTAAGCTGGCATGTTTATGAAGAAGCTCAGAATTTTCCTCTTAAGTCAGCTGGTCATAGAAACTACCCATAAGGTCATTGGTGAGAGTCGAGGTCAAGGCAAATTTCCAGCAGTGTGAGGTGACATGGGGTCTGAGCAATGTCTGTATGTAATTAACATCAGTACTCAGAACATACATACTTTAACCCAGGGGTCAGCCAGTGGTTTCAGTAAAGGCCCAGATGGTTTCCCTTTGCTGTGTGTGTGTTCATTCCCCTCTCCGAAGCTATGTGTAACCCCATAGGGATCACAGGGGTTCCCATCAACCACAGCCAGTTACATCCACAAAAGCCTTGATCCTTGTTAGCAGATGGGAGAGGGTGGCTTGGAGGATTGAAATCCCTACTTCATAGGACTCTGGATACTTACACAGTTGCTTCCTCCTGTGCTTCTACATGAATCTCAGCACTGTATTTAGGACACCGTCTGCACTCTTATTCTTCATGCAATTCTGTTTGCTCCTCAGATGGCCGCTTTTCCTTTGAAGCTCAACAGTGGTCATCACGTACTTGGGCTGAGGGTTACTGGTTAACTCTGTGGGATTCTGGGATCAGTTCCTTCCCATTCTTAGCCATCCCTGTGCTTTACAAAACTTAGCTTCACAATTATACTCATCTCTCTCTGTGTGCACCTCTAAGAAATTACTGATAAAACACTTGAGTTTTTTGAAATTACAAAAATATATACAAGAAAATGTTTATGGGGCCATTGATTAGCATGGAAAAGCATAAACTTTCCTGTTTTCTGCCTCTCATTAGAATTTAATCCCCCAAAATTGAACTCATTCCAAACTTCTGGCTTAACTAGGAGTTGCTGTAGCCAGCCTATTCTAGACAGCATCCTGTAAGCCCCTGGGATTGGCAGACACAAGACCACTTTTTCCATTCATATATGTGGTTCTGTTCTGGCCAGATCAACGGACTTCCAGTGCCCTTCTTGAGTCATACTGAGGTAAATTACTCAGACCACGAACTCACATTTTTAAATAAATAAAATAGCAGCATAGTTAATAATTTATTTATCCCATTACTGGGCATATACCCAAAGGATTATAAATCATTCTACTATAAAGACACATGCACACATATGTTCACTGCAGCACTATTTGCAATAGCAAAGACTTGGAACCAATCCAAATGCCCATCAATGATAGACTGGATAAAGAAAATGTGGCACATATACACCATGGAATGTTATGCAGCCATAAAAAAGAATGAGTTCATGTGCTTTGCAGAGACATGGATGAAGCTGGAAACAATCATTCTTAGCAAACTAACACAGAAACAGAAAACCAAACACCGCATGTTCTCACTTATAAGCAGGAGTTGAACAATGAGAACATGTGGACACAAGGAGGGAAACATCACATACTGGGGTCTGTCAGGGGATGGGGGCAAGGGGAGGGATACCATTAGGAGAAATACCTAATGCATGCGGGGCTTAAAACCTAGATGACGGGTTGATGGATGCAGCAAACCACAATGGCACATGTGTACCTATATAACCAACCTGTACATTCTGCACATATATCCCAGAACTTAAAAGTATAATTAAAAAAAGAATTTATTTCATTTGTGTAGTCCATTAAATTTTTTGTACATTTTTTAAACCTGCACTTTTCATAGTTTTTGATACATCCTTGCTCCAATAAATAGCTTGCTAAAACTACTAAATCTCATAGATATACCAATGGTTTGCATCATCTAATGGCACATTTGCTTGTCAAACTGAGGTCAGCCAGTCCCCCTTCATTCACTGTTAGTAACTCATGTGTTGCATTGTTAAAAACCCAGTATCACCTCATCTCCCCTCTAGCATCTTCTCTGCAGAGGAGAAGCCAGGCACTATATCTCCCAGGATCCCCTTCCCTGTATAGTTCCAGTTTACATTTTCCAGTGAGAGAGACTTGCCTAAGAAATGGGGCCCTGGAGAGATGGTGGGACAGACCTGTACCCATCAGTGGTGGCTGCAGGTAGAGGAGCAGGCAGATGTCAGGTTCTCAGTGGCTTCCCTGCTAGGCTAGAGACCCACCTGCTTTGCTTGTGTGGACTAAGATGAGTGATAAGAGCTTTCTCATAGGTTCTGGAGAATATAGCAATCTCGCAGCAGGATTCTGAGAACCTCCCATCCATGCTTCAAGCTGAAGTCTTCAGTATATGCTTCCCTGACCTCCCTACTGCAGCTTCCAGGAGCTCCAATGGTGACTGGTATTATTATAGTATCCTGCTGCTGCTATAACAAATTACCACAACTATGTGGCTTAAAACAACACCAATGTATTCTCTTATAGTTCTGGAGGTAAGAAGTCAAAAATGTGTCACTATGGGCTAAAATTAACATGTCGTCAGAGCTGCATTTCTTCTGAGGCTCTAAAGGAAAATCTGTTTCCTCACCCTTTCCAGCTTCTTGGGGCTGCCTGCATTCTTTGGCTTGTGGTCTCTTCCTCCATCTTCCAAGTCAGCAGTCACATCACTTTGACCTCTGATTCTGTTGTCACAGCTCTAACTCTGATGCTGCTTTCTACTCCTTTCACTTATAAGGACTATTGTGATTACATCGAACCTGCCCAGATAATCCAGGATAATCTTCCCATCTCAAGAGCCTCAGCTTAATCACATCTGAAAATTTCCTTTTGCCCTATTAGGAGACATTTTTATAAGTTCCAGGGATTAGGACACAGACATATTTAGGAGACTGTTATTCTGCCTGTCACATGACTTCACCAATATTTGCTACCCGTGGTTTCCAAACATTAGTGTATGCTCTTATTTCTATTTATTCCTGAAATACCAGAGTGAGTCTGTTTTTCTGAAAACAGCTCACTAATGCCCAGAGGAGCTCAAAAATTTTCTGTCTGTTGTCTCAAAGTCTCCAAATTGTACTGATTCTTCAACGTGCATGGCTGTAAATTAGGCAATAATCTTGCTGGGGTGTTGGAAGGAAAAGAAAGGGAATGATTAGACAGCCCTTCTGATTCGGGACAGAATCTGATTCGGGACACTGTCCCTGATGGCTGGCCATCTTGGGCTGTAATCCAGTTTCCCTCCCACGTAGACCCGGTCATTTCTGACTCCCCAAGAGGTTTTCACAGTATTCATGTCCACTTCCTTCATCAGTCATCTTCTTGTCTTATATCTCCATGTTTACATTTTTCTTCTCTTCTACCACTGTAGTTCTGCCTTGATTCTTCAGCCATTGCCTTCCTTTTGCATGCATGTGCTTCAGCCAGTTCTCTAGGAAGACATTCCAGACAGCTCATTATCACTTGTTACTATGTTTATTTGACTGCAGAGCTTTGAAGATTTGTAACTTTCTATTTTTTAAATTTTAGTGTAAAAATAATTCTTGCTCACAGTAGGAAATGAAACAATCAAAATATGCATAAATATACTTTTAAATCTCTCCTTTCACTAAATCCAAACCCACTTAACTAAGGTGATTACTATTGTATCAGCCTACTCTCTGCATGTCTACTTTCTTCACTTGCACGCAAACCATAGTGAGTGTTTTTATCTGGTAGCTTTTGTTGAGCTGTAATGACTATAAGTTTTATATGTAATTTAATCATTTTCAGGGCAACTTGAGATATAATTTAAATAGTATAAAATCCGCACATTCAAAATATACAATTCAGTGGCTTTTAGAATATTCACAGTTGTGCCTCCATTACCACAATCAATTACAGATCCTTTTATCTCCTCCCAGCCCTGCAGAAAAATCCATATCCAAACCCCAGCCCTAAGAAACTACCAACCTATGTTTTAACTCTACAGATTTACCTATTCTGAACATTTTATGTAATGAAATTATACAACATGTGGCTTTTTGTGTCTGTCTTCTTTTACTTACCGGAACATTTTCAAAGTTTGTGTGGGTCGTAGCTTGTATCAGTACTTCACATCTTTTTCATCGCTGAATTACATTCCATTGTATGGATATATCACAATTTATTTATTAGTTGGTGACATTTTGGTCCTTCTCATTTGGATTGTGATTAATAATGCTGCTATAAACATGGCATATAGGTTTTTATGTGAACTCATGTTTTCATTTCTCTTGGGTATACTGTATCATAGGAGGGGATTGCTGGGTCATGTAATAACTTAATGTTCACAAATTTGAGCTACTGCTAGCCTGCTTTCTAAAGGGGCTATGTCTCTTAAATCCCCACCAGCAAAGTGTGAGTATTCTAGTATCTCCACATTCTCATCAACACTAATTATTATCTTTTTAATTATAGCCATTCTAGTGGGTGGGAAATAGTATCTCATTTTTGGGTTGATGTGCATTTCCCTGATGCTTAATGATGTTGAACATGTTTCTATGTGCTTATGGGCCTTTTGTATATTATTTGTCTTATTATTATTATTATTTATTGTTTATTATTATCTTATTATTAATATTATTATATTGAGTTACAACCATTCTTTATATATTCTAGATACAAGTCCTTTCCTTGCCAGATATAAGATTTGCAAAACTTTTCTCCCATTCAATGAGTTTCTTTTCACTTTCTTGATGGTGTCCTTAGACTCACACATTTTTAATTTTGATGATGTTCAATTTATCTTTTATTTCCTCTTTTTGCTTGTGCCTTTGGTATCATTTAAGATCAGGTATTTTTACCTAATCCAAAGTCATGAAGATTTATGCTTATGTTTTCTTCTAAGAGTTCTCTAATATTAAGTCTCACATTTAGGTCTTTGATACACTGAGGTAATTTTTATATGTGGTGTGAAGTAGGGATCCAGCTTTATTCTTTTGCATAGGGATAGCCTGTTGTTTCTGCACTGTTTGATGAAAAGATAATTTCTTCCCCTCACTGAATTATATTAGCACTGTTTTATAAAACCAATTAACCATATAAGTGAAGAGTATTGCTGGGCCCTCAATTTTCTTCTGACTTCATTGTTTTTAATGCTATTGTAAGTTGGATTTTTAAATAACATTTGTATTAATGCATTGATACTCTATAGAAGCACACTCAATTTTTGTATTTTGATCTTGTAGCCTACCAATGTGCTAAACTAATTTAGTATTAGTGGTTTAGTAGTTGCTAAGCTTGTTTTTAGTGAATTCTTTCGTATTTCTATATAAGATTTTATCATCTGCAATTGAGATAGTTTTACCTCTTGCTTTTTAATCTAGATGACTTTTATTTCATCTTATTGCTCATTGTAGCTTTTGAAAAATTACATTGTATTCACAGTGCCCTACCATTTGATATTTTTATTTCTATTATATCATGAACATCCTTTGAATTTCACAGAAAAAATGGTTTAACTCATCATTTTAATGCTGTTCCATAGTATGTTATATGCACCTACTCCCCTGGGGTAAATATTTAGGTGGTTTCATTTATTTGTCACCCACTCTACAGATGTCTATATGCACATATTCTCCCAGCCATCCCAGAGTTTTCTGATTTCCCATAACGTCAGTGATTAAACTCCTGATCTGTCTGACTAGCTAGACATGCTGACTGACTGACAGTTCCATTGCTACTTTGCATAATTTAAGATCAACAGCTACATTTGGATCTCAGATCATCTAGGCCCAGCTGCAGTTAGTCTTTCCTAGTCTCAGAGATTCCCTCTCTGCCTGTTAATTTCTCTATCCCTGAAACTGCCCTTGTACTCCAGCCCAAGCAGCTTCCTAGCCCAGTAGTCCTGGATCTGCCACTTGCTAACTAGAAGGTGTCATCTGCAGAAGGTAAGTAAGGCATTTATCTCCATTCACTTTATATTTAGTTATCAAATCTCCATGTAGCTCAGGTAGATCGAGCTGAAAACATTCTTGTGTTTAGTAATATAGCCATTGAGCACACCATCATTGCTCTTTTCATACCTTAGTCCTACTCAAAGATTAAAGTGACAGCTTCCCAGTTATGATAAAAAAGTATAAAACATTCTGAGGGACCTGTAAACTATAAAGCTAAAATATCAGCTTCTGCATGCAACATATATGTCAAATTCTATGTCCAATACTCTTCTCGTTTTTAGAATTAATTCTGCAAACTTGAAGATTGAGCTTTTTATGAACTGATTGGCATCTGCTATGCTCACCAGATTATTCCCACTTGACTGAGAGGATGGTGGTAGCAAGAGCTCCTTCCTTTCAGAGGCTTTTAAAAATACTTATTGGGAAGAATGTACCACATAAGGCATTTAACTAATGAAACCACAGATATAACCACTGGCAAAAAAATCAAACAAACATTTCTTTAACTGCCCTGTACTTGGTACATTCTCTTCCTCCTGCTAAGGAAGTATCTCCTCTCCCTTCACTTCACAGACTGGAATTTTCCAAATTCCTAGTCTCAACAAGACAAACTGTATTTTGAAATCACTGTTTTCCCAGAATACCCGGAGTGTTACCATGACTCCAGAAGATGCCTTCAACCAAGACTCATAATCTGACTGTAAGAAACCTTCAGATAAGGTATTGGGAACTTCTGTAAAATTGTAGCTGGGCTGTGATTAGAGAATTTTCACAATATCAACGAATCTTACAAAAGAGCTGCTGATCCAACAGGTCCTCAGAGATCCTGTGTGGGAACCAGAAGGTATTCTGTGAAAAACGACAATAAGAATAACCATAATAACAATAATGGCTGCATTTAAAAGGCTCTTGCTATATTTCAGGCACTGGTTTTTGTACCTACATGGATTATTTTGTTCAATATTTATCACAACCATATGAGAAGGATGTTATTATCCACAATAAATAAATGAAATCTGTAAACTGTAACTTGTTCAAGAAAATTAGGTACAGAGATGTTAAGTTACTTGCCCAAAGTTCCATAATTTTGAAGATATGAGGCTAGAATTCAGTTCCAGGCCATTTTACACTAGATCTACTAATTTAGCCACTGTATGATTGTACCAAGACTGACCTAAAGCTACCTCCCCTTCCCCAACAGGTTCTTTTATGACAGTGAGTATAAAATACAGGGCTAATGACGTATTGGGTGCAGAGAGGGGTTGGAAAGAATGTGGTATTTCAGACTATGCTTACTATGCTTAAAAATCACAATTCCGTGGTGACTAGAGTTTATCTTAAACTTTCCTCCCTGGCATTCCATTGCATCCAGTTGAGAGAGCACTCTAGCTCCCTACATCCCAGAACATGTAGATCTGTCCGTGGTTCTGAAAGATACACTGGCAGGTCCCGCCAACTACATGAATGGCATTCATATTGTGGAAAACTGCCCACTAGTAAAAATGTACAGTTGAACTTGTACATTCATTACTTACAAGGTTGGAGAACGTGAAGTACTGGACAATCCAACAATAGCTTGGAAAGATACCATAAAAAGACCCGCAGAATATTCTTTTATATGCATTATACTGAAATGTACAAAACAAAACCAGAATGGGACACATTATGAGTGAGAAGTTTATCTTGAAATTTTAATCAGAATATGAAGAAAAGAAATCCAACATTAGACCTGGAAAAAGATAAAATAATTTGTATTTCATTTAACAATATTTATAGATTCTCAATATATACACTATCCTTTTAAACCTCAATTTATATTTAACCATCCATTTACCTTTATTTTTTGTTTGTTTTTTTCTTTCACCTCATACTTTCTACCTGGGATATCTTTTTGTGACTAAAGTACATTCTTTAGAACTTCTTGTACTTTACTAGGTGTGTTTGTGTTAAATTGTTTGTCTTCAAAATTCATTGAGATTTAAATTTTATTATTATATTTTCATGCTTAAGTGTTATGTGTTTGTCTCTTCAAATTTTTCTGAAGATTATTTATAGTTTTATAGTCACTAAATGTATTTAACAATCTGTTCTTTAATCATAGCCCATTTAGCAATTTTATATCCTATACAATTATTCTGATTTCTCAGTTATATGATTGTATGATTCTGCTGTCTGTTGTATTTTCTTGTTCTTTCACGGTGCTTTGTCTCTTATGAACATTGTTCTCTGTTGTTGTTCTTAACTGTTAAGTGCTCCTTTTGCTGGTGTAATGATTTTTTGGAATTTTCAGAGTGCCAATGACAGTAGAAATTTTTCAGAGAAGTTTTGCTTGATTTTCCAAGGTTCCTTGGAGTCTGCACTACTTTAAAATAAATTCATGCCTTGATGATTTTTAGACCACCCAGGGAGTGTGAACTCGGGCTGCAAATCCACTTCTCTTTAATCTCAGGAGAAGGTTTTGCCCCTCTCCACTCAGCACCAAGGTGACTTTCTGGGGAGACCTTCAAGCAAGGATGTTTTCCTTATACTGAGGAGCTGGCTTTGGGATCCTGGTGAAATGAGGAGAACACTCTATTAAATTTCCCACTCTGAGTGCTACCTGAACTCTGTCTTCTATTCCAAATGCCTTAGGAGGCCATGAAAACTAAACCTTAATTATCCTACATTAAGTAAATAAGCTCAGCAAAAAAAGTAAATGCACAATTCCGTGATTTAGGATTTGACAATTTTTATTAAAGTTTAAGCCTCTCAATGCTTCTACATTGTGTTTTATTTTTTCACTATCCATTTTTGTTAGCATGAGGGTAGGTATGTTTACCTAAATGTGCCATGTGAGTGGTTCAAATCTCCTCCCCAACGCTCCTTATCACAAACCTTACCATCTTATTCCTTTAAAGTCACTGACTATCTAAGGAAACTACTAGCTACTGCTGTGCATTGATTAGGACCCAACAGTAAGACGTTTCTCCTTTTGGTAAACTGCACTTCCAGATGGTCTAATTGAACATCTTCTCACTGGAAGTATTTTTATTTCCATTACTCTTAATGATGATTCCTGAAAGAGACTCTAATGCCCTGACAGTTAACTCTGGGGTATCCAAGCATACTCAAATTTTTTTCCTTCTACAGTCAGTTGTCCTTAGGGAACTCCTCAAGACCTCAATAATGAGACAAGGGAGAGTGGACTCTCCAGTGGTAATAAGAACATTAGGAGTATAGTACAAATTATTAGGCAACTTACCTGGCCTTATGGAACCTGCTAAAGTCTGATGCTGTGTATACCATTTCCCCTTGCAGACTGAGGGCTGGTGAGCATGAGTGACCCGATAAAACTCAGGTCATAATGGGCATCTCAAGTCACTTGGTCATTTTCTGTATCATGATCATAGAATTCAGAATCTACCAGGGCCCAGTAGTAAGCCAGAAGCTATTACTCAAATTCAGAAAAAGAATGGAACTTTTTCCCCAAACCCTGAAACTTGGGCAATGAGTCCTATGACTGCCACACACAAACACACACACACACACACACACACACACACACACACACACACTCAACAATATCCAAATAAGCATTTAGGGCCAAATGGCAGATATGCTTGACTTTTGCCTGGATCAAAATGACATTTCCATTTATTATGGAATGTTTCTGTACTTGTACTAGCTCATAGGATTTTGGATTAGAGAAATACCCTTGCAGGATATGAAGTCATACTTTTTCATTGGTGAAATCATCTGTCCTCATTAGAGTTTAATAATATCATGCAGTTATTTCTCAAAGAGCTTGTACTCCTTAGATTTGCTGGAATTCCTCAAGTTAAAAAGACCAGGGCCTCAATAATGGGAGGTCTCATTGCCAATAGCTACAACCGGCTGTAGAATTTATTAAAAACATGTGAGTGCATTGTTTGGGGAAAGAATCAAGAACAAAAGCAGTGCTTGTTTTGTACTTCACTGAACTACTTCCATGGCCTCCATTCAACTTTAGCTGCAGTTTTGGTGACTTGATTCACAGACTGTCGGAAAGTTATGAGCTATGGAATGTGCTCTCTCCAATACTAAAGAGGCCAGTCATATATATGTAGGGTGTCCTTCTTTATCATTGTAGGTTGTATGAAGTCAGTGATTCCCATAGAACCTTGGGGTCACAGATGCCAGGCCTAATCTTCTTTTATTATTCATTCAATCTTTATTTTTTCAAACAATGGTCTCACTCTCTTGCCCAGGCTGGAGTCCAATGGTGCGAACACAACTCACTGCAGCCTCGACCGCCCCAGGCTTAGGTGATCCTCCCACCTCAGCCTTCCAAGTAGCCGGGACTACAGCTGTGTGCCACCGCACCTGGCTAATTTTTGTGTTTTTTGTAGAGATGGGTTTTTGTCATGTTACCCAGGCTTGTCTTGAACTCCTGGGCTCAAGCAATCCACCCACCTTGGCCTCCCAAAGTTGTGGCATTACAGACATGAGCCACTGCACCCAGCTCTAATCTTATTTTAATTTTAGAAATCTAACTTGACAGTTTCTGGTGCCTGGATCCATATTTGTCTCAGAAGATTGAATTGTGGACTGTGACCTTCTCTCCCAAAAGTCTCTTTCAGGGTAGAACTTCTGGTTATGGCAACATGAAGAGATAGACCAGCAAGTTTTCCTCCAACAGCAACATGAAAACTGTACTAAATACTAAAAACAAACATTTGAAGTCACTGGAAAATTAACAAAGGCAAGCAATATGTGATAAGAGCTTTCTTGTTTAAGACTCCTTCTGTCTTAGGTAAGGACTGCAAGTTGGTGGCCTTTCCTTCTTACCTATGAGTGCTCTTCAGCCTCCCAGCAGATAACTGCAGCCCTAGTGGCTCAATATGGGCAGTTTATAGAGTTCAGAGCCCAAATCAGCTAGAAATGTAAATGAGAATGTTGAAAGAGAGCTGCAGAAGAGTTGAGATCAACAATGTGAATGCAAATTATGCTCATCCCTAGTTGAACACTAAACTCTGCATGGGTGTGGGCCACTTGGGAATCTGGTGAAAAACCAGAAAGAAACTAGAGGGAGGTCTACCCTCCAAAGAGATAAATGATCCTGGTAAGATCTGCAAGTCTTCAGTAACATGGACTGAGTGCATTTGCCAACCTGCACAGAGCTCAGTAGAAGAAAGCAAAAATCTTACTGGCTTGAGAGGTGAAAAGGCAGGATTTGAGTCTAACAAAACAATTGGAAATTCAAAGAGAATTCCAGAAACAAAGCAACCACAATGAAGTTGAATCACAAAATCTGAGTATAAATGACCCAAATACTTGGTCAACCTCTAAATTACACAGATGCAGGACACACACCCAGAAACCCCTGCTGAAACCACGTAAGATACTAAGTGGAAATTCTCAAACAGAAAAAAAAGAAAATGAAAGTATTCTGGAAGAGGTCCACAGAAGTTTTGAGATGGCAGAATAAAGAACAAGCCTGTGACTTTGAATATAAATCTCCAGAATGTGCTCAATTCTAAAATCCAAAACACAGATTGAAATAAGATTAAAGAAAAAAATGAAGAGAACGTCATGAACCCATCAGAGAATATAAAGCAGGTGACCAGATATGCAAGTGGATCCTCAAAAGAAGACACAGGATCAGAAAAAAATATTTGAGAAAATAATAGTTGAAAGTTTCCCACATTTGGTGGGGGATTTTAGCTCATATCTAAGGTGTTCAATAAATGAAAGCAAAATAACTGCAGAGAAAATTACAAATAGGGTGACCAAGGCCTTGGCCTGGCCTGAGGCAACTTAGCTAGCCCCAGGGATGTGTGTTCTGGTGTGGAGTAAGATCAGGGAGCTACCAGTGCAATCTCTGCCTCTACATCAGCGGGACTGATCATTTTAATTTTGATTGCAGTTACTGCTGGTATCTGAATCAAAGTGGTGATGCTTCCTGAGGAAATTTCTGAAGCCATTAGTCAATTAGAACATTATAAGCCATGCCTCCCGTGAAGAGGAGCATCTAATCCCAGCATTTGCACCAGGGAACTCTGCCTGAAGGGATTACCAGTGACTTGAAAGTGTAACCAACAACAATCTTGTCACTATTACGCACCAGCTAAGCAATCTGAACATACATGCTGAAGACATATTTGGTGAGCTATTTAAGGAGGCTAACTACTTCCACATTAGATCAAATTCTCTTAGAATTTGTTGCCTCATGGTCAAAGTCACTCAGCTGGATTCAGCAGTGGAAGAGGTGTCACCACAGGACATCAACATGGAAAAAGCCCTCAAAAGTTCCCCAGCCCAAGACCAGCAAGCAGTTTCAAAGAGCAGCATTCCTACTCCTGCTGCTGACATTTACAATCAGAGTGATTGACCACCTCCCCTGAATAGCATGAGAGCACATGGAGATGATAAAGACAGGCTGAAGTTCTATACTGATCCTTCCCATTTATTTGACCTCTGGAAAGAAGAAGTGCTGCAGGACACAGAAGACAAAAGGAAAGACAGAAGGCATCAAAAGTAGCAAAACCACATAGATGGCACCACTTATGATGTGAAAAGGATTACAAAAGCCAGAAACAAGCACCATGAGTGGAATATGATGGCATATGACAAAGAGCTTAGACCCAGCAACAGGTTGTCTCAGTGTGTACCATGGAGCATCCTGCAAGAACCCCTGTCCCTAGACAGCAGGTCCCATACAATGGATGTTAGGGATGCTCTTATCGAGCTACTCCAAACCATTCTCACGACCCTTCCTAGGCAGCTGAAGATGCATGTCCACATGGGCCCACAAACCAGGCCCCTGAGCTTGAGTGCCACCCCTCCTCTGCCTCAGTGAGGCACATGGCCCTAAATGGACCTCAAGAGCGGCCCCCACTTCCCTGCCTTACCCCAGCTGTGTTCCAATCCTGTGCACTTATGGCTCCAGGAGACTACAGGATGCTCCCAGCACAGGTGCTTGCATATTACAACCCGTCAAGACCTCCTTCTCTTCCCCCTTTTACAGTACAAACTGCCTTTGTTGCCTTCTGCAAATCCTCCTGCCGCCTCCTTCCTCATATCAGCTGGCTCCACACACCCTCCTCCTCACCCTCCCTCCACTGGCCCCTGGGTCCAGCATTCCCTCCTCCAGCCACACACTTTCCCCACCAGGCCTCTTGGCTCAGTTCTTCTTTTTTGTCTTCCCCATGCATTCGCCCCCACACTACCACCAGTAGCTGAGGCAAAGTGTCAAGAACCTGCACAGCCACCAAAAAGTGATACGAGAAGTGATCTCCTTGCTGCTACTGGAATGGGGATTTGACTGGAAAAGGTGCAGGATCTGTGTGAGCAAGAGGCCAAGAGTGAGCCCCTTGGGAAGGACAAGGTCACAACCCTGTCAATACATTGCAGTGGAGAAGTACAGGGATTCTGAGGGAGACTTAGAGTTTGACAAAAACAACCGGCCCAACCAAGGCAGTGCTGGGGCTAGCTCTATGCAACAGGTGGGTAGCTGGTACCAGGCTGGGTGACAGCCAGGAGACCATATGCTAAGAATGTACTTAAGATTTCAAGTGGTCTCAGCACTCAATGGTATTATAATCCCGCAGCTGAGCACCTTTTGTATTAATGATGTGATATTGCTTCTGCACATCCAAAAATTCTGGGTTTTCTCAGTATTTACTGTGTAACATTTAAATGCCATTAAGCATAGAATATCATGCTGCACATGAAGAAATAGGGTGTAACTATTACATCGTCCTGAAAAGAGCGTTTTTTTTTTTTCCTGTAGGCCATGAAAGTATTTAGTGTACTTTGGGTTTACTCTTATTGATCATTACAATTCTGCAGATGTGCTGTGTGAAGCTGCCTGGTGCTAGGCCTTTGAAGATTAATAACTGTGTTTCAGGTGGATATCTTCAGATGAGTAATTGATATTGTTTTACTGTTTTGGGGTGTTTTATGAGTTTGAAAAGCTGTTGGTTCTAGAGGGAAAGGTTTAACAAATAAGGAGAATCCAATATTTCTGCTTTCATTTTCTTGGCGTGGTATCCTCTGTGTGAATTTGAATGCTCAGTTGAATAGTTTTATTGCCTTAGTACACACTTGTCAAATGTAAAGTTGGAAGGACCCTTTTCAGGAAGGGTTTCCTGTGAACATTCACTTAGTAAATGCTTGTGGATGATTCTTGTAAGAGGTCTCAGTGCTTAGAAGTAATGAAAATGAAGAACAAGATCCTTTCACCTTCAGGGGCCTTTGGGACCAATACTCAAAATATTTGCCAGCCCTTACAGCTTGGGCACCAGCCAGCAGGAGCAGAGGTGAGTGGTCCAGGAGCTGGGCAGCTCTGGGCAGAGCAGCTGCATGTGGGCCCTGGGTGCTAAAGCAGGCCTGCTCATTGTGTGTCCTGGAAGAGCTGTGTTCTAAAGGAGGCCACAGGAGTTCTTAGCTCCTTAGTGTGTGACAGACAGTGCTTCAGAGGGCACCGTGCTCCACTTGGTCTTAATTTTGAAAGTTTACATTGAGGTGAAAGTAGATATTGACAGCTGTTCACTCTTCATGTGCTGTGTTCAGATTACGGATGAATCCATGAGCAGGGCCTTTGCCTTATCCTAGAAACACGTGGTTATCTTCCCTCATGTTGTTGCTGGCACATCACATATTGATAAGTACCTCTCAAGATTACCTTGATAGACCCGTAGCTGTAGAAGAGCACTTAGTTCTCACCTCTGCCCTTCCCCTTATTCTTGCACTGTGGTCATGCTAGAGACCCATGGGGTTTATTTTCCTGGCTAAGGCAAACTGTTGGGAAATGCAAGAATGAGAGCTTCTATTGTGTAATTCTGGATGAAGAATAACTGCTTGTTTAGAGCAAATAAATGTCCCAGGCTTTGATTATAGTTATGACTTCAAAAATATGCTAAGACCATTTACTTACTGAGGAAATCTTACCTACTTATAGTATTTCAAATTGATTGCAGTCATTAGTGACTTTCAGTTACGATGAAGGGAAGAATCTTGAGCTAAACGCAGGGTTGTCTGAGGTGATGATAGGAGTGGAAACAGGATGGTAACTAATGGATTTAGGTTAATGAGTTCTGAGAAAATCAACCAGCCCCTGCAAGTCACAGCTCTGTGTCTCTAAGTGGACACCTGTCTGTCTTGAGGCAGTCATCATATAATACGCATCACATAGATTTTAGTCATATGGATTTTGAAACTCTGGAAACCATATGTCTGCAGCTCCCTTTCATGACCATGCTTGTGCTGGTTTATCTGATCTCCTCAGCTGTACCAGCTGCTGTGGCATGAGCTTCTTGAGCTTCTCTTTTTAGAGCTGATCATTATCTGGCGGCTGTCGCTATAATTTTCTTGAATACAAGTAAACATTATTTATAAACTTTTAAATTTCTCTGTTTAATTTTTCTCTCTCTTTTTTTTTTTAATGTAGAGGCCTACTTTGCTGGCATCTTTGGGTCCTACTCAGTCATAAACCACCCTCCCCACCCTAGAGTAGCCACTCTTGATTTCTAATACAGATGAGTTCTGCCAGGTCTAGTTGAATGGCATTATACAGTCACCATCATGACCCTGGGTCTCATCATCTCGCTGTGTGTGGTCGTAGCCTATTCACTCCCATGGCTGTCCAATGCTCCACTTTATAAATAACTCACATTTCTTGTCCTTTCACTGTTGATAGACAATTTTGTTGTATACAGATTTTACAAATCGTGCTGCTATGAATAATATTTTCATATAGTTTGGCACACACATACATGCATTTCTATTGGTTTAGAACTAAGAGTGCTATTGCTGGATCATAGGTGAGTAGATGATTGGCTTAGTCTCTCAAAAACCAAGTTTCTAGTAGTAAACAAACAGTAGAGGAGGGTGAATCTCTTACTTAGAAATTATTCAGATAATAAATGAAGAAGGAATGAGAGACTGAGACTATAATAACTCTTTTGCAACCCATCATGAATTAACAGATTTAGCCATTGAATAGCAATGGCAATTAACAACACAATAAAAGAAAAAACTAATGTGAGGTTCTTCCTCTTGATGGAAGAACACAATACAGCACCATCAAACAAGTCCAAGTGAAAAAGAAACCAAGCCTGAATAGAAGCTGATCTCCATAGCCAATTACCAATTTAGAGGCAATACAGATAATAGAAATACATATTAAACTATGCCTTGGGGAGCAATCAGCAAAATGCACACTATGGGAAGCTCTACCACACAATATAAATTTCAAGGAAGAATCTATAGAATAAAGAAAACAAAAGCATATTTCTAAAGGTAAAACTAAATCATAATATTGGATGATAAAAATAAAAATAAAACAAAGAATTGATGATCGTAAAAGTCAGGTTGTGTTTTTATTTGAGGGAAGAAAGAGTTTATTGCTGGGCTGGAGCAAATGATGGGGCTTCTGGTTTGCCCCACAAACATCTATCCCTGGTGATTAATGGGTGTTTACTTTGTATTAAAGGACACAAATTTTAGACATTTTTTTCTTTTGGAGTCCTATATTTTATTTTATGACACAAAGGCTAATGAAAAAATAATTTATAGAGTATGGTTACTGTTTTGCACAAAGCCTCCTCCCCATCTTCTTTTCTGGACACTGAGCACCCAGAACAACCAGCAGCCCCAGGACCCCCAGCAGGGGTGACCTCACTTCTAGGTGTGCATGCAGCTTACATCACCAGAGGTAACATGCAGGTCTACTCCTTGACTCCTGGAAGAACCTGATAGGACACAGCTGAAGGGAAGCCTTCTCCGCCATCTGTAGGCTCTTGGCCATCAGTGTAGAGGGAGCGGGTCCTCACTTCTCCACAGGCGTCTTCATGGCCATAGCCTCCTCTCTGCATGGGGAGTAAGGCCTGGCCCTTCGCCTGAACACGGTGACAGGGATCTCGCCAAAGGTGGAGATCACACCATTCCTCCTTTAGCAACCTCACGCTTCTTTTGCTTTACAGGAAAGTTGACTCAGGCTGGTGTCCAGTAAAGAAATCCCAAGGAGAGGCCGGGTGCGGTGGCTCACGCCTGTAATCCCAGGACTTTGGGAGGTCGAGGTGGGCAGATCACGAGGTCAGGAGATTGAGACCATCCTGGCTAACATGGTGAAACCCCGTCTCTACTAAAAAATACAAAACATTAGCCGGGCGTG
This sequence comes from Homo sapiens, assembly GCF_000001405.40. Classification (NCBI taxonomy): domain Eukaryota; kingdom Metazoa; phylum Chordata; class Mammalia; order Primates; family Hominidae; genus Homo; species Homo sapiens. The sequence continues at coordinate 2,764,707 of NT_113891.3, read as the reverse complement.
GTGGTGGGCACCTGTTGTCCCAGCTACTCGGGAGGCTGAGCCAGAATGGCGTGAACCCGGGAGGCGGAGCTTGCAGTGCTCCTGCTCCCAGGAGGCAGATGCCCAGGATGAGCTTTAAGGTGGAGAGAGGAATGTCATTGCTCATCCTCCAGGTTCCAAGTAAGAACCTTCCTGCCCAGCCCATCTCGATCTCCCTGAATCCTCAACGCTAATGAGGACTGTCTCCTTCTCACCTCCCTAGACTGGGCTTTTTAACACTGGAAAGTGGATGTGATTTCTAGTTTCAGCATGTCCTGGTTTATTGTGCTGCCAGTAAAATAAAATCAAAATACACATTGAATAAATAATAAATAACCCATAGTGAGCAAAGGCTTACAATGTATTTTTTTGAGTCAAGACCTCACTCTGGCCTGGGCTGGAGCCCAGTGGTGGGATCGTAGCTCAATGCAGCCTTGTATTTATGAGCTCAAGGGATCTTCCCACCTCAGCCTCCACAATACCTGGAAATACAAGCGCCCACCACCAGGCCCAGCCGTTTACTGATTTTTATTTTTTTTAGAGACGAGGGTCCCACTATGTTGTCCAAGCTGGTCTCCAATTCCTGATCTCAAGCAATCCTCTTGCCTTAGCATCCTGAATTGCTGGGATTACAGGCGTGAGCTGTCATGCCCAGCTTGTAATGTACTGACACTATCAAGGTTTCTTTCTCCAAGTGTGGATACAGCAGCAGACACCCCTTGTCTCTTGGGTGAGGACACTGGGTAAAGTGGAATAGCAAGGCAACAAAGTCACTGCAGAAAGCACCCACGTGGAAGAGGTCCAGCAGGGAGAGCCACCTGTTCCAGGGACACCATATTTAGGGATAACTCCTCTTTCTGGGCAGGACTGTTCTTTGATTACTTTTGTATTCACAATAGTTCTGAAATCGTAGAATGATGAGACTCAAGACTGGCTAGGGTTTTATTTTTGTTTAGTTTTTATTTTGTTTTGTTTTGTTTTTTTCAAAAAACCATCATGAGATTTGTTAATCTTTTGAATGGTTTTTGTGTCTCAATTTCCTTCAGAATTTAACTCTTCTTAACATTTCACAGTCCACTTTCAGTTAAAAATGTACTAGTACCCATAAATAGAGAAATCTTGCAACCATTTATCCTCTATAAAATGTCCATCTTTATGGTACAGATATTATATGTAATATATCTATATAGGTTATAAGTCCCACAAGAAAAAAACTTCTTCTTATCTTTAAACAGTTCTATGTATATAAATTAGAGTAAATGAGGGGAACAAGATAGCCTTTTGCACTTAGCTCAGTATTTACCATTTTTGATCATCTTCATCTTTTCTGATAACCTCATTTCCCACCTGGTATCATTTGCCTTTAGCCTGAAGAATTTTCTTTACCAATTGTTATTGTGCAGATCTGCTGGTGACAAATTCTCTTAATTTTCTTTTACCTGAAACATCTCCTTATTTTGCCTGTCCTTGAAGGACATCTGTGCTGGATATAGAATTCTTAGTTGTCCTTTTTTTCTTCCAGCACTTTAAAGGTGTTATTCTACTTTCTTTTGTTTCTATGGTTTCTAATAAGAAGTCGTTGGTCAGGACAAGAGGAACAGAGAAACCAAAACTGAGGAAATAACATGGTAGACCTAAAACTTATCAATAATGAAAAAAAAACCTATATGAATCAACACTCCAATGAAGGGCAGAGATTGTGTGAATTGGTTAAAAAAAAAAAACAAAACACAGAACCCAACCATATGCTCTTTCCAGATATGCAGTTTCTTTGTTTCTTTTTTTTTTAATTTAACTTTTATTTTTAGTTAAGGAGTACATGTACAGGTTTGTTATATAGGTAAACTTGTGTCATGCGGTTTTATTGTACAGATTATTTCTGTACCCATTAGTACCCACCCAAGTATTAAGCCTTAGTACCCATTAGCTATTTTTCCTGATCCTCTCCCTCCTCCCACCCTCCACCCTCAAGTGGACCCCAGTGTGTGTTGTTCCCTTCTGCGTGTCCATGTGTTCTCATCATATAACTCCTACTTATAAGTGAGAACATGTGGTAATTGGTTTTCTGTTCCTGCCTTAGTTTGCTAAGGATAATGGCCTCCAACTCCATCCATGTTCCTGCAAAGGACATGATCTCATTCTTTTTTATGGCTGCATAGTATTCTGTGGTGTATATGTGCCACATTTTCTTTTTCTTTTTTTTTTTAATGGAAAATAACTTTTATTGAGATCCCACCAGTTGCAATATCTGTTCCCAGCATTAAGCTCCTTCTTCCTTTGCAATTCGGTCTTTCTTGAGTGGTCCCATGAATGCTTTCTTCTCCTCCATGGTCTGGAAGTGGCCATGGCCAAACTTGGAGGGGGTGTCAATGAACTTAAGGTCAATCTTCTCCAGAGCCCGCTGCTTTGTCTGCACCAGCAAGGACTTGCGGAGGGTGAGCACCCACTTCTTGGTTCCCACCACACAGCCTTTCAGCATGACAAAGTCATTGGTCACTTCACCATAGTGGACGAAGCCACCCAAAGGGTTGATGCTCTTGTCAGACAGGTCATAGTCAGTGGAGGCATTGTTCTTGATCAGCTTGCCATCCTTGATAAGGTAGCCCTAGCCAATCCTATAGATCTTCTTGTTGATCTCAGTGCGGTGATGGTAGCCTTTCTGCCCACCACGTACCACAGAGAAGCCCACACGAGCAGGATGCCATGCCCCAATACAGGCCACCTTGCACAGGCCTTGGTGGGTCTTGCGGGGCAGCTTCTTGGTGTGCCAACGACTGGTGACCCTTTTGTAGCCTTTGCCCTTGGTCACCCTGATGACGTCGATCATCTCATCCTGCCCAAACACTTGGTTCACAGGTACCTGGTGCTTGAGCCTCTCGCCAGCCCAGTCCAGCTTCTCAGCCACAGTGCCTCCATTCACCTGGATCTCCATCAGGTGGGCCTTCTTCTGGCACAGAGGAAGCAGTTGCATCTGGGTGTGGGCAATGACGCAGATGACTTGGCAGTACTTCTTCATGCTGCTGAAGTCCTTCTCCAGCTGCTTCTTGCCATCCTCATCCTGCCATTTCTTGCAGTACTTGGTAAAGGCCTTCTTCTTAGATTTATGCCAGTTCTTATAGAAACGTCTCTTGCATTCATCACTGATGTGCTCAGCGAAGACAGTCTTGCAAGTCCGGAAGCCTTGAGGGGTTTCCACGCAGCCCACAATGCCCACTGGTGGCCTCTCCACAATGGTCACAGCCTCCACCACCTCCTTCTTGTTCACCTTGGATCCTGGCCTGTCGACTTCCCGCACGATGTGGGTCATGCCAGCCTTGTATCCCAGGAAGGCTGTGAGGTGGACCGGCTTGGACGGGTCATCCTTAGGGAAGCTCTTCACCTTCCCACAATGCCTGCTGCTGCGCTTCCAAGGCAGGAAGCCGAGGGACCCATGTCTGGGAGTGGAGAACTTTCTGTGAGACATCACGCCATCAAATCCTGCCGGTAGAGCATATTTGCCACATTTTCTTTATCCAGTCTACCATTGATGGACATTTAGGTTGATTCCATGTCTTTGCTATTGTGAATAGTGCTGCAATGAACATATGCATACATGTAAGACATGGGCTTTCTTTTTTTAATTTGCTTTGTTTTATTTTACTTTAGGTTCCAGGATACATGTGCAGAACCTGCAGGTTTGTTACATACGTATAGTCTGCCATGGTGGTTTGCTGCACCTATTGACCCATCCTCTAAGTTCCCGTCCCTTGCCCCCCACACTCCCCAAAAGGCCCTGATATGTGTTGTTCCCCTCCCTGTATCCATGTGTTGTCATTGTTCAGCTCTCACTTAGGAATGAGAACATGAGGTGCTTTGTTTTCTGTTCCCGTGTTAGTTTGCTGAGGATGATGACTTCCAGCTTCATCCATGTCCCTGCAAAGGACATGAACTCATTCCTTTTTCTGGCTGTGTACTATTCCATGGTGGTATGCACCACATTTTCTTTATCCATCTATCACTGATGGACATTTGGGTTGGTTCCAAGTCTTTGCTATTGTAAATAGTGCTGCAGTAAACATACGTGTGCATGTGTCTTTATAGTAGAATGATTTATATTCCTTTGGGTAGATACCCAAGGGGTCAAATAGTATTTCTGGTTCTAGGTCTCTGAGGAATGGCCACACTGTTTTCCACAATGGTTGAACTAGTTTACATTCCCAACAACAGTGTAAAAGTGTTCCTATTTCTCCACAGCCTCACCAGCATCTATTGTTTCTTGACTTTTTAATAATTACCATTCTGACTGGCGGGAGATGGTATCTCATTGTGGCTTTGATTTACATTTCTCTAATGAGCAGTGATATTGAGCTTTTTTAATTTTTCTCATTAAGATTTTAATGTCTCATTTTAAAAAATTAAAGGAAGTTTCCATTTATTTTTTAAGATAAAGATTTAGCGCACCCAAATGCCCCCAAAGCCAACAGAAAAATAGCTTTGCCCTGTCATTTCCCTAAGAAAGCACTGCAGTTACTCAAAATATGCTCAAAGAAAAAAATGCAATCCTCTGAGTTCTAAGTTTCACGAAAGGACCACATGTTAAACTATGTATATCGATTTGATGTGTAAGTATGCAATAAATATGTACACATACATTCCTATCTGCTTCACATCATTCTAGAGTATTCATAGTATATGAAGATGGGATTTAGAAATGTGAAAAGGCTGTAACAGTGAAAAGGAAAAAAAGGGTACAAAGGTTTTTAGACCAGTAGAATAATAATGCTTAGCTAGTTAATTATTTTAACTTTGGAGCAGACTAAAAAAGTTGTTTTGAAATAAATGGTACCTGTAAGTGATGCTTACTGCAATACTTGTTAAGTGTTATTTGTCACCACTGACAGGAATTATATAGTGCTAGTAACACAGCTCCCACTGTCCTAGAATTCCTCTAAATGGCCAGCTATTGCTACCATTATCTTGATAAGCATTTCAAGAATTGTGTTGCTGAGCCTTTTAAAAGATAACTAGTTTATAACCTATGTCTCCTTATGTGCCTACATCAGTTACTCATGGTCCCAAAGAAGTATAAAAGAGGATATAAGCTGCTGAAGATTTCACAGAAGAAACAGAGATATCAGAAACTTCATGATCATCAAACTTAAACCACCGCTGTTTTGCTGCATTTTTACAGTAGGCTGTGTAATGGCCTCCATCCAGCCCACCGCAGTGATCTGAAACAGAAAACAAATTATAGTTCTTCAAATTGTTCTTTGGACCAATAACATACTGTGACAAGGCAAGATTTTCTAACGGGAAGTCCACAGATGTCTGTAATTTTTGTTTCCACCTGCCATTGTAGGAAAAATGTTTCAGATGCACTAAAAGCACAGGTGGTAACTTCCAGATTTCTTTTTTAAGAATCCCGTCGAGCTCTGCAAAGATTGCAGTAAAATCTGTTATTATCTATGAGTTTTTCTTCTTTAGAAAATAATCTAAGGCAATCCTATAATGTACATTTACTTGTGGATGCTATCAGTAGAGACAAATACATGAAGGCCTCAAGTGTCCTAGACTTTTTGTGACGGGTGAGGCACTGTACTGTAGATTTGAATTGACCCTGAAAAAGTGCAACAATAATAGACTCATAGAGCCGCTTGTGTTTCTGCCAGGCATGTTCTGCAGCTTTAAAGTCATTGAGATGATCATTATTTTCTTCTTTATATGTCTTCCGATTATCAGTTTTATTTAGATCTTCACGGAGACCATCCATTAGGAACAGAAAAAATTCTTGTGAATCTTGACTGTATCCTGCAAACTGGTAATTGATCTTCCCAATGGTGACTTTAAGGTCTTTTGGACTGATATATCTATACTGTCCTGTCCACGGGGCTTTCATGATTATACCAAATTCTTCTGCCACTTCACCTTTATGCCCCTAACAAATTTGACTTGTTAATATCATCCTGATAACAGTTTCGGTTGAAATAATCAGCCAAATGTGGAGCATTACATAGGCACTGCAATATTGAGTTCATATAACAAGTATTTCCTAAGTTACGAAGTCCAGTAAGAGCTGGTCCAGAACCTCCAAAAACAGGATTGAGTTTCCAAATCTGAGAAGCAGAAAGCCTTGAGATCTCAGCTTTAGGGTAGCATGTTGGCTTGTCTTCCTGATTAACTGTTGGAGTTACTGCTGGCTTCCTCTTGAATAGCCTGGGTTATATCTGGGGAGGAGTAAGAGCATTTCAGTTTGGAAGGTTCCCTATCCTGCTTAGCAGGAATCTGTGGCTTGCCTTTATGAGTTGGAGGGGTGGAAGGAGGTGCAGATGAAGGAGCCATTTCCAGTGGGTACATATGAACAGTGTTAGTGGTGAATGATAATAATGAAACGTTCCAGTGATTGGATCAAGAAACTTGGCCCAGCCTGAAGGCAGTCCTGGTACCATCCTCCCCATTTCTTCACTTCGTGCTATTATCGAAGGTTCTCGTTGAGTTTTATTTCTTTCAGTATCATCTGTATCCTCTCTAAAAGTTTCTGTCCTTAGAATTCCAGTTTCTGGTTGTCCTTTAATCTTAAAAGGCTTGCCTGAACCTGAATCCCCTGTCGCAGATGTATGGGACACATCTCTTGTTGACTTTTTCTGTACTTCTGGGGTTGAACATCTTCTCCCCCTGTCCTCTACAGACTTCTCGGCACCAGAGGTTTCATGATCACTTTTACTTTGTCTTTTTACTCTTGTTATTTCTTTGCCCTTCTTTGCTGAGATTTCTTTATCCACTTTCTTGGCCTGTTCACGTTCTTTCTTCTCCATTTCTTCTTTTGCTTTTTGTTGCTTCTGTGTAATTTCATTTTCTTCAGCTTCTTGTTTCTTTTTGGCTTTTTGCTCGTGTTCTTCCCTCCTCAGTTTCTTTCTGTTTCCCTTGCTGTCTTTCCTGAAGTTCTTTTTCTTGTTTGTTTTTCTCCATTAGAAGAGCAGTTTCTGCATGAATATGAGCCTTTTCTTCATCTGTTAACATGAGAGTTGGAGAGGAAACTACTGGCTTGGCGGAACAATCAGGAATAACTTTTTCATTCTGAGGAGACTGTTGCTCATGATTTGTACTTTCAGATTTGATTATATGCTCTTCAGGCAATTTGACTGCCAGTTTTTTAGTATGATCAATCTGTGGAACATTCTTTATGCTAGGCACTGGCTGAATGATGGGTGAAACATCAGATTTAGAAGCAGCAACTGATTCAACTGGAATTGATATATTCAGTGGTCCTGTCCTCTCATTTTGATCATTATCACTTATTTGATCACTTATCAATTCTATGTCTTCATCCACTTCTATAGGTGGAGGTGGCATCTCGGCAGCAGGTTTAGAAGGAATTGATTCTTCCAATGAGGGATAAGTAAAATCCAATGAGATAGACAACTCTTCATTCTGGTGTTGTGGGGGTGGAGTGACCTTAGCATTTGTTGTATACTGGGAATAGCAAAGGAACCAGTTTTTATAGCCTCCCTCTAAAACCAAAGCCCAAGGCCCATTGCACAGGACAGTCTTACTTTCCCACTTGAAAAGTGCATCTTTCAGATGCCAGAGAGTTGTTCTAATCTGTAAATCTTTTGCAGAACTAAACCAGTCAAGAAGTACCATATACTCCACATTCCCCCTCTTCTTCCATGTGTCTATAGAATTATCTGGGAGGTGTGCTTCAATCCAACTAGCAGTGACTACTGGACTGATGGCTTCTTCAGGAACACTGAGAGAATGTAAAATACAGGAATCCTGATAATCCTGCATTCTTTGAGCATCCATTATAATCAAGCTGATGTTTTTATCCATCATCATTGTGTATAGTTCCTTTGCTGTGATTGCTCCTTTCTCTTTGGTCTCACATTTTTCATTCTTTTCACCATTGCTCTTTTGGGTTTTGTCTTTGGAATCCAATACAATCTCCAAAGAACCTTTAGCCAACGTGCTGCCATCCTCTCTTCCTGTTTCCTGCCTTTTTTGTTGTAGCCACTGTGCTTCCCCCTGCTTGTCCTTTTCCTCAAGTTTTTTCCAGATTTCAACTTCTTCATATCTTAGTTTAAGGCTTTCAGAGAGTCGTTCAGTTTCTCCAGTGGCTTTTTTGATGTTTGCAGGTCCAAGTATTGAATGGAAGTAATACTGCTGTTGCTTGAAATCAGTTCTTTTTTGGATAGGATTATAAACAGTCACGTTTCATATACGTGTGTGAGCTTTTTTTCATATGTTTCTTGGCCACGTAAATGTCTTCCTCTGAGAAGTGTCTGTTTATATCCTTTGCCCACTTTTTGATGGGGATGGGTTTTTTTCTTGTAAATTTGTTTAAGTTCCTTGTAAACAAACATGTGAGCTCTCATCATTCTTGTTTAAACACCTAACAGTCATCCTAACCAGTGCAACAAGGACCAGGCATGGTGGCTCATGCCTGTAATCCCTGCATTTTGGGAGGCTGAGGTGGGAGGATCACTTGAGATCAGGAGTTTGAGACCAGCCTGATAAGTGAGACCTCATCTCTACCAAATAATAATAATTTTAAAAGAAAAAAGATCAATGGATAAGAAAGGAAGAAATGAAAGTCTTTCTTTGTCACCAGCTTCATTGTATATGTAGAAAACACTAGGGAATTCTGAAAAAGTCTCTGGAATTAATCATTGAATTTGCAAAATAGTTCATAAAATATATGTAATAAGTCGCTTAGATGAACATGAAAAGATAGCAAACAATACTAGTCATCAAAGAAGTGCAAGTTAAAACCACAATGAGAAACCATCACACATCACCTAGAGCAGATAAAGTTAAAAAGACATATGATAAGTCTTAACACTGGCAAGAATATGGAAAAAATAGGAATGTCTGATATTGCTGGTAGGAATGCAAAAAATGTGGCAGCCAATTTGTAAAGCGGTATGGCAATTTCTTATACAGTTACCCATCTATTACCACATGGCCCAGCAATTCCACAAATACGTATTTATCCAAAAGAAATAAAAATGTAAGTCCACACTTGTAAGCAGTTATTTATAGTGGCTTCATTAATAACAAGCCCTAACTGGAGGAATCCACATGTCTATCAACTGGAGACACAGAAACCAATGAATAAACTGGGATTCCAGCAATACTCGGCAGCTGCTCAGCAACAAAAATGAATGAATGGCATCATCTCAAACATCGTTATGCTAAGGGAGAGACCAAACAAAAGACTACATAACATATGATTGCATGTCCATGAAATTCTAGAAATGTCACTATTGCAGTGACAGAAAGCACAGCAGTGGTTGAATGAAGGGAAGGGGTGAGGGTGGGAGGCAAGGATTAAATAGAAAGGGGGATAAAGAAAGTTTTTAGGGAAAAGAAACTGTTCTCTACAGCGCCACAACTCAGGAGTGACTGGGAGGGGGAGGTAAGGGGAGAAGAAGGTCTGAGGGATAAGGGGCAGAGAGAAGGGCTGGGGAAGCAGGAGGTGAGGACAAGGAGCAGGGGAAAGGACTCTAAAGCAGTGGAGGGGCCTAGTAGGAGGATCTTTGCATTTGGTGTTTCTCTACTGGGCAGTGTGGTAGTTACACTATAAATAATTACCAATATCCACCAAAAAGTGCAGCTAAAACTGGTGAATTTTTTTACACGTAAACGCCCTAATAAGCAAAAAAAAAAAAAAAAAAAAAAAAAAAAAGGGGGGGGGGAGGGGGGAGGAAAGAAGGCAAAAATAAAGACATTGTTAGATCATCAAACCCATAAAATTCATTTCCTAGGGGTCCTGTACTACATGTAATTTTAAAGGACGTTCTACAGGCTGAAGGGAAATGATACTAGATGGTGACCCAGATATACAGAAAGGAACAATTAACAACAGAAATGATGCACATACACATATCACATACACACTCATTTTCTTAATTTCCTGAAGATACGTGACTGCTTGTCTAAAACAAAAAGTATTACACTGTATCGTTGAGTTTATAACGTATATTGATGTAACATATACAATAATAATAGCATAATGATAGTTTAAATGAAACTACACCATTTGAAGTGTCCTTTATTTTGCTGGATGCAGCTTAATATTACCTGAATTTCACTGTGAAAAGTCAAGGAATTGGGTTTCAATTCTTACAACAATAAAAAATTAATGTAAAGAAATATAGCTAAAAGCCACTAGGAGAATTAAAACCATAAGCTAAAAAATGTTTACTTGACACATAAGAAAGTAGCAAAGGAGGAACAGAAACAAAAAGATACGAGACAAATTGAAAACGTATAGCAAAATGGTAGACCAAAATCCAACCATTATAAGTGAAGAAATGACACGACCTGAGTCACATTAGCAGGACTGCTGAGCACTGTGGGGAGAACAGACATGGGCAGGAGGTGAGGGACAGTGTTAGTGCCACAATTCAGGAGTGACAGGGTGGCGGGGACTAAAGGGGAAAGAGGGTGTGAGGGATGAGAGGGGCAGAGAGAAGGGCTGGAGAAGCAGGAGGTGAGGAAAAGGAGCAGAGGAAAGAATTCTAAAGCAGTAGAAGAGCCTGGCAGGGGGTTCTTTGCATTCGGTATTTAATACATTTTGTGTGACTGCCTTAAAACTAATGGGCTCCTTATGATTTTTTTTTAAAAAGGGGTTACAAAAATATCAAGTGTCCAAATAAAATATGCACACTGCTTAGATGTGCATAGTTCACGAAAACGGGCAGTGCTGGAGCGCTGGTGAAGAGCATTGGGACTGCATGGAGCCCTCGCAACTTTGAGGTGATGACTACAGGCTCCCGGTTGCAATAGACAGTAACAAACCCTGCTTCTTTGTATTCAGGAGATGTTCTGGACTCACACAGGGAAACTCTGGCTAGAGAATGAGGATAACTTTAAATGCAACAACCCAGAGTCACAGATCCATAGTCTGCGAAAGTAAAACAGGAGCTTTGAGAATTTAATTGTAATGCAGTTTTGACACAGGTCTTTCACAGATTGGAATTCTAATCATTCAGGGATTACCAATATTGTGCTACCTACTGTATCAATAAACAAAAAGGAAACTGGTCTCTATGAGAATCTCTACCTGGTGCTTTCAGACAAAACTTCACCAGGTTTAAAGAGAAAACTCCTGACTCTACACGTCCATTCCCAGGGCGAGCTCACTGTCTGGCATCAAGTTCCCCATGGTGAGTTTCCCTGTACAAGAGTCCAAGGGGAGAGGTAAGTGTCCTTTATTTTGCTGGATGTAGTTTAATATTACCTGAGGTGAGGTAAGGTAAGGCAAAGGGTGGGAGGCAGGGAGTCCAGTTCAGGGACGGGGATTCCAGGAGGAGAAGTGAAGGGGAAGGGGCTGGGCGCAGCCTTGGGGTCTCTCCCTGGTTTCCACAGACAGATCCTTGTCCAGGACTCAGGCACACAGTGTGACAAAGATGCTTGGTGTAGGAGAAGAGGGATCAGGACGAAGTCCCAGGTCCCGGGCGGGGCTCTCAGGGTCTCAGGCTCCAAGGGCCGTGTCTGCATTGGGGAGGCGCCGCGTTGGGGATTCTCCACTCCCCTGAGTTTCACTTCTCCCAACCTGCGTCGGGTCCTTCTTCCTGAATACTCATGACGCGTCCCCAATTCCCACTCCCATTGGGTGTCGGGTTCTAGAGAAGCCAATCAGCGTCTCCGCAGTCCCGGTTCTAAAGTCCCCAGTCACCCACCCGGACTCACATTCTCCCCAGAGGCCGAGATGCGGGTCATGGCGCCCCGAGCCCTCCTCCTGCTGCTCTCGGGAGGCCTGGCCCTGACCGAGACCTGGGCCTGTGAGTGCGGGGTTGGGAGGGAAGCGGCCTCTGCGGAGAGGAGCGAGGGGCCCGCCCGGCGAGGGCGCAGGACCCGGGGAGCCGCGCAGGGAGGTGGGTCGGGCGGGTCTCAGCCCCTCCTCGCCCCCAGGCTCCCACTCCATGAGGTATTTCGACACCGCCGTGTCCCGGCCCGGCCGCGGAGAGCCCCGCTTCATCTCAGTGGGCTACGTGGACGACACGCAGTTCGTGCGGTTCGACAGCGACGCCGCGAGTCCGAGAGGGGAGCCGCGGGCGCCGTGGGTGGAGCAGGAGGGGCCGGAGTATTGGGACCGGGAGACACAGAACTACAAGCGCCAGGCACAGGCTGACCGAGTGAGCCTGCGGAACCTGCGCGGCTACTACAACCAGAGCGAGGACGGTGAGTGACCCCGGCCCGGGGCGCAGGTCACGACCCCTCCCCATCCCCCACGGACGGCCCGGGTCGCCCCGAGTCTCCCCGTCTGAGATCCACCCCAAGGTGGATCTGCGGAACCCGCCCAGACCCTCGACCGGAGAGAGCCCCAGTCGCCTTTACCCGGTTTCATTTTCGGTTTAGGCCAAAATCCCCGCGGGTTGGTCGGGGCGGGGCGGGGCTCGGGGGACTGGGCTGACCGCGGGGGCGGGGCCAGGGTCTCACACCCTCCAGAGGATGTATGGCTGCGACCTGGGGCCCGACGGGCGCCTCCTCCGCGGGTATGACCAGTCCGCCTACGACGGCAAGGATTACATCGCCCTGAACGAGGACCTGCGCTCCTGGACCGCCGCGGACACCGCGGCTCAGATCACCCAGCGCAAGTTGGAGGCGGCCCGTGCGGCGGAGCAGCTGAGAGCCTACCTGGAGGGCACGTGCGTGGAGTGGCTCCGCAGATACCTGGAGAACGGGAAGGAGACGCTGCAGCGCGCAGGTACCAGGGGCAGTGGGGAGCCTTCCCCATCTCCTATAGATCTCCCGGGATGGCCTCCCACGAGGAGGGGAGGAAAATGGGATCAGCACTGGAATATCGCCCTCCCTTGAATGGAGAATGGCATGAGTTTTCCTGAGTTTCCTCTGAGGGCCCCCTCTGCTCTCTAGGACAATTAAGGGATGAAGTCTCTGAGGAAATGGAGGGGAAGACAGTCCCTGGAATACTGATCAGGGGTCTCCTTTGACCACTTTGACCACTGCAGCAGCTGTGGTCAGGCTGCTGACCTTTCTCTCAGGCCTTGTTCTCTGCCTCACACTCAATGTGTCTGAAGGTTTGATTCCAGCTTTTCTGAGTCCTGCAGCCTCCACTCAGGTCAGGACCAGAAGTCGCTGTTCCTCCCTCAGAGACTAGAACTTTCCAATGAATAGGAGATTATCCCAGGTGCCTGTGTCCAGGCTGGCGTCTGGGTTCTGTGCCGCCTTCCCCACCCCAGGTGTCCTGTCCATTCTCAGGATGGTCACATGGGCGCTGCTGGAGTGTCCCAAGAGAGATGCAAAGTGTCTGAATTTTCTGACTCTTCCCGTCAGAACCCCCAAAGACACACGTGACCCACCACCCCCTCTCTGACCATGAGGCCACCCTGAGGTGCTGGGCCCTGGGCTTCTACCCTGCGGAGATCACACTGACCTGGCAGCGGGATGGGGAGGACCAGACCCAGGACACCGAGCTTGTGGAGACCAGGCCAGCAGGAGATGGAACCTTCCAGAAGTGGGCAGCTGTGGTGGTGCCTTCTGGACAAGAGCAGAGATACACGTGCCATATGCAGCACGAGGGGCTGCAAGAGCCCCTCACCCTGAGCTGGGGTAAGGAGGGGAATGGGGGGTCACATCTCTTATCAGAGAAAGCAGAAGTCCTTCTGGAGCCCTTCAGCCGGGTCAGGGCTGAGGCTTGGGGGTCAGGGCCCCTCACCTTCTCCTCCTTTCCCAGAGCCATCTTCCCAGCCCACCATCCCCATCATGGGCATCGTTGCTGGCCTGGCTGTCCTGGTTGTCCTAGCTGTCCTTGGAGCTGTGGTCACCGCTATGATGTGTAGGAGGAAGAGCTCAGGTAGGGAAGGGGTGAAGAGCGGGGTCTGGGTTTTCTTGTCCCACTGGGAGTTTCAAGCCCCAGGTAGAAGTGTGCCCCGCCTTGTTACTGGAAGCACCATCCACACATGGGCCATCCCAGCCTGGGACCCTGTGTGCCAGCACTTACTCTTTTGTGAAGCACATGTGACAATGAAGGACGGATGTATCACCTTGATGATTATGGTGTTGGGGTCCTGATTCCAGCATTCATGAGTCAGGGGAAGGTCCCTGCTAAGGACAGACCTTAGGAGGGCAGTTGGTCCAGAACCCACAACTGCTTTCCCCATGTTTCCTGATCCTGCCCTGGGTCTGCAGTCGTAGTTCTGGAAACTTCTCTTGGGTCCAAGACTAGGAGGTTCCCCTAAGATCACATGGCCCTGCCTCCTCCCAGTCCCCTCATAGGGCATTTTCTTCCCACAGGTGGAAAAGGAGGGAGCTGCTCTCAGGCTGCGTGTAAGTGATGGCGGCGGGCGTGTGGAGGAGCTCACCTACTCCATAATTCCTCTTGTCCCACATCTCCTGCGGGCTCTGACCAGGTCTTTTTTTTTGTTCTACCCCAGGCAGCAACAGTGCCCAGGGCTCTGATGAGTCTCTCATCACTTGTAAAGGTGAGATTCTGGGGAGCTGAAGTGGTCGGGGGTGGGGCAGAGGGAAAAGGCCTGGGTAATGGGGATTCTTTGATTGGGACGTTTCGAGTGTGTGGTGGGCCGTTCAGAGTGTCATCACTTACCATGACTGACCTGAATTTGTTCATGACTATTGTGTTCTGTAGCCTGAGACAGCTGCCTGTGTGGGACTGAGATGCAGGATTTCTTCACACCTCTCCTTTGTGACTTCAAGAGCCTCTGGCATCTCTTTCTGCAAAGGCGTCTGAATGTGTCTGCGTTCCTGTTAGCATAATGTGAGGAGGTGGAGAGACAGCCCACCCCCGTGTCCACCGTGACCCCTGTCCCCACACTGACCTGTGTTCCCTCCCCGATCATCTTTCCTGTTCCAGAGAGGTGGGGCTGGATGTCTCCATCTCTGTCTCAAATTCATGGTGCACTGAGCTGCAACTTCTTACTTCCCTAATGAAGTTAAGAACCTGAATATAAATTTGTGTTCTCAAATATTTGCTATGAAGCGTTGATGGATTAATTAAATAAGTCAATTCCTAGAAGTTGAGAGAGCAAATAAAGACCTGAGAACCTTCCAGAATTTGCATGTTCGCTGTGCTGAGTCTGTTGCAGGTGGGGGTGGGGAAGGCTGTGAGGAGCCGAGTGTGGACGGGGCCTGTGCCTAGTTGCTGTTCAGTTCTTCATGGGCTTTATGTGGTCAGTCCTCAGCTGGGTCACCTTCACTGCTCCATTGTCCTTGTCCCTTCAGTGGAAACTTGTCCAGCGGAAGCTGTGACCACAGAGGCTCACCCATCGCCCAGGGCAGCCCCTGCACACGGGAGTCCCTGTGCTTTCTGAGACAAATTTTCAGACCCATTCAGCTCCTGCCCTCCTTCTAGGGCTCCTCTTCTGCTTTGGTCTCCTGCCCTCTCTCCCTTCCCTGATTCCAGTGATCTTCGTGCTGACTCCAATCCCAACTCATGAATCTAAAGCAGAGCCTAATTTAGATTTGTATTTGTTTGTAAAATTGGGTCCATAGTCTAGAATTGTTCCTTCCTGAAGAGAGAAACCTGATCGTGTGCTGCAGTGTGCGGGGCGGTTGGTGTGGGAGGAGGGATAGGGGAGGGAGGACACACAAGCAGCCCTGCTGAGAAAAGTACAGGCGGCCTCGGTGTCAGTGTGAGGGGACCTTGTGCTGCAGCTGCCACAAAACAGCACTTGGCCTGAGGCTATGTTAATAAAGATACTGGCTTTAGAGTAGGAGGTGCTCTACACTGATCATTCAACTGACCTTTGTTGTCAGCCAGACACAGGACAGAAAAGTTCTGCATCTGGGGAACACCATTGAAGTAAAATCAGAAAAATATCTGAGCATATGCTTCAGTGGTAAGAGGCAGACGATACATACACTATAACCACAGTAAGAAAAGAAAGTGATGGAAGGTGGTAAGTGCCATGAGGCAGGTGATCCGGGTATGGGCAGTGGGGACAGGGAAGGTGGCTGTTGGACAGGAGTTGTCAATGTGTGCCTTGTTGCAAAGATGACCTTTGAGGAAAGATTTGAGGGACATGAGGATGTCTGGGGAAGTTCTTTCTAGGCAAGGAAACTCCAGTCCAAATGTACTAGGGCAGGAAGGTGTCTGTGTTCCCAGAAGAGCAAGGAGGCCAGGAGGGCTGGACAGAGAAACTAGATGAGGTCAGAGGTATGGCCAGAGCAGGTGGGCTTGAGGGGAGTGGGGTTGCGTCTGACCTCGCTCTGAGTGGGATGGGGAGTTAGAGGACAGTTTTGAGCAGAAGAGAGCCATGATATGACTTCTTTCTTAAAAGGATCTCTGATGGCTGTGCTGAGAACAGAATTGAGAGGCGAGGGATGAGGGAGGCAGAAGGGAAAACAGTAGGAATCGAGTGCAGTATTCCAGGCTGGAGATGTCGGTTACCTTGACTGGGGTGTGAGCACAGGAAATAGTGGGACGTGAGGGGATTCTGGATGCATTTGAAGATGGACTCACAGCATTTGCCAATGGATTGTATCTGTGGTGTGAGAAAGACGAATCAAGGACACCCATAGTTGTAAAATGAGTGAGTAGAAGGAAGGGTGGAGCTGCTGTCAGTGGAGATGGGGAGACTCTGGCAGGAGCATCCTGAGGAGGGGGCATCACAGGCACTCAGTGGAGGAGATGTCTACTAGGAATGCAGGTGGGGGAGCTGGGGTGGCAGCTGGGCAGACAACTCCACAGTTCAGGGGAAAGGACTGGGCTGGAGAAATAGATTTAGGAGCTCACACCACATAAACGATACTTAAAACCTCAAGCATGGATGAAGCACCAAGGGAGTGATTGACTGTGGAAAAGAATCAGCGCAAGGACTGAACCCTGGACCTCCAGTTCTAAGGGATCTGATCAGACCACAGAGCAGACTGCACAGTTCTGGCCCCATGTCTAGAGGACGCTTAGACAAGGAACTCCCGTGTGCACCAGGATCACCTGGATGTGGTGCTGAGATCCAGGAAGTCTGGAGTCGAGCAAGAGATTCTGGATTTATGACAAGGCTGGAGCTCACGTTGCTGGTCTCCAGATCACACTTGGAGTAGCCAGAACACCAGGACCCCACGTCTGCATCGGCCTCGCCTGTAGGGCTTGTTATGTAAATGATTCCTTGGTCTTGTGCATAATATTGTGAGACAGGGGTTCTGAGGAGTGGCCTGAGTATTTTCTAAGCCTCCACCAGAAATCTTGTTGCTCAGCCAGATCAGGAACCTCAGAGATCAGAGAGTGCCCAGGGTGGGTGGGTGGGTTTTCAAACCCTGTTTAAAAGAGGATTTTTCTTGCAGAAAGGAAAGGGAGGATGTATATCATCAGTTAAGAGATGTGATAATCCCTGTTGATCTCTCCACCATGAGGTAGAGGCCAGGTAGACAATTCAGGATGTGGCTGTCACACAAGGAACACCTCCGAATGCTGCTCTCTGACCCTGGTCCATAGATTCATTTCTCACTCACTTCTTGGAGAAAACTATGGAAAACAAATTTCTGTAATTTATACATAAAGTAGTATACCTGGTATTGGGGGTTAATTTTATTGTGGGGAAGGCCACAGAACCAGGCTGAAAACTACACATCCCAGAAAAGAATCCATAGCCCACGCCCCTGGATCAGGTCCCTCCTAGGAACAACTGCCCCTGCTGCTGAGCACAGACACCACTGCTCACACCTCTGACATCCTGGTGCTGGACACTGGACCCCAAGGCTAGGATAGATGTCACTGCTGCCCCTGGCAACTGGACATCACTACTGACACTCAGCCATGTTTACTAAAATGCATTCTGCACAATCCCAGCCTTTCTGTGTCACCTCATTCTAGCTCAGAGTCTGGCAGTGATATAGGATTTAAGAAGAAATTATTTAGGCAGGTAGTGAGGGTACAGAAGTCTCAGTAAGGTTTTCTTTTTAATGGAAAGCAGGCCCCAAATCGTTTTCTTTTCTGACAAAGACCAGCCTGTAAAATCAAGCTTCAGACATAGACAAGCAAGCTGGAAGCTTGCACAAGTGAATGCTGGCAGCTGTGCCAATAGGAAAAGGACATCTGGGACTAGGCGTGTTCACAGTGATGGCTCCATCTTCCCTTCTTTTTGCCAGCCATGTGTTCAGTAAAGAGCAGACAACATAGCACCGGCCAATAAACTCACTCCTTGTGTGTCACTGTCCTTAATCTTCTTGGTGAGATACAATGAACCCTGAGTATTTACCTGAGACAACAATGCTGCTTCAGCAGGTGGTCATCTGACTGATGGAGTTTAAGACTCATGTCCATTATCAACTGCAGGGGTGACTGGAGTGTTGTGCTCTTCTAGGGATGGGGGTGGTTTCTATCTCCTCTTAACACATTACATGTTGTAAACCGAAAATAAACTTCAAACCCACCCTCTCCCAACCATCTTAATGGACACCCTCCTCAGCCAGGGCGCTCAAAAATTAACTTGAAAGACTGGCTCAGGCCACCATGGGAAGCAGGTGTTGAACATGCCTCATTATGGCCTCTTACCTTTTGGAATTCAGGAAAAGCTGACCAGCAATTAACATCAACACAGACCTTAAGTCTGATCAGAAACATTATAATCTATTCTCTCTGAAGCCTGGCACCTGGAGGCTTCAACTGCATGATAAAATTTTGGACTCCACAACCTCTTATCATAACCCAGACATTCCTTTTTATTGATAATAACTCAACCAATTGCCAATCAGAACATTTTAAAATCTACCTATAACCTAGAAGCAGTAACCCCCAACCCTCGCTTGCTTCAAATTGTTCTGCTTTTCTGGACTGAACCAATGTATATCTTAAATATATATTATTAGTGTCTCATATCTTCCTAAAATGTATAAAACCAACCCATACCCCAACCACATTGAGCACATGCTCTCAGGGTCTCCTGAGGGACGTGTCATGGGCTGTGGTCACTCGTATTTGGCTCAGAATAAATCTCTTCAAATATTTTATGAAGTTTGCCTCTTTTCATTGACAGTATGGAATTCTGACGTAGTAAGAGGGTTCAAGTGCTGGAGTGTGAAGGGTGGGAAAAGAATGATAAATTTTAATTATTGGAGCAGTGCTCCAAGACAAGAAATTTATTTAGTATCTGGTAGGGATTCAGAGTGTCTGAATCAACCGGTGACTAATAAATAACATCTTTCCACCCATTCCCTTGAAAATAAGTTATTACATCAAGTTTTTGTCTATCCCAGTTCATACTCCAGATTATTGGAGTGGCATGGTGTGATGGTGAAATGATTATTCACACATCTTCCCTTGGCATTGTCTCTTACTGGGATTAAAACACCCAGGTTTTGTAAGATCTCAGAGGATCTGGTTGCACACTGATGTTTTATATTAATATTTGTATTTTCTTGTGTGTGGAAATATTTCTGGGGAGAGAATCTCTGACACTTATTAGTTTTTATGTGACCCCCTCAAAGGCCTAAAAAATCCTAACTTCTAGATTAGAGGTAGGGCCACTCCATGTCTGGACAATGAACAGCTGGTAGAAACCTGTGTTTAGCAGACTTAGGGACATGAAATAAATGCTTAATTTTTTTTTATCTTTTCCTCTGGGACCGAAGAAGGTAGAGGTTTACTTGCTTACTCTTACTGTTGTTGTGGGAAGTCAAGGACCCCGAATGAGGGACTGGCTGGAGCTGCGGCAGAGGAACATAAATTGTGAAGATTTCATTTTAATATGGACATTTAACAGTTCCCAAATAATACTTTTATAATTTCTTATGCCTGTCTTTACTTTAATCTCTTAATCCTGTTATCTTCATAAGCTGAGGATGTACGTCACCTTAGGACCACTGTGATAATAGTGCTACAATTTGATTGTAAAACGTGTGTTTGAACAATATGAAATCAGTGCACCTTGAAAAAGAATAGAATAACAGCAATTTTTATGGAACCAGGGAAGACAACCATAAGGTCTGACTGCCTGCGAGGTTGGGCAAAAAGAGCCATATTTTTCTTCTTGCGCAGAGCCTATAAACAGACGTGCAAGTAGGAAAGATATCACTAAATTCTTTTCCTAGCAAGGAATATTAATATTAATACACTGAAGAAGGAATTCATTCCTGGGGGGAGGTCTATAAACGGCCGCTCTGGGAATGTCTGTCTTATGCAGTTGAGATAAGGACTGAGATACGCCCTGGTCTCCTGCAGAACCCTCAGGCTTACTAGGGTGGGGAAAAACTCTGCCCTGGTAAACTTGTGGTCTGACCACTTCTCTGCTCTCAAACCCTGTTTTCTGTTGTTTAAGATGTTTATCAAGACAATACGTGCACTGCTAAACATAGACCCTTATCAGTGGTTCTGCTTTTGCCCTTTGTCTTGTTCCCTCAGAAGCATGTGATCTTTGTTAGACTCTTATTAGTAGTTCTGCTTTTTGCACTCAGAAGCATGTGACTTTTTACCTACTCCTTATTCTTACACCCCCTCCCCTTTTGAAACCCTTAATAAAAACTTGTTGGTCTGAGACTCAGGCAGACATCATGGTCCTACCGATATGTGATGTCACCCCTGGTGGCCCAGCTGTAAAATTCCTCTCTTTGTACTGTCTTTCTTTATTTCTCAGCTGGCCGACACTTATGGAAAATAGAAAGAACCTATGTTGAAATATTGGGGGTGGGTTCCCCCAATATACTGTAAGTTTCTCTCTGTGGGATGGTGATGGGGTTTTCCTCCAGCCAAATAATTTTCTGATTCTCCAACAGCAATTGGGAGTCCTAGGATTTGACTCAATTCTGACACTAACTACCTGGAGTTAGCCTCAGACTCCACAGGTTTAAGGACTCAGTCTCACAAGTCTGTCCTCACTTCAGATGCAAGTCACAAGTTATCGGGTTCCAGGTTACCTGCACTTCTGTCTATCATGGCTGCAAAGTCAGGGGTTTCTCACCTCCCAAGGTTTGGGAATTCTTAAACTAACTCAAAGAACTCAGGAAGTTGCTATAACCATGTAAACCAAAAAACATCTGAGACAGGTATCAATCAATTTAGAAGTTTATTTTGCCAAGCTGAAGATGTACCTTGGAAACAGAGACACAAATTATTGTAGCATCTGTGGCCCATGCTTTTTACTAAGAGGGTTTTGAGGACTTTAATATTTACAGGAGAAAGAGCAGGCAGGAGAGGAAAAAGGAACAGTCAACTATGCTTTCATCGAGTGCTCAGTAAATCTGCATTTTACATAAGACAAAGTAAATGTTGGGTAGAGAAGTCAAATACACATTTGTCTCCAGGTGAGTGGAGGGATGATTTCTGGTCTTGTCTTTGTCCTTCACCTGTGAAGATAAGCTGTTAATTTACATTGTTAGGGTGAAATTCAACAAAACTCTGTTTTAGAGTAAAGATGTTGGGGCCCACAAGGAATTATCTGGTGAGCAATTTGTGAGGGAGGCCACCTGGGGAGATATATGTTCCTCTATCTTTGCAGTTATTTGTTTAGGAACAAAAGAAAGGCGGTTTTTCCATCACTCAGTTACCAAACTTAACTTGTCCCTTTGGTATAGTGAATTTGGCGTCCCTAAATTTTATTTTTCTTTCACACTCAGTATTGTAGTTTATTATTGTTATAGCTTAAATCAGTGGTCCCAACTTTTTGGCACCAGGGACCAATTTCATGGAAGACAATTTTTCCATGGACCAGCAGAGGTGGCAGGGAATAGAGGGGAATGGATTGAGGATGAAACTGTTCCACCTCAGATGATCAGGCATTACTGTTTCATATGGAGCATGCAACCTAGATCCCTCACATGCAGAGTTCACAATAGGGTTCATGCTCTTATGAGAATCTAATTCCGCCACTGATCTGACAGGAGGCAGAGCTCAGGTGGTCATGCTCATGCTCTCTCACCCACCAGTGACCTCCTGCTGTGTGGTCTGGTTCCTGCCAAGCCAGGAACCTGTACCAGTCCACAGCCGGGGGTTACGGACTCTTGGTTTAAATTATGCCACTATAGTAGAACACCTGAGACTGGATAACTTAAAACGAACAGAAATTTATTTGGTTCATGGTTGTTGAGGATGGGAATTCCAAGACCAAGGACAGTACCTGGTAGAAAGCAAAAGGGCAAGAGAGGGTGAGAGGTAGGGGGAATAAGAGGTCAAACTCACAGCCTCAGGTCCTTTTATGATCAAACTTAATTCATTAATGGAGGCAGAGCTCTGATGGTCCAATCACCTCTCAAAGGTCCCACCTCTTAAAAATGTTGCATTCAGGATAAATTATCCAAGAGATGCTTTTCTAGGGAAACATTCAAACCATAGCAGTTATAAAGGGTACAAATGAGCAGCCAGATGAAGAGGTGCACAGGGTGTGGCCTGGGAGGGCTCTGAGCACAGGAGCCTCTGTCCCCATGGAGATGAGGTTCACCATCCTCCCAGCACATGGACACACGGATGTGCTCAGCAATTGGGAAGCTCTCCAAAACCCAATCTCTAGAGGTTTCTATGGAAGTTTCATTGTGTAGGCAAGATTAATTAAATCAATGGCCACTGGTGACTGAACTCAACTTCCAGCCCCCTTTGCTTCTCAGAGGTAAGGGATACTGCTGAAATTTCCAATCCTCTAATCACAGCTTCGTGTTTCTGGCAACCAGCCCCCATCCTGAAGCTATTTAGGAGCCCCTCACCCCATAGTCATCTCATTGGCATATTAAAGTCATACTTATCACTGAGGAGATTGCAAATGTTTTGGAACCTGCTTGTCAGGAAACAGGGAAAAAGACCAGATATTTTTATTGGGCCACAGATCACACCCTGGTCTTTGACCACATTATCTCTTTTTATAATATTTATTTATTTCAGAGACAAGGTCTTGCTCTGTTGCCCAGGGTAGAATGCAGTGGCACAATCATAGCTCATTGTAACCTTGAATTCCTGGGCTCAAGTGATCCTCCTGCCTCAGCCTCCTGAGCAATAGCATTACAGGTACACACCAGCATGCCCAACTAATTTTTTAAAGGTTTTGTAGGAATGGGGTCTCACTATTTTGCCCCAGTTGGTTTCAAACTCCTGGCCTTAAACAATCCTCCTACCATGGCCTCCGAAACTGATGGAATTACAAGTCTGAGCCACTGTGCCTGGCCAATCACAGATCTCCTATACCAGAAGAATCATAACAGTGAGAAGATCCTGGCACATTACCAGAATCCTTTTTGGTCATGAAAAATTATCCCAGGGGAGATCATTCCAAGATAGCCAAATAGGAACAGCTCCAGTCTACAGCTCCCAGCGTGAGCGGTGCAGAAGACGGGTGATTTCTGCATTTCCAACTGAGGTACTGGGTTCATCTCATTGGGACTTGTCACACAGTGAGTGTTGCCCACAGAATGTGAGCTGAAGCAGGGCAAGGCATTGCCTCACCAGGGAAGCACAAGGGCTCAGAGAATTCCCTTTCCTAGCCAAGGGAAGCCATGAGAGATGGTACCTGGAAAATCGGGACACTCCCACCCTAATACTGTGCTTTTCCAACAGTTGTAGTGAATGGCACACCAGGAGATTATATCCCATGCATGGCTCAGTGGGTCTCACACCCATGGAGCGTTGCTCACTGCTAGCACAGCAGTCCAAAATTGAACTGGGAGGTGACAGTGAGGCTGGGGGAGGGGCGTCTGCCATTGCTGAGGCTTGACTAGGTAAACAAAGTGGCAGGAAGCTCAAACTAGGTGGAGCCCACTGCAGCTCAACAAGGCCTGTCTGCCTCTGTAGACTCCACCTCTGGGGGCAGGGCATAGCTGAACAAAAGGCAGCAGAAACTTCTGCAGACTTAAATGTCCCAGTCTGACAGCTTTGAAGAGAGCAGTGGTTCTGCCAGCATGGAGTTTGAGATCTGAGAACGGACAGAGTGCCTCCTCAAGTGGGTCGCTGACCTCTGAGTAGCCTAACTGGGAGACACCTCCCAGTAGGGACCGAATGACACCTCATACGGCCGGGTGCCCCTCTGAGACGAAACTTCCAGAGGAAGGATCAGGCAGCAACATTTGCTGTTCTGCAATATTTGCTGTTCTGAAGCCTCTGCTAGTGTTACCCAGGCAAACAGGGTCTGGAGTGGACCTCCAGCAAACTCCAATAGACCTGCAGCTGAGGGTCCCGACTGTTAGAATGAAAACTAACAAACAGAAGGAATAACATCAACAAAAGGGACATCTACACCAAAACCCCATCTGTAGGTCACCATCATCAAAGACCAAAGGTAGATAAAACCACAAAGATGGGGAGAAACCAGAGCAGAAAAGCTAAAAATTCTAAAAATCAGAGCACCTGTTCTCCTCCAAAAGATCGCAACTCCTCCCTAGCAATGGAACAAAGCTGGATGGAGAATGACTTTGACAAGTTGACAGAAGTAGACTTCAGAAGATTGGTAATAACAAACTTCTCTGAGCTAAAGGAGGATGTTCGAACCCATCGCAAGGAAGCTAAAAACCTTGAAAAAAGATTAGATGAATAGTTAGCTAAAATAAACAGCATAGAGAAGAACTTAAATGACCTGATGGAGCTGAAAACCATGGCATGAGAACTACATGACGCATGCACAAGCTTCAGTAACCAATTCGATCAAGTGGAAGAAAGGGTATCGGTGATTGAAGATCAAATGAATGAAATGAAGCAAGCAGAGAAGTTGAGAGAAAAAAGAGTAAAAAGAAATGAACAAAGCCTCCAAGAAATATGGGACTATGTGAAAAGACCAAATCTACATTTGATTGGTGTACCTGAAAATGACAGAGAGAATGGAACCAAGTTGGAAAACACTTTTCAGGATATTATCCAGGAGAACTTCCCCAACCTAGCAAGGCAGGCCAACATTCAAATTCGTGAAATACAGAGAACGCCACAAAGATACTCCTCAAGAAGAGCAACCCAAAGACACATAATTGTCAGATTCAATAAGGTTGAAATGAGGGAAAAAATGTTAAGGGCAGCCAGAGAGAAAGGTCAGGTTACCCACAAAGGGAAGCCCATCAGACTAACAGTGGATCTCTTGGCAGAAACTCTACAAGCCAGAAGCAAGTGGGGGCCAATATTCAACATTCTTAAAGAAAAGAATTTTCAACCCAGAATTTCATAACCAGCCAAACTAAGCTTCATAAGTGAAGGAGAAATAAGAGCCTTTACAGACAAGCAAATGCTGAGAGGTTTTGTCACCACCAGGCCTGCCTTACAAGAGCTCCTGAAGGAAGCACTAACATGGAAAGGAACAACCAGTACCAGCCACTGCAAAAATATGCCAAATTGTAAAGACTATCGATGCTAGGAAGAAACTGCATCAACTAACGGGCAAAATAACCAGCTAACATCATAACGATAGGGTCAAATTCACACATAACAATATTAACCTTAAATGTAAATGGGCTAAATGCCCCAATTAGAAGACACAGACTGGCAAATTGGATAAAGAGTCAAGACCCATCAGTGTGCTGTATTCAGGAAACCCATCTCACGTGCAGAGACACACATAGGCTCAAAATAAAGGAATGGAGGAAGATCTACCAGGCAAATGGAAAACAAAAAAAGCAGGGGTTGCAATCCTAGTCTCTGATAAAACAGACTTTAAACCAACAAAGATCAAAAGAGACAAAGAAGGCCATTACGTAATGGTAAAGGAATCAATTCAACAAGAAGAGCTAACTATCCTAAATATATATGCACCCAATACAGGAGCACCCAGATTCATAAAGCAAGTCCTTAGAGAACTACAAAAAGACTTAGACTCCCACACAATAATAATGGGAGACTTTAACACCCCACTGTCAACATTAGACAGATCAACGAGACAGAAAGTTAACAAGGATATCCAGGACTTGAACTCAGCTCTGCACCAGGCAGACCTAATAGACATCGACAGAACTCTCCACCCCAAATCAACAGAAAATACCTTCTTCTCAGCACCATATCACACTTATTCCAAAATTGACCACATAGTTGGAAGTAAAGCACTCCTCAGCAAATGTAAAAGAATAGAAATTATAACAAACTGTCTCTCAGACCACAGTGCAATCAAATTAGAACTCAGGATTAAGAAACTCACTCAAAACCACTCAACTACATGGAAACTGAACAACCTGCTCCTGAATGACTACTGGGTACATAACGAAATGAAGGTAGAAATAAAGATGTTCTTTGAAACCAATGAGAACAAAGACACAACATACCAGAATCTCTGGGACACATTTAAAGCAGTGTGTAGAGGGAAATTTGTAGCACTAAATGCCTGCAAGAAAAAGCAGGAAAGATCTAAAATCGACAGCCTAACATCACAATTAAAAGAACTGGAGAAGCAAGAGCAAACACATTCAAAAGCTAGCAGGAGACAAGAAATAACTAAGATTAGAGCAGAATTGAAGAAGATAGAGACACAAAAAACCCTTCAAAAAATCAATGAATCCAGCAGCTGGTTTTTTTGGAAAGATCAACAAAATTGATAGACCGTTAGCAAGACTAATAAAGAAGAAAAGAGAGAAGAATCAAATAGACACAATAAAAAATGATAAAGGGGATATCACCACCAATCCCACAGAAATACAAACTACCATCAGAGAATACTATAAACATCTCTATGCAAATAATCTAGAAAATCTAGAAGAAATGGATAAATTCCTGGACACATACACCCTCCCAAGACTAAACCAGGAAGAAGTTGAATCCCTGAATAGACCAATAATAGGCTCTGAAATTGAGGCAATAATTAATAGCCTACCAACCAAAAAAAGTCCAGGACCAGATGGATTCACAGCCAAATTCTAACAGAGGTACAAAGAGGAGCTGGTACCATTCCTTCTGAAAATATTCCAATCAATAGAAAAAGAGGGAATCCTCCCTAACTTATTTTATGAGGTTGGCATCATCCTGATACCAAAGCCTGGCAGAGACACAACAAAAAAAAGAGAATTTTAGACCAATATCCCTGATGAACATGGATGCAAAAATCCTCAGTAAAACACTGGCAAACCGAATCCAGCAGCACATCAAAAAGCTTATCCACCATGATCAAGTGGGCTTCATCCCTGGGATGCAAGGCTGGTTCAACATACACAAATCAATAAACATAATCCAGCATATAAACAGAACCAAAGACAAAAACCACATGATTATTTCAATAGATGCCAAAAAGACCTTCAACAAAATTCCACAGCCCTTCATGCCAAAAACTCTCAATAAACTAGGTATTGATGGGACGTATCTCAAAATAATAAGAGCTATTTATGACAAACCCACAGCCAATATCATACTGAATGGGCAAAAACTGGAAGCATTCCCTTTGAAAACTGGCACAAGACAGGGATGCCCTCTCTCACCACTCCTACTCAACATAGTGTTGGAAATTCTGGCCAGGGCAATCAGACAAGAGAAAGAAATAAAGGGTATTCAATTAGGAAAAGAGGAAGTCAAATTGTCCCTGTTTGCAGATGACATGATTGGATGTTTAGAAAACCCCATCATCTCAGCCCAAAATCTCCTTAAGCTGATAAGCAACTTCAGCAAAGTCTCAGGATACAAAATCCATGTGCAAAAATCACAAGTATTCCTATACACCAATAACAGACAAACAGAGAGCCAAATCATGAGTGAACTCCCATTCACAATTGCTTCAAAGAGAATAAAATACCTAGGAATCCAACTTACAAGGGATGTGAAGGACCTCTTCAAGGAGAACTACAAACCACTACTCAACGAAATAAAAGAGGACATAAACAAATGGAAGAACATTCCATGCTCATGAATAGGAAGAATCAATGTCGTGAAAATGGCCATACTGCCCAAGGTAATTTATAGATTTAATGCCATCCCCATCAAGCTACCAATGACTTTCTTCACAGAATTGGAAAAAACTACTTTAAAGTTCATATGGAACCAAAAAAGAGCCTGCATTGTCAAGACAATCCTAAGCCAAAAGAACAAAGCTGGAGGCATCACGCTACCTGACTTCAAACTATATTACAAGGCTACAGTAACAAAAACAGCATGGTACTGGAACCAAAACAGAGATATAGACCAATGGAACAGAACAGAGCCCTCAGAAATAATATCACACATCTACAACTATCTGATCTTTGACAAACCTGACAAAAACAAGAAATGGGGAAAGGATTCCCTATTTAATAAATGGTGCTGGGAAAACTGGCTAGCCATAGTAGAAAGCTGAAACTGGATCCCTTCCTTAGACCTTATACAAAAATTAATTCAAGATGGATTAAAGACTTAAATGTTCGACCTAAAATCATAAAAACCCTAGAAGAAAACCTAGGCAATACCATTCAGGACATAGACATGGGCAAGGACTTCATGACTGAAACACCAAAAGCAATAGCAACAAAAGCCAAAATTGACAAATGGGATTTAATTAAACTAAAGAGCTTCTGCACAGCAAAAGAAACTACCATCAGAGTGAACAGGCAACCTACAGAATGGGAGAAAATTTTTGTAATCTACCCATCTGACAAAGGACTAATATCCAGAATCTACAAAGAACTTAAACAAATTTACAAGAAAAAATCAAACAACCCCATCAAAAAGTGGGCAAAGGATATGAACAGACACTTCTCAAAAGAAGACATCTATGCAGCCAACAGACACATGAAAAAATGCTCATCATCACTGGTCATCAAAGAAATGCAAATCAAAACCAAAAGGAGATACTATCTCACACCAGTTAGAATGGCAATCATTAAAAAGTCAGGAAACCACAGGTGCTGGAGAGCATGTGGAGAAATAGGAACACTTTTACACTGTTGGTGGGAGTGTAAGCTAGTTCAACCATTGTGGAAGACAGTGTGGCAATTCCTCAAGGATCTAGAACTAGAAATACCATTTGACCCAGCCATCCCATTACTGGGTATATACCCAAAGGATTATAAATCATGCTACTATAAATGCACATGTATGTTTATTGCACTATTCACAATAGAAAATACTTGGAACCAACCCAAATGTCCATCAGTGATAGACTGGATTAAGAAAATGTGGCACATAAGCCGGGTGCAGTGGCTCATACCTGTAATCCCAGCACTTTGGGAGGCTGAGGTGGGTGGATCACGAGGTCAGGAGATCAAGACCATCCTGCCTAATACAGTGAAAAC
This sequence comes from Homo sapiens, assembly GCF_000001405.40. Taxonomy (NCBI): domain Eukaryota; kingdom Metazoa; phylum Chordata; class Mammalia; order Primates; family Hominidae; genus Homo; species Homo sapiens. The sequence goes on along the minus strand of NT_113891.3, from coordinate 2,735,655 downwards.
CCGTCTGTACTAAAAATACAAAAAAATTAGCTGGTCATGGTGGCGGGTGCCTATAGTCCCAGCTACTTGGGAGGCTGAGGCAGGAGAATGGCATGAACCCAGGAGGCAGAGCTTGCAGTGAGCGAGATCGCACCACTGCACTCCAGCCTGGGCGACAGAGCGAGACTCCATCTCAAAAAGAAAAAAGAAAAAAAGAAAATGTGTCACAAATACACCATGGAATACTATGCAGCCATAAAAAAGGATGAGTTCATGTCCTTTGCAGGGATGTGGATGAAGCTGGAAACCATCATTCTGAGCAAACTATCACAAGGACAGAAAACCAAACACTGCATGTTCTCACCCATAGGTGGGAATTGAACAATCAGAACACTTGAACTCAGGGTGGGGAATATCACACACCAGGGCCTGTCATGGGGTGGGGACAGGGGGGAGGGATAGCATTAGGAGAAATATCTAATGCAAATGACGAGTTAATGGGTGCAGCACACCAACATGGCACATGTACACATAGGTAACAAACCTGCATGTTGTGCACATGTACCCTAGAACTTAAAGTATAATAAAAAAAAATTATCCCGGTGCAGCCCCAAAACAGAAGTAGTCTCAGCAACATAAGGCTGCACCCGTTCAGGCATTTGGTAAAATTGAGTTAAGAGACAATATCATCTCTTGCTTATATCTCTTTTGAGTAGTTCATGTAACATTGGATTTTCCTCATTGCATAACCCATTTATTCATTCATTTACCCTCAGCTACTATTTCTCCTTCTCTTCATTTATACCAAACATTTCTAGTTATGGAAGGGACATGAAGTTCTGCTGCTGTGCTGACCTAGACTGCACGGACCAATACTGTTCTAGCAATTGTCTTGCATCATCCATTCCAGTTCATAGAGGGTAGGGTTATGCAGTAGAGAACTGGTTGGCTAGCTGACCCCAGGCAATACAGCTGCATTCAGTGTTAACCCCAACTTTGCCAGATGCACTGAAGGCACAACCTACTTCTCCAGACCCTTAGGAATCATTACATAATGGACACAAAATATATTTACAGTTTCTTGCTTAGGAATAATTCCTGTTTCTGGACTTTTATTTGCATCCCTAGTCCTGAGACCACTGCATCAGGTATGAGAAAAGCAAGTTGAGGTAAAGTACAGTCATCATTCCAGTGTCCTCCCACCTTGGGAAGGATTGTATATAGATCACACCAGCACCTTCCCCTGATCCACAAGGAAAAGAGAGGATACTTTCATATCAAGTGTAAGCACACTCATGAAGGTGTGTAAGCCCACCCTTCATGCTTGTTTCCCCACTCTTGCTTTATACAACCAATGTTTCAATGGAATATTTTAATTCTTTATGGAACTCTTCCTCTGAGAAGGATGTCTTTCTGGAATTTTGAGCAAGCGCATTTTCTGGTGTAAAGAAATGTGACTCAGTGGTCCACATGGTTGCAGTACCTCCCATTCAAGCTCTTAGTAGCACTCTGAGCATTTGCATCTGAGATAAAGCAGGGACCTCTCTTAGAAGCCTGCCAGGGCCTCCCAACATGGAAATAAAGAAAAACCTTCAGTTCCTTCAAAAGAAATTCCAGGCACCTAGCCAGCCCTAAAAAGTAAGTGAGTGACCTTATAAACAAGAAGGTAATGATAGCTTAAAACGATAGCCAAGGAAGTTAGAGTCACAAGATGTTGGATTCTCTATGGAAACTAAAGAGAACATCTTAATATATGTCCCTGAGTTGTTTTTCAGAAACTCAGATTCCCACCTAATAGATCCACTGACAGGAAGACCTCAGATAAGGGGAAACTGAGGACTGAACTCTGACCACTGTTCTTTGTTCTAAATTTCTTCCTGAGGGGCCTGGAGAGAGTAAAGCCCACAGGCCAGGCCTGAACATTCCTCTCTACTGCCCCCAACTGTGTAAGGAAGCTTTGCTTCCTTATGAATCACAAATCAGAGAATCTTTATCTCTATCTACGACTTGTAAGCTCCCTCATCAGGATATTCCTCCTTTTAAGGCCAAACCAGTGTGTAACTTCTATGCATTGATTTATGATGTTGCCTATAACTCTGCTTTCCTGAAATTTACCCCTATCTTTAAGAAACCTTGCTTGTGAGCCATTGAGGAGGTTGGGTCTTAACTGTGAGCTGGCTGATTCTCCTTGCTTGGCACCCTACAAATAAATGCCCTCCTTTATCTCACTACAAAATCTCAGTATGGATGTTTGTTTTTACTGCCCCTGGTGAGTGGACTCCAGTTCTGTTTGGTAACACATCTACCAGCAGCTGAGCAATGCCCAGCTCCAGGGTGCGTATCTATTGCTGCCAAGACCCATTTGCTGCTTCCTGGGGCTACTGGTATCAGTGTAACTTGCCAGCTCTGTATTTTCAAGATCTTCCCATAAAAGAATCTGCCACATAGCCATATGCTATCTCTGTCTCTCTCTCTTTTTTTTTGTTAAAGAAAACACTTATATGTATTTTGTGCCTGTGATGTGGGGAATGCAAGAGGAATATGCCTTGATTCCATCTCTCTCTGCATTGCTACAGCCCCAGTGTCTACTTATTTCATGGACCCAGGGGATCACCACAAGCAAACGTGGATTTTTTTTAGATGTGGTCTTGATATCTTTCTCTGGCTGGACTCAAGTGCTGCTCAGGCCAAACTCTAACTCCTGGACTCAAGATATCCTTCTGCCTCAGCTGTTGTCATAGCTGGAATTACAGGTGCACCTGGCAAACACTTGGAGATAAATGCTTGTTTATTTCAATCACCTTCCAAACCTGGAAGGGAGTTATTCTGATGGGCATTGATGGGCACTGAGGGGACGGTGCTAAACCATTCATGAGAAACTGCCCCCGTGATCCAATCACCTCCCTGCAGGTCCCACCTCTAATGCTGGGGATTCCATCCAACATGAGATTCGGGCAAGAACAACATCCACTCTATATCAGGCATCAACGTGTCTTACATTAATGAACCTCTCAAATTACCATCGTGATTTCCATAGGACTGTGTCTCATTTGGGCACTCTTTTCATCAGCAAGTTTTCCTTTGCTTTCCTGATTAATTATATGGCCAGGCCATTAGTCACTGCCTGTAAGTCAATAAAAACTAAAACATAGGAGCTTTATTATTGTTCAATTCTTCCACTACTGCTGAGAAACACCCTGCAATTCAGCCCACAAGAGTTGTTCTGTTTTTATCTTCTTCGATCAAAGCGGTGGACTTCCAAACAGGATGTTGTCCATTCATCTTCCAAATGCTGTACACAAACCAACCAGCTGTTTGAGATCAGTTGACGGATATTGCAGTTCAAATCCCAGCGCTGTCTGCTGCAGAGTTCCATCTTGCTCAGAGAAGGTCAATGTTTTGTTCAATTTACACCTTCAATGAATTGAATGAAGCCCACCCACATTATAGAGATCAATCTACTTTACTCAAAGTCTAGTTATTTTGCATTAATGTTATCCAAGAAACATTCTCACAAATCATCCAGAATAATGCTTGATCACCTATCTGGGCACTGTGGTTCAGCCAAGATGACAAATAAAATTAATTATGACATTCTTCAATTTAAGAATATTCTGAGGAAATTAGCCTTTGTCCTAATAAAACAAGGAACAAACAACTGTTTCTAAAAATTTTCAACCAACAGTCAAAAAGCCATTCCTATAGATTGTTGCTCAAGTTCATTCTATAACTGTGGGTGAAAAAAACATGTATTTGTTGAAAACAGAAGGAGAGAAAAATGAATAAGCAGAAAGTAAAAAAAAAGACATGAGAATAATAATAAAGATGACAGCCGTTATTTCACTGGAAACAATGCAAATGAGAAGACAGATGAGCAACATCTTTAAAGTCCTAAAAGGAAAATACTGTGAAACTAGATTCTATTCCCAGAAAATAATACCTTTCTAAAACATATATATGTATAATTTAAATTGACAAATCATAATACATTCATGAGATGTTGTGTGATGTACTGATATATGTATACCATGTGTAATGATTAAATCAAACTAATTAACCAATTAACATACCATGAATATAGCTATCGAAAAATAGATTTTAGTTATATAGGGAGTGAAAAAGGTTATAACTAGCAGATCTAAACTATAATAAATGTTTCAGTCCTTCAGGCAAAAAGAAAATTAAGGGACTAGTTGGCACAGCATTTAGTGATGAAAAGACAGCTTCATTTCCTTTTTCCACTGAGACAGAGAACACAGCCCAGGGTCCTGGGAATTGCTCAACCCAATCCACCACGGTGGACACCTGAGAACTCCTCCTGGGTAACCGAGGTTGGGTGCTATCACCTTAGCTGTCACCTACCTGCAAACACCACCTATGGGCATTCCACCCAGCCTATCATAGCTACTGCTAACATTAATGCACACTTTTTGGGACCAGTAGTTCTCCTTGCAGACATCTTTTACCTCCCAAATTAGCATTATTCCTAGGTATTGTATTCTTTTTGTGGCAATTGTGAGTGGGAGTTCATTCCTGCTTTGGCTCTTGGCTTGCCTGTTGTCAGTGTGTAGAAATGCTAGTAATTTTTGCACATTGATTTTGTATCTTGAGAATTTGCTGAAGTTGTTTATCAGCTTAAGAAGCTTTTGGACTGAGGCTATGGGTTTTTCTAGTTATAGAATCATGTCATCTGCAAACAGGAATCATTTGAATTCCTCTCGTCCTATTTGAACATCCTTCTTTTTTTTTTTTTTTTTTTTTAATTTCACTTGCCTGATTGCCCTGGTCAGAATTTCCGATACTGTGTTGAACAGGAGCAGTGAGAGAAGGCATCCTTGTCTTGTGCTGATTTCAAGGAGAATGCTTCTAGTTTTGCCCATTCAGTATGAAGTTGGCTGTGGGTTTGTCATAGATGGCTTTTATTGTTTTGAGGTATATTCCTTGAACACCTAGTTTATTGAGAGTTTTTTTAAAAACATGAATAGAGTTTGAATTTTATCAAAAGCCTTTTCTTCATCAACTGAGACAATCATGTAGTTTTTGTCTTTAGTTCTGTTTACGTGATGAATCACATTTATTGATTTGCATATGTTGAACTAACCTTGCATCCTGGCGATGAAGCCTACTTGATTGTGGTGGATAAGGTTTTTGATGTGCTGCAGGATTCGGTTTGCCAGCATTTTGTTGGAGATTTTTGCATTAATGTTCATCAAGAATACTGGCCTGATGTTTTCTCTTGTTTGTTGTTGTTGTATCTCTGCCACATTTTGGTATCAGGATGATGCTGGCCTAATAGAATGAGTTAGGGAGGAGTCTCTCCTCCTCATTTTTTGGGAATAGTTTCAATAGGAATGGTACCATCTCTTCTTTGTACATCCAGTAGAATTCACCTGTCAATCATCTGGTCCTGCACTTTTTTTTTTTTTTTTGGTAGGCTCTTCATTACTGCCTCAAGTTCAGAACTCATTATTTTTTCAGAGATTGCATTTCTTCCTGGTTCAGTCTTGGGGGCGGTGTATGTGTCCAGGAATTTATCCATTTCTTCTAGATTTTCTAGTTTATGCGCATAGAAGTGTTCATAATATTTTCTGGTGGTTTCTTGTATTTCTGTGGGGTCAGTGGTAATGTTCCTCTTATTGTTTCTGATTGTGTTTATTGGAATTTTCTCTCTTTTCTTCTTTATTAGCTTAGCTAGTGGTCTATTTTATTAATTTCTTTTAAAAAACCTCCTGAATTTATTGATCCTTCAAATGGTTTTTTGTGTCTCTGTCTCCTTCAGGAGACAATACTTTTGTTAATTTTTTTTGTTATTTCTTGTCTTCTGCTAGCTTCGGGATATGTTTGCTCTTCATTCTTAAGTTCTTTTAGGTTTGATTTTAGGTTGTTGACTTGAGATCTTTCTAACTTTTTGATGTGGGCATTTACTGCTATAAATTTCCCTCTTAACACTGCCTTAGCTGTTTCCCAGAGGTTCTGGTACATTGTATCTTTTTTCTCATTAGTTTCAAAGAACTTCTTGATTTCTACCTGAATTTCATTATTTACTAAAAGTCATTCAAGAACAGGTTATTTAATTTCTAAGTAATTATATGGTTTTAGTGAATTTCTTATTCTTGATTTTGAATTTGATTGCACTGTAGTCTGAGAGACTATTTGTTATGATTTCAGTTCTTTTGCATTTGCTGAGGAGTGTTTTACTTCTGATTGCGTGATTGATTTTAGAGTAAGTGCCATGTAGCAATGAGAAAAATGTATATTCTGTTGTTCTGGGGTCTGGAGTTCTGTAAATATCTATCAGGTCCATTTGCTCCAGGGCTGAATTCAGGTCCTGAATATCTTTGTTAATTTTCTGTCTTGATGATCTGTCTAATATTGTCAGTGGGGTATTAAAGTCCACCACTTCTACTGTGTGAGGTTCTAAATCTCTTTGACGGTCTCTAAGAACCTGCCTTATAAATCTGGGTGTTCCTCTATTGGATGCATATATATTTAGGATAGTTAGATCTCTTCATTGAATTGAACCCTTTACCATTATGTAATGCCCACCTTTATCTTTTTTTATCTTTCTTGGTTTAAAGTCTGTGTTGTCAGAAACTAGGATTGCAACCCTGGCTTTCTTCCGCTTTCCATTTGCTTGGAAAATTTTCCTCCATCTCTTTATTTTGTGCCTATGTGTGTCATTGAATGTAAGATGAGTGTATTGTAGGCAGCATACTGATAGGTCTTGGTTCTTTATCCAGCTTGCCCTTCTGTGTCTTTTAAATGTGGCATTTAGCCCATTTACATTTAAGGTTAGTATTGATATGTATGGATTTGATCCTGTCATCATGGTGTTAGCTGGTTACTTTGCAGACTTGCTTATGTGGTTGCTTTATTGCGTCACTGGTCTATGTACTTCAGCGTGTTTTTGTAGTGGCTGGTAACTGTCTTTCCTTTCCATATTTAGTGCTTCTTTTAGGAGTTCTTGTAATGCAGGTCTGGTGGTAATGAATTCCCTTGGCATTTGTTTGTCTGAAAAGAATTTTATTTCTTTTTTGCTTATGAAGCTTAGTTTGGCTGGATATGAAATTGTGGGTTGGAAATTCTTTTCTTTAACAATGTTCAATACTGGCCCTCAATCTCTTCTGGTGTGTAGGGTTTCCACTTGGAGGTCCACTGTTAGTCTAATGGGCTTCCCTTTGTAGGTGACCTGGCCTTTCTCTCTGGCTGCCCTTAACGTTCTTTCTTTCATTTCAACCATGGAGAATCTGATGATTGTATCTTGGGGATGATCTTCTCATGGAGTAACTTACTAGTGTCCTCTGCATTTCTGAATTTGAATGTTGGTCTGTCTAGCTAGGTTGGGAAAGTTCTCATGGATGATATCTTGAAGTGTGTTCCAAATTGATTCCATTATTCCCATCTCTTTCAGGTATACCAATAATTCATGGATTCAGTTTCTTTACATAATCTGATGTTTCTCAGAGGTTTTGTTTGTTCCTTTTCATTCTGTTTTCTCTATTCTTGTCTTCCTGTCTTATTTTAGAAAGCTGGTCTTCAAGCACTGAGAGTCTTTCCTCCACTTGTTCTATTCTGCTGTTAATACTTGTGAGTGCACTATGAAATTCTTTTAGTGTGTTTTTCAGCTTTATCAGGTTGGTTTCATTCTTCTATAATACTGGCTATTTTGTCTGTCAGCTCCTGCAATGTTTTATCATTATTTTTAGCTTCCTTGGATTGGGTCACACTGTACTCCTTTAGCACAGTGAACTTCTTCCCTCTCCATATTCTGAATTCTACTTCTGCTCTTTCAGTCATCTCAGCTTTAGCCTGGTTCCAAACCCTTGCTGGCTTTTTGAGTTTTCAGCATTGTTGTGCTGATTCTTTCTCATCTTAGTGGGCTTATCTACCTTCATTCTTTGAGGTTGCTGATCTATGAATGGGTTTTGTTTTTCTCTTCTTTTGTTTTCTCTTTCAACAGTCTGGCCACTTTTCTGTAGGGCTACTGCAGTTTGCTGAGGGCCTGCTCCAGTCCCCAGTTGCCTCAGATTTTCCAGTAACTGGAGATATCACCAGTGAAAGCTACATAACAGCAAAGATGGTAGTCTGCCTTTTCCTTTGGGAGCTCTGTCTCAGGAAAGTACAGACCTGTTGCCAGCCCAAACACACCTGTAGGAGGTACTGGAGACCCTGGTTGGGAGGTCTTGTCCAGTCACGAGGAATAGGATCAGGATCTAGAGGTTTACCAAAGGGAGGAATACTCCCTCAGGAGACACAGAAATTATTCCATTGAGCTGGAAGCTAAGACACCCACCCGGGCCCTTCAGCTCCTCATGTTACTGAATCAACAGACAAAGGAAGGAGTTACTGCACTTTCTGGGGTGATTGGTCCTGGTCATCAGGGGGAAATTGGTCTGCTACTACACAATGGCAGTAAATAAGACTATGTTTGAAATACAGGAGATCTTTTAGAGCATCTCTTAGTAATACTCTGCTCTATAATTAAAGTCAATAAAAACTACAACAACCCAAGTCAGGCAGGACTACTAATGACCCATGCCCTTCAGGAATGAAGGTATGAGTCACCCAAGCAGGAAAAGAAACCTGATCAGCTGACGGACTTGCTGAAGGCAGTGGGACTATGGGATGGTTAGTGAAAGAAAGCTATTTACACTAGTTGTGGCCAGCACAGTGGCTCATGCCTATAACCCCAGCACTTTGGGAGGCTGAGGCAGGTGGATTCCTTAAGTTGAGGAATGTGAGACCAACCTGGGCAACATGCTGAAATTCCATCTCTACTGAAAATACATACAAAAAATTAGTCAGACTTGGTGGTGTGCTTGCAGTCCCAGCTACTTAGGAGGTTGAGGTAGAAGGATCACTTGTGCCCAGGAGGTGGAGTTTGCAGTGAGCCAAGGTAATGCCACTGCACTCCAGCCTGGGCAACAGAACAAGACCCTGTATCAAATAAATAAATAAGTAAATAAATAAATAAATAACCAGCTGTAACCATGTGATCAGTTGCAGAAATAAAGACAGTAAATGTTATAAGCATTTCTTCCTTATGTTTTTACAATGATATTTATGTCTGTGTGTATGTACCCATACATGTACTAAGCAAATACCTTTGTTTTCATCTTTTCCTTATCATCTTGTAATAAAACATAAAATGTGCTAATAATAGTTCCCTTTTATTAATGATGGTTCAACTTTTTTTAAACATGGTGTTTAGGTTACAGTATATCGAAGAGAAAAATGCTTATCATGCATTGAGTTTGAATTTTTTTCTGAGGAAATGGTTAGTGTTTTTAGATGGATGCAAGATAGCTGTATCATCTTTAGCAAAAGTATGACTTTATAATTGTTTTTATTTGGAGACTAAGTATGGTTTAAGAAAACGTTAATGGGTGCCAAGTTCACAAGCATGGACTAGGGTGGTGGGTATTATGTGTCAATTTTACTAAACCATAGTGTCTAGTTATTTAATCAAACACTAATTTATATGTTGCTATGATGGTGTTTTGCACTTGTGGTTAAAATCTTATGTCAGTTGATTTTATGAAAAAGAAATTACCCTCAAAAATGTGGGCGGGACTTTTTGAATCAGTTGAAGGCCTTTGGGCAAAGTGTGAGGCTTCTCAAAGAAGAAAAAATTCTGCCTCAAGATGACAGTAGCAACTACAGTTTAGATTTCCAATCTGCCAGCCTGGTTTACAAATTTTAGACTGAAGACTGCAACATTGTGACTTTCCAGCCTGCTAGCCTGCAGAGGAGTAATTTGTGACATCAATAATGTAAAATGAGGGGTGGAAAAAGATGTAAAGAAGCAGAGTTTCATACTGGTTTCAATTCAAAATTGTTATAGTTGTATTGTTATGTGCAATACCATAGTAATCACAAAGAAAATATACATAAAATATACACAAAAGAAAGTGAGAAGGCAATTAAAACATATCACTAGAAAAAAATCGACTAAACACAAAGGAAGGTTGGAATGAGGAAGATAAGGGACGAAACAGCTATAAGACATGCATAAAACCATCACAATTACAGAGGTAAGTCCTTCTTCATCAGTAATTACTTTAAATGTAATGGATTAAACTCCCCAATCAGAATTGAGATTATCACAATGGATATAATAAAAAGATTCTAACCATATGCTGGCTACAAGATACTCACTTTGGATCTAAGGACGCATACAAGTTGAAAATGAAAGGATGGAAAAGGATATTCCTGAAAATAGTAACTAAGAATTTTTAATGATCTCTCATAGGGTTCTATGTGTTGGCTGGGCTCAGATGATGGCCTTGGAGTTTAACATGGTTCAGGGATTGAAGTGGAAGGAACCAGATGCAGGCAGGATGGTTAACAGCAGTGCCCAGAACTGACACAACCACGTTTCTGCCCTATTTTATTGGCTAACGCAGATATCAGATCTGCTCATGTTTAAGGGGATGGAAAGAACTTACCTCTTGATGAGGGAGTGGTGGATCAAACTAAAGAAAACAAAGTGTGATGGAAGATACTTCTGCAGCCGTCTTTGGAAAATACATACAATCCAAAACATCCTATCGGCCAGAAAGGAAGAACACCATCACGCCTTACCCCTCCAGTCTAAGCCCTGTGATTCTGTAGTATCCTGGGGAAGGACCATGTCTTAGGAAGCAGATGCGGAGTCAAAGCTCTAAATAAAACCCCATCTACAGCCACAATTTCACTTTATTTTGATGAAATTTTGTGTCATTTTCGATAAAATGGGGGCTCACAAATCTCTCTTCAGGGATCTCTCCAGTGGCGGGGATGATATGCTTCCTTCTCCACAGTTCTACTTTACAGATAAGTGGATCTAGGTCTCAGTTTCAGTTATTTAAAACACCAGAGACTTGGATGCATGCATGTCACAAAAAGGTGAAAGAATGCTCTGTCACTTTCCCTTCTCTCGCTCACTGCGCCCTGAACAAGAACCTGCTCTACCTTGACCTTTTGAATGGGGAGGAGGGTCGCACTCCTGACTAAGCTTCATGCTTCCAGAGATAAACCTGCTACCCCAAAAGCATAGTTTATTATAAAGACCAAACCCTACACCAAGAGCTCTCCCTTCACCTACCAGGGCAGAAACTGAATCCCATGGAAAGGCCCAGAGAAATTGTGGCTCAAAATGTCCAGTGTCATGTCCCTTCTGCCAAAATGAAGCCAACATGTTCATCACAATATGGGGTATTGATAAGGATATCAAAATGATTACCACAAAAATTTCACAAATATATTCTTTTTATTACATCAACTTTTTTGTCCTACAAATATAAAGAAAATAAGCCTGCATAGCAGGAGAAGTTTTTCCTCTGGGAGAGAATCCTCTTCCCAATGAAAAAGCTGGAGCCAGAATCACTAGAATGGAGCAAACTTTCAGGAATGACACAGCACTGCGTCTTGGGGCAGCCAGAGTTAGGGAGGGCTCACCTTCTGCGTGACACCAACCTTTGGCTGTCTTTTTTTTTTGTTCTCACTGCAAGAACAAAATTTCAGAGTATTAAGAGACAGAGTTAAGCCAAAGAGATTTACTCTGTTTTACTCTTTAGAAAACGCAATCTCGGCCAGGAGCGGTAGCTGGCGCCTGTAATCCCAGCATTTTGGGAGGCCGAGGTGAATAGATCACCTAAGGTCAGGAGTATGAGACCAGCCTGGCCAACATGGTGAAACCCCATCTCTACTAAAAATACAAAAATTAGCTGGGCGTGGTGGCAGGCATCTGTAATCCCAGCTACTCGGGAAGCTGAGACAGGAGAAATGCTTGAACCTGGGAAGCGGAGGTTGCAGTGAGCCGAGATCGTGCCACTGCACTCCAGCCTGGGTGACAGAACAAGGCTCCATCTCAATAAAAGAAAAGAAAACAAAAGAAAGAGAAGAAAGAAAAAGAAAGAAAGAAAGAAAAAAGGAAGGAAGGAAGGAAGGAAGGAAGGAAGGAAGGAAGGAAGGAAGGAAGGAAGGAAGGAAGGAAGGAAAAGGAGTCTCCAGGTTAATCCAGACTGTTATGGGCTAAATTGCATCTCTCCAAAAATTGGCATGTTGGTGTCCTAACCCCCAGTACCTGAGAAAGTGACTGCATTTGGAGAGGTCTTTAAGGAGGTCATTAAGGTAAAATGAGGTCATATGAGTGGGTCTTAATTCAATGTGACTAGTGTCCTTATAAAAAGAGAAGATTAGACATAGACTGATGCAGAGGAATGACCATGTAAAGACACAGGGAAAACACATCTACAAGCCAAGGAAAGAAGCCTCAGAAGAAATGTGCACTGCCAACACCAAGATCTTGGACTTCCAGCCTCTGGAACTGTGGCACAATAATTTTTCTGTTCTTTACGTCACCCAGTGTGTGGTACTTTGTTATGGCAGCCCTAGCAAATTAAAACAAACATATTACCCTGCCTAGTATCTGGACATGAAATTTTTTCAAGATTATGAATTATCAGGGATTTCTAAGAAATGAGTGAATCAATTGAAAATTGACAAGTGTAGATGATAAAGGGTCATTTACAAACCACTTTGGGTCCCATGGTCACCACTCAAAAATGGAGATATCCCCATTTCTTTTCAGTTTTACTCAGAACAAAGCTTGTGGTTCCAATCTGATATATAATCACCATCTGTATTTAAGTTTCTTGAGATGTTGAAGGAATGAGTTTTCCTCTAATTTTCTAGAAGTTATGAGAAATAATTATTTTGTAATCATTACTGAAGTAAAAGAGGATTTTTACCCAGGGCTTTGCAGGTATTATGTGCTTTCTTCCTACTTTTAAGGATGTTTCTTAAAATCCCGAGCTGATGGTCAGGCACGGTGGCTCACACCTGTAATCCTAGCACTTTGGGAGGCTGAGGCGGGTGGATCACCTGAGATCAGGAGTTGAAGACCAGTCTGGCCAAAATGGTGAAACCCTAACTCTACTAAAAATACAAAAAAATTAGCCGGGCATAGTGGCACAAGCCTATAGTTCCAGCTACTTGGGAGGCTGAGGTAGGTGAATTGCTTGAACACAGTGGGGAGAGGTTGCAGTAAGCAGAGATCATGCAATTGCATTCCAGCCTGGGCAACAAGAGTGAAACTCCATCTCAAAAAAAAAAAAATCCTAAACTAATGTTTCTCTCTGCATTTACCCCTTAGTACTGGGGCAACACTCACTGCATCTCAGTAAGGATGAAATGTGTTTTCATTTATTCTCACTAGAATGGATGTGTTTATCCATGACTCACAGATGAATTAACAAGCACCAGGACTTGGAGAGATTCTCCTGAGGTCACAGCCGTTGAGTGGTGGAGCAGTGACAAGCACCTGGCACCCTTGGTCTAGTCCAGTATTCTGGGTGCCACAAGAATTGCAGAATTGCAACCTTGATTTTTATACATTTGGTTATTTTCTCTTTTTTTATTTCCTTTTTTGTTGTTGTTGTTGTTGTTGTTGTCGAGACAGGGTCTCACTCTATCACAGGCTGGAGTGCAGTGGCACAATCTCAGCTGGCTGCAACCTCCACCTTCCGAGTTCAAGTGATCCTCATGCCTCAGCCTCCTGAGTAGCTGGGATTACAGGTGCATGCCACCACATCTGGCTAATTTTTGCATTTTTGGTAGAGATGGAGTTTCATCATGTTTGCCAGGCTGGTCTCGAACTCCTGACCTCAGGTGCTCCTCCCACCTCAGCCTCCCGAAGTGCTGGGATTACAGGTGTGAGCCACCACGCCTGGCCATTTGGTTATTTTCTTAACCAGAGAAGGAAAATGCATGGTGAAAATAAAGTGCAAGAGCCCTAGGCCCTTGCCTTAGATTTACTGGGATGGGGGATGGAGAGAGAGAGGCTGCCACTGTTTCTCTGAATTCCAGCTCCCAGTGTTGGTCACTCAACTGAGAGCAGGAAAATTCACCTTGTGCACTTGGGGCATCAGGACAAAGATGACAGGGAGTCCCACATCTACCACGAAAGAGAAAAGGGTCCCTCCTGCCTTATGAATCATGTCCCAGTTTTCTAATTGCATGTGCTTTCCTGCACACATAATGATTTCTCCTTCCTTCAAGCACCAGTTGTCACAGGGCAAATACAGCAACAGCAGAAGGGAATTGCTACTGAGCCTGATGCTCTGATGGAAGCTCTGAGTGGAGACTTTATTTCACGTGTAGGTGCCTCTGAGTCAATGCAGAGTTTTGCCTGACTCCACTCTAGCTCGAATTCGATCAAGGTCTATATGCTGTGGGACCTCTCCAGTTCCTCATCAGACATGACAAAGAATGCCACATGTCCAGCTCCTGGGGTGCCTGATGGCAGTGAGAGGCAGCTCCTAATTGGGGGAGAGCTTTGGGGTTACCAAGGCCTCATAGACTTCATTACTGTTGGGCCACGTGGCTTCAGTCCCGTGACCACAATGGGTTCATGAGCCTGGATTCACCTCTGACATTCGTGTCTTTTTTTCTTGGGCTTCCACAAGTGGCCTCTGGTTGAGATGGGGGGAAAGGAAACAGGGATTCAAAATCTCTGACTGCCCAGTGGCCTCCCCTCACTTCCACTCAGAGACAACATGGCCATTTCGCTAAATTCCTGAAGACGCGGCCAATATAAGTAACAGAACACAGAGAGTTGCCTTGAACAGAGTTCCATGGAAGGGTGGCTGGTGCCCTCTAGACTCTTTGTCTACACTTGCTGGGCTTTCTTTAGCATGAAATGTCCCAGAGACAGCCACATTCTAAGCTTGGATCCTCAAAGCAAAGGGTGTGAGGGCCTTATCCCTGGCCAAATGAGCACTGAATTTGAGAGAGACCAGGAAACCTTCTAATTATTGGGACACTTTACTCCTGAATCCTGAATCCTGGAAGTTGGTTTCTGGCCAGGGAAGCAGGTGTCTTTATATCTTGTCTGTCTCTGTGAGGCCTCTTGTCCCTCTGCCCTTCCCATCTTTCTACCCCCGTTAATCCCAGAACAGATAGAAACATTCTGCCTTCTTTGATGCCTCTTGCTATAAACTTCAATGGCTTTTGATTGAATTAATAAGTGAAATCAACTTTAATAAAACATGAGGTTTAAAGAATGGCATTTGACATGGGTTTAGAATGAATAAATGGATCAAGTAATGAATTTTGAGAAAATGCATGTAAAATTTATCTTTAATTCCCAATGGCATTTTATTAACTTGACTGTGGAATTAATAAATGATTCTAAATCAATACCAAAACGTGCAATCACAAATGTGTGAATGCACAGAAGTGTGAATGAAGGGCAGTGCACACAAGAAAAAAAGATGTGCACATGAAGAACTTCTTCATTCCAGGTTTTTACTGATCCCTCTGGTCAAGATGGGATAAGAGTCCAAAAATATGCTTTCCTCACATGGTCAAATGATTCAGCATAAAATACAACTGATTGAACACAATTATCTATGCTTTAAATATATTAGAAAAAATCCATAAGGAAAAATGATCCTACAATCACTAAGATTTTAATTTATAATAAAATAAAGCCTAGAAATGTATCTTTTGTTCCCAATTCCAATGATTATAGGATTTCAGTGTTTGGCTTTGATAAGACCATTTAAAACAACTCAGGGAAGTTTTCTTAACAAACTCTATAGCAGGACCACAGCTAAACCTATGAGCATTAGTAGAAGTAAACAATGACACTGCCTTTAAAATTTCACTTTGAAAAACATGTCTGAAAGTGGCTGACTGGCTCCTAATTTAACTATCATTCGAGGTCATATGTTAGATTGGCAAAGTTGTTGTAATTTGTATGTATTTTATTTTTGTAATGCAAGTGCTTCACTCTACTATCAGATAAAATAAAATGTTAAGCTGGACATGGTGGTGCACATCTGTAGTCCCAGCTACTCAGGAGGCTGAGTGGGAGGATCCCTTAAGCCCAGGAGTTCAAGGCTGCAGGAAGCTCTGATGGTGCCACTGCATACCAGCCTGGGCAACAGAGTGAGGCCCTGAGTCTAAAAAATAAATAAATTAATTAAATGTTAACTTCAAATCTTATTGTTAGCAGTTCAACCTTGAACTGATTATTGGAGTTTTTTTTTTTGTTTTTTTTTTTTTGAGACAAAGTCTCACTCTGCCGCCAGGCTGGAGTGCAATGGCATGATCTCGGCTCACTGCAACCTCGCCTCCTGGGTTCAAGCGATTCTCCTGCCTCAGTCTCCTGAGTAGCTGGGACTACAGGCACCTGTCACCATGCCTGGCTAATTTTTGTATTTTTAGTAGAGACGGGGTTTCACCATGCTGGCCAGGCTGGTCTCGAACTCCCGACCCCAGGTGATATGGGCCTCCCAAAGTGCTGGGATTACAAGCATGAGCCACCATGTCTGGCCTTGAGATCTTATCTGAGAGAAGCTGTTGTGAAAACTTAGAGAATATGAACAAGAAGTAAATGTCAATCTTGTTTCTAAATTACAAACTAAAAGGAAATTCTATAAACCTTTAATACTAAGCTAAATCATGGTAGAATGAATGACCAAAAACTATCCTACAAAACATACCAGCTGCTAGGTGTATCTGAATACTAATAAAAGATGAATGGAAAAAATGCTCTAGGAATGAGGTCAAGAGTTCGAGACCAGCCTGGCCAACATGGTGAAACCCCGTCTCTACTAAAACTTCAAAAATTAGCCGGGCATGGTGGTGGGCACCTGTAATCCCAGCTACTCGGGAGGCTGAGGCAAGAGAACCACTTAAACCTGGGAGGCAGAGGTTGCAGTGAGCCAAGATCGCACCACTGCACTCCAGACGCGGCAACAGAGTGAGAACCTGTCTCAAAAACAAAAAACAAGGAAGGAAGGAAGGAGGAAAGAAAGAAAGAAAGAAAGAAAGAAAGAAAGAAAGAAATTATATTTAGAATAAAATTCTTACCTTATAGCAAAATTTCTTATTGAAAAACCACTTTATTTCACATACAAATAAGAATTCAGCATTTTTCTATACCCAGAGATAACAGAGATAAACAGGGGTTTTTTGTGGGGTTCAGATATTTTATTAGCTGCTGAGTGTAAGAAAATCTACCACTGAAGAAGCTGAAATCCCATTTTTCTTTGAAATGGGATCTTTCCAAAGTTAGTAACAATGAAGTTGTCATTCACATAATGGATGACTGAACAAAAAGATAGTGATAGTAGATGCTGCATTTTGTTTCTGTAATGTTGGGAACGGGCCCCCCAAAATATGGCCATAAACTGGCCCCAAAACTGGCCATAAACAAAATCTCTGCAGCACTGTGACATGTTCGTGATGGCCATGATGCCCACGCTGGAATGTTGTGGGTTTACCGGAATGGGGGCAAGGAACACCTGGCCCACCCAGAGTGGAAAACCACTTAAAGGTGTTCTTAAACCACAAACAGTAGCGTGAGCAATCTGTGCCTTAAGGACATGCTCCTGCTGCAGATAACTAGCCAGAGCCCATCCCTTCATTTCAGCCCATCCCTTTGTTTCCTGTAAGGAACACTTTTAGTTAATCTATAATCTATAGAAACAATGCTTATCACTGGCTTGCTGTCAATAAATACATGGGTAAATCTCTGTTCAAGGCTCTTGGCTCTGAAGGCTGTGAAACCCCTGATTTCCCACTCCACACCTCTATATTTCTGTGTGTGTATCTTTAATTCCTCTAGCTCTGCTGGGTTAGGGTCTCCCCCACCAAGCTGGTCTCAGTAAGCAGCACCCATACGTGGGGGCTCGAATCCAGGTTGAAGGGTCGCCAGAGCAACAGTTGGAGAATGGGGAACTAAGCTGGAGGACACCCAAGTACTCTTAAGCAATCCTCGTAGTGAGTAAGATGGGGAGCTTGGAAGCATCGGGTAACAATGGGACAAGTGTGGGCTCTGGTTCGTTCCACCTTGGAACTTTTTCACACTGATGATGAGGAGGAAGGAGAGTATGACGAAGTAACAGAAGAGGTTACAGAGCAGGTTTATTTGCCAGCTAAAGCTAAAGTGGCACAGGAGGAAGAGGTTCATCCCTACCCTTCTGCACCCCCTCATTATTATTTTGAAGAAAAAGAGTGGCCAGACCCTCCAGATCTTTCTTTTCTGGAGGACACTGGGCGAAAAGTAGTTGCCCCAGTGACTGAGCAGCACCTCGAGCGACTGCTGTCAGTTCTATTCAGGCAGGAGTTCAGCAGGCTAGACGAGAGGGTGATATAGAGGCTTGGCAGTTCCCTGTTAGAATACACCACCTGATCAACAGGGAAATATTATAGCTACATTTGAGCCTTTTCCTTTTAAATTACTCAAATAATTTAAACAAGCTATTAATCAGTATGGACCAGGTTCTCCTTTTGTAATGGGACTGTTAAAGAATGTTGCTGTTTCCAGTCGGATGATTCCTACTGACAGGGACACTCTTATTCGAGCTTGTCTAAGTCCTGCTCAATTCTTACAATTTAAAACTTGGTGGGCAGATGAAGCTTCCATTCAGGCTGCTTGCAATGCCCAGGCCGAAACTCAAATTAATATAACATGGACCAACTTTTGGGGGTCGGCTGCTGGGCTGGTTTAGACGCACAAGTGGTCATACAGGATGATGCCGTAGAGCAGCTTAGAGGAGTGTGCATTAGAGCTTGGGAAAAAATCACTTCAGGTGGAGAACAATACCCTTCCTTTAGTGCTGTAAAACAGGGACCAAAAGAACTGTATGCAGATTTTATAGCTTGGAATCTCTTAAGACAGGAGTCTCTTAAAAAGGTGATTTCAGATTCAGCTGCTCAGGATATAGTGTTGCAGTTATTAGCTTTTGGCAATGTTAATCTCGATTGCCAGGCTGCTTTGCGACCTATTAGAGGGAAAGCACATTTAGTTGATTATATCAAGGCCTGTGACGGTATCGGAGGTAATCTGCATAAAGCTACTTTGTTGGCACAGGCAATGGCAGGACTGAGAGTGGATAAAGGAAATACTCCATTTCCTGGAGCTTGTTTTAACTGTTTGAAGCATGATCACACTAAAAAACAATGTAGAAAAAATCAGCAAGTCAGGCCACCATATAGGGGAAAAAAAGAAAACTACTGAGCCTGAAATATGTCCAAAATGCAAAAAAGGAAAACATTGGGCTAATCAGTGTCACTCTAAGTTTGATAAAGATGGGAACCTGATTTCAGGAAACACCATGAGGGGCCCATCCCGGGGCCCCATTCCAAACCGGGGCATTTCTGGCTCAGGCCATTCCCTCATCCTTGTACAATATCTGTCCCCCGCCACAGCCAGTAGCACCACAGTAGATTTATGTTGCACAAAAGCTGTGAGGCTTCTGCCTGGGGAAACCCTGCAAAAGGTCCCAACAGGGGTCTGTGGACCCTTGCCAGCGGGAACGATAGGATTATTTCTAGGAAGGCCTAGTTTAAGTTTAAAAGGCATACAAATACATACAGGGGTCATTGATTCAGATTACAATGGGGAAATTCAAATTGTTATATCTACTTCTGTTCCCTGGAAAGCAGAGCCAGGAGAGTGTATAGCACAGCTCCTGATTGTGCCGTATGTGGGAATGGGAAGAGTGAAATTAAACAAACAGGAGGATTTGGAAGCACAAATAAACAAGGCAAAACAGCTTATTGGGTGAATCAAATTACTGATAAACGTCCTACCTGTGAAATAACTATTCAGGGAAAGAAATGTAAAGATTTGGTAGATACAGGAGCGGACATTTCAATCATTTCTCGACAGCACTGGCCGTCTGCGTGGCCAGTTCAACACACTCAACTTAAAACAGTTGGAGTTGGTAAAGCCCCTGAAGTATATCAAAGCCATTATATTTTGCATTGTGAAGGTCCCGATGGACAACCTGGGACTATTCAACCAATTATAACTTCCGTACCTATAAATTTATGGGGGAGAGATTTATTACAACAATGGGGAGCACAAGTTCTACTTCCAGAGCAATTATATAGCCCTCAAAGTCAACATATGATGCATGAAATGGGGCATGTCCCTGGTATGGGACTAGGAAAAAATTTGCAAGGTTTGAAAAAAAATGCTTCAAGTGGAGAGACAAAGTTCCCGCCAAGGTTTAGGGTATCATTTTTGATGGCAGTCATTGTTAAGCCTCCAGAACCTATACCTTTAAAATGGTTAACAGATAAGCCAATTTGGATAGAACAGTGGCTGCTAAGTAAAGAGAAACTGGAGACTTTAGAGAACTTCGTTAATGTACAATTAGAAAATGAGAACATAGCTACAACACTTTCCCCTTGGAATTCTCCGGTTTTTGTAATTAAGAAAAAATCAGGTAAATGGAGAATGTTAACTGATTTAGGAGCCATTAATTCAGTTATACAAGCTATAGGAGCATTACAGCCAGGAAGGACTCTTTCTTTACTATACCCTTAGCTAAGCAAGACAGTGAACGGTTTGCATTTACAATTCCTGTGGTAAACAATCTGCAGCCTGCTAAGCATTTTCATTATTTCACAGATGGGTCTAGCAATGGTAAAGCTTCTTATTCTGGATCAAAAGGTAAAGCTTTCCAGGCAACCTATACTTCAGCTCAGAAAGCAGAGCTTGTAGCTGTAATTGAGGTGCTGACTGCTTTTGATATGCCTGTTAATGTGATTTCTGATTCTTTATACATGGTTCATTCCACGCAGTTAATTGAAAATGCTCAGTTATGATTTATACAGATGAACAACTGATGACAAAAACAAAAAAGGGGGAGAAACAGGGATTACGAGACAGCCCATACACAACTGAATCTAGCATTATTAACTTTAAATTTTTTGAGGCTGCCCAAAGGCCAGATGTTATCAGCAGCTGAACAGCATCTACAGAAACCAGCTGCAAAGACAGGAGCAGAACAACTGGTTTGGTGAAGAGATCCAATAACAAAAAGTTGGGACATAGGTAAAATAATAACTTGGGTAGAGGTTATGCTTGTGTTTCTCCAGGCCAAAACCAGCAGCCAATTTGGATACTATCAAGACACCTAAAACCTTATCATGAGCCAGATGCCAAGGAAGAGATTCCAGGAGGATCCCGAGGACCCCCTGGTTGCAGCCATGTCGAGACTGATGCTGAGGAGGACCCTAACTGTCACGAGCAACACCCGTTGAACACAGCCACCCACCTGGGGACAGATCAAGAAGCTGTCACAGATGGTGGAAGAAAACCTGAGGAAAGCGGGACAACTGGTCACAATGACTGTTTACTGGAATGAAGGCTGTGAGACTCCTCATTTCCCACCCCACACGCCATATTTCTGTGTGTGTGTCTTTAATTCCTCTAGCGCCACTGGGTTAGGGTCTCCCTGACTGAGCTGGTCTCGGCACTGTAATTCTGCCTTGTCCACATGGCACTATTTACACTTTAATTAATTAAAATTAAATGGATTTTAAAAGCCAGTTTCTTATTTGCACCAGCCATATATTTCAAGTACTCAGAATTCACAGAATATGAATGTCTGTATCTGTGCCATAATGAATAGCTCAGATATAGACACTCCATCACTGCAGAAGGGGGTTGGACAGTGGTATTCCAATGTTTCATGGACAGGATCCTGAGTATAATTACGGAATAATGACAATTCCAAGTTCCCATTTCAATTCATGGTCTCTTCTCTGATTCGTGGTGTAGGGGGCAGCCCATCTCTTTTGTGAATAAAGGTTAATTTTTCCAATTACACGTAAGTAGCTAATATTATTTTTTTTTAGCAGTCTTACAGTGTAAGTTACAACCAAAAGTGAAGTGCCTGAATTATATTTACATTTTAACAAATGGTTTTAAAGGGAAAATCCATGTGAAAAAGAAACAAAAGTCAGGAAAAAAAACACACAGAAGTTTCCATACCAATCCTGATAGCAATAACAATCCCTTTGCTGTCATGAGAGTTCACCCTCATCCTGATTTCATAGTAATCCTGTTCACGCCTTTCTTTAAAGCTTTACTCCCATGCATACATCTCTAAAACAATATAGGTTATCTCAAACTTCATATAGATTTTGAATCTTTTGATACAAATGGAATCGTGCTATGTGTATTCTTATGAGACCTTATTTTAGCTCAAATGTATGTTTGCTAAGTTGTTATAGGTGTCTCTAGAGCGTTCATGTTTATTATTCATAGAATTCCACACATTAAATTAATCCTTCTTTGTTTGTGGTCATTTTATTTGTTTTCAGGTTTTAAAAATTATAAACAATGCTGTTGTAAGCCTTCTTGCACATGTATGTTGGCACAATGAGCATATATCTTTCAAAATTATATGCCTAAGAGTGGAATTACTGGTGTATGTATATGATATCCCACCCAAAAAGATGATGCCACACTGCTAGACAAAGTGTGTGACAGCTCTTGATGGTCCATATTCGCACCAACATTTGGAATAGTCAGTGATTTTAATTTAGAAATTCTAGTGGATTTGTCATGACACATCATTATATTTCTTTCCTTAAACTTTCTTAAGATATAATTCACATATCATTCACCCATTTAAAGTATACAATTCAATGGTTTTTCACATATTTGGATTTTTAAATCACCATATCTAATTTTAGAACATTTTCATCATCCCAAACTGTTCTCCACAGTTTGAGAGCTGCCTTCTGCAGACCAGCAAGACACAGATTGTTCTCAGCTCCCCTTGTCTCTGGACCCTGACTTCTCTTCCCCCAGCTGCACAGCTGATAAACTGTGTCTCCTCCCAAGCATAGCCCAGGAAGGATATAGGGAGAGGGGCCCATTCCCCTGATGTCCCAGAACCCCTTCCACATAATCCCAATATCCAGGCCCGGTGTCCCCTTCCCTGGATCAATCTTTTTCTGGGAATGAAAGAGTTGCAGTGTTTCCCTCCCAGATCTCCCCTGTGACTCACTCCCTCTAAATAGATATCTTGCTCTATGAGTTATTATTCTCATATCCTTTCTTTGAAGCTGTGATAAGATATTACAAACTATTAAGAGAACATGGAGGCTAGGCGTGGTGGCTCACGCCTGTAATCCCAGCACTTTGGGAAGCCAAGATAGGCAGATCACCTGAGGTCAGGAGTTCGAGACCAGCCTGGCTAACATGGTGAAAACCCCATCTCTAAAAATACACAAATTAGCTGGGTGTGGTGGCAGCTGCCTGTAATCCCAGCTACTCGGGATGCTGAGGCAAGAGAATTGCTTGAACCAGGAGGTGGAGGTTGCAGTGAGCCGAAATCACGCCATTGCACTCCAGCCTGGCAACAAGAGATAAACTCTGTCTCAAAAAAAAAAAAAAAGAAAGAAAGAGAGAGAGAGAACATGCAGGTTAGGTTCTCTTTTTGGATTCTGAGGACCTGCTGTGCTGGGGCAGAGGCAGGTGGGGAGAGAAGGGCAGGTGGAGGGGCAGGTGCTGAGTGGTGTGCAACCTTGCTCCGTGCTCAATAAAGTTCCTGCTGTGGTCATTTCTTGTGTATTTGTCTGGATCCCTCCGTGTGCTGGGATTTGTGCCTGGTCTTTAGGGGCGGGTGCTGCTCCAGGTCGGAGGCCTCACACATCTCCAGGCTGAGTCTTTCTCCAAGTCCATGGAGGTCACGGGCTGAGAATGACAGTTCTCCATCCTGCCCTCAGCTCCACTTTGTGTGTGTGTATTTTTACATGTTGATCTCACCCCTCTCGTCAGAGATTTACAGGAATAGTACTCTGTAGGAGAGCCGTTATCATCCTGCTCCGGCCAGGCTCTGTCTCTCACTTTTGGGTCGTGTGTTCTGTTTCTTGTCCTCTAAAGACTCAGGGCAGCCTCTGCACTTGGGGCTTCTCAGATGCCCCAAATTGATTGTTTTCACCTTTGCCTTCCTTCTTGCTCTGTTTCCAGAATACTCTTATTTTTCCCTTTTATTGTAGTAAGTCAATTTTTTGAATTAACATCATGAATAGATGTGTTAGTGCAATGTCTTAAATACATTCTTGTCACTTCTCCTTTTGTGGGAGCACCCTGTGGTCAGTCAGGGACCTGGCAGGAAAGAGATGGCACCTTTTTTTTTTTCCAAGACTGAGTTTCACTCTTGTTGCCCAGGCTGGAGTGCAATGGTGTGATCTCGGCTCACCACAACCTCTGCCTCCTGGGTTCAAGCAATTCTCCTGCCTCAGCCTCCCGAGTAGCTGGGATTACAGGCATGCGCCACCATGCCCAGCTAATTTTTTATTTTTAGTAGAGACAGGGTTTCTCCATGTTGGTCAGGCTGGTCTTGAACTCCCAATCTCAGGTGATCCTCCGGCCTCGGCCTCTCAAGGTGCTGAGATTACACGTTTGAGCCACCGCGCTGGCCTGAGATGGCACCTTCTACACAGGTGCCGGCAGGGCTAAGAAAGCCACAAAGGGCGCTGAAGCTCCCTGGGATTATTCCTGGCAGGAAACTGTTTTCATCTTGAAGCTTGAAAGAGCAACGAACGGAGCAGTTTCCAGAACCCAAGGAAATCTGTAGCTTTCACTAGGGGCAGACCCACATGCCTGTGGCTGTAGGTAGAGGACGGCAATGATTACGGAACCACAGAGCTGTCCAGAGGGGGTGAGGGAAATGAAAACCCTGAGTTACTTCTCCCCGCATGCTCCCATCTCCTGCAGGTGCCTGTTATCATCCACACCCAAGCAGAAGCCAGGTGGTGCAGGAGCATGGGCCGTGCCTGTTGTGGTTGCCTCCCAGTGCAGGGGACAAGGTGGAGGAGGGTGAACGACGGCCCTGTGGGGAGAGAGAAGCAGAGAATAATGCACTCACCTGCTTACAGTGTCCACATTCCTCAGGGAATTCACTTAAATATCCTAGAGTCTGCCCTAATCCAAAGGCATGGCTTCAAAAAAAAAAATACATGTAATTTATTCATTCTGAGGCAGAAATTTAAAAATAATAATAATAATAATAAGTATTACATTTACTTACTTTAAGAAAAGTTAAAGCTAAGGCTTAGAATGTGGCAAGGCAAAAGTTAAAAAGAAAAAGAAAAGAACAAGTTTTTTTCTGCTTAGCAAGCTTACCTCAAGGACAGTTTTATACATATATTTTTTTTTAGATGGTGTCTCGCTTTGTCACCCAGGCTGGAGTGCCATGACACGATCTCGGCTCACTGCAAGCTCTGCCTCCCAGGTTCACGTCATTCTCCCGCCTCAGCCTCCCGAGTAGCTGGGACTACAGGCACCCACCACCACACCTGGGTAATTTTTTGTATTTTTAGTAGAGACAGGGTTTCACCATGTTAGCCAGGATGGTCTCGATCTCCTGACCTCGTGATCTGCCCACCTCGGCCTCCCAAAGTGCTGGGATTACAGGCGTGAGCCACTGTGCCCAACCCAAGGACAGTTATAAGATAACACTGTCTGAATAGCTAGGGCTAAAAAAATAGGCCTTGGACACTTCTTTTTTCTAGAGCAAAGTTGAAGGAAAAAAAGAGAAAAAAAGATTATTTTACTGTAGAATGCATGAACCAGACACTCAAGCAGCTACTGAAGAAATATTGCCAAGAAACTCATCTGAGACAGAATCAAGTCTTGCCTATAGTCCTCCTCTGAGCCAAGCGCACCCCCACCAAACAAACTAAGTATTTACCCTATAAGATTTTGTTCAATCAGCCACCGTCAAATTAAAAGTGATCTCCAAGAACTAAAAGAACTAACCTTAAGAAATCAAATGCAGGCTTTAGAAACAGCCATGCAAAGTGTTCATAGTTAAGTACATAAAAGAATGCCTAGAAGTCTAACAGACCCAGTAAACCCTTTAAACCTAGTAGCTTTGTTTAAGTTAAAAAGTAGAACCCAACTTCTCTAAGACCCATGTAAGATAAGCCCCACAGAGTAATCTTGTCCACTCCCACTGCTGTTAAAGTTGCAAGAATCGTGCCTTAACTCCATCACAGTCGGCTAAAATCGGCAGCTCAGGACAAGTGAACCAGCCAGCAACACCCAGATCATCCAACCCGGCTGATCCTGAGACAAGACCAAGCTGCTGCTGAAGACGACAGCCCTGCTCTGGTCACTCCGGTGGCTGACCAGTCTACGCACAGCTGAAGTTTGAAGAAACAACAAGCCTTGCTCTAGTCACACACCGGAAGCTGACTAGTCTATGCACGGCTGAAGCTTAAAGACTCATCAAGCAAGTAAATGTAGTTAGAAATCTTAAGACTAGTAGTTTTCCTGTAATACTAACTGTTTTCCTATTGTTCTGTCACTGTGCTCAACCTCCTCCCCCAAATAAAGACCTCTTTTGTCCTTGCTAGATTTAAATATGCTGTACATTGTTTTGATGTTGTTACCCCCTTAACCATACTAGAAGAAACACTGACAGAAAAGTGTCCCCACTGTACACATACTACTTAGTCAAAGAACAGTATAACTAGAACTCTGTTGTACCATACTTATAAGTGTACAAAGACTCGCTTAAGAACTTGTACTTATAAGGCTGGGCGCGGTGGCTCACGCCTGTAATCCCAGCACTTTGGGAGGCCGAGGCGGGTGGATCACAAGGTCAGGAGATCGAGACCATCCTGGCTAACATGGTGAAACCCCGTCTCTACTAAAAATAAAAAAAAAAAATTAGCCGGGCGTGGTGGTGGGCTCCTATAGTCCCAGCTACTCGGGAGGCTGAGGCAGGAGAATGGCGTGAACCCGGGAGGCGGAGCTTGCAGTGAGCCAAGATTGCGCCACTGCACTCCAGCCTTGGAGACAGAGCGAGACTCCGTCTCAAAAAAAAAAAAAAGAACTTGTACTTATAATCAGACCACCTGTTCAATTTGTGACCCAAGAAATGGCCAGCCTTATATATGCTATGACCGAAGTCTTTACCTAGGACTTAGTTTAAGATTCATACAAGTAAAAAAAAAAAAAAGAAGTCTTGTAAGTCAAACCCAAGCCTCTCCTTCCCAGGGTGGGGGCTATATCCATATACTTTGATATTTGTCAGTTAACATCCATGAACCCAACCTATCTCACAATCTCTAGTCCTACAAAGTACTATAAAAACTGCCAGTATAAAATTGTATGTACACTCCCTGTTTGTCCCTCCAAGGCCCTAGCAATAGCTTGCTGGAACTGCACAATGCAGTTCACTGACCGATCATCACTGAGGCCAAAGCCAATCTTGCTCATCAAAGTACCAGCAAAACCAGATTGTAAGACAAGCATTTGCAATCCTGTAAATCTTACTATCTTAAGGCCAAACCTACCTGTATGGACTATAGGCTACTCCATGGCATTACAAAGCTACGGTCAAAAAGCTAAAACAACTTTGTATATTATAAAGAAGACTTGAACCAAGCAGTCAGCCCAGGAGCAATTCTGAGTCTTTAAGTCATTCTTTGAGCATATAAACCGGAAGTTATCAGAGCCTCCTCCTTTAGCCAAAAACCTATTTGTTCAGCTGGCTGAAAACATTGCTGCCAGCCTAGGCGTTTCCTCATGTTATGTTTGTAGAAAGACTAGCATAAAAGACCAATGGCCTTAAGAAGCAAAAAAGTTAATGCCTCAAGATAACTTTACTCCAACTGACTCTTTCCCCAAACCGATGCCCACAAGTTCAAGCGTCTGGCTCTTAAAAACTTCTATATCGAGGCCAGGTGCAATGGATCATGCCTGTAATCCCAGCACTTTGGGAGGCCGAGGCAGGCGGATCGCCAGGTCAGGAGATCGAGACCATTCTAACACAGTGAAACCCTGTCTCTACTAAAAATACAAAAAATTAGCCGGGTGTGGTGGCGGGTGCCTGTAGTCCCAGCTACTCAGGAGGCTGAGGCAGGAGAATGGCGTGAACCCAGGAGGCGGAGCTTGCAGTGAGCCAAGATTGCGCCACTGCACTCCAGCCTTGGAGACAGAGCGAGACTCCGTCTCAAAAAAAAAAAGAAAGAAAGAGATTCCATCTGCATGTATGCATTCAGCCAGGACACAGTGGCCAGGGGTCTTAAACACCACCCAAGAGCCTTCAGACAGTCAAGTTCCTCTTTCTTCTCAGGGTTCAGCCTGAGCACTGGGGTGACCAAACACACTGTGCAAAGGGCAGGAACCTCTTCAATGCCAGCTTATGAATCTGTCCCCTCCAGTGGTGGGAAATCGCACCTCAATCCACAATCCACTATTTCTTCCCGCCCTTACCTCCTCACACCCATCTGGAATTTAGGAGAATGTGGAGAGCAGCCAGCAGCAATAGCAGCAGCTGAGGCCTAAGGAAAACTGAACAGGAAGCCAAGGAAACACATCAGGTGACTAAAATTGTTTGCTGTTCTGCACATGTCCAAGAATGACCCCAAAAGATTTTCAATGACCAGTTCTATGGTTACCAACCTATTGGGCCACGTCATAGACATCAAGTGGATGAGCATTGCCTTTATCAATGACAGGTGAGCCCCACACCCAGAAGGACACCTACTCTCCCATTCCTTATGTTTTCTATCTTTTCACACCTTACATCCTCTTCCCTCCCTCTGGGTGTCTTCCCTCTTTGGGTCTTCTGTTTCTACCCTCTGCCTCCTTTCAGGTGACTAGAGCAGGCTGGTTTGGAACAGGGCTTGGCCATCAGCGTTTGTGTCAGATGAGAATCATGCAAGGATCCAGTGTGATGGGCAGCATCGCTTCGAGGTCAGTGTTAGTGAGCTGCCTGATGAGACAGATGTCTCCTCCACGGTGAGTGCTGATCTCATGAAACACTTAGTTCCTCCCTGAACCTTAGTATGTTTTTCTTCAATCTCATCACATAGGTCATGGGCATCTGATGCATAATGGACACTTGACTGGTTCATGCCCCCTGGCCTTTGATGCTGTGTTGGGATGTTTTCCTGACCTTTATGTGGGGTTTCTGTCTTCTCTCATCATATTACATCCCTTCCCTCACCCCCACGTCCGTCCTCTGAACCCACACAGTACACCAGCGTCTGCATGTGTGCCGTGTGTTCATGCCTCACTTTCCCCTTTTCATGCCTTATTCTGACTGTGCCATATTTTCTCTTCAGTTGAACAGACACAGTAGAGGACTCACCAATTCTGGGATGTGATAGTCTGTCCTTCAGGAGAAGACCCCAGGGTGGGGGTGAAGGAGACACTACTGCCTCCACCCCTAACAGCCCCCACCCCATGGCTTCCCTCCTCTGCATCAGCACCACTCCTGAACCCCCATTCCTGATTGTCAGAATTTTAAAAATCCTAACTAGGCTGGGCGCGGTGGCTCACGCATATAATCCCTGCACTTTGGGAGGTCGAGGCGGGTGGATCACCTGAAGTCAGAAGTTCAAGACCAGCCTGACCAATATGGAGAAACCCAGCGTCTACTACAAATACAAAAATAACCGGGCGTGATGACGAGCGCCTGTAATCCCAGCTACTCGAGAGGCTGAGGCTCAAGAATCGCTTGAACCCAGGAGGCAGAGGTTGCAGTGAGCCGAGATCGCACCTTTGCACTCCAGCCTGGTCAACAAGAGGGAAACTCCATCTCAAAAAAAAAAAAAAAATCCTAATGAAAAATGGAACACATGTGTGTCTGTGGTATCTGCATGCTACATCTTCTTACTGTGTTTGGGGAGAGGTTATTGTAGGACATGATCCAGGGTAAATTCCTGTAAGGCTGAGGTGCACTGCTGTGAGGTCAAAGGAGGCATGGGACTGAGACTGCAGAGCCCTGGCTCCCCACTACCTGCCTGTATTAGTCAGGGTTCTCTAGAACTAACAGAATAAATATATATATAAAGGGGGATTTATTAAGTAGTATTAACTCGCATGATCACATGGTCCCACAATAGGTCGCCTGCAAGCTGAGGAGCAAGGAAGCCAGTCCGAGTCCCAAAGCGGAAGAACTTGGAGTTCGATGTTCGAGGGCAGGAAGCATCCAGTATGGGAGAAAGATGTAGGCTGGGAGGCCAGTCTAGCCTTTTCACATTTTTCTCCCTGCTTTATATTCTGGCCACGCTAGCAGCTGATTAGATGGTGCCCACCCAGATTTAGGGTGGGTCTGCCTTTCCCAGTCCACTGACTCAAATGTTAATCTCCTTTGGCAACACCCTCACAGACATGCCCAGGATCAGTATTTTGCGTCCTTCAATCCAACCAAGTTGACACTCAGTATTAACCATCACACTGCTAACTTCTGGCCTTTTGTGGTCTCTTCCATTTTCCCAGTGGCCTGGGAGCAGCTGGGATATTTCTGATCCTGGGGTTCCTGGGGGTGGTGCACAGTATTTCCAATGCTGAGGGGTGCCACAGGCACTGGTGGGAAGCTTGGGTGTCTCCTCCCAGGCTCTCTTGGTGCCTCCTTCCTTATCTGTTTCTTCAGGTTCTGGATCTTGACCATCAGGGCCTGGGCCCCCCACCCCCTCCAGCAGAGCCTGATCCACTCCAGCTGCTGCTCCAGCAACTCTTTGGCTTGGGCCAGCTCAGCTGTGTGGTGGGGCCAGGGCCCTGGTGAGGGGAGTCAGGGAGGGAGCATCAGCCAGGGCAGGGGGGCTGAGGCTCTGGAAAGCTGTGCTGCAGGGTCTGGCTGTAAGTGGGAAATTCTACCTCCCTTTCTCTGTTTCTAGCCCATTAGTTTAAGTCCACCTGTACTGAGAAGCCCAGGGAGCCCTGTATCTTAGGTACAAGCCTCTGGGGAGCAGATAGAGATCCCTGGCCCAGGAGCTATACTGGAAAGCCCACAGCTGCAGAAAGTCAGGTTGCACCTGTAAAACCCCCAGCTGGTTAAAAAAAGATAAAATTTGACTACCTGAGAGGTTTCATTTATATAACAGGAACACCTTCCCAGCCTCTCTCTGTGGGCTATTAAAGATTTCAGAGATTTCTTATTCTAAACAATTAATGGAAACATCAAGTCTTAAAAGGACACATAGTAGTGTCATGGCTAGTCTTCAAAAATTCCCTTGACTAAATTAAGAGCAAAAAAATCACTTCAAACACTTCTGGTAGTTAAAATTAAACACTTCTCAGCCGGGTGCGGTGGCTCATGCCTGTAATCCCAGCACTTTGGGAGGCCGAGGTGGGCGGATCACGAGGTCAAGAGATTGAGACCATCCTGGCCAACATGGTGAAACCCTGTCTCTACTAAAAATACAAAAATTAGTCGGGTGTGGTGGTGGGCACCTGTAGTCCCAGCTACTCAGGAGGCTGAGGCAGGAGAATCGCTTGAACCTGAGAGGCGGAGGCTGCAGTGAGCCGAGATCACACCACTGTGCTCCAGCCTGGGCAACAGAGCAAAACTAAAAAAAAAAACATTAAACACTTCTGCCATGGCTCAGGTTTGCCACCTCATCAGGGAACAACTAAGGGCCACCCACCTTGTGGCCTAATAGTCATAACTTTGGTTAAGGCACTTGGGAGGATACCTTTTGGTAAAGAAGGTGAAAAGCCAGGAATATCAACTGTTCCTCCTGGCTAAAATCTGGTAATAAGAGATGTCAAAGGATTTTTTTAGAGCTCTATAGTCAAAATTTGACTTAATTAAAACTGATATTTTAGACTTCAGTGTGTACATATTGCTTTAAGGTCTCTTTTCTCCCTGGGTAAACATTTCTCAGTCAACTAAATGTCTCTCTTTTTCAACCCCCTGCTAGCCACATGCACTTCCTCTGTTTCCCTATTTCTTTGTTTTTTTTTTTTTTTTTTTTTTGAGACGGAGTCTCACTCTGTCACCCAGGCTGGAGTGCAATGGCGTGGTCTCAGCTCACTGCAACCTCCACCTCCCAGGTTCAAGCGATTCTCCCACCTCAGCCTCCCAAGTAGCTGGGACTACAGGCGCCTGCCACCACACCCAGCTAATTTTTGTATTTTTAGTAGAGACGGGGTTTCACTATATTGGCGAGGCTGATCTCGAACTCCTGACCTAGTGATCCACCCACCTCGGCCCCCCAAAGTACTGGGATTACAGGCATGAGCCACTGCGCCCGGCCTCCCCTATTTATTTCTATCAGCCCCTCCTTCCTCTTGCCAACCTTGGTGCCACATAAGAAAAAAATTAAATTAAATAAAATTCTAATAGCCTGGGATCCCTTAAGAAAAATGCAAAAGGCACCACAGACGCATTTTTGTGAGAAACTGCTGTTTTTTCCTCAGGGAATCCCAAGAGGGAATCCAAGAGAGGACAAAATCCTCTCAGGTCAAAAACTCTGTTCCTTTGCCTTGCATGACCTGATTTTGGCTTTGAATGGGATCAGAAATCACTTTATATTGTGAGAAAACTTGACTTTGGCGTATACAATGGCTGGGAAATGGGCTGATCACAGAGTGGGCTGATTGGCACTGGGTTGCCCACCAGCCTTGAGAGAAAGTTTTTGTAGCAAAACACACTAAAAATATTGTATGGCCAGGTCCCCATGGCATTACTCTCTTTCTGGGCACTGAAAATTCAGTGTGGGCTCTACCCTGAGTTCAATGGTCCAGTTAAAAGATACAGGCCAAATTAAAAGCACCTATCTAAATGCAGTTGATCTCCTTATAAGATCCTATGATAGACCGGGCACGGTGGCTCACGCCTGTAATCCCAGCACTTTCAGAGGCCAAGGCGGGCGGATCACAAGGTCAGGAGATTGAGACCGTCCTGGGTAACATGGTGAAACTCCATCTCTGCTAAAAATAAAAAAAAGTAGCCGGGCGTAGTGGCACACACCTGTAGTCCCAGCTACTTGGGAGACTGAGGCAGGAGAATCGCTTGAACCTGGGAGGCGGAGGTTGCAGTGAGCCGAGATTGCGTTCTGCAGGAGGTACTAATTAAAATTGTGTACCTCCTAGTTTTTTCACTAAAAATAAGAGTTACTAAGAGTTAACATTACAATTCATAGATGTAATTTAAATTACTAGATATAAGATAAATAATTCTACAAGCAACATGCAAAGAAAAGTAGAATGTGGTTTTTGGTAGAAACATAAGAAGGCATGGAAATAGGGCTTTTGTTAAAGGAAAAGTAATTCTGCCTAGTTAGAGGGGTTTATTTTATTTTATTTTATTTATTTTGAGATGGAGTCTCGCTCTGTTGCCCAGGCTGGAGTGCAGTGGCATGATCTCAGCTCACCATCAACCTCCACCTGCTGGGTTCAAGTGATTCTCCTGCCTCAGCCTCCCAAGTAGCTGGGACTACAGATGTGCACCACCACGCTCAGCTAATTTTTTGTATTTTTAGTAGAGATGGGGTTTCACCATGTTGGCCAAGCTGGTCTGAAACTCCTGACCTTCTGATCCACCCGCCTTGGCCTCCCAAAGTGCTGGGATTACAGGTGAGCCACCACGCCTGGCCAAAATAATCTTTTATAACTTTTTTTGTTGGAAACATTGCTGATTCTTTTTGCTTTGTTTTTCAGAGTCAAGAAAACTTTTCTTTTGAACATTTACAGCTTTTCACAATGAAGCGTACTCTTGTAAGCAAAATTTGAGGCATATTTCTTTCTCTCTACCTGATTTCTCCAGAATTCAGAAACTATTTCTGAGATTTTGTTTGTTTGTTTGTTTTTTGAGAAGGAGTCTTGCTCTATCTCCCAGGCTGGAGTGCAGTGGGGCGATCTCAGCTCACTGCAATGTCTGCTTCCCGGGTTCAAGTGATTCTCCTGTCTCAGCCTCCTGAGTAGCTGGAATTACAGGCACCCGCCACCACGCCTGGCTAATTTTTGTATTTTTAGTAGAGACAGGGTTTCACCATGTTGGTCAGGCTGGTCTCGATCTCCTGACCTCATGATCTGCCTGCCTCAGCCTCCCAAAGTGCTGGGATTACAGGCATGAGCCACCACGCCTGGCCTTATTTCTGAGTATTCATGATTTATGGCAATATACTTAGTTGCATGAGTTTAATAAAAATCTGTTTTCTTTCTTAACAGGACATAATTTTGACACTGATTATTTTACCAAGGCTTTGGCTAGAATGCCATATTTTAAGATATAAGCAGACTGCTTTGAGAACTTGAGATTGATGTTATAGAACTGATTAAAAAAAAAAAAAACCCTTGGAAAAACTGACCTCATACTTTGTCTACGCATTTCCTTTACAGGGTTCCTGACAGGTAGTAAGTAAGAATATCACTTTCTCACAGACCTAAGAACCACACGTTATTTTGAGACCTTGAGAAGACAGAAATTTACCTCATTCATACAAGTATCTGCAGGCACAGATAAATCCTTGGCTGGACTCAAGAAAAACTCTAATCTGAGATTCCTTATGAAAAGCTCTAGCAAAACCAATTCAAAAAGAGCCTAGGGCCATGCACAGTGGCTCAGGCCTGTAATCCCAGAACTTTGGGAAGCCGAGGCGGATGGATCACCTGAGGTTGGGAGTTCGAGACCAGCTTGACAAACATGGAGTAACCCCGTCCTGACTAAAAATACAAAATTAGCTGGGCTTGGTGGCGCATGCCTGTAATCCCAGCTACTCGGGAGGTTGAGGCAGGAGACTCGCTTGAACCCGGGAGGCAGAGGTTGCAGTGAGCTGAGATTGCACCATTGCACTCAGCATGGGCAACAAGAGTGGAAACTCTGTCTCAAAAAAAAAAAAGAGCCTATTGGCCAATAATTATTCTTGCTGCGCTTTATGCAAATAATCAGACCAAGTATAATAAGACTAAAACTTATTTTGCAGATACGTTGGTCCCACTATGATTTTGATTTTGGTAAAAATAGGGGACTGGAGAGAGAAAAATTATTTCAAAGAAAATTATAGTATACTCATTATAAGATTCTAGCCTTGTCCATTGTTTTTCAGTTTTCACTATTTGTCTACAATTTATTCAGACTAGATCCTGAATTCTTCCCTGGCTATAAGTCTCCAAAGTAACATTTTCAAAAGAAAAATTTCTCCCATTTTTCTCACTTGGAATCACTAGAAATTAAAACTGTGCTTTTCTTACAGCCCTGCAAACTGAAGCTAGAAAATTTAAACTTTGTAGCGTAATAGCAGAAATAGTAGCATTTGCAGATAACTGTATTTTCACAAGCTTACTTTTTCTTATGTACAATGTAGACTTACTAAGTGCAAGACAAATGCATAATAGATTTTTTCTCTACTCCCTTCTTTTCACCTATAAAATGTAGATTCACTGAGCACTAATCAGAGCCTCACACACCCCACCTTTGTGCCTGCCTACTGAAGTATGGACTTCTCGGTAGCATATCCTAAATTACTTTTCCAGGATTGCATTCCCTTTGTTTCTATAATCTGGTCTTGGTCCCTCCCTTTTGTTTCTCTTTTTCCCTTTTTTCTTTCTCTCTTTCCCTTTTTTCTTTCTCTCTTCCTCCCTCTATTTTTCTCCATGGGACAAGAGACTTTACAAGCCCCTAAGAATAAGCCTTCCTAGCAACATGGGATCTAATCTTCCAGGAATAAATCATTCTAGCAGAAGAGGTTAGACTAAACCCATGAGCAGACACCCATTTTCTTCTACCATGCTTTCTCTGAAAGATTTTGAATAACAAGGGAGAAATGTGAAAAGAAAATAGAATCTCAGGACCCCAAACTGCTATGCAAGAAATTAAGCTTGGAAACTGAGTCATGCAAAATTTGCCTTCCTTTTGTTCCCAAACATATAACTGTAATTTTACATGCTTACTTTAGCTTATGTAAAATATAGATTTACTGAACATGATGTGAATGCATAACTGACTTCTTCCTCCCTCCCTTCTTTTCACATGTAAAATGTAGATTCACTAAGGACTAATCACAGCCTCACAAGTATGTAACCACTCGCATCATTGCCTACCTGTCCTTCCTTTTTTTTTCTTTCCTCTCCTGCTTGCCCTTTCTCCTTTAAATATTGAAGGTCCCAAAATCCTCCTTGGAAAAAGCACAGGTCACAGGTCCTATTGTGGCTTATGTTTCTTTTCCCCCAGCATATTTTCAACCTTGGCAAAATGAACACCGAATTGATTGAGATCTGCCTCAGTCACTTTTTGGTTTACAAAGCTAAATTAATTACATTTGTAAATTAAAAACAAGGGGCCAGGTGCAGTGGCTCATGCCTGTAATCCTAGCACTTTGGGAGGCCGAGGTGGGTGAATCACCTGAGGTCAGGAGACCAGCCTTGCCAACATGGCAAAACCCTGTCTTTACTAAAAATACAAAAATTGGCCAGGCATGGTGGCAGGCACCTGTCATCCCAGCTACTCGGGAGGCTGAGGCAGGAGGCAGAGGTTGCAGTGAGCCAAGATCACACCACTGCACTCCAGCCTGGACAACAGAGTGAAACTCCGTCTCAAAAAAAAAAAAAAAAAAAGAGGCTGGGCACATTGGCTCATGCCTGTAATCACAGCACTTTGGGAGGCCAAGGCAGGCAGATCATGAGGTCAGGAGTTCAAGACCAGCCTGGCCAACATGGAGAAACCCCATCTGTACTAAAGATACAAAAAATTAGCCAGGCATGGTGGCACACACCTGTAATCCCAGCTACTCGGGAGACTGAGGCAGGAGAATCACTTGAACCCAGGAGGCCAAGGTTGCAATGA
Source organism: Homo sapiens (assembly GCF_000001405.40). NCBI lineage: Eukaryota > Metazoa > Chordata > Mammalia > Primates > Hominidae > Homo > Homo sapiens. The sequence goes on along the minus strand of NT_113891.3, from coordinate 2,699,341 downwards.
GCTGAGATCACACCATTGCACTCCAGCCTGGGCAACAAGGTGAGACCCCATCTCAAAAAAAACAAAAACAAAAACAAAAACAAAAAGATAGCAGCTATTTAGAAAAAAAAAAACAAGAGCTTGGAGTCGCAAAGAAGACAAGCACTCAAACAAAAGCATTTCTCAGCAAGGCAAGTTTACTTCTGCAGAAGGGTGCTGCTTGCACTTCTGGCTGCTGTGAGAGCACACCGAACAATGGACAGAAGCGGGTTTTATCCCTAACGCAATCAGCCCCTGCTACTGTGTCCTGTCCCCATTTGCTGAAGTCAGACTGCACAATCTAAGCTGATCCCAATTGGCTATTTCAAATGGAGCAGGAGTGTGAGTAAGTAGGGCGGGAAGGGCTGTTTCAGCGAGAAGAGAGAGGCCATCCTTTACTGTGCAAAACATGTCAGGGCATGGCAAAGGCAGGAAGAGCCCTCTGCAAGTTACAGATTGGAACTGGTGGGAGTTGGTGTTTACAGAGCGGGTAACTAGGAACAAGAGAGTACAAGGAAGTTGGGTTTTAGAAATAGAAAACAAAGAACAAGGAAGTTGAAGAAGCTGAACCTTTGAAGAGGAACTTACTGTATCTAACAGAACAAATGAGGCTTCTGCAAGACAATTGAAATGATACACTCATAACAATCCTTCATGAAAGTAACATATTAGCCACCTGAGTTTCTGCTTTAGGTTATGAACTCCAAAATGGACTGGCCCCCAGTAATTTACAGTAGGTAGTCCTAAGCCATAAATAAATAGAATCTGTGAATATTAGCTTTGTTCATCTGTAAGAACTTAAGAAAGTGCTGGGCATTGGGTCAGTTCAAGTCTATTGGATGAACTGTGAATCTCATAATCATGGAAATGTAGGAATAAAGATAAATATACATAAACCAGGCCAGGCTCGGTGGCTGACTCCTGTAATCCCAGCACTTTGGGAAGCCAAGGCAGGAGGATCACCTGAGGTTGGGACCAGCCTGACCAACATGGAGAAACCCCATCTCTACCAAAAATACAAAATTAGCCAGGCATGGTGGCACATGCCTGTAATCCCAGCTACTCGGTAAGCTGAGGCTGGAGAATCGCTTGAACCCTGGAGGTGGAGGTTGCGTTGAGCCAAGATCGTGCCATTGCACTCTAGCCTGGGCAATAAGAGTAGAAACTCTGTCTCAAAAAAAAAAAAAAAAAAAAGTAAACCACAGATTACCTAATGCTAAGGTTTTGTTACAGGAAAGGAGTCTTGATTCAGACCCCAAGAGAGGGCTCTTGGATCTTGCACAAGGAAGAATTCAGGGCAAGTCCATAGAGTAAAGTAAACCAAGTTTATTAGAAAAGTAAAAGAACAAAAGAATGGCTACTCCATCAACAGAGCACCCCTGAGGGCTGCTGGTTGCCCATCTTTATGGTTATTTCTTGATGATATGCTAAACAAGGGGTGGGTTATTTATGCCTTCCCTTTTTAGACCATATAGAGTAACTTCCTGTCGTTGCCACAGCATTTGTAAACTGTCATGGTGCTGGTGGGAGTGTAGCAGTGAGGACGACCAGAGGTCACTCTCATCACCATCTTGGTTTTGGTGGGTTTTGGCTAGCTTCTTTACTGCAACCCATTTTATCAGCAAGGTCTTTAGGACCTGTATCTTGTGCTGACCTTCTGTCTCATCCTATGACTTAGAATGCCTTAACCGTCTGGGAATGTGGCCCAGTAGGGTTCAGCCTTATTTTACTCAGCCCCTATTCAAGATGGAGTTGCTCTGGTTCACATGCCTCTGACAGTTTGAATGACCCCCCAAAACTCATGTTGACATTTAATTGCTATTCTGATAGTATTAAGAGGGGAGACCTTTAAGAGTTGATTAGGTTGAATAGATTAATGTCATTATTGTGGGAGTGGGCTCCTGATAAAAAGTATGTTTGGCCCCTTTGCCCTACCTCTTTCACCATGGGATGACACTACAGGAAGGCCCCCACAAGATGCTGATACCATGCTCTTGGACTTCCCAGCCTCCAGAACTGTAAGAAATACATATTTTAATAAATTGCCCAGTCTGTGGTATTCTGTTACAGCAGCAGAAAATGAAACCTAGTTTGTTATGTTATCATGTTTATTTATTTATGTTTGTTATTCTTGAGTCATAATAGAGTCTTACTCAGATGTGCATTCATGCCTGGCCTCTGCAGGAGGGGCCTGTCTTCAGCCAGGGACAAGCAGAACATTATGGTCAGCATCATCCACAAGGTCAAGAGGCCACAGAGCCCCCTGAGGGCAGTATACTGGCCCCTTCGATATTGTATCCTACCCAGCAGGTTAGTAGGACTGCATGACTGACAGGAATCATTGTAGCCTTCATAGCAAAGTTTTATGGAGACGGGGCTAAGGCTATTGAAGTCCAGCCATTAGATTAATGTAGGAGCTTGCTGTCAGAGACCCTGCTGGGCACTTTTTGTTCCTGTCACAGATGACCTTCACAACAACCTTTCAAGAGAGCTCTTTTCATTTCACTTTTCTTGCATGTGGATGTCCAGTTTTTCCAGTGCCATTTATTGAAAAGACAGTCTTTTCTCCACTGTATTGTCTTTGCTCCTTTATCTGTATTTACGTGGGTCTATTTCTTGGTTCTCTATTCTGTTTCATTGATCTATTTGTCTATTCTTTTGCCAATACAACACTGTCTTTTTTAAATTAAATTATTTTGGTTGACAAATAAAAGTTATATTTGGGTGTATAGCATCATGTTTTCATATACGTATACATTGTAAAATGGCTAAAGCAAGCCATTAACATATACATTACCTCACATACTTTTTGTGGTAATAATGCTTCAAATAATTTATCTTATAATTTTGAAATATACAATATGTGGTTACTAAGTTTAATCACCATAAAGTACAATAGATCTCTTAAACTTATTCTTCCTATCTAATTGAAATTTTGTGTTGGTCGGGCATGATGGCTCATGCCTGTAATCCCAGCACTTTGGGAGGCCGAGGCGGGTGGATCACTTGAGGTCAGGAGTTCGAGACCAGACTGGTCAACATGGTGAAACTAAAAATACAAAAATTAGCTGGATGTGGTGTCACATGCATATAGTCCCAGCTACTTGGGAGGTTGAGGCACAAGAATCACTTGAACCCGAGTGATTCAGAGACTGCAATGAGCCAAGATCATGCCACTGCACTCCAGACTGGGTGACAGAGAGAGACTCTTGTCTTTTTTTTTTTTTTTTTTTTTTTTTGGTAGAGTCTCTCTCTGTTGCCCAGGCTGGAGTTCAGTGGTTCAGTGGTGCAATCTCAGCTCACTGCAACTTCCACCTCCCGGGTTCAAGCAATTCTCCTGTCTCAGCCTCCCGAGTAGCTGGGACTACAGGCGCATGCCACGACACCCGGCTAATTTCTTTTGTATTTTAGTAGAGACAGGGTTTCACCATGTTGCCCAGGCTAGTCTCTAACTCCTGAGCTCAGGCAATTTGCCTGCCTCGGCCTCCCAAAGTGCTAGGATTACAGGCTTGAGCCACTGCGCCCAGCCGAGACTCTGTCTTTAAAAAAAAAAAAAGAAAGAAAGAAAAGAAATTTTGTGTCATTTGCTTACCCCTCCCCAATCCTCCCACCTCCCAGCCTCTGACAACTACCGGTTTACTCACCATGTATATGAGTTTGGCTTTTTTTACATTCCACATATATGTGAGATCATGTTTGTCTTTTTGCGCCTGGCTTATTTCACTTAACATAATGTCTTCTAGGTTCATTCATGTTGTTGACTGAATAGTATCCCACTGTGTATATATACCACATTTTCTTTATACATTCATCCATTAATGGATACTTAGGTTGATTCCATATCTTGGCTCTTGAGAATAACACTGCAGCCAGGTGTGGTGGCTCGCACATGGAATCCAGCTACTCAGGAGGCTGAGGCAAGATGACCACTTAAGGCCAGGATTCTGAGACCAAGCTGGGCAATGCAGTGACACCCTAACTCTAAAGAAAGAAGAAAGAATAATGCTGCAATGAACATGGAAGTGCAGACATCTCTTTGACACACAGATTTTATATCCTTTGAATATATATTCAGTGGTAGGATTGCTGGATCATATGGTAGTTCTATATTTTAATTTTTTGAGGAACCTTCATACTCCTTCCAGCAATGACTATACCAATTATCTGTCTGGATTACTGCAGTTTTATAGAAAGTCTTGAAGTCAGGTGTGGCAGTACTTTGACTTTGTTTTCCTTCTATATTGTGCTGGCTAGGCCTTTTGCCTCTCCATATAAACCTTTTTTGTTTGTTTGTTTTTTGTTTTTTTGAGACAGAGTTTCGCTCCTGTTGCCCAGGCTGGAGTGCAATCTCAGCTCACTGCAACCTCCACCTCCTGGGTTCAAGCGATTCTCCTGCCTCAGCCTCCCAAGTAGCTGGGATTACAGGCACCCGCCACCACACCCAGCTAATTTTTGTATTTTTAGTAGAGACGGGGTTTCACCATGTTGGCGAGGCTGGTCTTGAACTCCTGACCTCAGGTCATCTGCCCACCTCGGCCTCCCAAAGTGCTGGGATTACAGGCATGAGCCACTGTGCCCGGCCTCTCCATATAAATTTTTAAATCAGCTTGTGAGTATACACAAAATAACGTCCTGGGGTTTTGACTGGGATTGCATTGATTCTATAGATCAGGTTGGGAAGAAATGACATATTAACAATATTGAGTCTTCCTGGTCTTGCATCCCAGGTTCAAGCTATTCTCCTGCCTCAGCCTCCCGAGTAGCTGAGATTACAGGTGCCCACCACTACGCCTGGCTAATTTTTTGTATTTTTAGTAGAGATGGGGTTTCACCATGTTGACCAGGCTGGTCTCGAATTCCTGACCTTGTGATTCGCCTGCCTCAGCCTCCCAAAGTGCTGGGATTACAGGCGTGAGCCACCATGCCCAGTTCTTTTGTAGCATTTCAAGATGTTCCAGGCTTATCTTGTATTTTTCCTACTTCACCCCTAGAATCAGCTATTTTTCTAAGGAGCCCTGGTTCCTTCTATTGGAGATTGATGTATTATAACCAAAATCTGGGCATTGGGTGCTCATTTCACTTTCCTAAGGAGGACATAGAGGTTCTGTTGATGACATCTGTGATACCTCTGTCTTTGTCTTCTTCATTTAAAAGAATGTAAACAAGGGACACACAGCAAAGGAGATGCAGTACAGAGCAATTTATTGCAAAGGAAAAATGATATTTTGAAAGTTAAGTGCAGAATAGATAGTATGCCCTGAGAGAGAGGATTCAGGGTGGGCTGCTCCTAAGGATGAGACAGCATTGATTATTGCTGCAGAAACTCCCTTTATGGGGGTCTTACATGATTATTCATAAGGAGGTGGGAAGAGGTGTTACTAGTCAGCATGTTCTGGGTGGTCCTCTGGGTGGGTGGTCCTCTGGATGCACATGTGCAGTAGCTATACATGCTTGTTCATGCATCTTATGTCTCATAAGCATCTTAAATCTCCACCCAGGTGTGTGTTTCTTACTATTGTAATGAGCTAAGGGTCAGTTTGACGGTAGGTAAAATCAAAATGCGCATGCTCTCTACAGGGTAAATTCCCTACTGGAGATAGCTTTGCTTGAATGAGCTGGTCTACAATGTGAATGCTGGAGCTTATTGTGTTGACTGTATGGTTATCACTGTTGCTGCATCCCAAGGACACAGTTACTTCCTTGACTCCCTATCCTGCCTCAATTCCTCCCTAAAAGATCTTAGGACCCATAATCATACGGGAGGATGAGAGGCTAGGTCATTTCTTCCAGAGCTGCTTCCTGCTGAGTGCGGCATTGTCCTTGCCTAACCTGGGCCCTGAAGTCTTTTCCTGCCTAGTCTAACAGTGTGTAAGCCATGTCTTTCAGGGGACTGGTGGGCAAGATGTGAGATAGCTCATTAGCAGCCAAAGGTTGGAAGCCTTGCAAAACCATCACATGAACCGGGATTTGCTGTAGGTGACAAAGCAAGAAATCAGCAATTTTTTTTTTTTTTGAGACAGTCTGGCTCTGATGCCCAGGCTGGAGTGCAATGGAGTGATCTCAGCTCTCAGCTCACTGCAACCTCTGCCTCCCAGGTTCAAGTAATTCTCTTGCTTCAGCCTCCCAAGTAGCTGAGATTACAGACGCCTGCCACCACACCTGGCTAATTTTTTGTATTTTTAGTAGAGACAGTGTTTCGACATGTTGGCCAGGCTGGGAAATCAGCATTTTAAACAAAGTTGGACCAAAAGTTAGAGCTAAACATATGGTAATGACTGGCATTGTTAAAGGGAGCAAGGCAGAAAACAGCCATTGCTTCCAAGTTCCCACGGAAGCTCCTAAATATTCAATTTTGTCTGCCTGGGTAATGATTTTCTTATTCCAAGAAAATGCTATTAATATATATTTGTAATTTGATTGATGCGAAAACAACATTCTTCTTCTAGATACAAACATGTTCCTCGTTGTCCAACTGTGAGAAGGTCTAAGGCTCTTCGGTTTTGTAGGACTGCCAGGAAGTCCAGCTGTTGCTGAAGTCTAGTGAGGCTCTCTGCTGTTTGTCAGAGGGCCACTCTGGTCTCCTGAGACAGTTTATGCTGGGTTCCCAAGGCTCTGTCTCTGTGGCTGGCTCTGCTAGTCCCGATAGAGAGGATAGCACTAATCCCAAGGGAACAAGGAATCCTGCTCAGCGGTGGATCTTGTGATGTTGGTACATGGGGAAAGGGAGAGATTTGTTAGCCAATGCAAAAGGTAGATAAGGGGAAATGTAAACTATGGGACATCGTCCCTTCCATTGTGGAGGGAGTTGTAGACGTGCTGAAGATCCACAAATACCAACAAATTCTTTTTTTTTTTTTTTTTTTTTTGAGACAGTCTCACTCTGTCGCCAGGCTGGAGTACAGTAGTGCGATCTCAGCTCATTGCAACCTCCGACTCCCTGGTTCAAGCGATTCTCCTGCCTCAGCCTCCTGAGTAGCTGGGATTACAGGCACATGCCACCATATCTAGCTAATTTTTGTATTTTTAGTAGAGACAGGGTTTCACCATGTTGGCCAGGATTGTCTCAATTTCCTGACCTCGTGATCCACCCGCCTCAGCCTCCCAAAGTGCTGGGATTACAGGCGTGAGCCACTGCGCCCGGCCAACACAAGCAAATTATATGTGATGGTGAAATTTGTGCTGCAAAAGCATTTTGCATCGAGGTGGTAAAAGTAATGGAAATTTGGTGGTCACTGGACTAATTAGAGGATGGTAGAGTTGAGTGGTGTTAATAAGCTTTTTGAAATAAAGTTCCCCCTTTAGGGTTCTATCATGAGGTGTATAAATGATTCTGTGAGAAAGGTTTAGATATACTGACTCTCTTGTGGAGTTTTTCTATAAAAGGAGTGAAACTGGCATGGTTGCTGTAAAGGCAGAAGGGGAATTGCTCTGGGTAAAAAGCAAGGTAAGAAAGCAATTTTCCCCTTGGCAGAGTGAAGCTATTATTCATAGATAAAAATGGAAGTTTGAACTGGCAGTGGCCAGGTCCAAGGAACTCTCTTTGTATTGTTTGTTTAGTCAGATATTTCCACATTATGGTCCAAAGTTTGTTCCAGGAGGTGTATAGGAATGTTGGCCCATTCTTCCCGAGAAACAGGTTTTGCACATTTTTAAATTTTGGTAGTCATGCAAAGCCAGCAAGACTGAGTTAATTTTTATAAATTAGTAGTATGATTTATTATTTCTTTAGCAGATAAGGTCGTTTTACTAAAAGCGCCTAAAATACAGTAAATAAATAAGAAAAAAATAAAAACATCACATTTCACTGTGAGTTGTTTTCTTGAATAGAAGCTTATGCTGAGGCAACATTAATTGCCTGATGTTTTGGGTCTTGGCTGTTTTTGGACAGGAGCCTTAGATCCTCCAGTGCTTCATAGGAATAGCTTGGAGTCTTTGTTTCAAGTTTCTGTGATGACTTAAAAGGAATCATTTTTTATTTTTGATAAACACACCAAAGGCCTACACCCCTAAGTTTTACTGCAGCAGAAGTTGGTCAGCTGCATGGTAGAGTGAAAATCCTAGTCTGGAGTTTGCTATTAACACCAATGACAGTGTCGTGTTTGGTAGACAGAGGCCCAGGGCAGACAGTGAGAACTGACAGGCCAGCCTCTGTCTTTAAAAGGATATTGATATTTTTGCCTGTCATGTCCAGGGTCATCCGAGGCTCCATTGCTGTGACTGGGGCTGATTGCCACATAGGAGCTGTTTTTTGCCTTTGGTCTCTTTAGTCTTTAGCCAGGGACAATAAGGAATTAGGAGTCCCTCCTCCCTTCAGAGTTGGAGACAGTCCTTCTTCCATTGCCCTTCTTTGTCACATTGATGACAGGCTCCAGAGGGTTTGCAAGCCTGAAGGCCTTTGTTACTTACTTAGCTCCGGTGTCCAGGCTTTTTATAAGTGCAGGAATAGCCCTTGGGTTCCACTCAGGATGACCTGGAGGTGGGAGTTTTCGCATAGTGAGTGAAGGCCAAAAATTGGGACTATCTTTTGTCTCTCTTTTCTTCCCTTTGATCTCTATGTGCCTTTTCCACTCTGTCTTGGTAATTAAAGACACCAAAAGTTAGGTTTAGCAGTTCATTTATTGGGACTTGGGGATTTATGACTAGTTTTGTGACTTTTTCCTGATATCTGGGACAGACTGACTCATGAAGTAGGTCTCTAAGAGGATTTGGTTGTTGTTCTGTGTGTTACCTGAGAGAGGGAGATACAGATAGAGAGTGAGAGTAGGTTGCTTTTTGTTTTAGGGGGGCAATAGGATACTCTGCTATGAGTTGTCCCAGCAGGACTGGGCTCTTTAGGGAGTGTTTGGTGAACAAGCTGATAAGGACGGGGTGCAGAAGACTGTGTGTCAAGTGAGGAAGGACTACAGGAGTAGAAGCTTAAGAGGTTTGAAGAGTAACCCTGGACTAGATTGTAAGGGAGGAAAGTTGTTGGTAGGAGGTATTTTTCTTTCTTTTTTTTTTTTTTTTTTTTGAGACAGAGTCTCACTCATCACCCAGGCAGGAGTGCAGTGGTATGATCTCAGCTCGCTGCAACCTCCGCCTCCTGGACTCAAGTGATTCTCCTGCCTCAGCCTCCTAAGTAGCTGGGATTACAGGCCTGCGCCACCACACCCGACTAATTTTTTTATTTTTAGTAGAGACAGGGTTTCACCATGTTGGCCAGGCTGGTCTCGAACTCCTAACCTCAAGTGATCCACCCACCTTGGCCTCCCAAAGGGCCACTGTTGCACCCAGCTGGTATATTTCTTATTATAGAGTCATTAATTATGTTAGATTTCCCCAAATTCTTTTTTGAGACAGAGTCTCGCTCTGTCACCCAGGATGGAGTGCAGTGGTGCGATCTCGGCTCACTGCAACCTCCGCCTCCCACGTTCAAGTGATTATCTTGCCTCAGCCTCCTGAGTAGCTGGGATTATAGGTGCAAGCCACCACGCCTGGCTAATGTTTGTATTTTTAGTAGAGATGGGGTTTCACCATGTTGGTCAGGCTGGTCTCGAACTCCTGACCTCATGATCCACCTGCCTCGGCCTCCCAAAGTGCTGGGATTACAGGCGTGAGCCACTGCGCCCGGCCTCCCAAATTCTTTTGAATAACATGAGCATAATAGATTTGGTATCAGTCTCTAAGGGACTGGTCTTAGTATAGAGCTGTCTGGTTAGTAGGGGGAATAATGTCAGGTTCCCCTGGGCCCTTGGAAAATCCCTGATCATCCTCTTTTTTTTTTTTTTTTTTTTTTTTTTTTTTGAGATGGCGTCTCTCTCTGTCACCCAGGCTAGAGTGCAGTGGCTGAATCTTGTCTCACTGCAACCTCTGCCTCCCAGGTTCAAGTGATTCTCCTGCCTCAGCCTCCCGAGTAGCTGGGACTACAGGCACGTGCCACCATGCCCAGCTAATTTTTGTATTTTTAGTAGAGACGGGGTTTCACCATATTGGCCAGGCTGGTCTCAAATTCCTGACCTCGTGATCTGCCCGCCTTGGCCTCCCAAAGTGCTGGGATTACAGGCATGAGCCACTGCACCCAAACTTCCTTTCTTTTTATTTAAAAACAGCAACAACAACAAAAACTCTAATTGTAAAACAGTATTGTTTGGGACTATGCAGTGTTGAAAAGACCTAATCATGGAAATTTATTTATCTTTTTTTTCAGGTTAGTAATGGCCAACCTTATATGTGCCCTTAATGTTTTAATTTTGGCCTTAAAATAACAGCTTAGGACATGTAAGTAGCTATGTTCATTAGGCTTTCTAGGTCTCGTAAGGGGAATTTGGTAGAAAATATATTTCACCCAGCAATTAGTTTTCTTCCAGGGCTGGGCACTGTGGCTCACACCTGTAATCACAGCATTTTGGGAGGCTGAGGCAGGCAGATTGCCTGAGGTCAGGAGTTCCAGAGCAGTCTGGCCAATATGGTGAAACCCCATCTCTACTAAAAATACAAAAAAATTAGCCAGGCGTGGTGGCACACACCTGTAGTCCCAGCTACTCGGGAGGCTGAGGCAGGGGAATTGCTCGAACCAGGGAGGTGGAGGTTGCAGTGAGCTGAGATCGGGCCACTGCACTCCAGCCTGGGTGACAGAGTGAGATTTCATCTCAAAAAAAAAAAAAAAAGTTTTCTTCCGGTAAAGATAAAACTCTGCTCTCACCAAAGGCAGAGGAGCCCTGACACACAAAGCAGAAAGAAAGAAACTTTAGGACAATTTTTATCAGTCTTACGGGTTAGAGAGAAAAAGAAAGCAAATGAAAGTCTGTGAATACAGATGGATCAAAAAGGACAATAAATTTTCATGGAAGGACAGAATTCAAAAGGGGTGAAATGCAAAGAAGTGCAAACATAACAAGATGATTGTTAGTAGTAAGAAAAATGAAGATCTCCAGACATTGCAAATGAGGATTCCCAGACAGTGCACAGCCTGGACGGAAGCCCTGCCAGCTTCACAAACCTCCTGTCAAGGAGGGCCACAGTGAACTAGATCTACTTGGTGTGAACTTTGAAGTCCTCACCTCTGCTTGTCACCTATCAGGCTATCAGGATGAACTGATAAATCAGCTGAAGGGAGCAAAGTCACAGTGCGTGAGAATTGTTTTGGAGATTTGTAAGTGGAAGAATGAGAGGAAAGGGAGAGACTCAGTGATGGAAAAGAAAACCTTAAGCCTTAAAGTGGTGAGGATTGTATCAATAGTTTTACTCTTTGGCAATTGTTTATTATATTTATTTAAAAAAAATTTTTTTTTGAGACGGAGTTTTGCTCTTGTTGCCCAGGCTGGAGTGCAATGGCATAATCTCGGCTTACTGCAACCTCCGCCTCCTGGTTCAAGCAATTCTCCTGCCTCAGCCTCCCGAGTAGCTGGGATTACAGGAATGTGCCGCCATGCCCAGCTAATTTTGTATTTTTAGTAGAGATGGGGTTTCTCCATGTTGGTCAGGCTGGTCTCAAAATCCCAACCTCAGGTGATCTGCCCACCTCGGCCTCGCAAAGTGCTGAGATTACAGGTGTAAGCCATCGCACCCACCTATTATCTTTTAATTTATACAGTTTCAAAATATTCCAATGTTTAGTATATACCCTAGAGGTGTTTCAGTGACAGTAGAGGAGGTGGCTTTCTAGGTAACAAGAGAATCCTGCAACCACAGAAACATGTACCAAAATCCAGGAGGTCATCGGCATCCCTGTGAGCTAAGCTGGACGATGGAGTCCAGGGTGTTCCCTTGAATCCCCATGAAACTGAGGCCCTAGGAGGTCATGGGCATTTGCCATGCACCATTCTAGGTCTCACTGGTGCTGGACGTCTCCAAGCTGAACTGAAGTGATCTCTGCTGCCAGCCGGGGAGCCTGGATGTCTCACCAACAAGCCCTTCCTTATTTCACTGATCTGCCATTTTTAATGTCCAGTCATCATGCTTGGAATGCCTGGTTATAGTCCCCATGACTACACATCCATGTGGCCACACATCCTGCACTCAACATGGATGGCCTCTTGGAACGTCTCCTGTTCTCAGAGGAGACGTTCAGAACACACTCCTCTGAGACTCAGAGGAGTCTCAGAACACACAGAGCCTGGAGGAATGGGGACTGTTGGCAAAAGTAGATCTAATGTGTCCCTCAAGGTGAACAAAAATCTTTGAAGAGATTACTTGATTAACAAACAAGTGCTGGGCGCGGTGGCTCATGTCTGTAATCCCAGCACTTTGGGAGGCCAAGGTGGGCTGATCATAAGGTCAGGAGTTCGAGACCAGCTGAGCCAGTATGGTGAGACCCCGACTCTATTGAAAATACAAAAATTAGCCGGGCGTGATGGTGCACGCCTGTAATCCCAGCTACTTGGGAGGCTGAGGCAGGAGAATCGCTTGAGCCCAGGAGGTGGAGGTTGCAGTGAGCCGAGATAGAGCCACTGCACTCCAGTCTGGGTGACAGAGTGAGACTCTTGTCTCAAAAAAAAAAAAAAAAAAAAAAAAGTTACAATAGCCAGTAGGTACAGATCAGGTGCAGTCCTGGGAGGAACAGCAAAACAAAAAGTGAAACAGAAGCAGCAAAAGTCCCAAGGCTGAATAATCAGGGCGTTCCATCCAAATAAGGTAATTGTAAACACTGTAAAAGCAGCAGCCAAATGGAAAGCAATCACAATTAGTTGCTCAAAGAATGTGAGTGAGTTAAAAGGTCCTCCCCCAAAACCTTAATAGATCTGGGGAAAGCAGTGATAGTCAATCAGGGGTCTCTGGCTGCCATAGTACTCACCAGTAGTGAAGGGAAACTGAAACCAACGAAGCAGACAAACCTCTGAGTCATGGCACCGGAAATGTTGACGGCTGTTGTAATACCTTGGTTCTTGACTTCTTCATTTAAAAGAATTTAAACAAGAAACACGCAGCAAAGGAGATGAAGTACAAAGCAATTTATTACAAAGGAAAAATATTATTTTGAAAGTTAAGTGCAAAATAAACTGTACACCCTGAGAGGATTCAGGGTGGGCTGCTCCTAAGGATGAGACAGCATTGATCACTGCTGGAGAAACTCCCTTTATGGGAGTCTTACATGATTATTCACAGGAGGTGGGTGGGAAGAGGTGTTACTAGCAAGCATGTTCTGGGCGGTCTTCTGGGTGCACGTGTGCAGTAGCTGTACATGCTTGTTCATACATCTCATGACTCATTAGCATCTTAAATCTCCACCCAGGGCTGTGTTTTTTTTCACTATTGTGATGAGCAAAGGGTCAGTCTGAGAACAGGTGGAAATGCACGTGTTCTGTACAGGGTAAACTCCCTATTGGAGATAGCTTTGCTTGAATGAGCTGGACTACAATGTGAATGCTAGAGTTTATTGTGTTGATTGTGTGGTCATCACCAGTCGCTATGTCCCGAGGACATGTTTACTTTTTTCATTACCTATACTTCCTCAATTCCAACACCTGCCTGAGCTTACACAGGCAAATAAATGACTCATTTCAGCACCACCTTAGAGCTTATTCAGTGCAGCCTTTGACATCCCTCAGAGGAGAAGTTTTCCAAGCATGATTTTATTTTGTAAAGCCTCCGTTTTTTCAGCCTGCAGAGCTGAGACATTGATAATTTTATTCTCAAATATTTAGAGACTTTCTTATAAGATTTTCACATCTTGGTAACAAATTTCACTTACAAAATTTGCCAGAATAGGCAAAAGGAAAGAGACAGCAGGAGGGATCACTAAGATTTTTCTTTCCTGTGGAGTATTTTACTGTTCCTGCTTCTCTTTTCACTTTCCTGGGCTTGGGGGAAGGGCAGCTCCCTCGGACCATGAAAGAAAAATGGTAATACGGAAACATCTGTCTTTATCGCCTCCCCCAACCCTTCCACTCTGCTCTGGCTGTGCCCATTCTCCCTCCCACCCCCTGGCCCATAAGCCTTTTCCTTCTCCCAACCTCACCGAGAGCCCAAACTCTCACCTACAGCTGGCTCCTCAGTGGGAACTGAGTCATTACCTGCTAAAGGGTAGAAGAGGAGAGAGAGAGGCCAGAGCCTGGGGATGGGGCAGAAGGTGCGGCAGGAAGGAAGGTTAGAGTGAGAAAAATTTCCAAATAAGGGGTGATGTGTGAGTGCTCAGAGGGTGACTGAGGACATCTCCAGCATTTCCATTGAGGAGGGAGGAAGGAGGGGCCCTTGGGTTCTGGGGCAGATGCCGGCAGGGTCTGGATGAGATGCCCCCAACCTCAACCCTGGTCCTCTGAAAACACTTCACCCAGTCACACTGAGGAGCCCCTCCAGGCCCAGGGGCCCCTCCAGGTAGGCGTATCTCAGCTCCTCTCTGGAAGGACCCCCACAGCTGCCCAGCCCTGGTATGTCTCATCTCCCTGGTTCTGGTCCCCTTGAGTCTTGAGTCCGGGGTTGGCTCCTTCCCTTCCTGCAGCCGGGTCAGAGTGAGCTTGGCAGATGAGAAGCCAGGTGCTCTGCATGGCAAGGTGTGGTTGCCCTCAGGGTCCTCCTTGTCAGGGACCACAAGCCCTGGGGAAGGAGGCACTCGATGTAGGAGACAGAGAGCAGAGAGGTGGAGTGAGGGTGGGACACGCTTTGGCCTCCCCTCCTCTCCTAGTCTTCCTCCACATGCCAGTGCCTTTCCCTCCCCAACTCCAGGTCGTATAAGAGCCACAGCAGGAAGGGTAGACCTGGGTCCCCAACATTCTTTGAAGAAGTCTTTCCATAAGTGTGTCCACCTCCATTCCCACTGCAGCTTTAGGGTCTGCCTCAGTGCAGAGCCCTGGGTATGTACAGAGCATAGGTGTACATGAGGGTGATTCTGGAAGGTTCTTCCTTTGCACATACCTGCGTGTCTCAGTTTCTCTCCTCTTCAAGTCTGCTCAAATGGCACCTTCATGAGGCCCACCCTGACCACCCTACTTAAAATGCCACCTCTATTACTTTGCATTGATTGTCAACTTTGCATTTTTTTTTTTACTTTTTTTCTTTTTTTTGAGGTGGAGTCTTGCTCTGTCACCAGGCTGGAGGGCAGTGGTGCGATATTGGCTCACTGCAACCTTCACCTCCTGGGTTCAAGCGATTCTCCTGCCTCAGCCTCCAGGGTAGCTGGGACTACAGGTGCACGCCACCACACGCAGCTAATTTTTGTATTTTTAAGTAGAGACAGAGTTTCACCATATTGGCCAGGATGGTCTCGATCTCTTGACCTCGTGATCCACCCATCTCGGTCTCCCGAAGTGCTGGGGTTACAGGCGTGAGCCACCGCACCTGGCCTATTTTTTCTTTTTATCACCTATCACTTTGTAAACATAAAAGTCCTTTTCCAAAGATGGCCTCAACAATATCTCCCATCCCACATGCTCTTTAGCAATGTGACCTTGCCATCCTCTATCAAGAGCTGATGCTAATCCCCCTTTTTGGATCTGGGACTTGCTTTGGTGACTAGAACATGAGGAACGTGATGCTGCCTGACTTCTGAGGTTCCAGCATAAGATGCCTTGTGGTTCTGACTTGGCCACTTGAAACACCCGGACCCCAGGTGCAGAGCCAGAAGCAGCCAGGGCACGTGGAGGAGCAGGTGGAGGAGAAACCAAGTCACCTGGTTCACAGCCTCAGTGAGTTCCCAGCCAACAAGCCAGCACCAACTGCAGCCCTGTGCAGGAGCCTCTTGAATGTGTTGGACCAGCTGGGCTCCAGATGATGGTGGCCCAGCCCATGTTGTATGGAGCGGAAGAGCTGCCCAGCTGAGCCCAATCAGCCCACAGAATGAGAGATAATATAAAGGTTGTTTATAATATATATATACATATATATATATTTTGGGGGGGATGGAGTCTCACTCTGTCACCCAGGCTGGAGTGCAGTGGCACAATCTTGGCTCACTGCAACCTCCACGTTCTGGTTTCAAGCGATTCTCCTGCCTCAGCCTCCCAAGCAGCTGGGATTACAGGCACCTACCACCACGCCCAGCTAATTTTTGTATTTTTAGTAGAAACAGGGTTTCATCATGCTGGCCAGGCTGGTCTCGAACTCTTGACCTTGTGATCTGCCCACCTCAGCCTCCCAAAGTGCTGGAATTACAGGCGTGAGCCACCATGCCCGGCGTTTGTATGCGTTAAGATTATTTTTTGCTCAGCAATCAATTGCTGGAACACATCCATATAATTCACTACTGTTACTATATTTTTCTTTATTGTCTTTCAGATTGTAAGCATCAGGGAGCAGGTGTTAGTCTCTTTTGATTAAATGATCACCAGGCCTAGAAAAATGCCTGGCACAGAAGCACTTACTAAATATTTGTTAAATGGATGAATAAACTATGTGACCAGAATTCCTTAATACTGGGTCCGAGACTAGAAAGTGGGAGTTACTGGTTTGGTTTTGGCACTTGTTTAGTCAGCTTGTGCTGCCATAACAAAACACCACAGATGGATTGGTTAACAACAGACATTTCTTTCTCACAATTCTGGACCCTGGAAATCTGAGGTTAGGGAACCAGCAGATTCAGTTCCTGGTGAGGGCCCTCTTCCTGCCTGGCAGACAGCTGCCTTCTTGCCATATCCTCACGTGGTGAAGAGAGTGGGAGCTCCAGTCTCTTCTTTTTCTTAAAAGGACACTAATCCCATCATGGGGGCCCCAACCTCTCAACCTCTTCTGAATCTAATCACTTCCCAAGATGGCCACCAGTCTCAAGGAGTTTACTGTCACAGTGGGAGCAAAGATGCTACAGCAGGTTGTAAAATTAGGTGTCATCCCAGTCAGTGGGGAGAGGACAGGTAATTCAGGGAAGGGGACCTGGATAGAGCTCACCCATAGGATATGGCAGGTCCCAGAACTCTACTGAAATCAAGTCTGGATAAAAGTCAATAATATTCTTCTGACCGAATTCCTTTCAGTCTTCCTGAGGGATGGGCAGGCTCATTCCAGAATAAAGAAGATGCCTGGGGTAAAGAAGACTAGTCTCCAAGGGCACTGGCCCAGGACACCTAGGTTCTACTGGTCACCAACGCCCACCCAGATCTCTCCTGGGTGGAGCCTTGTTCCAAGCCTCTCACAGCCCTTGCCTGCATTCCCATGGTGCTCACCATGGATAACAGGGCCACAGCCAGCCTCAGAGCCAGACTGTTAAGTGAAACCACTGATCCTTGCTGAATTACTTCTTTGAGGCTGAGATAAACTTCACATTTCAGCCTCATTAATAAGATTAATTGTAAATCCAAATGGCCTGCAAATCTATAAACAGTCGCTCAGTTGATTAGCCAGAACATTGAGGACTGTTAATGATACAGGAAAAGGCCCATTTTGGAGGTGAGAAGCTGAGGAGCCTGAAACTGTTTCCATTGTTTATGAAAGTAATCTGACAATTATGAATGAAAATACCCACCACCCCCCGACCCAGCAATCCAAGGTGGGAAATATCTTTTTTTTTTTTGAGACGGAGTTTTGCTCTTGTCCCCCAGGCTGGAGTGCAGTGATGCAATCTCAGCTCACTGCAACCTCCATCTCCCAAGTTCAAGTGATTCTCCTGCCTCAGCCTCCCAAGTAACTGAGATTACAGGCGTGTGCCACCATGCCAGGGTAATTTTTGTATTTTTAGTAGAAACGAGGTTTCACCATGTTGACCAGGCTGGTTTCGAACTCCTGACCTCAAGTGATCCGCCCACCTCAGCCTCCCAAATGCTGAGATTACAGGTGTGAGCCCAAACTCCTACTTTTAAATCACTGCATAATAGTCCATAGTCCATTGAATGGAGTATAGCAATAAACACTGTTACATATTCTGAACCTCAACTCCCTCCCTCCCTCCCTTCCTCTCTCTCTCTCTTCTTTCTTTCTTATTTTTTGACACAGGGCCTCACTCTGTCACCCAGGCGGAGTGCAGTTGTGGGTTAATCATGGCTCACTGCAGCCGCGACCTCCCCAGGCTCAGGTGATCCTCCCACCTCAGCTTCCGGAGTAGCTGGGACTACAGGCATGAGCCACCTCACCTGGCTAATTTTTTGTATTTCTGGTGGAGAAGGGGTTTCACCATTTTGCCCAGGCTGGTCTTAAACTCCTAGGCTCAAACCATCTGCCTGCCTCACCCTCCCAAAGTGCTAGGATTACAGGTGAGCCACCACACCCAGCCAACTGCCTTTATTTCTGTAAGAGATATTTCCCGGCCAGGCGCGGTGGCTTACACCTGTAATCCCAGCACTTTGGGAGGCCGAGGCGGGTGGATCACCTAAGGTCAGGAGTTCGAGACTAGCCTGGACAACATGGCAAAACCCCGTCTCTACTAAAAATATAAAAATCAGCCGGGCGTGGTGGGGGGTGCCTGCAATCGCAGCTACTTGGGAGGCTGAGGCAGGAAGAATTGCTTGAACCCGGGGGGGTGGGGGTTGCAGTGAGCCCAGATGGCGCCACTGCACTCCAGTCTGGGTGACAGACCAAGACTGTCTCAAAAAAAATAAAATACATAAATAAATAACAATAATAATATGTAAGATTTGTCCCACGGCATTTTGAGGTGATGGCAGGCAGAAATAAAGCCAGTCCCACCCTTTCTGGGCTAGGGAAAGCTGAGATGGTCTTCGGCTCCGGGTGAGTCACTCCCCAGGGTCCAGGCCTGGCTGCCCGTTCCCCTCCCCCTCCAACCCACCTACAGCCCCTTCTGCTCTGCCCCATCAACTACATTTTCTCCCTCAGCACTCGCCTTAGATTCCTGGACTCACAGCACAGAGGCGACCTCCTCCTTGCAGACTTTAGGCGCCACTGCGGGGTCCGGAAAAAAAAGAGAAACGGCCCAGCGCTGTCACTTACATAACCCAGGGCGGGGCTGCGCTCGGCGACCGCAAGCGTTTTGAATTCTGCGCCCCAGAGTTCACTGCGAGGACTGGGATCACCCGTCACCCCGCCCTGGTCTACGGAAAATGACAAGTGTTTACTGATATAGAAACGGAATAACGGCGCTGTGGGCTGGGGTGGGCGGAGCTGCCTTCAGGCTTCTGGTCTCCAGCGGCGGGGAACTCACACCTGCCGCTGTGAAAATGCAGACCCGCGGGGCAGTAATTCCGAGTCCAGCCTGGGGCGCGATCTGGAATCTTGACTCGCTTGAAACACCACGGCGGATTCGGAGACAGGTGAGTAGAGAAATGAGCCTCAGCCCCTCCCACGGGCCGCCCACGGATTCCAGGATCCGGAAACTCTTCCTGCTGCTGCGTCACCCCAGGAAGGCAGCGCCCGCCTCTGGGCAGTTCTGATGGAAACTGGCTTCGCCGCCCAGAGGAAAACCCACAACTAAGGGGCCAAGAAAAAGCCTCCATGGTCCCGCCCTTTCAGTGAGGATCCTAATTTATACCCCGAGTGTGGCCCCCATCAAAGTCTGCAGTGACAGCCGAGCGCGGTGGCTCACGCCTGTAATCCCGGCACTTTGGGAGACCATGGCGGGCGGATCACTTGAGGTCAGGAGTTCGAGACCAGCTTGGCCAACATGGTGAAGCCTTCTCTACTAGAAATACAAAAATTAGCCGGGTGTGGTGGTAGGCGCCTGTAGTCCCAGCTACTCGGAGGCTGAGGCAGAAAAATGGCTTGAACGCGGGAGGCGGAGCTTGCAGGGAGCCGAGATCGCGCCACTGCACTCCAGCCTGGGCGACAGAGACTCCATCTCACACACACACAAAAAATGTAGAGTGACGTTCACTGAAATGATACTAGACCAGCGGGAGGGACCCAGAGCGCTGCGGTTCACAGAATGCGGTGACAGCGCCGCCTCGCGTCCTTTACTTCAACTGCCCCAGGCAGACGTGGTCACGTGTGTTGGCCTGGAGGCTGGAATACACCGGGGTCAAATGCAGAGTGGAGAAAGGAGGGAAGGATGGGAGGACGTGTTGAAGAAAGACAGTAAGAGCTAGCGCTATGGTTCATATCTGTAAAACTAGAGTTTTCGGAGGCGAGGCAGGAGGATCGTGTGAGACCAGGAGTTTGAGGTTGCAGTGAGCCGTGATCACACCACTGCACTCCAGCCTGGACGACAGAGTGAGACCCTGCTTTTATATACTTTTCATATTTTCTGTAATTAAGCAAGTTTTGTGTCCGGAATTGGTGGGTTCTTGATCTCACTGACTTCAAGAATGAAACTGTGGACCCTCGCGGTGAGTGTTACAGCTCTTAAGGTGGCGCGTCTGGAGTTTGTTCCTTCTGATGTTCGGACGTGTCCGGAGTTTTTTCCTTCTGGTGGGTTCGTGGTCTCGCTGGCTCAGGAGTGAAGCTACAGAGCTTTGCGGTCAGTGTTATAGCTCTTAAGGCGGCACGTCTGGAGTTGTTTGTTTCTCCCGGTGGGCTTTTGGTCTTGCTGGCTTCAGGAGTGAAGCTGTAGACCTTCACAGTGAGTGTTACAGCTCATAAAAGCACTATGGACCCAAAGAGTGAGCAGTAGCAAGATTTATTGCAGAGCGAAAGAACAAAGCTTTAGCAGTGTGGAAGAGAACCCGACTGGGTTGCCACTGCTGGCTCGGGCAGCCTGCTTTTATTCTCTTATCTGGCCCCACCCACATCCTGCTGATTGGTAGAGCCGAGTGGTCTGTTTTGACAGGGTGCTGATTGGTGCGTTTGCAATCCCTGAGCTAGACACAAAGGTTCTCCAAGTCCCCATCAGATTAGTTAGATACACAGTATGGACACAAAGGTTCTCCAAGGCCCCACCAGAGCAGCTAGATACAGAGTGTAGATTGGTGCATTCACAAACCTTGAGCTAAACACAGGGTGCTGATTGGTGTGTTTACAAACCTTGAGCTAGATACAGAGTGCCGATTGGTGTATTTACAATCCCTGAGCTAGACATAAAGGTTCTCCAAGGCCCCACCAGAGCAGCTAGATAGAGTGTGGATTGGTGCACTCACAAACCCTGAGCTAGGCACAAGGTGCTGATTGGTGTGTTTACAATCCCTGAGCTAGACATAAAGACTCTCCACGTCCCCACCAGACTCAGGAGCCCAGCTGGCTTCACTTAGTGGATCCCGCACCGGGGCTGCAGGTGGAGCTGCCTACCAGTGCCGCACGGTGCGCTTGCATTCCTCAGCCCTTGGGTGGTCGATGGGACTGGGCGCCGTGGAGCAGGGGGTGGTGCTCGTCGAGGAGGCTCGGGCCGCACAGGAGCCCTTGGAGTGGGTGGGAGGCTTAGGCATGGCGGGCTGCAGGTCCCCAGCCCTGCCCCGCGGGAAGGCAGCTAAGGCTCGGTGAGAAATCGAGCGCAGCGCTGGTGGGCTGGCACTGCTGGGGGACCCAGTACACCCTCCGCAGCTGCTGGCCCGGGTGCTAAGTCCCTCATTGCCAGGGGCCAGCAGGGCTGGCCGGCTGCTCCGAGTGCGGGGCCCGCCAAGCCCACGCCCACCCGGAACTCCAGCTGGCCGGCAAGCGCGGCACACAGCCCCGGTTCCCGCTCGCGCCTCTCCCTCCACACCTCCCCGCAAGCTGAAGGAGAGGGCTCCGGCCTTGGCCAGCCCAGAAAGGGGCTCCCACAGTGCAGCGGAGGGCTGAAGGGCTCCTCAAGTGCCGCCAAAGTAGGAGCCCAGGCAGAGGAGGCGGGGAGAGCAAGCGAGGGCTGTGAGGACTGCCAGCACGCTGTCACCTCTCGGTTTTACTTTATTTTAGGATAAAATATCTATTGTGAATTTTAAAAACATGTAAAATAAAATTTTAATTAAAAAGCCTAAATGTTCTTTTCCTATTTATCCTGAAGGAAATTCCTGTTGATGGCGCATTTAGGAACTTATTTATCCCCTGAAGACCTGAGCCCTGCACATATCAAAACTGTACATTCCTTGTGGAGCAGTCTTCTCTTTTGAAATGTAGACACTATTTCCCTAATCTTCAAGCCAGCCATTGTCACTCCTAGTGACACTTCCATTGGATAAGCTCCTTACTCTCACTGAAATTGGCCTCAGAGTTGCAGCCAAGCATTGGGAGCCATGGCAGAAGTCATTGTGGGGTTTGCACCTGGCTGATGTGGAAGGTAGTCCTGAAAGGTAGTGTGTGACTAAGTGGGCTCTGGAGGGCAGGGATGTGCCTGGTGAGAGGAGAACAAGACAGATAGGAAGGTTCCAAAAGAAAACTTCAGGGGTCCCTGTGCCCAACATCGGGATTTAGAAAATCTTCTCCCAGCCACTTTTGACCTGCTTT
Organism: Homo sapiens; assembly: GCF_000001405.40. Taxonomy (NCBI): domain Eukaryota; kingdom Metazoa; phylum Chordata; class Mammalia; order Primates; family Hominidae; genus Homo; species Homo sapiens. The sequence goes on along the minus strand of NT_113891.3, from coordinate 2,677,180 downwards.
CATTCCGCTTTCCTGTCTACCAGGCCATTGCAGGCAGTTCCTTCATTGAATAAATATTTATCAAATACCTACCACGTGCCAGGCATTGTGTTTAAGGAGCTGGGGCTGAGGTAAGAGGAACCAAACCCCCCTTGCGCTCAAGGTTGTCCCAGTCTTGCTCAGGCAGAGATCAGTCAGGAAATTGTAACACTAATGGTTGGCAGGACATGTACACATGCTTTGCAAACTCACAAGTAGACCATCTTCTCTGACCTAGGAGTCACAGAAAGTTCACAAAAGAGACAATGTTCAAGCTATGTTTTGAGGTGTAAGTAGGAGCCCAACAGGCACCTGGGACAAGAGAGCATTGCTCAGAATCCAGAACATGAATTTCTTTCCCTGGGCCAGGCCAAGAATCAGACTAAGCTGACTGAGGAGCCAGATGCTTCCTGGCAAGAAAGGGTGTCCCACATCTGACTATTCCAAAATCACAGCTACTCAATGTTGAGACTTAAGACAGACAGAAAAAGAGAAAGGCCTGATTCGAAAAGCAGAATTCTCCAGGGGTGGGGGGAGGTTAAACTGCAGTTTCTGATATAATATGTGTGGGCCAGGCCAGAGAATTGCATTTCCTTTTTTATTTATTTATTTATTTATTTTGAGACGAAGTCTTGCTATTGTCCCCCAGGCTGGAGTGCGATGGCGCAATCTTGGCTCACTGCAACCTCCGCCTCCCGGGTTCAAGTGATTCTCCTGTCTCAGCCTCCCAGGTAGCTGGGATTACAGACGCCTGCCACCACGCTCGGCTAATTTTTTGTATTTTTAGTAGAGACAGGGTTTCACCATGTTGGCCAGGCTGGTCTCGAACTCCTGACCTCAGGTGATCCGCCCGCCTCAGCCTCCCAAAGTGCTGGGATTACAGGCGTGAGCCACTGCGCCCAGCTGAGAATTGCATCTCTAACAAGTTTCCAGGTGATGCCAGTGCTGTTTGTCCCAGGACTACACTTTGAGAATCACTGCCCTAAAGCAACCTGGTTTGATCTCTAATAACAGAAGAGGACTGGGAGAGCACTATGAGGCAGAAGTGTAGGATAAATAAGACCATACTCTGCCCATCCTGGAGAATTCGCAAGCCCAAGGCTGCAGCATTTGAATTCCTTGGGAGTCCCGGGAATTGCAGACACCCAGGAAGAAACTGAATGTGGGTCAGAGGGTGATGCATGCTCTCTGCTTCACACAGCACCTGGGGTTCCTGCCACTACACAGTCTGGCCCCCACACCCTCAATCCTTCCCACCCCTCCTTGAAGCATTGACCTGCAGGCCTTACTCTACTGCCCTCAGCTGTTTGGGCCTGGTATATGACCCTAGGCGCTCCTACCGTACCTTCTGATCCAAATACAGGGTGACCTAGTATGACAACTATTAGCAGACTCATAGGGATAACAGAATGGGCTAAGAATGAGAATCTTTGGTTGCGCACGCCTGTAATCCCAGCCACTTGGGAGGCTGAGGTGGGAGGATCGCTGGAGCCCGGGAGGTGGAGGTTACAGTGAGCAGAGATCAGGCCACCAACATTCCAGCCTGGGCAAAAAAGTGAGACTCTGTTTCAAAAAAAATAAAATAAAATAAAAAGGCCGGGCATGGTGGCTCACACCTGTAATCCCAGCACTTTGGGAGACCAAGGCCAATGGATCACTTGAGGCCAGGAGTTCCAGACCACCTTGGCCAACATGGTGAAACCCTGTCTCTGCAAAAAATACAAAAAGTAGCCAGGCATGGTGGCATGCACCTGTAGTCCCAGCTACTCCAGAGGCTGAGGCAGAGAATCGCTTGAACCAGGGAGGCGGAGGTTGCAGTGAACCGAGAAGATTGCACCACTGCACTCCAGATGGGGCAACAGAGCGAGACTCTGTCTCCAAAAAAAAAAAAAAAATAAGAATCTTGAAAAGTTGGCAAGTGGCTTCAATTACATGTCCCCCAGAATTACAAGTGTTTTTTCTAAATATCACATCCTTGGGCCCACATGGACACCAGAGGGCACCCTGAGCTCACTGAAGCCACAACTGTCGCATTAGACCATTAGAATCCCTTGTAAAGGCCAGGCATGGTGGCTCACACCTGTAATCACAGCACTTTGGGAGACCGCGGAGGGTGGATCATCTGAGGTCAGGAGTTCGAGACCAGCCGGGCCAACATGGTGAAACCCCATCTCTACTAAAAATTAGCCGGGTGTGGTAGCATGCACCAGTAATCTCAGCTACTGGGGAGGCTGAAGCAGGAGAATCACTTGAACATGGAAGGCAGAGGTTGCAGTGAGCCAAGATTGCATCCTTGCACTCCAGCCTGGGCAACAACAGCAAAACTCCATCAGAAAAAAAAAAAAAAAAGAATCCCTTGTAAAGACTGCGGTTTGGCTGGGAGCAGTGGCTCATGCCTGTAATGCCAGAAATTTGAAAGGCTGAGGGTGGGCCACGGTGGATCGCTTGAGGTCAGGAGTTCAAGACCAGCCTAGTCAACATGGTGCAACCCCATCTCTACTAGAAATACAAAAATTAGCTGGGCATGGTGGCATGCAACTGTAGTCCCTGCTACTCAGGAGGCAAGAGAATTGCTTGAGCTCTTAAGGCAGAGGTTGCAGTGAGCCAAGATTGCATCACTGCACTCCAGCCTGGCCAACACAGCAAGACTCCATCTCAAAAAAAAAAAAAAAAAAAGGAGTGATATAATTTTTAGACAATTTTTTTTTTTTTTTTGAGATGGAGTCTCGCTCTGTCACCCAGGCTGGAGTGCAGTGGCACGATCTTGGCTCACTGCAAGCTCTGCCTCCCGGGTTTACGCCATTCTCCTGCCTCAGCCTCCTGAGTAGCTGGGACTATAGGTGCCCGCCACCACACCTGGCTAATTTTTTGTATTTTTAGTAGAGACAGGGTTTCACCGTGTTAGCCAGGATGGTCTCCATCTCCTGACCTCGTGATCCGCTTGCCTCTGCCTCGCAAAGTGCTGGGATTACAGGCGTGAGCCACCGCGCCTGGCCCCAGCTACAATTTTTGTTTTCTCTTAATGAAGGTAAGAGAATTCTATCAGGCTGAGTTTTTTTCTTAAATTTTCACTATGAGTTTTTTGGGTTTTTTTCCTCCTTGGAATTACCTTTTGTGTTTTCACTTGGTTAAAAATTCAAAAGGTTCAAAAGGCAAAAAGTCTCTGTCTTGGCCGGGTGCAGTGGCTCAAGCCTGTAATCCCAGCACTTTGGGAGGCCGAAGCAGGTGGATTACAAGGTCAAGAGTTCGAGACCAGCCTGGCCAACATGATGAAACCCCCGTCTCTACTAAAAATACAAAAATTAGTCGGGTGTGGTGGTGGGCATCTGTAATCCCAGCTACTTGGGAGGCTGAGGCAGGAGAATCACTTGAACCCGGGAGGCAGAGGTTGCAGTGAGCCGAGATCTTGCCATTGCACTCCAGCCTGGGCGACAAGAGCAAGACTCCGTCTCGAAAAATAAATAAATAAATTAATTAATTAAAGAAAGAAAGAAAACAAACTTAAGACATTTGTTCGGGCTTGGTGGCCCACGCCTGTAATTCCAGCACTTTGGGAGGCCGAGGCGGGCGGATCACCTGAGGTAAGGAGTTCGAGACTAGCCTGGAAAACATGGCAAAACCCTGTCTCTACTAAAAATACAAAACATTAGTGGGCATGGTGGCAGAAGGCTGTAATCCAGCTACTTGGGAGGCTGAGGCAGAAGAATCACTTGAACCCGGGAGGCGGAGGTTGCAGTGAGCTGAGATTGCACCATTGCACTCCAGCCTGGGTGACAGTCAGATTCTGTCCCAAAAAAACCAAACAAACTTAGACGTTTTATGCATATGCAAGCAAATATAAGTGTGTGTGTATATACATATAATTTCCCTCTTTCCACATAAATTTTAGCAAACTACATATGCTTTCCTTCATCTTGTTTTTTTTTTCTTTCTGAGACAAGGTTTCACTCTGTCACCCAGGCTGGGGTATACTAGTATGACTACCACTCACTGAAGGCTTGAACTCTTGGGCTCCCCACTAGCTGGGACCACAGGTGTGAGCCACAACACCTGGCTTTTTTTTGAGACAGAGTTTCACTCTTGCCGCCCAGGCTAGAGTGCAGTGGTGCGATCTCGGCTTACTGCAACCTCTGCCTTCTGGGTTCAAGTGATTCTCCTGCCTCAGCCTCTGGAGTAGCTGGGAAATCCCATCTGTACTAAAAATACAAAAATTAGCCAGGCGTGGTGGTGCACACACCTGTAGTTCCAGCTACTCAGGGGGCTGAGGCAGAAGAAATGCTTGTACCTGGGAGGTGGAGGTTGCAGTGACCTGAGATCTCACCACTGCACTGCAGCCTAAGACAGTGAGACTGTCTCAAAATTTAAAAAAAAAAATTTTTTTTAAAGAAAGAATGAACTACTGATAGGTGCAACAACATGGATGGATTACATAGATATTATGCCAAATACAAAAAGCCAGACACAAAAGAGGCCATACCTATGCATGCATTTATAGGAAGTTTTAAAACAGGCAGCCCAGCACAGTGGCTCACACCTGTAATCCCAGCACTTTGGGAGGCCGAGGCGGGTGGATCACCTGAGGTCAGGAGTTTGAGACCAGCCTGGTGAACATAGCGAAACCCCATCTCTACTGGAAGTACAAAATTAGCCAGTCATGGTGGCTCACACCTGTACTCCCAGCTACTCAGGAGGCTGAGGCAGGAGAATCTCTTGAACCCAGGAGGCAGAGGTTGCAGTGAGCCGAGATCGTGCCATTGCACTCCAGCCTGGGTGGCAGAGTGAGACTCCATCTCAAAAAAAAAAAAAAATTAGGAAAAACTGCTCTATAGTGATAGTCATCAGATCCATGGCTACTCAGGGGTAGGGCAGAATCAAAGAGGGCAAAGAGAACTTTCTATATCTTGACAGGGGTGTGGGTGACATGTACTTGTCAAAATTCATTGATGGATTTGCTAAAGATCTGATCATTTCACTTTTTGTAAATGGTGAAATTTTAAAATAAAATTTTAATAAATTTAATAAATTTTAAAATAAAAATATTTTTGCTGGGCACGGTGTCTCACGCCTGTAATCCCAGCATTTTGGGAGGCCAAAGTGGGTGGATCACTTGAGGTCAGGAATTTGAGACCAGCCTGGCGAAACCCTGTCTCTGCAAGCAAATACAAAAATCATCCAGGTGTGTGGTGTGTACCTGTAGTCCCAGCTACTCAGGAGGCTGAGAGAGGAAAATCGCTTGACCCTGGGAGGTGGAAGTTGCAGTGAGCTGAGATCACACCACTGCACTCCAGCCTGAGCAATAGAGGGAGACTCTGTCTCAAAAAAATAAAATAGGGTTGGGGACAAAGGGAGGGAGAGCATTAGGACAAATACCCAATGCAGGCGGGGCTTAAAACCTGGATGACAGGTTGATAGGTGCAGAAATCACCATGGCACATGTATACTTATGTAACAAACCTGCACATTCTGCACATGTATCCTGGAACTTAAAGTAAAAAAAGTAATAATAATAATTTTAAAAATAAATAAATTAATTAAACAAAAATATTTTAATGTTAATAATAAAAAGTAGCCGGGGGCTGTGGCTCATGCCTGTAATCCCAGCACTTTGGGAGGCCGAGGTGGGCGGATCACCTGAGGTCAGGAGTTTGAGACTAGCCTGGCCCACATGGAGAAACCCTGTCTCTACCAAAAATACAAAATTAGCCGAGGGTGGTGGCAGGGGTTTGTGATCCCAGCTACTCAGGAGGCTGAGGCAGAAAAATCACTTGAACCCAGGAGGCAGAGGTTGCGGTGAGCTGAGATTGTGCCATTGCACTCCAGCCTGGGCAACAAGAACAAAACTCCGTCTCAAAAATAATAATGATAATAAATAAGATAATTGGGCCAGGTGTGGTGGCTCACACCTGTAATCTCAGCATTTTAGGAGGCCGAGGTGGAAGGATCACCTGAGGTCAGGAGTTCAAGACCAGCCTGGCCAACATGGTGCAACCTCATCTCTATTAAAAATACAAAAAATTGGCTGGGTGTGGTGACTCACGCTTGTAATTCCTGTACTTTGGGAGGCCAAGGCAGGTGGACCAGTGGACCACGAGGTCAGGAGATCGAGACTATCCTGGCTAACACAGTAAAACCCCATCTCTACTAAAAATACAAGAAATTAGCTGGGCGTAGTGGCACATGCCTGTAGTCCCAGCTACCTGGGAGGCTGAGGCAGGAGAATCACTTGAACCCGAGAGGTGGAGATTGCAGTGAGCCAGATCACACCATTGCACTCCAGCCTGGGCGACAGAGCGAGACTCTATCTCAAAAAAAAAAAATACAAAAAATTAGCAGGGCACACCGGGCACGGTGGCTCAAGCCTGTAATCCCAGCACTTTGGGAGGCTGAGGCAGGCGGATCACAAGGTCAGGAGATCGAGACCATCCTGGCTAACATGGTGAAACCCCGTCTCTACTAAAAATACAAAAAAATTAGCCAGGCGTGGTGGCAGGCACCCATAATCCCAGCTACTCGGGAGGCTGAGGCAGGAGAATGGCATGAACCCGGGAAGCAGAGCTTGCAGTGAGCCGAGATCACACCACTGAACTCTAGCCTGGGCAACAGAGCAAGACTCCGTCTCAAAAAAAAAAAAAAGAGTACTGAAGTTCCAAAGGAGAGGATAAACAGGCTGCACAAACAACTTTCGCAGAGTAGATACGTAATGAGTGACTTGAAACACCTGCTGGGCACTCAAACTAGGCCAAAGGAAAGAGAAACAGAATGAGTATATGCTATAAGAACTGGAGATAAGTAAGATTCCTTACTCATATCCTTATCTCCAGTTCTTGGCACATAATGGGCACTCAGTTTATTGTTAGGTGAATAGGCTGCTGTGGAGAAAGGTAAATAAATGATGGAAAAAATTACAAGGGGAATTAACTAATCTGTACACTAAACCCCTGTGACAGGAAATTTATCTCTATAACAAACCTGCTCATATACCCCTGAACTTAATATAAAAGTTTTTAGGCCAGGTGCGGGGCTCACGCCTGTAATCCCAGCACTCTGGGAGGCCGAGGTGGGCAGATCACCTGAGGTCAGAAATTTGAGACCAGCCTGGCCAACATGGTGAAATCCCCATCTCTACTAAAAATACAAAAAATTAGCCAGGCATGGTGGTGCATGCCTGTAGTCCCAGCTACTCGTGAGGCTGAGGCAGGAGAATCACTTGAACCCGGGAGGTGGAGGTTGCAGTGAGCTGAGATCTCACTCCAGCCTGGGTGACAGAGTGAGACTCCGTCTCAAAATAAATAAATAAAATCGGTGAGAAGCTCACTTCCTAAACCACAAACCCTCCTCAAATAATCAGAATTGTCTACTCTCATCTACCCTGCACCCCGTACTCTCCCTCTCTCCACAGTGGCTGAAAGAATGATGGGGAAGAGAGGAAGAAGAAATTGCCTTAGGCCTTCTCCCTCTTCTAGGGTCTCTGTCTTTCCACTATTTTCTTTTAAAAACTTTTTGCTTTTTTTTTTTTTTTTTTTTGAGACACAGTCTCACTCTGTCACCCAGCCTGGAGTGCAGTGGCATGATCTCGACTCACTGCAACCTCCCCCTCCCAGGTTCAAGCCATTCCCTTTCCTCAGCCTCCCGAGTAGCTGGGACTACGGGTGCGTGCCACCATGCCCAGCTAATTTTCGTATTTTTAGTAGAGATGGAGTTTCACCATGTTGGCCAGGCTTGTCTTAAACTACTGACCTCAAGTGATCCACCCACCTCAGCCTCCCAAAGTGCTGGGATTACAGGCGTGAGCCACCATGCCCGGCCAAAAACCTTTTACATGAGCAGGTTTGTTATAGAAGTAAATTGCCTGTCGTGGGGATTTGGTATACAGATTAGTTAATCCCCCATGTAATTCTTTCCACCATTTATTTACCTTTCTCCACAGCAGCCTATTCCCTTTGAGGGAAGAGAGAGACCCTTTCGTATTGTTTTATATTGCTTTATACTCAGTATCTGTTTTAAGAAAAAACAAGGAAGTAAAACCAAAGACAGGCAGCCTGGCGCCAGGCCCAAAACCAGGCCTGGGCCTGCCTGGCCTAAACCCAGTAGTTAAAAATCAACCCATGACTTAGAACGCGATGTTATTCCTAGTTTCCAGACATTGTATAGAAGAACATTGTGACACTCCCTGCCCTGTTCTGTTTCTCTCTGACCACCAGTGCATGCAGCCCCTGTCACGTACCACCTGCGTACTCAAATCAATCACGACACTTTCATGTGAAATCTTTAGTGTTGTGAGACCTTAAAAGGGACAGAAATTGTGCATTCAGGGAGTTTGGATTTTAAGGCAGTAGCTTGCCGATGCTCGCAGCTGAATAAAGCCCTTCCTTCTACAACTCGGTGTCTGAAAGGTTTTGTCTGGGGCTCGTCCTGCTACATTTCTTGGTTCCCTGAACAGGAAGCGAGGTAACTGACGGACGGCCAAGGCAGCCCCTTGGGTGGCTTAGGCCTGCCCTGTGGAGCATCCCTGCGGTGGACTCTGGCCAGCCTGAGTGACGCGATCCAAAGAGCGCTCCCGGGTAGGAAATTCCCCGGGTGGAACGCCTCGCCAGAGCAGCACGTAGCAGGCCCCCGAGGAGGATTAACACACTGGCTGAACACTGGGAAGGAACTGGCACTTGGAGTCCGGACATCTGAAACTTGGTAAGACTAGTCTTTGGAACTTGCCCCACTCCATCTGAGTGGAAGCATGGCCTGATCACCCATGGTGTGCCTGTACTGGCACTTTTATTCTGGTTTTGACTTGACTTAGATTGTGTGATACTTTGGTTTTGGTTTTGGTTTTGACCTGGCTTGGGTTTTTGGATACTCTGATTTTGGTTTGGTGTAAACTGCAAAAGTGTGTGTGCCCTGTTTTTTTGTTTTGTAGTGCACGTGTGGTGTGAGCGTGGTGTTTTGTCTCGAAGAAGCATGGGTCAGGCACAAATAAGCCCACCCCACTAGGAACTATGTTAAAAAAATTTTTTTTTCAAGAAAGAATTTAAGGGAGATTACGATGTTACTGTGACACCAGGAAAACTTAGAACTTGTGAAATAGACTGGCCAGCATTAGAGGTGGGTTGGCCATCAGAAGGAAGCCTGGACAGGTCCCTTGTTTCAAAGGTATGACACAAAGTAACCTGTAAGCCAAGGCATCCAGACCAGTTTCTGTACATAGACAGTTACAGCTGGTTTTAGACCCCCTTCCCCCTACAGTAGTTAAGAGAACAGTAGCATAAGCATCTGGCAGAGGCAAGGAAAGACCAGCAGAGAGAAAAAAAGGCCATCTATACCAATTCTAAGTTAATTTAGACTAAACAAGGTCTTATTAATAGCAAAGGATAATTGAAATCCCAAACTTACAAGGTTTTCAACAAAAGTGAAGTTTGCTAAAAATTAACAGTATAACATGTATTATGGTAACTTCTAATCTTGTGGCCTTAGACGGTCTAGTCCAAAGACAAAAAAAAAGTTCACTTTAAAAAAAAAAGCGGGGGAGGCAGAATTTATGTAAAAAGAGTGTTATATGGTAAATTCTTGTCCTGAAATAAATTAACTGGTTGTTTAAAGAAAAAAAAATGTTTGTAATAAGTCAGAAAGTTGAGACATGTTGAAGAATTGTCGGCGAAAGTCGTGAAAGAAAAAATTTTATAAAAAAATTTATGCAAAAAATATTGTGTAATTTAAAAGTAATAAGGCCTCCTGAGTACTATTTAAAAAAAAAAAACAGTTTATGTGCAAGGTGTATAAGAAAAGTAAAATATACCTTTGGTAAAAAGATTATAAGGAGGCATAAGAATGTGGATTTTTACCTACATTAAAAGGTTAAAAAAATTATTGTTTTGAAAGTGTAAGCAAATTTTAAAATGTTAATTGTAAAGAAAATTCTGTGTGTAAACATATTAGCTAAAGTTAAAAAGGTATCATCCAGTTTTTCTGTGAACTGGACATTAAAGTAAAAATGTGACAGGTTTTTCTTAAAGCATCAACCTGCTCTTTAACAAAAATTATAAAAGGTTAAAAAGAGTCTATAAAACCTTACCTTATGGTCAAACATGAAAAATTGGATAAATATGTCTACAAAGTTTTATTAAAATTAAGTTTAACATTAATAACACACTAATATAAAGGTAAAATTTAGCTTACCTGGTATAAAAATCATACAAGAAGCATTATTAAATATAAAATGGTGTTTAGCTTTCTTTGGTCTAAAAACTAATAAAAATAGATGCTAAAGGAAACATTCATTTTACTAGAGGATCATAGAAGTTAAAGACTTAAAACAAACTTTGGCAGTTAAGACAGCATACCAAGATGCAAATGCCTGGTTGGAATGGATTAAATATTCCATCTGCACGTTAAACAAAATCAATTGTTATGCTTGTGCACATGGCAGGCCAGAGGCCCTGATTGTCCCTCTTCCACTAAGGTGGTCCTCCAGTCGACCAGGTGTGGGCTGCATGGTAGCTCTTTTCCAGGATTCTACAGCCTGGAGTAATAAGTCATGCCAAGCTCTCTCTGCTATATCCCGAAGTCTCTGTGGGTCAGCCCCCGAGGGCCATCCAGCTTCCATCTCCCAACACTAAGTTCACTTCTTGTCTCTCACGGCAGGGAGGAGATTTAGCATTCCTTGGAGACCTGAAGGGATGCAGTGAGCTTAAGAGTTTCCAAGAGCTTATCAATCAGTCAGCCCTTGTTCATCCCCGAGAGGATGTGTGGTGGTATCGGGGTGGACCTTTACTGGGCACTCTGCTGAATAACTAGAGTGGCACTTGTGCTTTAGTCCATTTGGCTATCCCTTTCACCCTGGCATTTCATCAACCAGAGGAAAAAAAAAGTAAGACATCATAAAACGAGAGAAGCCCCTTATAGGTCTTTCAATTCTCACATCTACTTAAATGCAATTGGAGCCCCACAAGGAATACCAGATCAATTTAAAGCTTGAAATCAAATAGTTACAGGATTTAAGTCAATATTTTAGTAGATGACAGTCAACAAAAATGTAGATTAGATAAACTACATCTATTACAACCAACAGCAAAGAGCTTTTCATTAGTTAAAAAGAAAAACTCATGTCGGCCCCAGCCCTGAGGCTACCTGACCTGACAAAACTCTTTACACTCTGTGTGTCAGAAAGAGAAAAAATGACAGTTGGAGTTTTAACCCAGACTGTAGGGCCCTGGTCAAGGCCAGGGGCCTATCTCTCAAAACAACTAGACGGGGTTTCCAAAGGCTGGCCCCCATGTCCAAGGGCCCTGGCAGCAACTGCCCTGTTAGCACAAGAAGCAGATGAGCTAACTCTTAGGCAAAACCTAAACAGAAAGTCTCCCCATGCTGTGGTGACTTTAATAAATACCAAAGGACATCATTAGCTAATAAATGCTAGACTAACTAGATACCAAACCTTGCTCTGTGAAAATCCCCACAAAACCATTGAAGTTTCCAACACCCTAACCCAGCCACCTTACTCCTGGTAACAGAGAGCCCAGTTAAACATAACTGTTTAGAGGTGCTGGACTCAGTTTATTCTAGTAGGCCTAACCTCCGAGACCACCCTTAAACATCAGTAGACTGGGAGCTGTACGTGGATGGGAGCGGCTTTGCCAACCCCTGCAAAGTGACTCTGAAGAAGGAGACAAGCCCTGCTCCAGTCACACCCAGAAGCTGACTGGTCCACGCACAGGCGAAGCATGAGGAAACTCATTGCGGGACTCATTTTCCTTAAAATTTGGACTTGTACAGTAAGGACTTCAACTGACCTTCCTCAGATTGAGAACTGTTTCCAGTATATACATCAAGTCACTGAGGTAGGACAAAAATTGCTACAGTCCTATTATTTTATGGTTATTATAAGTGTACCAGGACTCTAAAAGAAACTTGTTTGTATAATGCTATCCAAGGTATGTAGCCCAGGGAATAACCAACCTGATGTGTGTTATGACCCATTTTAAGCCTCCCGTGATCACAGTTTTTAAAATAAAATTAAGGACTGGTCCTTTTCTAGGTGACACAAGTAAGGTAATAGCTAGAACGGAAAAAAGAGGGGCCCCCAAAAATGTAACCTTAAAATTTGGTGCTTGTGCCGCTATTGATAGTAAGCAGCATGGAATAGGATGCGGTTCTCTAAATTGGAAAAAAAAAGTGACACAGTAAAAAAAAAATAAGTGTATCTGTCAAGAATTGTATTTATGTGAGATGTGTCAATACTGGTCTTGTGTCATTTGGGCTACTTAAAAAGAAGATAAAAAAGATCCTGTTTGGCGGCTTAGTTGTCTTGGGCAAAAACTGTATAATGGTACCACAAAAAGTTACATGGTGGAGTTCCAATTACACAGAAAGAAATCCATTCAGTAAATTTCCAAAGTTGCAGACTGTTTGGGCCCACCCAGAACTCCACCGGGACTGGACAGCCCCCACCGGGTTATACGCAGAGCTTATGCTAAGCTCCCTGATCAGTGGACAGGTAGCTGTGTAATTGGCACCATTAAGCCATCTTTCTTCTTACTGCCCATAAAAACAGGTAAACTTCTGGGCTTCCCAGTCTATGCTTCCTGCGAAAAACGAAGCATAGCCATAGGTAATTGGAAAGATGATAAATGACCTCCTAAAAAAATTATATAATACTATAGGCCTGCCACTTAGACACAAGATGGCTCATGAGGATATCGAACCCCCATCTACATGCTCAACCGAATCATATGGTTGCAAGCTGTTTAGAAATTATTACTAATAAAACCCGTCAAACCTTGACTGTTCTTGCCCGGCAAGAGACTCTGATGAGAAATGCTATCTATCAAAATAGACTAGCTCTTGACTACTTGCTATATATATATATATATATATATATATATATATATGTATACACACACCCCATCTCTACTAAAAATACAAAAAATTAGTGGGGTATGGTGGCAGGCACCTGTAATCCCAGCTACTAGGGAGGCTGAGTCAGGAGAATTGCTTGAACCTGGGAGGCGGAGGTTGTAGTGAGCCGAGATCGCGCCATTGCACTCCAGCCTGTGCAACAAGAGTGAAACTCCATATCAAAAAATATAAATAAATAAATAAATAATAAATTAAATAAATAAAATGGGCAGGAAGAGGTCTGAACATAAAAACACTCGACTGCACAGCGACCAAGGAGAGACAACTTAAACCTCAAATTCTCTCTCTTTTTTTGAGACGGAGTCTCACTCTGTCGCCCAGGCTGGAGTGCAGTGGCGCTAGCTATATCGGCTCACTGCAACCTCCGCCTCCCGGATTCAAGCGATTCTCCTTCCTCAGTCTCCCGAGAAGCTGGGTTTACAAGTGCGCGCCAGGGTTTCGCTATGTTGGCCAGGCTGGTCTCCAACTCCTGACCTCAGGTGATCCGCCCGCTTCGGCCCCCCACAAAGTGCTGGGATTATGCTGGGATTACAGGCGTGAGCCACCGCGCCGGGTCTCAAACCCCAAATTATTTTTTTGGGGGGACGGAGTCTTGCTCTGTCGCCCAGGCTGGAGTGCAGTGGCGCGATCTCTGCTCACTGCAAGCTCTGCCTCCAGCGTTCACGCCATTCTCCTGCCTCAGCCTCCCGAGTAGCTGGGACTACAGGTGCCCGCCACCACACCCGGCTAATTTTTTTGTATTTTTTTAGTAGAGACGGGGTTTCATAGTGTTAGCCAGGATGGTCTCGATCTCCTGACCTTGTGATCCGCCCGCCTCGGCCCCCCAAAGTGCTGGGATTACAGGCGTGAGCCACCGCACCCGGCCTCAAACCCCAAATTCCTAAGTATGGATGAGCCAAATCACCCCTCCCACTGCTGAGGAGAGACGCTTGTCTCGGACTGGACTTAACCCAATGGGGTTCAAGAAAAAGGGAAAGTCCCGCCTCCGTAGCAGCTCCAGTCCAATGGGAGCCTCCCGGTACGCTCAGCTGGAAGATGGGCGGGACTACGCTGGCCTGGAGCATGGCACGTGATTCCGCCGGCCTGGTTGCCGGGAATCTGGACCTGAGCGAGAAGCACGATCCCCGGCCGCCCCCGCTCTTGCATCCCCCTGGTCCTACTGCTGTGCTTGCTGGCGACGGTTCGTTCCGGAAGTCAGGCCAGTGACTGCGGGGCTCTGCTCCGCCCTCCATACCTGTTAAGTGTCCCCCTCCCCCACAACGCCTGATCCCCACAGCCTGGCAGCGAGAGTCCAGCCCTCCGGGGAGGTTGAGGCCCGGTGCCACCACCACCACTGGAGGCCTGACGATGCCTGACGATGCCTCACGCGGGTGCTGAGTAGTAGGGGGGCTTAATTATTTAGCACCTCTCCCCTTCCCCTGAGCCATAACCTTCCCCAAACTGTGGCCTTTATGAGGCCTCTTGGGAGTGCTTTTTGGAGCCGGGGGAGGTCTGGGGCGATGGAGGTTGCAAGATAAGGTCAGGCTTAGAGGGTAGGTAGGGCTTCCTCTGAAACTGGTTGTATCTGGTAAGTAATTGTCCCATGTCTCCCACTTGAAGCTTAAACTTGGCCGTAGGAGGTCCTTATGCCTGTAATCCCAGGACTTTGGGAGGCCGAGCTGGGCGGAGGATTGCTTGGACACAGGAGTTTGAGACCAGCCCAGGGAACATGAGGAAAACCTGTCAATACAGAAAATACAAAAACATTAGCCAGGCGTGGTGGTGCACGCCTGTAGTCCCAGTTACTCTGGAGGCTGAGGTGGGAGGATCGCTTGAGCCTGGGAGGCAGAGGTTGGGGTGGGCCTCATGATTGTGCCACTGCACTTCAATGTGGGTGACAGAGTGAGACCGTCTCGAAAAAAAAGAGAAAAGGAGCCAATGATAGCAGCTATGTTTGTTAAAAAAAAAAAAATATATATATGTATATACACATATATATACGTATGTGTGTGTGTGTATATATATATTTGGAGACGGAGAATCACTCAGTCGCCCAGGCTGGAGTGCAGTGGTGCAATCTCGGCTCACTACAACCTCCGCCTCCTGGGTTCTAGGGATTCTCCTGTCTCAGCCTCCTGAGTAGCTGGGATTACAGGCGTGCACCACCAGGCCCAGCTAATTTTTGTATTTTTTTAGTAGAGATGGGGTTTCGCCTCATCGTGGTTTTTAACCCAGCCTTAAAAATATATTTAAACATAACTACCAGGTGTGTTTTTTGGCATGACCTCTAATCCTCTGAGATTGGTGTAATTTTCTCATATATGAAGAATGTGGCTCATATTCTTGTCCACAAGAGATGGCCCCAAGAGGGATGCACAGCCATAGACAAGTGGTAGGGTGAGTGTCACCTCTGAGTGAGAGTCAGAGCCGTCTCTGAAATAAAGGGGTACAGCAGCGTGGTAGATGGTTTGAGGCCAGGGTAAGGGTTTAATGAAAGGGTTTAAGTGGTTTAAGTGGTGTTTGGAGAAGGGAAGGATGGGTCTTCCCTTCAGGGGACCATCTCAGGAAGGCACTGGGAGGTGGAACTGCAGGAGTATGGAGGTGCTCCAACCTTCCTGTTCCAAGTGGGTCAGGTGAAGGCAGGGTGTGGTGGGAGATGAGGGTGGAGACGGCAGCCTTCAAGGGGCCTTGTTTAGCTTGCTAAGGAGCTTGGAAACCATCCCGAGGACAAAAGGGGAATCCTTAGAGGAAGAGCAGAGAGGTATGCGGTCTGATATGTATTTCTGGATAGATCACTCTGATTATATCAAGGAGGACAGATTTTATATGCTTAAGACTGGAGGGAGAGAGACCAGTTAGAAAGACTCTGGCTATAATCCAAGCAAGCCATACTATGGGCTGGTTTGGTGGAGGTAGAGGAATGTCCAGATTGGAGAAACAGGAAGTTAAAAATGGGCAGGGCTTGCTGACTGTTTGAAACTAGGGGGTGTGAAGGGAGGCAGCACTCTAGGATAAACACCAGACTTGCCGATTGTTTGGGAATATCCAATTCTGCTGTAGAAGACAGGAAAACAATAAACTCAAAAGAAGTGTTACACATAGATAACTAAATTAGTCATCTGTAGATAGTACAACATATTCGTGTGTACAGAGATCAAAAGGGACAGAAAGACCAAGGAGGCACTAAATATTCACGGTACCCTAAATACGTGAGACATGAGGCACTCAGGATGCAGGAGGTTTCAATTTGACAGGATGGATGCACACTGCATGACCCACAGTTCAGCTGGTGTGATCATTCCACCCAACTTGCCCCCTCTCCCGTGTGTTGACCCACCCCAGCACCTGCCTCCTGCTTCTCAGAATGTGTTTTACATTTATTTAATAAACGATGTTATTTGAGCATTTACATTTGGTCTGTGAGCCTTTTTGTTCCATGACCTCTCAGCTCACTTCATGCTATTGTGCCAGGAGGCTACATGACATCCGGTAGTTGCCCACACCTCAACCCAGTTCTGGCTTGAGTAAGCAGGCAGGTGAGAGGATGATGCCACTCACCAGGAATATAGGATGAGAGGCAGGTTGTTCCATGGCCAGGGCCAAGAGGAAATACTCAGTTTTGGATGTGTCAGATTTAAGGCCATATGGAACCTTAGGTCCAGATGACCAACAGGTAGGTAGTTGGATATACCAATGTGAAGAACAGGGATGAAGAGATTTGGGAGTCATTACTATTTAAAACAATGAGCCTAGATGAGGCCCTGCAGGGAAACAAGAGATTCCCTTCCCATTGTTCAGTCTGCATTCCCCTTACCCACTCCTTTGGTGCCCTCAAAAATAGTCACACAGCCTCACCACACAGGCACCTTGTGCAGTGTCTCCCAGGTAAGACTCCTGTTGGAAAATAACCCTTTCCCATCATTCTCTTTTCCTCAGCAACCCACTCTCTGTGCTATGACTTCATTACTCTTTCCCAGCCCAGCCCTGGGCAAGCCCCTTACGAAGTCTCAGGCTACCTGGATGACCACCCTTTCTTATGATGCTGCAAGGAGGGCAGGTGGGCAGAGCCCCGTGCATCCTGGGCTCAGGCCAGGGACCCAAGAGCTTGGGAGAAGCTGGTTCTCAGACTGAAGGCCAGAGCCCAGCACCTTGTCACCATCCTGGGGAGCATCATGGCACACAACAACCAGAGCCAAGGTGATTGGGCTTGGGGGCTCAGGAGGAGGCAGAAAAGAGAGAAGAGCTCAATATGGGCCTGAAGATGTGCAGCTGCATTCGTTATTGTTCAGCTAAGATGCATTGAGCTCTGCGTGGGGCACTGTGCTAGGCACTCAGATACCATCCCACTTCACTGAGATCCTGATGCTATCTCCTCCTGCCTGGGGGAGTTCATCCCTGACTCAAACCTTGTTTTATGTACCCAGTGGTGCCAAAAGGACTGGGTCTTAGGTATTAGCAAGAGTAGGACAGAAGTATAAGACCCTCTGGCTGGGCGCGGTGGCTCATGCCTGTAATCCCAGCAGTTTGGGAGGCCGAGGCAGGTGGATCACAAGGTCAGGAGATCGAGACCATCCTAGCTAACACAGTGAAACCCTGTCTCTACTAAAAATACAAAAAAAATTAGCCGGGTGCGCTGGCAGGCACCTGTAGTCCCAGCTACTCGGGAGGCTGAGGCAGGAGAATGGCATGAACCCGGGAGGTGGAGCTTGCAGTGAGCCGAGATCGTGCCACTGCACTCCAGCCTGGGTGACAGAGCAAGACTCTGTCTCAATAAAAAAAAAAAAAAAAAGAAGTATAAGACCCTCACCCTTTCCCTCAGTCAAGGACTAGGTCTCTAAGAAAGAAGCCATTGTCCTTAAGCTCCCAAGCCTTCCCTTCAGGTGAAAAAAGTCTGTTATTTTTTTGCTCTTGTTGCCCAGGCTGGAGTGCAATGGCCCGATCTCAGCCCACTGCAAACTCCGCCTCCCAGGTTCAAGCGATTCCCCTGCCTCAGCCTCCTGAGTAGCTGGGATTACAGGCGCCTGCCACCACACCTGGCTAATTTTTATATTTTTAGTAGAGATGGGGTTTCACCATGTTGGCCAGGCTGGTCTCAAACTCCTGACCTCGTGATCCACCTGCCTGGGCCTCCCAAAGTGCTAGGATTACAGGCGTGAGCCACCGCACCCGGCCAGGTGAAAAAAATTTATCCAACTTTCTCAAATCCAGGAAATGGGAAAAACTGGCCTTTTTCTGACATTCACCTCTCTCGCCACCACCAGTAGTTAATAAGAAACCTGGTGACCTGAGCAAAATATATTTCTAACCAATATCATTTTTTTTCATCTAGCAAACATTTAAGCCTAGTAAGTGCTGTTCATTTTGCTGTTACCAATAATACACCTTACAATAGCAGCTACTAGTTCTTGAATTCTTCTTGGTAGGTCCTACATTAACACTGGCAAGGATTATCTCATGTTATCTTTACTTGTGTGGTAGAGACTATAATTGTGTCCAGTTGCCAAATGAGGAAAGCAAGGCTTGGAGAGGTTCCATTACATTTGCCGTGGGCATATAGCCAGTAGCTGATGTGTAGATCAGGGATTTAAACACAATGCTGTCTGTGCTGGGCCTTCAGGAGGGTGGGTGAGTATATGTGGCTGAACAGTGCATGCTGGGTACATGGGAGGGAGCCACATGCTGCAGGGGAGGGAGAGCGGGTGCAGTGTGACTTTGGTGGGGATGTGGTTGACAGAGAAGATATGTCTTGGAGAATGAGTGAGGGTTTATCAGTCAGAGGAAGGGAATTTCATGCATTTTGGGAGGAGGTAGGAGCGGAGGTGGAGAGAGCCACTGTTTTGACCTCTTGTAACTTTGGAGTTCTGGGGTTTTGGCTTTTCAGAGTCACACACCCTCCAGACCACGGTTGTCTGTGAGTTGCTGGGGAACCGGAGCAGCTGGGGACACTGGCACTACAACTGTCATGGCCAGGACTCCCTTCTTAGCACACTTGAGTCTTTCAACTCCAGCAAAAGCCAGCCAGAACCAAGCAGAGCTGCAGAAGGAGAGAAGGGAAGGAAACAATCCTTCCTGACCTAGAGCTGCGTCTACCCTCTCCGGAAACACCTGAAAGCTGGGGTGGGACCACGGCCCACCGTAGGTGTGATAGGTGCGGACTGGTTCATGTGGGGAAGGTGGAGGAGCTGAGGGCACTGTGGGAGGGATGGAGTGCAGGCCCCTCAGCCAGCCTTCAAAACTCCATTTCAATACCCATGTCCTAAATGAACACAGCTCTGTTGCTGACCGTCCTAGCCACTCTGCTTTCCTTCCCTCTCCCGTGCTTGGTCAGCCCTTTTCCCACTTGGTGTTCAAGTTCTGACCCAGGGCTGAGCACCCAAGGGCTCTCAAGGTGGGGCATCACCTACAGTCACCATGGAACACAGTGGAATGGTGCCTAAAGCCCTGGTGTGGAGGATGTACGGCAGCTTGATAGGACCAGAGGCAGCCAGTTTGTCTGGGAGGTCTTTGCCACCACTTTTCCCTGTCCCGCTAGCCCCCTTGGTGCATGGGACTCTCTGCAAAGCCCCTGGAGAGGAGCCATCCCAACATGCTAGGCCCTTGACTTCTATCCTCCAGTGTCCAGCTAACTTAGCTGAGGGATGGGCTGCCCCAGCCCCTGAGTCCCTGGAACCCTAAGCCACTTGCCCCCTTGCATGGCGCTGCTCAGATGCCCAGAGCCAGCAGTCTGCTGTGATCCCTTTGACGTGAGCATAGGCTCTCCTGTCTGGTGATGCACCAGGCTGATGCTGAGTCTCTGTGCAACCTCAGATGAGCAGCTGGGGTTTGGAGGCATGTAGCAATGCAGTTGCCGAGTGCGGTGGCTCGATCTCAGCTCACTGCACCCTCTGCTGCCTGAGTTCAAGCGATTTTTGTTTCTCAGCCTCCTGAGTAGCTGGGATTACAGGCATGCACCACCACATGCAAAAAAAACAAAACAAACAAACAAAAAAACCACCTTTTGGTATTTTTAGTAGAGACAGGGTTTCACCATGTTGGCCAGGCTGGTCTCGAACTGCTGATCTGAAGTGATCCGCCCGCCTCAGCCTCCTAAAGTGCTGGGATTATAGGCATGAGCCACCGCTCCCGGCCTCCTCCTATATCTCTTGATCAAACTTCAGGGGAAAACCTGCCAGATTCCCCAGGAAGGATGCTTGGAGGTAGGTGGCAGGGTACAGGGAGGCCTATGCCAACTTCTCATTGAACACCACTCCCAGCTTTCCTACCCCCATTTCTCTTCACAGGTGTGCAGAGAAGTCTACATTCCCATGTCAAGTAAGGGGGGTGGGTAGATGGGAGGGCATATGAGAGCCGGGCAGCAATTTTATGTCTTAGTTGGAAGGAAGTTTAGAGTTCATTGAGTCCAAATCCTCTTTACTAGGTGAGGAAACTGAGGCACAGGAGGGGGAGGTGCCATTAGCCAGGGAGTCAGAGCCAGGACTTAGAACCTGGTCCATGCCTCCTAGTTTGTTCCTGACCAATCCTCCCAGCTCACCCACTCCTTTTGCTCTCACCTCTGACTCCCTACAGGCTACAGCTAGAGAGTTGACTCCTCTATTTGAGGTAAGAGTGTCTGGATTTGGGATAAGGTGACCTCAGTTTGCAGGTCTCATGGGGGAGATCAGAGGGTCCTTTGTTGAGAAGAGGGGACTTGGTCCACAGTGAGCAAAGGAATTTGTCTAAATTGCTATTAAGGGAGATCATCTCCCAAGGTGGGCCAAGCCTGAACCCTCAGCCCTCCATTTCTTCCCTTTCTTTTGCCTTCAGATTGACAGGCCTCGGAAGTCAAAATAAGTGGTTTCCTAGACCGGGTCGAGAGCAAGTCTCTATTGGTCCCAACTGAGTTTTTTCAGCTGGTTTTTCAACCAAACAGCACCTCATCTCCCAGTGAGGGGAAGGGAAGGCTGGGCTGACAGCAGCAAGGCTGCTCATCTCACCTCTCCCCACCCAGCCATGCCAGCCGCCACACCTGGTGGGGAGAGGTGGGCCTCACCTGGGTCCCCTGGCAGTGCTCTGTGAAGGGTCTTGACATTGCACTGTAATAATAAAGGTGTATGTGAAGTATCTTTTTATGGTGACTTTCTAAAACCCAGGGAATCATGGGACCAGTTCTGATGACTCAGCCTGGCTTCCAGTCTCCTCCAGGCCCAACGGTGGCCCCCAGCACTGGTTGGGGCCTGGGAGAGCTGGCCTTGGCTGAAGTGAAGCCACCTACCCTTCAGGCATAACAGGACAGTGAGAAGGAAGGAAAGCCTGCCTCAACCTCCCATCAGCCCTGAGCACCCCAGAAGGGGGCCGGCTAGGAGTCTAGGCATGCAGGAGGCTGACCCCTGACTGGGCTCATATCCAGCCACAAGGCAGCCAGGGACCCAGGCACCCACCCCTTGTCTGCGTCCCTCTCGGGAATGGGCCTCTTGCCCAGGCCAGAAATACACCACCTACAGTACAAATTATAATCTAAAAACAAGAGGGTGGTGTTGAGTGGGGAAATTGGGGAAGGTGTTTTAGGAGCCACTAGGAAAATGGGCAGCAGGGACTCTCTGGACTGGCTTGGGAAGAGCGCTTTTGGGGAACCTGGAGGATGGCAAGCTGAGAAACACTGGTGTGGAGATTCCAGCCAAATCCCAGGCCTGCCCCTCCCCCTCCTCTGAGAGGCCGTCTTCTTGGCAGACAGCAGAGAGATGCATGACAAAGGTGCCGTGATGGTTCTGTCCTGGGGATTGAGATGGCTGGGGAGGGGCCTCCTCCTGTTCCGAAGCATGTTCCTCCCACCCCCACCAGGCCCCATAATCTACCTGCCTTTTGGGCAGTTAAAGGCCGAGAAGTGAACACAGCTCCAACCCCACTGCCTTGTAGACCTTCCGGCAGACCTGTGGCAGGTATTGAAATGCACGCATACAATTAGGCTCAAAAAGTCTACACAGACAGGAGATGGGCACACGAACAGAGGCAACATAAGAGTGGGGGAAAAGTCTCAAAAGACTCACGGATGCCACCAAGATGAAGACAGCTGGCCACGGGACACCCATCCCCTTAGAAGGCAGACAGAGCCACTGACCCCAGCAGACAAGCCCAGGCAGGGCTGAGCCTGGAGCCTGCAATGAGAAGCCTTACTTAAGTCGACAGAGGTCAGCGTGCCCAGTCCAGACCTGGCCTTCTGGCCTTCGAAGCTGTGGGGAGCCCTGGCCCAGAGCCCCCTCTGGAGCCCCCAGACTTACCCCAGGCCCTCCACTGAGATCAAGTTTTGGGAGCAGACAGACAAACATCATCCCTCACAGACAGGCATTCCGTTGGCTATTCTCTTGCAAACAGAATCAAGCACTAGACCAGCAGCATGAGCCTCAGGATACTCAGGCCAGGCCCAGAAAAACAGACCCTGAAGGGGAGCTTAGGGCAGCCTTCCTGCACCCCTCCACAAATCACTCGCCACCTCCTCTGCGTCTTTCTGCCAGCCAGCCCCACTAAACAAAGCACATCCCTCAATCTTCCGGGCTCGGGGAGGGATGCACGATGAAGCTGGACGCCTGAGTTCCCCAGAGGAAGGAGGAACTAGATACCTAGGTCCCTGTAGGGGGCCCTTGGTGCCCGTCTGAGGCTCAGTCTTTGAGGGGATTGCAGAGGGGGGTTGCTGGAGCTCCTTTTAGCGTCTCTGAAGGGGATTCTGTGTGAGGGGATTGGGACTGGGGGGTTGGGGAGCAGGAAGCAGTCCCCAGGGGAGCCATCCAGGCCCATTCAAGGGTTGAGCACTTGTTTAGGGTTAGAGCTGCCCCCTCTGGGGACCGGGATTGTCCAGCCAAGGCCATTGTCCTGCCCCCTTCCCCCAGTCCCTCCCAGGCTTCTTTGAACCTGAAGTCAGATATTTTTTCTCCACACCCCCCACCCCCTGGTTTTCCCCACCCAGGGCCTAGGGCTGGAGGCCTGGGCCAGGGAGGTGGGGGAGGGAGAACGGGGCCTACCGTGGTATTAGATGTCTGAGTTTTGGTTGAGAGGGGAGCAAGGAACCTGATGTGCAGGTTCCATAGTGGAGGGGGCCCAAAGCGGGTGTCTTATCACTCTGTTTCAGCAAAGGTTGGGAAACTGAGGCCCAATCAGTCCAAAGTCTGGTCCCTTGAAGGGGAAGTAGGGGCCAACCCCTTAGTCTGTTAGATGAGGAGAGTCTGGAGTCTGATTCTGGAAGACGGAGGGGTGGGGGGATGGGGGGTGGGGGGATATAGCACGGAGGCCTTGTCTGGCAGTCTACTCTTGAAGATGGGGTGAAATTTGGCAGGCTGGGCAGATGGTGCCAGGCACCCAGGCTGCGGGGTGGCTGGATTTGGCCAGTATCGGGATGGGAATGCCTAGGATTCTGGATGGATCGGGGGAAGGCATAAGGGAGCAGCTGGCCATTGTGCTTATGGCTGTTGATGCATTGAGGGATAGCGCCACACACACATTCAATAAATTTGAGGAGCTGAGAGGGTGACTGGCCCCTGAAGGCACAGTGCCAGAGGTCTGTGGAGAGGGGGTCAAGCACCTGGGTTCCTGAAGAACATGGAGGTGTGGGAGTGATTCCAGACAGCTGGGATGTGCAGAGCCTGAGAGAGTGCCAGGGAGCGGGTTGGGAGTTGAAAGTTGGGTGTGGTGGCTCACGCCTTTAATCATGACACTGGGCGGCAGAGGCGGGAGGGTTTCTTGAGGACAGGAATTCAAGACCAGCCTGGGTAACATAGCAAGGCCCCATCTCTACTAAAAATAAAAAAACTAACAGGGCACAGTGGTCCAAGCCTGTAGTCCCAGCCACTTAGGAGGCTGGAGCAGAAGGATTGCTTTGGCCCAGTAGATCGAGGCTACATTGAGCCATCATTGTACTCCACTGCACTCCAGTCTGGGCAACAAAGTGAGACCCTGTCTTAAAAAATAAAAATAAAAAAAGTTTCTGTGGGGGACCTGCACTGAGGTCCTGGAGGGGCGCCAGTTGTGTCTCCCGGTTTTCCCCTTCCACAGACACCATTGCCACCACCATTAGGCAAACATCCTTCGCCTCAGTTTCTCCCCCCACCTCCCTCTCCTCCACCCATCCAGGGGGCGGGGCCAGAGGTCAAGGCTAGTGGGTGGGACTGGGGAGGGAGAGAGGGGTTGAGTAGTCCCTTCGCAAGCCCTCATTTCACCAGGCCCCCGGCTTGGGGCGCCTTCCTTCCCCATGGCGGGACACCTGGCTTCAGATTTCGCCTTCTCGCCCCCTCCAGGTGGTGGAGGTGATGGGCCAGGGGGGCCGGAGCCGGGCTGGGTTGATCCTCGGACCTGGCTAAGCTTCCAAGGCCCTCCTGGAGGGCCAGGAATCGGGCCGGGGGTTGGGCCAGGCTCTGAGGTGTGGGGGATTCCCCCATGCCCCCCGCCGTATGAGTTCTGTGGGGGGATGGCGTACTGTGGGCCCCAGGTTGGAGTGGGGCTAGTGCCCCAAGGCGGCTTGGAGACCTCTCAGCCTGAGGGTGAAGCAGGAGTCGGGGTGGAGAGCAACTCCGATGGGGCCTCCCCGGAGCCCTGCACCGTCACCCCTGGTGCCGTGAAGCTGGAGAAGGAGAAGCTGGAGCAAAACCCGGAGGAGGCAAGTGAGCTTCGACGGGGTTGGGGTGTGGGGAGGTGGTCATGACAGGGCAGCCTGATGGGGAAGTGGTCACCTGCAGCTGCCCAGACCTGGCACCCAGGAGAGGAGCAGGCAGGGTCAGCTGCCCTGGCCAGGGAGGGGTGTGTATCAACTGCAGGCAGCCCTGGCAGGCAGGGGCCAGGTGGGAACTGGAAGCTGGATTTCGAAGAGACAACTGCAGGTGAGGGCAGAGCGGCCTGGGAGAGTCGGAAGCTGGCCCAGGCTGGCCTTTGCTCTGTCTGGCCCAGCCCTTGTCAGGGTCTCTCACATCTCCTAGGCCTGCCCAGGGTCTGGTCACTCATTACTGGCCCAGCACCAGACCCAGCTTGGGGTTGGTTTGAGCCCCTTTTCCCACCCTTAGTCCTGCTTGAAAATTTGACCCTTATCAGACCCAAGATTTTGGCCTTAGGGTTAAGCATAGCCTGAGGGTAAAAACAGTGCTCATTCCAGGATTATTGTTCCTGAAAGTCTAGGGTGTGACTCGTTTCTGATAGGATCTCCTGTTTGGGCTGTGTGTGTGCGCGTTGTGAGCTGGGTTTACCTCCAGTCAAGTATAGGGCTTGTCTTCCCCGGATCTCTGCCTCAGGCCAATGACTGGCCACTGTGTTAAGGTGCACACCCTGGCACCCCTTGTAGAAAGCTGGATTTTGATTGACTTCAGCCTCAGTTCCAAAGTTGTAAACAAGAAAAATGGTGAGAGATTTCTCCAGGCCATTTGCAAATATAGAGCTGCTGCGGGATTGAAGGCATCCAGCCCTGCTGAGGACTATTAAAGATGTATCTTCCAGTCCTCCAAGGCGACAAGTGTAAGCAATTAGAGATTAAATACTAAGCCTTGAGACCTCACAGAAAGGTGTGACTGGTTTCTGGAGTGACCGAGAAGCCCCAACCTCTTCGCAGGAGGTCACTGCTGAGCCTTGAATGATAATGGCTGGCAATTGTGGTCCACTTCCTAAGTGCCTGGCTGTGTGCTCCGTTTATACATCATTATCTCATTAACCAGCACAAAATCTCCTAGGGGGAGGTATTATTATCCTATTTAACGGGTTTTAACTGCTAAATGATGAAGCGAGGATTTGGACCAGTGTTTATTCCAAAACCCCAAAACAGAATTTGGAAAATCCAGGATAGCAGAGGGCATTTATCAGTTTGAGTTATTGGCTGAGCAGAAGTTGGGGATGAAAACAGCCTATTTGAAATTGATATGATCAAGCACCATTGAAACACTTCCTTGAGGCTTCAGGACTACAAAAAGGCCTTGTTTTTTTCTCACTAGCTGTGCACCTCTGTCCGCCGGCAGCCTCATATGGCATGCCCCAGGGCTCAGTCCTTCAACCTCTGCTCTATCTACCCTTCCTTCCTCTCACCCACCCTCAAGGCTTAAATGCCATTTAGACACCAGATGACTACCGCGTTTTCTGTCTCTTGTGATGGCTCCCTGAACTGCTCCACCCTGATCACCCAGTTGCTCAAGGCCAAACCCAGTCATCCTCAGTTTCTTTCACGTCCTACATCCTATCCTTAAGAAACATCCTGAATCAATCACAACCTAACCCTGGCCTCAGCCACCATCATCTCTGCTGGGATTACCGCAGTAGCTTCTCAAATTATACTGCTTCCTCCCTACTGTCTGTGGCCAACACGTCAACTAGAGTCAGTGTTTTAAAAGGTGTGGCCAGGCACTTTGGGAGGCCGAGGCAGGCGAATCACCTGAGGTTGGGAGTTCGAGTCCAGCCTGACCAACATGGCGAAACCCCATCTCTACTAAAAATACAAAATTAGCTGGGCGTGGTGACGCATGCCTGTAATCTCAGCTACTCAGGAAGCTGAGGCAGGAGAATCGCTTGAACCTGGGAGATGTAGGTTGCGGTGAGCCGAGATCGCGCCAGTGCACTCCAGCCTAGGCAACAAAAGCGAAACTCTCAAAAAAAAAAAAAAAAGGTGAGGCTAGGTGCGGTGGTTCACACCTGTAATCCCAGCACTTTGGGAAGCCAAGGTGGACAGATCACTTGAGGTCTCCTGACCAGCCTGGCCAACATGGTGAAACCCCATATCTACTAAAAATACAAAAATTAGCCGGGCATGGTGGTGGGTGCCTGTAGTCCCAGCTACTCAGGCGGCTGAGGCAGAATAGCTTGAACCCAGAAGGCGGAGATTGCAGTGAGCCAAGATCACGCCACAGCACTCCAGCCTGGGCGATAGAACGAGATTCCGTCTTGGGGGGGGAGAAAAAGGGTGAGAGATCATTTCACTTGGACTAAAACAAAGTCACTATGTCTGCAACAGGATCTACCTAGCCACCAGACCAGCTTTGGGCTCTGGAAGGCCCACTTCAGGGCCTTGCCACATTAGACTCTTGTCCTTTGCTCAAACAATCACCTTCTCTGTCTTTAAAAGTGTCACCCTCCTCCATAATCTCCTTCCCTCCTTTACCCTACTCCTATAGACTGCTTTATTTTTTTTTTAATTTTTGAGATGGAGTCTCACTCTGTCCCTCAGGCTGGAGTGCAGTGGTGCGATCTTGGCTCACTGCAAACTCCACCTCCTAGGTTCAAGCAATTCTCCTGCCCCAGCCTCCTGAGTAGCTGGGATTATAGGGGAGCGCCATGATGCCCAGCTAATTTTTGTATTTTTAGTAGAGACAGAGTCTCACTATGTTGACCAGGCTAGTCTTGAACTCCTGACCTCAAGTGATCTACCCACCTTGGCCTCCCAAAGTGAAGGGATTACAGGCATGACCACTGCGCCCGGACTGCTTTGCTTTTTTCCATAATATATATATATTTTTTAAATAGAGGCAGCAGGGGTGGGAGAAGGGGCGGCACGGGTCTCACTATGTTACCCAGGCTGCTTTCTAACTCTTGGGCTCAAGCAGTCTGCCCACCTTGGCCTCCCAAAGTGCTAGGATTTACAGACATGAGCCACTGTGCCTGGCCATTTTTTATTTTATTTACTTTTTTATTTTTCAGAGCAGGAGTGGAAGTTTATTATTAAAAAGTTATAGGGCAGGGAAAAAAGGAAAGTGCACTTGGAAGAGATCCAAGTGGGCAACTTGAAGAACAAGTGCCGAATAGCACTTCTGTCATGCTGGATGTCAGGGCTCTTTGTCCACTTTGTATAGCCGCTGGCTTATAGAAGGTGCTCGATAAATCTCTTGAATTTAAAAATCAATTAGGATGCCTCTATAGTGAAAAAGATACAGTAAAGATGAGGGATAATCAATTTAAAAAATGAGGAGTAAGTACACACAAAGCACTTTATCCATTCTTATGACACCTGTTACTTTTTTGCTGTGTTTGTGTGTATGCATGCCATGTTATAGTTTGTGGGACCCTCAAAGCAAGCTGGGGAGAGTATATACTGAATTTAGCTTCTGAGACATGATGCTCTTCCTTTTTAATTAACCCAGAACTTAGCAGCTTATCTATTTCTCTAATCTCAAAACATCCTTAAACTGGGGGTGATACTTGAGTGAGAGAATTTTGCAGGTATTAAATGAACTATCTTCTTTTTTTTTTTCTTTGAGACAGAGTCTTGCTCTGTCACCCAGGCTGGAGTGCAGTGGCGTGATCTCAGCTCACTGCAACCTCCGCCTCCCGGGTTCAAGTGATTCTCCTGCCTCAGCCTCCTGAGTAGCTGGGATTACAGGTGCGTGCCACCGTGCCCAGCTAATTTTTGTGTTTTTAGTAGAGACGGGGTTTCACCATGTTGGCCATGCTGGTCTTGAACTCCTGACCTCGTGATCTGCCCACCTCGGCCTCCCAAAGTGCTGGAATTATAGGCATGAGCCACCGCGCCCAGCAAAGAACTTCTAACCTTCATAACCTGACAGGTGTTCTCCTCGAGGCCAGGGTCTCTCTTTCTGTCCTTTCACGATGCTCTGCATCCCTTGGATGTGCCAGTTTCTGGGGGAAGAGTAGTCCTTTGTTACATGCATGAGTCAGTGAACAGGGAATGGGTGAATGACATTTGTGGGTAGGTTATTTCTAGAAGTTAGGTGGGCAGCTTGGAAGGCAGATGCACTTCTACAGACTATTCCTTGGGGCCACACGTAGGTTCTTGAATCCCGAATGGAAAGGGGAGATTGATAACTGGTGTGTTTATGTTCTTACAAGTCTTCTGCCTTTTAAAATCCAGTCCCAGGACATCAAAGCTCTGCAGAAAGAACTCGAGCAATTTGCCAAGCTCCTGAAGCAGAAGAGGATCACCCTGGGATATACACAGGCCGATGTGGGGCTCACCCTGGGGGTTCTATTTGGTGGGTTCCCCTCTGCAGATTCTGACCGCATCTCCCCTCTAAGGAGTATCCCTGAACCTAGTGGGGAGGGGCAGGGGCAGACTCTACCCTCACCCATGAAGAGGAGTAGGGAGAGGGAGAAGATGCTTGGGCTTTGAGCTCCCTCTGGGAAGAGGTGGTAAGCTTGGATCTCAGGGTCACAAGGGCCCTGCGTGCTCCCTCATTTTGCTTCTCTTTTGACTGGCCTCCCCCAGGGAAGGTATTCAGCCAAACGACCATCTGCCGCTTTGAGGCTCTGCAGCTTAGCTTCAAGAACATGTGTAAGCTGCGGCCCTTGCTGCAGAAGTGGGTGGAGGAAGCTGACAACAATGAAAATCTTCAGGAGGTAAGGGTGGGAGGGGGATACCCGGGGACCTTCCCTTTCTTGGCCTAATTTCCATTGCTTCCATCACTGGCTCGTAGCTCTCCGTCTTTGGTGCAGTGGTTCTCAGTGGGATGGAGTGAAATTCCTCAGTTCTGCTGGGATAAGGTCCAGAGCCAACCCTTCCAGGATCCTGCCTTTTCACACCACCACCTGGCTCTGCTGACACATCTAGTCACAGACCCCTGTGATGCTGTTACTCAGCAAGTCCAAAGCTTGCCCTTGTCACCCCCTTCCCACCTGCACAGATATGCAAAGCAGAAACCCTCGTGCAGGCCCGAAAGAGAAAGCGAACCAGTATCGAGAACCGAGTGAGAGGCAACCTGGAGAATTTGTTCCTGCAGTGCCCGAAACCCACACTGCAGCAGATCAGCCACATCGCCCAGCAGCTTGGGCTCGAGAAGGATGTGAGTGCCATGTCTCTCTGCGGGCTCCATCTCTTTCCCCTGTCACCACCTCGCTTTCCCTAGCTCTGGCTCCTCCAACTGCTCTAGGGCTGTTGGCTTTGGACAGAATGTCCAAGCAGTCAGGCCTGTCTCAGCTCATTCTCTAATGTCCTCCTCTAACTGCTCTAGGGCTGTTGGCTTTGGATAGAATGTCCAAGCAGAGTCAGGCCCGTCTCTCAGCTCATTGTCTAATGTCATTCTCCTTTCTGTCATTCACTGGCAGGTGGTCCGAGTGTGGTTCTGTAACCGGCGCCAGAAGGGCAAGCGATCAAGCAGCGACTATGCACAACGAGAGGATTTTGAGGCTGCTGGGTCTCCTTTCTCAGGGGGACCAGTGTCCTTTCCTCTGGCCCCAGGGCCCCATTTTGGTACCCCAGGCTATGGGAGCCCTCACTTCACTGCACTGTACTCCTCGGTCCCTTTCCCTGAGGGGGAAGCCTTTCCCCCTGTCTCTGTCACCACTCTGGGCTCTCCCATGCATTCAAACTGAGGTGCCTGCCCTTCTAGGAATGGGGGACAGGGGGAGGGGAGGAGCTAGGGAAAGAAAACCTGGAGTTTGTGCCAGGGTTTTTGGGATTAAGTTCTTCATTCACTAAGGAAGGAATTGGGAACACAAAGGGTGGGGGCAGGGGAGTTTGGGGCAACTGGTTGGAGGGAAGGTGAAGTTCAATGATGCTCTTGATTTTAATCCCACATCATGTATCACTTTTTTCTTAAATAAAGAAGCTTGGGACACAGTAGATAGACACACTTATCTTGGTTTGTCCTTCAGTTACTGAGGTGGGGATGGGAATATCCAATGCTCATACCCAAGTGACCCTGAAACTAAGGTGCCATTTACACTCCTTAAGGTCACACAACATCAGAGGGAGAGCTGGGATTGCAGCCAAGTTTATTTGTACAGGGCCCTGTGATAGGCTAGTTCCCAAAAGCCTGTGATGCAAGAACTTTTGCCCATAGACTCAGTCACCATGTAGCTGTTACCTGTTCAGAGCTGGCTTTTTGCTTTCCCACCCTACTCTGGAATTCTTAAATGGCTTTATACTTAGAAATCATCTTATTTCTGTTGAACCTAGATCACCCCAACCAGAAACTTCTATTAATACTTTGTGCTTTCTTGATACCAGGGTCTATTTGGTTTCCACTTAAGGTTTTTGCATACTCTGCCCATAAGTGACTCATTAGTTACTCAAGTTTTATTCCTGGCTCTGCCACTAGTTCATTAGGGGTCTTTGCCCCAGAGTCATTTCTTCCATGTAAAAAAACTTGGGCTCATTAAATCTAGGTAGGAAAGGGCGGATGTGGCAGGTTTTAATAGAACAGGTCAAGATAAGGCTTTATTTCTATAGAAATGATGCTTTGACAATAGTTTGGCTTGGTGTAAGGCTCACAAAAGAAAATCACATGTACCATGTGTGGGTTAAGCGGTTTGATTCACACTGAACCAGGCCAGCCCAGTTGCCCTCTGCTGTGTCCACCCGTGGAGTGGAGCTGTGTCACAGCCATCACACTGGTAAACTGCTGTAGCTGGTTTACCAGGCTTTCTCTTGCCCTGACAGTACAGGTGAAGCCTGTAAATAAATCTTCTGCTATCTTTGTGAACTTAACCAAATCCCAGTTACCTTATTTAAATGGCAATAGATCTGTTTTCCCTTAAACTAGAAACCTTAATTACCTGTATTCCTACCTCCAGCTCAACCCATATATTTGCACCTTTCCAGTAAGCAGGTTTGTATTTCCATCTCTCCCCTTCCCCTAAGATTCTGAATTAGTTCTCCAGACCTTGCCAAGCACATTCTCCCTGGAAAGCAAGGAATATCACAGACCCACAAGAAGAGTAAATGCCCAGGAGTGAATGAAGCGGCTTGTCCTTGACTTGGAAATAAAAGCAAAGCTGTGAAAAGCCAGGTCGCTACGATTTTGTTGGCAGCAGGACTAGCCACAGAGTAGGGAAGTTTTGGGGCCAGGCCCTAGGTTTTCCCAGAATGCCTTGGGTGATGCCACCAAGAACCTTAAGAACTCCCTCTTACATTTTCCATCGGTTGCAGGCATGGCTTTTGCAACTGATAGGTGCTCTGACTACAGATATTCTGGTGTCCATGGCAACATGGCCTTATGGCTTGTAATAGTGGGAACTTCCAGCTCACTGGCAATTTCCTGGAGGTGGCAATATCTTTGGCAGGAAACCATCTCTTCTGTCTTGGCCACCAGGGTCTGCTCCAGGCCCTGAATGAGTCCACATCAATCCATCCTTCTTCCCTGTAGTCATTCCCTCTTGGGGAGGGAAGGGAAGGGGGGTATTTATCAGACCTATTTGCTCGCTGCTGTGTCTACTCATGGGCAGGTGTGTCCGATGGTGCCTTGGCGGTGGACCTTAGGTCTGAATGCCAGCCCGGCACCCTGGGCATCGGAAGTCGGCCTCCCTGGCAGCCTGGATGCTGCAGCCAACACAGGCCACATGGAACCAGACGTCACAGCCATCACACTGAACCCAGGCCACTGTCTCTTCCTGGGGCAGGCAGCAACAAGGAGCTGCACAGGGCTCCCCGCCCCCAACTGCAGGGGGAGCCATGGGAGCGCTCACTGGGTACTTCCGAGGACGGCCACGTCGATTTCTGAAGGAAGTGACACAGACACAAGGGTCACCGGAAACCTGTAGGAGAAGGCCTAGACCTTGCCACCCTATGGCTGGTCATAGGGTGAGGCCACAGAGGCACAGTGGTCTGAGAACTAAGGTGAGCCTGGACTCTGTCCTTAAAAACACATAGGGTGGGCCTAAAAACCTCTAGTGTGAGCCTGAAAGTTCCCCATCCTTAGGCACTAGAAGAATGGGGTTAAAGCCATATGAATGTAAAAAGCAGGACATGCTCACTCCGGTTGTTTTATAAGCACTGCCCCACCCCACCTCTCATGTTCTCCTGCACATATTTTTCTTTTCCTATCAGAGCTAACCCAGGTCTTGCCATTCCATCTATTCCACCTCCCGTGCCCATCCCCCCAGGCAGGGGGACCTCCTCACAGCCTAGGGATACAAGGAATCGAAAAGCAGTAAAACACTGAGAGGGCCAAGTGAGGACTCCACTTACCCAGTGGGAGTCAGTGGGGCTTTGTCTACACGGAGTTTCTTCCTGGGCTCCATAAGGACCGGTGGCGGGTTCTCAGGAGGCTCACTCTCATCATCCAGTTCCGCCAACACTCGGTGAACAGATTTCCTCCGATTGCGTTGGGGTGGAGCAGAAGGCGTGGTCCCCACTTCCCCAGGTGGGGCGGGAACAGGCAGGCTCTTTGGTCCACCCCAACTAGGGGAGAAGGTGAGGGGCTGGGGCCGGAGCTTGCTGAGGCTGCCTATGGAGTTTAGGATCAGTGTGGCCTTGGGGGCAGGGGAGAAGGTGCTGAGAGGCCGCTGTGGAGCCCCCTGGGAGGGCAGCATAGGCCGGAAACCAGCCCCAACCCGGGCTTCTCCCCTAGACCGTGGGATGGTAATGGCAGCAAAGTCCTGAGGCTTGACTCGTACTTGTTGGAACATGAAGTAGAACTCCGAGGGGCTGGTTCCTGGGGACCCTTCAGGGCCAAAGGTCAGGAGGTCTCCATCACTCAATTCCAGCCTGTGACCTCTTGGGAGTCGGACATTATTGACCAAAGTACCTGTTGATGGTGGGGCACCAGGCAAATATGGAGGACAAAAACAGAAATGACCAGAGTCAGGAGTGGAGAAATCTGTATGATTTCTGGGGAAGAATATGAAACTGTAGTCAGATTCTCCCTCACATCCTAAGCCCCTCAGCAGGTGACAGGTACCAGGCAGTACACTCCTTGTCAGCTAGGAACAAGTCTGTGTTTCTTGTGCTTTCCTACAAAGGATCCCTGCCCTCACTGTCCTAAGGTCCAATTTTCTTTCTTTCTTCTTTTTTTTTCTTTCTTTTTTTTTTTTTTGAGATGGAGTTTTGCTCTATTGCCCAAGCTGGAGTGCAGTAGTGCAATCTCAGCTCACTGCACTCCGCCTCCCAGGTTCAAGCAATTCTCCTGCCTCAGCCTCCTGAGTAGCTGGGATTACAGGCATGTGCCACCACGTCTGGCTAATTTTTTTATTTTTAGCAGAGACAGGGTTTTACCATGTTGGCCAGGCTGGTCTCATACTCCTGACCTCCTGATCTGCCCGCCTCAGCCTCCCAAAGTGCTGGGATTACAGGCGTGAGCCACCGTGCCCCGCCCTAAGGTCCAGTTTTCAAACATGCTCACTCTCCCCCAGCTCCAGCTCGTTCAGATCCTAGCTCTACCACTTACCAGTTATGTGACCCTGGGCAAGCTTTTGGTTTGTTTGTTTGTTTGAGATGGAGTCTCGCTCTGTCGCCCAAGCTGGAGTGCAGTGGTGCGATCTCAGCTCACTGCAACCTCCGCCTCCCGGGTTCAAGTGATTCTGCTGCTTCAGCCTCCTGAGTAGCTGGGGTTACAGGTGCACGCCACCACACCTGGCTAATTTTTGTATTTTTTTTTCAGCACAGATGGGGTTTCAACATGTTGGTCAGGATGGTCTCGAACTCCTGACCTCGTGATCTGCCCATCTCGGCCTCCCAAAGTGCTGGGATTACAGGCGTGAGCCACCGCGCCCAGGCTTTTTTTAAAAAATTAATTAATTTTTTGGTAGAGACAGGTTTTCACCATGTTGCCCAGGCTGGTCTCGAACTCCTGAGCTCAAGTGATCCACCCTGCCTTAGCCTCCCAAAGTGCTGGATTATAGGTGTAAACCACCATGCCCAGCCCTGGACAAGTTCCTTAACCTCTTTGTGCCTCATTTTCCTTTACTGTAAATGAGGATAATATTAGTACCACCTACATTCAATACACTTAAAATAGGGCCTGGCTCATAACAGTAAGCACTAGATGAATGTTGGCTACTATAGTCTAATAACCATAACACTCCTACAGCTGACTTTACCAAGAGGCAGTGGCAAAACTCAAATGTGAATCTAGGCTTTCTGAGGCTAACTGCCTCAAGTCACGGAGAAAGACATGCCCAGATTATTAAAAACATTATTCAACATAGAACTGCCCTAACCCAGGAACAGAGTGCCTCAGCAAAGCTGGAAACTGAATCAAGTCTAAACTTGGCCTCTAGTGGCCTCAGAACATCCCCACTGTGATATCTTTCTGATGATATCCCAGGTCCTGTATGAGCTAAACGGGACCAAAAAGGGTCAGTCTGGCAGAGAGCTTCTGACTGTGCACACTTCTGGTGGGAAGATGAAGGTCTGGACCACGACTATCCATCCAATCTGATGGGAGTATGGGAGGCAGGCAGCAAGGTCTTGTGGAGACCTTACTCATTCCAGCCTGGCGCTTCAACCACCCAGGGGCAAAGCTGCCCTGCTTAATGCTCACCTTGGCTGCTGTGGTCTTCCAGGCTGACCCTCCAGTCATCACCCCGGGGCTCGGCATGCAGTTCGGCGTGGATCCCAGAGATGAGGCCAGGCTCCTGCTGGGGCCGCAGGGCCACATCACACAGGTCGGCCCTGTGGCCCAAGCGATAGGTGCAGCCAGCCCCGGCGGGGGGGTGGAAGGTGTAGAGATCACCGCCCCTGCCGCCCCCTATGCGCAGCAGTTGGAAGCAGGGCAGCATGGGCGGTGCCCCCTCTGCACCACCTCTTCCACTTCAGGCATCCATTTCCTTTCCCACTCCTGGGCCACGCACCGCTGGCTTAAGTTCGCTTCCCAGTCTGATGCAAACTTGAGTTGTGCTGTATGCGGTTTCAACTTTGAGCACACTACCTGAATAGCCCAAATTCAGAGTGCAAGCAGCCTAGGACTCAATGCAAAATTGGTTAAGCCGACTTGCAAATGAAAAATTCCAGGAAGGTCTCCGTGCAATGCAAACTCAGGAACACGTCCTATGGCACCTCACTTGAGCTGGATCCTCAGATCACAAAATATTTGGGGAGCCTCCAATCTGCAAGGCAAGGATACTTTAGGCAGCTCCTGTGTGTGTCGGGGTGGCGGGGCGCGGGGAAGGAGGTCCTGTTATACACACGTCTACGTGCAATACGAACACATCACCTCTGTGTAATTCGGAGAAGAGCAGCTTCTTCCTGTCAAACTTGCTTATCCTAATAGAGCACTCCTGCTTGCCTGCGCCCCGATCTTCTGGCCAATCCCTCACTCATAACTGGTTGAACCTCCGAGGGCAATGAATCCACTGTCATCCCCCAAAAGAAAGTGCAAACGAGTCCTTAAGTACTCCAACAAATTGGACCTAAACCCCTACTTCCCGGCTTCTCTAGGTGGGATAAAAACAGGAAGGAGCTCCCCGCGATCATGCAAGGCATACCCGGCCTTTTCCCACTCCGCCCCAGCCCCGTTTCGGATCTACCCGCGCGGCGCAGTCTCCGAGTAGCCTCCTCTTCAAGCAGTGCCAGCCTGTGCGGCGGATCCCGGGACCCCTTGGGCTCCTCGGCAGGAGCCGACGTTGCTGCATCTGTTTGACAGCCAAGAAGCCGGGGCCAGGAGGGGCGCGGCCTCTGCGCGCGGGCAGCGCCTACCCCTCCTTCGGAATTCCCGGGCCCGAACTTCGCGCCGAGCGAGCCCGCCCCCGTGCCGTTCCCGATTGGCCAGCTCATTTGTTCTCTTCCGCGCCATTGGACAGCGCCCCAAGATCTCCCGCCTTCCACTTTTTCTGATTAGTTCACAAGTTTTCCCGGGTTGCCGCAGTGAGGAGGAGCCGCCTGGGCGCGGAGATGCTCCGACGCATTTAGTGGGCCCAAATTTAGACGCCACTGCGCCTGCGTACACCTTTCCCCCTCCTCCCAACAGAGTGAAATAGGACTTTAGGGCGCCCGCCTTGCGCAGGCGCGGTCAGGGGCAGAGGCGGGGCCGGGAGCGAGGCGTAGGGGGAGTGGCCAAAGCGCAGTAGGGGGCTCTCGCGGTTGGTAAGGGACGTTCGGGAAGAGTCGGTTGGGGGCGGGAAGGGGCTGAGCGGGGGTCCTGGGAGGGTTCAAGGGGTCCAAAGGGGAAGGGGGTACAGGGGCCAGGTGAAGGGACAGATGAAGAGATCAGAACAGCCTTAGAGCTCACGGGCTAACTGGGTGAAGCCTCTGGTATCTAGGGGAGCAGTGGTGGGAGAGTAGAGCCGGCTAGCGTACAGGGGGCGAGGGCAGGCTATTGAGACATGGGGGTGAGGGTCAGGACCAGAATAATTCCTTCAGAAAAAGGTAGATTAGGTTGTAAAAAGGGACGGGAGTAGGGATCCCAGATTCGGGTAAAAAATAGATTAATGAGGGTGGGAGGGTGGGAGGAAGATCTTCAAGTGCCCACTATGTGTTAGGACTCGAGAAAGAGGAGGCGGGCAGCAGGCATGGAAGCTAAGGGGATAGTAGAGAGAAGCTGAGAGAACAGCCGCAGGAAAGATTTGAATAAGATGTCAGGACGCTGGCTTTTCTGCCTGGGGATCTAGGCGGCCTGGATTCCCAAGGTCTTGGGGAGGGTCTAGCCCTGCATGTGGCCACATTCAGCTGGGGCCAGGCCTTGGGCCAGCACTTTAACAGGGAAGGACCCAAGAGTCATGGCCTGCTGGTGTCTGGATGGGCTTCCCTCAGGCCTTGCTGAGCCATGGAGAGAACTCTGGAGATGGCGCTCAAGACCCCTGCACTGTGTACCTCCTTTCTCACCTCTGGCCAGGAGCAGCAGGGACCATAGAAACTTAAGGAGGAGGGTAAAGGCACTGCCCAGAATCCTGAAAGTATGAGTAAAGCCTCAGAGCCCCTCTCAGTCTGTCTCTTTCAGTAAATTCTCTCCACTTGATAGTTAGTTGCTTGGGTTCCATGAGGAACCAGGTTGAGACAAGCAAGTGAATTTGGGGTATCTCCTACTTTGGGGAAGTAGGAAAAGAGCTAAGCATCGGGTGGACCTGGCTATAATTCAAGGATTATGACTTTGTTATTGTAGGGGCTTTCTCTTTGGAAGGTGGCCTGAAAATTGAATTGGAGTGTCTTTGTTTCTCCTCTTGTCCAGGGGAACATAGATGGCTGAAGACAGAATCTAGAGCCTTCAAATAATGTGGAGATGTTTCCACCTTCAGGTCAGTGGGACCAGACAAGGGGAGTGGTGGTTGTCTCTGCCTGGGAAACTGACCATCTTTGTTTTTGTAATTCTTCAGGTTCCACTGGGCTGATTCCCCCCTCCCACTTTCAAGCTCGGCCCCTTTCAACTCTGCCAAGAATGGCTCCCACCTGGCTCTCAGACATTCCCCTGGTCCAACCCCCAGGCCATCAAGATGTCTCAGAGAGGCGGCTAGACACCCAGAGACCTCAAGTGACCATGTGGGAACGGGATGTTTCCAGTGACAGGCAGGAGCCAGGGCGGAGAGGCAGGTAGGGATCCATCCACGCCGTTTTCTCAGGCTTGCTTGCTAGTGACCCTTCCTCACTGGAATAAACTCCTTACCCTATTTCGGCCCTAGTTTCCAGAACGTACTCATTTTTATGTAAGCAATTAGTTCCTACAGTGCATAAATAATAAAGCAGTGTGCTAAGTGCTAGGGATGAGGATAACAATAGTGAATAAGACAAATCCTGACTTAAATTTGTAATTAATAAGGAATCTAAAATCCTAAGAGGGGAGATAGATTGACCACCAGCTGATGGTAAAGCATGGTATGAGGCAAGATGAAGAAGTGCAAACTAGAGGTAGAGACCCAGCACTGTGGCAGTGTGGGTTCATTCTGATGGAAGAAAGCCTTTACAGAGGACATGCTGTGGGAGCTGGCCATGCTGTCGTATTATCTGTAAACATTCTTATTCTTGTTTCATGTGTCTTTTCCCAGATGTACTGGGATATCATTCTGCCATTTTGCTCCAGAATAGGATTACATTAGAAGAAGCAGCATGATGAAGAAGGAATACTAGACTGGGTGTCAGGAGACAGAGACTCTATTTCTAGTTTGGCTACCAGCTAGAGGACATTTGGCAAGTCACTTAATTTCCCTAGCCTACAGATCGCTGCTACTAAAGAAAGAAAGAAAGAGCGAGCCAGATATGGCGGCTCACACCTATAATCCTAGCACTTTGGGAGCTGAGGCAGGAGGATCACTTGAGCCCAGGAGTTCATGACCAGCGTGGGCAACAAAGCGAGACTCCGTCTCCACAGAAAATAATTAGCTGGCTGTGGTGGCATGCATTTGTAGTCCTAGCTACTCAGGAGGCTAAGGTGGTAGGACCCCTTGAGCTCAGAAGTTGAAGACTGCAGTGACCTATGATCCAGCCACTGCATTGAGGCCTGGGTGACACAGTGATACCCTGTCTCTAAAAACGACAACAACAACAATCTCTTATAGTCCTGGGTCTCAGAGAGCTGCCTCAGGAGCCATGTTCCAAGCTGGATTAAACTTCACGTGACATTGGTAGACGATTTCTCTAAAGGCTGGCACTGTGTTATTTATGTACTGTTCTCTCAGACTCCTCATAAAGTATACCTAACACTCAATAAATGCCTTTTTTTTTTTTTTTTTTTTGAGATGGAGTCTCACTCTGTCGCCCAGGCTGGAGTGCACTGGGGAGATCTTGGCTCACTGCAAGCTCCGCCTCCCAGGTTGACGCCATTCTCCTGCCTCAGCCTCCCAAGCAGCTGGGACTACAGGCACCTGCCACCACGCCCAGCTAGTTTTTTATATTTTTAGTAGAGATGGGGTTTCACCGTGTTAACCAGGATGATCTCGATCTCCTGACCTCGTGATCCGCCCGCCTCGGCCTCCCAAAGTGCTGGGATTACAGGCATGAGCCACCGCGCCCAGCCAATAAATGCCTTTTAACTAGCACCTGGCCTCACCATATTGATACTGGAAGCTTACGACCTCTCTATGCCCATTCCTCCCTCAAACTTCTTGCCCTTAAATTAGAATTGAGAAGTCCCTGTGTGTTCTTCCAACCTTTCCACTTAAAATGTGTGGCCTAAAAATAAAAAAATAAATAAGACAAAAAAACCACCAAAAAACAAAAAGAATGTGTGGCCTAATGATATACACATTTGATGTTGAATCCTCCTGTATGTAGCTCTCTCTAGGGAGATCATGTTCCACGATCTCAGCCAGACTTTAGGTCCTGTGAGTCCAGGCACTGGACTCAACATGCTCAATAGGGCTTTGATGAATGATGATGATGTCAATGCAGACATCCCCATACCCCAGCTTCAGCACCCCCTTCACCTCCCCACACGGAAGCAGAGGGGTCCTCTTTTCCTTCTCCTGGCTATGTTTATGCCCTCAACTATCCTTCCAGCACTGGAGACAAGTCTCACCTGCACTAACCTGTCTTTGAAGGTCCTGGGGGCTGGAGGGGTCACAGGCCCTGAGCCAGCAGGCTGAGGTGATCGTTCGGCAGCTGCAAGAGCTGCGGTGGCTGGAGGAGGAGGTCTGGCTCCTGCGGGAGACCTCGCTGCAGCAGAAGATGAGGCTAGAGGCCCAGGCCATGGAGCTAGAGGCTCTGGCACGGGCGGAGAAGGCCGGCCGAGCTGAGGCTGAGGGCCTGCGTGCTGCTTTGGCTGGGGCTGAGGTTGTCCGGAAGAACTTGGAAGAGGGGAGGCAGCGGGAGCTGGAAGAGGTTCAGAGGCTGCACCAAGAGCAGGTGAATGCAGGGGTAGAAAGGATTCAAATTCATAACGGAGAGCTGGGCAGTAGCTTCCAAGCAAAGAACAGGTATTGCAGAAAAGACCCTCCATGAGTAGTGAGTAGTAGAGTGATGAGACCTTTGGTGAAAATAAACACACATGGGCTAGAAAGATGGAGAATTTGGGTACTTTTATCTTAATTCAGGTTGCACTTTTCCCCCAAGACTCAGGTGGCCTCCCACCACTTGAAGCCCTGCTTCCCTTTCTAGTAGGAAATAGTTTGCCTCCCTACTTTACTCCAGGTACCAATTCATCAGGGGTATTGTGGAGGGCAGTGAGGAAGGGGGGTATAAGGGGGCTATGGTGGACTGGGAGAGAGAGATTATTCAGTCCTCAAACTCAGTACTTACTCTGCCATCTCTAAGACTCAGTGACCAAATTAGCCTGAGTCCTGCCTTCGTGGATGGAACTGACAGCCTCGTGGGGGATATACACATCCACATTTAATTTAATCATAATTAATTGCAATCAGGAGGAATGCCTTGAAGGAGAAGGACTAGAAAGCACTAACTTAGTCTGGGGTTCAGGGAAGGCCACTGTAACCAGTTGACATGTCAAGGAAAGAAACCATAGCCCTGGGCGCAGTGGCTCACGCCTGTAATCCCAGCATTTTGGGAGGCCGAAGCAGGCAGATCACAAGGTCAGGAGTTCAAGACCAGCCTGGCCAACATGGCGAAACCCTGTCTCTACTAAAAATACAAAAATTCACCAGGCATGGTGGTGCGCACCTGTAATCCCAGCTACTTGGGAGGCCGAGGCAGGAGAATCACTTGAACCTGGGCAGTGGAGGTTGCAGTGAGCCGAGACTGTGCCATTGCACTCCAGCCTGGGCGACAGAGCAAGACTCTGTCTCAAAAAATAAAAAAGGAACTGGGAGAAAACAAGGGAGAATTCCTTTATAACCTTGTAGTGGGCAAGGCCTTTCTACCTGTGAGTCAAAATCCAAAATCTAGAAGCCATAAAGGAAAAAATTGATCCATTGACTTTATAACATGAACATTAGGAATAGCCAAAAAGAAAAAAAAAAGCTATATTTATAGCTCAGATCACAAGAAAAGGGTAATATCCCTAATATAAAATGTGTGCCTAGAAATTGGTAAGGGAAAGACCAGCAATCCAATCAGAAAATGGACAAAGGAGATTTATGAAAGAAACTTAGAAACAAGAAGCTAGGCCAGGCACAGTGGCTCATGCCTGTAATCCCAGCACTTTGGGAGGCCGAGGTGGGCGGATCACTTGAGGCCAGGAGTTAAAGACCAACCTGGCCAACATGAAGAACTCTACAAAAAAATACAAAAATTAGCCGGGTATAGTCGTGGGCGCCTGTAATCCCCCAGCTTCTTGGGAGGCTGAGGCAGGAGAATTGCTTGAACCTGGGAGACAGAGGTTACAGTGAGCTGACATCACACTCCAGCCTGGGCAGCAGAGCGAGACTAAAAAAACAACAAGCTACCGTTTGTGCTGAATAGGAGTTGGCCAGTGAAGAGGCGTGTGAAGTCCAGTGGTAGCTGGAAGACACTTGGTGGGACAACAGGTGAAGGCGGGGACAGGAGGCCAGAAGGCTGGGGCACAGAGATGAGGGGCACTGAGTGTGCTGCAGAGCCCAGGACCCAGGGCACAAGGCTTTGGCCACTTCAGAACTTGCTACTTTCCCATAAGAGCAATGAGCAGGCTGGGCACAGTGGCTCATACCTGTAATCCTAGCACTTTGGGAGGCCAAGGTGGAAGGATCATTTGAGCCCAGGAGTTTGAGACCAGCCTGGGCAACAAAGCGAGACCCCCATCTCTATTTTATGGAAGAAATTAGGGCTGGGCATGGTTGCTCACATGTGTAATCCTAGCACTTTGGGAAGCTGAGGCGGGTGGATCACTTGAGGTCAGGAGTTCGAGACCAGCCTGGCCAACATGGTAAAACCTCATCTCTACTAAAAATACAAAAATTAGCTGGGCGTGGTGGCTCATGCCTGTAATCTCAGCTACTCGGGAGGGTGAGGCAGGAGAATCGCTTGAACCTGGGAGGCAGCGTTTGCAGTGAGCTGAGATCGTGCCATTGCACTCCAGTCTAGGCAACAAAGTGAAACTCCATCTCCAAAAAAACAAACAAAAAAAAATTGTTTTTTCAAGTAATAAGCAACCGTTGAAAGGTTGTTTTTTTTTTTTTTTTTTGAGATGGAGTCTCGCTCTGTCGCCCAGGCTGGAGTGCAGTGGCGCGATCTTGGCTCACTGCAAGCTCCGCCTCCCGGGTTCATGTCATTCTTCCGAGTAGCTGGGACTACAGGCGCCCGCCACCACGCCCAGCTAATTTTTTGTATTTTAATAGAGACGGGGTTTCACCGTGTTAGCCAGGATGATCTCGATCTCCTGACCTTGTGATCCACCCACCTCGGCCTCCCAAAGTGCTGGAATTACAGGAATGAGCCACTG
Source organism: Homo sapiens (assembly GCF_000001405.40). Lineage (NCBI taxonomy): Eukaryota > Metazoa > Chordata > Mammalia > Primates > Hominidae > Homo > Homo sapiens. Next base: position 2,634,440 of record NT_113891.3, on the reverse strand, counting down.
CGCCCGGCCTGTTGAAAGGTTTTAAGCAGGGAAATAACATGATTAGATTTGTATTTTATGTCTAAAAAATTTTGTCATTTATGTCCCCCAAATTAATTTTATTGTTGTATGGAGACAGGGCTAGAGGAGGCAGACCAGGAAGCAGGGTGGGCACTTTGCCCTCCTTTCCAGTCCATCCCATGACTCTTGGTGGCTCTGACACCCCTGCAACCCTTTGAGGTGCCATGAGCAAAAGACACAAAATTCCTCCTTTCCTGGAGCTTTCCTTCCAGTGTGGTCCGACAGATAGTAACACATACACATAAGCAAGATATGGTCAGTGCTAAGTGCTCAGGAGGACGTGAACAGCTGATGGGGCAGAGTAGGGTGGGGAGGGACGGTATTAGAGGGCCCAGTGAAGCCACCCTGAGGAGGGGCTATTGCCTGGGGTCTGTGGAGCAAGGAGGGGCCGCTGTCTGGTTCTCAGCAGACTCCCCGTGGCCGGAGCGGGGAGCAGTGGGAGAGCCTCCAGGGTGAGCTCAGGAGGTAGGCAGAGGCCGGGTCCCCTGGCCTGCAGGTGTGGAGAGACACCTGGGTTTTGTTGTGAATGCTGTGAGAAGCCACTGAGGGTTTGTAAAGACTAGTTAGGAGATGGTCGCTGTTGCCCAGGCAAAAGATGAGGGTTGGTGGCAGTGGAGACGGAGACAGAGAGGTGAAGATATGTTTTGGGGGAGATCGGACAAGAACTCCTGATGGGTTGTGGGGCAGCTGCGGAGAGTGAGTTGCCAGCTCTCCATTTGCTGTGCACAGTTGGCTGATTGGTTGGGTCATTCTCTAAGGTCACAGAAAGTGGGAGTGAAGGGAACAAGGAAGGCCTCCGTGTGGGGTCGAGCCTCTGCTGAGCCCCCTCTTCTTTCCGCAGCTGTCCTCTTTGACACAGGCTCACGAGGAGGCTCTTTCCAGTTTGACCAGCAAGGCTGAGGGCTTGGAGAAGTCTCTGAGTAGTCTGGAAACCAGAAGAGCAGGGGAAGCCAAGGAGCTGGCCGAGGCTCAGAGGGAGGCCGAGCTGCTTCGGAAGCAGCTGAGGTAGGTGGGCGGACGCCGACGGGAGCCCAGCAATTAGTGATGTGGTGGATCTGCAGGGCGCCCCACTGATGGCTGTCCCATTCCCACCCCAACCCTAGCAAGACCCAGGAAGACTTGGAGGCTCAGGTGACCCTGGTTGAGAATCTAAGAAAATATGTTGGGGAACAAGTCCCTTCTGAGGTCCACAGCCAGACATGGGAACTGGAGCGACAGAAGCTTCTGGAAACCATGCAGGTGAGGGTGCAGGAATGTATCTGTGTGCAGACTTAGGGATCAGGTTGGGAGGCAAGCGTGGCCCTTGGAGGAGCGTGTAGAGCACAGCCTCCGGGAGAGAAGGTGGTACCTAAGGCGGCATGGAGGCCCTACAGAGGGGCTGCTTTCCTCTGCCCGCAGCACTTGCAGGAGGACCGGGACAGCCTGCATGCCACCGCGGAGCTGCTGCAGGTGCGGGTGCAGAGCCTCACACACATCCTCGCCCTGCAGGAGGAGGAGCTGACCAGGAAGGTACAGCCCAACCCCCAGACCCCTCACCCTCAGCCGCATCCTGCATCTACTGTCCCCTGCCTCCCTCCCTGTGGGCAGGAGGGGTCAATGTGCCCCAGAACCTGCTTAGATCTCCTTCCTGTGAACTCCTCTTGCTGTAGCTCATGTTGCCCAGGCAGGACAGAGGAGAAACAAAGATGCCACCTCCTTCCTCTCCTCCCCCAGGAGCCCACGCTTTTCTCCCACTCCTTCTCCCTCAGGTTCAACCTTCAGATTCCCTGGAGCCTGAGTTTACCAGGAAGTGCCAGTCCCTGCTGAACCGCTGGCGGGAGAAGGTGTTTGCCCTCATGGTGCAGCTAAAGGCCCAGGAGCTGGAACACAGTGACTCTGTTAAGCAGCTGAAGGGACAGGTCACTGCACTCTCTTTTCTCCCGGTATTCCCTCCCAGCACCTTGCTCCTTCCATGAAGGTGGCATCCATTCAACCAGTGTTTATTGAGTGGTTGCCACATGCTGGGCACACAGCCCTGAACAAAACTAAAATGTGGAGCTTGCATTCTAGAACAGAGACACAGAACACGCAAGTAAACAGATAATGTTGGGTAATTATATGTGCGATAGAAAGATTGAAGCCGGGTGCAGTGGCTCACACCTATAATGCGATCACTTTGGTCTCGAACTCCTGACCTCAGGTGATTCACCTGCCTCAGCCTCCCAAAGTGATGGGATTACAGGTGTGAGCCACCGTGCCCAGTCAAGTAATGCCAACAGTTTGGGAGACCGAGGCAGGTGGATCACTGGAGGTCAGGAGTTCGAGACCAGCCTGGGCAACATGTGAAATCCCGTCTCTACTAAAAATACAAAAAATTAGCCGGGCATAGTGGCTCATTCCTGTAGTCCCAGCTACTCTGGAGGATGAGGTGGGAGGATCACCTGAGGCTGGGAGGTCGAGGCGAGGCCACAGTGAACTGTGATCCCATCACTGCACTCTAGCCTGGGTGACAAAGCGAGATCTTTTCTCAAAAAAAAAGAAAGTAGTAAGAAAAATTCAAAAGATAATGTGACAGAGAGACTGTGGGGTGAGTCAGCCTCAGGTAGGATGCTCAGAGACAGCCTCTCTGAGGAGGTGACAGCATCTGAGGAGAGTGGCATGGTCAGTTGGTGGGTCTTGTGGGGTGGGTCAAGGGCTATTCCCATCTTCGAGTGGGCACATGGAATGTGGAACATGGAACACTGGGCTCAGATTCCATCCTCAGAACCTAAGCTTCTGTCTCCCTGCGTGGCATTCATTCTTTTTCTTTTCTTTTCTTTTTTTTTTTTTTTGAGAAGGAGTCTTGTTCTTGTCACCCAGGCTGGAGTGCAGTGGCCTGATCTCAGCTCACTGCAACCTCCGCCTCCCAGGTTCAAGTGATTCTCCTGCCTCAGCCTCCCGAGTAGCTGGGATTACAGGCACATGCCATCACGCTCAGCTAATTTTTGTATTTTTAGTAGAGACAGGCTTTCACCATGTTGGCCAGGCTGATCTTGAACCCCTGACCTCAAGTGATCCATCTGCCTCGGCCTCCCAAAGTGCTGGGATTACAGGTGTGAGCCACCGTGCTGCGACCCACCCCCGTTGCCCGCCCCCCCTCCCCCCAGCCCCTGCATGGCATTCTTACAGAGATCTCTGCACCTGCCACTTTGCTTCCAGTGCCCCCCTCATCTTTTAGCTCTAGAGGGCCCTGCCCAGCTCTCTCTCCTCCCCCAGGTGGCCTCACTCCAGGAAAAAGTGACATCCCAGAGCCAGGAGCAGGCCATCCTGCAGCGATCCCTGCAGGACAAAGCCGCAGAGGTGGAGGTGGAGCGTATGGGTGCCAAGGTTGGTGTCAGCCTACTAGAGACTCGGGGAGGGCAAGGGAGCCCCTGTTCCGGGGCTGCAGCCAGGACTTAGGGAGGGACCCTGTCCTTTGCTGCATCCTCCCCAGGGCCTGCAGTTGGAGCTGAGCCGTGCTCAGGAGGCCAGGCGTTGGTGGCAGCAGCAGACAGCCTCAGCCGAGGAGCAGTTGAGGCTTGTGGTCAATGCTGTCAGCAGGTATCAGGGATGGAGGGGTGGGTGGAGTAGTGTTTCTGCTACCTCAGGTTCCTGGGCACCTTGTTGCTGAGGATCCTCAGGCAAGAGGGGCTGGAAAGTGGCCACTGGAGGCTACAGGGCTGGGCAGATTTAGCTCTATCAATGTTCCTGTGTTCGTTTCTTTTCCTGGGGAAGCCCCTTCTGCATTCATACCTGATTGCTTGTTATGAATTTCCCGTTGCATGTTTGGCTGGAGGTGAGGCCTTGCTTCCTCCTGCAGTTCAGTCTAGTAATGGCTTGAGCTAAATAGAGCACCCGGGAGGATCTTCACTTGCAGTATTGTTCAAGGATGGAGAGTGTAGACACTTCATCTTCCTTTTTTTTTCTAAAATTTTACGGGCAATCCGTTTCACTGGAGAAAAATTTAGTCTATTTATTTATTTATTTTGAGACAAAGTCTCGCTCTGTCACCCAGGCTGGAGTGCAATGGCGCAATCTTGGCCCACTGCAACCTCACCTCCCTGGTTCAAGTGATTCTCCTGCCTCAGCCTCCCGAGTAGCTGGATTACAGGCATCCTCCACCAGTGTCCTCCACTACGCCCGGCTAATTTTTGCATTTTTAGTAGGGACGGGGTTTCACCATGTTGGCCAGGCTGGTCTTGAACTCCTGACCTCAGGTGATCCACCCACCTCAGCCTCCCAAAGTGCTGGAATTATAGGTGTGAGCCACTGCACCTGGCCTAGTCTATTTATTTAAAGCTGTATACTTACTTGCTTATTATATACTTAACTTGCTTACTATTCCATCTAAAATGTAAGCCAGTTAGTTTCCTTCTAAATCAATTGCCAGCCTTTGTCTCTCCTACCAACTTCCTAGTTGTTTCATTACCTACAATTGTTGTATGACCTTCAGAAAAACCTCTAAGAAAACAGCAAAGCTTCTTTGTGCTGGTGATGACTTCCCCTCAGCCTTAGACACTGAGGTACCCAAGGCAGGTAGTTCTTTTTTTTTTGAGACAGAGTCTCGCACTGTCACCCAGGCTGGAGTGCAATGGCACGATCTCAGCTCACTGCAACCTCTGCCTCCCGGGTTCACACGATTTTCCTGCCTCAGCCTCCTGAGTAGCTGGGATTACAGGTGCACACCACCACACCCGGCTACTTTTTTGTATTTTTAGTAGAGACAGGGTTTCACTGTGTTGGCCAGGCTGGTCTCAAACTTCTGACCTCGTGATCCGCCCGCCTCGGCCTCCCAAAGTGCTGGGATTACAGGCTTGAGCCACCGTGCCCGGCCGGCAGGTAGTTCTTAGCACAGTCTCTGGCTTGTAAATGTTGATTGTTATCGTGAGGCTCTTCTTGATGGGTTAATTTAGATAAAGATAATTTTTGGTTTAGCGAAATTAAGATGCAGGATGAGTCCTTGCCCACCACTTCCTTCTCTTGGGTTTGTACCTTAGGGACTAATTTAGCTTTAAAAATTATGAAAAATTTCAAACTTGCACGGAATTAAACTAGTTATAATGACCTACCACCCAGGTTCAATCCATCGCGGGTGCCCCCTACCTCCAGGAGAACAGAAAGATGCACTGTGGACAGGGTTTGACTTTGGTACCAGGTGATCACAGAAATGGTCTGTGTAATGATGCATTTGCCGAAAGTCCTCCAGGCTTAAAGCAGTCCAAACTCTGATTGTTGCTGGGTTTATTAGATTGTCTCTAGGTAATTGGAGACTTTAATAAGAGCTGTGGTAGGTGTTGGAAGCATCTACTGGAACAATTTCCAGATCAAAGTGAACTTTGCTGTGCTGCTGGGGATGCAGCTGCAAGCCTTCATCATCATGTGTTTTTCTGTGGGTGCAGACCTGGACTCTCCTGAGGAAACCCCAGCCCGGCCCCAGACACTCCTTGGCCTCCTCCTGGGGCCTGTTTAAGCTGCTCAGTTTTCATGAGCCAGGTTGGTCCTACTTCTGGCACAGCCAGCTGGTAAAGCATGTGGACCTGCCCGTCACTGGTGCTAGATCGACACTCCTGGGCTTGGAGAGGATAACTTTGTTTTCTTTTGTTTTTTTGAGATGGAGTCTCGCTCTGTCACCCAGTCTTGAGGGCAGGGGTGCGATCTTGGCTCACTGGAACCTCCACCTCCTAGGTTCAAGTGATTCTCGTGCCTCAGCCTCTGGAGTAGCTGGGATTACAGGCATGAGCCACCATGCCCGGCTAATTTTTGTGTTTTTAAGTAGAGAGAGTTTCACCGTGTTGGCCAGGCTAGTCTCCAATTCCTGACTTCAGGTGATCCGCCCGCCTCGGCCTCCCAAAGTGCTGGGATTACAGGCAGGAGCCACTGCCCCTGACCAGAGAGGATAACTTTACTCTTTGATACACGATAGTGAGCAAAACACAGTTGTGAGAAATAAGCTTAACAGGTTGCTTAAAAAGATAGTCATTTAATGCATTCTTGGGGCAAGGGTCCTTTAGATAATTGACGGAAGCTGTGCGTTCTGTACTTGTATAATGGGACAGGATTAGAGGGAGTTGTCTATACAAGGCACAGCAAGTCCTTTGGGAATGAGGGGAGGCATGGAGGATCAGTGACTTGTGCCCTCTCCAGCTCTCAGATCTGGCTCGAGACCACCATGGCTAAGGTGGAAGGGGCTGCCGCCCAGCTTCCCAGCCTCAACAACCGACTCAGCTATGCTGTCCGCAAGGTCCACACCATTCGGGGTGCGTAGGACAACTGCGAGCCACGTCCTGCCCCCACCCCACCAGCTCGGACTTTCTTCTTCCTGACCCAGCTCTCTCTGATCCCACATCCATTCACCTTCCTCCTTTCACCAGTCCTTGCATCTCTTTTTCCCTTACTCCCTGTCCCCACTTTCTCCCATGCAAACTTCATCTCTTTTTCTCCCTGCTTTTTCCCTCCCAGGCCTGATTGCTCGAAAGCTTGCCCTTGCTCAGCTGCGCCAGGAGAGGTGAAGTTTGGGCACTTTGAGGTGGATGGGGCTTTAGGGCATTGGCTGCTGGGACCCCCAAAACCATGAGGACTGAGGTGGGATGGGGGCTTTGGGATCAGGCAGCTGGGTGATTTCTCCTGACTCTTTCTCTTCCCCGTCTCAGCTGTCCCCTACCACCACCGGTCACAGATGTGAGCCTTGAGTTGCAGCAGCTGCGGGAAGAACGGAACCGCCTGGATGCAGAACTGCAGCTGAGTGCCCGCCTCATCCAGCAGGAGGTGGGCCGGGCTCGGGAGCAAGGTACACCTGGTTGCCAGAGGGTGGAGAGGATGAGGAAAAACCCAGTGTCTAGGGTGCTGGGAGAGGCCTGACCCAGCACCCCCTCCTTTTAGGGGAGGCAGAGCGGCAGCAGCTGAGCAAGGTGGCCCAGCAGCTGGAGCAGGAGCTGCAGCAGACCCAGGAGTCCCTGGCTAGCTTGGGGCTGCAGCTGGAGGTAGCACGCCAGTGCCAGCAGGAGAGCACAGAGGAGGCTGCCAGTCTGCGGCAGGAGCTGACCCAGCAGCAGGAACTCTACGGGCAAGGTGTCGAGAGGGAAATGGGTGCTTCCCTTGGAGGGTGGGGTGGGAACTGCGAATCAAAGGTCCTGCTGATATGCCCCGTCTGCACTTTCACCCCAGCCCTGCAAGAAAAGGTGGCTGAAGTGGAAACTCGGCTGCGGGAGCAACTCTCAGACACAGAGAGGAGGCTGAACGAGGCTCGGAGGGAGCATGCCAAGGCCGGTGAGCCTTGCCAGGGTGGATAGGGCCTTCCAGGAAGAAGGAAGTGTTAAGACATAAGGTTATTATTTTCCCCTCAAAGTGTGTTCAAAGCTTCATTACAGGAAGTAATGAAGGTATCCAGGAGTAGCACAGATGAATTATCACATCGTGAACACACCCATGTAGCCAGCACCAGATTAAGAAACAGCATATGGCCGGTCGCGGTGGCTTATGCCTGTAATCCAAGCACTTTGGGAGGCCGAGGTGGGTGTATCACCTGAGGTCAGGAGTTTGAGGCCAGCCTGGACAACATGGCGAAACCCTGTCTCGACTAAAAATACAAAAATTAGCTAGGCCTGGTGGTGGGCACCTGTACACCAAGCTTACTTGTGAGGCTGATGTGGGAAGATTACATGAACCCGGGAGGTCGAGGCTGCAGTGAGCCAAGATTGTGCCACTGCACTCAAGCCTGGGTGATAGAGAAAGACCATGTGTCAAAAAAAGAATTGTGTAATGAATGTATCTTCTCTAACTAAATATAGCAGTTAACATTTGCCACATTTGGTCTCTTATCTATATACACACATATTTGTACATCTTTTGAATCACTTTAAGTTGTAATCATTTAATGTTTTGTTGTTGTTGTTGTTTGAGACAGAGTCTTCCTCTGTCACCAGCTGGAGTGCAGTGGCATGATCTTGGCTCACTGTGACCTCTGCCTCCCGGGTTCAAGCCATTCTCCTGGCTCAGCCTCCCAAGTAGCTGGGATTACAGGCGCCCACCACCATGCCCAGCTAGTTTTTGTATTTTCAGTAGAGACGGGATTACACCATGTTGGCCAGGATGGTCTCGAGCTCCTGACCTCGTGATCCGCCCGCCTTGGCATCCCAAAGTGCTGGGATTATAGGCGTGAGCCACCACGCCTAAGTAAGTTGTAAACATAAGTTGTTCAGCCGCATCTCCCAAAGCCAGTAAATTCTCCTATATAGCTGCAATCATCACACTTTAAGACAGTGAACACTAATTGCACAAAATCTAACCCAGTTCATGTTCAGATTTCCCCTGAGGAACTCCAGGATGGTTCAGGGATGAGGAAGATACTTAGGTTCAGATTCCCAGGCTCCTAGAGCATCAGCCCACCCCTCCAACTGTACAGAAGAGACAGATCCACAGAGCAGAACAGCCTCCCCAAGCCACAGAGTTGGTGACCCAGCGTTTGTTCCTGTCTTCATGGTGCCTGGCTGCCTCTGGCCTGACTCACACCTGCCTCCTCTGTGCCTTGGCCTCTCTGTAGTGGTCTCCTTGCGCCAGATTCAGCGCAGAGCCGCCCAGGAAAAGGAGCGGAGCCAGGAACTCAGGCGTCTGCAGGAGGAGGCCCGGAAGGAGGAGGGGCAGCGACTGGCCCGGCGCTTGCAGGAGCTAGAGAGGGATAAGAACCTCATGCTGGTAGGAGACAGGAGGGCAGACAGGCAGACACTAGGGCCCATCCTGGGCTGGTTCCTGGGCTAGAGGTGTGGAAAGAGGATGGTGAGGGAGGCTCTATCCGGGCTAGGTTTAACCCTCTCCTTCCCAGGCCACCTTGCAGCAGGAAGGTCTCCTCTCCCGTTACAAGCAGCAGCGACTGTTGACAGTTCTTCCTTCCCTACTGGATAAGAAGAAATCTGTGGTGTCCAGCCCCAGGCCTCCAGAGTGTTCAGCATCTGCACCTGTAGCAGCAGCAGTGCCCACCAGGGAGTCCATAAAAGGTCTTGGGCCAAGCACAAAGGGACAAGGGACAAATGCGCGCACTTCAGGAATCTCCTCTTCAGACTCTCGCATGATGAGTGTTGTTCTCTGCGGTCCTTCGAGGCCCTTAGCCTCTTTTAGCGATGCCCAGCTTGGACCAAAGAGCCTCCTCTCTCCCATTCCTCATTTCCTGTGCCAGCCCTGTTTCCTCTGTAACCACGAGCACCTTCCCTTGTCTGGTGCTCATCTGCTGTCTTCCTTCCCAGGGTCCCTCTCTGTCCTGCTCGATGACCTGCAGGACCTGAGTGAAGCCATTTCCAAAGAGGAAGCTGTTTGTCAAGGAGACAACCTTGACAGATGCTCCAGCTGCAATCCCCAGATGAGCAGCTAAGCAGCTGACAGTTGGAGGGAAAGCCAGCCTGGGGGCTGGGAGGATCCTGGAGAAGTGGGTGGGGACAGACCAGCCCTTCCCCATCCTGGGGTTGCCCTGGGGGATACCAGCTGAGTCTGAATTCTGCTCTAAATAAAGACGACTACAGAAGGAGCCATTGTTTGGAAATGTTATTTCTGGGAATCTGTGGGAATTCTCCCTGCAGCCATCTCTCTTGGAGATTGTGAGAAGTGGTCCCACCCATAGCTCTCTCTATGGGTGGCACCTTTTCAAATCCTTTTTCTAGGCAGCTTTGGAAATGTTTGGGAAGCTCCTGCTTTTCTTTATTCTCAACTTTTGTTTTAAAACTCTTTTCTTCTGGAAGATGATAAATGCTAGGAGTGGGGAAGATGAAACATTCACTCGTTCAACAGGAATGTCAATGCCAGGCACTGTATTAGCCTGGGGGCCACTTGGACCCTGAGAGCCTACATCCTAGTGGGAGAGAGAGCGAGCAGATGGGACCTAAACAGATGAACGAGATCGTTTCAAATAAGTGAGCAGATGGGACCTAAACAGATGAACGAGATCGTTTCAAATAAGTGCTTGAAGAGAAAGTACAGTATGATGATATGATAGAAACTGACTCTGGGGAGAGGCCTCTGAGCAGGGGACCTTGTGCAGAGGCCTGCCTGAAGTGGGCTCCTGTGGAGGCCAGGAGGTCTCTGTAGAGAATGCTCAAGGATGCTGCTGCGAGGCCGAGATGTGGCCAAGTTTGGATTTTACTGTAAGTCAATAGAAAGCCATTGGAGTACTTCTTTAAAAACGGGGAAGAAAGCCAGGTGTGGTGGCTCACGCCTGTAATCCTGACACTTTGGGAGGCTGAGGCACGCGGATCACCTGAGCTCAGGAGTTTGAGACCAGCCTGGGCAACATGGTGAAACTTCGTCTCTACTAAAATACAAAAAATTAGCCGGGTGTGGTGGTGTGAGCCTGTAGTCCCAGCTACTCAGGAGGCTGACACAGGAGAATTGCTTGGACACGGGAGGTGGAGGTTGCAGTGAGCCGTGATCATGCCACTGCACTCCAGCCTGGGTGACAGAGCGAGACTCAGCCTCAAAAAAAGAAGAAGAAGAAAAAAAAAAAAACCAGGGAAGGGGGCCCGGTGTTGTGGCTCCCGCCTGTAATCCCAGCACTTTTTTTTTTTTGAGACAGTTTTGCTCTTGTTGCCAGGCTGGAGTGCAGTGGCACAATCTCAGCTCACTGCAACCTCCACCTCCCAGGTTCAAGCAATTCTCCTGCCTCAGCCTCCGGAGTAGCTGAATCCCAGCACTTTTTTGGGAGGCCGAGGTGAGCGGATCGCTTGAGCCCAGGAGTTTGAGACCAGCCAACATAGGGAGACTCCATCTATATAAAAAATAAAAATAAAAAACATTGGAGGGCATGGTGGCGTGCACCCATGGTCCTAGTTACTCCAGAGGCTGAGTTGGGAGGATTGTTTGAGCCCAAGAGGTTGAGGCTGCAATGAGCTGTGATCGCACCACTGCACCCCAGCCTAAGAGAGCGAGAACCTGTCCTCACTCCCCAAACAAAGGGAAGACGCAACATGATTTGGTGTACATTTTTTTTCCTGAGGGACTTACTGGATGGTCCCTTCCAGAGTGAGGTACACATATCCACGCACTGTGGTCAGCGATTGCTCCCGGCACCCAGCGCAGCAGATGGGTGGGTCTAACCAGGTCACTTCCCCAGGAGGGCATAATTGAGCAGTTTCCGCATCAGGTCCACGTGGGCCAGCAGCATGCGGCAGGCAGCGGCTGTGGCGCTTCAGGCCCAGGGCGTCCCCATCAGCGTACTTGGACTGCAGCAGCCCCAGGTAGGCCTCCCACGTGTTGCCCACAGTCTTGCTGCAGGTGAAGCAGCGCACACAACTCCTGAGCTCAAGTGGTCCTCCTGTGTCAGCTTCCCAAAGTGCTGGCATGAGCCACTACGCCTGGCCTGATATATATATATATGTTTTTTTTTTTTTGAGACGGAATTTCACTCGTTGCCCAGGCTGGAGTGCAATGGTGTGATCTCAGCTCACCACAACCTCTGCCTCCTGGGTTCAAGCGATTCTCCTGCCTCAGCCTCTTGAGTAGCTGGGATTACCAAGAGGCATGTGCCACCATGTCCGGCTAATATTTTTGTATTTTTAGTAGAGACGGGGTTTCTCCATGTTGGTCAGGCTGGTCTTGAACTCCCGACCTCAGGTGATCCGCCCGCTTCGGCCTCCCAAAGTGCTGGGATTACAGGCGCGAGCCACCACACCAGGCCCGCGTGATGTATATTTTAAGACCTCTTTTGCTGGTGGAGGACAGGCTTTGTGTGAGGGGGAGGGATAAACAGTGGGAGCAAGGGGGCCAATTAGAAGGGTGTTGGGGAGGCTCAGGGGAGATGGTGGCTCAGGATGATGGGCTGGGTTTGGACAGGGTGTGGAGGGGCTTGCAGGTGGATGGTGGAGGAGTGTAACGAAGGTTTCTGCGTGAGCCCTGGAGGGAACAGATGAGATCACGCCATTGCATAATAAGGTGTTCCTTACTGTGGGGTAGCGGACCAGGCAGGGAACAACCTGGGAGGAATCAAATTTTATTTTGGACATGTTACTTCTGAAAGGCTAACAGACTTCCAGGCAGAAAGGTCCTTGAGGGAAACGTTCTAGGGGTCTCTCTGGGAGGCTTAGATCAAGGAGCTGAGACCAAAAGGAGAATGGGAGGGAGGAGACGAGTACAATAGAGTTGGAGCCAAGGTCCTAGAGGCGGATAGGTGGATTCCTGAGGGAGGAGGAAGGGGCTGAGGTTGCTGGAGCCTGGCAGCTTCTTCCGGAGCCATTGGCAGGACTGATGCAAACAGCTCTGGGTGGGAAGAGGGAACCAGGATATCCTCCTGTGTCCTTCCTTTTCTGCAGTCATCCTGGGTGGCTGCCAGATGGAATTCCTTGGATATCATTGCTTGGAGGTCCCCTGCATGCCTGAAGAAGGACATGGTGGAGAGCAGGATGCCTGGATCCCATGGGGGAAGGGAAGTGCCCAGGAAAGCACGAAGCCCCAGGGGGAGCTTTCAGTGCGGGGATGAGTGGGGAGGCTGGGGTAGTAGCTGACACTGTCCCAGCTGCATCCCAGGTTTGAAAGGCACCTCCTCCCCCAGCGCAGGCATCCTGCCTCCCAACCCTGTAATTACGGTGCTTCCCAACGCCCATCGCGTGGTTTGCTCCCATTCTTTGGCTTCCAATAGTTGCAAGGGATGAAGGTGGACATCTCTGTGATTACGGAGATGCCAAGTGGGTATTGACTGCTCCAGGGTGTGGATGGAGGGTGTGAAAACCAGGGTGGGGTGACGCAGGCTCTGGGTCATGATAGGGAGAGCAGGCAGCTGGGTCCTGGGCTGGAGGACTAAAATAAGGGACGCCACCTTCAGGGGTGACACATCAGCCCAGGCCTTCCCAACGGGTTTGACCAGTTCTGTTCTGATGGTATTCCTGTGCCACTGGGCTGGCCCCTCCTCCACTCCTCCCCTATAAAGCCTCTTGGGGTTCCCAGGCACCCAGACTCAGCCCACCCCAGCTTTGGGGGCCAGTACATAGCCATGATCCTCAACTGGAAGCTCCTGGGGATCCTGGTCCTTTGCCTGCACACCAGAGGTGAGGTGGGAACAGAGGCAGGGACTGCAGTTTGGGGTGATGAGGGATACTCAAGATGGCGGAGGTGAACTGGACGCATGGGGTTGGGGACAGGAATTCAGGGGATGCAGAAGGTGCATCTGGCTCACCAGAAATGGCTTTCTGGACACATTGGGTGGGGGACATGGTGCAGAAGGTGCATTTGGCTCTCACCAGAAATGGTTTGCTGGCTCCATGTGGCAAAGTCGGTCAGGATTAACGTGGGGGGGACGAGTTTCCTCGGAGCTGGGATCTGTGTTAAGGAGCTGGGGTCCTTGTAAAGCTGGGGTCTGTGTGCCTGGGGGCCAAGGTGTAACCCACCTTGGGTTGCAGGTTGGCCTGAGGACAAAGCTAGTGGGGTACCCCAACCAGGGGTGGATGGAGCTTATTTGGAGAAGTCTGGTCAGTTTAAAGTGGGTCAAGTGAACGGTTCAGATCCATCGGGGGTAGGGGTTCATGACACTTTACCATCAGTTAAGTATTTACAAACCTACCGAGAGCTCTTTGAGAGTGACTTTTTTGGTCTGTTTGTGGGTCAGTTCAGGCTGCGTCCATCCAGACAGGCTCCTCCTCCTGGGGCTGGGGCTGGGTGGGGCTGGGGAGAGAAGCCCTCACCACCTCTTACCTTTCTCCTTCCTCCTTTACAGGCATCTCAGGCAGCGAGGGCCACCCCTCTCACCCACCCGCAGAGGACCGAGAGGAGGCAGGCTCCCCAACATTGCCTCAGGGCCCCCCAGTCCCCGGTGACCCTTGGCCAGGGGCACCCCCTCTCTTTGAAGATCCTCCGCCTACCCGCCCCAGTCGTCCCTGGAGAGACCTGCCTGAAACTGGAGTCTGGCCCCCTGAACCGCCTAGAACGGATCCTCCTCAACCTCCCCGGCCTGACGACCCTTGGCCGGCAGGACCCCAGCCCCCAGAAAACCCCTGGCCTCCTGCCCCTGAGGTGGACAACCGACCTCAGGAGGAGCCAGACCTAGACCCACCCCGGGAAGAGTACAGATAATGGAGTCCCCTCAGCCGTTCTGTTCCCAGGCATCTCCAGGCACCCACGCCCTCTCCACCCTCTGATTCCCCGTGAATTCTTCCCAATTTAGCCTATCTCCTTAAACCTCTTCCTCATTCCCTCGGTTTTATTCTGAACCCGTAAGGTGGTGTTCTCAATATTTCCTGTCCCCTCCTGAGATCCATACTTAGTCCTCACATCGCCCGTTTTTTCCTCTGACAGCCTAAGCCTACTCTCCTACCTCGCCTCCAGGCCTCGGCCCCACCTACCTCCCACCCGGTCTTCCTGCCCGCGCGATCGCTGGGGCAGGGCTACGGTACTGTGTTCCCTTCTGCCACCTGGTGGCCGGCGGCAGGAACTATCAGTAGACAGCTGCTGCTTCCATGAAACGGAAAAATAAAAATCATGTTTTCTTAATTCTGAATCTAGGCTGCTGCTTTAACTAACACTTAGGGTCTTTTTTATTTATTTTTATTTATTTGTTTTTTTCTTTTTTTGAGACGAAGTCTCGCTCTGTCGCCCAGGCTGGAGTACAGTGGCACGATCTCGGCTCACTGCAAGCTCCGCCTCCCGGGTTCACACTATTCTGCCTCAGCCTCCCGAGTAGCTGGGACTACAGGCGCCCGCCACCACGCCAGGCTAATTTTTTGTATTTTTTAGTAGAGGCGGGGTTTCACCGTGTTAGCCAGAGTGGTCTCGATCTCCTGACCTCGTGATCTGCCCGCCTGGGCCTCCCAAAGTGCTGGGATTACACGCGTGAGCCACAGCGCCCGGCCTCTTTCTTCTTTTTCTTTCTTTTTTTTTTAGACGGAGTCTCACTCTATGCCCAGGCTGGAGTGCAATGGCACGATCTCGGCTCACTGCAACCTCCGCCTCCCGGGTTCAAGCCATTCTCCTGCCTCAGCCTTCTGAGTAGCTGGGATTACAGGTGCGCACCACCATGCCCGGCTAATTTTTGTATTTTAGTAGAGATGGGGTTTCACCATGTTGGCCAGGCTGGTCTCGAACTCCTGACATCGTGATCTGCCCGCCTCGGCCTCCCAAAGGGCTGGGATTACAGGCGTGAGCCACCGTGCCCGGCCAACACTTATGTTTTTGACTATTAGGATGCCCTCTTCACAGTCCTAAACTTACGGAGACCTGGAAGTAACTTGAGTTCCTATCTTGCCCATGTCCAGCATGTAAGGCTCTGGGGCTTAGCAGGAGGAGGGTTGGAAATGTCACTATGCAAGTCACAATAACATTCAGGCCCACATTTCTCCCTTTCTGAGAACACTATATTAAAGAATGGGAAGGCAAGTTTCATCTCTGTTTAATGGCCTATGGCTTGGATACCCCTAGTGGTATATGCAAACCTTCCCAGGGGTGTGTCGGCAGGACCAGTTTTAAGGGAATCAGTTTCCAGATTAATATGTGCCCCCCGCTAGAATGAATCTCCTGCTTGTCCTGGGCCTGACCAGAGTGCCCTTCCCAGAGCCGCCAAAGGTCAATAGGAAACAAATCAACCTTTCCCATCTCATTAAGAGATTCATTTTCTTTCTTTTCTTTTTTTTTTTTTTTGAGACGTATTATCTCTCTGTCGCCCAGGCTGGAGTGCAGTGGCACGACAGATATCAGCTCACTGCAACCTTCGCCTCCTGGATTCAAGTGATTCTCCTGCCTCAACCTCCCGAGTAGCTGGGATTACAGGTGTGTGCCACCACACCCAGATAAGTTTTCTATTTTTAGTAGAGATGGGATTTTGCCATGTTGGCCAGGCTGGTCTCGAATTCCTGATCTCATGGGATCTGCTTGCCCTGGCCTCCCAAAGTGCTAGGATTACAGGTGTAAACCACCACGCCTGGCCAAGAGATGCATTTTCAATAAGTTACTTTTCATGTCTTTTTGTGTGTTTGTTTGAGACAGGGTCTCCATCTGTCATCCAGGCTGGAGTGCAGTGGCACGATCATGGCTCGTATAGCTTCAACCTCCTGGGCTCAAGCAATCCTCCTATCTCAGCCTCTGGCGTAGCTGAGACTACAGGTGCACCACCCCTGACTAATTTTTTGTATTTGTTTAGTTTAGTTTTGTTTTGTTTTTAGAGATGGGGTTTTACCGTGTTGCCCGGGCTTGTCTCAAACTCCGGAGCTCAAGTGATCGGCCCATCTTGGCCTCCCAAAGTGCTGAGATTACAGGCACGAGCCACCGCGCCTGACCAACTTTTTATGTTTAATCCTTGTGAATATTCCTAGTTTTGGTTAACTGCAATAATTGCAATACAAATAGAATAACTGTTTCTAACACTTGTTCAAGGGCTTGTTCACGTATTTTTTAAAAGGATGCTAACAGATATGAAAGTTCTATGGCATTATATTCAATTTGCTACACTTAGAGTGACGTGCAGTCTCCGACAGACTGAGCACAACAAATTGTTTTTAATTTTAAAAACTGACATGGCCAGGCATGGTGGCTCACGCCTGTAATCCCAGCATTTGGGAGGCTGAGGTAGGCAGATCACTTGAGGTCAGCAATTCAAGACCAGCCTGGACAATGCTGAAACTCTGTCTCTACTAAAAATACAAAAAACTTAGCTGGGCATCCCAGCTACTCGGGAAGCTAGGGCATGAGAATTGCTTGAACCTGGGAGGCAGAGGTTGCAGTGAGCCGAGATCGCACCACTGCACTCCAGCCTGGGAGACAGAGTGAGACTCCATCTCAAAAATAATAAATAAATAAATAAATACATAAATAGTGATGTGATTTTTAACATGTATTTGCAATTCCCTGAAAAGCATACCCTTTGGAATGCTATTAAATTATTACAAATGTTAAATGTTGACTTAAAAATGTGCAAGGGGCTGGGCGAGGTGGCTCATGCCTGTAATACCAGCACTTCGGGAGGCCGAATCGGGTGGATTGCTTGTGGCCAGGAGTTTGAGACCAGCCTAGGCAACATGGAAAAACTGTTTCTACAGAAAATTTAAGAAATTAGCCAGATGTGGTGGCCCGCACCTGTAGTCCCAGCTACTCAGGAGGCTGAGGTGGGAAGATTGCTTGACCCTGGGAGGTTGAGGCTATAGTGAGCCAAGATGGCACCACTGCACTCCAGTCTGGGCAACAGAGTGAGACCCTGTCTCAAAACAATACAAATGTGCAAGGGACATAGTTTTTCAAAATCCTTTAAAGAGGCAATCAGGTTAGAAGGACAGGAGCTCAGAGATCCCAATGGTCTACTGTCAATCAAGTATCCGACCAGGGTTAGGGATGAAGAGGGGTTAAAAGAAACTGAGGTTGCATAACCTTAAATTTCACCACTTAGAACCCAGTTTGCTTATGTGGTAACTCTCATTAAAAACTACATATGAGAGGCCAGGCGCGGTGGCTCACGCCTGTAATCCCAGCACTTCGGGAGGCCAAGGCGGGCGAATCACGAGGTCAGGAGATCGAGACCATCCTGGCTAACATGGTGAAACCCAGTCTCTACTAAAAAATACAAAAAAAATTAGCCGGGCATGGTGGCCGGCGCCTGTAGTCCCAGCTACTCGGGAGGCTGAGACAGGAGAATGGCGTGAACCTGGGAGGTGGAGCTTGCAGTGAGCCGAGATCGTGCCACTGCACTCCAGCCTGGGCGACAGAGCGAGACTCCATCTCAAAAAAACAAACAAATAAAAAACCAAAAAACTACACATGAGATCAGGCGTGGTGGCTCACACCTGTAATCCTAGCACTTTGGGAGGCTGAGGCGGGTGGATTACCTGAGGTCAGGAGTTCGAGACCAGCCTCACCAACATGGTGAATCCCTGTCTCTACTAAAAATACAAAAAAATTAGCCGGGCATGGTGGCGGGCGCCTGTAATCCCAGCTTCTCAGGAGGCTGAGGCAGGAGAATCCATTGAACCTGGGAGGCAGAGGTTGCGGTGAGCCAAGATCGTGCCACTGCACTGCAGCCTGGGCGACAGAGCAAGACCCCGTCTCAGAAAACAAAAAACAAAAAAAAACTACATGTGGTCCGAATGAAACAAAACTAAGCTTAGGGTTTAGGAATAATCTGAGAACACATAAGAATTGTAGGTTAAGCCTAGTAGAATTAAATAGGCCCCAAGCTGGACTGGATTCACCCATTCATTCATTCATTATCTTACTTCCTCAATGTGTCCACGAATGCCGGGTGCCATGGGAGAATATAAGAATATAAATAATAAAAATATGTAGTTTCTACTCAGAACTTAAAATTGAGAGAGACAGAATTTACAGGCAAGTTTAAATAACATCAAAGACAGTAAAAATGCATATTTCCTAATAATGACATGAGCGAGCGCCAACGTAATAGCCTTGGCAGTAAACGCCGTGAGTTCAGAAGAGTCACGGTGAGCTGGACTAGTCAGGGGAGGCTTCTGGGAGGAGGGCCCGGAGCGGGACCTGAGAGAAGAACAGGCAGTGTGTCTGGAGGATGGACCAGGAAGGGCAGACCCGGAGCCTCATACAGGGTGCAGGTACAGAAGCTGCCCCCAGGTGATGAGCTCTCGTGGCCAGAACCACCAGCTCTAGGGACCAGCCCTTGCGCGTATGTGCATCAGCCTTCGTGTGTGCTGTTCCCTATGTCTGGAATGGCCGTCCTCTCCCAAACCAGCTGCATTTCTCCTCAGGGATGCCTCTGCCTACACCACTCCTTCCCGCACCCCACCCGACCCCCAACGCCCTTCACCCCAGTCACCCTATGGCAATGATTTATTCATGTCTGTCTTCCCTTCCCAGGCCATGAACCTTGTGGGGCGGGGACTGTGTTCTACGCATTTCTTCTTGAACCCCTTTACCATTTTTGTGCCTACGGACTCCCAGAGTGCTAAATCACTCCCAACAGCCCCGCCTATGCCTCTGCCGGGACCTTTTCCAGGGGCAGAGAGCTGGAAGCACTTGGAAATTTTTCTCTCCCACATCCTCACATGCCACCACCCTCCCACTCCCCCAGCCCGCCCCCAGGCCTTAACCAACGGTGGACAAATATGAAGGTGTCAGTACCCCAGCCCTCCATGAGACTTAGCTTGGTTCCACTCATGTGCTTGGGTCCCACTTTCCCACTCCCTTTCCACTCCTCCCCACCCTCATTACTTTTTTTTTTTTTTTTAAGACAGGGTCTCACTCTGTCACCCAGGCTAAAGTGCAGTGGCACAATCATAACTCATTGCAGTCTCAACCTCCTGGGCTCAAGTGGTCCTCCTGCCTCAGCCTTCTGAGTAGCTGGTACTATAGATGCACTCCACTCACTGGGCTAATTTTTTAATTTCTTGCAGAAATGATGTCTTGCCATGTTGCCCAGGCTGGTCTGGAACTCCTGGACTCAAGCAATCTTCCTGCCTTGGCCTCCCAAAGCACTGGGATTACAGGTGTGAGCCATCATGCCCAGTCCCCTCATTACTTTTATTTATTTATTTATTTATTTATTCAATTTTTGAGACGGAGTCTCCCTCTCGTTGCCCAGACTGGAATGCAGTGGTGTGATCTCAGCCCACTGCAATCTCCGCCTCCTGAGTTCAAGCGATTCTCCTGCCTCTGCTTCCTGAGTAGCTGGGATTACAGGCATGCGCCACTATGCCCAGCTAATTTTTGTATTTTTAGTAGAAACAGGGTTTCACCATGTTGGCCAGGCTGGTCTCAAACTCCTGACCTCAGGTGATCTGCCCGCCTTGGCCTCCCAAAGTGTCGAGATTACAGGCATGAGCCACTGTGCCTGGCCTATTTATTTTTGAGACAGTTCTCACTCTGTTGCCCAGGCTGGAGTACAGTGGCACGATCACAGCTCACTGAAGCCTGGACCCAAGCGATCCTCCCACCTAAGCCTCCCAAGTAGCTGGATCACAGGCGCATGCCACCACGTCTGGCTAATTTTTTTTGTAGAGATTGGGTCTTACTATATTGCCCAACCTGGTCTCAAACTCCTGAGCTCAAGAAACCCTCCTGCCTCCGCCTCTCAAAGTGTTGGGATTATAGGCGTGAGCCACCCTGCCCAACTTCTCATTAGTTTTAAATAAATCTCTTTTACTTGAATCTTTGTCTCAGGGCCTGCTTCTGGGGAATCCAACCTAGGATGCAAAGTATTTGCTACACACTATTGCAACTACTTTCTACTGCGCATGTGCCATAGGGCACTGTTGGTAAATGCTCTACAGCTTAAGCTCTCGTTTAATTTGCATAACAATGCTATCATGATCATTTCACAGAAGACAGAAACAGGCCTAGAGAGGTACAGTGACCCATGCAAGGTCACACAGGGGACAAATGGCAGAACTGGGATTTCAATTTAGGTCTGTGCTATGCTAACAACACTGATTTTAACCACTACATCATCCCAGCTCTTTTTTTTTTTTTTTTTTTTTTTTTGAGACGGAGTCTTGCTCTTTTCACCCAGGCTAGAGTGCAATGGCACGATCTTGGCTCACTGCAACCTCCGCCTCCTGGGTTAAAGCAATTCTCCTGCCTCAGCCTCCCACATGGCTGGGATTACAGGCACCCGCCACCATACCTGGCTAATTTTTGTAGTTTTTTTTTAGTAGACACGGGGTTTCACCATGTTGGCCAGGCTGGTCTTGAACTCCCGACCTCGTGATCCACCAGCCTTGGCTTCCCAAAGTGCTGGGATTACAAGCATAAGCCACCGCGCCTGGCCCATCCCAGCTCTTTATTCATCTGTGTAACCCTGACAGAGAATACAGTGCCTGGGCCGTCATGCACACTTAATGTGTGTTTTGTGAAAGGCTAAATTATTTAATGAAGGGCCCAATTAACAAAGAGTAGATCGGAATGATTGGAGTAAAATAACCCGAAGAAGAGAGAGACATGTTGGAGAGACAGGTCGGGGGAAAATTAGGGAAGATCTTGGTGCCAAGTGCAGGAGCTCATATCTGAAAGTCTCTCTCCTCTATTAGAACTGTGCCTGGGCCTGGGCAACATAACAAGACCCTGTCTCTGAACAAACAAAATAAGTTAGCTGAACATGGTAGGGCGCACCTGTAATCCCAGCGATTCCAGAGGCTGAGGTGGAAGATTGCTTGAGCTCAGGAGGTCAAAGCCAGCCTGGGCAACACAGCAAGACCCCATCTCTAAAAAAAAAAAAAATTAAAATTAAAAAAGGGCCAGGCACAGTGGCTCACACCTGTAATCCTAGCACTTTGGGAGGCCAAGGCAGGAGGATCGCTTGAGCTCAGGAGTTTGATACCAGTGTGGGCAACATAGTGTGACCTCACCTCTACAAAAAAAATGTTTAACATTTGGCCAGGTTGCCAGGCGCAGTGGCTCACGCTTGTAATCCCAGCACTTTGGGAGGCCGAGGTGGGCGGATCGCGAGGTCAGGAGATCGAGACCACGGTGAAACCCCGTCTCTACTAAAAATACAAAAAAAATTAGCCGGGAGAGGTGGCGGGCGCCTGTAGTCCCAGCTACTCGGGAGGCTGAGGTAGGAGAATGGCGTGAACCCGGGAGGCGGACGTTGCAGTGAGCCGAGGTCGCACCACTGCACTCCAGCCTGGACGACAGAGTGAGACTCCATCTCAAAAAAAAAAACAAACAATTAGCCAGGCCATGGTAGTGCATGCCTGTAGTCCCAGCTACTCAGCAGGAAGAACACCTGAGCATGAGAGGTTGAAGCTGGAGTGAGATATGATTGCACCACTGCACTCCAGCTTGGATGACAGAGCTGTCTCAGAAAAAAAAAAAAAATTGTGCCTAGGGTGGGGAGAAACACATACATCTCTGGGTATACTGTGGCAGGAAGCTAAGGATAGAAAGGAAGAAGGAGGTCTGGACCCCTCAAACTGACCCTCAAGCCAATAACGTGGAATTAGTTAGGAGGAAAAAAAATTAATTAATTAATTAATTTTTTATTTTTTGAGACAGGTTCTTGCTCTGTCGCCCAGGCTGGACAGTGCAGAGGTGCAGTTACAGCTCACTGCAGCCTTGACCTCCTGGGCTCAAGGGATCCTCCTACCACAGCGTCCTGAGTAGCTGGGACCACAGGCATGTGCCACCATGTCCAGCTAAGAGAAATTCTTAAAGAAGAGAGAAAGGAGGGAAAGGAACTGAGCCCCTGATGTTGTCTAGGGAAAA
The DNA here is from genome assembly GCF_000001405.40 of Homo sapiens. Taxonomy (NCBI): domain Eukaryota; kingdom Metazoa; phylum Chordata; class Mammalia; order Primates; family Hominidae; genus Homo; species Homo sapiens. The sequence continues at coordinate 2,612,264 of NT_113891.3, read as the reverse complement.
AGCTGGGGCTCTTTACAGCATGCTGCCTTCTTTAATTCCACAGCACTATGTGGGTTTCCATGCCTTTATTTCCTTGGAAAGTATGAGCTTCTTGAAGACAGCAACTGTGCCTTGTCTTTCTTTGTATCCCTTCCTTCTCTCCTAGTACCCAGCCTAGAAGGCACTCAATAAAGCAAATGATTAGCCCCATTTCACAGACGAGGAACCAACACTGAGAGAGGTAACTCACCTGTGCAAGTCATATCACAAGTGCCAAAGTCAAGACTGGATGGAGGACTGCCTGGCTGCAAACCAATTCTTCCCAGGCTGACATGGCAGGTAGGTGAGTGGGAAAGAGAAGGGGGAGGCATGAGGCAATTGGAGATTTTAGTACCTATTAATAGGCAGTGGATTTTGGCACTCAAACAGGCTGTCTTCATTAGCTGGGGAGGAGACTGAGTGGGCCTGGATGGTATGGAGGTATTTGCACAGGGAAACCCATTGTGCTGGCTTATCCATTCAGATTAGACAATGCTGGTTCCTCTCTACCTGCCTTGGCTAAGCTCACCTAGGAGTAAATGCCCCAGGGACACCGTCACGTCTATGTCAACACAGAGTCACGGAATTAAATAACAGAATAGGATCACAGATTTACAGAACAATAGCCCAGAACCTTGGACATGACAGATAGTTATTAAATGCTTGGCCAATGAAAAAAAAAGAACCTAGAACTAGTATCACGGTAAAATCTAATTATACAAGCTAAGTTACCTTGAGAAAGCACCAGGCACAGCCCTGAGCCTTGGGCAGCGAATGATGTCTTTGGACTAGACAGAAGAGATGGTTGTCTGCCCTGCTTTGAAGCTCTCTGGCCAGGGAAACTCCAAACCATTCATTTGTTCATCCATTTGCCCACACAATCAACATTCATTGAGCATCTGCTCTGTGGGGTGCTATGTGATGGTGACAGTCCCAGGAAGCAGTTTCAGTCCTCCCTGCCCTCAAGGGGCTCTGTGTTTAGGGAGGACAAACATATACATCATGACAATAAAATTTGATAAAAAGTTAAATTAGAGAGGGGGCAAACCCTGACGTAGGAGCCCAGGAGGGACTCCTAACTTCTCTGCCAATTTCATGTTTCAAAATTATTAGACCCAAGACTCGCTTTGGTATAAACTTAAGCTCTCTTACTGTACATTTTTCTTCTCCTGCTAATCTTTAATTAAGTGCCCACCAGGTGCCTGGCACTGAATCAAAACTCAAAAAACTTGCTGAATTAAGCCAAATGCACCTCCTGTGGGTTTTTCCCCCTAATATCCTCAGAGGCAGTAATCAATTCCCTCCCCAAATTCCCCAGTCCCCACCCCATCCCCACCTTTCCTTTTGCAGTATAATCTCAACTCCTGTGATGGGGGCAGGCAGGATAGCATGGTAGTGAGATCAACAGACTGTGACTTGGGTTCTTGTCGCTACTTAGCCATTCGTTCTCTATGTGACCTTGGGATGGGACTTTAGGGGGATTTCTTTAATAACCTCTAAACTCCCGTGCAATGCTGAGAGCCAAGGTAGCGGCTCTCAGGTCTTGTTCCAAGAACTGCCACCAGAGGGCAGCCTAGAGACTCCTCTCAGGTGTTTTCCTCCAGAGCCTTTGCTCTTTCCCTCACTAATGTCATCCACTCCCTGGGTCCACCATCAAGGCACACAGGTGTCCCTTTAGCCGTCAAGGTGACCGTTCTAAGGTGAGCCAGGCATGTGAGGCGAGGCGAGACAGGCTCTGAAGCCCTCAGGAAAATTCAGGCACAGGCTGCTTGTCCAAGTGGACCTCACGATCATCATTTACACATTCTCTCCCTGATTATTTCATGAGCCAGCGGTCTACAGGAGAGGATACCACAGCCAGTCAAAGGGATCAGGGCCCTGCCCTCAGGGAGCTGCCTTCCAGTGAGGGAGGAGAGAGATACACAGATGCTTACAAGGTATCTGTAGTAGGATGTCACCTAGTGATGAATGGTGTGACGCAGCTTAGGCAGAGCGAGGAAATAGGGATGGTCCCAAACGTGTGTGTGTATGTGTGTTTTTTTGAGACAGAGTTTCGCTCTTGTCGCCCAGGCTGGAGTGCAGTGGTGCGATCTCAGCTCACTGCAACCTCTACCTCCCGGGTTCAAGTGATTCTCCTGTCTCAGCCTCCCGGGTAGCTGGGATTACAAGTGTTCACCACCACACCCGGCTAATTTTTGTATTTTTAGTAGAGATGGGGTTTCATCATGTTGGCCAGGCTGGGCTACGAGCGAAACTCCATCTCAAAATAATAATAATAATAATAATAATAATAATAATAATAATAATTCCTGTCTCCTAGGGTCATTGAGAGAATGGAGATCAGTCCTGCACGGGCAGACCTCGGCACCGAGCTGGATGTTACACACTGCCAAGGAGTCGGCGCCGGTCTCTGGTGAAGATGTTCTAGTCCCAGGGCCCAAGAGAACAGAGCGGGACACGAGATGCCTCTCTAACAGGAGTCTGTGTTTCCTGGTCACCTCTGTGTGCTGGGTGATGCCTCAGGTGCCAGGGAGACACTGGGCAGTAGGAGAAGCTCCCTCCTGTGAGGACTCTCACCCAGAGGCACTCAGACAGCCCAGAACACAGGAGGGAAGATGGGCCACCACAGTCCCATTCCTAGGCGCTCCAAGGGCCAGCCCAGCCTAGAAGTCCCTCCTGGTACAAGTCTTTCCGGCCTCTCCTCTCCCGAGAGCACGTTCAGACTGCACCCTGGCGCTCTCTTTCACCCTGTCGAGGAAGCTGTGACTCTAATTCTGGGTGACCAGTAACAATAAAAACCACTAATAGCCCTAGTGGAAAGAATGACTATTTAACAGGTGCACATAATGAGCAGACAAGGAGAGCTCTTTTCCCTCACACTCACTCCGCAGGACAGAGAGGGGAACAGTCTTGCTACTGTGACAGCTAATCACAGCCTCTGTATGCCTCCCTCCTCGCAAGATAAGAGGGGTGGCCTCAGGGTGTGACGGAAACAGCCAGGAAGGCTTCAGCCAGGGAGCGACTGCCCTACAGCTGACTCCCTGCTGCTTTTGGGAAGTGGGGGTGAAGGGAAAAGACTCAGGGGAGCGGGGGGAAGAAAGCTTGGTGGGCAGAACCCCACTTGCCAAATTCCTCCTCTTTCAGGATTCAGTGGCCAAAGGTGAGCCTGGCTCTGGCCCCAGTCTTCACTCCCAAGTGCCGGCTGCAGTGCCCTGGGCCCGTCGGAGGCTGGCAGGGCTGCTGGGAGGGTGAGGACAGGCATGGGAAGAGTGGAAAGTGGGGGCTGACCCAGCCAAGCTCCAGGAGGCCATTCCATAGAGGAGAGAGCCATTGGACCAGGAGCCAAGCAGGGAAGAAGGAAGGAAAGGTAGAGCCGAGCACCGCCCACACCAGGAATAATCTCAGGAAGAGGATGGTGTGGACAGGCCCCAGGACAGGGCTTCTCAGCTAGGGGCAACTCGTTATGCTGCAGTGGGGGCACCTAACAGAACCCCCTAGGGTTTTTTTAAAGTATACAGCACGGTCCTGCCCACCACTGGCATCAGATGAATGCCATGTCCAGGGGAAACCCCAGTACGTCCTCATCACAGCCATGTGAACACTGCTGTTTGTTCATAAAAATGTGTTGCATCCCTAGGGGGAAATAAAAGGAGCTAATCCAATAGAGAGAAGAGTGGCTCAGGGGAGACAGTCACCCGTGAGGAATGAGGGCAGGACACACAGGCCCAGGCCGAGATTGCACAGGGTGTTGCATGAGTGGCTGTGTCAGAGCCAAGTGCACATGCCCACTGCCACCTCCGCCAAGGCCATCAGTGAATCCCTCCAGCACCTACAGGGGCTTTGCACATAAGAGCTGTGCTTGCAGGGGGTGGGGGGTGGGCACAGGGCAGGAAACCAGAGAGGAGGGCACCATGTCCCTGAGTAAGGTAGAAAGGGGAAGCACAGCCTGGACACATTCTTCCATTCTTTTATTTCAAAATATCACCAAGTGCCTGCCACAGCTATGTGCTGGGAACTCAGTGAACGCACCTGTGCTTTGCCCACTGGCATGGAGCCCACGGTCCGGGGGTGATGGTTTCTGTTGCATTTCAAAGCCACTGGGGCGCTGCATAGATGGCTGGCTGCAGAGTCTATTTGAGACGAAGGCAAGAAGTCAGGGCCCACGGACTGTAGATTCCACCCTTGATCGTCTACTACAGGAAAGAAGCCACAGAAGTGAGGGGGTATTCCCAACAGGAAGGCAGAGAAGGAGAGATTAAAACTGAGTCAAGAAGTGTAGCCAGTCCCATAGGAGCACCTGGGCTGAGGAGGGTCAGTCTCCGCAGAGATGTTCGGAACACCTGATTGGGGATGTGCCCTCTCCTTCTATGTTCTTGGTCACCAGAGGAACCAGGTGAAGAGTGTGGATGACTCAGTCCACCCCTCCCCGCACAGGAAAAACAACTCAGAGGACATCCCCTACTGGGAGTGGGCCAGGAGCGCTGGCTTCCACGCCAAGGAGAGGAGGGTGTTGTTGTGGCTGCAGAGGTGAGTCCACAGGGAAGCGTGGGTGTCATGGAGAAAGAGAGAGGAGAGGAAACGGCCTCTCGCTGGAGCCAAGCAGAGAGGAACAAAGGAGGGGAGGAGCCCACAGGCCCTGGAGCCCCAGAGCAGCTCTGGGTGGCCCCTTTCCTTCTCTCCTCAGCACAAAATAAGCTGCTTTTCCAGGCTTTTTCTCTTCCTCGTGCTCACTCCATTTTCCTTCTTCCAAGCCTAAGCCCTGGTCTACCAAGGACCCCTATGTGAAACACTTGTGCTAGAACTTCTGTCCTGACTCTCAGGCCCCCAGAGGAGGAAAGCTGTGGAGGAGGGACCTCATGAGCCAGTAACCTTCACTTAGGAATTCTTCACTTTTTTTTTTTTGAGACGGAGTCTCACTCTGTCACCCAGGCTGGAGTGCAGTGGCATGAAATCGGCTCACTGCAGCCTCCGCCTCGCCGGTTCAAATGATTCTCCTGCCTCAGCCTCCTGAGTAGCTGGGATTACAGGTGCCTGCCCCCGCACCCGGCTAATTTTTGTATTTTTAGTAGAGATGGTTTTGCCATGTTGGCCAGGCTGGTTTCAAATTCCTGAGCTCAAGTGATCCACCTGCCTTGGCCTCCCAGAGTGCTGGGATTACAGGCGTGAGCCACCATACCTGGCCAGCTTTGACAGCAGAAATCTTCTCTCTAGAAATATTCATATACATAAGGAATTTTGCACACATCCTTACAGGGTTTAGGGAGCCTCTTAAGCCTGTCCATGAACCTCTGCCATTCATTTATAGCATGGTGTCAGCTGCAGAGTAATAGGATCTATGTGGGCCTGGAAGTCCAACAGGCCTGGGTTTGAATCTTTTTCAAACATTTTTGCTTGTTAGCAGCTGGTTTGGACAAATAATTTCAACTTAGTTTTCTCATCTGTGAAACAGGGGGAAAAAGCACTTACCCTGTAGGGCTGTTGTGAAGATTGAACAAGACAACTCATGTTAAATACCCAGGCACCGTGTCCGCCTGCAGCAGGCAGTCAGTACATGGTGGATCTCGTGCCCCAAGCCTCCTCTTTATGGAGTCCCTCAACTTGCCCCAGCTGGCCTCGGATTCCTCCCACCTCCACCTCCTGGGTAGCTGGGACTATAGCACGCCATGCTTCAGCCCCCTTTGTGATCATTCAAAGCCGTTTGGTTCCCTGCACCCTCTCACATTTACTGCAATTCCTATAGAATCCAAATTCTTTTAACCTGGTGTTGTAGGTCATCTACAATCCTGATCCAAGCAGCCTGTCCCTTCTCCCACACCACTGTCCTCCACATGCATGTCCCACACCAACCCACGCCATCCGCTGGTTCTAAATACACCTGAAGCACCACAAGGCCCCACGTCTGGCTGCCTGCTCTGTGCTTCTCTCATCATTCCTCAAGGCCCGGGGAAAGTCCTGCCACCTCCCTGAAGCCAAGTGCCTACCCGCTTCTCCACTCTAGGCTGCTGTCTTACGCTGTGTGTCCCCAGCTGGATGGCAGCTCCTCAGGGCAAGGAACAATTTCTCTTCTTTCTCAGTGCAACTTCCAAAACACAGCAGAGGAGCGTGCACTGGGGGCCAAGGCTGGCACAGCAAACACAGCAGCACAGGGCTGCTGGAGGGGTGGAGGGGACCGGAGGGGACAGTGACCTGCCTGCTTCATGATACATGGCTGGGAGCCCCACCTTTTGCCTATGGAAGGCATGTGCTTTGAGCTTGATTTTCTCGGGTGTAGAGTGTCTACGCCACCCACACTTTCTCACCCGGTCCAATGCACGGGCACGGGCAGGGGCAGGGCCAGAATCTGTTGCTGTAGAACACAGCAGAGCTGCCTGCACTACTGTGGACGTCACCAAACTGGCAGCTTCACTGAAGGTGACCCTGGCCTGTGTGGGCACTCAGCTGATGCCCTTTTCTTCCCTCCTAAGCCCCATTAGCTTTAGGTCTCCACCACCTGCACTGAGAGAAAGATTAATGGTGAGCACCAGAGTAAAATCTAGCACAGAAGGCAGGGTTTCAGTAAAAAACCAAAAGCACGGCGGATTAGAGCTCAAGGGCCCACAGGTGGGCAGGACAGTAGAGGAACTGGGCAGCCCAGGGTGGCAGGATGGGGTGGACAGGAGTGGACAGGAGAGAGTAGCCAGGAGGAGGGACGTGGCTGCACCGCCAGTCCACGTGGGCGGCTGGAGACCTGGCAGGAGGCCAGGAGAGACTGTGCCTCCTCCAGCCTGGCTGTCTTGGCCAAGTTCTGACGGCAGCCAGGAGGAATGTGACAAAGAAAACAAGACAAACTTTGCTACCTCTGGCTGGTCAGGGGAAGTTTGTGTTGGAAAAGAAGAAGCCACAGATTCCACTGTTCCGCTGCCTTCTCCCCTCACACCCTGGGACGGCCCAGCACCTTCTAGTCCACTCCTCCCTGCCCTCTGCCACTCCCCTCATTACCCCAGTGCCCCCTCCCTCCTTGCCCAGGTCCTCCAGGGAGCCAAGCCTGAGAGTCTAGGGAGGCCCACAGGAGGAAATGATGTTCGGAAAGAGCAGCATCACTTTATTTTTTGAGACGGAGTTTCCCTTTTGTCACCCAGGCTGGAGTGCAATGGTGCAATCTTGGCTCACTGCAACCTCTGCCTCCAGGGTTCAAGTGATTCTCCTGCCTCAGCCTCCCGAGTAGCAGGGATTACAGGCGCCCACCACCACGCCTGGCTAATTTTTTTTGTATTTTTGGTAGAGACGGGGTTTCGCCATGTTGGCCAGGCTGATCTCGAACTCCTGGCCTCAAGTGATCCGCCCGCATCGGCCTCCCATAGTGCTGGGATTACAAGCATAAGCCACCGTGCCCAGCCGAGCAGCATCACTTTAAATGGTATCTCTGTCTCACATTTGTGCCTGCACCTCTATACAAGGCAGGAAGGGAGCAGAAGACACTCTGCTAGCATTGGCTGGGCTGGAGACTCAGGAAAGGGAGCCTGGGGCTGTGGGGGTGAAGCTGGCCTATTTGTCTCCCCCAGTGGAAGGATGAAGACAGGAGCACCTGCAGGGCTCCATTTGCTGGGCTTCCTACTGGGGGACTGCACCCCTTGTCCCATTTAACCTTTTTGATAATTTCCCATTTGATGTTCACAAAAACCTTGCGAAATAAGTGTTATTTAAAATACCCCCATTTCACAGATGAGGAGATGGAAGTTCAGAAAGGTTTGAAGAGCCGCCCAAAGCCAAGAGGTTAGCTGGGACTTGAACCCACGTCATCTTCATTCTGAAGCCAGTGTTTTTTGTTTGTTTGTTTTTCCCAAGGCATTAGCCCCCTTCAGGGGACCCTGTCCTATCCCTTCCTCTCTCCACAGCTCCCTCAGCCCCTCTTTCCTCCCACTCCCATTCTGAGTGTCACTAGCAAGTCAAGAGCAAGACTAGATGGCAGCCACTAGCTGCACGTGGCCAACCACATCATTACAATTAATTAAAATTAAAGCTCCAAATCTTTGGTGATTAAACTTGCTCCATGTGGCCAGTGGCTACCGTATCGGACAGCACAGACAGGAAACATTTCCATCCTCCTGCTGGTCTGAACTTAAAGGGCGGTCAGGAGGTAGAGGGAATGGGAGAGACCAGCCCAAGGGGCCCAGGGACAGAGCTGCCTTTGTGAGGAGATGAGGTTTGGGAAGTGAGTTTGGGTGAGGGGAGCAGGGGTGTCTGAGGCCTGGGGGGAGGAGAGGGCAGCTTGCTGGACTCCCAGGCACCTCCCTCCGATACTGATACTCCCGCAATACTAGTGAGCAATTAATTGGCTGGGGCGGGGCAGGGGCCAGAGCAGGAGGGAGGCCAACGCAATGGAGGAGAAGCCACCACCCTCTCAGCAGATGGCAGGGCTCCGGTTCTCCTGGCCTCCTTTCATCCTTTGAGGACCCGGGAGCCTACCTGGCCCTCCTCGACCTGCCCAGAGCTGGCTGCTGCTTCCTGCTCGCTCATCCAGCCCAGGGCCAGCAGATGGGCTACGGGGCCACCACCTTCCCAATTAGCCTTCTTAGCCTCTTGCTCACCCTTGAGGTCTGGGTTACCAGCCATGGGGAGGGGCTGTGAGTGCCCTGTGAGTAACCAAGGCCCAGCTTTGACAGAGGTCATCAGCCCAGGCCCCTCCCCTGGCTGAGCCCTGGCTCCCAGCACCCCCCCACCCCCGCCACCATGCCGTCCCCAGAGGTCCCCAGAAGCGACAGGTCAGGGAGTTGGTTTTGGGAATGTGGTGCCCCATTTCTGAGAAGGAGAAGGTTCCCCAGGTGATGGAACACGTAATAGGTATGTGGCTGGCCTGGTACTTGGGGAGTGGTGGGAGGGGGAGCCTGGGGGATGGGGGCAGAACTCATATTTGAAGGAGGAAAGTGGAGGTGGAGTGATGGGGTCCTAAGGAAGGAGCAGATCAGGGGCTGTGAATGGGACCTCATTGGGGTTGGGCGGGTGGGGCTGGAGCGGGCACCCAAGTGTGGAAGAAAAAGCTGAAACACCCACGACTGCGAGTGGAGGGCAGATGGAGAGACAGGCCAAGCCACGGTAGGCAGGAGAGTTAAGGAGCCAGGCAGCTGGGTCCCGTGGCAAGAGTGGCCGCCCCAGAGTGGGTGGCCGTGGGGCAGAGCGCCTGGTTCCGGGTTAGGCAATGAGGAGCCGGGGCCAGGCCTGTCAGGTGGCAGGATCGTTAGAGCCCCGTGGCCATGGGTACCCCACACTGCAGCCACTGCTGCTGCTGAGTAGGCAGATGCACCGGGCTGATTACCACGCTCCTCCCGGCCACACCAACTTCCCCCGGGGCACCCACCCCCTCCACCTCTCCTCCTCTCCCCACAGTGACTCCTGCCCAGGGAATGTCCAGCTCTGGCATAAAGGACCCAGGTGTCCTCGAGCTGCCATCAGTCAGGAGGCCGTGCAGTCCGAGATGGGCTCGTCTCGGGCACCCTGGATGGGGCGTGTGGGTGGGCACGGGATGTTGGCACTGCTGCTGGCTGGTCTCCTCCTGCCAGGTAGGAGGCTGGGGGCCCTGGGAACAGGAGGGAGGCGGGAGGGAGACTCCGGGAGAGGACCCAGCGAAGGGGACGGGCAGGGGCTCTGGAATCTGCCTTTTGAGTCTGGGGGTTGCTCCTCACTGTATGGTCGCCTCAGGTAAGTTTCTTAAACTTCCTGAGCCCCAGTTTCTGAAATTCTGAAGTGGGGTTAATGACACCTACCTCTAGTCTGTGTGTCTCAAATTAAATAATGTATGTGATATGTACTTTGGAAATTCTAGAGGTTTATATAAATGGTGGTGGTGATTTTTATTATGGGACCACTACAAGATAATGATTGGACATTTAATAGTAATAATATCATTTTTAGAGCCTTTTTATATGCTAGACTCTGTTTTAAGCACATTTGGATTATATATTAGAACTTTTATTTTTATTTTTTTTGTGAGATGGAGTCCCACTCTGTCTCCAAGGCTGGAGTGCAGTGGCGTAATCTCGGCTCACTGCAACTTCCACCTCTCAGGTTCAAGTGACTCTCATGCCTCAGCCTCTAGAGTAGCTGGGACTACAGGTGCCCATCACCACACCTGGCTAATTTTCTTTTTTTTTGTATTTTTAGTAGAAACAGGGTTTTACCATTTTGGTCAAGCTGGTCTTGAACTCCTGACTCAAGTGATCCGCTCGCCTCGGCCTCCCAAGGTGCTGGGATTACAGGCATGAGCCACCACACCCGGCCTATATTAGCACTTTTGATCATTACAAGAACGGTATGAAAGGAGATTTGCTATTTCCACTCTACAGATGAGGACACTGAGGCTCGGAGAGGTTAGGAAACTAGCTCAAGATCATGCATTAGAAGGCAGCAAAGCCAAGATTTCAACCCCAGGCCAGGCAACCCCTGGACCTGTGTTGTTGACCACCGGGTACTTATAGCCCTTGAGGAATTTCTGCGACCTTCCCATGGTCTAGTGGGTGGTTGGTGTCTGAGGGAATAGCAAAAGAGAGAGGCAATGCATGGTGGATTCGTGCAGAGGACTGAAGGGAATTGGCACAGCTGGGGTTCGGCGTGGAGGTGCATGCAGAGAATTTCTTTCTGAGGAGAGAACAGGGACATCACAGAGGATGGCAGTCTAGTTGTTGGTGGAGGGATCAGGATGAGTGGCAGTAATAATTCATAATATATAATGCTTTACACTTTCTAAAACATCTGGCCGCACATGATAGCTTGTGCCTGTAATCCCAACACTTCAGGAGGCCAAGGCAGGTGAATCGCCTGAGGTCAGGAGTTCAAGACCAGCCTGGCCAAGATGGTGAAACCCCCTCTCTACTAAAAATACAAAAAATTAGCTGGGTGTGGTGGCGGGCACCTGTGGTCCCAGCTACTTGGGAGGCTGAGGCAGGAGAATCGCTTGCACCAAGGAGGCAGAGGTTACAGTGAGCTGAGACCGTGTTATTGCACTTTAGCCTGGGCAACAAGAAACTCCATCTCACAAAAAAAAAAAAAAAAAAAAAAAAAAAAGAAGAAAAAACTTCCAGGTGGATGATCTCATTTAGTTTTCTTCATAGTAATGCTGTGGGAAGGCAGGGAAAATTTGGCCCCTCTGAATGTATAAACTAAAGCTCAGAGAGGTTCAGTAACTTGCTAGTATGTGGCTCTGTTTGTAACACGTGGGACCTGGAGGGGCTAGGGAAGGCAGAAGGAACGCAGGTGAAAGAGTCATGGAGGAACCATGGGGTAAGTTGGGCCTGGGGTTTTCAGCAAAGGAAAGGAAAGATAAGGAAAGATGTGGCTCCACATCCCTGAGGGAAGTCAAGGCAGCAGAAGTCAGATGAGGGGCTGGACAGAGGCAGGTGTGCTCAGAGAGGGAAGCTGATTGTGGCCAGGAGCCTCGGAGGTTCGTGGGGTTTCGTCCTGGTTCCCTGGGCTGGGCCAGCGAGAGCAGGGCTGGCTCAGGGTGCGGTGTCCTGACACACTGGTACCAGCAGGTTCTGAAGCAACAGGTAGTGACCCCACATCCTGGCCCCCACCCAGCTTTACTGGCATGGCCAGTGCTGAGATAGGAAATAGGGTTTCCATTCCTGACCTCAGCCTGGGCTCTCACGAAGAAGCTGGTGACCAAATCTTAGTCCTCGAGTGCCCTTTCCTTTATTTCAGCCCCTCTGCCCCCAGCTTTGTCTTTTTCCAGTGTCTCCTTCTATATGTGTCTCCACTTCTCAGCCCTCCATTGTTTTGCCTTTTGTCTTCTTCCCTCTGGTCCCACTGTCTGGCCCAGGATTTTTCCCCTAAGAATTTACGCCTGGACTCCTCAGAGCCTCAGTTTCCCCAATTCTCTGTCTCTTCAGGGTCCTTTCTTTTAGACCTACTTGTTCCTGCCCCTTCTCCATTCCCTCTTCTTTTTAAAAAAAATTTTAATTAAAAAACAAAATACAGACAGGGTCTATGTTGCCCAGGCTGGTCTTGAACTCTGGGGCGCATGCAATCCTCCCACCTCGGCCTCCCAAAGTGCTGGGATTACCGGCGTGAGCCACTGTGCCCAGCCCCCTCTTATATTCAATGTATTCCTTTGAGGCCACTCACTTTGGCACCTAATTTTCTATTTTTCTGGTTGGTGTTTGCCCACCCTTCCCAAACAAAGAAATGCCTTTATTCGGCCACCTCAATATCCTTTAGAGACAATAGCCAGTTCTTCCTCCTTTCTCCATCCCTAAACTCTCCCTGCGCTCTGCTTGGGAGAAACCCGAGAGGCCGATGACTGAGATAAGGCAGAAAGGTGAGGAAGGAAGCCAAGCCTCCTTGGCCCTTACTAACCACTGCTTTCCTCCACAGGGACCTTGGCTAAGAGCATTGGCACCTTCTCAGACCCCTGTAAGGACCCCACGCGTATCACCTCCCCTAACGACCCCTGCCTCACTGGGAAGGGTGACTCCAGCGGCTTCAGTAGCTACAGTGGCTCCAGCAGTTCTGGCAGCTCCATTTCCAGTGCCAGAAGCTCTGGTGGTGGCTCCAGTGGTAGCTCCAGCGGATCCAGCATTGCCCAGGGTGGTTCTGCAGGATCTTTTAAGCCAGGAACGGGGTATTCCCAGGTCAGCTACTCCTCCGGATCTGGCTCTAGTCTACAAGGTGCATCCGGTTCCTCCCAGCTGGGGAGCAGCAGCTCTCACTCGGGAAGCAGCGGCTCTCACTCGGGCAGCAGCTCTCATTCGAGCAGCAGCAGCAGCTTTCAGTTCAGCAGCAGCAGCTTCCAAGTAGGGAATGGCTCTGCTCTGCCAACCAATGACAACTCTTACCGCGGAATACTAAACCCTTCCCAGCCTGGACAAAGCTCTTCCTCTTCCCAGACCTTTGGGGTATCCAGCAGTGGCCAAAGCGTCAGCTCCAACCAGCGTCCCTGTAGTTCGGACATCCCCGACTCTCCCTGCAGTGGAGGGCCCATCGTCTCGCACTCCGGCCCCTACATCCCCAGCTCCCACTCTGTGTCAGGGGGTCAGAGGCCTGTGGTGGTGGTGGTGGACCAGCACGGTTCTGGTGCCCCTGGAGTGGTTCAAGGTCCCCCCTGTAGCAATGGTGGCCTTCCAGGCAAGCCCTGTCCCCCAATCACCTCTGTAGACAAATCCTATGGTGGCTACGAGGTGGTGGGTGGCTCCTCTGACAGTTATCTGGTTCCAGGCATGACCTACAGTAAGGGTAAAATCTACCCTGTGGGCTACTTCACCAAAGAGAACCCTGTGAAAGGCTCTCCAGGGGTCCCTTCCTTTGCAGCTGGGCCCCCCATCTCTGAGGGCAAATACTTCTCCAGCAACCCCATCATCCCCAGCCAGTCGGCAGCTTCCTCGGCCATTGCATTCCAGCCAGTGGGGACTGGTGGGGTCCAGCTCTGTGGAGGCGGCTCCACGGGCTCCAAGGGACCCTGCTCTCCCTCCAGTTCTCGAGTCCCCAGCAGTTCTAGCATTTCCAGCAGCTCCGGTTTACCCTACCATCCCTGCGGCAGTGCTTCCCAGAGCCCCTGCTCCCCACCAGGCACCGGCTCCTTCAGCAGCAGCTCCAGTTCCCAATCCAGTGGCAAAATCATCCTTCAGCCTTGCGGCAGCAAGTCCAGCTCTTCTGGTCACCCTTGCATGTCTGTCTCCTCCTTGACACTGACTGGGGGCCCCGATGGCTCTCCCCATCCTGATCCCTCCGCTGGTGCCAAGCCCTGTGGCTCCAGCAGTGCTGGAAAGATCCCCTGCCGCTCCATCCGGGATATCCTAGCCCAAGTGAAGCCTCTGGGGCCCCAGCTAGCTGACCCTGAAGTTTTCCTACCCCAAGGAGAGTTACTCGACAGTCCATAAGAAGTCAACTGTTGTGTGTGTGCATGCCTTGGGCACAAACAAGCACATACACTATATCCCATATGGGAGAAGTCCAGTGCCCAGGCATAGGGTTAGCTCAGTTTCCCTCCTTCCCAAAAGAGTGGTTCTGCTTTCTCCACTACCCCAAGGTTGCAGACTCTCTCTTATCACCCCTTCCTCCTTCCTCTTCTCAAAATGGTAGATTCAAAGCTCCTCTCTTGATTCTCTCCTACTGTTTAAATTCCCATTCCACCACAGTGCCCCTCAGCCAGATCACCACCCCTTACAATTCCCTCTACTGTGTGGAAATGGTCCATTGAGTAACACCCCCATCAGCTTCTCAACTGGGAAACCCCTGAAATGCTCTCAGAGCACCTCTGACGCCTGAAGAAGTTATACCTTCCTCTTCCCCTTTACCAAATAAAGCAAAGTCAAACCATCATCTGGAAACAGTGGCCACTTTTCACTGACCTTTCTTCGACATCTAGTCAACCCACCCAATATGCCACTGGGCTCTCGCTCCCAATTCCACCCCACCCTCCATTACAGAGCTCACCACGCCCTCCTAGATCACCGTCCCCAACACACCCATTGCCTCTCAAGGCCCTTATCTCAGCCCCTTCCTGTGGCCACTTCCCTCAGTGCTCAGATGATTCCCTGGGTGAGGGAGACACTGGGGCACCCTCAGAGGTTGGAGCAGGCTCCCTGCTGTCCCTGGATCCTGGACAGATGGCTCAGTAAACTGTGGGGACTAGGTGCAGACTTTTTGCCTTCTTGGAGTCCTGGGTCTCCTCTGAGAGTCTGGGTGGTGCTCCTCCTACGCCTCTAGAGGTCTCTGTGTTCCTCATTTTCCTTCAAAAGCGGGCTGTATTTCTCTTCTACCTTCCAGCTCCTCCCACAGAGGAGGAAGACAATAAATATTTGTTGAACTGAAAGCAGAGATTGCCTGGCCTCCCAGATCCTTCCGCCATTTCCCTCCTCTCTCATTGCTCCAGGAAATCCATTCTCTTCCCATTCCTCATTCACCGTGGGGTCCCCCTTCCCCTTATTTAGGGCCCTCAGTGTTTCCTCTCCCTCCCCTCCCCTCCCCTCCCCACCCAAACTCCTTTTCTTCCACCATTAGCATTCCTCACCTTCTAGATGCCATCCTCTCTGGGAGTCATGAGTCTCGATTTCCTGGGTTTCTGGGACACCTGGAAGCTTGGGAAGGCTGGGACACAACAACTCCAACCAGATTCCTGTCAGCTGAGTAGGAGGCCAGTTGGGCGTTGTTCCTGGAGCTGGGGGTGGAGAGAGTAAAGGACTGAGAGGATGGGAGCCGGGCAAGGAGTGCAGCCAAGCAGGGTGACTCACTGGCCTAGATCAAGAGGCCCAGCCTGTGGCAGAACAGAGCTGCCGGTGGTCTCTCCATCTTCACACTCCCTGCTCTGCTGGGGTCCAGAGTGAGAGTGTGAGCAACATGGCTCTCAGGTGAGGGCTGAGAAGGCAGAGTGCCCCCGTGGGAAAGAGGAGTCGCCTCCACTGGAGAAGAGAGAGAAAGTGGAGTGTGTGGTGGGGTCCATGCGACTTAAGTCCTGAGACAGGCAGGGAGAGGCTGAGGCGGAGGAAGTTCCTGCATCCCAAGGAGGGCAGAGTGGATTGTGCTTGTCCCTGTAGGAGCCCCACCCCCCACCCTAGGCCACCTCTCAGAGCCTCTGCTTGGCTGCAAAGGAATTCACCCCTACTGTAGCACTTAACCCATTCCCTCCTATCAGGGTGGTGCTGTCTGGTCCTGAATTTAGAACTGTTGAAACTCCAAGTCTGGAATCAGCAGAAATGTATTACATTGACCAGAAAGGGATTGAATCACCCTTGGTCCAGCGTCTGGCCCCTGATCTGCAGCCAATGGCAGGAATCGAGGTCCTCAGATGCTTCATGAATGGGAATTGCAGGGAGAGAAGGCTCTCTGATGTGGTGTTTCCTCAAGTCTCCTGCTGTGCTCCAAATTAAAAGCTTGTGTAAAACTCATGCATGTCATCCAAAAAGGCCTCTGGGCTCCATCCACTGCCAGTTCTGGAGAGGAGCTCTTCACTCCTCCAGTGGTTAAGCCAGCAGGGGCAGGCGGGGAGGACACAGCAGTAGAATCAGCCAACAGCTCATGTTTAGACCTTGGGCAGCCAGGGAAGCCTACTCCTGGGGCCTCCCGGAAGCCATGGAGAGAACAAAGCCATTGCATTTTTATAATAAAATTTGCAAACATATTTAAAAGCCAACAAACTGTTAATGAATCTCTACATTCTCATCGCCCAGCTTCAACAAGGATCAAGTCCTGGCCATTTGACAGCAGCATTTAAAGGCCCTCCTCTACTGTTACTTGGAAATAGCCACCTTCTCCCAAGGTTTCTTATACTCTATGGCACATCTGACCACCAGTAGCAGGCAGAATGATGTCTTCAACCCCAACACCATCAAAGATGTCCACATCCTAATCCCTGGAACGTAGGAATTAGGTTACATGGCAAAGGGAAATTAAGGTTCCAGATGGGATTAAGGTTGCTATTCGGCTGACTTCACAGAGATTATCATGGATTATTCAGGTGGGTCCAGTGTAGTCACCGGGTCCCTTAATGTGGACATGGGAGGCAGAAGAGGAAGTCTGAGTGATACAGTGTAAGAAATGGCTGATTTTGGCTTTGGAGATGGAGGAAGGGGACCATGAGCCAAAGAACACAGGATGCCTCTAGAAGGTGAAAAAGCGGGGAAAGGGATTTTCCCCTGAGGCCCCCAGAAAGAATCACAGCCCTGCTGACACCTTTATTTTAATCCACTGAGACCTGTTTTAGACTTCTGATCTCCAAAACTGTAAAGTAATAAATCCATGTTGTTGTAAGCCATTCGGTTCATGGTAATTTGTCACTGCAGCAGCAGGAATTAGTCAGTATCTCATAAGGATGGCATCCAGGCCCATTTCCCTAGCTAGATCCAGGGTCTCATGTAGGAGCAGCTCCTCAGATGGGGCCACTTCTGCACCCCAGAACCTCCTGCAGGTTGGGGCCAAGGTGAAGGAGATATGAGGATGCACGAGAAAGGGGTGCTGGGAGGAAACAATCCAGCTCCCAAAAAGAAACAAGTGTTTCTGTTGCTGAGAGAGGCAATTAAGAGAGTGGGACCCCAGGGTGGAGGTCCTTGTGTATAGAGAAGCAGGGCTGGGGAGGCTGGCAACCAGGGATGAGCTGTGAGCCAGGACACCTGGGCCAAGAAGGGGCAGGGAGGTCAAGGAAAGGAGCCAGGGCGGGAGACACCCAGCTTCCTCTGGGACATTCATTCAAGTGACACCTGTTGCCACAGACCGCATTAGGAATGAGGGTGGAATGTGGAGGTTTATTGTCTTCACAACCACTAGCCCAGCCTGTTTCTGCTGTCCCCCACCCCACTACCAGGATAAAGGGCTGGCTGTCTTGGGGCTGAGGGAGATCGGGTGCTGAGCAGGATGCAGGGCCGCGTGGCAGGGAGCTGCGCTCCTCTGGGCCTGCTCCTGGTCTGTCTTCATCTCCCAGGTATGGAGGCCGTGATGCCCTTGGGCAGGAGGGACTGGAGGTCCCCCAGGAAACAGGAATTAAGGAAAGGGGTAAAGGCAGGAGGGTACACATTTAGGTCCCTGAGGGAAAAGGAAGAATAGGCATAGGGGAAGCAAAGGGAACTGGGGACTCGGGGACTGGAGACCACTGGTTGCTTTATCTTCCCTTTCCCTCAGGCCTCTTTGCCCGGAGCATCGGTGTTGTGGAGGAGAAAGTTTCCCAAAACTTCGGGACCAACTTGCCTCAGCTCGGACAACCTTCCTCCACTGGCCCCTCTAACTCTGAACATCCGCAGCCCGCTCTGGACCCTAGGTCTAATGACTTGGCAAGGGTTCCTCTGAAGCTCAGCGTGCCTCCATCAGATGGCTTCCCACCTGCAGGAGGTTCTGCAGTGCAGAGGTGGCCTCCATCGTGGGGGCTGCCTGCCATGGATTCCTGGCCCCCTGAGGATCCTTGGCAGATGATGGCTGCTGCGGCTGAGGACCGCCTGGGGGAAGCGCTGCCTGAAGAACTCTCTTACCTCTCCAGTGCTGCGGCCCTCGCTCCGGGCAGTGGCCCTTTGCCTGGGGAGTCTTCTCCCGATGCCACAGGCCTCTCACCTGAGGCTTCACTCCTCCACCAGGACTCGGAGTCCAGACGACTGCCCCGTTCTAATTCACTGGGAGCCGGGGGAAAAATCCTTTCCCAACGCCCTCCCTGGTCTCTCATCCACAGGGTTCTGCCTGATCACCCCTGGGGTACCCTGAATCCCAGTGTGTCCTGGGGAGGTGGAGGCCCTGGGACTGGTTGGGGAACGAGGCCCATGCCACACCCTGAGGGAATCTGGGGTATCAATAATCAACCCCCAGGTACCAGCTGGGGAAATATTAATCGGTATCCAGGAGGCAGCTGGGGAAATATTAATCGGTATCCAGGAGGCAGCTGGGGGAATATTAATCGGTATCCAGGAGGCAGCTGGGGGAATATTCATCTATACCCAGGTATCAATAACCCATTTCCTCCTGGAGTTCTCCGCCCTCCTGGCTCTTCTTGGAACATCCCAGCTGGCTTCCCTAATCCTCCAAGCCCTAGGTTGCAGTGGGGCTAGAGCACGATAGAGGGAAACCCAACATTGGGAGTTAGAGTCCTGCTCCCGCCCCTTGCTGTGTGGGCTCAATCCAGGCCCTGTTAACATGTTTCCAGCACTATCCCCACTTTTCAGTGCCTCCCCTGCTCATCTCCAATAAAATAAAAGCACTTATGGAATTTGCTTCTCCTTGGTTTCTTTGTTTCTGGGCATAAGCTGAAGTGAGTCTGGGCATAAGCTGAAGTGAGTCTGTTCATTCCTGTTTTCTAGCCATCCCCAAGGCCCTCTAGGGGCCCCTGCAGACGCTGTCTTGCTATCCCCATCCTTCACAAAGGATCAGTGCCCAAGTGCTTGAGGGTGGAGCCTCAGACTCACCCCGGCCAGGTGGGAGAGCTGTTCCAGAATTGTGCTGGAATCTGAAAGGGGGAGGAGGGACAGCAGGACTAATTGAGATGGCACCTGCAGCAGGGGGCAAGGATGAGGTCCCAGAAGGCGGCTCCAGGGCCAGGTGGACAGGATTCCTTGCAATTCACAGAAACAGGAAGCCAAAAGTCGCAATGTCTGCGCTTCACTTGTCTTTTCTTCCCCGGAAAGTCAAGCTTCTTGGAAGTGGAGGTACATTGACCTCCTCCCTTACAGGCATCATTTAGCACATTGTGTCCCACAGAACCACAGACTTTGAACAGTTGCTGAGTAAATAGCAGACCTCGATAAAGGAAAAGAGAAAAGGGAGAAAGGAAAGGGAGAAAAAAACCTTGAAGCCAACAATCCCACCTGGGGTGGCATTTGATGCTTTCATTCCCAAGTGATGACACAGTCTCAGCCTTTGGTCACAGTATTGTCTCTCCTGCCCTCCCTTCGGTTTTCCCAGGAGCTCAACATCCTCACACAGGAGTTGGAGTGAGGGCAGCGAAGGGTCAGTCTACAAAAGCACGGAAGAATCAGCAGGTGTGGGTTGGAGGTGATTTGGGTCTGGATTCTCTCTTCCCTGTGCCATGCCTGCAGTGGTCCAGGTGTATGTACTCTCCATCCAGTCAGGTCCCTGGGAGTTGGGCAGCTTGTGGGAGGGGAGAAAGGAGTAGGAAAAACACCAGAACTCAAGGGGTAGGGAGCTGCCTGCCTGCCTGCCTGAGTGGCAGATGGGCATTTCTGGAGAAGATGCCCGGTCCCAGCATCTGCCATAAGGCTCCATCCTACACTGAGAAGTCCTTCCTGGAACACCTTCCTCAGAGCCCACCTTCCCCATCACCAAGCACACTCCCTTCGTCAACACCTCAACCTCCTCACCTGATTCTTTTCCCAGCTTGGACTCTCTTGGTTTCTCCCTGCCCTAGGGCAAGGGGTTCCATGCCTGTTTTCAGCACCTGCCTCTTCCACCAGCCCAAGGTCATTCTATCAAGCCTGGAGTCTCATTTCTCTCTGTCCCTCTTCCTGGTGGCCTCTTCTCCATAGTCATTCCTATTCGCACATTTAAATTTGGTGTCAACAGTCCCCTGCTCTGTTCCACAGACTCACTAGAGCATAAGCACCACGAGGACAGGGGCTTTGTCTCTTTAGTTCACTGCTGCACCCCCAGCAAAAAGAACAGGGTCTGGACCAGGGCAGGCACTCAGCAGGCACGAAGGAATGGCTGATCCTCTCTCTCTGTCCCTCCCCCTCTCTCATCATCTCTCTTCTTCCACTCAATTCCTGAGCCATGCGGCTACACCCAGAGTCTAATCTACACTCCGGCTGTAGCCCTCCCAGAGCCTCACTGACATTTTTCAACAACCTCATGAAGCCCTTCTCAGCATTAAAATGCTCTGTGCGTTTCATCATTTAACCTTCATTATTCTCTGTGAGGAAGGCATTATAAGATTTTTGCGGCCAGGCACGGTGGCTCACACCTGTAATCCCAGCACTTTGGGAGAACGAGGCAGGCGGATCACCTGAGGAGTTCGAGACAGCCTAGTCCAACATGGGGAACATGGTGAAACCTCATCTCTACTAAAAACACAAAAATTAGCCAGGCATGGTGCCTGTAATGCCAGCTACTTAGGAGGCTGAGGCTGGAGAATCGCTTGAACCCGGGAGTTGGAGGTTGTAGTGAGCCGAGATCGCGCCACTGCACTCCAGCCTGGGTGACAGAGCGAGACTCTGTCTCAAAAAAAAAAAAAATTTTTACAGATGGAGGAACTGAGATTTAGAGGGATTAAGCAACTCACACAGGGTTACAAGTGACAGGGGTGGTGACTCAAACCTCATTTTTCTCATTATCTGTCCAGGGAGTATTCAAGTACAATATGCAATTAACAGAAATAACAACGAACTTTTATTATATTTACATATAGGCCAGGTCCTGGACAAGGGGCTTGCACACACACCCTTCCAGCAAATCCTCACAACAACCCCATTGGGTGGGCACTGCGGGGCACACTGCACAGGGAAGACACTGAGGCCCAGAGAGGATGGGGAGCTGAGGCTCACACACAGGCAACACTGAGCCAGGGCAGTGAAGTTCATCTGATGCTTGGTGCTGATGGCTCAGGGAAGATGGACTTTAACAGTGGAGGGTCCCAGGGGGATGTGGCCAGTCCCCTCAGGGTGGTCTTTGGATTAACGTTAGTTGTTGCTTAAAAAATGGTGGAACTGGGCATGGTGGCTCATGTCTGTAATTTCAGCACTTTGGGAGCTGAGGCAGGAGGATTACTTGAGCCCAGGAATTCTAGACCAGCCTGGGCAACATAGGGAGACCTCATCTCTACAAATAGTAATTAAAAAATTAGCTTGAGCACTTAAAAAAAAAATTAAGAGTAGGCCGGGCATGGTGGCTCACACCTGTAATCCCAACACTTTGGGAGGCCAAGGCAGGCGGAGACCAGCCTGGCCAATGTGGTGAAACCCCATCTCTACTAAAAATACAAAAATTAGCCAGGCATGGTGTTGCACGCCTGTAATCCCAGCTAGAGGGAAGGCTGAGGTATAAGAATTGCTTGAACTTGGGAGATGGAGGTTGCAGTGAGCTGAGATTGTGCCACTGCACTCCAGCCTGGGCAACAGAGTGAGACTCTGTCTCAAAAAAAAAATCATCATCATAAGAGCAAAAATAAACTTTAAAAAAAATAAAATATTAGCTTGGCATGGTGTTATGCCTGTGGTACCAGCTACTTGGGAGGCTGAGGTGGGAGGATCACCCGAGCCTGGGAGGTTGAGGCCGCAGTGAGCCATGATCATTCCACCGCACTCTAGCCTGGGTGACAGGGCAAGACTAAAAAGAAAAAAAAAAGAAAAGAAAAGAAAGGCGGCTTACACCTGTAATCCCAGCACTTTGGGAGGCTAAGGAGGGTGGATCACCTGAGATTAGGAGTTCAAGACCAGCCTGGCCAACATGGTGCTACCCCGTCTCTACTAAAAATAAAAAGTTAGCCAGGTGTGGTGGTGGGCGCCTGTAATCCCAGCTACTCGGGAGACTGAGGCAGGAGAATCGCTTGAACCTGGGAGGCAGAGGTTGCAGTGAGCTGAGATTGCACCATTGCACTCCAGCCTAGGTGACAAGAGGGAAACTCCATCTCAGAAGAACAACAACAACAACAACAACACCCAAAAACCAAACAACAACAACTACAACAAAAAGAGAGGGAATGTCTTCAGTAATCTGTGATATGAGAAAGGTCCTAATGTTTGCAACAGGGACTACTGCTGGCATACTGATTTCTACATTTTTATTAGTGGTTAATTAGTGGAAGTGGTGGCTGGAGTAGCAAGAGTCATTCATTTCTCCTATCCTAGGAGGGCGCTTATCCAGAAGTTAGGAAACAGAGGTTCCCCTTCTGCCACACAACTTTCTGTGCCAGGTCACCTTAGGCAAGTCATTGACCTCTGTGGACCTTCGTTTTCTCATCTGTAACATGGGATGAAAGCAGATGTCCAGCCTCCCTCACAGGATTATTAGGAAGTTTAGGTAAGATAATGATAAGGTGCCTTAGAGACTGGAAAACCCTGAGCCATCGTAAGGGATAGATCCTAATGCAGTGCGTTGTCCCAGTGAGGCAGTCCTGGCAGGACCACAGGATAGTTCTTAGTCCCACAGAGGAGGGCTGGTCTGGTGCAGAGGCTGTAGTTGACATCACAGTCGATTGATAAGTTGATGTGATGCTTTGCACTGGGAGTTACACTTGAGAGAATGACTCTAAGATCAAGAGGAAGAGTTGAGTTGGCTTCTCATTTAAATATTTCATCCCTCAAACAAACAGCATTCACTTAGCCATTTGTCAGTAAAAAAGACATTTTTCACTTACACACACACTGTTGGGTGATAATAATAATAGTTTCCTTTATGTATTTACCATGAACTAAATGTTACAAGGTTACTTCAGTTCTTAGAATTCTATGATGTGTATGACGTGCTTACTCTTTTGTTTGTTTGTTTGTTTGTAGAGATGGGGTTCTCGCTTGTTGCCCAGGTTGGTCTTGAACTCCTGGCCTCAAGTGATCCTCCTGCCTCGGCCTTCCAAAGTGCTGGGATTACAGGTATGAGCCACCATGACCAGCCTAAAGTGAATTAATGTTTGATTCTCTGGCTAGACAAGCCCCACTGTGGAAAGGTGGTAGCAACAAGTTGTGAAATAATTTTGAGACCATTTAGTTCTTCTTGGCCTCAGGATGGCAGTTGTGACTGATGCAGCAGGTGTTTTTTTTTCTCTTTCTTTCTTTCTTTTTTTTTTTTTCTTGAGACGGAGTCTCGCTCTGTTGCCAGGCTGGAGTGCAGTGGCGTGATCTCTGCTTACCACAACCTCCGACTCCCTGGTTCAAGCGATTCCCCTGCCTCAGCCTCCCGAGTAGCTGGGATTACAGGCATGTGCCACCATCCCCAGCTAATTTTTGTATTTTTCAGTAGAGACGGGGTTTCCCCATGTTGGCCAGGATGGTCTGGTCTCCTGACCTTGTGATCCGCCCGCCTCAGCCTCCCAAAGTGCTGGGATTACACGCGTGAGCCACCCCGCCCGGCCAGAGGGTTGTTTCTTTAGCACCTCTTCCTCTGTCCCTCCTTTCTCTGAATCCTGTACTTAAATCACTCCCTGGCTACTCAAGACCATAATCCCTCTTGACTCACCCAGTCAAAACTCACTTCTCTTGAGTCTCTCTGTCCACTGTGACATTGTCATATGATGAATTCAGGAGAACTAACTCTGTTCATGATTAATAGGTGCAAAGATGATGAGTCTAGGAAGATAAAATCTATCTGGTATGTTAGTGGCCCCTTAAACATCTGTCACCAGCCTTCAAGCTCAGGTGCCCCTCTCTTTTCCTGGGACACCCTCTCAGTGTCTAAAGGTCGTTAAGGTATTTCTACTTAATGTAATTTTGTTTCTCTTATGAATTTATTAAACAAATAGCATTTAAGCATTAAATAATATTCTTCTATTTATACACTATGTACACAACTAATACATAGACATTTATGGATTTAATAATCCAAACTGATTAAAACACATTATTGATTTTATTTATTTATTTATTTATTTATTTATTTATTTATTTATTTATTTTTTTGAGACGGAGTCTTCTCTGTCACCCAGGCTGGAGTGCAGTGGCGTGATCTCGGCTCACTGCAACCTCTGCCTCCCAGGTTCACGCCATTCTCCTGCCTCAGCCTCCTGAGTAGGTGGGACTACAGGTGCCCACCACCACGCTTGGCTAATTTTTCTGTATTTTTAGTAGAGATGGGGTTTCACCGTGTTAGCCAGGATGGTCTCGATCTCCTGACCTTGTGATCCACCCACCTCGGCCTCCCAAAGTGCTGGGATTACAGGCGTGAGCCACTGCGCCCGGCCTAAATATTGATTTTAGACTTAAACTCATTTAAGCATTTAATTAAAATCTTTCATTTAGCTGGGCACAGTGGCTCATACCTGTAATCCCAGCACTTTAGGAGGCCGAGGCGGGTGGATCACCTGAGGTCAGGAGTTCGAGAACAGGCTGACCAACATGGTGAAACCCTGTCTCTACTAAAAATATACAAATTAGCTGGGCATGGTGGCAAGCGCCTATAATCCCAGCTACTCAGGAGACTGAGGCAGCAGAATCGCTTGAACCCAGGAGGCGGAGGTTGCAGTGAGCCGAAATCGCGCCATTGCACTCCAGCCTGGGCGACAAGAGCAAGACTCCATCTTAAAAAAAAAAAAAAAATATTGCATTTAATACATAGGATTCTCTTATATGTCTGAAACCCCCTAAGAAGCAAATGCATTTTTTTTTTTGAGATGGATTTTCGCTCTTGTTGCCCAGGCTGTAGTGCAATGGCACGATGTCAGCTCACTGCAACCTCTGCCTCCCGGGTTCAAGCAATTCTTCTGCCTCAGCCTCCCAAGTAGCTGGGATTACAGGTGTGCACTACCATGCCCGGCTAATTTTTTATTTTTAGTAGAGATGGGGTTTCACCATGTTGGTCAGGCTGGTTTTGAACTCCTGACCTCAGGTCATCCACCCGCCTTGGCCTCCCGAACTGCTGAGATTACAGGTGTGAGCCACTGCACCCAGCCTAAGAATGCAATTATTATTATTATTTTATTTTTATTTTTTGGAGACAGAGTCTTCCTCTATCACCCAGGCTGAAGTGTAGTGGCACCATCAGGGCTCACTGCAGCCTCAACCTCCTGAGCCCAAGGAGTCCTCCCACCTCAGCCTTCCAAGTAGCTGGGACAACAGGCCTGCACCACTGCACCTGGGTAATTTTTAAATTTTTATAGAGATGGGGTCCCACTATGTTGCTCAGACTGATCTTGAACTCCTGGAATGATCCTCCCACCTCAGCCTCCTAAAGTGCTGGGATTACAGGCATGAGCCACTGTGCCCAGCCTGGAACACTAACTTTTAACAACTATCTGCACACGGAGAAGCATCATCACAAGAACCAAAAATCAGGTGAGCAATCACAGTAACTGGATTTAACTTCATATCACTAAAGGAAACATTGAGGAGGGCAGGAGAGACAGTCTTGAATTGTGACGCCCCTTCCGTCCTCCCTGGCAGTGTCCCTGCAGCGTGGAAAGAGAGTCTTTGCATTTTGGGGAGGGAGGGCATGGGGTGGGGGACTTTATATTGAACTCACTGCTGCACTGTCATAGCGGAGAGCAAAGTCATGCTGGGATCGACCGGCACCTGCATGTGGAGGGGGCATCTGGGCCAGCCCTAGCCAGAGGGAAATCACCTCTCCCAGTGGTTGGAACTTGAGTTTCTCTGCAAGCCTCACCACCATGGGCCAAAGTGCTCTGGTGTCCTAGGTAAACTTGAAAGGCAGTCTAGGCTGGGTGCGGTGGCTCACACCTATAATCCCAGCACTTGGGGAAGCTGAGGCAGGAGGGACACTTGAGCCCAGGAGTCTGAGACCAGCCTGGGCAACATAAAAAGGCCATATTTCTACAAAAGAAAAAGAAGAAAAGGCAGTCTAGGACCCAAGGACTGCAATTCCTAGACAACTCCTAGTGCTCGGCTGGACTTACAGCCAATGGACTAGGGTTGCACTTGACCTAGGTAGACACCAGCCGGTATGGCTAAGGGAGGGCTTGTGCCACCCCTTCTCCAATCCCAGGCAGTGCAGCTCCTAGCAATGAAAGTGACTCCTTCGCTCTGCTTAAGGAGAGACGAGCAACGGGTAAAGAGGACTTGGTCTTGCATCTTGGATACCAGCTCAGCCACAGTAGGATAGGGCACTGGGCCGAGTCATGAGGCCCCCATTCCAGGCCCTAACTCCCAGATGTCATTTTTAGACACACCTGGGCCAAAAGGGAAGCTGCTGCCTTGAAGAGAAGGGGCCAGTACTTGCAGGATTCATCACCTGCTGACTAAAGAGCCCTTGGGCCCTGAATAACTAGCAGCAATAACCAGGTAGTACACTGTGGGCCTTGGGTGAGACTCTGAGACGTGCTGTCTTCAGCAGTGACCCAGCACATTCCCAGCTATGGTGGCTATGGTGAAAGACTCCTGCAGTTTGAGAAAAGCAGAGGGAAAAGTAAAGGGGACTTTGTCTTGTACCTTAGGCACCAGCTCAGCCATGGTAGGGCAGAGCAACAAGCAGTCTCTTGGAGTCCCCAAGTCTAGGTGTAGATTCTGTCCTGGACCTGCCCCTCTGGCTCAGGGCAGGTCCAGAGGGGAGCCTGCTGCCCTGAAAGGTAAGTCCCAGGCTTGGCAACATTCACCACAAGCTGATGGAAGAGTTCTTGGGCTTTAATTTTTATTTTTATTTTTTCGAGACGGAGTCTTGCTGTCACCCTGACTGGAGTGCAGTGGTACCATCTGGGCTCACTGTAACCTCCGTCTCCTGGGTTCAAGAGGTTCTCCTGCCTCAGCCTCCCAAGAAGCTGAGCTTACAGGCACCCACCACCACACCTGGCTAATTTTTGTATTTTTAGTAGACACAGTGTTTCACCATGTTGGTCAGGCTGGTCTTGACCTCCTGACCTCAAGTGATCCACCTGCCTCGGCCTCCCAAAGTGCTGGGATTACAGGTGTGAGCCACCACAGCCGGCCACCTTTGGGCTTTAAGTGAACATTGGTGGTGGACTGGCAGAATTGCTGTGGACTGGTGGTGGTGGTTGCCATAGGGAGAGGCTCCTCTGCCTAAGGAAAGGGGAGGGATGAGTGGGAGGGACTTTGTATTGTGGTGTCAGCGCCCGCTTAGCCACAGTAGAACAGAACATCAGGTAAATTACCAAAGTTTTTGACTCCAATCCCTGGCTCCCAGACAGCATCTCTGGAGAAGCTCTTAGCCTAGAGGAACTAGTTGCCCTGAAGGGAAGGCCCTGGCAAAGACCCAGTGCTGTGCTGGCTTCAGATCTGACCCAGTGCAGTCCCAGTGACGGCCACAGGGGTGCTTGTGTCACCACACCCCCAGCTCCAGGTGGCTCAGCAAGAGAGAGAGACTGTATGTTTGGGAGAAAGTAAGCAAAAAGAACAAGAGTCTATGCCTGATAATCCAGAAAATTCTTCCAGCTCTTATCCAAGACCACCAAGGCAGTACTTCTAAGAGTCTGCAAAACCACAGCATTATTGGGTTTCCCAAGAAGGACAGGCACAAACAAGCCCAGGGCTGTGAAGGCTACAATAAATACCTAATTCTTCAATGCCCAGATACCGACAAACGCCTATAAGCATCAATACCATCATGACCTCATCAAATGAACTAGATAGGCTATCAGGGACCAATCCTGGAGAAAAAGAGATATATGATCTTTCAGATAGATCATTCAAAATAGATGTTTTGAGGAAACTAAAAGAAATTCAAGGGCCGGGTATGGTGGCTCATGCCTGAAATCCCAGCACTTTGGGAGGCCGAGGAGGGTGGATCGCGAGTTCAGGGGATCGAGACCATCCTGGCTAACATGGTGAAACCCCATTTCTACTAAAAATACAAAAAATTAGCTGGGCGTGGTGGCACGTGCCTGCAGTCCCAGCTACTCAGGAGGCTGAGGCAGGAGAATCGCTTGAACCCAGGAGGCGGGGGTTGCAGTGAGCCGAGATCACACTACCGCACTCCAGCTTGGGTGACAGAATGAGACTCCATCTCAAAAAAAAAAAAAAAAAAAAAATTTAAGATAGCATAGAGAAAGAATTCAGAATTCTATCAGATAAATTTAACAAGGAGATTGAAATAATTAAAAAGAATCAGGCAGAAATTCTATAGTTGAAAAATACAATGGACACGCTGAAGAATGTAAGACTCTTTTGAAAATTTTTTTTCTTTTTTCTTTTTCCTTTTCTTTCTTTCTTTTTTTCTGTGGTGGGGACAGAGTCTTACTCTGTTACCCAGGCTGGAGTGCAGTGGCACAATTTCAGTTCACTGCAACCTCCGTCTCCTGGGTTCAAGAGGTTCTCCTGCCTCCGCCTCCCAAGTAGCTGGGATTACAGATGCCCACCACCACGCCTGGCTAATTTTTGTATTTTTAGTAGAGATAGGGTTTTGCTGGGTTGGCCAGGCTGGTTTCGAACTCCTGATCTCAGTTGATCCGCCTGCCTTGGCCTTTCAAAGTGCTTGGATTTCAGGTGTGACCCACTGTGCCCAGCCTTTTTAAAATTTTATTTATTTTAATCTTTCAGAAAAGACAGAATCTCTGAATTGTAGAATTAATCAAGCAGAAGAATTAGTGAACCTGAAGACAGGTTCCTTGAAAATACAGAGTCAGAGGAGACAAAAGAAAAAATAATAAAAAACAATGAAGCATGCCTACAAGATCTAGAAAACAGCCTCAAAAGGGCAAATCTAAGAGTTATTGGCTTTAAAGAGGAGGTACAGAAGAGATAGAGATAGAAAGTTTATTCAGAGAAATAACAGAATTTCCCAAACCTATGGAAAGATATCAACATTCAAATACAAGAAGGTTATAGAATGCCAGGCAGATTAAACTCAAAGACTACCTCAAGGCATTTAATGATCAAACTCCCAAAGCGTCAATAAGTCTGGCAGCAGATTTTTCAGTGGAAGGCTTACAGGCCAGGAGACAGTGGCATGACATATTTCAAGTGCTGAAGGAAAAAAACTTTTACCCTACAATAGTATATCCAGTGAAAATATCCTTCAAGCATAAAGGAGAAATAAAGACTTTTCCAGACAAACAAAAGCTGAGGGATTTCATCAACACCAGAACTGTCTGACAAGAAATGCTAAAGGGAGCTCTTTAATCTGAAAGAAAAGGATGTTAATGAATGAGAATAAATCTCATTACAAAACTCACTGGTAATAGCAAGTATACAGAAAAACACAGAATAGTATAACAATTTAATGGTGGTAGGTAAACTACTCCTGTCTTAAAGTAGAAAGACTAAATGATCAACCAATAGAAAATAATAACTATAGTTTACTGCAGCACTGTTCACAATAGCCAAGATTTGGAAGCAACTAAAGTGTCCATCAACAGATGAATGGATAAAGAAAATGTACATATACATAATGGAGTACTATTCAGCCATAAAAAGAATGGTGTCTTGTCATTTGCAACAATATGGATGGAATTGGAGGTCATTATGTTAGATGAAATAAGCCAGGCATAGAAAGACAAACATCACATGTTCTCACTTATTTGTGGGATCTAAATTCAAAACAATTGAACTCATGGACAGAGACAGTAGAAGGATGGTTACCAAAGGCTGGGAAGAGTAGAGCTATGGGGGACACGTGGGGATGGTTAATGGGACAAAAAAAATAGTTAGAAAGCATGAATAAGACCTGGTATTTGATAGCACAACAGGAGGACTACAGTCAATAATAACTTTTTTTTTCTTTTTTTTCAGATGGAATCTCCCTCTGTTGCCCAGGCTGGAGTATAGTGGCACCTTCTCAGCTCACTGCAGCCTCCACTTCCTGGGCTCCAATGATTCTCCTGCCTCAGCCTCCCGGGTAGCTGGGATTACAGGCACGCACCAACACCCCTGGCTAACTTTTGTATTTTTTGGAATGATGGGGTTTCACCATGTTGGCCAGGCTAGTCTCAAACTCTGGACCTCAGGTGATCTGCCCGCCTCGGCCTCTCAAAGTGTTAGGAGTATAGGCATGAGCCACTGCGCCCAGCTGGTAATAACTTAATTGTACATTTAAAAATAACTACAAGAGTATAATTGCATTGTTTGTAATGCAAAGGATAAATGTTTGAAAGGATGGATACCCAATTTTCCATGATGTGATTATGACACACTGCATGCCTGCACCAAAATATCTCATGTACCCCATAAACATACATACCTACAACGTACTCACAAAATTAAAAAATCATTAATAAAATAATAAAATGAGGCCAGGCGTGGTGGCTCACTCCTGTAATCCCAGCACTTTGGGAGGCCGAGGCAGGCGGATCACCTGAGGTTGGGAGTTCAAGACCAGTCTGACCAACATGCAGAAACCCCATCTCTACTAAAAATACAAAATTAGCCGGGCATGGTGGTGCATGCCTATAGTCCCAGCTACTCAGGAGGCTGAGGCAGGAGAATCGCTTGAAGCCAGGAGGCGGAAGGTTGTGGTGAGCCAAGATTGTGCCATTGCACTCCAGCCTGGGCGACAAGAGAGAAACTCTGTCTCAAAATAAATAAATAAATAAATAAATAAATAAATAATAATAAAAATAAATAAATGTACAAAACCAGGGAGTAGTTTTTAGTATACTCATGGAGTTACAAAACCAACACCGTAATCAATTTCAGAACATTTTCATCAACCCCAAAAGAAAGCCCAAACCCATGAGCAGTCACTCCCAATCTCCTCGCAACCCTCCCCTACTCCACCCCAGCCCTAAGCAGCCACTCATCTACTTTTCGTCTCTAAGGACTTACCTATTCTGTACATTTCATATAAATGGAATAATACAACATGGGGTCGTTTTGACTGGCTTCTTTCATTTAGCACAATGTGTTCAAGGTTCATCCATGTTGTAGCACATATCAGTACTTTATTTCTTTTTATTTCAAATTCATTTTTATTCTAGCGTATGGCTGTATATATCACATTTTATTTTCCATTCATCCGTTGAGGGACATTTAGGCCATTTCCATTTTTTATTGTTGTTGTCGTCGTTGTTGTTTGGCTATTATGAATAATGCTGCTATGAACATTGGTGAACAAGTTCTTGTGTAGACATAGATTTTCATTTTTCTGGGCTATAAACCTAGAAGTAGGATTGCTGAGTCATACAGTAACTCCATGTTCAACCTTTGGAGGAATGGTCAGACTGTTTTCCAAAGTGCTGTACCATTTCACTGTCCAACAGCTGTGCATGAGAGTGCCAATTTTTCCACACCCTTGCCAACACTTATTATCTCTCTTTTTACTATAGCCAGCCTAGTGGGTGTGAAATTATATCTCACTGAGGAATATAACTGCTTTTAGTTAGGTACACATCTTTTACATAAATTTTAGAATTTTGCGGGCCAAGCACGGTGGCTCACACCTGTAATCCCAGCACTTTGGTAGGCTGAGGAGAATGGATCACCTGAGGTCAGGAGTTCAAGACCAGTCTGGCCAACATGGCAAAACCCTGTCTCTACTGAAAAAACAAAAATTAGCCGGGCGTGGTGGCACATGCCTGTAATCCCAGCTAGTCGGAAGGTTGAGGCATGAGAATCGCTTGAACCCAGGAGGCGGAGGTTGCAGTGAGCCGAGATCACTCCATTGCACTCCAACCTGGGTGACAGAGCGAGACTTCGTATCAAAAAACAAAAACAAAAAAACAAACAAGAATCTCACAACATATTTTCTCCCCCTAATATAACACACTTCAATAATCTCTCTTGACCATTATTACATAATGAATTTTTCTCTCATTATGATATACTGACTTGATCTGTTAGCAGTATTAAATCTTATGCATATCTTATTTGTATTTTATTATAACTAGTAGGGCAATTTAAATATTCAATATTCTAGAAGATGAAGAATTGGGTTGACTTGGTTAGCTCTTCTTTTTAGTGATATTTTTGGTTAATTTATTGTCTTGGTACCTACTATTGAAACTCCCTTCTCTTTCATTATTGCCTCTGACATCATCTCATGTCAGACGTTCTTATTTCTGCTAACGTTCATACTTACAGCAGGGCTGTTACTGGCGGTGAATCCGTAGGTGTCTGCAGCAACCTCAATTCCTACCTCCTCAGAAGAAAGAATTTGACTGAGGGGCATAAGGCAGAAGGAGACAACGAGGCAAGTTTTAGAGCAGGAGTGAAAGTTTATTAAAAGGCTTTAGAGCAGGAAGGAAAGTACATTTGGAAGAGGGCCAAGTGGACGACTTTAGAGATCAAGTGTGTGGTTTGATCTTTTGACTTGGGTCTTTTTTTGTTTGTTTTTTGTTTTTTTTTTTTTTGAGATGGAGTCTCTCCCTGTCACCCAGGCTGGAGTACAGCGGTGCAATCTTGGCTCACTGCAACCTCCGCCTCCCGGGTTCAAGCGATTCTCCTGCCTCAGCCTCCCAAGTAGCTGGGATTACAGGTGTGCACCACCAAGCCTGGCTAATTTTTGTATTTTTAGTAGAGACGGGGTTTCACCATGTTGGCCAGGCTGATCTCAAACTCCTAATCTCAGGTGATCTGCCCACCTTGGCCTCCCAAAGTGCTGAGATTACAGGTGTGCCACTGCACCCAGCCTGACTTGAGGTTTTATACATTGCATGCTTCGGGGGTCTTGGTGTTCCTTCTCCCTTGATTCTTCCCTTGGGCTGGGCTGTCCATATGTGCAGTGGTCTGCTAGCCCTTGGAAAGGGCTGCATGCACAGTGTGTTTACTGGAGTTGTACGCATGCTCACTTGAGGCGTTCTTCCCTTGCCAGTCTAAAATTCGTAGAGGAAGGACATACACCAGTTAAACTCCACAGTTTTGCCTCTTAGTAAGCATGCTTGAGTCCACTCGCCCAACTCCTGAGATCTTATCAGGAAGCTGCTGATCACCAGTTTCAGGTTTTTTCTATCTATTGGGAGCTGCCTGTCCCTGGCGCCAGCTGCTACCAGTTATTATTTTAGAGAAACAGTTAATAACCGCCTGGCCATCACCTGATGCTCGCCTGGCATTCCTGGTGGGTGTGTGTGGTAGGAAGCCCTCTCCTGCTCTGCTCGTGCCTGACTAGCTGCCTACTATAACAGGGCTACTTGGCTTTCTCAGCATTCTCTGTGGGTTTTCTGCTTACACAGACAAAAGCAAGCACCTATCTTTGCTTTATAAACAGACACATAATTAATAGAAGAGACAAAATGAATAGTTCCCTTTTTATTAAAATAAAATTTTAAAACTCAATTCTTCTCTATTACAGTCATCTTTTGTGCCCTTTATGTGAATTTTTATCTGTTATTATCGTGATTTCATGGCCTGCCACAGATTCAATTTACTTCAATTAACCATAATTATCATTCCTCCCCCCATCTTCTTTCTTTCATGCCCGACTGTCAACTTGAACAATGGGAGCTCTTTGAAATTGGCTCCTTTGTCTTTTTAAGCACTGTCCTTGACTTACTTTCCTTCCTTCCTTCCCTCCTTCCTTCCTTCTTTCCTTCCTTCCTTCTCTCTCTCTCTCTTTCTTTCTTTTCTTTCTTTTTTGCGACAGGGTCTCACTGTTGCCCAGGTTGGAGTGGCACAGTCGCAGCTCACTGCAGTCTTGACCTTCCCAGCATCAGATGATCCTCCCATTTCAGCCTCCCACGTAGCTGGGACTACATGCATGCATCACCATGCCCAGCTACTTTTTGTATTTTTTGTAGAGATGGGGTTTCGCCACGTTGCCCAGGCTGGTCTTGAACCCCTCTGCTCAAGTGATCTGTCCGTCTTGGCCTCCCAAAGTGCTGGGATTACAGGCATGAGCCACGTGCCCAGCCTGTCCTTCACATTCTTGAAGTCATCCTTGCTCTATGGCAACAACAGAACATTCAAGTCCTGTCCTGATTCTTTCCTTCTCTGAGACATGGAATCAGTTGTCACCTAAGCCTTGCATTCTAAGGGGTCCTAGTTTCTATAAATGAAAAACAGTATTTGAAACCAAAGGCTAGGTCCTGGGGTTCCACATGACAGCTAGTGACAAAACTACTACCTCCTCTGTTGGCCACTTTTTTGTTTGTTTGTTTGTTTGTTTGAGACAGAGTCTTGCTGTGTTGCCAGGCTGGAGTGCAGTGGTGCCATCTTGGCTTAATGCAACCTCAACCTCCCAGGCTCAAGCAATCCTCCCACCTCAGCCTCCCAAGTAGCTAGGACTACAAGTGCACCACCATGCCTGGCTAATTTTTTTTTTTTTTTTTTTTTTAAATAGAGACAGGGTTTCGCCATGTTGCCCAGGCTGGTCTCAAACTCCTGGGCTGAAGCCATCTGCCCATCTCAGCCTCCCAAAATGCTGGGATTACAAGTGTAATCCACTGTGCCTGGCCCATAGTTGGCCACTTTTTAAGATAGACGTTAATGTCAAATTTGCTAACTTAACATGCTGTTTGTTGTATCCTACTTGTATTAGAGAGAGCAGGGTAGACTCATCATGAAAACTTTCCACATCACTGAGAGACAATGAAGGGACCATACCCAGGTTTATGCAGGAATGAAGTGAAGGAACATGTGGAAGTTAAAGTCAGTGTGGGGAAGGCTGGAGAGTGTGAATTGGGCAACACTCCACGTAAGGTGAGGTCAGCTGGGAAACCAGTCCACTGTAGAGATTTTGAAGTCATAAGTTTGAGATAAGGTGAAGTGCTCAGTGATTTTTCCACCTGTTATTTTCACCTAACAAAGACCTGTTTGAGCTATAGTCATTCAGGATGTGACCATGTGTCCCCCACCCCCAAAAGATATGCTGAAATCTTAATCCCTGGTACCTCAGAATGTGATCTGATTAGGAAATAGGGTCTTTATAGAGGTCATCAAGTTAAAATGAGGTCATTAGGGTGAGCCTTAATCCAATAGAATTTGAGTGGAGCCTGGAGCATCTGCAGGACCCAAGAAAGTGACCACAGAGAGGGGCCAAGGGGTGGGGGTGCTGGTGCTGACACTGCAGAGCCTTCTAGGCCTTCTTAGGGATTTGGCGTTTTACCTGTATCTGAAGAACAAGGGTTGCACTGATGGCAAGCCAAGATGCATTGTGTTTGCTAGGGGCTGCCAAGTTGCCAAGAGAGGAAATGACTCTGCAGATGGTTCTGCAGGGCCTGGCACAGGGCGAGTTTCCTGCATGAGGGAGGTGCTTTTATTTAATTGTTAAATTTGTTTCCTGTTTATGCCCTTCTTTCTCATATGGGGATGTTCATGGCCTCCTGCCTGGGTGGTGACAGCACTCTCCTAATTGGCCTCATACCCACAGGCTCTGCGTCCTCCAGCCCATCCTATAAGTCAGCTCATCAGACCTCTACCCTGCTCAGGTACTGGCTGGGTGCAGAGCCTGCAGCTTGCACAGAAGGTCGTTCCTGTGCAGCTGACTGCCCCTCCAGGCTCTGTCTGTCTCTTGTCCTCACCCTCACCCCTGCTCCTGCTCTCTGCTGGGCAGACACCACTGGTGGAACTCATGAACATTTGCAGAACTAATGACTGAAGGCACCAGGGCCCTGGCAGCCACCCCACCCTGCACGCAACTGGAGCTCTTCACCACTCTGCACTTTGGTTCTGTGATTTGCCCACCTCCTCTTTCTCTGCCTGTTAAATGGAACATTCATTTGCTACATTCCAGTTCCAGAAGCTTTTAACAAAACCCAGGGAATCCTAGAAGGGTACAGTAAGAGGAATGGAAAGAGGAAAGAAGTTAAAATGTATTTGGTGGCCAGACGCAGTGGCTCATGGCTGTAATCCCAGCACTTTGGGAGGCCGAGGCGGGCGGATCACTTGAGATCAGGAATTCAAGACCAGCCTGGTCAACATGGCAAAACCCCATCTCTACTAAAAATATAAAAATTAGCTGGGCGTAGTGGCGGGCAACTGTAATCCTAGCTACTCGGAAAGCTGAGGCACGAGAATCACTTGAACCCCAGAGGCAGAGGTTGCAGTGAGCTGAGATCGCACTACTGCACTCCAGCCTGGGTGACAGAGTGAGACTCCAATTCCAAAAATAAATAAATAAATAAATAAATAAATAAATAAATAAATAAATAGTGTGTTTGGTTCAGGGGAAAGACTAAAGCTACTGAATAACCTTTGATGTTAAATAAAATTATAACTTTGAATAGATGTAAGGGAAATCATGAATTAGACTAGAACTAAAGATGCATGTTTTAAACTACTGGAAGGGCTGAAACAACAACATAGAGAGCAACCCTTTCGGTGAAAATCAGGGGAAAAAATAATACTCAGAAAAAATAAAGTAATATAGACATAAAAGCTTATCTCTTTTTTAAACAGAGTATTCGTGTTCCATGAAACTGCTGGTGATAATTTTTAAAAAGTGTATTCATGGAGAAAGTTCTGATGAGATATATTTCGGCGGTTATTCCTTGGTGGTAGAAGCTTTTCAGGACTTTTCAACTTTGTACTTTGTACTTTTACAAAGACCTGTATAGTACTGGGTTTATAATAAAAACAAAACAAACACAAAAGCCCATTCATCTGCAAACAACTCATTGTTCAAGTCTTTCCTGACCCTCCCACTGAACTCCCAGGCTGATGGTGACTTTCTCATGACATTGAAGGACATTGAATAATTATAGTTATAACTACTGTAACTAATGGGCCCAGCACTAAGCTCTCTAAGCCTCATCTTCCTTATCTGTAAAGTGGGGATAGTCAGAGTTCCCATGTGATAGGCTTGTTGAGATGACTCAACCAAATATTTGTATACGAAATTCTTAGCATCGTGTCTGGCACGATAAGAACTCAATAACAATTTGCTGTTGTTACCATTATTATTATAATTTATTTTATGTTATTTTTTGAGTGACAGAGTGTCACTCTGTCCCCCAGGCTGGAGTGCAGTGGCACGATCTTGGCTGACTGCAACCTCCACCTGCTGGCTTCAAAGGATTCTCCTGCCTTAGCCTCCTGAGTAGCTGGGAATACGCCCCCGGCTAATTTTTTTTTTTTTTTTTTTTTTTTTGAGACTCGCTCTGTCACCTAGTCTAGAGTGCAGTGGTGCGATCTCGGCTCACTGCAACATACGCCTCCCAAGTTCAAGCGATTCTCCTGCCTCAGACTCCCGAATAGCTGGGATTACAGGCACCCGCCATCATGCCCAACTAATTTTTGTATTTTTGGTAGAGATGGGGTTTCACCATGCTGGCCAGGCTGGTCTTGAACTCCTGACTTCAGGTGATCAGCCCACCTCAGCCTCCCAAAGTGTTGGGATTACAGGTGTGAGCCACCGTGCCCAGCCTAATTTTTGTATTTTTAGAAGAGACGGGGGTCTCACCATGTTGACCAGGCTGGTCTAGAACTCCTGATCTCAGGTGATCTGCCCACCTTGGCCTCCAAAAGTGCTAGGATTACAGGTGTGAGCCACTGCACCCAGCCTCTAACTTACTTTAATTCCAAACATCCTTCCAAGGTAGGCATTATGAGCTTTATAAATGATGAAAATACGGCTCAGAGAGGTTAAGTAATTTGCCTAAAGTCACACAGCTAGTAAAGGGTTTCCTGGGACATTACATGAAAGTTAATCACCTACGAATGAAAGTTGTGGGGAATCTGTGCACAGTGAATGAGAGGCACTAACTGGAAAAGACACTGTAGATGGTGCTAAGGAAATTGGGGAGTAAATAAATCCAATCAAAGGGAGCCAAGGGGAAGTATGCATGGATAAAGA
Source organism: Homo sapiens (assembly GCF_000001405.40). NCBI lineage: Eukaryota > Metazoa > Chordata > Mammalia > Primates > Hominidae > Homo > Homo sapiens. The sequence goes on along the minus strand of NT_113891.3, from coordinate 2,574,578 downwards.
CTAGACCTAAGGAAGCAAAAATCAAATCCATGGTACTAGGCGCCAACTGAAGAAAGAATGTGGATGCAGAAGAGGGTGGCCTTTATGGAATCTAGGAAAGCGGGGCTCAAGGGACAAGAATCATGAGCTGTTTAGTCATTGTTCCCTGCAGGGGAACATGAAGACAGGTATGTTCTGGCCATGAGTATTCTGTTGTAACCTATTTTAATTTTATTTTCTTAATTTTCTTTAATAGAGACAGGGTCTGGTATGTTACCCAGGCTGATCTCCTGGGCTCAAGCGATTCTCCCACCTCAGCCTCCCTAAGAGATTGCAGGCATGAGCCACCACGCCCAGCCATAACCTACTTTTAATCAGCAGCTTCAAAATGGCTGTGACATCAAGTGTATAATAACACTGAACTCACAGTCATGCTCTACATATCAAAAGATGGGTGGAGAGAGACTTCTTCTGTCAGTTTGATGGAAGAATATGTGTGCCATCTGTTTCATGTACACTAGAATTCATCCCTGGATTAAGCCAGACCAGTGGCATGGACACACAGCATGGGACTGCACTGATCTGACTGATTCTGCCGGAACATGGTGCCACCAGCTGTAACAGGAACACTGAAGAAATGAATAAATCCTATGAAAACTTGTATTTATGGTAGTGGTGTGGTTGAGATGTTTTTCACTTTATCACACCCCTTCTGGTCAAGGGAGACCAGAAGAAAACTGCTTCCTGGTCTCAGGGAAAGGAATAGTTGTGCTACTATTGCGGGACTTTTCCTTAGTTCAGCTAAAGACGGGTTCTTTGTCCCACAGCCACGAAAATTCAGGCTCACAGACAATCTGAATGGTGAATGAGACGGGTTTTATTGGATGAAAAGGAAGAAAACGGAGAAACAGGGACTGTCGCTAGGCCAGAGTCCCTACTAGAGCGCTTCCCACCCGCCATTCAAATCCCAGGATCCACACACTAAGAAGAGGGGCCAGGCTGCTCCCCGCTGCAAAGGGCACAAACTTCCTGAGGCTCCACCTCAGTGGGCAGGCTGGTTGGCATTTCTCCAGGGAACCCCTCCCACCTGGCTGTCTCACTACTTCTGAGACTTTGGACACTGGAAGCCATGTGATGATTGTGTTTCCCTCTTTGAATTGGCTTCTAGAGAGCTCAGTTCCAAACCTGCGACCCCCACCCCCAGCACAGCATGATGTTTATACTAATCTTACTGGTTTTATCTGATTTTTCTAACTCTTTACTTGCCTTCGTATTTTTCTTTCTTTTTCTTAGAGATTTTGGGGTCTCACTCATAGCTCACTGCAGCTTCAAACTCCTGGGCTCAAGTGATCCTCCAGCCTCAGCCTTCTGAGGAAGTAGCTAGGACTACAGGCATGTGCCCCAACAGCCTGGCTAATTCATTTTATTGCTTTTTTAGAGATGAGATCTGGCTATGTTGTCCAGGCTGGGCAGTCTCAAACTCCTGGCCTCAAGCAATCCTCCTGCCTCAGCCTCCAGAGTAGGTGGGGTTACAGGCAGGCACCACCAGGCTCAGCCTTAGTTGTAATTTTTAATTCTGTTGTATTGTGTTTAAGCTATTTTAGATTTTGTTTAAAACAAGGCTGGTATAGATACATACAATGTTTTATTCCTGGACTGGGTTTTACTATGACCTGTATGAAATACTCCTAAAATATCTACCTCTCTTAACTTTGATTTCTTGGTCACCCAGCAACGTATTTTGATTGGCAGTCAACTTTTCCTTTCAGGTATCTTGCTACTAGTTTATTTAGTTATTTTGTCATTTCACTGTTTCCATTCACTAGTTTCCATATTTCATTGCGTCCTTTTTTGCTCTTGTGTGTTTTTTTTTATGTCATTCTTTTAAGTTTATATCATATTTGTGTAATGTGGTTTTTTTCTTAACTTTTAAATTATTTTGAAGTCAATTTCATTACAAATTTCTTTTTTTAGCCAGGTGCAGTGGCTCACACCTGTAATCCCAGCACTTTGGGAGGCCGAGGTGGGCAGATCACCAGAGGTCGGGAGTTCGAGACCAGCCTGACCAACCTGGAGAAACCCTGTCTCTACTAAAAATACAAAAATTAGCCGGGTGTGGTGACACATGCCTGTAATACCAGCTACTAGGGAGGCTGAGGCAGGACAACCACTTGAACCTGGGAGGTGGAGGTTGTGGTGAGCCGAGATCATGCCATTGTACTCCAGCCTGGGCAACAAGACTGAAACTGCGCCTCAAAAAATAAAAAATTTAAAAAAATAATTAATTAAATTAATTAATCATTATTATTATTATTATGAGACAAGGTCTGGCTCTATCACCCAGGCTGGAGTGCAGTGGCACAATCACAGCTCACTGCAGCCTGGACTTCGCTGGCTCAAACGATCCTCCCACCTCAGCCTCCCAAGTAGCTGAAATGGATACGTGCACCAACACGCCCGGCTAATTTTTGTATTTTTAGTACAGACAGGGTTTCGCCATGTTGCCCAGGTTGGTCTCAAACTCCTGAGCTCAAGTGATCCACCTGCCTTGGCCTCCCAAAGTGCTGGGATTATAGGCATGAGCCACCATGCCTGGCCTAAAATTTCTTTTACTGTGGTAAAAATAAACATATATATAATTCAGCTATAAACGAGGAATTACATTCTGATACATGCTACAACATGGATGAATATTGAAAAAAAATTATGCAAAATGAAATGAGCCAGAAACAAAAGGACAAATATTGCATGATTTCACTTACATCAGATATTTAAAATGGGGAAATCTGGTTTGTCAGCACAGCAGGGAAAAAAATAAATAAAAATAAAATAGGAAAATCATAGAGGTGAAAAGTCAATTTAGCCAGGTGTGGTGGCTCATACTTGTATGTGTGTGTGGTGTGTGTATATATATATGTGTGTGTGTGTGTGTGTGTGTGTGTATGTTATATATATGAAAATGTATATAAGGTAAGATTTCCCATTTAACCATTTTATTTTATTTTATTTTATTTTCTCAAGACGGAGTCTCGTTCTGTTGCCCACGCTTGAGTGCAGTGGCATGATCTCGGCTCACTGCAACCTCCACCTCCTAGGTTCAAGCAATTCTCCTGCCTCAGACTCCTGAGTAGCTGGGATTACAGGTGCCTGCCACTATGCCTGGCTAATTTTTGTATTTTTAGTACAGATGGGGTTTCACCATGTTGGCCAGGCTGGTCTTGAACTCCTGACCTCAGGTGATCCTCCCACCTCGGCCTCCCAAAGTGCTGGGATTACAGGCCTGAGCCACTGCACCCAGCCTAACCATTTTAAATGTATAATTCATTGGCATTAATTACATTTGACGTTGTTGTGCAGCTGTCAACCACTATCTGTTTCCAATTTTTTTTCATTACTCCAAACAGAAACTCATTACCCATTAAGCAATAACTCCCCATTCTCCTTTCCGCCCAGCCCCTGGTAACCTCTAATCGACTTATTTTCTTTTCTTTTTTTTTTTTTTAGAGGTGGTGGGGGTGGGTGTCTCACCATGTTGCCCAGGTTGGTCTCGAACTCTTGGCCTCAAACAGTTCTCCTGCCTCAGCCTCTCAGAGTGCTGGGATTACAGGCATGAGCCACGGCACCTGGCCAAATTGACTTTTCACCTCTATGATTTTCGTATTTTACTTTATTTTTTTTCCTGCTGTGCTGGCAAACCAGATTTCCCCATTTTAAATATCTAACGTAAGTGAAATCATACAATATTTGTCCTTTTGTGTCTGGCTTATTTCATTTTACATAATTTTTTCAATGTTCATCCATGTTGTAGCATGTATCAGAATGTAATTTCTGCTGGGCGCGGTGGCTCATGCCTGTAATCCCAGCACTTTGGGAGGCCGAGGCGGGCAGATCACCTGAGGTCAGGAGTTGGAGACCCGCCTGGCCAGCATGGTGAAACCCCGTCTCTACTAAAAAAAATACAAAAATTAGCTGGGCGTGATGGCGCGTGCCTGTAATCCCAGCTACTCAGGAGGCTGAGACAGGAGAAACCCTTGAACCGGGGAGGCGGACGTTGCAGTGAGCCAAGATTGCGCCACTGCGCTCCAGCCTGGGTGACAGAGCAAGACTCTGTCTGCAAAATAAAATAAAATAAAATAAATAAATAGAATGTAATTTCTTTTTTATGGCTGAATAATAGTACTTTGTAATATTTTCATTATTGTGTATCTTTAAATTAATTTTAACGCCTTTTTCTCTCTCTCTCTTTTTTTTTTTTTTTGGTAGCGATTTGGACCTCACTATGTTGCCCAGGCTGGTCTCAAACTCCTGGGCTCAAGCGATCCTCCCCTCTCGGCCTCCCAAAATGCTGGGATTACAGGCGTGAGCCACCTCGCCCTGCCATCATTTTATTTTTTGAATGATTTCTTATTGTCTTAACTTCTTAGGTGACTAACAATGAGGCTTGCTACTATCACCCTAGCATAATATCATCCTTAGCAAGGGAGTTGGGCGCTCTTACCGGTAGATGGCGCTGTCGATCTTTTAAAAAGCGAGCTCTCCTGCCCTCCCACTTTGAGCTCGCTGAGTCAAAACACAGCCTGAATAGTTTAGGAGCTCCAAAGCCCCGCTTATCTCCACTTTCCAAATTCTCTCTCATTAAGACCAACAAAAATTTTACCTTTATTATTAGTTATGTGACCTGCTAAGACAATTTATAACACTTTTTATTATGGAAATTTTCAAACTTACACAAAAATAAAGAAAATACCTCTATTTACCTACCATGGGACTTCAACAATTATTAGCATTTACAAATCTTGGAACAATGTTATTTTCTCACATTATGTTCTATCTCATCCCTCTTAAAGAGTTATCAGATGGGAAATCCATGGTCTAGGCTCAATAAAATCACTCTACATTAGGAAAGTCTTGGAAACAGATTGCGTTTTAGCAGGAAAAGGAGGGGGGTTGATGATTTCATTCAATAAAACAGCCTTAACTCACCGCCGTGACCAATAACCGGGTAATGTGGAAGCTCCCCGTAAGATTCCTCGTGGAAGGCAAAAATAGAGCACAACTGGGCTTTTGAATACCTCTTACATCTGCCTGCCTTTGTCTTGTCTATTTTCCAACCTGATTTCACCTGCTCCCTATCAGGATCTTAGCCTCTCAGGGTGCAGCTGATCTCAGTTCCTTTCCTTATAGTGAGACCAAGATAAGTTGACTGGGCCTGGAAATATTCTCAAGAGAGGTTTTAGAATGGAGTCAACTGCATTTCCACTGAGTCATGTCTGAAGATAAATCACAGGGCATCTATTCAGCAGTCCAGGCTGATATCTATCTTACTTCCTGAATGTGGGTCTCGGGTATCCCTCAGAGCAGCTGTCTGATATCAGGAAGGGAAATGTGTGTTAGAGATGGTTTATTGTTATAAGTCAAACAAATAAATTATTGAATAAAACATGTTCCAGCTTTTGTCTTGATAAATATACCTTCATACTGATCTTGAAGTCTAGTGTAGCAGATACTGTTGTGTGCCACCCAAATCCTACCTTCAACATTGTCACTTATTCCCCAGCTGCCAGGGGTGTTGGTTGTGACAGCTCTGTCTCTGGGAATTGCCCTTAGCTGAAAAGAGCTGTCTTGCCCAAGGTTACACCTCCCCTCCCTGGGGGCAGCCACATCCAATGACTGATAGATAAGATAAGAACATACAAAGTCCTGGTTACCTTGCTTCAAGTTTGGCCACCTTTTTGTTTGTTTGTTTGTTTGTTTGTTTGAGATGGACTTTCGCTCTTGTTGCCCGAGCTGGAGTGCAATGGCACAATCTCTGCTCACTGCAACCTCCGCCTCCTGGGTTCAAGTGATTCTCCAGCCTCAGCCTCCTGAGTAGCTGGGATTACAGGCGCATGCCACCATGCCCGGCTAATTTTTTGTATTTTTAGTAGAAACGGGGTTTCACCATGTTAACTAGGCTGGTCTTGAACTGCTGACCTCAGATAATCCTCCCCCACTCGGCCTCCCAAAGTGCTGGGATTACAGGCGTGAGTCACCGCGCCCGGCCGAGTTTGGCCAAATTTAAAGGACTTTTCCAGTGCCAGAGGCCTCCACAACCCATGAGATCAGCTCAGTACTCTTTACGGCTTCATTACAGTTCAACTGCTCCCTTTCCCTGTCCCGTTTCTCTCAGCTTTTAAAGGTGTTTGTCCCAAGATTGTTCCCCAATAAAACTTCTGCAGATAAATCTATCTGAGAATCTGTTTTCTGGGGAATCCAGGCTAGGACAGCCAGGCTGGAATTTAGAATTCTGAGACTCCCCTAGGTTCCATGGCAGAATATGGCTGAGTGAGGAAAACTAGCTCTGGGTCCTCTACCTGCATCTGCCCTACTTTCTTTTCCTGAAAATTCAAGTCCCTAAAATCTCCAGACCCATATCCTTCTCTGAAAACAGCCACATTTTGGGGTCTCAGAGCATGCACGACAGCAGCGAGGCATAACCCCTGGGACGATGGCCCCAGGAGGAGGCCCATGCAAACTTGGAAGCAGGCTTGGGGGCCATTAGTGCCAGGAATTCAGGGGTTCCAAGTACCTAGACTGTAGTACTTGTAGAAGAGATGCAACCTCCATGGGTAGGTCTATCCCTTTGGCTTCTCGGACTTTTTGTCCTATAAGTTGGGGGAATGATAGAGCAGGTCCCTCTAGATCATGGAGCCCGGGCAGGGTCCTCATGTGCTTGGATCCAAGGGTGGGAAAACATTTTCTACCGAATTTAAACCAGTGGCATTTGTGTCTCTGTTACAAGCAGCCAAAAATTTATATTTTAACACGTCTAGTTGACTTCCTGCACTTCTATGCCCATCTTCCTAAAAGAGAACAGTGTATCTCTCTAAAAGGGACTTCATCCTTTACTCTCAGGTCCTAGAATATACTGATGTTTCCTACATGTTAATTATGCTTTCCACAATCAAAATTTGATTTCATTAGGAAATCCATTCATGCAAGAGATGTCTCTAATTAAAAACTATCCAAATAACTTCTCCAATAACCAACCACACTGGCCTTTTTGCTCTCCTCCCTGCTGAGGGCTTATATCCCTGGATATCCTTTGACATCCATCAGCCCTGCTCTCTATAGTGACAATCTACAGGAACATTTCCATTTATTGCCTCTCCAGTGATTCTCAGCTCTTTGCAAACAAAATTCCATCCAGTTCCTTCAAAGGGCAGTCCTTTAAAAACCATGAGCCTATACTGTTAGTCATGATATGCGGAAAGAGATTGTTGAGGGTCTCAAGTACCAAATCCACCTACTGCAATGCATTGAGAAAATATGCATCAATTGCTTGTTCTGATAATGTACTGTAGTATGTAAGAGCTTACCACTGGGGAAGCTGCGTGAAGAGTGCACAGGACATCTCGGTACTAATTTTGCAACTTTCTGTGCATCTTTAGTTATTTGAAAACAAAAAGAGAAGAAAAAAAAAGAGGAGGAGGCAGGACATTAAAAAATATAACCTTATGGATGGGCTTGGTGGCTCACGTCTGTAATCCCAGCATTTTGGGAGGCCGAGGCCGGCGGATCACGTGAGGGCAGGAGTTCGAGACCAGCCTAGCCATCATGGCGAAACCCCATCTCTACTAAAAGTACAAAAATTAGCCAGGCGTGGTGGCAGGCGCCTGTAATCCCAGCTACTCAGGAGGCTGAGGCAGGAGAATTGCTTGAACCCGGGAGGCGGAGGCTGCAGTGAGCAGAGATCTTGCCACTTCACTCCGGCCTGGGCAAAAGAGTGAAACTCTGTCTCAAAAACAAAACAAAACAAAACAAAACAACAACAAAAAACTCCTTATTCAAAAATCGAGGCCATTCCAGATAAAGGAACTCTCTTTATATCTACAGTTTTGGCTCCAAACTTTATTGTGGCTTCGTACCTTAGTGAACTGGATTAGTGAGCATGTGTGATTGCAGTGACTGCCTAAAAAAGAGACAGGGCAGCCTGCCCTGTCCCATGAGTCCTTCCCGTTGGGCTTCCATAAAAGGGGTGAAGTGTCCTTCCCCAGCAGGAGGCGGCATTGAGTAATTCTCATGACACCAGCCTTAAAGAAGGACTTACTTGGCCTGCAGTCTGCCACACACATCTCCCTCAGGGCCCCAGCAGGGCCTCTGCAGCTGGTAGGTGCTTAATGGAGGATTTTAGGATTTTGCATCTTGGTTATCTCATCTTTGAGGACTCGACCTACATCTGGCAAGTCTAGGAGATGGAATTGAGGAGGGCATATGCACAGAGTACTGGGAATTAGAGAGCTGAGTCACTGGAGAGTCTCGAACCTCAGAGCAGCTGCCTTTCTCTCGGACTCAGGCCAAGATTGAGGGAGACTGACGACATATTGCATCTCACAGGTTCCCAGGGGCACAAGGCTATTTGCGACCACAGCAGCTCCGTTTGGCTAAGGAGGCCTTGGGTTTCTGAGGGATAGGAAGAATCAGAGCAGAGAAGAGCAGATGGAATGGTGACCGACGTAGGGCCCTGAAGTTTACTTAGGGTTGTCTTCTAGAAATGTGAGGTGCTGTGTTTACAAAAAAAGCATAGCTTGCACTGCTCTCAGTCTCAGGTTCCCAGGGGAAAGGGCTAAATAAGGACAATCTGCAATGCATTGGAAGGAAAAACTGAGAGGCTTATACATTTATGAGAGGTATCCCCACTATGTATTTGTAAATCTTCCAGAATGTAGGAATGTCCAGATGCCATTAAAAAAAAAAAGACTAACTGTATTTATTCATTTATCTATTTTTATTGACATTGTAATTGTATATATTCAGATGCCCTTTTTTTTTTTTTGAGATGGAATTTTGCTCTTCTTGCCCAGGCTGGAGTGCAATGGCATGATCTCAGCTCACTGCAACCTCCGCCTCCTGAGTTCAAGCAATTCTGCTGCCTCAGCCTCCGGAGTAGCTGGGGCTGGGACTACAGGCATGCACCACCATGCCCAGCTAATTTTTCTGTACTTTAGTACAGACGGAGTTTCGCCATGTTGGCCAGGCTGGACTTGAACCCCTGACCTCAAGTGATCCTCCCGCCTTGGCCTCCCGAAGTGCTGGGATTACAGGACTGAGCCACCTCGCTCAGACTTTTTTTTTTTTTTAAATGGAACCCTTCACAAATTTGTGTGTCATCCTTGAGCAGGGGCCATGCTAATCTTCTCTGTATCAGATGCCACTTTCATTTTTAGACGGAGTCTCACTCTGTTACCCAGGCACCTGCCACCATCCCCAGCTGATTTTTTTGTATTTTTAGTAGAGACAGGGTTTCACCATGTTGGTCAGGCTGGTCTCAAACTCCTGACCTCAGGTGATCCACCCACCTTGGCCTCCCAAAATGCTGGGATTACAGGTGTGAGCCACCGCTCCTGGCCTTTTTGTTTTTTAAACTCAGCACTCATCTTAGTATTCTAATATATTATCTCCTAAATAAGTTTTTATTTAACTATTTAAAATTTTTATCAGATTTATACAGATATGTAATTTTAAAAGCCAAATATATATGTGTGTGTATATAAATTACAGATATGTAATTTAAAAAGCCAAAGACAGAACAAAAGCTATAGTCCGGTACCAACCCCTAATTCTCTCTTCCTAGAAGTAAAAGCACTTCGATGCTCAATTAGTTTTTATCTTCCTGTTTCTTAATAACAAGTTATATCAGTCAGGGTTCAGTGCAGCAACTAGAGATTACGCTAGGTAAATTAACAGGAAGACATTTTACAAAGGGTATTAAGAGCTTTTGAAATCTTTATAAGGGCTGAGGGCACAGGTTCTAAGCTGGGCTTTATGGAATGATATCCAGAATTATACAGATCTACTAGGTTTTCTTTTGATCATTTGTCTATGAATTTATCACAAATTTGTCAGCAGATTCTATAGAAGTCTATTTTTTCTCTGCAGTCTAATGTATTACAATTAATCAATTCCCTCTTTTTCTTGGTAATATCTTTCTGTAACCAGGTAAAGGAATTTTCTTAATCCCTGAGGTTTTGGCCCCAAGCCTTTTTTTTTTTTCTTTTTTCTTTTTGAGATCCACTCTGTCACCCAGGCAGAAGTGCAGTGGTGAAATCTTGGCTCACTGCAACTTCTGCCTTCTGGGTTCAAGAAATTCTCTGCCTCCGCCTCTTGAGTAGTTGGAATTACAGGCATGTGCCACCATGCCCAGCTAATTCTTTTGTGTGTTTTTGGTAGAGACGGGGTTTCACTATGTTGGCCGGGCTGGTCTCAAACTCCTAGCCTCAGGTGATCCACCCGCCTTGGCTTCACAAAGTGCTGGGATTACAAGCAGGAGCCACCATGCCCGGCCTCCAAACCATTTTAATCTGGACCTGCGGATCCCTAGTTCTCCTACACAGCAACCTCCTGGGATTTTCATTCTCCTCACTCTTTGGAGGATCCCACATCTTTATCTCTCCTGATCTAATCCCTTACTTTGATGGAACTTCCTAAGGAAAGGGGCAAGGGAGGGCAATTTTTGAAATTTTGTCTGAAAATGTCTTTTATATTATGATTACATCTGATTAATAGTTTTACTGAAAATAAAATTCCAAGTTGTAAAATTTACACCTAAATTAGGAAAGCACTGCTCCACTATCTTCCAGCTTCCAGTGCTACTGTTGAAAAGTCCTCAGCTAGGTGTTATGGTGCGCACCTGTAATACCAGCACTTTGGGAAGCCAAAGTGGGAGGATTGCTTGAGCCCAGGAGTTCAAGACCAGCCTGGGCAACGTAGTAAGATTTCGTCTCTACAAAAAATAAAATTAAATTTAAAAATTAGCTGGGCATGGTGGTACGTGTCTGTAGTTTTCAGAAGGCTGAGAGGGGACGATCCCTTGAGCCCAGGAGTTCAAGGCTGCAGTGATCCATGATTGTATCACTACGCTCCAGCCTGGGTGACAGAGTGAGATCCTGTCTCAAAAAAAAAAAAAAAAAAAAAGGAAAAGAGAAAGAAAAAAAGAGAAAACCCTATACCATTTGAGTTTTGATCTTTTTTATGTGACCTGTTTTTTTCTTTTTGTCCAATTTTGGGATTTTTCTTTTTGTCCTCAGTATTTTTAAAATTATGGTAGTATGCCTTGGATTTCATTCCTTTTGTTAGACACTTCTGTTAGACACTTGAGGTCTATCTCACTTTGGAACCATATCTCTCAGTTCTGAGAAAAGTTCTTGAATTATTTCTTTGATAATTTCATCCCTTCTGTTCCCTCTGTCTATTCTTTCTAGAAATCCTCCTATTCATCCAGATGATCTAATTTTCATATATTTTCTATACCATCTACATTTCTTTTCCTTTTTTTTTTTCTTTTGAGATGGAGTCACCCAGGTTGGAGTGTAGTGGCACTATCTCGGCTCACTCCAATCTCCACCTCTCTCGGGTTCAAGCGATTCTCCTGCCTTAGCCTCCCAAGTAGCTGGGATTACAGGCGTATGCCACCACGCCTGGCTAATTTTTGTATTTTTAGTAGAGACGGGGTTTCACTATGTTGGTAAGGCTGGTCTCGAACTCCTAATCTCAAGTGATCCACCCACTTCCGCAACTCAAAGTGCTGGGATTACAGGCCTGAGCTACTGTGCCCGGTCCCATCTACATTTCTTTACCCTTTGCTTCTTTTTAGAAGATTTCTTCAACTTTAAATTTTTTATTTAATAATGTGTTCTTTTACCATGGAGAAAATATCGTCTCTTATGTTTATGAAAATATTAATTGCAGTGGATTTTATTATTTGGCTCTTTGCATTCTCTAAATTTCCTCTTCTTCTTCTTCTTCTTTTTTTTTTTTTTTTTTTTTTGACAGGGTCTCTCTGTTGTGGTCCAGGGCAATGGCTTAATCACAGCTCAATGAAGCCTCGACCTCCCGGACTCAAGTGATCCTCCCATCTCAGCCTCCTGAGCAGCTGAGACTACAGGTGCACGCCACCGCGCCCGGCTAATTTTTGTACTTTTTGTAGACACAGAATCTCGCCATTTTGCTCAGGCTGTTCTTGAACTCTTGGGCTCAAGCGATCCGCCCAGCTTGGCTTGCGAAGGCACTGAGATTACAGGCGTGAGCCACCGCGCCTGGCTTTATATTCCTTAATTCTTGTGTTTTCAATACCTGTCTTTCATGTCAGTGGTTTTCATCCCATAATGACTAGTTTCTTATCAATGTATTGCCTCTCAACCGTAAATCCATCCTCTTAACTGATCTGTATTGAATTAAGCGGTTCTCCTTCGCAGCCAGCACAATATTAAGCTTTCTCAGTAGAGGGCGCCGGAGGGACACTGCCAGAGGAAAGAATTTCTTTTATCTCTGGTTCCGGGAGCTATGGTTTGTGATTCTTGTTGCTCCTGCGGCAGGGCCCATCAGTGGCCAGGTGGGAACATCTGGTGGTCTCTGTCCTAGCTGCGTGCTGACAGCATGCGTTCCCCCAGCGAGCTGGCCCTGACGTGGACCCTGCATGCCCCAGGCCTTGCATGCAGTGAGTGGGCTCCCGATGCCGCGACCCCCCCAGTTTCCTGCTTGCTCATGACTGTTCACAGGCTTTGGCCTGGGCATCCCAGGGAAATAATCTGGTACCTGGTGGGCACATGCACACTTTCTGCCTTGAGTTCTGAATCCAGCTTTGGGGTGGGGATGCTTCCACGTGTGTCCTTCTTTGGGTACTCTCCCGCGGCCCTACAGCATTCTTTGGAGTTCTCTGCACGTCTTTTTAGCCTGTTACAGCCAATAATTCTTTCTAATAATAAACTTTCTCTGCTCAAATTGGGGCTTGGGCTTTGTGAATGATACAGTAATCCTTGGCTTAGTTAGATCTTAAGCTGTTTGGAAACTCCAGGTGTGTGTGTTGGGGATGGGGGGAGGTTTCAGTGGGCTTCACCATAGTGCAAATGGGCTGAACTGTTTCTCCAGAAGACCCTTGTATTAGGGTCTAGTCAGGTGAAAGAAAAAAATCCAAATATTTAAACAGAGGTAATTTTGTTTTATTTTATTCTATTTGAAAAGGAATTTCACTCTGTTGCCCAGGCTGGAGTGCAGTGGCACAATCTCGGCTCACTGCAACCTCGGTCTCCCGGGTTCAAATGATTCTCCTGCCTCAGCCTCCCAAGTAGTGGGATTACAGGCACCTGCCACCACACCCAGCTAAGTTTTGTATTTTTAGTAGAGACAGGGTTTCACCATATTGGCCAGGCTGGTCTCAAACTCCTGACCTCAGGTGATCCACCTGCCTCGGCCTCCCAAAGTGCTGGGATTGCAAGCGTGAGCCTCCGCGCCCAGACAGAGGTAATTTTATATAAAGGATTGTTAACCACATATTGAGATCTAAAAAGACAAAAAGAGCACTGAGATACCGCAGAGGTAGAACGCGTGGGAATCAGGAATGGGGCAACTGCCTCTCCCTCAGTCTTGGGGAACTGAGGGAAGAGGTCAGTATTATTCAATGGGAGAATCTGGGAGGATGGCCCCACGGAGCTAGAATTCAGTTTCCTAAGGAGGAGCCTGGCCAGTGAGCCGGTATCACTGAGGCCACGGGAAGAGGCCTTTGCCGGGAGTGAGGAAGAACCACAGTTTGGGACTTGCTACTGCTGCTGGACCAGCTGTTGCTACAGGGCTGAAGATCCTCGGCTGTGGTGATGCCGGCAGGATTGGGAGGCCAACAAGGGAAGGGATCCCTTCTTCCTCCAGTGCTGACACCTCCCTCTACACCTAAGAGGGAGCCAGCTGGGAAGGAGAGAGTGGAAGAGGGTTTTGAAGTCAAGTGACAGTAGCTTAATATCCGTCAGAACCCCCTTACTCCTGTGTTCCTAGGTGTTTTTCCTTGTCTGGTCAGTTTCTCCAGAGAAGGTTTCTCTATTAATCGGCCTGGGGCAAGTCTGGCTGCTGGAGTTCTCAGAACCAACTTCATGGAGGGGACCAGGAAGCCTTACTGTTCGATAGGCAGGCTTTTACATAATCCTAAATGACTTTTTCTTTTCTTTTATTGCTTCTCTTATTTTATTTCTTTTATTATTACTTATTTTCTATTTTTTAAATTATTTTATTTTGTTTTCTTCTGGCCACATAAAGCCAGAAGGCCATAGGCTATATATATATATATGTAATTTTTTTTTTTTTGGTAGAGCTGGGGATCTTGCTCTGTTGCCTAGGCTGGTCTTGAATTCCTGGACTCAAGTGATCCTCCTGCCTTGGCCTCCCAAAGTGCTAGGATTATAAGCATGAGCTATCACGCCCAGCCTTAAATGATTTTCATTGTGGTTCCCAGGATGTGGCATGGTTCAACGCCTCCAGCGAGCAAACCACTCATTAGGGTGGAATATAGGGGGTCACTCTGCCATGTGCGTTGAGTTAGGAGATCTAGGGTTCTAGTGGCTTCTTACATAGACCATCAGCCTCTGGTTCCAGGCCTCTTGCACACTCACGTTTGGGATACTTCGTTTCTCCATTCCTTACTGGGGTTCTGCTATGTGAAATCAGCCTGCTTCTGGGATTCTCCCACTGACATTTTACCTTTAAATTTCTCTTATCTGCTAAGACCTTTGTCTATTTGTTATCCAGATCATTATTCTCTATTTATTTAGATTGTGTAGTCAGTTTCTCTCTCTCTCTCTCTCTCTCTCCTCTCCCCCCGCCTTTTGTTCTTGTCAGTCCTTGCCTTTTAAAACCCCTTTATCACATTTTGGTGGGATTTCTGCTGGGAGCAGAGATGGTTGTGTTCAATCAGCTACATAAAGCCTGAAGGCCCGGCCAGGCACAGTGGCTCAGGCCTGTAATCCCAGCACTTTGGGAGGCCAAGGTGGGCGGATCATCTGAGGTTAGGAGTTCAAGACCAGCCTAACCAACATGGAGAAACCCCGTCTATACTAAAAAAAAAAAAACAAAAAACTTAGCCAGCCGTAGTGGTGCATGCCTGTAATCCCAGCTACTCAGGAAGGCTGAGGCAGGAGAATCACTTGAACCCAGGAGGCGGAGGTTGTGGTGAGCCAAGATCCTGCCACTGTACTCCAGCCTGGGAACCAAGAGCGAAACTCAGACTCAAAAAAAAAAAAAAAAAGCCCGAAGTCCCAGTTGAATTTGTGGTGTAGATGTGGTGGGTGGGCTCTGGGTACCCAGCGCAGCTTAGCTGGCAGTATGTAGAAGTGAATACCAGGAAGTCTTTCTTTTCATTTCCCTCTGTTTTCTCTGGCTTGCCTCTGCCCAGGTGGCACTGGGGCCTCTGCTTCAGTGTATGCCTCAATGTATTTCCAACAAGATCCTTTCTTACGGAGACGGAGATGAGACAGCCCAGAAATCTGACTGATATGCCATGCTGTGGAGAGATCTTCCGGGAACAAGAGGGAGTTTGCAGTTCTCATTCTATTTTTGCTGGCCTCTAATGATCAGAAGCAAAGCAGAGCCAAAACAAATAGGCTAATTTACATTCCCTGCTATTAATGCTCATAAAATGCTGCATTTTTATATTGCTGCTCAAAGCACAGACTGCAGAAAGAGTATTGAGGTGGTTCTGACAGCAATCTTAAGAACTGCAGAGAGACTCTCTTGCTCAGTAATTTTCTCCTTCTTTTAAAAATAAGGCTGGACATGGTGGCTCACATCTGTAATACCAGCACTTTGGGACACCGAGGTGGGAGGATAACTTGAGTCCAGGAGTTCAAGACCAGCCTGAGCAACATAGTAAGACCCCCATCTCTACAAAAAATACAAAAATTAGCCAGGTGTGGTGGCTCACACCTGTAGTCCCAGCTGCTTGGGAGGCTAAGGTAGGAGGATCACCTCAGCCCAGGGAAGTTGAGGTTGCGATAAGCCATGATTGCACCACTGCACTCTAGTCTGGACAACAGAATGAGACCCTGTCTCAAAAAAATAAATAAATAAAAATAAATAAATTAAATAACATTGGCTGGACATGGTGGCTCACGCCTGTAATCCCAGCACTTTGGGAGGCCGAGGCAGGAGGGCTTGAGTCCAGGAGTTTGCAACCAGCCTGGACAACGTAGTGAGATCTCCATCTCTACAAAAAGCGAACAAAATTAGCCAGGCATGGTGGCGTGTTCTTGTAGCCCCAGCTACTCAGGGAGCTGAGGTGGGAGGATTGCCTGAGCCTGGGAGGCTGAGGCTGCAATGAGCCGAGATCGCACCACTGCCCTCCACCCTGGGCAACAGAGCGAGATCCTGTCTCAAAAAGGAAAAAAAAATTATCAGGTTTGAAATAAAATATACATAATATAAGAAAACAAAAGTAATTTCTAACCCCAATAAATAAAGATAGAAGACATTGTTAACATTTTGGTATATTTTCTTCTTCTGTTTTTTTTTTGTTGTTGTTTTTGTCTTATTTTATTTAGAGATGGTCTCCCTCTGTTGCCCAGGCTGGGGTGCAGTGGTACAATCAGCTGACTGTGACCTTGAACTCCTGGGCTCAACTGATCCTCTGACTCAGCCCCCCAAGTAGCCAGGACTACAGGCATGTGCCATCACATCTAGCTTTTTTTCTTTTTCTGAAATAAGAATGGGTTATATTTTGCTGTAACAACATGGGGTTAGGGACCAGGCCTGCGTAGTTGTAGTCATGCTTTATGATATGGCTGGTGACTCAGTTAACTGCTGGTTCATGAGCTGGAGCAATCCCAAAATGGTTTTCTAAAGGATGCCTGGCCCTGGTGTTTCCACACTGGCTCCTGTGGAGCATCTCTAAGCAGAGGCTGCATGGTGTTCTGTCCAGGTGGGAGCACAGGCTGAGTGACTCAGTTTTCATGAGGCGATGTATACCTGTTGCCCGCCCAAATGAGTTCTTAACAAATGGTAATGAGACTGGCCACCGTGGCTCACGACTGTAATCCCAGCACTTTGGGAGGCTGAGGCTGGCGGATCACTTGAGGTCAGGAGTTGGAGATCAACCTGGCCGACATGGTGAATCCCCGTCTCTACTAAAAATACAAAAAATTAGCTGGGCGTGGCGGGTGACTGGAGTCCCAGATGCTTGAGAGTCTGAGGCAGGAGAATCACTTGAACCCGGGAGCCGGAGGTTGCAGTGAGCCGAGATGGCGCCACTGCACTCCAGCCTGGACAACAGAGTGAGACTCCACCTCAAAAAAAAAAAAAAAGAAATAAACAAAGCAGATATACAGTAGTCCCTTGGTATATGAGGGGGATTGGTTCCAAGACTCCTGTGTATACCAAAACCTACACATATTCAAGTCCCACAGTCAGCCCTTTGGGTCCCAAATATATGTAAAGTTGGGCCTTTGTATACATGGGTTTCACATGTCACCATTACTGTGTTTGTGATCTGCATTTGATTGAAAATAACCCATGCATAAGTGGACCTAAGTGGACCTATGCAGTTCAAATCCATGTTGCTCAAGGGTCAACTATATGGACATTAAATTAAGCAAGACATAAACTGGGATGTTAAAGCATGAGCAATAAATTAAAACTCAAAGAAATGACAGAAACCATTAGAGAAAATCAAATGAAGTATTGCTAAAAAATTTTAGGCAATTTTAACAAAACAGGAAAAACTTTATCAAGTTGATTTTTGCAAAGAAACTGGAACATGAGCTCCCTCCACTCACGTGTCTGTGCCCCTCAGAAGGGCGGTCCTGAGGAGCCAGCACATAGCCCAGGACTGACGTTAATGCCCTCAGGCAGGCTCCCACTGCCTCCTCTGCGCCTGCCTTCTCTCACTTTCTAGAATCCCAGTCCTAAAACTCTGTTTGATGTTTAGCAAAGGAAGACATATTCAGACATGCATAATAATGGTAGAAGACAGAGGTGAGGAATGCTGTGAAAGGTGTCCAAGGGGCCATGGAGAGCCCTGGGACTCTGGGGCTACCCCAAGGAGGCTGTGTTTTAAAATGTGTTTACACAGGCCTTTTCCATCATAAGTACATCTTTATTATTTTATGTATTTTGGAAAACACAGAAAAGTATTTCAAAAGCAAATCCTAAAGTAGTAAGCCTTAGATCATTGTGAAAGTTAATTTTTAAAAATATTTATTAAATTTAATGAATTAATTAATTTTTTGAGGCATGGTCTTACTCTGTCACTCGGGCTGGAGTGCAGTGGCACAATCACGGCTCACTGCAGCCTCAACTTCTCAGGCTCAAGAGATCCTCCCACCTCAGCCTCCCGAGCAGCTGGGACCACAGGCACTCGCCACCATGCCTAGCTAATTTTTTCTCGT
This sequence comes from Homo sapiens, assembly GCF_000001405.40. Lineage (NCBI taxonomy): Eukaryota > Metazoa > Chordata > Mammalia > Primates > Hominidae > Homo > Homo sapiens. Next base: position 2,556,420 of record NT_113891.3, on the reverse strand, counting down.
TGTTTTTTGTAGGGACAGAGTCTCACTATATTCCCCAGGCTGGTCTTGAACTCCTGGGCTCAAGCAATCCACCCATCTAAACCTCCCAAAGTGCTGAGATTACAGGGATGAGCTGCTGTGCCCAGCCAAAGGTTAATTTCATGTGTCAGTATGCTTAAGCCATGGTACCCAAATATTTGGTCAAACATTATTCTAGATGTTTCTACTAAGGTATTTTGTAGATGAAATCAACATTTAAATGGATGGACTTTGAATAAAGCAAATTACCCTCCCGTATGTGAGTGGGTCTGACATCCCCCAAGGAAGAGGGAATTCTGCCTCCAGGTTGCCCTTAGGCCTGAACTGTGACATTAACTTTTGTCTCCAAGCCTGCCAGTTTTCCCTGCAAATTTTGGACTTGCCAATCTCCACAATCGTGTGAGCCAATTCCTTAAAATCTCTCTCTCACCTATATGAGCTCCTTTGAGTGTGTCTTCTCATCTATATGAGAGAGAGAGAGAGACAGAGAGAGAGAGGTTTTAGTTCTGTTTCTCTGGAGAACCCTAATACAGTTATGGTTTCATTTTAAAACATTTTTTTCTAGTCTTTTCTTTATACCTAGGTGGTTGTTGTTGTTTAGGTTTTTGTTTTTGTTCTTTTTGAGGGGTTGTATTTTATTGTCACCAATTGCATATATAATTGTGTGTTCCTTAATTCCTTATATTTATTTATTTATTTATTTTTGAGACAGTCTAGTTCTGTCACCCAGGATGGAGTAAAGTGGCGTGATCTCTGTTCACTGCAACCTCTGCCTGCCGGGTTCAAGAGATTCTCGTGCCTCAGCCTCCCAAGTAGCTGGAATTACAGGCACCCACCAACCACGCCTGGCTAATTTTTGTATTTTTAGTAGAGATGGGGTTTTGCCATGACCTCAAGTGATCCGCCAGCCTCGGCCTCCCAAAGTGCTGGGATTACAGCATGAGCCACTGTGCCTGGCCTTTAATTCTTTTTAAATAAATTATTATGACACTATTGTCTTCTTTGTTAATATAAGTTTTAATAAAAGTCACTTAAGTGGCTTCCCAATGATGCACAAAGTACATAGTCTATAATTTATAGTTTTTACTGCTAAATGTTTCTGCTGCTTCCAATATTTTGTTAAGATAGTAAACTGTAATGCACTTTTTTTGTTTATAAAGCTTTTTACACAATTGAGAATTGGATAGATTCCCAGAAATGAGATGACTGCATTGAAGTCACAGGCTAAGAGACACAAAGAGAACAGCAGCGACCCGCAGCAAGCTGGGCCAGAGGCTCCAGAGACTGCTGTCGAGGCCTGCTGGGGAGGAAGCCATGGCCAGTGGGGGGGCCACGAGTGGGCACAGAATCCACCCTCAGCTCCCACAGCTGCCCTCAGCCTCATGTTTAATCAGGCTCCACTAAAGACCTAGGGATAACAGAAGAGAATTCCAGGTACACTTAAAACTGGAAATGAGACATGGTGCTTTCAGATTTCAGAGGCCCACGCCCCTCCCTGTATGCACTTGCTACAGGAGGCTTCTCTGCCTCACCTTTAGCACGCTCTGAGTTTTGGGGGCCAGCATAACTCCCCAAGATAGGTGGCTCCCTTGAGTGTGCCTTCACTATGCAAAATACAGGCTCCCAACTCTGTTCTTGTTCTGGTTCAAAGACAGCAGGAAGTTTCCCCACTCAATCCAGCTTGCGGCCCACCTACCTACCAGTACCTGTGTTCTTTAGGATGATTTAAAGTGAGAATGAGCTACTCTCTGGAGGAGAAACATCCCAACCTATGGCCTGTGACCTCAGTGCCTTATGACCTGTGAGAGAGACTACATGTCCAGCAGAAATATACATGTATTTCTCTGTGAGAGAGACTACATGTCCACAGAAAGCGAGCTCCGTGTAATTTACAAAGTTCTAGTAGTCACATCAAAAAGGTAAAAAACAACAGGTGAAATTAATTCTAATAGTAAATTTTATTTAACACAGCATATCCAAAATATTGTGATTTTGACAAGTAATAAACATAAAAATTATTAGTGAGATATTTTACTGTTTTTGTACTAAGTCTTTGAAATCTCATGTGTGTCTTGCACTTAAGAGCACATTTGTATTTGGACTAGCCACACTTCATGTGCTCAGTTGCTACATGTGGCTAATGGCTACCATGTAGGACAGCACAGACTTACTGCACAGCTTACCTGAGGAGATCCTAGCAATAAATACTTGTCTTGCATCGCATGTGTCTCAAGAATAAGTTATTATTATTAATTAGTTTTTTTTCCTTGAGATGGAGTCTTGCTCTTGTAGCCCAGGCTGGAGTGCAGTGGCATGATCTTGGCTCACTGTAACCTCTGTCTCGTGGGTTCAAGTGATTCTCCTGCCTCAGCCTCCCGAGTGGCTGAGATTACAGGTGCACACCACCACGCCTGGCTAATTTTTGTATTTTTAATAGAGATGGGGTTTCACCACTTTGGCCAGGCTGATCTCAAACTCCTGCCCTCGGGTGATCTGCCCTCCGCCCGCCTCCTCGGCCTCCCAAAGTGCTGGGATTACAGGCGTGAGCCACTGTGCCCAGCCAAGAATACGTTATTTAGTCTTGAATTACAGATTTCATTGAACATCTACAGATCAGTCTATGACGTCCTTAACTTGCTCAGTGGAGCCAGTTTTCCCCATTCCAAGATGAAAATATGGACAGTACTAAGACTGTTCTGATCTCTCTTAGGTCCTGTAGTTATTTTATATTACCAAACACAATGCCAATTCAGAAACTCAACGTTTAGTTCCAAAGGTAAGTCTCCTTTCCTCCAGCAAGGGCTTTGCAAGGATGGGAAGATGAGAAATGGGGAAACAGGTCCTCAACATTATGCATCTATCCTTCTTCTCCTGTCTTGCTAATGGTGGTTTCTAACCCTCCAAGGTTGAGTAGAATGGGGAAGGGTTGGGGGAAGGAGTGGTCTGGGGCGTGGAGCAGGCACGGTTTGCAAGAGGGCTTTGCATTCTCTGGGACTGGTAGGGGCTTACAGGGGATTCCTCCTCCTTGGGTGCTTCTTCCGAGACCCCTCACCCCTAATGCCATACAGTTGCAAATGAGGATTTCTTTCCACGATTTATTCCTCCCACAGCTCATAGGAATGCAGTAATCACTTCAGCTTCTCTCTGCTGAGGCCTGTTGATGCCTGTAGGTGGCCACATCAGACAGGATTAGCTCGGCTCCACATCAGCTCGCTTCCTAGCATGCCTCACACTAGTCTGCTGGAAATACTTACACAGCCTTGCCCTGAAAACCTGGGATACAGGTCCCCAGTGCCTCCTCCTTTCCTACACTCCCACTCCCAGGGCAGAAAACCAGCCTGTCTCCTACCATGAGGTCTGCAGACAAATGTCAGATGCCAGCCCATTGCAGTCTGTCCACTGGGGAGGGGGAAGCTTTATGCAGGACAATAGGAAAAAAGAGTGAAACTATTCTGAATTAGATGTTTATATACATAAAATGATATTGCTTGACACCTGAAGGGAACAAGAAAAACTCTGGAGCTTTCTTGATCTAGTGACATGAAAGAAAGATGAGGTCCATGTGCTGTGGCTCATGCCTATAATCCCAGCACTTTGGGAGGCTGAGGCTGGAAGATACCTTGAGTCCAGGAGTTCAAGGCCAGCCTGGGCAACATGGTGAGACCTAATCTTTATTGAAAAAATAAAAATAAAACGTAGCAGGGCATGGTGGTGCATGCCTATGATCCCAGCTATTTGGGAAGCTGAGGTGAGAAGATTACTTGAGCCAGTGAGATTAAGGCTTCTATGAGCCATGATCATGCCACTGCATTCCAGCAAATTAAAAAAACTTAAAATTTTTTTTAGGCTTGACTTGAAACTCAGAGACCTTGAAAAAGAAAGAAAAAGAAGAAGAAAGAAAGAAAGAAAGAAAGAAAAAAAGAAAGAAAAGATGGGACCATTGGTCGCCATGGACACTGTTTCCACAGCTACTTTGCTATTTTGATTGTCATTGCGTATTGTTTGAAAGACTCTGCTATGAGAAAAATATAACTATTTCTCAATTTAACCGTGATAGACTATAAGTAGATAAAATAAGGTTGAGACAGATTAAATAAACTATTAAGGGGAAGAACTAGACTAGAACCCAGGTTTTCTGGCTTCTTATCTGGTGTCTGTTTTCACTCTGAAACTCACTTAGGGTCACGGACTCACTGACTCACAGATTCAGTGTGACAAAGATAATCAGAAACCAAGTCACTGTAACAAAAGCCCCCTAAAGACAGGACACCAGCTCACTGCTGTATCCTCAGTGTTGACGTCAGTGTGCTTGTCCAATAATCCACACTTAATAAATGTGAGTAGAATGAGTGAATTAATTAATTAATGGTTTAGTTGTTTAGTTTGTGAGGGAACAAGTATCTGAAAATGTTAAATGAATCACTGAAAGTCATTTATATATATGTGTGTGTGTATATATATACATATATATATATATATTTTTTAAATACAGAGTCTTGCTATGTTATCCGAGCTGGTCTCCAACTCCTGAGCTCAAGCAAACCACTCGCCTCGGCCTCCCAAAGTGCTGGGATTACAGGTGTGAGCCACCTCACCCTGTAATATAATATAAATGCCGAAAGTCATTTATATTTTATAGGTTGTAAGACATATATTTATTTTCCCATTTATCATCTCTTGAATAGGGATGCGTCTTACAATCAATGGCGTGTCATAGTTTAACCCGCTGTGTTTTCCTCTTAGTGCTGCATGAAATAATGGTATGTTTTCCGGCAACGGAGCTTTAGATGCAATGAGGAGCAGCAGTTGTTTGTGGACATACGTTGTGTCTCATGTCAGTGAGTGCAAGGAAAGGGGGAGGTGGGGGTGACCCCGTGGGATGCAAAACAAGTCAACTTCTCCAGGCCCTCAGAAGTGGCGCTCAATCTCCAGAGAGGCGCCCATCTCGCAGAGGGCCACTACCCGGTCATTGCCACTAGGGGGCTACCAGACATTTCATCAGGAAGACACAGGCAGTCTTTGGGCCTCTCTTCCGACCAGGCCATTTGTTGCCATGGATATTGTTTCCATAGTTGCTTTGACTGTCACTGCATTTCCCCTGATTATCTGTTTTTGCATGCTGAATATATACTATAATCCAATCTTCATCCTCATCAATTTAACAATTTTATCATATCTAGATTTTTCAAATGGCCAGTTTTCATCAATTGTGACGTTCATGGCATTTGACTTTGTTAGTGAGTTCTGCTTTTGCAGCCCCTGTGTTCCAGTATACAATACTGCATTATACCTCAGCTCACTTCACAAATTGGGTATCCACTGCAAGCAACTAAGCACAAGTAGTGAATACTAATCCAAATGAAAGAATGGGTCTGTTGTGGTGTTAGCGCAAGAGAAAATTCCTCTGCTCCATGGTGCATTAGTAGTAGCTCATTTTGCTTGCTGCCCCATTTGATTACATTGTTGGTGGTAAATATCACTGCTGAAAGTTCCATGAATTTCTTAAAGGTCTCCAAAGAAGATGTGGAACATTGAAGCATTTCACAACGTTTGCATGTACATGACAGCAATATTCATTCGCTTCTGCCAGGCACCTTGAAGGCAAAAGCTATTTACATGGCTCTCCACTGTGTTCTCATAGCCATGCACAGGCTTATATGTCCTCTGCAAAGATGTGATAGATGATCAAAGGAAACATCCAGTCTCCTCCCTCTCCCTCTCCCTCCCCCTCCCCCTCCCTCTCCTCCCCCTCCCCCTCTCCCTCTCCTCCCTCTCCCTCTCCTCCCTCTCCCTCTCCTCCCTCTCCTCCCTCTCCCTCCCCTCCCTCTCCCTCTCCTCCCTCTCCCTCTCCCTCTCCCCACGGTCTCCCTCTCCCCCTCCCTCTCCCTCTCCCCACGGTCTCCCTCTCCCCCTCCCTCTCCCTCTCCCTCTCCCCGCGGTCTCCCTCTCCCCCTCCCTCTCCCCACGGTCTCCCTCTCCCTTTCCCCACTGTCTCCCTCTCCCTCTCCCTCTCCCTCTCTCTCCACGGTCTCCCTCTGATGCCGAGCCGAAGCTGGACTGTACTGCCACCATCTCAGCTCACTGCAACCTCCCTGCCTGATTCTCCTGTCTCAGCCTGCCCAGTGCCTAGGATTGCAGGCGCGCGCCGCCACGCCTGATTGGTTTTCGTATTTTTTTGGTGGAGACGGGGTTTCGCTGTGTTGGCCGGGCTGGTCTCCAGCTCCTAACCGCGAGTGATCTGCCAGCCTCGGCCTCCCGAGGTGCTGGGATTGCAGACGGAGTCTCAATCACTCAGTGCTCAATGTTGCCCAGGCTGGAGTGCAGTGGCGTGATCTCGGCTGGCTACAACCTCCACCTTCCAGCTGCCTGCCTTGGCCTCCCAAAGTGCCGAGATTGCAGCCTCTGCCCGGATGCCACCCCGTCTGGGAAGTGAGGAGCGTCTCTGCCTGGCCGCCCATTGTCTGGGATGTGAGGAGCCCCTCTGCCTGGCCGCCCAGTCTGGGAAGTGAGGAGCGCCTCTTCCCGGCCGCCATCCCATCTAGGAAGTGAGGAGCATCTCTGCCGGGCCGCCCATCGTCTGAGATGTGGGGAGCGCCTCTGCCCCGCCGCCCCGTCTGGGATGTGAGGAGCGCCTCTGCCCAGCCGCGACCCCGTCTGGGAGGTGAGGAGCGTCTCTGCCCGGCCGCCCCGTCTGAGAAGTGAAGAGCCCCTCCGCCCGGCAGCCGCCCCGTCTGGGAAGTGAGGAGCATCTCCGCCCGGCAGCCGCCCCGTCAGGGAGGGAGGTGGGGGGGCAGCCCCCGCCCGGCCAGCCGCCCTGTCCGGGAGGTGAGGGGCACCTCCGCCCGGCAGCCCCGACTGGGAAGTGAGGAGCCCCTCTGCCCGGCAGCCACCCCGTCTGGGAGGTGAACCCAACAGCTCATTGAGAACCGGCCATGATGACGATGGCGGTTTTGTCGAATAGAAAGGGGGAAATGTGGGGAAAAGATAGAGAAATCAGATTGTTGCTGTGTCTGTGTAGAGGGAAGTAGACAGGGGAGACTCCATTTTGTTCTGTACTAAGAAAAATTCTTCTGCCTTGGGATGCTGTTAATCTATAACCTTACCCCCAACCCCGTGCTCTCTGAAACATGTGCTGTGTCCACTCAGGGTTAAATGGATTAAGGGCGGTGCACCATGTGCTTTGTTAAACAGATGCTTGAAGGCAGCGTGCTCGTTAAGAGTCATCACCACTCCCTAATCTCAAGTACCCAGGGACACAAACACTGCGGAAGGCCGCGGGGTCCTCTGCCTAGGAAAACCAGAGACCCTTGTTCACTTGTTTATCTGCTGACCTTCCCTCCACTATTGTCCTATGACCCTGCCAAATCCCCCTCTCCGAGAAACACCCAAGAATGATCAATAAATACTAAAAAAAAAAAAAAAGAAAAAGAAAAAGGAAACATCCATGCCACCTCCTTTCATGGGTAGAAGGTAGAAGCTGAAAAAGTCTTCTGGGTATGGAAACTCACGAATACCTCGAGGCCAACTTGGTTCAGGGTTGCTGCCTAAAAAACTCTGGGTGAGGTCCTGAGTTGAAAACAAAACATCTCTGCTTGTGTTCAATTTTCAAATTCTTTTGAGGGTGAGGCCTGAGAAGTCGCAAACATCTTAAAAAGCAGAACTCACTAGTAAAGGCAAATAAATGCCATAAATGTCACAATTGATGACACGTTCCCTACCATCCATCACACACACAAGAATGTTTTTTCTGTGTATCCACGACTTGTTTTCAGACTGGGGGCTCCTCAAGAATAGGGACTGTGTCTGGTTTTTCTTGCTTGGCTCAAAACCCAATACAGATTGGAGGAAAGATCCGAGAGCCTGCCATTGCAAGCCTAAAGAAGAGAAGACTGAAGGATAAAAGTGTTCATACCTGTGAGTGATTTTTGTAGAGACAGTGCAGAACAGTTCATCACTTGAGATTCAGTCCAAATGAGATAAAAAGTGAGTAATCCTGGAGCCAGGAAACCTGAGTTTAACTCCCTCACCCCCCACCCCTCCCTGCCACTTACCGTTAAGGAGGTTTGGGGACAATTTATTTAACTTCTCTGAACTTCAGTCTTTGCATTTCTAAGACAGGATGGTTCTCCTACCTCACAGAGGTGATGTGAAGATCAAAAGAATCCACATATGTGACAGCAGCTCAAAGTGCCCCACAAATATGTCACAAGTCTCCGGTCAGTTACCCTATCCCTTGGGAAGCTTTCCAGGATCTGCACAGGCTGAATGAGATCCCTTCTCTGGACTCTGCCCGAAAGCATTCCTTTATTGTAGCACTTAGCATGTTGCACTGTAATTGCTGGTTTTCTTGTCCTTGAGGGTAAGAACTATGTCATTCACTTCTGTTGGTTGGCTGCCTCTGTTCCCAAAAGAATTCCCAGCACCATACTAGACAGTTACTAAAGGAATCCTAGGCCAGGTGCAGTGGCTCATACCTGTAATCCCAGCACTCTGGGAGGCCAAGGTGGGTGGATCACAAGGTCAGGAGTTCGAGATCAGCCTGGCCATCATAGTGAAACCCTGTCTCTACTAAAAATACAAAAATTAGCCGGGTGTGGTGGCACGCGCCTGTAGTCCCAGCTACTCAGGAGGCTGAGGCAGGAGAATTGCTTGAGCCTGGGAGGCGGAGGTTGCAGTGAGCTGAGACCACACCATTGCAATCCAGCCTGGGTGACAGAGTGAGACTCTGTCTCAAAAAAAAAAAAAAAGGAATCCTAATTTCCTTGTGTTTACAAATAAGACCAAAACAGAAGAAATAGCACCAAAAGAAAGCATACATTTATTCGTTTATTCCAAAATGTGTATTTCATCCCATCTAAGATGACGTTGAATGCAAGATGCAGCATTACTTATGCCCCACTAAGGAAGAAAGAGTGCTACTGACTGGTTCATGATGTGCTATCAAGTGTAAGACACTTTTCCATTTTTAAACGTTTCTTGGTTTTTTTTTTTAGGCAGTGTCTTGCGATGTTGCCCAGGCAGGTCTCTAACTCCTAGCTCTGGGCAATCCTCCCACCTTGTCCTCCAAAAGTCCTGGGATTACAGGCCTGAACCACTGCAGCCAGTGGACATCTCCATTTTATTTTTATTATTATTTTTTTAAGACAGCATCTCACTCTGTCACCCAGGCTGGAGTGCAGTGGTGCAATCTCGGCTCACTGCAACCTCCACCTCCCAGGTTCAAGTGATTCTCTTGCCTCAGCCTCCTGAGTAGCTGGGACTACAGGTGTGTGCCACCAGCGCCCAGCTAATTTTTGTATTTTTAGTAGAGACGGGGTTTCACTATGTTGGCCAGGCTGGTCTCCAACTCCTGACGTCAAGTGATCCACCTGCCTCAGCCTCCCAAAGTGCTGGGGTTACAGGTGTGAGCCACTACGCCCATCCGACATCTCAATTTTAGATTACGATCCAATGGGGAAGATGTGCATCAGAGGCTCAATGAAGCATATGATTATTAAATATCTAATCTATCTCATATATTGTCCTCAAAACCCCTATTCTCAAGGAACTGACATTCTAGTGGAAGGAGACAGACATAAAACAAATAAGTTAACACGTAAATAAGCATAAGTTCAGATTGTCGTCAGCTCCATAAAGAAAATAAATATGGTAATCTGTAGAGACTGAAGAGAGGGGTTTGTTTTAGATGAATCACAAGAAAGGTCCTGAATAGATCTGAAAAATAACTACGTGTTTTCTAAGGTGTCAAACAATACCTCGCTAAGGGAGAGTGTTGAATCACTGTTGCTTCACCAAACATTCTTGTTTAGAAAGACAGGGGACTGGACCAGAGTGTGCATTCGCAGACGTTTTAATGAGAGGTGACACTCCCCAAAAGGCATAAATCCTGTTCAGGCACAATCTAGAGGGGTGTGCTTACTTGCCTGGTGTCCTCAATCTGGACTTGTGCAAGTTGGGTTCAGCTGGACCTGGTATGACTCCTTGATGACACCTGAAGAGGTCCTTTAAACACTGGACTTCATAAAGAGAAAAGGAGGATTAGCTGTATGATTAACTGTATGCATTTACCAAAGGCATGGAATGCACAGATATGTGCGACAACTTATAAGTGTCATCTGAGTATGAGTATATTATGGTTTGAGAGTCAACTACCAAATCTTGTAGTTCAGGTCCCAGGAGTGGTTAGAAAGGTATTTCCCTTATTCATTGAGGCTTCATTTTTTTTTTCTTCCCTTATGGGTGTTCTGCAGCATCTTCTCCTTGTCTTTTCTACCTTCAATACTCTCCAGAGACCAGATCTTCATGTATATCTCTCTGGGCTCTCAAATGCCAAAACCATACTCTCCTTCACGGTAGCACCCTGAGGGGGTGGACTTATTCTGGAGAAAGCTACGTGGCAAGTTGAAGGAGACTGACTGGGTAAAGCCCCTGTGCCTCTGGCAGAACTGCTGCCACAAAGGGATATGCGTATCCTGGGAATAATTAGTACAGGCCAGTTGCTACTGACTTTAAGGATGTTCCTTATGCTTCAATCCTATGTACAACTCTGGGATCTTTGGAGAGCAGCAAAAAGACTGAGATTGAATTTCCCTCTAATCTGACAGGAGCAGAAATTAACATTTTCTTTCTTTTATTTTTCTCTTCGAGACAAGGTCTCTCTCTGTTGCCCAAGATGGAGGGCAGTGACATGATCACAGCTCACTGCTGCCTCGACCTCCTGGGCTCAAGCAATCCTCTCACCTCAGCCTCCCAAGTAGCTGGGACTACAGGCATACACTACCATACCCAGCTAATTTTTAATTTTTTTGTAGAGACGAGGTCTCACTATGTTGCCCAGGCTGGTCTTGAACTCCAGGCCTCAAGCAATCCTCCTGCCTCAGCCTCCCAAAGTGTTGGGATTACAAGCGTGAGCCACTGTGCCCAGCCTTTTTCTTTCTTTCTTTCTTTTTTTCTTTTTTTTTTGAGACAGGATCTTGCTCTGTCGCCCGGGCTGGAGTACAGTGGCACAGTCATGGCTCACTGCAGCCTCCACCTCCTGGGCTCAAGCGAGCCTCTTGCCTTAGCCTCCCAAGTATCTGAGCCTACAGGCATGTGCCACCACACTCGGCTAATTTTTTTTTTATTTTTAGTAGAGACAAGGTCTCACCATGTTGCCCAGGCTGGTGTAGATCTTCTGAGCTCAAGTGATCTTCCTACCTCGGTCTGCCAAAGTGCTGCGATTACAGGTGTGTCATCCTGCCTGGCCAGAAATTAACTTGATTGAAAGAAAAGAAAAGCTTTTGATATGCTAGCGTTTTTGCATGCATGCTTTTGCATGCTAAAGTTTCTATGCCATTTACAGAGATTTCATGGTCTCTTCAATTGCTCTAAGTTGTCCTTGAGGTGCAGAAACTCAAGCACACAGACTTCTCAGCTAGAATTTGTAGCTCTAGCAATTCCTTTGTTTATTGCACAAACCTAGCTTGTACCGAGACCAAAAGTTCTGCCCCCTTGAAGACCAAGGCAGATTCTGGAATTCCTTGTGCTTGCCAATACCCTTTGACAAATGCCCAGCCCCAAACCCCAGCCTGAACTTCAGGAGGAAGATTTTATAGAAACACATTGGACTTTTCCTGCCTGTATATTAACCAAGAGACTCTTCTGTCACTCTTTTTTCCTGCAATAAACTGATATTCATGCAAGTATCTCTAATCACAAAATTCTCCCTTGGCCACTTGCTGCCTCCATGGGGGCAGAAGAGGGAGATCATTTTATTATTCTCCCATTCCCCACTATGTGTAGCTCCCACATTCTTAAAATCCTGAGCACTGTGTCTTCCCAAATGTGTCATGGAGATATTCGCAGAAGTCTGCATGTTCTAGATGATGTTTATGTGTCATATCATTTAGGATCCCATTTAGCTGGAATCACAAGAAGCTCACCTCACTGAGCTCCGGCACACTGCTCATCTCATATACGAAATGTCCGAGAGGAGCAGCCCAGGGCTCAGTATTGCCATCGGGCACCCAAGTGATTTCTTCCCTCTGCTCCACTCTCAGCTTGAAGCCTTCACCCTGCTGTGGGTCTCCCCCTGACCTCAGCATTGCTGAGCCCCAGGTCTCATATCTGCATTCCAGGTAGGAAGAGGAACGAAGGGGAAGGGGCAAAGGGCTTTCTCCTCATGAGCTTTGGCCTTTTCATCTGGAAGGGACACCATCCCCAGGAACTTATGCCTTTATCACATTGGCCAGAGCTGTATCTCCTCACTGCACTGGCTGCAAGGGGGACCGGGAAATTGGGGATTTGGGAAATGGTTTTCTTCAGCTGGGCACATTACCATCACCCCCAAAACTCAGGTTCTCCAAGTGTAAGGGAAGGGGAGACTAGAGCTGTTTCTGTCACGTTTTCCTTCAGGTAATAATCTTGAAAATCCCCATAATATAAGCATTTCCTGGATTCTATTGATGACCAATATAAAACCAACATAAAGCTAATAGAAATGATTAGTCTTTACAATTGCACAGCCTAACAAGAGTAGAACGAGAACTGTCTTAAAATTTAAACGGTGCATTTGCATTAAGGGCCCAATAATCCCGCAGCTGACTGAGAGACTGAAGGTCTTGAGAGAGCTTGTACAGAGACGATCCATGAAAGAAGGAAAACATCAAGTGGCAAATGAGATTTGAGAAACTAGGCTGTAGCAATCACTACAATATTAATGTTGGAGCGAAGAATTCTTCAGTAAAGAAATATCATGCATTACATTAAACTACTGCTGTTACTTCTAACGTTATTGGAACAGTAGAGCTATAAGCATAAGGAGTTTATACTTCATTTTCTGTTTCATATATATTTACGTTTAAGCCAACATGGCGAGTTCTCAAAAAATCTCTTTTCCAGCCAGGCACGGTGGCCCACACTGTAATCCCAGCACTTTGGGAGGCCAAGGCGGGTGGATCACCTGAGGTCAGGAGTTCAAGACCAGCCTGGGCAACATGGTGAAACTCCATCTCTACTAAAAATACAAAAATTAGCCAGGCATGGTGGTGCACGCCTGTAATCCCAGCTACTCGGAGGCTGAGGAAGGAGAATCGCTTGAACCCAGGAAGTGGAGGTTGCAGTGAGCCAAGATCGCACCACTGGACTCCAACCTGGGCAACAGAATGAGACTCTGTCTCAAAAATATATATGTATCTTTTCCTTTAAAGGTGTTTATCACATAAGTCTGAGAAATATTGGTTTAATATTTATTTAATCAATCCAATTTTTTCACTTTAGTATTTTAATTTATTATTCCGTGTTTCCGACTCTGTATCATAATACTACAATTCCATTATTTAACACTGGTGGTGATGCTGCTCATAGTGGCATCAGTAGTGAGCAAACAATAATCAACTGTCTTCACATATCTTTGATTCTTTGGTTTTTGTCCTGAGCTCCTCACAGAGCTGTTATATCCAATGCCCCGGCCTTGTCTGTGGTCTTAGCCATCATTCATAGGTGCATGAATATGGTGCATTTGCATTAAGTAAGGACAAATCTCTTCTTCTATCAGGCAGGGCTTTTCTCTTAGAGGTTAGGTCTGGACTTCGTGTCCTCATTTCACACCGCGATTGACTAAGATGAGACTCATTTATTTGCTACGGTGGCCAGTCCCACACAGGTGCTCATACATACTTGCTGAATGACCAGTTGACTACATCCTGTAAATGTGACCCTTTGGCCTGGGTGGTAGGAGAACGCGGGCATAGTCCTCTTAAGAGATAAGTTGTATCCTTCAGCTTACAGGTAGACTGAGATAGACAGACTGGGAGACGTAGAGTGTTGAGCTCATGCTAGGCACTGAATAAATATTTTGTTAAGGCCAGGTGCGGTGGCTCATGCCTGTAATCCTAGCACTTTGGGAGGCCAAGGCGGGTGGATCACCTGAGGTCAAGAGTTCGGGACCAGCCTGGCCAACATGGTGAAACCCTTGTCTCTACTATAAATACAAAAATTAGCCAGGCGTGGTGGCATGCGCCTGTAATCCCAGCTACTAGGGAGGCTGAGGCAGGAGAATCACTTGAACCTGGGGGGCAGAGGTTGCAGTGAGCTGAGATCGCGCCACTTCACTCCAGCCGGGGCAAAAGAGCAAAACTTCGTCTCAAAAAAAACATTTTTTTTTTTTTTGGTTAAATGAATGAATGTAGAGATATGTCCCAGACAAAAACAGATAAAATTTGCTTTATTGATTTGATCAGACTTACCGAATATCTCTTATACCTGAGCTGTGTGTAATTCCTCAAAACCTGGTAGATAGGTAAAGGCGATTGTCCAGAGGAAGTAACCAAGGTCAGGCAGAATTAGGAGACACTCAGAGCAGATGGGCATCCTTCTGAGTGTCCTCCACATGCTTATTCCAGGGGCCAGCTGCCTTCCTCATGTGGTGGTCCCAGGGCTCCAGACTAGGGCGGAGGAGTGGAGGCCTGAGGATACACATCATGCTGCATAGTCTTGCAGAGGCGGATGAGGGGTCTCCTTTTTCTAGAACCAACTGTAGTCACTGCTGGGGTCCTCTTTATGGTGTACTGTAGTCCATGACATGGGGATGATAAATAACCCTGGTGGATGGATTTAATGGAGGCAGGAAACACTCTTTCTAGGGAGGAAGAAAATGGTTTGGTTTTAACACTCTGTTCTTCTCTTAACCCTGGTGGTTTGTAATTTATCACTTCTGCCCAGCCTGTTTCCCTGGCTCTGGGAGTCTGCTAGATGTCACTGTTTTCTTCAGATCCTGACACTGACTACTAGAGATCAATACTTGCCAAAAATGTGGACGACATTTAGGGGGAAAAAAAAGCCTTTTGTTTTTTTTTTTTTTTAGATGGAGTCTCGCTCTGTTGCCCACGCTGGAGTGCAATGGCACGATCTCAGCTCACTGCAACCTCTGCCTCCCGGGTTCAAGCAATTCTCTGCCTCAGTCTCTCAAGTAGCTGGGATTACAGGTGCCCACCACTATGGCTGGCTAACTTTTTTGTAGTTTTAGTAGAGATGGGGTTTCACCATATTGGCCAGGCTGGCCTTAAAGTCCTGACCTCGTGATCCACCCACCTCGGCCTCCCAAAGTGCTGGGATTACAGGCGTGAGCCACCGCACCCTGCCAAAAAAAACTTAAACCTTTTTTGTTTTTTTTAAAACAACTTAAAAAAAACTTAAACCATTAAAGTTTAAAGAAAAAAGCATTTTGACAAATGAAACTTGGGAGGAATGGTAATATAGTTCTTATTTTTAAAACTTTTCGAGTTAAAGGTTTAAAAGTCAAAAATTTAGCAAGTTTGGGAGCATAGACTTTCCTCTTACTTCCCACACCCTGAGCCTTTTGAGCCATCTCTTGTTTTTAGTCTCTACATGAAATTAAGAAGGTGCTAATGCTAGTGACCTCTCTGGGCCAATGCCTGGTTTGGAGGAAGGAAAGCATCTTTTGTTCTAGAGCAAGAGTGTCCAACTTTTCATGGTGATCCACATGATCAGAAATCCAATTGTTTATGGTAACAGCGAAGTCCAGAAGGTCCTCCCTCTACTGGTGAATACTGAACATGACTCATGCATGAGTCAGGTACATATGGACGCTTTCATTCCATTTTCCTCTTGTCAGCATCCTTCAGAATGCTCTAGTTTCATGGTGTCATTTTAGCAGAATTAAATGTGAACACCTCATCTGTATCATGCATTACTTTCGGCTTTACTCACACTTACAAACTGATCCAAAGCTGTGGATTTGCATCTTGGAGCAGGGGTCAGTGCACAATGGCATCAATGACCGCAAGAATTAACGAGGCTTTAATGACCTGCCCGAGTTGGCTAATCCTGCAAGCCGCCACTTGTTAAAATTTCGACATGCACTTAATCCGTAGGTCAGGATGGCCAAAAAGGACCAGCCCTTCCCCCTCAAGCAGCAGGCCAGAAGCAGGAGGCTTGGGTTTTAGATCAAATGTTAGCGAGAGGAAGCCACAATGTGGGGTCCCCCAGATCACCTCCTTTTCTTTCTGATCAGACTGACCAAAAATCACAGATTGCCTTGACCGTTCTGTGACCCAGCCAGCTGCAGGTTTTCCCCAGCAGGCTTGAACGCAAACCAGGGCCTTGAACACTCCCAGGCACTAATAAAGGTATCTAGGTTGTTGCCCAAAACGTTGAAAGAAACTGGCTCCAGCCCTGAGTCAAATTCCCTAAACCCTCATATAAACTCCATACCCTGACCCCCTTGCTACAGACATGCTTAGGCAGAACATCCCTTTTCCCTCCCTGTCGGCAGGGAGGATTGCTGCAGTCCTCTGTAAGTTCCCCTAATAAATGCTTTGAATTGATCACCCTGACATCTGGGCTTCTTTCTTTGGAATCCCAATTGGCCCCATCTCTGGAGGGTTTGGGCCACTCCCTGTGGGAATTTCCCTGCTGCTGCTTTTGGGATGATTCCAGCTGGGAGTTTGGTGAGATGAAACATGCAGGGCTGGCATGGAATTCTTTTGTCTCCTCTTGTAGAAACAACAGGGACCCTCAGAGACAGAAAAATACCCAGAGCTCCTCTTTGAGAGCTGGTACAAACTGTCTCTTTGGTGCAGGGTAGTGGTGGCTCATAAAAACCCACTCAATTTTGGTTTTAAAAAAATCTTCTTCAGAACTTCAGAGTAGGTAGTAATTAACACAAGAATATGTAATTTCTGATATGAGTGGACCACCCAGAATGTTTCTAATTCATCCACTCCTCTGGTCCCCAGTTCCTTGTCTTCTTAGGAAAATTTCCTCTTTTACATCCATCTGTACCTAACGGTTCATGCTTTGCCCTGACTCCCGCTGTGTCTTACCATGTTTGTGTTCTTATGTTTCTCACTCTCAGCCTCTCTTCCCTTTCTCTCCTTCCTGTCTCTCACAGCTTCCTCTGTCCCCAATGCTTTCTGCATCTTTTGTGCCAGGTGCTCTTTTCCTTTCTCTCCACCTCTGTCTTTCCAGGAGTCTTTGCAGAGCTCTCTCTATGTAGGCTTCCTCATGCCTGACGATTTCTTGGGCCTCTGTACCTCAGCTCTCCATGCCCACCGCTTATCCTCAGTTGGCCTCGTTCCCCTGATGCCCTGAATATTCCCAGACCAAATACTCACCACAATGAAGCCCAATCCAACAAAGAGCACAACAGTGACTGTGGTTGCAGCCAGGGATATGAGGATAATTCCCATGGGTGTCAGGAGCCTGGTGGGTTTCACTGCTGTGACTGAAGTAGTTCACAGAAGGTGAGTGTCACCATGTTTAGTGGTTTCATCTTCTGTGGTCCCTGGGTCTGCAGTGACGGAGTCCTCGGTGGTCCCTGGGTCTGCAGTGATGGAGTGTTTGGTGGTCCCTGGGTCTGCAGTGACAGAGTCCTCAGTGGTCCCTGGGTCTACAGTGATGGAGTGTTTGGTGGTCCCTGGGTCTGCAGTGACGGAGTCCTCTGTGGTCCTTGGGTCTGCAGTGATGGAGTCCTTGGTGGTCCCTGGGTCTGCAGTGACAAAGTTCTCAGTGAGTGGTCCCTGGGTCTGCAGTGACAGAATCCTTGGTGGTCCCTGGGTCTGCAGACACATAGTCCTTGGTGGTCGCTGGGTCTGCAGTGACAGAGCCCTCGGTGGTCCCTGGGTCCACAGTCACATTGTCCTCAGTGGTCCCTGGGTCTGCAGTGACAGAGTCCTCGGTGGTCCCTGGGTCTGCAGTGATGTGGTCCTCAGTGGTCCTTCCATCTGCAGTTACATCATTTTCTCTTATTCTTGAGTCTTTAGGGCTGGTCTCTGGGTGCTTAGTGGAAATGCTTTGGCTTAGTCCTACTAAAAAGTAATCTCATTTAATGTGAATTGTTGATGGCCTATCCTCATCTGCTCTGCTCAGTATTTTCATAACTATCCTCACATCCAAATGACACCTCTCCCCAGGTAATGTGGTGAGATTTATTCCAGTTAGGGATCATTTGGCATTTTTGGTTTAATTCTGGTAAAACATATTCCACAAAGAATCCTCTTGCACTACAATATGGATTATCTTTGCTGAGCCACGCCCTTCGAAGGCCTGCTCACCCAGCTTTGACTCTGTCTTTTCCAGGTCTGGTCTCTTTCCGTGGGACACTAAACCTGACTCTTTCTCAAGCTCACTCCTCTCTGAACTGGTGTTTCAGCAATTGGGGTATTCTGGCTCCATGTTCATAGGTGTCTCCTCTCATCCATTTGTGCCTGCGGTTCTGGCAAACCAATGAGGCAGAAGCTGTGATTCATGTTAGAGATTACACTCAGGTCATGCTTGGTATATGATTTAAAATGAGACAGCTGGCCAGGTGCTCCATCTCAAAAAAGGAAAAAAAAAGCATGAGACAGCTTCTGGGTCAGATCTGGGGCTAACGTGGTAGGCTTGGAGGCAGGGAAGATTCAAGGTGGTATGGGGGCAGGCTTAGGGGAGGAGTCATGAGGGGTGTGGGTGTGATCTAGTTGGACTGAGGGCAACACTGAGTCAGGTATAAGTACAAAGAAGAGATGAGTCCTCTTCGTCTCCAGCCCTCACTGCCCCAGGCAGCCGTCAGGACTTGGGAGTATTCTTATTCTTAGGAATACATGTAGCTTACATGGCATAAATTTTGAACTTTTGGTACTCTGCCCAAATCTAGTCATCCCTCCCTACTGCTGACGCTCCACATTTTTCTAATAGGGTTCAAGTCTTCCTTCCTTCCTTCCTTCCTTCCTTTCCCTCTCTCTCTCTCTTTTTTTTTTTTTTCTTTGAGACGGAGTCTCCCTCTGTCATCCAGGCTGGAATGCAATAGCGCGATCTCCACTCACTGCAACCTCCACCTCCCAGGTTCAAGCGATTCTCCTGCCTCAGCTTCTCAAGTATTTGGGATTACAGGCGTGCGCCACCAGACCCAGCTAATTTTTGTATTTTTACTAGAGACTGGGTTTCACCATGCTGGCCAGGCTGGTCTCAAACACCTGACCTCAGATGACCCACCCGCCTCAGCCTCCCAAAGTGCTAAGATTACAGGCATGAGCCACTGCACCTGACCGTTTCTTTCTTTTCTTTCTCTTTTTCTTTCTCTCTTTTGACACAGGGTCTTGTTCTGTGATTCAGGCTAGAGTTCAGTAGCACAATCATGGCTCAATGCAGCCTTGGCCTCCTGGCCTCAAGTGATCCTCCCACCTCAGCCTCCCGAGTAGATTAGACTACAGGCATGGGCTACCACGCCTGGCTGATTTTTTTGGTTTTTGTAGAGATGGTGTCTCACTATGTCGCCCAGGCTTGTCTCAAACTCCTGGGCTCAAGGGATCCCACTCCTTCTCATCCTCCCAAAGCGCTGGGATTAGAGGAGTGCCAAATTTTTCATTTCTCCAGGAAAGTTGAAACAAAGAAACTTAAATAAAATGCACAAAATCAAAAGCAGAGCATTTCCTTAAAAGGGGATATGAGAAAGACGCTGGGGTCCCTGCTTCCCTGTGGCAGGTGATTGAGGGTAGATAACAGGGTCCGGAGTTCCCAAGGTTCACTCACCTATTCCGTACCTTCGCTCGGGACTGGCCCTGTCTGAGTCCCAAGAGGCTCCTTCTCCAGGGACCCTGACTCCATCTCTCCAGGTCCCGGGGACTTTTGCATCCTTCTCACCAAAATTAACTCCTCCACCCCGTTCTGAACACCTCAGGAGAAGCAGGAGCAGCAGAAGGGGGACGTAGCGGGGCATTTTCTTCTCATCTCAAGAGAATCCACATGGTGCTAGCCAGGACACCTTTTCCTCCCTCCTTCTCTCAAACTTTTTCCACCCTGCCCTTCTCCTTCCACCCGCAGTGGCTGTGGGTTTATATGTGCTTTGCCGAGGGAAGCCAGAGCTCCGGGTCTTCCTTCCTGGAGGGAGGAGCAGCTTCTCAATTACCCCCTGTCACTCAAAGGAGTGGCCGGGCAGGGCAGAAGAGGCTGTCATGAGGGGAAGGGGGGCTCTCAGCTTTGGACCAGAGCCCAGAGTCGAGCAGCCACAGGGGATCAAGCCTGTCAGCGTGAGTGCACTGCTTTCTGATGTGGAGCCTAGTTGAAAACCATCCTCCACCCGGTGTTTCAGTGCTCAGGGAGGGCCTCGGCCTTCCTTCCCACAGGTGGCCACAGTAAAGTCAGGATGACCAAGGAGGGCATAGGCCAGGCCTGCCTGGGGGATGATGCTTGGCAAGAGGAGAGCTGGGTGTCAGAGGGTAGAGGACATTTGGTAAGGACCAAGAGAAGGTCCTCCAACAGAAGGAGAGGAACACTCACGAGGGGGCTAAAACACCCAATCTCTCTGTCTCTTAAAACCTCGCTCTTTGCTCAATCATCCACCCAAATCCTCTTCCTTGGCTTCTCTCCAGCCCACGGATCTCTCTCCTTGCTCCCCCTGCTCGAGTGCCCTCACCCCAGTGAGCTTTCTCAATTACTGCATGTATTAGTCTGTTTTCACGCTGCTGATAAAGACATACCCAAGACTGGGAAGAAAAAGAGGTTTAATTGGACTTACAGTTCCACATGGCTGGGGAGGCCTCAGAATCACGGAGGGAGACAAAAGGCACTTCTTACACAGTGGCGGCAAGAGAAAATGAGAAAGAAGCAAAAGCGGAAACCCCTGATAAACCCATCAAATCTCATGAGACTTATTCACAGTCATGAGAATAGCAAGAGAAAGATGATTGGCGAAAAGAGAAAAACTCCCCACAGCATGAGGGGAATTGTGGGAGCTACAATTCAAGTCGAGATTTCTGTGGGGACAGAGCCAAGCCATATCACTGCACAAAATTAGTCCACTTGTGGTGAGGTCAGGCCTGAATGAGAATACCCACATCTTTTCCTCCTTCTCTGACCCTTATCCCTGCCTTGCCCACTCTTTAGAAGATCATTGTTGGTTCCCATCTTCATTCAGAGATGTCTCTCACCATTTGTGGGGCCTCTCTCTTTCCCAGTGTCCTTCTAACTAAAAGAGGAGTGTGAAATTGCAGGTGGGCCGGGAACTGTTCCTCTCTTAGAAGGCAGCTGATTTCCTGAAAATCAATTTAATGAATGGCTAGTTTACCACATGTAACTGACTATGTTAACTACTAGTATTATTTGAATGTATTAAATATTTTCTCTTTTCCTTCCTTCCTTTCTTTCTTTCTTTCTTTCTTTCTTTCTTTCTCTTTCTCTCTCTTTCTTTCTTTTTGACAGGGTCTTGCTGTATTGCCCAGGTTGGAGTGCAGTGGTGCTATCACGGCTCACTGCAGCCTCGATCTCCCAGGCTCAAGTGATCCTTCCACCTCAGCCTCCGGAGTAGCTGGGACTATATGCATGCACCACCATGCCCAGCTGATTGTTTTTTTATTTTTAGTAGAGACAAGGTCTCACTATGTTGCCCAGGCTGGTCTCGAACTCCTGAGCTCAAGAGATCCTCCCTCGTCAGCCTCCCAAAGTGCTGGGATTACAGGTGTGAGCCACATCACCCAGCAACATTTTCAAACATAGTATTTAAACACACTCAAAAGAATTTGTATGTATTTAGTATAACTAATGAATAGATTTCAAAAGAGTATAGTAAGGAAAATATCTGATTTTCTAAGTCAAGAGGTATAATTTGCATATGATAAAATTCACCCTTTTTCATGTGCAGGTCAATAGAATTTTTTTGGTTTGGCTTTGTTTTAGAATTTTTAAAACTTCATTTTGAGATAATTTTAGACTTACAGAGAATTACAAAAATAGTTAACAGAGTTCCCGTATATTTTTCCCCTAGCTTTTCCTCATGTCAATATCTTACATAGTACAATTATAGAAACTGAGAGATTATATATACAATTATAGAAGCTAAGAAGTTATTGTTGGTACAATACTATATATATTTTTTTGAGACAGAGTTTCACTCTTGCTGCCCAGGCTGGAGTGCAATGGCACGATCTCAGCCCACAGCAACCTTCCCCTCCCAGGTTCAAGTAATTCTCCTGCCTCAGCCTCCTGAGCACCCGGGATTACAGGTGTGTAATCCTAATGGTGATAGATTAGATTCCTTCTACATTTATTAATTGAAATTCTTCTGTAAGAAAAAGTCGTGCCCTCTCCCCATTTTATTTATTCAACTATTTGTTTATATCAGAATGGACTCATAAATGTTTATTTTGTTCTGTGAGTTATGATCCAATACTATCACTATTTATTTTGTTGCTCAAACTTTGGCCACTGGGAGCTCTTTCAGATGGGCTCCAGTGCCGTTTTAATGTCCTCCATCCTTTTTTTGTTTTGTTTTACTTATGAGACAAGACTTCACTGTGTTTCCTAGGCTGAATTGCGGTGGCATCATCATACAGCCTCAAACTCCTGGGCTCAAGGGATCCTCCTGCCTCAGCCTCCTACAAGTAGCTAGGACTACAGGCATGCACCAGCACACCCAGCTGATATCTCCATTGCTATTTTGTTTTGTTTTTTGAGACAGGGTCTCACTTTGTTGCCCATGCTAGAGTGCAGTGGTGCAATATTGGCTCACTGTAATCTCCGTATCCTGAGCTCAACTAATCCTCCCACCACAGCCTTCCAAGTAGCTGGGACAACAAGTGTGCGCCACCACACCCAGCTAACTTTTTTTTTTTTTGTAGAGACAAAGTTTTGTCATATTGCTCAGGCTGGTCTTAAACTCCTGGGCTCAAGCAATCCACTTGTCTTGGCCTCCCAAAGTGCTGGGATTACAGGCTCAAGCCACTGTGCCCAGCCTCTCCATCCGTGGTATTTTGTTTTTTTGTTTTTTTTGTGTGTGAGATGGAATTTCGTTCTCGTTGCCTAGACTGGAGCGCAATGGTGCAATCTCGGCTCACTGCAACCTCTGCTTCCTGGGTTCAAGTGATTCTCCTGCCTCAGCCTCCCACGTAGCTGGGATTACAGGCATGCACCACCATGCCCAACTAATTCTGTATTATTTTAGTAGGGAGAGGTTTCTCCAAGTTGGTCAGGCTGGTCTCCAACTCACGAACCTCAGGTGATCCCCCAGCCTGGGCCTCCCAAAGTGCTGGGATTACAGGCATGAGACACTGTGCATGGCCCTCTCCATCCCTTTTTAAAACACTTTCTTGCATTCTGGTATTACAAGATGCTTCATGCTCATTTTTTATTTTGTCCATCCAGGCCCTGGAATCAACTATTTCTCCACAGAGCTCTGGCTCCTCTTTGTATTAGAGAATAATATTTAGAAACCAAGATTTGGGTACTAGGTGTGCTCATTCATAGTGGATGTCACTGCTTCTTGCCCCCACGGAAGTTAGAGCTAGGAAACGTATGTATGTAAACTAACTCATGCATAAACACAGGTCTGTATTTATTTCTGCAATGACCTGTCTGCATATACAGATTGAATCCCTTATCTGAAATGCTTGAGACCGTAAGTGTTTTGGATTTTCAATTTCTTGGATTTCGAAATATTTGTATATACACAATGAGATATCTTGTGGATGAGACCCAAGTCTAAACATGAAATTTGTTTATGTTTTATATATATCTTATACATGTAGCCTGAAGGTAACTTTACGTGATATTTTAAATAATTTTGTGCATGAAACAAAGTTTGTGTATGTTGACTTGTGGTGTCATGTTGGTGCTCAGCAAGTTTTGGATTTTGGAGCATTTTGGATTTTCAGATGAGGGTTGCTCAACCTGTGTTTTAAACACAAGCATGGGTGCATTTTGACACCTCCAGCTTTAATCCAGCAACATGGGGTTCATTCTAGTCTCTCCCTTTTCTTTATTTGTAACTCCTTTCTCTGACATGGCTACGAATGTCTATAAACATATTTTTTTACTTATTTTTTCAACCCTAATAAACAAATAGTGGTTTCAGAACTGCTAATTCATACCCTTGCCAGAAACACATTTACCAACTACAGTACAGTGTTTCTGTATTTTTTTTTTTTTTTTGTCTTTAGCTTTATGGTCAAAACACAGTTTTTCTTTTCTTTTTCTTTTTTAAATTTGAGACAGGGTCTTGCTCTGTCACCCAGTCTGGGGTGCAGTAGCACTGCAGCCTTGATCTCCTGGACTCAAGCGATCCCTCCATCCTAGCCTCCTGAGCAGCTAGGACTACAGGCACACCATCATGCCCAGCTAATTTTTTTAACTTTTTGTAGAGGCGGGGTTCTCGCTGTGTTGCCGAGGCTGATCTCAAGCTCCTGGACTCAAACAAGCCTCCTGCCTTGGCCTCCCAAAGTGGTAGGATTACAGGCATGAGCCATCATGCCTGACTCAAAACAGTTTTTCAAAGTTACTTAGGCCAGCTCCTTCTTCTCCATCCGTTTCACTGTGCTTACATGAGTCATTTGTCAGAGTCTGCTTTCCATCTTTCCCTCCACATCCTGGTTGATTTGCTGAATTTCCATACCCTAAAAATCACTTTTTGTAGTGTACAGTTCTATGGATTTTGATAAATGGTAGAGTCACGTATTCGGCGCACCGAATCCCTTCATCCTCCTCAATCTCCCCCCATGCCGTTCCTTTAGAGCCAACCCTTCTCCCACTTCCCAAACCCTGGCAACATGGATCTTGTTTCTTTCCCTATAATTTTGCCATTTTCAGAATGTCATATGAAGGGAATCGTATAGTCTGTAGCCTTATAGTTTTAGATATAATTTATATACTATTCATAGGAATCATATTTGCAATTATTCATCAGAGTCAAGAATAAATAATTTTTTCTTGCACATATTTTTGAATAAAGTCTTTCATGTGAAAATTGTTATAAATAAATATATTTATCTTGAGTATTTTCTTAACTAGAAAACATGCTATAAATCAAGAAGACATTCCCCATTCTCCCTCTGTCTCCCAGCCTCCAGCCTGCAGCAGGAGGGAATCACACTGAATAGGATTTAAAGAAAATTTAAAAATTCAAAGAATTAGTCATTTGATGAATTAGTTTTAAGAAAATTGCCTAGAGCTCGTTAGATGAAGACCTCCCTAAAACAGGACTTTTAACAAAAGTCACCATAAATTCTGGAGTTGGGGATTTTTAAAAAAGTGCTAGGCAGAAATCTCTTGAAATTCACATTTCTTCTCGTTTTTTTTTTTTTTTTTTTTTTTTGAGACAGGGTCTCACTCTGTTACCCAGGCTGGAGTGAGTGGCACAATCACAGCTCAGTGAAGGCTTGACCCCCTGGGCTCAAGTTATCCTCCCACCTCAGCTGGGACTACAGGTGTGCACCACCACACCTGGCTAATCTTTTTAACTTTTTGCAGAGACAGGACCTCACTCTGTTGCCCAGGCTGGTCTCAAACTCCTGGGCTCAAACAGTTTTCCCACTTTGGCCTCCCAAAGTGTTAGGATTACAGGCATGAGCTACTGTGCCCAGCCTCCACTTCTTTTCTTCTTTCCCATTTCCATGTTTTGTGGTCTTAGATTTGTCTATTTGCTTCTTTCTTTGCAGGGGCATTACAACACCATTTTTGCTGGTTTCCAGCCTCTATTTTCTACTCACTCAGCTGATTGAAGTGTTCTTATTGGGGAAAAAATTGTGTCCCACTACACCTTAAAGTGATCTGTGGGCTTTGTGCTGTTAAAGGATGAAATCTGGCCTCCTTGGAGTGGTGTTCAAAGCCACGCATTAGCCCCCAGCCCCAGCTCCCTCTGCTGTGCTCTCTAGCCCCACAGGTCTTCTGACCTTCACTGGCCGTGCCATGCCCAGTCTTGCACAAGCTGCTTGCTTGCCTGGCATTTCCTCTTCTGCTCCTCGTAAATGCCTGCTAACTCCTCAAAATCCAAATGTCACCTTCTATGTGAGTCAGCCTCTCCTCCCCTCATCAAGTTAGATGTTTCCTCCTGTGGTGCTTCCATTCATACTACTTGATGCGTTGGCCTGTAACTTATGTACCTCCCTCACCCAACTGTGACCTACAGGGTCATCCTAGCTGCCCCAGCTCCTTGAGACCTCATGCCAAGCAGGTGTCCAGTAAATATGGTGAATGAATGAATGAAAAAATGAGTGCAAAAGATGATAATTATTTTACGAAAAGGTCTGGGGGCTCTTAAAACTGAAGAGGAGATAATGGATACACTGATAAATATCTTCAAGGTATTATTTTAAAACCCTAATATAAAAATAAAAATTAAAAAATCCCAAAATAAAAAACCCGAATATACATTTTTTCTTCCTATTGAGGTAAAATTTACAAAAAGTGAAATGCACAGATCTTAAGAATTCAGTTAGTGGAGGTTTCTTGTTTTGTTTTGTTTTTTTGAGACAGGGTCTCACTCTGTTGCCCGGGTTGGAGTGCAGTGGCACCATCACGGCTCACTGCAGCCTTGACCTCCTGGGCTCAAGCAATCATCCCACCTCAGCCTCCCAAGTAGCTAGAACTACAGGTGTGCATTACTATACCCGACTAATATTTGTATGTTTTGTAGAGATGAGGTCTTGCCATGTTGCCCAGGCTGGTCTCAAACTCTTGGGCTGAAGCAATCCTTTCACCTCAGCCTCCCAAAGTGCTGGAATTACAAGCGTCAGCCACCACACCCAGCTGTTAGCTGAGTTTTGACAAGTGTATTTACCTGTGTAACCAACAGACCAGTTGATATAGAAAACATTCCTATCACCCAGAAAGTGCTCCCTTCCTAAAAACCCTCACCCTCATAGGAGATCTGATCTCTGCCACCATAGATTAGTTTTGCCTATTGTTGAATTTCATGCAAATAAATTGTACAGTAGATACTCTCTTGCATCTGTTAAAAATAGATTTTGTTGTTGTTGTTATGTTTTTTGTTTGTTTTGTTTTGGAGACAGAGTCTTTCTCTGTTGCCCACAGTGGAGTGCAGTAGCGCAATCTCTGCTCACTGCAACCTCCGCCTCCCAGGTTCAAGCAATCCTCCCACCTCAGCTTCCCGAGTAGCTGAAACTACAGGCATGTGCCACCACACCCGGCTAATTTTTGTATTTTTAGTAGAGACGGGGTTTTGCCATGTTGGCTGGGCTGGTTTTGAACTCCTGACCTCAGGCGATCCGCCCGCCTCAGCCTCCCAAAATGCTAAGATTACAGGCATCATGAGCCACCGCACCCAGCCTAAAAACAGTTTTGTTCATCATATTGTAAAATGTTCTTAGAGAAACAGCTTGGTCCTGTTAAGGCTCTCCCAAAGACCCAGGAGAATCCCAGAAGCTGAAGAGACTTAGCAGAGGGTGAAACTGATAAAGCAGAGGCGAGTGATTCACAGGGAGGAAGAATCAGTGGGGTGCGTGTGCGAGAGCAAGTTGCACCAGAAGCCTGGGTGGGACCAGGCCTGAGCATGGTGCTGACACTGGCATGTGTGCCCTCTGAGGCCTGGTTTTGGGGGAGCTGCTGAGGATCTAGACCGTAGCAGGGCAAGCCAGTCCTGCCCTTGCAAAAACTGGGAGCACATTCTCCCTGCCCAGGACAGTTGCTGGGCTGGGAGCCCACAGGAGAGAAAGGTGGCAACTCACACCTGCAGCCCAGAGCAGACGTGAGTGGCCAGGAAAAGTGGCCATGTCTAAGGGTGGCCCCAGTAGCAAGCTCTTTCCTACCTCACAACATGAAAACAGGATCACTTTCCTCCAGTTCATGTTCTAGGCTCACGCAGAGGCTGTTTTCCTGCCATGCAACACACGTCTGTAAAGACCAGCACCTGCCTTCCCCCATCTCTCCTGACTCCATTCTTCCATCGACCCAGAGGCCTCGGGGAGCAGGGAAGGAGTGGGGAAGAAAATGGGACAGATGTGAGGTCTCTGGATTTCATGCTAGGATTTGAGAACTGGGAGTACACAGCGAAAGAGTGTCCTCATGATATAGGAAACCTCTCTTCACAGCAATATACAAGCACACACCCACAGTCTGGCTGTCACATAGAGCAGATGCACTTATTTAATCATTCAGCACTAGCGATAGCCTCCTGTTTCAGGTCTGGGAGAACTAAACAGAAGGTAGGAGTGTCAGGGGCTGGAGCAGAGCTGGGAGGAGCAGCCCTGGGGGCAAGTGAGGAAAACCGAGACCGCTGGTCCTCCCCACCCTGAGGACAGTGAAGTGCCTGCCTTTAGGGACACTGTGTCTCCTCATCAGCTCCATGCCTGTGGGAGAACACTGGTCTCTAAAATCCGTTTCAGTCTCACTTGACCCATCTTGGACTCCATGATATCCTTGAGGACATGGACCAAGGTTTGGGATGTGAAGATCTTTGGTGAAGAGGTTTCTTAGGCACAGAGAGTTTCTCTAGAAAACAAAAGGATGGATCGTTCAGAGTTATGCCCCTCTTCCAGTGCTCTCCCATCCCACGTGTCCCCACTCCCCATTCGGCCTCCCCAGCCTCAGTACTCCTTTGGCCCCTTCTCTCCTCATCAATTTCCTCTGAACATGTACCAGCTTTTCTAGCCCTCTCTCTTGCTGGTTCTCACCTGCTGTCTCTGTCTTGCTTTGTCCCTCTCCTGATTTCTCATTCCCTATTAGCCACACAATGACCCTACTCTCTCTACCCTGCTTCCCTCCTCAGTTCCCTGCACTCCCTCCCTCAGAAAAAGGATTTCCCACACATCAGGCACTCATGAAATAAAAGAGCCCTGTGAAGAGAATCACAGCCATTGCAACCAAGGCCAGAGTGACTAGGATGACTTCCCACAGCCTCAGGCATCCATTAGACCTTCCCTCATTCCCTGGAGGGGCTGCACTTGTGCTGGTGACACTGGAGGTTGCAGTTGTTGTGTTAGTTCCACTGGAAGATATAGTGGACCCAGGGCAGGGGGGTTGTAGTGATTCCACTGGGAGGTGTGGTTGGTCCAGGGGGCGTGGTCACGGTGATTCTGCTGGATAATGTGGTTGATCCTGGAGGGGTGGTCACAGTGATTCCACTGGAAGGTGGGGTTAATCTGGGGGGATGATCGTGGTGATTTCACTGGAAGTTACAGCTGGTTAAGAAAGGGTGGCTGGTTGGCTCCACTGGAAATTTGGTTTTGTTCACCGCTACCGCTACTATGAGTAATACTAGTGATAATAATAGTGGCTGTCATTTAAGAATGCTCACTATATTCCAGGCACTGTGCTAAGTGCCACATATAAATTAGTACTAAAATCCTTACAATACCTCCTTGAGATAGAAACTAATATTACCCCCATTTTATAGATAGGTAAATTGAGGTTTAGAGAAGTTAAGCAGCTAGTTCCAGGTCAGACAGTTAGTAGGTAGTGGAACAACGATTTAAATCAAGGCAGTCTGACCCCAGAGCTAGCCCCTAAAGCCCTTAACCCATGCATTATTCCATATCCCAGGTATGGGGGAGTTACAAGACCAGGGTTTACAGGGGATGGTGTTATTCTTTTAACTATTCATGATACTCTCCGACTAAAGAACGTAAGAGAAAAGTTGAAGGCCCATCAAGCTCCTCTCCAAACAGTATTGTGCCCTTCCTCTAGGGGGCAGATAATCAAGGGGAATCGGTTTGGGAGGGGACCATGATGTGCATTTTTACTACATCGGGTAATTCTTCTGAACACAAAAGTTTGGGGCTGGGCGCAGTGGCTCACACCTGTAATCCCAGCACTTTGGGAGGCCAAGGCAGGAGGATCACTTGAGGCCAGGAGTCTCGACCAGCCTGGACAACATGGAGAAACCCTGTCTCTACTACACATACAAAAAAATTAGCCAAGCATGGTGGTGCAAGCCTGTAATCCCAGCTACTCGGGAGGTTGAGGCACGAGAATCGCTTGAGCCTGGAAGGTGGAGGTTGCAATGAGCTGAGAGCACGCCACTGCACTCCAGCCTGGGCGACGGAGCAAGACTCTGTCTCAAAAAAAAAAAAAAATTGTTTGGGAGCCACTGGTTTAAGGGACCCCAGATGGTCTTGACACATGGACTAGTAAAGAATCAGTCATGTCAGCTTGAAGAAATAAGATCTTCTGGGATTCAGGAAAGTGGCTCAGCTTTCTTGTTGGATCAGTTAGAGTTAAGGTGAGACTGAGCTTCTTTCCCTGTCATGCCTATTTTCTACCCTGTTCTGATTTTCCATCCCATTAACAACCAAGCCCTTGACCTCCCAGATCCCTATAGACCCTCTCCTCATCGATGGCCCTGTTCTCTCCCTGGATGTAGGTGCTGCCCTTCACCCTCCACATATGTTCTTGCCTTGGTGTTGTCTGGACTAACATAAGGATTGCCAATTTAGATTTGAGGGAAGAATCCCAAAACTGTGTGTCGATGCCTTAGGTTAGGGTCAGAGCCAAGAGAGAAACTAAGTGAGAAGTTGAGATGAAAAGCTGGCCTGTGGAGAGGGAATAGACTGGTTTTGTGTTGGTCAGGGGCATAAAACACAAGAGTCAAAGCCATGCTGGGGCAGATTCTAGAGAGAATTAAATCTGCGTGAGTGTGGAACAGCAATGTCTCATGAAGTGTTTAATTAGAGGCTAGATGACTGCTGTCAGAGACGCTGGAAATAGATCCCTGCCTATTACAGGTGGTCAGACACTAATTCAAGTTCTCTTCCAACTCTAATGCGCCTATATCTGGGAATGATGTATTATAGAGTAAATAGGTCCATCTTCTGGGCAGAAGAGTTGCCACTGAGAACAGAACGGAGGACAGATGCTGGGTTGCATTGGAGAGAAAGAAGCAAAATAATCATCCCTCCTGCCTTGAAGAGAATGGGGGCAACAAGGACAGAGTGTGTGTCCCAGAAGTTGTCAACATTTTCCCCAAACTCTACTCAAACTCCAAGATTATTCTCTTTTAAACAAAATCACTCACCATTTCCTAAAAGTAGAAGGAAGTGAAACAGCCAGCATGCAAGGGAAAATTGCTTTCTCTTTCTTTTGAGATAGTCTGCCTGTGTGAGGCTGGAAGGGAAGGCTCCTCCCTTAGTCCCGATGGGATTAAGCCTTAGAAGGGAAAGGCAGAAAATGAGAATCTTGAGGGTGGAGTCTCAAGGTGGAGATCTGAGGGCTGGACTACTAGGAATTCGGAACTCCAAAGAATAGGTCCTCAATCTGAAGAGAAGCACCGCTAGGGGGACCTGGGCTACAGGGGAAGCTGGATGTCTGGTCCTTGATGTTCCTTCACAGAATGCCACCTCTTCTTTTTCTCTTTCAAAGAAGGCCTTTAGGGCGGGTACAGTGGCTCATGCCTGTAATCCCAGAACTTTGGGAGGCCAAGATAGGCAGATTACGAGGTCAGTAGTTCGAGACCAGCCTGGCCAACATAGTGAAACGCCATCACTACTAAAAATACAAAAATTAGCTTGGTGTGGTGGCACATGCCTGTAGTCCCAGTTGCTTGGGAGGCTGAGGCGGGAGAATCGCTTGAGCCCAGGAGGCAGAGGTTGCAGTGAGCTGAGACCACGCCATTGCACTCCAGCCTGGGCAACAGAGTGAGACTCCATCTCAAAAAAAAAAAAAAAAAAAAAAGGAAGAAGAAGAAGGCCTTTAAAGCATCATCTGGACTGGGCAAGGCCTGGACATGTAGGCTGTTGTTCTTCCAGCTGTGAGCAGTGGCAGAATCCCCAAGTTTAGAGAGGAGGGTACAGCAGCCAGAAGGTAGGTGAGGGTGGAGGATGACTTAGTCCCATTAGGAAGGGCCTGGGGAGGAGTGGGAAGTGGAATAGTTCAAGGGGATCAAGGCTGTCAAAGTGGAGGGGCTCCACCCTCTGAGGCAGGGATGGGGCAGAAAACCTGCTCTAGTTGGAGGCCTCCTTTCCTGGACAAGAAGTCCTGAGAACCCAGTATAGCTGGGCAGGAGCAGGTGTGTGAGAAGGAAGCCCCTGCAAACAGAGCTTAGCAGGTAGGGCACAGGAAGTGAGATCCCTGTGAATAGGCACTGGAGACTGGACCTCTGGGCATTGCTGAATAATTAGTAAGCCTGCAAAGCATACCTTGAATGAGGTGGGGAAGAGAGACCCGGGGGAGGGAAATAGACTCTGGGGTCTCCGCAGCGTGGGAGCTGGGGGTGGGAGAGTTGGGGGTGGTGGTGTGAGCTGTTGAGGAGATGGAACCAATGGTGTACTGGGTCAGTGCATGCCTGTGTGCTAGAGCTCATTGCTGAATTTTCAGGATTTTTGGCAACACAGCCATCATTAAAAATTAACGTGTATTAACTTACAGTGAACTAAATTATATTTAAAACAAAGGTAAAAATGTTCCAAACTCATTACTTTCTAATTGCTTTACCACATTTTACTATTATCTCTGCGCACGGAGTTACGTACGCCTATCACATCTGCCTGGTGGGAATGGTATGGAATGGTGTGCCGCCCATCGCTTCCCATTCTATACACAGTGATTCACGCTGGTCACACGCAGTCAGCTCTGGCGGGTGCATTTGCGCCACGAGAAGTGAGTTGTTAAACATTTACCAGCACACACGCTGCAGGGGACCTAAGGAGAGTGATGGCACTGGAAAGAGGAATGCTCCTGCTTCTAATCCTCCTTGATAGAGGCGCTCCCCTTTTGTTTTTGAAGAATTTATAGAAGCTTTTCCACCGGGGAGCTTCAGCTAGGTCTTCTCATCAGTGCTGTGTGCCAGACAAGCGAGATGATCAAGGAAGTACCTACACTTTGGACACTGTCAGTTTGCCTGGGGACTGAGAGCTTACAGTCCAAGCTTGCTTCAACTCTGGCTGAGGCCAACAGAGAGAGCCCAAAGACAACTGAAGGAGCGGCAGAAAACAAAGATGGGAACGGGGTAATTGGCTTCCAGTTCCTTCATTCGCAGGTCATGAAAAAAACCTGGGGCTAGACTCCATGAGAGTTTTTTTGTTTTCTGTTTTGTTTGTCTGTTTGTTTGTTTGAGACTGAGTCTCGCTCTGTCACCCAGGCTGGAGTGCAGTGGCGCGATCTCGGCTCACTACAAGCTCCGCTTCCCAGGTTCACGCCATTCTCCTGCCTCAGCCTCCCGAGTAGCTGGGACTACAGGCGCCCGCCACCACGCCCTGCTAATTGTTTTGTATTTTTAGTAGAGACAGGGTTTCACTGTGTTAGCCAGGATGGTCTCGATCTCCTGACCTTGTGATCCACCCGCCTCAGCCTCCCAAAGTGCTGGGATTACAGGCGCGAGCCACCGTGCCCGGCCTGTTTTCTGTTTTTTTGAGACAGGGTCTTGCTCTGTTGCCCAGGCTGGAGTGCAGTGGCACAATCTTGACTCACTGCAACCTCCCAGGCTCAAGTGATCCTCTTACCTCAGCCTCCCAAGTAGCTGGGACTATAGGCATGTGTCACCACGCTTGGCTAATTTTTGTACTCTTTTGTAGAGCTGGGTTTTCACTATGTTGTTCATGCTGGTCTCAAACTCCTGGGCTCAAGTAATCCTCCTGCCTCAGCCTCCCAAAGTGCTGGGATTACAGGTGTGAGCCACTGCACCTGGCCACCAGGGGACTTCTTAAGCATCAAATCATTTCCTTCCAGCTTTTGGCTAAGTTTGAATTTGGAAAAGTTGCAGGAGAAAAACGTCAAATTATCTAGAGGGGAAAATATATTGGAGTATGTTCTAACAATATGATCCTAATTACTTATATCTACAAAAATGTTTAAATGGCCCTGATACAACATTTTTGGGAAAGGACAGCAGCACTTGGAGGGGCTAAAAAGGGATTTGCCCTACCTCCTCCAATCTCCATCTGGCCCCTTCAAAGCCACCTGAATATACATAAAACCTAATTTGAAACAATATGGTTGCTATACAAATACAGCTTTTATAAAAGACCCCTAAAAAGTATTTCCTTCCCTCCTTTGTAAGATATCCACAAATGAACAATCTAATGATACCTAATAATAGTTAGCTTTTATTGAGTATTCCATGTGCCAGACATTATTCAAAGTGTTTTACAGATATTAGTTTATTTAGTATTTATATTACTCTATGCTTAGGTGCCACAATCTCTGTTTTACAAATTTAAGATGCCTCAGTTCATCTTGCCCAGACTTGTAAAGCTAACAAGTGGCAGAATCAGGATTCATACTCAGGCAGTCTGACTCCTGTGCCACGTTCTTTCTTTTTTTTTGAGATGGAGTCTCGCTCCGTCACCCAGGCTGGAGTGCAGTGGCATGATCTCGGCTCACTGCAATCTCTGCTGCCCAGGTTCAAGCTATTCTCCTGCCTCAGTCTCCTGAGTAGCTGGGATTACAGGTGCATGCCGCCACACCCAGCTAATTTTTGTATTTTTAGTAGAGATGGGGTTTCACTTTGTTGGTCAGGCTGGTCTCGAACTCCTGAACTCAGGTGATCCACCTGCCTTGGCCTCTCAAAGTGCTGGGATGACAGGCGTGAGTCACTGTGCCCGGCCTGCCATGTTCTTAATCACTATAAAAAGAAGGCATCAATTACAAACATTGGTCCCAGCTGCCCCCTTGAAAATATTGCATGTACCTAAACCCCTCCCCCAGAGAAATTCTGGAGCTTCCACAGAAGCAGCAAAGGTTCAGCCAGGTTAAGTTTAAAATAAAACAGACGCAATATTTATCAGAAGGGACATTCCATTAGAATGAGTAAGTTAGAAGCAGGTTCTCCAGGCAAAGCTGACTGAAAGAGATCGTATTTTGATACATGTTTGGAGGGTCAGTGCTGACAACCGTGAAGGGACAGGATGCAGAGGCTAAGAGCTTAGAACTTCTGTCTTGTTTAGAGAATGACAGATTAATTTACCTCAGTATTAGAAATGTTAGGATGCAAACAGTTGCATACAAACAGAAAAATCACAAAGACACAGAGTAATTTTGGAATTGTATTAGTCTAACCTAGGGAAAAAAAAAAAAGAAGAGAAAGGTGGAGTCCTATTTAGGAATTGCCTGAACTCCAGATTCTCTCTGCCCTGTCCTTTAATTTTAGCATGTCCTAATTCAGATCGCTTTCAGACGTCTAGACAGGTCGTCTGCTTTCTCTTCCTAGTTTTCATCTCCGATCTCCAGTTCCACTGCAGCCCTCCAGACTGCCAAGCTTAATGTGCACTTAGCACATTTAACGTGTTTCCACTCTCTCCCCTGGATGGCAGGGACCCCGATCCTGGGAACTACCTTTTCCAGGCTCCCTTGCCAGGAGGCTCCAGGCACATTTTACCTTCCTCCAGTGAAACAAACTCTCATGAGACTCAGTTCTGTGGCAGTAATGGCTGCATGCGTGCATGGCTTCCTGGGGGAGGATTTTGCGGTGGCCTCCGCATTTCCCTGCCTCTGGCACACTGTGGGGCTGTGGAGGAGTGGAGGAGCCTCAGCAGTTGCCTGCACGTCCCTGCCTCCGGTGACCGCAGATCTCTGCTCTCGGTGGCAGTGAACCTGAAAGCTATTGGCTGTCATCCTGACTTTCACTCCTCCACCTTTTCGAGCGGTTTTATAAGCACCTACTTCTTGTACTAAATCCTTTTATGCTTGAAATATCCAAAGTGGTTTCTGTTTTCGTAAGTGAACTCTGACTGTTACAGTATTTGGTATAACAAGAGGTTTCAGAAAATTGACGTTCAAAGGTGGCAATCTGGGATTAGTTCCCTGACCCATTAGGCTTGAGGGCAGGGGCGACCTCATGCTAGTATAAAATGAAGTCTTTGTATTACACAGCAAAAGATAGAAAAAGTGACTTAAGTTATCACCTGTGGTGGTGCCTGGAATAAAGCAATTGTTGAAGGGAAGGGCCGGGAGCCCAGGTGGTCGCTGTGACAGATCGTGAAGCTGGGAGTGTTGACTGCCGGGACTGTGGGTGGCTGCACTGGGAGATTACAGAAAAAAAATGACCCCTCTGCTGCATCCTCAGTCAAGGCATTGCCAGCGAACACAGAGCTTTCTCTGAATATTCTAAAAGACATGCTTATCTCTCAAAGCCACAGGGACTATGTATGAAAAAACCAGACCCACAGTTTGATTCTGCAGATTGGAGAATTATATTCAACTTGCATTTATATCTTTGCCAGTCTCGTGTGTGACATTTGGAATATTTGTTAACTGAAGCCCAGAATTGGAGTGGAGACACCTGGGTAGATTTTGATGAGTCTGAAAAACTTTGAACCTCCAAATCCCGCAGAGCTTTCCTTGCCAGCAGAAGTAGCCCCTCCTCCCCTCTGTGAGGAAGTCACTTTCTCTTGCCTGAAGACCCTATAGTGACGCCCTCACAGCACTCCCTTGGCAAGGGGACACAGATTTTCCTCAGGCCCTGTATTAGTTTCTTATTGCTGCATGACAAATTACCACAAATTCAGGCTGAAGATAGCACAAATATATTATCTTGCAGTTCTGGAGATCGGAAGTTTAAAATAGGTTTTACTGGGCTAAAGTCAAGGTGTCAGCTGGTCTGTGGTCCTTCTGGAGGCTCTAGAGAAGAATCTGTTTACTCACCTTTTCCACCGCTAGAGGCTTCCAGCACTCCTTGGTTTGTGGCCCCTTCTTCCATCTTCAAAGCTTGCATCGCAGCATCTTCAAATCTCTCTGACTCTGACTCCTGTCTCCCTCTTTTTTTTTTTTTTTTTTGAGATTGAGTCTTGCCCTGTTGCCCAGGCTAGAGTGCAGGGGCGCAATCTTGGCTCACTGCAACCTCCACCTCCTGGGTTCAAGCCATTCTCCTGCCTCAGCCCCCTGAGTGGCTGGGATTACAGGCACCCACCACTACACCCGGCTACATTTTGTATTTTTAGTAGAGACAGGGTTTCATCATCTTGACCAGGCTGGTCTCGAACTCCTGATCTCGTGATCTACCCTCCTCAGCCTCCCTAAGTGCTGAGATTACAGGTGTGAGTCACTGCGCCCGGCCTCTCATCTCCCTCTTATAAGGACCTTTGTGATCACATTGGGCCCATACAGATAATCCAGGATAATCTCCCCATTACAAGATCCTTAATGCGATCATGCATGCAGAGTCCCTTTTGCCATATAAAGTAACATATTTCCAGGTTCTGGGAATTGAAACGTGGATGTTTTTGAGGGGCTGTTATTCTGCCTACCACAGGCCCTATTACAATACCCCTCGTGGCCTCCAGCTCCATGCGTTGAGTCAGATCTAGGGGCTGAAAACAACCATAGATGACAGTGAGCAAGGAAACAGGGGCCTCAACTCTAAACACAAGGAACTGGACTCTGCCACAACCACGTGAGCTTGAAAGAGATGCCAGCCTCCAGATGAGGATGCAGCTCAACTAACACCTTCATTTTAACCTGTGAGACTGAGCAAAGGAGTCAGTCATGCTGGCCCCAGACCCGCCTCATAGAACTGTGGTCTGATAAATGGGTGTTGGTTTAAGCTGCTGCATTTGTAGTAAGTTATCACTGATAGAAAACAAATACATGGGTGAACTTATCACATGTTCTAGATTCAAAACATTAGCTCAAGTAGGTGTGAGTTGCACTAATAGTTCTCTCGGTTGCTTGAAATGTGGACTTAGTGGTGGCCTACACTAAATAAAGTTGAGATCCCAGTATTTCATTAGTATAAGCGGAAGAAAAAAATCAAAAGACTTAGGAAGAGAGTTATGTTGGAATGGATTTAATATGTGCAACTTGCTCACTCACTCTTTCATTACGTCCTCCCAGAAGGTTCCATTGAAACTGTCTTCATCAAGGCATTAGAAGGGAGAGGACCAGCATCGTTGAAAAGCTCTGTAGCAGCTCTTTGCTAAATGCAATGGTGGATGATCTGACCATTGAAATGAGCTTCCTGATTTCAGTGGGCATGGTGGAATCTTCAGGAAACAGTAGGTGGGTGGTAGGGCTTTCCCTCCAGAGACAAGACAGGCATGATTATCGATGTGGGCATCACGACCAGAGCTGTAATCAGGGCTCTTTGGCTATGGCTAATTAATCATTAATCAATTAACCACTAAAATCTTACTTGATCTATATAAGTGAAAATATCCAGGTGGTTGAACAGAGAGCTGACTTGAGTTGCCACAGACTCTCACCTAATTCCCAGGCCCGAACCTGTTCACAGACCTAGAAATGAAGGGAAGGCAGCAAGATCCACCACCACCACCAGGATGTGCCGCGAATCTTCCTCCTAGCTTTCAAAAGGAATCTCAGCCATTTATCATCGTGACAGTGCAATGGGGAAATGAAAACACCCAAACCTTTAGGGTAACATACAAGACATCATTGCGATCTACAAGTCAGGGTGGAGCTTATGGGGCTTAGAACATAAATGACGTGGCCGGGCACAGTGGTTCATGCCGGCAATCCTAGCACTTTGTGGGGCCAAGGCAGGTGGATTACTTGAGGTCAGAAGTTTGAGACCAGCCTGACCAACAAGGTAAAAACCTGGCTCTACTAAAGATACGAAAATTAGCCAGGCATGGTGGCAGGCGCCTGTAGTCCCACCTACTCGAGAGGTTGAGACAGGAGAATCGCTTGAACCCGGGAGGCGGGAGGCGGAGGTTGCAGTGAGCCAAGATCGTGCCACTATTCCAGCCTGGGCGACAGAGCAAGACTCCATCTCAAAAAAAAAAGAACATAAATAACATCTTACTCGAAGTTCATCTCTAGGCTCCGTCTGCGCATATTTCCCCACTTTCAAGTGGGAACCAAAGCAAGGCCATAAGGCTGCTTGAGACATTGCTGACTAGATCCAATGTTGCCTAAAATGTCTGTGGTACATCAGAAAGCTGTGTGGAGACACTGGGTAGCTAGTAGAAGAGCCACGGCACAGGTCCCCAGAGTTTTGGAGCAAAAGCAAGCCCTCTTCCACATCCTAGCATCTGACTTAATCTTGGGTCCTCAGCATGCGAGGGTTCATGAAACATGAGCTGCCCTTTATGAACTGGGTGTTGTCTGCACCACCACACTAGACTGGGCATACTTAGCAGTGCTCACCTCCTTGAATGGAAGTGGTGCCTGTGAATTTGGCTGAGTTAGTTCCTCAAGGCACAAGTAAGAGGCATGAGTAGGCAGCTGTAACTCCAGTGGCATCTCCAGCTACATTCCTAACCTCTCTCTCCATAATCACAGTCACATGAAGGGTTTCCTATGTCTAGTTGACTGAGAAAGGAAAGATTTGGTTTCCTCTGGTGTGTGGGTGGTTCTGCATGCTATTCTAACACCACAGAGAGCAGGCTGCTGCAGCATTACCACCCCACTCACGGCAGCCCTGCAGGACAGTGGGGAAGGAAAATTCTCCCAGTGATCCGAATTGTAAAGAATGCATCTGCTTTGTTTACTTTGCCTGGGCAAAGAGATGACCAGTTACAGTTAACCCTGATCAATAGGCAGTGGCTAACAGTTTGGCTAGATAACTCAGGGTGAGGAAAGACATGGTGAATTGATGACAAGGAAGTCTGGGAAAGAGGAAGGTGGACGAGTCTCTTGGGAAGGGCACAGATGGTGAGAGTATGTGCATCCCATGTGACTGTTCACCAATGGGCGTTCACTACAGAGGAAATCTTCCATGATGAGGTTGACCAAGCGATCCATTCTGCAGACGTCAGTCAATCTCTTTTTCCAGCTGCTCTAGTGCTCGCTCAGCAGGGACATGGACAAAGCAGACAGGCTGGCAGGGATGAAGCGTATGCAAGGCTCAGTGAGCTGGCCTTCCCCTCACCAAGGCCAAGCTGGACAGATAATCCATGGCTGAGTGCCTCAACTGCTAACAGCAGAGATCAGTGTTGGCCCCGTTATGTGGCACCATTCTCCAGAGAGAATGGCAGATTAATTATATCAGACCTATTTCAACCTAAAGAGAGAGGTGATTTGTCCTCATTGAAAATAGCTGCTTGCCTCCCTTGCACACAATGCTTCCTGCAGCACCACTGTCTTTGGGCTTACCAAATGCCTCATTTATCGTCATGTGTCTCCAACCACATTCTCTGACCAAGGAAATCATAATATGCTGAGAAAATAGCCTCAGAATATCTTTTTCATTTTTCAAATTGAGACATAACTTACATACCATAAAGTGCACAGATCTCATGTGCACATTTTAATGAAGTTTTACATATCTATACACCCTTGTAATCACCACCCAGATCATACACAGAACATTCTCAGCTTCCCCTGTCTGCCCCTGCAAGAAGGCTTTCTCATGCCTTCTCCCGGTCAGCCTTTTCCCCCAAGGCATCCTCAACTCTGACCTTTATTACAACAGGTTAATGTCACATGGCCTTGAACTGCATGTGAATGGAATTAT
This sequence comes from Homo sapiens, assembly GCF_000001405.40. Taxonomy (NCBI): domain Eukaryota; kingdom Metazoa; phylum Chordata; class Mammalia; order Primates; family Hominidae; genus Homo; species Homo sapiens. Next base: position 2,516,357 of record NT_113891.3, on the reverse strand, counting down.
ACAGTAGGTACACTTTTGTTTTGACTTCTTTTACTCAACACTGACTATGAGATTCATTAATGTTATTGTGTGATTTCATAGGTTTTTTTTTTCACTACTGGGTAGCATTCCACTGCATGAATATGTCACAATTTACTTACCTGTTCTAATGTTAGTGGACTTTGGGGTTAAATTTCCACCCTGCAGTGGTATGAATGAAGCTGGCATGGTACATGTCTTTTGGTGGACACAGGTATTCATTTCTGCTGGATATTTACTCTCAGGAGTGGAAGTACCGAGTCATAGGGTATGTGTTTAATTTTAGCATTGCCAAACATTTTCCCAAGATAATTGTATCAATTTACACTCCCACTAACAATGTGTGAGAGTTCCAGTTGTTCAATGTCCTTTCCAATACTTGGTACTGGCAGTCTTTCAAATGCTAGTCATTACAGTGTGTGTATGTAGTGGTATCTCATTGCGGTTTTACATTCCACTTCTGATAAGCAGTGATATTGGGTACCTTTTCAAATGTTCACCGGCTGTTTTGATATCCTCTTTTGCTAACTATTTATCAAATATTTTGCCCAATTTAAAATTGCATCATCTTTTTCTTATTGTAGCTCTTTCTGCATTCTGGATATGAGTCGTTTGTTAGCTATATGTGTTGCAATATCTTCTCCCATCTTTGACTTTCCTTTTATAGTTAAGAATATACCTCTTAAAGGTATATGCTGATACTAGGCTTTAATGAAGTCCAAATCATCACACTTTCTTTTAATAGCTAGTGCTTTTTGTGTCTTGCTTAAGTATCTAAGTATCTTTGCCTACCTCAAGGTCACCAAGATATTTTCTGAGGATTAAATGATGACCTTTTTTTTTTTTTTGAGACAGAGTCTTCCTCTGTCGCCCAGGCTGGAGTGCAGTGGCACAATCTCGGCTCACTGCAACCTCCACCTCCCAGATTCAACCGATTCTCCTGCCTCAGCATCCCGAGTAGCTGGGATTATAGGCACTCGCCACCACTCCTGGCTGATTTTTGTATTTATTTAGTAGAGACGGGGTTTCACCATGTTGGCCAGGCTGGTCTCGAACTCCTGACCTCAAGTGATCCACCCGCATTGGCCTCCCAAAGTGCTGGGATTACAGGCGTGAGCCACCACACCCAGCCAAATGATGACGTATTTAAAGGCTCCTGGGATAGTGATTGGTACATAATAAGCACTCAAAAAAAAAAAAAAAAACAAAACCTGAAAGAACAAACAGGAAAACGAATACGTGTGTGGCCCTGATAATACATTCATTATGTGCTTTTGTTTCTTAGACATGTCTTGGTAATATTTATAGCACCATGAGGAAACACAGGGATGAGAAACGTTGACCCTGATGTGGCGGGAAATGGGAGAGAAGATGTCCTGAGGGTGGTTGTCGTGACTCCCCACAACAGAGGCTGAGACTCAGGAAAAACTCACAGAAGCTTTGACTTGAAGTCCCCTCCAAGCCAGTCAAAGTCTCTGAGGTCCTTTTGCTGGTTCTTTTCTTGACCTAGTCCATGTCCATCTCCATGGATCACATCCTGGGAAGCTTCCTATGCTCCATTTTAATTATTTCATGATCATTATTTTTTTCTCCTCCATGACCCCCTCCCACCCATAATATGTTTTGATACCCAATCTATGGCCACAGCCATCTTGTCCTGCCGTGGCCTCCTTGGTGGCTCCCTCTGTGATCCACTCCATGGTGTCCTCAGTGGCCTCCTCCATGTCCATAATGCCCGCCATGATTCACTCCGTAGCCATCTCCATGGATGTGGCTCAGTCCATGGCCCACTCCATATCCAAAGCCGTGTGTTCCTCCATGTCCCATTTCAAGTTCTCCTCCATGAACCAGTGCATTTCCCAGGCTGTGGAATGTCCCAGAGCCCAGGCCCAAGTTCAGGTCCAGACCAAGGCTGTGGCTGTGGCCATGGGGGTAATAAATACCACAATATCTCAGGGGGAAGAAAAGGTTTCTCTAAAAGAAAAAAATAAATACATTGATAAATGAAAATTAAGTCTCCTCTCCCTAATCACCATACATGCCTGTTTCACCAATGTCAGATTTTCACTTTTCCAAACTGCCCATGTTCTCTTCTCTTTACCACCATCCTTACTATGATCTCTGTCTCTGTCTCTCTTTTTCCTTGTTCTTTTACTCTTTCTCCGTCTGACAAAATAAGCTTCCTTGTTACCTTATTAACATATCATCTTTATGTGCGTACTCAGGCCCTAGCTCTGCAGATCATAAGGTTATGTGTTTTTGGACTTCCAAGACAAAGGTAAATCCATACCCCTATGTGAAAGGCACAGAGACTCACTTTACAGACAGTCTTTCTCTTTGTTAGTCAGCTAAGAAAGCTCAGAACAGGTACGTGGAATTGAGAGCTCTAGAAAGCTGTCTACACAGAGCCTTGAGATTATAGGCATGAACTCCAGAATCCAACTAACCTGAGTTAGAGTCTTATATCTGCCACTCACTACATGTGCTGGGGCAAATAGCTAAGATCATGAAGCTCCAGATCCCTTACTTGTAAGATGAATATAATATGGCCACGGGATTGTAGGCCAGATTAAATAACATTATGCATTTTAAACATTCAGCCTTGAGCCTAGCAGGCAGTAAAAACTCAATGTTCACTTTCGTTATTCTCTCTTGATCTTGCAAATGAAATAATAAAGTAATTTAGGGAGTAATTCTTAGATGCTGGTATTTATTATGTAGTCCACATACGGAGAGAGGCTGAGAATTCTAAAACAAAGAACCTCAGCAAATTGACTATATTATCCAAATCTTTTGTGACTTCCGTATTTTTCATTTTGTCCATTTTTACCAGTGGTATGCTGTCCAACACTTAATAACAGGCTCTCCGAGGGAAAAGTGCTGATTTGTAGTGTTTGACAATTGCTGTGGTGTAAGTATTTCCAACCCAGCATATTTTAAGCTACCAGTGTCACATCACTCAGCTCAGAATTGGGAAGAACTGCACAATCTCTTGTGGGCCAGGATGAGCCAGCTCCAGCACACCACTGATTTATACTCTGCTTCACTCCTCAAATGGTAACTTACCCGCAGGATCACAAGAAAACAGGAAGAACATCAATAAATGTGAAATCGATGTAAGAAAAATATGTATTCAAAGAACAATCAAGACCAGAGAGCAGAGATGGAGTGGGAGGTCAGAGAGTAACAGTCACAGGCCACACAAGGAATTGCTGTGAGGACCAGAAATTTGTCATACATGAGACAATCGGAAGCCCGCATTTTGGATGGCTGAACATTTTTATGCTTCTTTCTTTTCTCTATTTCTCTCTCTCTTTCTTTCCTTCTTTCTTTTTTCTTTCTCTTTCTCTCTCAGTTTCTTTCTTTCTTTCTTCCTTTCTTTCTCTTTCTTGCTTTCTTCCTTTCTTCCTCATTCTTTCTCTTTTTCTCTCTCTCTCTCCTTCCTTCCTTCCTACCTTTCTTTTCTTTCTTCCTTCCTTTCGAGACAGGATCTTGCTCTGTCACTCAGGCTGGAGTGCAGTGGCACGATCTCTGCTCACTGCAACCTCCATCTCCCAGGTTCAAGCAATTCTCGTGCCTCAGCCTCCAAAGTAGCTGGGACTACAGGTCCATGCTACCACTCTCGACTAATTTTTGTATTTTTAGTAAAGACAAGTTTCACCATGTTGGCCAGGCTGGTCTCAAATGCCTGGACTCAAGTGATCCGCCCTCCTTGGCCTTCCAAAGTGCTGGAATTACAGGGGTGAGCCACTGCGCCCAGCTGCTTCTTGCTTTCTTTATGTTTATGTCCTCCTTGTTCTCTCTCAGTATTTCCCTTGTTCTGTCAGTATTTCCCTTCACTTTGGCCCCAACTCCATCTTTTCCCTCCTCTTTTTCTACTTTGCTTCTCACTTTCTCTGACTTAAGCATTCTCTCTGGTCCTTATATCAGGCTAGGTGATTCTTTCCTTCTGAGCGCACCAACTTACTCCCCTTTCTCATTCTGGATTTTTCCAAAGCACTGCTGACATGATTCCCCCCTGCCTTCTTGCCAGGCTCCCCTATGAACCCACCCTGGGTACTCACCAGACAAAAACTCAGTCCTACTGACAATCCAACAGCAGCCACAACTGCAGCCAGGGAAATGAGGATGATAGCCCAGGGCTGTAAATATCCACTTGGTTTGATCACGTTTGTGGGTGTGTGGCTCATGCTAACTGTGTTTGTGCCCATGGACACCGGGCCTGTTTCCTGGAAGGTGCTGCTGGTTGGCTCACGGGTGGATCCTGTGGTGGTCCTGACGCCGTGGGCTGAGGTGGTAGATGATGCTCCCATAGTGGATGTACCCAGGCCAGAGGTGTTTAAGACTATTCCTGGCACAGTATGGCTGGCAGCAGAGGCCGTGAAGTCCATTCCAGGGGCCATGGTGACAGAGCTGGAGGCAGTGAGTCTGGTTCCAGTGGTTCTGGTGCCTATGAAACAGGTCACACAAGATGATGCATTTGTAGCAGAGATGATTAAAGGGGAATGGGGGTGCTTAGACCAGAGGAGGGTGAATCTAACAAACCTATGGTGGAGGTGGCTCAGGAGAGGTGTGGTGGGGGAGGAGAGATGGTAGAAAGCGATTCTGCTGTGGCCATGTCCCCAGAATGCAGGTGGGTGTCATACAGAGAAGGAGGTAGAATGTGTCACCTGGTGGAGTTGGTGATGGAGGAGGCAGAAGTTTGAGGAAACGTTATCGCGATGGGTTCAGAAGTGGAAGATCTATTTGACTTCAGAAGTGGCCACCCAAATAGAAGAGGGTGGGCTGATAAAAATGAATGAATTAACAGCATTTGCAGTGACCTGGATGAGATTTTAGACTATTCTTCTAAGTGAAGTAACTCAGGAATGGAAAACCGAACATCGTATGTTCTCACTGATATGTGGGAGCTAAGCTATGGAAATACGAAGACATAAGAATGATGCAATGGACTTTGGGGACTTTGGGGGAAGAGTGGGAGGGGGCGAGGGATAAAAGACTTCAAATATGGTGCAGTGTATACTACTAGGGTGATGGGTGCACCAAAATCTCACAAATCACCACTAAAGAACTTATTCATATAACCAAATACCACCTGCATCCCAATAACTTATGGAAAAAATTGAAAATAAATAAATCAAAGCAGATCAAATAAGTGGGTGGGCTGGTATACAAAGCGGCAGGCCCTGCTTCTTTTGTGACTGTGATCACTGGGTGTAAGGAGGGAGCTGGAGGAGGAGATGGTAGAATTGGATTCACTCATGGGCATGCCAGTGGCCGTGGCTGGGACAGAGGTGACATCATCTACCACACTGTGGTGATCAGCAAAGGTGAGGTGAGTGTGCTTGGGCAGATGTAGGAGGACCTGACCCAAGTGGAGAAGGCTGCTCACAGGGATAGGAGAGGGTGGGCTCAGACAGGTGTGAGCACGAATCAACACAGCAGAGGCGGTGGTGGCGGCTTAGGTAGCGATGGGTGTGCCTAGGTCAGAAGTGGTTAAAATGGGATCACAAACAGCACCAGTCATGAGAATAGAAGTGAGTATGCTTAGAACCAAGAGGATAGAATCAGATGTAACCGGCTTGCTGATGGCAAGTGCCAGAGAATGAACAAAATTGTTTGGTCTCAGACTGGAGCAAAGGTTGCCAAATTTTTTCTGTAAAGGTCCAAACAGCAAATAATTTAGGCTTTTGGGCCAGGCTGTCTCTGTTGCAAATACACGGAAAAGCAGAAAAGCAGCTGGAGACAAACCATAAATGAATGGGCATGACTATGTTCCAGTAAAACTTTACAAAACCAGGTAACAGGTGAGACTTGACCCATGAAATGTGGTCTGCCAGCCTCTGGTCTAGAGTCAATACATTGATAGGAGGTGGCAGTGTCACAGATGGTTGGTTGAATAGAGATAATCTACTTGGCACCGAAGTGGGAGCATTTCACAAAACTGTGATGGGCCAGTAGAGTTGAGGCGGGCTTGCTGGAGGAAGATGTGACAGATATGATGCACTTGTGGTTTACTATATTGTGGTTCTGATTGCAATGGAAGTGGTGGGCACTTAAAAAAAAAGAGGTGAGACCAGAGTAGAGGCAATTAGGATTCCAGAAGAGGACATTTTTTTTTTTTTTTTTTGAGACGGAGTCTCGCTCTGTCGCCCAGGCTGGAATGCAATGGCGCGATCTCTGCTCACTGCAAGCTCCACCTCCCGGATTCACATCATTCTCCTGCCTCAGCCTTCCGAGTAGCTGGGACTACAGGTGCCCGCCACCACGCCCAGCTAATTTTTTGTATTTTTAGTAGAGACTGGATTTCACCGTGTTAGCCAGGATGGTCTCAATCTCCTGATCTCGTGATTCGCTCGCCTCAGCCTTCCAATGTGCTGGGATTACAGGCATGAGCCACCGCGCCCAGCCTAGAAGAGGAAATTATATCTAACTGTGTGCTGGCTTGACTTGAACCAGGGCAGAGATGATAGAAACAGGTGAACAGCTGGTGGTTGCCACTGGAGTTAAAATGTGTGGGCTCAAAGAAGACATGGGGGTTAGTACCTGACATAGGTGTGTTGGTGATGGGCTGGATAGAAACGTCAGTGGCCTTGGTGAGTACAAACGTGGTGGAAGAGACAGTGGTGGAGGCTGCAGTGGCCCCAGAAGCTGTGATAGAGACTGTGGTGGTCTCAGAGCCTGTGAGGGAAGTTGCAGTGGGCTCCAAGCTTGCAGTGGAAGCTATGGTGCTCTCAGAGCCTATGATGAAGGCAGTGTTGGTCTCAGAGCCTGCACTGGAGGGTGTGGAGGTCTCAGAACCTGTGGTACAGGCTGTGTTGGTCTCAGAGCCTGAAGTGGAGGCTGTGGTGGTCTCAGAGCCTGCAGTGGAGGCTGTGGTGGTCTCAGAGCCTGCAGTGGAGGCTGTGGTGGTCTCAGAGCCTTCAGTAGAGGTGGTGGTGGCCTCAGAGCCTGCAGCAGAGGATGTGGTGGCCTCAGAGCCTATGGTAGAGACTGTGGTGGTCTCAGAGACTGTGGTAAAGACTGTAGTCATCTCAGAGCCTGTGGTAGAGGCTGTGGTGGTCTCAGAGCTAGTGGTAGAAACTGTAGTGGCCTCAGAGCCTTCAGTAGAGGCGGTGGTAGTCTTAGAGCCTGTGATATAGACTGTTGTGGTCTCAGAGCCTGCGGTAGAGGCTGTGGTGGTCCCAGAGCCTGAGGTGGAGACTGTGGTGGTCTCCAAATCTGCGGTAGAGGCTGTGGTGGTCTCAGAGCCCGTGGTAGAGACTGTGGTTGTCTCAGAGCCTTCAGTAGAGGTGGTGGTAGTCTCAGAGCCTGTGGTATAGACTGCTGTGGTCTCAGAACCTGCAGTAGTGACTGTAGTGGTCTCTGAACCTTCAGTAGAGGTGATGGTAGTCTCAGTGCCTGTGGTAGAGACTGTGGTGGTCTCAGAGCCTGTGGAGGAGACTGTAGTGGTCTCAGAGCCTTCAATAGAGGCTGTGGTGGTCTCAGAGCCTGCAGTAGAGACTGTGGTGGTCTCTGAGCCTGCAGTAGAGGCCGTGGTGGTCTCAGAGCCCATAGTAGTGACTGTAGTGGTCTCAGAGCCTTCAGCAGAGACTGTGATGGTCTCAGAGCCTGTGGTAGAAACTGTAGTGAGCTCAGAGCCTTCAGTAGAGGCTGTGGTGGTCTCAGAGCCTTCAGTAGAGGCTGTGGTGGTCTCAGAGCCTGTGGTAGAAACTGTAGTGATCTCAGAGCCTTCAGTAGAGGCTGTGGTGGTCTCAGAGCCTTCAGTAGAGGTGGTGGTAGTCTCAGAGCCTTCAGTAGAGGCTGTGGTGGTCTCAGAGCCTATGGTAGTGGCTGTAGTGGTCTCAGAGCTTTCAGTAGAGGCTGTGGTGGTCTCAGAGCCTTCAGTAGAGGCTGTAGTGGTCTCAGAGCCTTCAGTAGAGGTGGTGGTGGTGGTCTCAGAGCCTGCTGTAGAGGCTGGGATGGTCTCAGAGCCTGCAGTGGAGACTGTGGTGGTCTCAGAGGCTGTGGTAGAGGCTATGGTGGTCTCAGAGTTTTCAGTGAAGACTGTGGTCATTTTAGAGCTTGCAGTGGAGACCTTGGTGGTCTCAGAGCCTATGGTAGAGGCCATAGTGGTCTCAGAGCCCATGATGGATGCCATGGTGGTCTCAGAGCTTGTAGTAGAGGCTGTGGTGGTCTCAGAGCCTGTAGTAGAGGCTGAGGTGGTCTCGGAGCCTTCAGTAGAGGCTGTGGTGGTCTCGGAGCCTTCAGTAGAGGCTGTGGTGGTCTCAGAGCCTGTGATGGAGGCTGTAGTAATCTCAGAGCCTTCAGTAGAAGTGGTGGTGGTCTCTGAACCTGTGGTAGAAACTTTAGTGGTCTCAGAGCCTGTGATGGAGACTGTAGTGGTCCCAGAGCCTTCAGTAGAGACTGTGGTCTCAGAGCCTGTGGCAGATACTGTAGTGGTCTCAGAGCCTTCAGTAGAGGTGATGGTCCTCTCAGAGCCTGTGGTAGAGACCATGGTGGTCTCAGAGTCTGTGGTGGAGACTGTAGTGGTCTCAGAGCCTTCAGTAGAGGCTGTGGTGGTCTCAGAGCTTGTAGTAGAGGCTGTGGTGGTCTCAGAGCCTGTAGTAGAGGCTGAGGTGGTCTCAGAATCTGCAGTAGATGCTGTGGTGTTCTCAGAATCTGCAGTAGAGACTGTGGTGGTCTCAGAGCCTGCAGTGGAGGCTGCAGTGGTCCCAGAGCCTTCAGTAGAGTCTGTGGTGGTCTCAGCACCTGTGGTGGAGACTGTAGTCATCTCAGAGCCTTCAGTGGAAGTGGTGGTGGTCTCCAAGCCTGTGGTGGAAACTGTAGTGGTCTCAGAGCCTGTGGTGGAGACTGTAGTGTTCTCAGAGCCTTCAGTAGAGACTGTGGTCATCTCAGAGCCTGTGGCAGAGACTGCAGTGGTCTCAGAGCCTTCAGTAGAGGCTGTGGTGGTGTCAGAGCCTATGGTAAAGACTGTGGTGGTCTCCAAGCCTGTATTAGAGGCTGTGGTGGTCTCAGAGCCTGTAGTATAGGCTGTTTTGGTCTCAGAGCCTGCGGTAGTGACTGTAGTGGTCTCAGAACCTTCAGTAGAAGCTGTGGTGGTCTCAGAGTCTGAAGTAGAGGCTATTGTGATCTCAGAGCCTTCAGTAGAGGCTGTAGTGGTCTCAAAGACTGTGGTGGAGACTGCAGTCATCTCAGAGCCTTCAGTACAGGTGGTGGTGGTCTCTGAGTCTGTGATAGAAACTGTAGTGGTCTCAGAGCCTGTGGTGGAGACTGTAGTGGCCTCAGAGCCTTCAGTGGAAGCTGTGGTGGTCTCAGAGCCTTCAGTAGAGGCTGTGGTGGTCTCAGAGCCTGTGGTAGAATCTGTGCTGGTCTCAGAGCCCATGATGGAGGCTGTGGTGGTCTCAGAGCCTGTGGTAGAGACTGTGGTGGTCTCAGAGCCTACGGTAGAGGCTCTGATTGTCTCAGAGCCTGCAGCAAAGACTGTGGTCACCTCAGAGCTTGCAGTGGAGACCTTGGTGGTCTCAGGGCCTATGGTAGAGGCCATAGTGGTCTCAGAGCCCATGGTGGATGCCATGGTAGGCTCAGAGCCTGTAGTAGAGGCTGCGGTTGTCTCAAACCCTGTAGTAGAGGCTGTGGTAGTCTTAGAATCTTCAGTAAATGCTGTGTTGGTTTCAGAATCTTCAGTAGAGGCTGCAGTGGTCTCAGAGCCTGCAGTGGAGACTGTGGTCTCAGAGCCTGCAGTTGAGACTTTGGTGGTCTCAGAGCCCATGGTGGAGGCTGCAGTCGTCTCAGAATGTGCAGTAGAGGCTGTTGTGGTCTCAGAGCCTGTGGTGGAGACTGTAGTGGTCTCAGAGCCTGCAGTAGAGACTGTGGTGGTCTCTGAGCCTGCAGTAGAGGGTGTGATGGTTTCCGAGCCTGCAGTGAAGACTGTGGTCATCTCAGAGCCTGTGGTAGAGGCTGCAGTGGTCTCAGAATCTGCAGTATAGGCTGTGGTGGTCTCAGAGCCCACGGTGGAGACTGTGGTGGTCTCAGAGCCTGCAGTAGAGGTGACGGTGGTCTCAGAGCTTGTAGTAGAGTTTGTGGTGGTCTCTGAGCCCATGGCAGAGACCATGGTGGTCTCAGTGCCTGTGATAGAGACTGTAGTGGTCTCAGAGCCTGCAGTGGAGACGGTGGTCTCAGAGCCTGCCATAGAAGCTGTGGTGGTCCCAGAGCCTGCACTAGAGACTGTGGTGTTCTCGGATCCTGCCGTAGAGGTGGTGGTGATCTCAGAACCTGAAATAGAGACTATGGTGGTCTGAGAGCCTGTGGGGGAGGGGGTGGTGGTCTCAGAACCTGCTGTAGAGGCTGTGGTGGTCTCAGAGGCTTTAATCAGGATTGTAGTGGTCTCAGAGCCTGTGGTAGAGGCTGTGGTGGTGTTAGAGCCTGCAGCGGGGGCCACAGTGGTCTCAGAGCTCATGCTGGACGCCGTGATCACCTTGGAGTCTGCAGTTGAGGTTGTGGTGGCCTCAGAGCCTGCCATGGAGGTGGAGGTAGTGGTGGTCTCAGAACCTGCAGTAGATGCTGTGGTGGTTTCAGAGCCTGTGGTAGAGACTTTAGTGGCCTCAGAGCTTGCAGTGGAGGTGGTGGTGGTCTCAGAGCCTGTGGTAGAGACTGTGGCAGTCTCAGAGCCTGTGGTGGAGGCCATGGTGGTCTCAGAAATTATGGAGGAGGCCATCGTTTTCTCAGAGCCTGCAGTGGAGGTTGTGCTGGAGGCCATGGTAGTCTCAGGGACTGTAGTGGAGGCTATAGTAAAGGTTGTTGTGGTCCCAGAGACTGTGGTGGAGGCCACGATAGTTTCAGAGCCTGCAGTGGAGCCTGTGGTTGTGTCAGAGCCTGTGGTGAAGGTCCCAGTGGAGGCTATAGTAGTCCCTGAGTCTGTGGTAGAGGCCGTGTTGGTCTCAGAGCCTGTGGTGAAGGCTGCAGTAGAAGCCATGGTGGAGGCTGAGGTTGTCTCAGAGCCTGTGGTAGAGTCTGTGGTGATCTTAGAGCCTGTAGTTAAGGCCGTAGTAGAGGCCATGGTGGAGGCCATGGTGGTCTCAGAGCCTGTGATGGAGGCTGTGGTGGTGTCAGAGCCTTTTGTGAAGGCTGTGGTATTCTCAGAGCCTGAGGTGGAGAACAAATAAGGTGGTGGGAATGGGTTAAAGATGAATTTGCAGGTTTAGTATAGTGTTACTTTCACATATACTCAGTACTTCTTATTCATTTATTTATTCAGTTATTGAGGGCTTAACATGTACCTGGTATTTTACTAAACTCTGGGCATACTCCTGTCAGCAAAAGGGATATGGGCTTATAATTTAGTAAAGAAGAGAGCTACAACATAAAATATAAATACACATTGGCTTAAGTGCTGTTAAAGAAAGCAGTGGTGCTGCTTTAGATACTGGAGTCAGAAAAGGTCTCTCTGAGGAACTGACATATGAACTGAGATCTGAAGGATAAGAAGGCAGCCATTTGGGCTGGGCGCAGTGGCTCAAGCCTGTAATCCCAGGCGGATCACCTGAGGCCGGGAGTTCAAGACCAGCCTGACCAATATGGAGAAACCCCATCTCTACTAAAAATACAAAATTAGCCAGGCATGGTGGCGCATGCCTATAATCCCAGCTATTCAGGAGGCTGAGGCAGGAGAATCACTTGAACCGGAAGGCGGAGGTTGCGGTGAGCCAAGATTGCACCACTGCACTCCAGCCTGGCCAACAAGGGCAAAACTCCATCTTAAAAAAAAAAAAAAAAAAGAAGGCAGCAATTTGAAAGGCCAGGAGAAGGACATCACAGATTGATAGCATAAGTACAAATACCCTGAGTTGTTAATGAGCTCGATGTGATTCATGAATAAATAGGAGACCAGGGTGGCTGGAATGTAGTTACTGAAGGAGAAAACGAGGCGGTAGAGAGACCTTTTCTAACCATAATCTCTGAAGCAGGACCCCTGCCTTTTTAACAACACATAACCCAAAGGTGTATTTACATTCTTTATATTCTAAACTCTTCTTTACAAGAACATAAGCCCACATTTCTTTTGCTGACAGGGGTATACTCAGAGTTTAGCAAAATACCATGGTAGAAAGGTTAAATTTCATCTCAAATACAATGAAGACCCACTGGAATAACATACTCTGGTTAATTTCTCTTTGTTTTTATTTTGAAAAAAAAATCACAAATTCTTTTGTAACAAGTATAACACAAAGAACCCTTTTCCCTGAATCATTTGGGAGTTACTTGGTAACCTGATGTCTCATTATCCTTCAATACTTTATATATTCTCATACGCAACCATAATACAGCCATCAAGATCAAGAAATTCACATGAATATATTGCTGCCACCTGATCCTTAGATCCCTTTCAAGTTTTGTTAGTTGTTCTAATAATGTCTTTAATAGTAAACCAGTTCAATTCAGAATCGTGTGTTGTTTTTCGTTGTTCTGTCTCTTTAGTCTTCTTCAGTCTGGTGCAGTTCTTCAGTCTTCCTTTGATCTTCATAACTTTTAACCTTTGAAGATTACAGGTCAATTATTTTATAGAATTTTCCTTAAACTGAGTTTTTGTAATGTTTCATCATGATTAGGCTCATGTTATTAATCTTTGCCAGGAAAACCACTGAAGTGATGCTGTATTCTTCTCTTTGCATACTATCAGGTGACAGATAATATCAATGTGTCCCATCATTGATGATGTTCTCTTGGATTACTTGATTAAGAAGGTGTATCCAGGCTGGTTTTTCTCCCTTTGTAGTTAGTAAATATTGTGTTGTGATTATAATTATGAAATGTCTCTCTTTATCCCTAATAATATACCTCTTCTTAAGCCTATTTTGTCTGATTTTGAAATAGTCACTCAATTTTTTTCTAAATTGATGTTAGCATGGCTAACATACAGTATGGCCGTATCTTTCTTCCTCTTATTTTTATCCTATTGTTTACCCTATTTGTAGTTATAGTTAGTTAAAATGTATTTCTTGGTTGAATATTATTTATTTGGGGCTTTCTTTTTTAACCAATGTGTCAATCTCTGCCTTTTAATTGTGGTGTCTGGACCATATACATTTAATGTAATTATAAATACGTTGGGTCTGATTCTTTTTTAGAGACAGAGTCTTGCTCTGTCACTCAGGCTATAATGCAGTGGCACAATCACGGCTGACTGCAGCCTTGACTTTCTAAGCTCAAGAAATCCTCCTGCCTCAGCCTCCGAACTATCTAGGATCACAGGCACGAGTCATGATGCCTGGCTAATTACTTTTTAATTTTTATTTCTTGTAAAGATGGGGTCTCCCTATGTTGCCTGGGCTTGTCTCGAACTCCTGGGCTCAAGTAATCTTCCTGCCTCAGCCCCAAAAAGTGCTGGAATTACAAGTGTGAACCACTGTAGCTGGCCCTGAATTTAATAGTCTTCATATTTGTTTTCTATTTTTCTCGTCTGATCTTCTTACCTTTTCCTCCATTTTTCGCTTTTTTTTTTTAATTAACCCAGTATTTTGTTTTTTGTTTTGTTTTGTTTTTTGAGCGTCTTGATCTGTCACTCAGGCTGGAGTGCAGTGATGGGATCTCAGCTCACTGCCAATTCCACTTCCCAGGTTCAAGTGATTCTCCTGCCTCGGCCTCCTGAGTAGCTGGAACCACAGGCATGCGCCACCACGCCCAGCTAATTTTTGTATTTTTAGTAGAGACAGGGTTTCACCACGTTGCCCAGGCTGGTCTCTAACTCCTGGCCTCAAGTGATCCACCTGCCTCAGCCTCCCAAAGGGCTAGGATTACAGGCATAAACCGCTGCACCATGACCTGAGTCATTTTTGACCCCATTTTATTTCCACCATTAGCTTATTAAATATCATTCTTATTTGTGTGCCTTTGCTCTAGGATTTACGATATACACCTTTATCACTGTCTACCTCCCAGTGAGCTCATTCCTCTTCCTGTAAAGGCATGAGAGTCTCAACACAGTACACTTCCATTTCCTTTTTCTATCCCTTGTACCACTGTTGTCATACATTTTATGTCTACATATAAGCCTCATAATTCATTATTACTCAAGTATATTATCTTTTAAAATTTAAATGAAAAAAATTTTATTTTTACCCATATATTTATCATTTCCAGTACACTTCATTCTTTTTTGCATAGATCTAAATTTTTTCTTCCTGAAGAACTTTTACATTTAAAAAAAAATGTCAGTCTTGCCTGTCGATTCACGCCTGTAATCCCAGCATTTTGGGAAGCAGAGGCAGGCAGATCACCAGGAGTTCGATACCAGCCTAACCAAAATTGAGAACCCCCATCTGTACTAAAAATACAAAATTAGCCAGGCATGGTGTGGCTAATTACATGCCTGTAATCCCAGCTACTCGAGAGGCTGAGGCAGGAAAATCGCTTGAACCCAGTGTGTCTGGAATTGGTGGGTTCTTGGTCTCACTGACTTCAAGAATGAAGCCACAGACCCTCACAGTGAGTGTTACAGCTCTTAAGGTGGCATGTCTGGAGTTTGCTCCTTCTGATGTTCAGATGTGTTCGGAGTTTCTTCCTTCTGGTGGGTTTGTGCTCTCGCTGGCTCATGAGTGAAGCTGCAAACCTTCACAGTGAGTGTTAGCAACTCTTAAGGCCATGCGTGTGGAATTGTTCCTTCCTCTCAGTGGGCTCGTGGGCTCGCTGGCTTCAGGAGTGAAGCTGCAGACCTTTACGGTGAGTGTTACAGATCATAAAAACAGTGTAGACCCAAAAAGTGAGCAGTAGCAAAATCTATTGCAAAGAGCAAAAGAACAAAGTTTCCACAGTGTGGAAAACGACCCAAGCAGGTTGCCACTGCTGGCTCGGGCAGCCTGCTTTTATTCTCTTATCTGGCCCCACCCACATCCTGCTGATTGGTAGAGCCGAGTGGTCTGTTTTGACAGGGTGCTGATTGGTGCGTTTACAATCCCTGAGCTACATACAAAGGTTCTCCACGTCCCCATCAGATTAGTTAGATACAGAATATGGACACAGAGGTCCTCCAAGGCCCCTCCAGAGCAGCTAGATACAGAGTGTCGATTGGTGCACTCACAAACTTTGAGCTAAACACAGGGTGCTGATTGGTGTGTTTACAAACCTTGAGCTAGATACAGAGTGCCGATTGGTGTATTTACAATCCCTGAGCTAGACATAAAGGTTCTCCAAGGCCCCACGAGAGCAGCTAGATACAGAGTGTTGATTGGTGCACTCACAAACCCTGAGCTAGACACAGGGTGCTGATTGGTGTGTTTACAAACCTTGAGCTAGATACAGAGTGCCGATTGGTGTATTTACAATCCCTGAGCTAGACACAGGGTGCTGATTGGTGTGTTTACAAACCTTGAGCTAGATACAGAGTGCCGATTGGTGTATTTACAATCCCTGAGCTAGACATAAAGGTTCTCCAAGGCCCTACCAGAGCAGCTAGATACAGAGTGTCCATTGGTGTACTCACAAATCCTGAGCTACACACAGGGTGCTGATTGGTGTATTTACAATCCCTAAGCTAGACATAAAGACTCTCCACGTCCTCACCAGACTCAGGAGCCCAGCTGGCTTCACCCAGTGGATCCCGCCCCGGGGCCGCAGGTGGAGCTGCCTGCCAGTCCTACGCCATGCGCTCACAGTCCTCAGCCCGTGGGCGGTCGGTGGGACTGGGCGCCCTGGAGCAGGGGGCGGTGCTCATCGGGGAGGCTCCGGCCGCACAGAAGCCCATGGAGGGGGTGGGAGGCTCAGGCATGGCGGGCTGCAGGTCCCCAGCCCTGCCCCATGGGAAGGCAGCTAAGGCCCAGTGAGAAATCCAGTGCAGCGCCAGTGGGCCGGCACTGCTGGGGGACCTAGTACACCCTCCGCAGCCACTGGCCCGGGTGCTAAGCCCCTCACTGCCCGGGGCCTGCAGGGCCCGCTGGCTGCTTCGAGTGCGGGGCCGCCAAGCCCACGCCTACCTGGAACTGCAGCTGGCCCGCAAGCGCCGCGCACAGTCCCGGTTCCTGCTCGCACCTCTCCCTCCACACCTCCCTGCAAGCTGAGGGAGCCGGCTCTGGCCTCGGCCAGCCCAGAAAGGGACTCCCACAGTGCAGCGGTGGGCTGAAGGGCTCCTCAAGTGCCGCCAAAGTGGGAGCCCAGGCAGAGGAGGTGCTGAGAGCAAGCGAGGGCTCTGAGGACTGCCAGCACGCTGTCACCTCTCACCGGGAGGCAGAGGTTGCAGTGAGCCAAGATCGTGCCATTACGCTCCAGCCTGGGGCAACAAGAGCGAAACTCCGTATCAAAAAAAAAAAAAAAAAAAAGTCAATTTCCAGGAGGCAAGGTCTTCCAGTTTTTGCTTGTCTAGAAAAGCCTTCATTTCATCTTCATATTGAAAATATTCTTACTCCGTGTAATTCTAGGTTGATAAAGTATTTTTTTCTTTCAGTATTTTAATGATGTTGCTTCTTTATCTTCTGGTTGTCATGGTTTTTCACAGGAAGTCTGTTATGCTTGTCTTTGCTCCTCTCTATACAATGTGTCTTTTCTAGCTCGTTCTAGGATTTCCCTTTTATCACTGATTTTTAGTTATTTGATTACGTTGTACTTTGGTATGATTTTTTAAAGTTTATTTTGCTTGATATTTGTTGAGTTCTTGGGATCTGTGAGTTTATAGTTTTCATCAAATTTAATTTTTTCAGCTACTATTTCTTTAAACATGTTTTCGGTTCCCTTTTTTTCTGGAACTTCAATAATACATATTGCAGACAAAACATTGTCTCACAAAATCACTGGTATTCTATTCATTCATTTTCAGCCCATACTCCCTCCACCCCATACTCCCTCTCACCCTCACAAGATTCTGACAAAACATGCCAGGCTGCCACTCTGTGGAGAAGTCCACTTCATCCAATTTAGTTTCTTGCTCTGTCACCCAGGCTGGAGTGCAGTGGTGCTATCTCAGCTCATTGCAACTTCCACCTCCCGGGTTCAAGGGATTCTCCTGCCTCAGCCTCCTGAGTAGCTGGAAATACAGACATGCGCTACCACACCCAGCTAATTTTTGTATTTCTAGTAGAAACAGAGTTTTGCCATGTTGGCCAGGCTGCCCTCGAACTCCTGACCTCAGGTGATCTGCCCACCTCAGCCTCCCAAAGTGCTAGGATTACAGGCGTGAGCCACCGCACCCGGCCCAGTTCAGTTTCTTATATCCTTCTCTGGGCCACTGCTGTCTCCCCTCCTGTCCAACCCTGATATCTGCTTTGCTCTGCCTCACCTAATGATCTGGGGCTTAATCATTCAGGAAGGGAAGAGAAAGTAGAAAACAAAATTGATTTATGTTTTTAAAAGATGCTGTGTGAAAACGGGCATGTAGGAGGGCAAGAGTGAAAAAATTAAGAGCAGTAATTATTGCTTGAACTAGGATGGTAGCAGGGGAGATACCTTTCAGTGGATGAATACAAGCTATGTTTTGAAATTAGAAAAGTAGAACCAATAGGAAGTGTTGAAAGGCTGCATGTGGTGGATGACACGAAAAGAAGTCAAGAACAACTTCTAGCTTTGGGGCTTACGCAGAGTTGGAAATTAGTTCTATTTATCTGAATGAATAGGGATGAAGTGGAAGTTGGAAATATTAGACTTTGAACTTTTTGTGCCCATTAGATATCCAGGAGACTGTTGGCAGTTGGAAACCTGCACTTAGTTCTTAGAGGAGAAATCAGATCAAAAGACGTGAAACTGGAAGTCATTTAAATATACATTGTATTTAAAGCCATGAAGCTGACTGAGATCGCTTGTCTGGGAGAGTATGTTGGAGAATAGGGCGCTGGACCAAGCTCTGGCCACTGCATCACTCAGATAGAGGAGGAGACGCAAATGAATGAGACTGAGAAGGAGCATCCACTAAGGCAGAAAGAAAACTCTAAAAAGTGAATCAAGGAAGTCAAGAGAATAGAGAGGCTCTAGAAAAATATGGCAGTTAACTGAATTGATTTTTGCAGAGAGATCAAGTAAGATATGGCCTGGGCCATGTCCATTGGATTCAGAGACAATATGGAAGTGAGTTTAGTTTATTGAAAACAGATTTGCATGATGGGGTAGACCCCAATTGGAATGAATAAAAGAATAAGTATATATGGAGGCTTACGGATTTCATAGAAGAATAAAAAGTAGAGAAATAACAAAACACATACCTCCACAAGGACAAACGATGGAGAGATAACAGCAGAGAAGATATTTTTGTTTTTTTGAAGGTAATAGGCAGATGAGTGGTAACTCTCCAACACAACAGAGAAAGCTTCAACATACAGGCCTCCATTGGGGGTGAGAGTAAGTCAACTACTGGTAGATTATTAATTCTGTGGAATCCTGGAAAGATTCGGGAATTGCAACTGGGTTCCTCTAAAGATTTGGGTGTGGCATGTGACTAAATACAGGAAGGATAGTTGAAATACAATGTAGCTAGGAACTGTCTCTCAGCTCCAGATCACTCCTTCCACTCAAGCACTTGGATGAATACACCTCTCTTCCTTTTAACAGCTTAGGGTTTTATCTCTGGAGATACTGAAACCAAAGAAACTCTAGATCAGTAATCCCAGGCACTGCTGAAGGCAGGAGTGAAAGTGTATCCAGAATTGGTGGGTTCTTGGTCTGACTTCAACAATGAAGCCGTGGACTCTCGCCGTGAGTGTCACAGTTCTTACAAGTGGTGTGTTCTGAGTTTGTTCCTTCTGATGTTCAGATGTGTTCGGCGTTTCTTCTGGTGGGTTCGTGATCTCACTGGCCTCAGGAGTGAAACTGCAGATTTTCGCAGTGAGTGTTACAACTCATAAACGCAGTGTGGACTCAAAGAGTGAGCAGCAGCAATATTTATCACAAAGAGTGAAAGAACAAAGTTTCCACACTATAGAAGAGTACCCAAGCGGATTGCCACTGCTGGCTCAGGGCAGCCTGCTTTTATTCCCTTATCTGGTGGCACCCACATCCTACTGATTGGTCCATTTTACAGAGCGCCGATTGGTTTTACAGAGAGCTGATTGGTCTGTTTTGACAAGGTGCTGATTGGTGTGTTTACAATCCCTGAGCTAGACACAAAAGTTCTCCAAGTCCCCACAGAGCACTGATTGGTGCATTTACAAACCTTGAGCTATACACAGGGTGCTGATTGGTATGTTTACAAACCTTGAGCGAGACACAGGGTGCTGATTGGTGTATTTACAATCCCTTAGCTAGACATAAAGATTCTCCAAGTCCCCACCAGATTAGCTAGACACAGGGTGCTTACTGGTGTGTTTACAAACCTTGAGCTAGACACAGAGTGCTGATTGGTGTATTTACAATCCCTTAGCTAGACATAAAGATTCTCCGAGTCCCCACCAGATTAGCTAGACACAGGGTGCTGATTGGTGCATTTGCAAACCTTGAGCTAGACACAGAGTGCTGATTGGTGTATTTACAATCCCTTAGCTAGACATAAAGGTTCTCCAAGTCCCCACTACACTCAGGAGCCCAGCTGGCCTCACCTAGTGGATCCCGCACCTGGGCCGCAGATGGAGCTGCCCGTCAGTCCCACGCCGTGCGCCAGTACTCCTCAGCCCTTGGGCAGTCTATGGGACCGGGTGCCGCAAAGCAAGGGGCAGCGCTCGTCTGGGAGGTTCTGGCTGCACAGGAGCCCATGGCGGCGTGGGGGAGGCTCAGGCATGGCGGGCTGCAGGTCCCAAGCCGTGCCCCTCAGGGAGGCAGCTGAGGTCCGGCGAGAATTGGAGCGCAGCACCCGCTGGCACTGCTGGGGAACCTGGCGCACCCTCCGCAGCTGCTGGCCCGGGTGCTAAGTTCCTCACTGCCTGGGGCCAGCTGTGCTGGCCACGCCAGCCCGAGGCTCAGAGTGTGGGGCCCCCCGAGGCCACGCCCACCTGGAACTAGTGCTGGCCCGCAAGTGCCGCAGGCAGCCCGGGTTCCCGCCCGTGCCTCTCCCTCCACACCTCCCTGAAAGCTGAGGGAGCTGGCTCCGGCCTCGGCCAGCCCAGAGAGGGTCTCCCACAGTGCAGCGGGGGGCTGAAGGGCCCCTCAAGCGCAGCCAGAATGGGTGGCGAGGCCGAGGAGGCTCCGAGACTGAGCGAGGGCTGCCAGCACCCTGTCACCTCTCAAAAGGTTTTACTGAAACTATGCAATTAAGGAAATGCTTACACCCTGAAATGTAAAACCCACATTACCTATTCCCTTGCTCAGCTTCCAGCACTTCAGCAGCTATGCTAGTATGCTCTAGACAGGATCTGGAGAATTCTTCTTGTGGAAAGAAATTAGCCAACACTAGATACTGACATTTTGAGGATCTTCCCAATCTAAACTGCCACGTCTCTGCTAAATTACCCTAAAGCTAAGTCCACCAGTTGACAGGCCCTACCCCTGCTCACAGAGCTTCCAGGCATCATATTAGTGCCTCACTCAAATGCAAAGGACATTCTGGGATTACCAGATATTTGAGAAAAATCTCTAGCTTGAAATATAGAGACCAAAACAAATATCCCTATGAAGCAAAGCCAGAGAGAACTGAGACAATGCAAACAGCAAAACCAACTTCAAATGTCCTCAGCAATATAAGAGAAAGTATAGCACCCACAAAAAAAAAAAAAGTAAGAGATGCCATCTTAAAAATGGTTGTAGAGAAAAAAAAGATCTCTTTGAAAAAAAAAAACCTCAAAATTCACTAGAAGGATTTGAAGACTTTAGAAGCTGAGGAAATCTCCCCAGAAGAAAAATAAAACGACAGAGTTGGAAGACAGAAGAAGAAATATAAGAAAATTAGAGTGTCAGCCCAGGAGGTCAAACATCCAAATTATAAGATTTTTTCAGAAAGACAGAACAGAGAAAATGGACGAGAGGCAATTATCAAAGAAAAAAATGCAATAAAATTTCCCAGAACTGACTGATACAACTTTCTACTGTGCAAATTCCTAACACAATGAAAGAATCCATACTATGACACCATATCATGAGATTTTAGAACAGTAGTTTTAAAAATCTGAAATCCTCCAGAATAAAAAGAATGGGTCTTTTACAAGAGGTCAGTAATCTAAATATCAGACTTCACAATCTAGAATCTAGGAATAGTGGATCAACGCCTTTAAAATCCTGAGAAAAATCATATCCATCCTAGAATTCTATAACCAGCTAAACTATGAGTCAAATGTGAGGGTGGAATAAGACATTTTCAGACGTATAAGGTCTATGGACAGCTGGGCCCATTTTTCTCTTCTTCCTGGGCACATGGCTAAGTTACATTTGTCAACCTCTCTTGTAGCTAGGTAGGGCTACATGTCTAAGCCCTAGTCAGAGGCCCCTGAAGGGAAGGAATACATATTAATTTCCACTTCATTTCTTTAAGAGTAAATACCTATTCCTTGATTTCTGCTTGTATATATATTTTTAATTTCTGTATATTATCATGTTTTGACATCTTAACAAACTTTTCTAGCTAGGGAGAGACAGGACCTTCCAGGGCTAGCCAATTCTTAAAAGTAGCAAAGGGTCCAGCCAGGAGCATGAGCTGATATGCAGACTAACCATTCCAGAGCCATAGCTCCTCTATCTGGCCCATATACTCCAGGAAACAATATTTATCTGCCTTAGTCATTCCAAAGTCAAGTACTAGGCAACTAGGTGGTAATCAGCCATATAGCTCAAAGAACACAGGAATTATTCAAACCAGCCAATCCTAAACTGTTCACCCTGCCTTTCCTTGCCTTTCCCACAGAAACCCAATAAAAGGAAAGACATAAATCTTTCCTTCACTCCTGTCTTCTGCCTCCTGACTACCTTGATGTCTTTCTCAGGTGGTCCCGCATGGCAGTGCCATGCCTCCTGTCTCTAGGGCCTGTAAGCCTCTCCTCTTGTGGCTGCACTTTGACTGACTGTATCATAAAATAATACAAAATACTGTTTTTCTTCCCTCTCCTTGGGCTGAAATGATGATGACACTGGAAACCATATGTTGAAGACGGAAGAACCATATTCACCCAGGATCCCTGAATGACTGCATGGAGCAGAGCTCCCACCATCCTATAATACTTACCTTAGGACTGGTACAAGGGAGAAAAATAAACTTGTTTTTCAAAGCCACTTTCGGGATCTCCTTGTTACAGCAGCTTAGCATTACCCTAACAGTGCATAAGGTTTTAAAATAATTTCCCACCATAAACTCTCTCTCTCAGGAAGCTTCTAGAGAAAGTGATGCTCCAAGATGGAAAAATAAAGCCAGAAAAAAGATAAGAATTTACAAGGGAAAAAAGGGAATTTCCAGAATGTTGCTGAATACAGATTGCAGGACAAGAGATCTAGCAAGCAACCAGTACTGGTTGGACAGAGGCTTCTAAATGGGATTGCTCTGGTTGGACAGAGGCTTCCAAATGGGATTGCTCAAGGGAAAAAAGTGAAACTGATAGATTGCCTCATGTGTTTGGAAAAGACAGGGATACTTCTGGTGGAGGTTTTGGGATGAATTAATTACATATATGAAGAAAACTATGGACATTTTTAAAATGAGGCTATTATTAATATCTAGAAAAACAAAAATTACAAGAACGGATGGTCATCACAATGCAATTATATGACCCAGTTATAAATGTTACTAGAGGTCATTTATACTTATTATAATGTCATCACAATGCAATTATATGACCCAGTTATAAATGTTACTAGAGGTAAAATTTATAGTTATCATAATGTAAACACTAAATGCTAGTTTAACACCAAAAATTTGATACAGTCATTTGGGGAGAATTGTGAGCGGCAATGTGAGACAGTAAGTGTGTAGGGGGAGTGGTCTAACCTAAATCTTTCTTTTCATTAGAAGGAAGACAATAAATCATGCCCAAAGCAGGAAAAAAAACCCAAAAAACCTCAACCAACAAAGAAGTAATGGTAGTAAGAGAATTTATGGCCGGGTGCAATGGCTCACGCCTGTAATCCCAGTGCTTTGGAAAGCTGAGGTGAGAGGATCCCTTGAGCCCGGGAGTACCAGGCTGCAGTGAGCTATGATGGTGTCTCTGCATTCCCGCCTGGGTGACAGAGTGAGATCTTGTCTCTAAATAAATAGATAAATGCAGTATGAACGTAAATGCCAACAGGAACCCTGGGAAGCAGGACTCAGAATAAGAAGCAATTGGGGCAAGGGAATCAGGGGCTGAAGTTTTATGAGAAGCCTTGTAGGACTACAAGTATTTCTTTTTCAGAACTGCTTACATCCATTACCTAATACAATAAAATAAAATAAACAAGTGAGTGGGAGGTGAGAAGTGACATAGCAAGTGTGGGGAAGTCCTTCAAGAATGGGGGTGAGGGGCCAGGCCCGGTAGCTCACACCCGTAATCCCAGCACTTTGGGAGGCCAAGGTGGGTAGATTGTCTGAGCTCAGGAGTTCGAGTCCAGCCTGGGCAACACAATGAAACCCCGTCTCTACTAAAATACAAAAAATTAGCTGGGCGTGGCGGTGTGCGCCTGTAGTCCCAGCTACTCAGGAGGCTGAGGCAGGAGAATCGCTTGAACCTGGGAGGCAGAGGTTGCAGTGAGCCGAGATTGCAGCACTGCACTCTAGCCTGGGCGACAGAGCCACACTCCATCTCCAAAAAAAAAAAAAAGAATGGGGGTGAGGAGGAGAGTGGAGGGAGAGGTGGTGGCTGAGGAGTGATGCGGGGACGTTAGGATGGACATCATTCAGTGTTTGGTCCAGGGACCTCTGGGATCACACTGTCTGAAGAACCCACGCCATCCCACCAAGCTTACTGAATCAAGATCTTGCTTGGTGGGGTGTCAGGGCCTGGAAACCCAAGTTTTTAATCGTCTCCTTGGATGATACTTGTGCATACAGAACTGAGCTTGTTTGGATGCTGATGGAAAGGACCCAAGAAAGGTAAAGTGAGATGGGAGGGGAAGGAGAAATGCACTGAGCAAAGCCCCTGAGACGGCAGGAGGGTGAGACGGCGCCCAGCATTCAGATGGAGGAGTTGGTCCTTGCTAATCCACTGTAATGGGGCTACAGGAGACACTGTTGGTTACTTTATAGATCTAGTGGTAGGAAAAGAGGAGGGGCCTTTCAGCCCTTGCACACTTGCTCCCTTTTGTTAGGAAATATTATTTAAGTCTATGTTTTACAGTAGACCAAGTGTTCCATGGGGGTCAAGACCATGGCATTTCCCACTCCATTCCTCACCATGGCCTAGCACGCAGCAGTGCCTGGCCCAGAGGAGGAGCTCTATAAATGTTTGTTGAATGACTACATGAATGACAGTTTCTTCTGAGGTAAGGGGACTCTTGTTTAAAATCAGACAGATAGGACTGGAGTTCAGGATTAGGACAGGCGACGGGCAGATCTGGAAGGCATGGGTAGGTAGAGAACAGTTGAAGCATTCAGGGTGAAGGCAAGGGGAAAGAGAAGAAAAAGAACGCCGAGGGAAGTGCTGAAGCGGGCGAGGGAGCGAATCCAGAGTGGGGTGCAGGAAACAGATGCATACTGAGGAAGAAGGGGGAAGCACTCCAAATCCTCCACATCATCCAACCTATACCTTCTCTTTCAACCGCACCTCCCACTTCTTGACGAGCCATCCTACAGTAAAGGCAATGGAATGGATGAGCCAATTAACCTGGTGTCTCATAATTAGGGAAGATATGTTGATGTAAGAAATCAAAGACTGGAGTGAACAGTACTATCTCAGACAGCCCATTGGAGTCACACGGAGCCCAATTCACTTCTCCCCTGGGCTGTTTCCTTTCACAGCCATTGCTGATCCAATGTCAGAGCCAACCCCTCAGTGGCCGAACTCCGGTTTGTTTCTACCAGGGAAGTTCTCAGGGGATTATACATGGATTTGGAATCAGGCAGCATCCGAAGAAGGGTTGAAGCAAAAAATCAAAAAACAGTAGATGTTGGCGTAGATGCAGTGATCAGGGAACACTTCTACACTGCTAGTGGGAATGTAAACTAGTACAATCACTATGGAAAACAGTGTGGAGATTTCTTAAAGAACTAAAAGTAGATCTACCATTTGATCCAGTAATCCCACTACTGGGTATCTACCCAGAGGAAAAGAAGTCATTATACAAAAAAGACACTTGCACACACATGTTTATAGCAGCACAATTCACAATTGCAAAGTCATGGAACCCAAATGCCCATCAATCAACGGTGGATAAAGAAACTGGCATATATATACGATGGAATACTACTCAGCCATAAAAAGGAATGAATTAATGGCATTTGCAGTGACCTGGATGAGACTGTAGACTATTATTCTAAGTGAAGTTACTCAGGAATGGAAAACCAAACATCGTATGTTCTCACTGATAGGTGGGAGCTAAGCTGTGAGGACTCAAACGCATGAGAATGATACAATGGACTTTGGGCACTAGGGAGGAAGGACGGGGGAGGCACGAGAGATAAAAGACTACAGATAGGGTGGGTGCAGTGTACACTGCTTGGTGACGGGTGCACCAAAGTCTCACAATTCACCAATAAAGCACTTACATAACCAAATATCACCTGTACCCAAATAACCTATGGAAAAAAAAACAAAGAAGGATTGAAGGATTTTTACTTGACTTTAGACTGAGATCCTGGTTTTAATTTGGAATTAAGAATGCTATTGGAACTAGAGTTTTCCGGTTAAAAAAAAAAACTTTTATCCAAGATACAAAGGAAAGTAAAATCTCACCCCCCTCCATTTCCCCAGCACCGCCCCACCGCCCCACCACATGTGCTCACAACCACAGCTGGGGGAGACTAATACAGATTTGCTTCTAAGACAGCATCAGAATCATGGTCAGTGGAATTGGGATCAGTACTGGCTTTTGCAGAAATGGGCAAAAAAAAAAAAAAAATGAATCATCATTGTTTCTGGAAGAAGAGTCATGCCTGGGCAGGGGATTCCCCATCTCCTTCAGGGCTTATGTGGCCTCCATGCCCCTCTCCCTCCTTAACTGCTAAGTCACTTACTGGGTCCCAGAAGTCCAAAGAGAAGCAGCCACAGGAACCAGAAAGCAGGAGAGATATTTCCTCTTCTCATCTCTAAATGATGCACATAGAAGTTGTCATTTAGATGCCTGGGTTCCAAAGGAAGGATAGGTCAAAGAGGCAGAGAGACAAGGGGCAAACCCCCTGGGCCTTGATAGAAAATAAAGTTGCACAAAAAGACCCAAAGGCCAGCCAGTGCCAGGGTAAGCCTTGTAGGCAGATGGCATGGTTGGGGGGAGCCCCCAAATTGCTCCACAGTTTGGCTTCTTATTTTTCTTCTTTTTTCCTCGCAAACGTGTCTGTGGCATTTATAGCTGATACTGAGTAGGGGAGGCCAGAACTTTGGGTCCTCCCTCCCCAGGGAGGGGCATTTCTGCGCTGTGCTTTCTGCAGGGCCGTTTGGAGAGATGTACCCTACAGGAATCAAGGCGGAGGAGAGAGCAGAGTCGGCAAGACCAGAGGGCGCACACATGAGGAGGGGCAGGGAGGGAGGCAGAATGAGGGGATCAAACTTGTCGGAGTGGAAGGGACCCACCCTTTGAACCAGAGCTGACCTGAAACCTGTTTTCCCTGGGTATGCCTCATTTTCAAAGCAGGAGGCCTTTGTAGAAGAAAGAAGGAAGAAGAGAAGAAAAGGAAACAAATGGATGGTAAAGGTCAATAGCAGTCTATCTAGGGGAAGCTGGGGATTTGGAGGGTGATAAGAGCATCAGGACACACGCCCGGCTTTCTCCAGAGTGCTCCTTCCCAGCTGCAGAGCAGCACATGGCTACGTGAGTGATACACTCCACTCCCTGTGAGCTCTCCAAGGGTGGGGAAAGTGGACACTGAGTGAGTCTCACTTCTAGTATCAAGTGGAAGTGAGTAGGGAAGAGGATGGGGCACGGAACTACCCATTTCCCTGAGTCAATCTTTGGCAATGGCTCTTAAGCATAGGTCAGGGACCCTGACTCACCTGCGTCCCTATTTCTAGGCTCACAACTAGCAGTTGATTGAAATTTACCCCGTGTAATTCAGATATGCAAGGAAAAATGTAGTTTGGCTTGCTATAACTCACCCAACTCAGTTTCCAGACTCTCTTTCCCACCAATGGCAGGGAAGCCTGGGGTTGGAAATGAGGATACGGGTATAAGCTTGCCAAATATTGGTGATGAAATTTCATTTTCTTTTAAAAGTGTCTCTTTTGGAAGGCATACTGTATGGTTCTAATTATATGAAAGTCAAGTACATGGAAAAATCAACTGATGATGATTAAAGTCAAAATACTGGCTACCTCTAGGGTGGCACTGATGGGGAGGAGGCAGGGGAGGCTTCTGGGGTGATAAGAATGTGGCACATCTTGATCTGGAAAGTGGGTAGGTGAGTGTATGCATGTGTTAAGATTCAACAATTGGCCGGGTGCGGTGGCTCATGCCTGTAATCCCAACACCTTGAGAGGCTGAGGTGGGAGGATTGTGTGAGCCCAGGAGTTCAAGAGCAGTCTAGGCAACATAGCAAGACCCTGTCTCTATTTCTTTAAAATAAATACATTAAAGAATTAAATAAAATTCAACGACTTGAGCACTTATGTGTCCACTCTGCACATTTTACTGCATATATTTTAAGCCTCAATTTAAAGATTAAAAACAACAGTCAAGGGTACAAACTTTCAGTTATAAGAAGAATGAGTTCTGGAACTTTAATCACATGGAGACTATAATTAACAATATTGTATTGTCTATCTGAAATTTGCTAACACACACAGAAAAGAAATGGTAAATATGTGTTGGTGATGTGTTCATTAGTTTGATAGTGGTAATTATTTCACAATGTATACTCATCAAATCAACACATTGTACACGCTGAAAACATATAATTTTTGTCTATTTTACCTCAGTAAGCTTGGGGGGAGAATTAAAAACAATAAGAAAGAAAAAAATTTTGGTGGCTCACGCCTGTAATCCCAACACTTTGGGAAGCCAAGGTGGGCGGGTTAGGAGTTTGAGACCAGCCTGATCAACATGGTGAAACCCCATCTCTAATAAAAATAAAAATAAAAATAAATTAGCTGGGCGTAGTGGCGGGTGCCTGTAATCCCAGCTACTTGGGAGGCTGAGGCAGGAGAATTGCTTGAACCCGGGAGGCAGAGGTTGTAGTGAGCCAAGATCGCACCACTGCACTCCAGCCCGGGTGACAGAGTGAGACTCCGTCTCAAAAAAAAAAAAAAGAAAGAAAAAGAAAACAATGTTTCAGGTCTCTTTTGGGTAAATACTTGGCCATATGAAATTTAATGCCCCTCTCAGGACTGTTTTCCCCCCATTTCAAGGGCTCTCCCCTCCACTTCTTTCCTGCACGTCCTCTGAGGGGGAATTTATGCCTCCTACTGGCAATGTGGGAACAAGACTTCGGCCCTTCAAGCTGGTCTCTCCTGAGCTCCCTCTCGTTCCATCTGGTCACTGGGATCCTGCATTGGCATCCAACGACTCTGAGACACAGTACTACCATTGTCTTCATTTTACAAATAAGGAAACTAAACCATGGAGAAGTCAAGTAATTTGGCCAAACTCACAAAGTTAGTAAGTGATGGAGTCAGGAATTAAACTATCAGTCCAGCTGCAGAGCCTGTGCTCTTCGCCATTATAAAAGGAGGTTGTCATGTCCAAACAGGACTTTGAGTCTGGCCCCTGAATATCTTCCTCCAACCAGACTGCCTGTTCCCAACTTCATCTGACATAGAAATTCTGGAGCTGTCACTGTTAGAAAGTATGCGGAATATAAAACCACAAAGCTACAGAGGCCCAGCTATGTGGAATTTGAAAAACAGATGGACGAGTCATCATAAGGGACATGTCGGGAAAATTAATGAGTTAAGAGCAGGTTGCTCGAGTGGAGCTGACTGGTCCGAGATCATTTTTTTAAATGCCTCCTTGGAGAGTCTGAGTCATGAGGGTTCTGATGACTAGGAAGGAAAGAGCAAACAGGGGTTGTGGGCTTAGGACTTGGGTTTGTTTTAGAGAGTAAGAGATTAGTTTCGCACAGAGTAGGGAATTCCAGGGACCCGGCAATTACGTAGAGTACACAATTTATAAACATAGCATAGATTTGAAATTCGCCCTTGAATGACCTGTGCTGAAAGTTTGATTTAGGAAAGGCCTGTGTTCCAGATTCTCGCTGCCATCTCTCTCAACCTCACCCTGTACCGGCTTAGATTTTCTTCAACCTGGCTGGACAAGGGGTCTGCTTTCCCTTCTAATTTTAGTTTACCCCCAATTCAAGTAGAGTTATTTTCATCACAAGGAGTCTCAATGGTACCTTCCATATAGCATATAGTTCATCAGAAAGTAACAAAAAGAAGAAGATTTTCTGTGAAATATAGCCTGATATGGTCTATGTCTGTGACCCATTTTCCCACAAACGGACCACTCTGATGGCAGCCACTGTCCCTGGATTTGGAGATCTCTCCTACAGCTGCTTAAGCTTCTTCAGCTATCTGGAGCCACCATTTGTGTAGAAATGTCCTATGTGCTTGAGTGCCCATCTTCAAATTTTCTGTTGTGTATACGTTCAAAAACAATTTTGAAAAGCTGTTTTCCCTCCTCTGTCTATGTTTAATCTAAATTTTTTAT
This sequence comes from Homo sapiens, assembly GCF_000001405.40. Taxonomy (NCBI): domain Eukaryota; kingdom Metazoa; phylum Chordata; class Mammalia; order Primates; family Hominidae; genus Homo; species Homo sapiens. The sequence goes on along the minus strand of NT_113891.3, from coordinate 2,486,744 downwards.
CATACATTTAATTATTGCAAAGAATGTAATTTCTACCATATTGTAAATGTAGACATTGAAATAATAAAAGTTTTTACTACTCTTTAAAATGTTTCCAGTAGACTCTAAACACTAGCAGCATCTCAATACTCATCATTATCCTTTTTTTAAATTTTATTTTACTTTAAGAGATGTGGGGGGTCTCACTATATTGCTCAGGCTGGTGTTGAACTCTTGGGCTCAAGCAATCCTCCCGCCTCAGCCTCCCCAAGTGCTGGGATTACAGACGTGAGCCACTGCACCTAGCTTCCATTATCCTTTTGAATAACATATAAGCAAGCTCTTCCTCAATAGTCTAGGTTTTTAAATGGTTCCTCCTGCTCTACGAACTTATAGTTCCATTTTACTTTCCCCATATTATTCTACTGGTCTCTCTCCATATATCATATTAAATACCAGTAACATAAATATTCTACTGCTATACATATATCACAGTATGTCTAATTAATAAACCTTATCTCTTAGAGCAGTTTTGGGTTCACAGCAAAATTAAGTGGTAAGTACAGAGGTCCCATAGACTCCCTGCCCCTACGCAAGCACAACCTCCCCACCTCGTTGACGTCAGGGTTTACTCTTGTATATTCTATGGGTTTTGACAAATGTACAATGACAGGCATCCACCATTGTAGTATCATATACAGTAGTTTCACGCCCTAAGAATCCTCTGTGCTCCACCTATTCATCACCCCACCCTCGTAACCCCTGGCAACCATTGACTCTTGACTGCCTTTATAGTTTTGTCTTTTCTGGGATGTCATATGGTCTGTAATAATTTTTTGCTTGAAAAGCTTTTATTGATCACCCTGTCATACTCCTCTGCATCAAAAGATATGTTTATAAACGTCTAAAAAATTTCCTGTGCCTTGTAAGACTCTGTGTTCAATTTATAGCCCCCAGTAACTTTTTGGTGAATTAAGCAAAAATGCTTCTCTTATGATACGTCTTTCCATATTTTCAAGAAAATATGAATCATTAACTTACCTAACATTTTTTATTTTTCATTTTTTTGAGACGGAGTCTCGCTCTGTCGACCAGGCTGGAGTGCAGTGGTGCAATCTCGGCTCACTGCAACCTCCACTTCCCAGGTTCAAGCTATTCTCTTGCCTCAGCTTCCCACGTAGCTGGGACTACAGGTGCCTGCCACCACGCCAGCTAGTTTTTGTATTTTTAGTAGAGATGGGGTTTCACCATGTTGGTCAGGCTAGTCTCAAAAGCCTGACCTCAGGTGATCCACCCGCCTCCGCCTCCCAAAGTGCTGAAATTACAGGCATGAGCCACCTCGCTTGGCCCACTTACCTAACATTTTAAAAATAACACAACTTACAGAGCGCTTACGAAATGCAGGACTATTCTAAGGCTTCACAATAACCCCATGAAGTGGGTACTATTTTCACTCTCATGTTTACAAATATGGAAACTGAGACCCAGAAGAATTAAGGAATTTGTGGAAAGTCACAATGAAATTGGATTTGAAACCAGAAATTCGAGCTCCACAATCTGTGCTCTTAGCTGACATGCCGTATGGCCTCTCTAAGTGTCTTTTATCTTAAGGTGTAACATTAATCAGTTGGAGCTTACAACATCTTTCTCCTTGAAATCATGCCAAATACACAATTGTTACCTAAACCAAGAAACTAGTGAACAGGAAGCTCTTTCCCCTTACAGAAAATGGTGTACAATTCAGGGAAGTGTGCTTCATAGCACATTGCTTTGTCCCAGCAAGTTGCTGACAAATCTTGAATATTCTAAAATAGGCAGACAGACAGATAAGGTGGGTTGGCTGCCATGGGATTTTTCTCCTTGGTTAAATAAGCCACTGCCTCCTCTATTCTTTCTGCTGATTCTGCTCTTGCTCCAATCTCATGAGATACTCCCTCAAGAGGGATGCATTTTTAAAGAGTGGATGGAAGAGAAGAGATTGTTAAAAAAAAAAAGAAAGGAAAAAAAGAAGTTTTTATTACTCCTGTTACTTCATTCTACAGTGTATCTGCGTAAATAACACCTTAACACATGCCAAAATTACCAGTCCCTTACACTCCACGTAGCCCTTCACAGGAATTTATATGAGGCAGGAGAAAACAGGAAGTCCTACTCTGGGTATATGATCCCTAAATTAGAGGTGGTTTTTGAGGTATCCCTTCACTAAAAGGCTTTATTTGACACCCTGAAATGTTCTACACCCTGCGGAAATGTGGTAATAATAATATGGGAGCTACAGAGGAAATGTTGGATGTTCATCAAAGAAGAGTCAGAAAAGTGTAGCCCTGACCACAGAGGTGCCCTCAGACAGATCAGTTCTAGGCAACAAGCACATACGGAAGTTGAAGATCTGGAAAATGGTTCCCATCAAACAACCCACGCCTGCATAATACTCTTCAGGAAGTCTTTATGTACGCCCAAGATGTGGGGGCACAGATGCCACGTGAAGATCATTGTGCTAAATCCACAGTGCAAAGGCACAGGTCTAGATGGGCAGCCCTTTAACCCTGTCCACTTCCTGGACTTTTGCTTGGGTCACGCATGCTTGGTGGGCTGGGGCTTTGTCACATTACAGGAGTAGGTGTATTCCATGACGAAAGCTGGGTAATGATGCTTCCAAACTCTACCTGCACACCCCAGTTGCTGGGAGTAATGAGATACTCACAGCACAACTATGTGAATCAATCACAAGGTAAATTGCTCACCAGGGACTCCCCCCTTTTCTCCTTCCTCTAGCTCAAAATGCCCATTCATTTGAGTCATTTGTTGTTTATTTTTGGAAATAATTTTTTTAAATTTGAGACAGAGTCTCACTCTGTCACCCAGGCTAGAGTGCAGTGACATGATCTCAGCTCACTGCAACGTCCACCTCCCAGGTTCAAGTGATTCTCCTGCCTCAGCCTTCCAAGTAGCTGGGACTACAGGCGCGCACCACCGCGCATGGCTAATTTTTGTATTTTTAGTAGAGACAGGGTTTTGCCATGTTGGCCAGGCTGGTCTCAAACTCCTGGCCTCAAGTGATCTGCCTGCCTCAGCCTCCCAGAATGCTGGGATCACAGGTGTGAGCCACCATGTCCGGCCAGGAAATAAAAATTTTTATTTACATAATGTGCCTGGTAAAAATTTAAGAGCTGTATTGAGCTACAATTTACATACCATATAGTTCACCTGTTTAAAATATATAAACCTGGCTGGGCAAGGTGGGTCATGCCTCTAATCCCAGCACTTTGGGAGGCTGAGATGGGTGGATCACCTGAGGTTAGGAGTTCAAGACTAGCCTGGTCAACAGTGGTGAAACCCCATCTCTACTAAAAATACAAAAATTAGCCAGGCATGGTGGCACTCGCCTATAATCCCAGCTACTTGGGAGGCTGAGGGAGGAGAATCTCTTAAACCTAGGAAGCAGAGGTTGCAGTGAGCCGAGATTGCGCCACTGCACTCCAGCCTCGGTGACAGAGTGAGATTCCATCTCAAATTTAAAAAAATAATAAGAATAAAATAAAGTATATAAACCAGTGGTTTTAGGCCGGGTGCAGTGGCTCATGCCTGTAATCCCAGCACTTTGGGAGTCCAAGGTGGGTGGATCACCTGAGGTCAGGAGTTCGAGACCAGCCTGGCCAACATTGTGAAACCCCATCTCTACTAAAAATACACACACACACACAAATTAGCTGGGTGTGGTGGCACGCACCTGTAATCCCAGCTACTCGGGAGGCTGAAGCAGGAGAATCACTTGAACCTGGAAGGTGGAGGTTGCAGTGAGCTGAGATCACGCCACTGCACTCCAGCCTGGGCGACAGAGCAAGACTCCGTCTAAAATAAATAAATAAATAAACCAGTGTTTTTTAGTATATTTACAGAGTTGTACTTGGTGAAGCTTTTCATAGACAGACTCAAGTCTTTTTTCTCTATTCCAGCTCTTCTTTTTTCCCTTCTAATTCTTCTCTTCCATTTCGTCTCTTTTTCTCTGTTTTGAGCCTTATTACTTGCACGTTAGTCTTCCTGGATCTATCCTCCAAATGTATTATATTTGCCGGGTGATTTTTATTCCTGTATAATTGTGTCTGTTTGAGTTATTTTTCGCGCTTGCTCTTCCGGATTACTAGCATAATTCTCTATAATGGCCAGCCTCTTTCAATTTGTCTATTAAAATTTGAAAATACATGTTTTACTATTTTTTTAAAAAATGATCTAGCTGGACACCCTTGCCTGATCTTATTTCTTTTCATGCTTTTCCACATAAGGGTTTCCACAGTTCCTATCAGTGGGAGGCACCTTTTCAGGGTGTTCAACTTGTCTTTCCCTTCTGGTTTCTGGATCCCTTTAAGTGAGCAGATGATGATGATTGCCTGCATATGGCTCAGCGTGGCCTCTCTGTTCCTCAGTGAGCAGGGGCATGCAAACCTTCCCCCAAAGACTGAGGGAGCTGAGAGGCTGTGGAGACAAAGTGACTCCATCTTGGATGCTAATCTGCCATGTTGACTTCTGATTAACCCAGGTCCCATGAGTCACATGGGCCTCATTCCTACTTTATTTACTGTTCTTGGTAAGGACATGTACTTACTGTAAATCCTGTCTTCGTTTTTTGTTTGTTGTTTTGTTTTTAGAGACAGGGTCTTGCTCTGTCACCTAGGCTGGAGTTCAGTGGTGCAATCTCAGCCCACTGCAGCCTCTAACTCCTGGGCTGTAATGATCCTCCTGCCTCAGCCTCCCAAGTAGCTGGGACCACAGGCACATGCTACCACTCCCAACTAATTTTGGTTTTCTTTTTTGTAGAGATGAGGTGTTGTTTTGTTTCCCAGACTGGTCTCAAACTCCTGCCCCCAAGCAATCCTCCCTCCTCTCCCTCCCAAAGCTCTGGGATTACAGGCATTAGCCACCACATCCAGCCCCTGCCTTTAGATCAAAGCAACCTTGATATTATGGCATAAATTACAGGCTACGACGCACATAGCATTCCTGCCTGTTCTGAAAGGTTGCTTTTAATTGTCTCTACAGGAAGTATACACCCTTTCTGGGGTAAGCCCTGGGTCTGGGGGTAACAGGTGTGGAGATCTACCTGACTTGCTGCCACCCAAGACTACACTTCTGTCTGTAAATTCCCCAGCAAATCACCATTTACTGACAAACTGGATCTATCTGCCTTGTTTTTGGTTTCTTGGCTCCTTCAGCGTTTGGGAGCCACTTTACATGTATGACCCTTTTATGGAACAAAGGCTGAATGAAATAAGTGGCTAACAAATCCAGTTTCTCCAAAAGAAATTTTGAACAAGGACTAAGCAACAGAAGCCACGTCTGGGAGAGCTGCAAGACGATGGACACTCCAGAAAACATCCTTTCTATAGCAAGGTCTTAGGGTAAAATATATGCAGCTGGTCACATCTCAGACTTTCTTGCCAAAACCCATAACCACTCCGGAGGTTAAAGAAGCATGTTTGTGAAGGGTTATTTATGCAGCAGGCATTGTTTGAAGACTGTGCTGCAGTGCACTTTGCTATGCAAAAGTGGACCACTGGTCATCATGATGTGTCCAGAATTGGTGGCTTCTTGGTCTCACTGACTTCAAGAATGAAGCCGCAGACCCTCGCGGTTACTGTTACAGCACTTAAGGTGGCGCGTCTGGAGCTTGTTCTTTCCGATGTTCGCATGCGTTCACAGTTTCTTCCTTCTGGTGGGTTTGTGGTCTCGCTGGCTCAGGAATGAAGCTGCAGATCTTCACGATGAGTGTTACAGCTCACAAAAGCAGCATGGACCCAAAGAGTGAGCAGTAGCAAGATTTATTGCAAAGAGCAAAAGAACAAAGCTTCCACAGTCAGGAAAAAGACCAGAGCGGGTTACCACTGCTGGCTGGGGCAGCCTGCTTTTATTCTCTTATCTGGCCCCACCCACATCCTGCTGATTGGTAGAGCCAAGTGGTCTGTTTTGACAGGGTGCTGATTGGTGCGTTTACAATCCCTGAGCTAGACACAAAGGTTCTCCACGTCCCCACCAGATTAGCTAGATACAGAGTGTGGACACGAAGGTTCTTCAAGGCCCCACCAGAGCAGCTAGATACAGAGTGTCGATTGGTGAACTCACGAACCCTGAGCTAGACTCAGGGTGCTGATTGGTGTGTTTACAAACCTTGAGCTAGATACAGAGTGCCGATTGGTGTATTTACAATCCCTGAGCTAGACATAAAGGTTCTCCACATCCCCACCAGACTCAGGAGCCCAGCTGGCTTCACCCAGTGGATCCCGCACCGGGGCTGCAGGTGGAGCTGCCTGCCAGTCCTGCGCCGTGCGCTTGCACTCCTCAGCCCTTGGGTGGTCGATGGGACTGGGCGCCCTGGAGCAGGGGGTGGCACTCGTCGGGGAGGCTCGGGCCGCATAGGAGCCCATGGAGGGGGTGGGAGGCTCAGGCATGGCGGGCTGCAGGTCCCAAGCCCTGCCCCGCGGGAAGGCAGCTAAGGCCTGGTGAGAAATCGAGTGCAGCGCCGGCGGGCTGGCACTGCTGGGGGACCCAGTACACCGTCCGCAGCTGCTGGCCCGGGTGCTAAGCCCTTCATTGCCCAGGACCGGCAGGGCCAGCCAAGCCCACGCCCACCCGGAACTCCAGCTGGCCCGCAAGCGCCGCGTGCAGCCCCGGTTCCCGCTCGCACCTCTCCCTCCACACCTCCCTGCAAGCTGAGGGAGTGGGCTCCGGCCTTGGCCAGCCCAGAAAGGGGCTTCCACAGTGCAGCGGTGGGCTGAAGGGCTCCTCAAGTGCCGCCAAAGTGGGAGCCCAGGCAGAGGAGGCGCTGAGAGCGAGCAAGGGCTGTGCGGACTTCCAGCACCCTGTCACCTCTCAATGGCAGCTTTGCTTCAAAATGGCGTCCCTGTTGCCGTGCAACAGGCTGTATTCCTACACTCCACCTCTCAAAACTGGCCCTGACAATTTCACGTGCTCATCTCTTCCATGATAGTCCCTGGGCCTAAAGGGAGGACCCTTGATAGTGCATAGCTTTAGCAGCAGTGCGTTGGCTCCACTGGAGGCAGATAACACAGCAGCAGTAAAGGCTCAAACAAGACAGTAAGGAACGTACGAGTACAGCACCTAAACCAAGAAGCAGCTTATGCCACCAGGTGCCCCAGGACCCAAACCAGCTGTGAAGCCAATTATTCAAAGTAGGGGTCTGAGAGCTTGGTTATGTGGGCTTTTATATCAGTCATTAATTTAGCGATATTAACTGATTCATCAGGAATATAAACACAGCAGTTTTTCCAATTGCACAAGTGCCCCGTTGTGCAGCGTGAGTATATGTAAAGCCTGGTAATTTGGGAGGACAGACTTTCTCATGACAGTGACTTCCATGTTTAAAAGAGAGATTCCCATGCAGCTATCATTTAAAGTTTTCTTTTTTTTTATTTTTTGTAGAGTTTGTTTTTTTAATTTTTTGAGTCAGAGTCTCGCTCTATCACCTGGGCAGGAGTGCAGTAGCACGGTCTTGGCTCACTGTAACCTCCACCTCCCAGGTTCAAGCAATTTTCCTGCCTCAGCCTCCCAAGTAACTGGGATTACAGGCATGCGCCACCACGCCCAGCTAATTTTGTTATTTTTTGTGGAGATGGGGTTACACCGTGTTGGCCAGGCTGATCTCGAACTCCCGACCTCAACTGATCCACCTGCCTTGGCCTCCCAAAGTGCAGGGATTACAGGCTTTATAGAGTTTCTATATGCCAGATAATATCTTCAATAACCGGATGAGGAAGACAAATGGAGGCCAAACAATCATACCAATAAAAAACAGATCAGAACCAGTGGGATTTCAAATGAGGGAGATTGATAGGCTTTGTAGTGTGTGAACTATTCAGTCTGTGCCCGTGTATAATCCAAAGAACATCTTCCTAAACATGCAGGGGGTAACCAAGGCCATAAATTGGTACCACATATCCAGGAAGTTCCATTTGGGGCCAACCAAAAGATTCCTGCACACAGTGTCCGTTCTGTAACATGCCCAATGAGTATTTTATTATATTATAGCATAGTATATAAAAATCAGTCTCTTGCTATCCATCACATATCCCTTGTGCAATTTGGCCAAGTATCTTTAGAATGATTCATTTGTTCCCAAGACTGAGGAGCAAGTTGACTAACATGGCCAAAAGACGGAATTAACCAAATAAACCCAGCCTGTTTTTGGGTATCAGGTTGTTTTGTTCTTTATTTAGGGTGTTGTCACTCTCTAGCAGGAAATAGCCTATCCAGCCTGGGGCTATTTGTCGTTCCAAGCTCGGTGTGTTTCCTCCTCGGTAGTATATCTGCTGGCATCTTCATGTGCAAAAGACACTGGTTGTCAATGAGGTCTGGGAGCAAGCAAAGCAGTCGTCTCAATTACCCCTATGGGAACAGTGGTAGGCTTGGGGGACCGTTGTCCTAGACGGTCACATGGGGCAGGCGTCCCTGCTTTGGCTGAATTTAAAGAAATAAAGGTTGGAGATAACACATTCATCTGCCTATGCAAGGTAGGTTTCCCAAATTAGAGTTTGAATTTGTGCTTTCAACAGACTGGTATTTCTTTCAATTAACCCTGCTGCTTGGAGGTTCTATGGGAGATAAAAGTGCCATAGTGTATCATGTTTCCTGGCCCAGTCCTGCATGTCATATCCAGCGAAATGGGTCCCTCGGTCACTGTCAATGTGCCAGATATATCCATACATAGTACTGAGAGCCTCTAAGCCTTTAATAGTACTGGCTTGATTAGCTTGCTTATAGGGAGAATCTTGCAGCAGTCCAGTAGCGGTGTCCATGCAGGTTAACATGTATTTATTTCCTTGGCTTACAGGGACAGTATCTAAATAATCCACTTGCCAATCTGTTACATGGTGGACAGCCTTCTGAATATCTGAATGTGTCCTGCTCAATATGATCTACAATAGAGAACATGGTAAACAATTTGTAAGAGCTGTTGGGAAGGCACTATATATTTTTTGTTGTTGTTGTGGAGATGGGATCTCGATATGTTGCCCAGGCTGGACTCAAACTCCTGGCCCCAAGCAATCGTCCCACCATGGCCTCCCCATGTGTGAGCCACTGTACCAGGACTAGGTCACTATATATATATATATATATATATATATATATATATTTTTTTTTTTTTTTTTTTTTTTTGAGACGGAGTTTTGCTCTTATTGCCCTGGCTGGAGTGCAATGGCGTGATCTCGGCTCACTACAACCTCCACCTCCCGGGTTCAAGCAGTTCTCCTGCCTCAGCCTCCTGAGTAGCTGGGATTACAGGTGCATGCCACCACGCCCAGCTAATTTTGTATTTTTAGTAGAGACAGGTTTCTCCATGTTGGTCAAGCTGGTCTCGAACTCCCAACCTCAGGTGATTTGCCCGCCTCGGCCTCCCAAAGTGCTGGGATTACAGGCATGAGCCACCGTGCCCAGCCTGGTCACTACATTTTAAGAGTAATCCTGCTTCCTTGACTGTCTCCCAGCCTACTCTTGCACTTCTGTGACCACTTTTGTTATGTACCCAGGTCAATAGTTCAGAGGCCTGAGCTGGCATGATGCTTCTAATTTTTTTTAGGGTTTTAGCTTCCATGTTTTGTGGAACTGAGTGGTTTTTATGTGCAGTCACCTGAAATACAGTTAAATCAGCCACAAGGCTTTGCGGCTTTTTCCGTATGTCTTGCCACATGTTCATGCCCCATATAGGTTTGTGCATAATCATCCACTTTTCTAGTTCCTGTTGAGCCAGCCACATAATTAGGCCTTTGAATACAGCTCAGCTATCAGTGCAAAGAACCAGGGGCCAGGCTCATATGTGACTATTAACCAGGCTGCTTGCAACTCATCCCAGTGGCTCCTCTGATGCCCACCTGTATCAAACCAGATTGTATCAGTTTGTGGCTGTGTAGCAACAGCGGTCCAAGAACAGCGGTTTCCCCTGCTGGAGTCCTCTGTACACCAAGCATCATCTGGATGCTTACCATGTCAGGTGCTGGAGTTGGAGAGGGTCAGGTGGTATCCTTTGTTTGTTCACGTCATAACAGAGCCTAATGCAGTATGTAATTCTGGGCTTAAGGGACTCATTGCTAGCATTCTTCCTTGTTGCAAATAATCATGCCATTTATTCAAGGTAGGTGTTGGGGCTACAGCGGAGGTGGGTTGTTTAAAAATCCTTCTAACCATCCCTTGATTGGTAGACCTATTCTCACAGTCATGGGAAGGGTCTTTGTTAGCAATTCCACCTGCTGTAAAGCATTCTCTACTACTAGCACTTCTTGTTCAACAGGAGAGTATCTGGTTTTGGCTCCTTTCTTAAAAGGACTGATTCCCTAGACTGCGGTTGCCATAAGGCCCCACTCATATCCTCAGGAGCAGCAGTAACATCCAAAGTCCTAGCTGTACCCTCCAAAGGGGTGCCTAAGGCCTGTGCCTGCTGTACCAACACTTCAGCCTGTTCAAAGCTTCCTGCTGTGGTGTGTCCCAGGCCCAATGTGCCCTTTCTCTGATAAGTCTGTATAGGGATCTCAAAAACTGTGCTAAGTATGGGATGCATACTCTCCAATAACCCAAAAGACCCACAAATGTTTGGATTTCTTTGACTGTTTCTGGAGTTGACATTGTTGGGCTTTGTCAATTATTGCACCCAGTATCAAAGGAGTGTTACCCAACCATGTAACCCCTAAAAACTTCACTGTGGGCCGGGTGCAATGGCTCACACCTGTAATCCTAACACTTTGGGAGGCCAAGGTGGGCGGATCACAAGGTCAGGAGTTCGAGACCAGCCTGGCCAATATGGTGAAACCCCATCTCTACTAAAAATACAAAAGTTAGCTGGGCATGGTGGCAGGTGCCTGTAGTCCCAGTTACTCGGGAGGCTGAGGCAGGAGAATCGCTTGAACCCAGGAGGCGGAGGTGGCAGTGAGACAAGGTCGCACCATTGCAATCCAGCCTGGGTGACAGAGCGAGACTCCGTCTCAAAACAAAACAAAACAAAACAAAACAAACAAACAAAAAATCTTCACTGTGGGCTCTGGGCCTTGCATCTTCTGAGGATTGATGGCCCATCTCCATTCCATAGATGAGCACCCAATACCATAAGACATTACTGCAAACCAAAACAACATGGTACTGGTACAAGAACAGACACATACACCAGTGGAACAGAATAGAAAACACAGAAATAAGACCACGCACCCACGACTATCTGATCTTCAACAAACCTGACGAAAGCAAACAATGGGGAAAGAATTCCCTGTTCAATAAACGGTGCTGGGATAACAGGCTAGCCATATGCAAACAATTCAAACTGGACCCCTTCTTTACACCTTACACAAAAATTAACTCACGATGGATTAAAGACTTAAATGTAAAACCCAAAACTATAAAACCCTGGAAGACAACCTAGGTAATACCATTCAGGACATAGGCATGGGCAAAAATTTCATGACGAAGATTCTGAAAGCAATTGCAACAAAAGGAAAAATTGAAAATGGGATTTAACTAAACGAAAGAGCTTCTGCACAGCAAAAGAAACTATCAACAGAGTAAACAGACAACCTACAGAATGGGAGAAAATTTTTGCAAACTATGCATCTGACAAAGGGCTCATATTCAGCATCTATAAGGAACTTAAACAAATTTATTTTAAAAAAGCAAACAATTCCATCAAAAAGTGGACAAAGGACATGAACAGACACTTCCCAAAAGAAGACATACATGTGGCCAACAAACATATTTTAAAAAGCTAAACATCATTGATTATTAGAGAAACGCATATCAAAACCACAATGATATTGTGCCATTGCACTCCAGCCTGGGCAATAAGAGCGAAACTCCATCTCAAAACAAACAAACAAAAACCCACAATAAGATATCATCTCACGCCAGTCAGAACAGCTATTATTAAAAAGTCAAAAAATAAAAGATGCTGGCGAGGTTGTGGAGAAAAAAGAATGCTTATACACTGTTGGTGGGAGTATAAATTAGTTCAGTCATTGTGGAAGACACTGTGGTGATTCTTCAAAGACTTAAAGACAGATACCATCTGATCCAGCAATCCCATTACTGGGTATATACCCAAAGGAATATAAATCATTCTGTTATAAAAGCACATGGACGTGGCCAGGCACGGTGGCTCATGCCTGTAATCCCATCACTTTGGGAGGCTGAGGCAGGTGGATCACCTGAGGTCAGGAGTTCGAGACCAGGCTGACCAATATGGAGAAACCCCTGTCTCTACTAAAAATACAAGATTATATGGGCGTGGCGCCACATGCCTGTAATCCCAGCTACTGGGGTGGCTGAGGCAGGAGAATCGCTTGATCCCGGGAGGCAGAGGTTGCAGTGAGCTGAGATCGCACCATTGCACTCTAGCCTCGGCAACAAGAGCAAAACTCCATCTCAAAAAAAAAAAAAAATGCATGCATGTGTTCATTGCAGTGGTATTCACAATAGCAAAGACATGGAATCAACCTAGATGCCCATCAGCGATAGACTGGATAAAGAAAATGTGGTATATATACATCATGGACTACTATGCAGTCATACAAAAAGAACAAGATCATGTCCTTTGCAGGGACATGGATGGAGCTGGAGGCCATTATTCTTAGCAAACTAATGCAGGAACAGAAAACCAAATACCGCATGTTCTCGCTTATAAGTAGAAGCTAAATGATGAGAACACAGGGACACATAGAGGGGAACAACACCCACTGGGGCCTATCAGAGGGTGGAGGGTGGGAGGAGGGAGAGGATCAGGAAAAATAACTAATGGGTACTAGGCTTAATAGCTGGGTGACGAAATAACCTGTACAAAAAAACCCCCATGACACACATTTACTTATGTAACAAACCTGCATATGAACCCCCGAACTTAAAATAAAAGTTAAAAAAAGAAAAGCCATGGCTGCAGCACAGTAAAAGCTTCAGCGGCTGACATAATGCCAACAAGATAACAAAACTAGAAGAAAAGACGGGAATGCGAAAAAAGACAAGACTCTTTCATGGGCTTTGTGCTGGGTGGATAATAGTTGCACTTATTGGGAGGATAATAATTGCACTTATTTCAGCATACCCCCTGGACAATATGAATCATTTAATGTTGACAACGCCATGTAGGGGCAGGAAGTTGTAGGGGCTCCCATTTTCTTCCTCTCTCAAGAACAGTCTTCACGGAGTGCCTGCGATTGCAGGCACGCGCCGCCACGCCTGACTGGTTTTCGTATTTTTTTTGGTGGAGATGGGGTTTCGCTGTGTTGGCCGGGCCGGTCTCCAGCTCCTAACCGCGAGTGATCCGCCAGCCTCGGCCTCCCGAGGTGCCGGGATTGCAGACGGGAGTCTCGTTCACTCAGTGCTCAATGGTGCCCAGGCTGGAGTGCAGTGGCGTGATCTCGGCTCGCTACAACCTCCACCTCCCAGCCGCCTGCCTTGGCCTCCCAAAATGCCGAGATTGCAGCCTCTGCCCGGCCGCCACCCCGTCTGGGAAGTGAGGAGCGTCTCCGCCTGGCCGCCCATCGTCTGGGATGTGAGGAGCCCCTCTGCCTGGCTGCCCAGTCTGGAAAGTGAGGAGCGTCTCAGCCCGGCCGCCATCCCATCTAGGAAGTGAGGAACACCTCTTCCTGGCCGCCATCACATCTAGGAAGTGAAGAGCGTCTCTGCCCGGCCGCCCATCGTCTGAGATGTGGGGACCGCCTCTGCCCCGCCGCCCCGTCTGGGATGTGAGGAGCGCCTCTGCCCGGCCGCGACCCCGTCTGGGAGGTGAGGAGCGTCTCTGCCCGGCCGCCCCGTCTGAGAAGTGAGGAGACCCTCTGCCTGGCAACCGCCCCGTCTGAGAAGTGAGGAGCCCCTCCGCCCGGCAGCCGCCCCGTCTGAGAAGTGAGGAGCCCCTCCGCCCGGCAGCCACCCCGTTTGGGAAGTGAGGAGCCTCTCCGCCCGGCAGCCAACCCGTCCGGGAGGGAGGTGGGGGGGTCAGCCCCCCGCCCGGCCAGCTGCCCCGTCCGGGAGGTGAGGGGCGCCTCTGACTGGCCGCCACTACTGGGAAGTGAGGAGCCCCTCTGCCAGGCCACCACCCCGTCTGGGAGGTGTACCCAACAGCTCATTGAGAATGGGCCATGATGACGATGGCGGTTTTGTGGAATAGAAAGGGGGGAAAGGTGGGGAAAAGATTGAGAAATCGGATGGTTGCTGTGTCTGTGTAGAAAGAAGTATACATGGGAGACTTTTCATTTTGTTCTGTACTAAGAAAAATTCTTCTGCCTTGGGATCCTGTTGATCTGTGACCTTACCCCCAACCCTGTGCTCTCTGAAACGAGTGCTGTGTCCACTCAGGGTTAAATGGATTAAGGGCGGTGCAAGATGTGCTTTGTTAAACAGATGCTTGAAGGCAGCATGCTCGTTAAGAGTCATCACCACTCCCTAATCTCAAGTACCCAGGGACACAAACACTGCGGAAGGCCTCAGGGTCCTCTGCCTAGGAAAACCAGAGACCTTTGTTCACTTGTTTATCTGCTGACCTTCCCTCCATTATTGTCCTATGACCCTGCCAAATCTCCCTCTGCGAGAAACACCCAAGAATGATCAATAAAAAATAAATAAATAAATAAATAAATAAATAAAAAGAAAGAAGAAAAAGAAAAAAAAAAAAAAAAAACAGTCTTCACTACATGCACCTTCGATCTGAATTTTTCCACTGAAGTTTGCTAAGTCTTTCCTAACAGAATACCTGTGCCTAAAATGTTTTCTGGAATAAGAAAAATAAACACCACATATGGGGCAGGGGAGCTTCCCCAATACCTAGATGTATTAAAGTCCTTCTCATCCAGATCGTTTGTCCCCATAACCAGTGATGGCAGACCATTGACCAGGGTGTATTTATGGATTTCCATGAATTAAAGTATATTCTGCCCTAGTATCTACTAAGGAAATAGTCTTCTCCTTATTTTTTTGAGAGGAACAGTAAATGGTGAGCTCAATATGGGGCCTCTGGTCACCTGCAACGTGGGGTTGACCTTGGTCCCACTGCTAATCTTGGGCCCAGCATGGAATCCCCCTCTGATAGGCTGGAGTATTAGAATGAGGGGTTGAGTCATCTTCCTCTTCTGCTAGAGGGGCAGAAATGAAGGGACAAAACAGCCCTTCAGTCTGTACTTCCCTCCATAAGGCTACTAACACAGCATTTTTCATATTTTCCATATTTTAACATTTTTTACATATTTTTTTCTCAGAATTTTTCTGCTCCCAATAAGTCATGCCACATTTGCCTGTTCTTGACTCTAGTTGGTCGCTTTCCCTTATTTTCCCCCTTCTTCCTGTGGAGCATTATCTTTCCCCTTTGTCAGCCCTTGCCGGGTTACAAAGCACACCCCGTCCCTAGCTTTCTCAGTAGCTCCCAAATCTGTGATGGCTTCTCCTACGTCATATACATCTTTTTTTTTTTTTTTTAAGACGAAGTTTCGCTGTTGTTGCTCAGGCTGGAGTGCAATGGCACGATCTCGGCTCACTGCAACCTCCGCCTCCCACGTTCAAGCTATTCTCCTGCCTCAGCCTCCCAAGTAGCTGGGATTACAGGCGCCTGTCACCATGCCCGGCTAATTTTGTATTTTTAGTAGAGAAGGAATTTCACCATGTTGACCAGGCTGGTCTTGAACTCCTGACCTCAGGTGATCCATCCACTTCGGCCTCCCAAAGTGCTGGGATTACAGGCATGAGCCACCGTGCCCAGCCCTTTTTTTTTTTTTTTTTTTTTTTTTGAGACGGGGTCTCACTCTGTTGCCCAGGCTGGAGTGCAGTGCCCCAATCTCAGCTGACTGCAACTTCTGCCTCCTGAGTTCAAGCAATTCTCCTACCTCAGCCTCCCAAGTAGCTGGGGTTACAGGCACACCACCTAGCTAATTTTTGTATTTTTAGTAGAGATGGGGTTTCACCATATTGTCCAGGCTGGTCTCGAACTCCCGATCTCAAGTAATCCGCCTGCCTCGGCCTCTCAAATTGCTGGAATTACAGGTGTGAGCCCCTGTGCCTGGCCTTCCCACATCATATACTTCTTGTCCCATTTATAGGACTCAATAACATGAGCCAAGGGTTGTGCCATTCTCCTGGTGCACCCTTCAGCAATTTATTTTTCATCCCTGCAGGAAAAAACTGTTTTAAGTCCTGTGAGAACCCAAACATAGATGACTTGACTCATTCCTAATTCTTGGAGAAGCCCTTGGGCCTTTTCTGTTGACTGCCAGGAGGTCATCCTTCCCGGTAAATTTCCCTCATTAGGTCAAGCCTCCCTCATAGCTAGAATGAGCCAGTCCATAAGCTATGACTCCCTTGCGTCTGCCTTGCCTTAGCAAAGATGCTTCTGCAGGGCTGCATGGGTGGTGATGTTACTCATTTTTTCTGCTTCTCCTGTTAAGGAAATATCATCAGCCCCTGTGTCCCACAATCAGACCATCCAAGCAGCCAGGGATTTCCTCGGTAGTTGTTTAAAGGCCTTTGCAATCTCTAAGAGTTCTGCAGCGGTAGGTTCCCTGACAGTGAGAGTCTCCTGTATCAGCTGACCCCCGTTTTGCTGCCAATGTTAGGTTTCACTTTCCTTTG
The DNA here is from genome assembly GCF_000001405.40 of Homo sapiens. Lineage (NCBI taxonomy): Eukaryota > Metazoa > Chordata > Mammalia > Primates > Hominidae > Homo > Homo sapiens. The sequence continues at coordinate 2,470,169 of NT_113891.3, read as the reverse complement.
CATGAGACAGCGAGCTTGCCAATGATCCCCATCCCCCTCCACACCTGTGACTTCTATGTCATCAGTCTTCCTCTTCATAACAATCCCAGGGATTCCAAGTTTTCACATCCCGGTTGGGCTTTCTCATGAGAGCTCTGATTTTTGGTCATTTCCATATCTTTCGCCCTAGGTGGACAAATCTACATGCTAACATTTCAATTTTTGTCTCTTGGTCTTCAATTTTGTTTGCTAAGTTGGATGTGAGGAGAGACATGGAGAGGTACACGTCTTTTTCTAGTTGCAATTCCTTCTCTAGACATTTAATTTTGGCTTCTGCTGCTAGCCGGATCTTCATTGCCAAAAGAAGCACCCAACCCTCTGCAGTGGCTATTGGCCGACCTTCCGTACCCCAGTGCACTATGCGGCTTTCAGTTAATAACTGCTCTAGGCCACCTGGCATTTTCAAGGCATCCCTGCACTCACACAGAGGTACACAGGTATCGAACAGTTGTGCCATCCAACCCTACACAGACGTGGCTGCCGCCCTGGGGTTTCCTTACAGATGCTTCATTCTCCTTACCCATTCCTTGTTCTCCCAGCTACTGGCTGGGGGATCACCAAATGTTCTACCATGAACAGGTCTACACAAACCTACCCCTAAATTTTGAGGGGAAAAGAGATCAAAGAAAGAGACTGACAAATCCAGTTTCTCACAGAGAAATATTTAATGGAGTCTTCCAAAGAGAAGTGATGTCTGAGGTGGCCACAGGATGGTGGATTCCCACACTCCCTCTCCAAAAAATATCCTTTCTAGAGTAAGCTTTTAGGGGAAAACATGTGCAACTGGTCACATCACAGACTTTCTTGCTGAAACCCATGACTGCTGGGGAGGTTAGATAAGCATCTTTGTGAGAGGTTAATTACGCTACAGGCATTGTTTTAAAGCCCTTGATACAGAACACCTTGGTATGCAGGAGTCAGACATTGGACATCTGGCGAGGTGCAGTGGCTCACACCTGTAATCTCAGCATTTTGGGAGGCCAAGGCAGGAGGAGTTCAAGGAGGCCAGGAGTTCAAGACCAGCTTGTGCAACAGAGTGAGGCCCTGTCCCTACAAAAAATTCTAAAAATTAGCCAGGCATGGTGGCACACGAAACTGTAGTCCCAGCTACTCAGGAGGCTGAGGCAGGAGGATTGCCTGAGCCCAGGAATTGAAGGCTGCAATGAGCTATGATTGCACCACTGCAAAACTCCATCTAAAAAAAAAATGGCCATTGTGGTGGTTTCACTTCAAGATGGTATCACTCTTACCATGCAACAGGCTGTTTTCCTATAGCCGCATTGGTAAGATCCAATTCTTTGGTTTGCTGACACTGGAGAAACCCAATAAGTGGTGGAAGATGGAGCAGTTTCTACTGCTGTGAGTTGGGGTGAACCCACCAACAGACTGCTAATTCTCTGCTGAGGGCTCTGTCCCAAGTAGGAGCCCTCCATTACCTTGTGGGCTCAAAGCAACTTAGCCTCTAAAGCAGCTCCCCTCTGTCTTCCAAGACCTGGAGGACCCTCTTCCCTGGACTCATGAAAGGGATACGTGCAGCTCTTCTGGGCGGGGATTTATGAGAATCTCGGGTCTTTGCAAGAGCCTCTTGGAAGATTCGACCTCAGCAGGCCAGAAAGTCTTTCCCTTGGGAAACCAGGGAGCACTCAGGGAGATGAGTGTCACCAGCTCCTCCACCCTGATGGGTAGTCAGGCCTGGAGCACATGGAAATGCCCTGGGAACCTCGACTTCAAGTGAATATGCGTACCCCCCTCCCCCCTCCCCCCCCACACACAGAGCAGGTAGTTGTAACGCCTCCACCTCATCCTGCTCTTGGCTCTTCATGTATCACAACCTAATCTCTGTGTACCACAGGCCTCACGCAGGAGCCCATAGCATGCTGGCACCCGCCCTCCCTCCTTATCTCTCCCAAGTCAATTCTCCAGCCAATCGGGGTGTCTCAGAGATACAGGGACCTTGCCTGGGGCAAAAAGGATTAGAAAATGCAGACACACAGATAAGAATGAGGTCTTTGGATTTTACTGTGGAGATTTTGAATGCCAGATGGAGTCCAGCATGGAGGTTTTCTCCTATAACTGAGTTCATCTCAGAGCTAGATACCCACCCCGGGGCACGCACAGCTTCTCTTTGTCGTGTGTGTTAGATGAGATGTATTTATTTCTTAGCTAAATGAGCAATATAGTATTCTCTTTCCAGTGTCTGGTAAAGGCAAGAAAGGTGAGGAATACCTTCTTCAAGATTTTCAGGATCTCAAACAAAGCTGGGAGGGGTCTCCTGGGATGAATGAAAGGAAACCAGGTCTTGGGTGCCCAGGTCTCTTCCTTCCTGAAGAATGCGGCACTTGCTTCCGGGGCTGCTCAGGGCCCGCTGTTCCTCCCGCTCATCTCCATGGCTATCGAGGATACTGGTCTCCTCCAGAACCAGTTAGGACTCCACCTGGGCCTGTGGGGGGCTCCATGATTCCCTCCAGGGCCTGGACCAAGGCCATGGTTGAGGCCATGAGGGTGGTAGACAGCTGTGTTAAAGGTGTTTCTCAGGGACAGGCTGTTTCTCTAAAAAAAGAAGAGTCAATAGTTTCAGAATTGCATCCCTGTCTCCCACGCCTTTACCACGTACGCCTTCTGGAATCTTCTCCCACTTCCAACCATACTCTTTACCTAGTTCTCCTTTCTCCAGTCCTTTCTGTGGCCCCCTTTTCCCGCAGGTCAGCAGCTTCCTCTGCATTGACCTACCATGTCTCTGTGTTACTCTTTCCTGATCTCCCTTCCTCCCTACCCACCCCTGACTTGAGACCCCTTCTATTCACACCCATTTCCTTGTGTTTCTGCTGCTCCTTCCCCCAGGCATTTTCTTACATATTAGGCACTCACCACACAGAAGAAGAGCCCAGCAAAGAGCCCCACGGCCGCCACAACCGAGACCAGGGTGATGAGGAAGATTTCCCACGGCACCAGGGACCCACCAGGCTTCGCCTCACTCACTGCAGTAGATGCACTATGGGAAGTTGTGTGCATTCCAGTCAGAGCTGCTGTTCCAGAGCCTGCAGAGGTCACACTGGACCCAGAGTTGGTGGCTGTGTTGGCCCCACTGGAGGTTGTGCTGGACTCAGAATTGGTGGCAGTGCTGGCCCCACTGGACACTGTGCTGGACTCAGAGTTGGTGGCTGTGCTGGCCCCACTGGAGGTCGTGCTGGACTCAGAGGTGGTGGCTGTGCTGGCCCCACTGGACACTGTGCTGGACTCAGAGTTGGTGGCTGTGCTGGTCCCACTGGAGGTCGTGCTGGACCCAGAGTTGGTGGCTGTGCTGGCCCCACTGGAGGTTGTGCTGGACTCAGAGTTGGTGGCTGTGCTGGCCCCACTGGAGGTCGTGCTGGACTCAGAGTTGGTGGCTGTGCTGGCCCCACTGGAGGTTGTGCTGGAGTCAGAGTTGGTGGCTGTGTTGGCCCCACTGGAGGTTGTACTGGACTCAGAGTTGGTGGCTGTGTTGGCCCCACTGGAGGGTGTGCTGGACTCAGAATTGGTGACTGTGCTGATCCCACTGGACACTGTGCTGGACTCAGAGTTGGTGGCTGTGCCGGCCCCACTGGAGGTCGTGCTGGACTCAGAGTTGGTGGCTGTGCCGGCCCCACTGGAGGGTGTGCTGGACTCAGAGTTGGTGGCTGTGCTGGCCCCACTGGAGGTCGTGCTGGACTCAGAGTTGGTGGCTGTGCCAGCCCCATTGGAGGTCGTTCTGGACTCAGAGTTGGTGGCTGTGCTGGCCCCACTGGAGGTTGTGCTGGACTCAGAGTTGGTGGCAGTGCTGGCCCTACTGGACACTGTGCTGGACTCAGAGTTGGTGGCTGTGCTGGCCCCACTGGAGGTTGTGCTGGACTCAGAGTTGGTGGCTGTGCTGGCCTCACTGGAGGTTGTGCTGGAGTCAGAGTTGGTGGCTGTGCTAGCCCCACTGGAGGTTGTGCTGGAGTCAGAGTTGGTGGCTGTGCTGGCCCCACTGGAGGGTGTGCTGGACTCAGAGTTGGTGGCTGTGCTGGCCCCACTGGAGGTTGTGCTGGACTCAGAGTTGGTGGCTATGCTGATCCCACTGGACGCTGTGCTGAACTCAGAGTTGGTGGCTGTGCTGATCCCACTGGAGGTTGTATGGAACTCAGAGTTGGTGACTATGCTGACCCCATTGGAGGTCACGCTGGACCCTGAGATGGTGGCTGTGCTGACCCCACTGGAGGTCACACTGGACCCAGAGTTGGTGGCTGTGCTGGCTCCACTGGAGATCACACTGGATCCAGTGTTGGCAGAGGTGCTAGTCTCATTGGAATTTGTTGCTGAAGAAATCATATAATGACAAATATATATTGTGTGTATATACTTTCTGCTTATTGCTTGGCTAAATTCATTACATAATTTTATTTAATGCTCACTATGGTGCTATAACATAGATGCTATTATTATCACCAGCTGAGATGAAGAAATTGAGGCTTCAAAATGTTGATACTGGGCTGGGCACGGTGGCTCACGCCTGTAATCCCAGCACTTTGGGAGGCCAAGGTGGGCGGATCACCTGAGGTTGGGAGTTCGAGACCAGCCTGACCAACATGGAGAAACCCCATCTCTACTAAAAATACAAAATTAGCCGGGCATTAATTCCAGCTACTCGGGAGGCTGAGGCAGGAGAATCACTTGAACCCGGGAGGCAGAGGTTGCGGTGAGTCGAGATCGAGCCATTGCACTCCAGCCTGGGTGCCAAGAGCAAAACTCCGTCTCAAAAATAAAAAATAAAAAAAAGTTGACACTGGCCCAAGTTTACACAGCTAGTGAGTGGTGGAACAGGAAACTGAACCCAGGCTACTAAATCTGCACTTGTGGAGACTAAGCTAAGTCAACCACCCACCCACAATGCCAGAGTTACATCATCTAGTTTCACTGGTAGCTAACCTTTTTCCACATTCTGCTATGCAAGATACAATACAGATATAAAGTATTATAAAAGAATTATAGGACTAGGTGAAACTAGTATATACTGATCAATTTTTTTCTTAAGTAGTATTGCTTCCTTCTTGGAAAATATTTCTCAGAATAATATTCAGAACACACTTATTTCAGAATTACTTAAGGGAGCATGTTGAAAATATTCTTAAGCAAATCATTCCAGACTAAATGAATTAGAATTTGAGATGGGGCCCAGGAGTCTGCATGTACAACAAGAAGCCAGGTGACTATATGCATTCAAGTTCCAGGGGCCCTTGATCACTATGGCCAAGGCTAGAGAAGAACGAGTTATATGTAGCTCAAATACATAAGAGCTCCCAGGAATAAGGGCTGTAAACCAACGTCTAAAGGTAGAGGGAAGGCTTTTAACTTCTTGGAGGCTTGGCTGGAGTTAAGGTTATGTCAAATTTTTGCCCTTGATTTCCCAGAAGGATGAAGACATTCAACCTCCCCAGCCTGTACGTGGGAAGCTGACGAGGAATTAGGTGTAGGGGTAGGAGAGAAATTGAGTTTGTAGAATATAGAAGAGTGGTATTTTATTTTATTTTATTTTATTTTATTTTATTTTATTTTATTTTATTTTATTGCTTATTTATTTATTTGTTTTTGAGACGGAGTCTTGCTCTGCCGCCCAGGCTGGAGTATAGTGGAGCAATCTCAGCTCACTGCAACATCCGCCTCCCACGTTCAAGCGATTCTCCTGCCTCAGCCTCCTGAGTAGCTAGGATTACAGGCATAAGCCACCCCGCCAGGCTAATTTTTGTACTTTTAGTAGAGATGGAGTTTCACCATGTTGGCCAGGCTGGTCTGAAACTCCTGGCCTCAAGACATCCACCCGCCTTGGCCTCCCAAAGTGCTGAGATTACAGGCGTGAGCCACTGAGCCTGGCCTTATTTTATTATTTTATTTTTTTGAGACAGAGTCTCACTCCGTCACCCAGGCTGGAGTGCAGTGGCACCATCTTGGCTCACTGCAACCTCCGCCTCCCGGGTTCAAGCGATTTTCCTGCCTCAGCCTCCTGAGTAGCTGGGAGTACAGGGACAAGCCAACACACTCAGCTAATTTTTGTATTTTTAGTAGAGACAGGGTTTTGCCACGTTAGCTAGGCTGGTCTTGAACTTCTGACCTCAATGACCTGCCTGCCTCACCCTCCCAAAGTGCTGGGATTAAAGGCATGAGCCACCGCACCCCGCCAGAAGAGTGACATTTTAAAAGCAGCCGACTCTTCTTGTTCTTAATATTTAAAACCCCAACCATATTACACAGGTTGTTACCATTTTACAGATGCAGAAATCGAGGCGCAGAGAAGCAACTGACCTAAAGTACACAGTTAATAGATGGAGCCATAATTCAAATGTAGGCAATGTGAGACCAGAGCCCAATTTTAACCACTGTGTCTGACTGCTTCCTGCATGACATACCTTGTTAGGCTGAAGTGATTCGAGTAAAATGATGATCCTCACTCTATGGAAGAGAAGCAGAGCTGGCCCCAGTAGTGGTCACATTTCTCTCCCAACTCCTCAAAGGTTCTCAGACCACCCGATTTTAAATAAAATCACTCACCAGCTTCTAAATGCAATAGTAGACCAAACATAAGGAGAACATTTCCTTTCTGCATCTTCATCTGTCTCTTTGTGGCTGGAAAGCAAGATGCCTGGGTCCTAGATGTACCAAGACTTTAGAGGGCAAAGAACAGAGGATTCTTGAGAAAGGGGACTTGAAGGTGAAGAGATAAAGGCTGGTGCTTCCAGGAGCGTGGGTCTCCTACGTTTGTGTTCCTGGGAAGAATCTTGGACTCGGGCGTGGGCAGCTGGATGCCTGGGTTCCTTAGGCTTCCTCCAGGCAATGTAGTTGCCTCTTTCTCTGTTGTGAAAGAGCTGCAGGGGCCTTTATAGCTTCATATGGTCTGAGGAGGGGTGGGGCAGTTGACCTGACAGTCTGCCAACTACAGGCAGGTGAGAGAACGATACCAAGCCTGGGACGGAATAGAGCAGGGGTCAAGAGGAAGGTGAGAAAGGAGAATGACATGACCACACTAGGCAGGGTGCTTGGCTGGGTTGCAGCAGGAAGTAGAATGGGATGAGGAGATCATGGTTGTCAGAGTGGAAGGGACCCACCCTTTGAAGCAGGGATCGGGTTAGAAACCTGTTGCAGCTCAAGAATTTGTTTTCTGGTCAGGAAGTCCTGTGGGCCTGCTTTAGCATGAAAGAAGCCCTAATGAACTGAGCCAAGAGAGTAGGACCTCACATCTCTACAGCAAACAGTAATAGGTGACGCAAAAGAGACCAGTAACTAGGACTCTGGGCTCCTGGGTTATGGGCAGAAGACAAATGGAGTATAACTGAGTATGCAGTAAGCACTCAACAATGCACATTGAAGGAACAGGGGAAGAGAGATCCAGAAGACATAATGAAGAGAGATAATGAAAACATGTTTGGGGTCTCTGGGGCATGAGAACTGAGGGTGTGGGAGAGTATTGAATACGCCCCCTGTCAGACTCATAGCAGGAGAAGGAAGGTAGGGTCTCCTTCTGACCCTCAACCATAGGAGCTCCCCTCTGTTTTGTTTTTGTTTTCAGACGGCTGTATAGGAGCCTTTCCACCCTGAGATCCTTCTGATGTGCCTTAGCATCAGTTCCAAGGAAGCGTCTCTCAGGAGAGTACACACCTTAGGGAGAGACACAGTGCCATATCGGGACACAGTCTGATGGGAGGAGGGAGATCAACAGTCCAAGTCCTGGAGGAGGCTTGAATTTGGTCTGGACACTTGGGTATGGCCAGCAGAGGGGAAACAGTCAGCTAAAAGAGCGTGACTGAAGAGACCCAAATGAGCAGAGGGTTTGGGGAGGTCTGAGATGGCATCTGTGACCAGGCTGATGGGGTTCCAATATACAGTCTGTATTTTCTGTCATAGTCCATTGGTGTTGCTATAAAGGAATCCCTGACTGTGGGTGACATAGAGAAAAGAGGCTTATTTGCCTCACGGTTCTGCAGGCTGTATGAGAAGCATGGCACCAACGTCTGCACTGGTGAGGGCTTCAAAAAGCTTCCACTCGTGGCCGAAGGAGAAGGGGAGCCGGTTTGCACAGATCATATAGCGAGAGAGAGGAAGCTGGAAAGAAGGAATGGAGGAGGTGACAGGATCTTTTCAACAACCAGTTCTTGTGGGAACTAAGAGTGAGAACTCACTGGTTGAGAATGGCACCGAGCTGTTCATGAGGGATCTGTTTCAACCACCCAAACTCCTCCCACCAGGCTCCACCTCCAACATTGGGAATCAAATTTCAACATGAGACTTGGCAGGGTTTAACAACCACATCCAAACCATTGCAATGACCAAAGTGAGTTGTCTGCATTTCCCCCAACAATGACGAGAAGCTTCCTGGAAGACACAGTCTCTCAGATAGTTTATTTGTAGGCGAACGAGCTTTCCTGACATGCAAGTTCTGTTAGAAGGAAGCTGGCAAGCAGGAGGTGGCTGAAGACATGAAGGAGCTCTGAATGAGTGAGCTGGAGAAACAGAAAGGGTCAGCGGTGTGCTGGGAAAGGCTCAGAAGTGAGTCTGCCTAGTGGCTGTGATGGGAAGTTCCAGAGGGTCAGGTATGCGGGAACGCTCAGTGACAGGTTGGGTCCTGGACTCCCAGCAATTCTTCTGATGTGCCAGTATTCTGCAGCTGAAAAGCCAATAGCCCTCTAAGAATTTTCTTCTTCCAGAATTATTTAGAAACTGAGATCCTGGATTCAAGTCCAAATTTCACCTTTTAGAGGGTACTCTGAAAATTGTAGCGCGCATACTTATCAGAGCCTAATGTAATTAATATCTTTACTCGCTATCAAAATAACACAAAGACCTCAGAACATTTTAATTCGTATTACCCATCTCCCAAATCATACCCTAATATCATCAAGTATTTTAATTCCTTCTTGTTTGTTAACTTCATGAAAGATTATTGTAAAAAAAAAATTATTGTTGTCTGCTTACACACCCTCAGCCTGAACGCAGTCACACAGCCATGTTAAGCTGCAAGAGAAACTGAGAAAGACTGTCTCTAGCTGGGTAGACGTGTGCTCAGCTGACACTTGAGAGATCTGTTGCTAAAGGTGGAGAATGGGTGTTAGCAGACAACCATAAAGCCGTGACATGATCCAGCAACCCCACTGCTGAGGAGGTAGCCAAAAGAAAAGAAATCAGTGTATCAAAGAAATATCCGCACTCCAACGTTTGTTGCAGCACTGTTTGCAATAGCTAAGATTTGGAAGTGTCTATTAATGGATGAATGAATAAAGAAAGTGTGGTACAGGCCGGGCGCAGTGGCTCACACCTATAATCCCAGCACTTTGGGAGGCCGAAGTGGGTGGATCATAAGGTCAGGAATTCAAGACCAGCCTGGCCAACATGGCAAAATCCCATCTCCACTAAAAATACAAAAATTAGCCCAGTGTGGTGACGGGCGCCTGTAATCCCAGCTACTCGAGAAGCTGAGGTAGGAGAATTGCTTGAACCTGGGAGACGGAGGTTGCAGTGAGCCAAGATTGTGCCATTGCACTCCAGCCTGGGCGACAGAGTGAGACTCCATCTCAAAAAAAAAAAAAAAAAAGAGCCAGGCACGGTCATGCCTGTAATCCCAGCACTTTGGGAAGCACAGGTGGGCAGATCATGATGTCAGGAGTTCGAGACCAGCCTGGCCAGCATGGTGAAACCCCATCTCCACTAAAAATACAAAAATTAGCCGGGCGTGGTGGCAGGCATCTGTAATCCCAGCTACTCGGGAGGCTGAGGCAGAAGAATTGCTTGAACCTGGGAGGCAGCGGTTGCAGTGAACCCAGATCGAGCCACTGCCCGCACTCCAGCCTGGATGACAGAGCAAGTCTCCATCTCGGAAAAAAAAAAAAAAAAAAAAAAAGAAAAGAAAAGAAAACGTGGTACATATACATAGTAGAGCATCATTCAGCCATAAAGAAAGAATGAGATCCAGTCATTTGCAACAACATCGCTGGACATGGAGATCATTATGTTAAGTGAAAAACCCGGCACAGAAAGACAAACATTGCATGTTCTCATTTATTTGTGGGATCTAAAAATCAAAAACAACTGAACTCATGGACATAGAGTCTAGAAGAATGGTTACCAGAGGCTGGGAAAGGTAGTGGGGAGGACTGGGGGAGGTAGAGATGGTTAATGAATGAATTAATTAAATGAATTAAATTAATTTAAAAAAACAAATGAATTAAAAAGAATGAATAAGACCTACTCTTTGATAGCACAACAGGGTAACTATAGTGAATAATAACTTAATTGTATATATTAAAATAACATAAAGAGTGTAATTGGATTTTTTGTAACTCAAAGGATAAATGCTTGAGGGGATAGATACCCCATTCTCCACGATGTGCTGATTTCACATTGCATACCTGTATCAAAACATCTCATGTACCCCATAAATATATACACCTACTATGTACCACAAAAAGTAAAAATAAAAAAAATTAAAAATAAAGCCAGGACGTACATTTAAACCTACTTACCTTATATTCTGTATTTAATAATTTCAATACCTAAAGTCTTTGAGGATCTGATACTGCTGTCTAGCTTTTTGGTTTTGTTTTCTTCCTTGCTGGTTTTCACTCAGGGTGTCTGTTTTCACTTATGATTTGAGAATCATGACTATAAATTTATTTTTCTTGGAATGTTATCTGTCGAGATCAAGGCTGCAGTGGCACTAGCATAACTCACTGCAGCCTTGACCTTCTGGGCTCAGGCAATCCTACTGCCTCGGCCTCCCAAATTTCTGGAATTACAGATTAAGCTACGATCTTTCACAGAGAATTTGCATGTTTTTTCCAAGCATAAGGAGACATTACCATTTGAGGATTATTTTATTATTATATTTTTAATTAAAATATTTTATTAACATTGTTACTGTATATACTTATGGGGTACAATTTAATGTTTTAATACATATATATGCTGTATAATTTGAGGATTATTTTAAGCTAAACTATAGGATTGCGGTCTTTTGAATTACCTAGACTGCATGATTTGTGGCTACAAACCATGTAAGTAAGGTATTGTTGGTTGTTGTGGTTACAATTTATTTCTCAAGGGATACTCCCTCTACCCTCCTCTGCACCAAATTTAGAGACAGGCAATTTTGCTTACATTTCCTTAGAGGAGGGGCAGGTTTATTTTTAGTTTACATTCTCACTGAAAGTTACAGATTTATGTGATTCCTCCCCACCCATGACCTTGGGCTGATCCAGCTGAAGCTGTAATACCCGAAGCTTAAGTTCTTTGGGTTTTGCAAAAGTTGGCTTCAGTACTTCCCTTACCTCCTGGGTCCTATTTAGTCTTTAATTTTAGCATTCCATACTTTCATGCCAATTCACTGACTCTTTTAAGAAGATTTTGAAGTCCATAACTTAGCTTTACAGTGTATTTTCAGTCAGGGCACGTAGTCCATTATATAGCAAGAAGTTTAAGTTGTCATTGGATTGTTTTGAGAAATAAATGGTGATGTATTTACAGGCACTAGCATAGTGTTTGGCACTTAATAAGCATGCAATAATAAAGGACAAAGGGAAAATAAAAAAGACAAACATAAATACATAAATACATAGATGCCAGGTGTATTTTGAGATTTTAATTTGTAGCACTGTCCCAGTAAATTTCTTCTAACTTATCACATAGCATTTGAAAGAGGCAAAGAAGTAGGGAGGGAGACTCTTCCCAAAGATGAAGAACTGGAGGGCACTGAGTGAGTCTAACAGGATTTTCTGATCTACTCAGTTTGTAGAGTTTGAAGTTACAAATCCAAATAAAGAAAGTTGTGTAATTACAAATTCTCAGGGGAAATTTTTTACCCCCTCCATTATTATAAACTGTGATAATCTTATTCTTCCTCCTACTGGTCAGGTTCCATCCTGAGGAAACGATAGAAAGCCAAAGCCTAAAGAGTTCTGACTTGTGTGTTGAGAGATCAAAGAGAAATTGTTCTGAGCTTGATCATCGTGACCCCTCCTCCCCACAAGAGTTGGAACCATGGTTATGCTCAGGGGATATTTTCACTTGAGCTCACACCCAAAGCTGGTGAGGCTGCAGGTCTCCTCCAGAACCACTCCCTATTTTTCTGACTGTCCCGTTGGCCAAACCCTCTGTGCTCTTTTCTCTGGTTCTTTTCTTGATTTTGATCATGACCATCTCTATGGCCAATCCCTTGGAGACCTCAGAGAAGCCCATCCTGACCCATTTTATGGTCACTACCTTCTCCTCCATGATCCCCCTTCTTCCCCAAGATTTTCTTTTCCATAGCACCTTCCATTATCCAGTCTATGTCTATACTCTCCTTTGCCTTGGCGACCTTCTCTGTGATGCATTTCATGATTATTGCTGTAGCCTCCTCCAAGTCCATAACGCCCACCATGATTCACTCCACAGCCATCTCCATGGCTGTGGCTCAGCTCATGGCCCACTCCATGTCCAAAGCCATGTGTTCCTGTGTGTCCCATCTCAAGTCCCCCTCCATGAATGAGTGCATTTCCCAGGCTGTGGAATGTCCCAGAGCCCAGGACTGAGTCCAGGTATAAACCAAGGTCAAGGCTGTTGTCATGGAGGTTATAAATGCCTCTATTTGTCAGGGTAAAGAAAGATCCTTCTAAAAGAGAAAAATATATATATTAGTAGTTAACTCCTTTTCTTTCTTATCATTAAACCTTGGATTATCAAAATTCATAAATTTTCACTTTTCAATATTGTCTATTTTCTCATCAAGTCTTCCTGTGTGTGTGTGTGTGTGTGGATGATATTTAGGACTCTCTTCCTCTTATTTATTTATTTATTGGAGAAAACAGTCTTCCTAATTAGTATACTTGTACCTTGGTAGGGATCTATGCTGCTCAACTTTCAAGACAAGATAAGTCTGGGCATGGTGGCTCGTGCCTGTAATCCCAAAACTTTTGGAGGCTGAGGTAGGTGGATTGCTTGAGCCCAGGCATTCCAGAGACCAGCCTGGGCAACATGGTGAAACCCCATCTCTACAAAAATAAAAAAAACAAGACAAGGTAAATTTGCATCCTGTACCTGGGAACAGAGTCAGCTATGAGTAGGGAATCTTTTATTGTGTAAATCAACCAAAAAGGTTGCATGTCTATGAGGTCAGGTAAAAATAAATAAAAGTTCATAAGGCCAGGTACAGTGGCTCATGCCAGTAATCCTAGTACTTTGGGAGGCCAAGGCGAGAGGATCACTTGAACCCAGCTCTATCTCTGGGTAGACAGAAGCTGCAGTGAGCCAAGACGGCACCACTGGACTCCAGCCTGGGTGACAGAGTGAGACCCCATCCAAAAATTAAAATGAAAAATTTTTTTTAAAGTTCATAAAATAGAAGCTAGAATAGTGCTTACCTTTGATGGAGTGGGTATTATCTGGGAAGGGCCACAAAATAAACTACTCAGATGGTAGAAATATTCTACATTTTAAGTTGGGTAATGGTTGTACAAGTGTTAACACATTTTGAAATTAATCAAGCTGTACAAATAATATTTGTGTACTTTTGTAAATTATAGTTCAAAATTTTTTCATCTGTGAACAGTATTTATTTTTTTCAATTAATATTGTTCTTTTTATTTTTTTTTTATTTCTTGAGACAGAGTCTTGCTCTGCTACCCAGGCTGGAGTGCAGTAGCACGATCTCGGCTCACTGCAACCTCTGCCTCCCAGGTTCAAGCAATTCTCCTGCCTCATCCTCCAGAATAGCTGGGATTACATGCATAAGCCACCATACCCGACTAATTTTTGTATTTTTAGTAGAGACAGGGTTTCCCCATGTTGGCCAGGCTGGTCTTGAACTCCTTACCTCAGATGATCCATCCGCCTCAGCCTCCCAAAGTGTTGAGGTTACAGAACTGCGCCCGGCTGTTCTTTTTATTTTTAAGTGTAATTTAACTTTTAACCTTTCTCCCAACTGTATTAAGTTGATACGTGAAACATATATTTGGACTTCTGCACATTTCCTGGCATGCAGCTCCTAAAATCCTTAGGTACTGAAAAGTGATTTTTTTTTTTGTATGCGAATGAGTCAACTGTTGGCTACAGGATGGGGGCTAATCACCGGAAAGACCAAAGCACCACCCCTTAACCCTTAACCTCCAGGGAGGAGAGGGGACTGAAGGTTAAGTTGATTACCAGTGGCCATGGTTTAATCAGGTATACCTACATAATGAAGCCTCTGTAAAAACCCCAAAGGCCAGGGCTCAGAAAACATATGGAGGTTCCTGGAGGATGGAGTGCTGGGGAGGGCATGGAAGCTCCCTGCTCCTTCTCCCTCCACGCCTCTTCACCTGTATCCTTTGTAATATCCTTTGTAATAAACCAGTAAAGGTGTTTCCCTGAGTTCAGTCAGCCACTCCTGCAAATTAATCGAAACCAAACAGGAGTAGCCAACTCCAACTTGCTCCAGTTGGTCAGAAGTTCCAGAGGCCTGGACTTGGCAGCCTGTGGGAAGGAGCGGTTGGTGTTGAGGGACTGCGCGCTTAGTCTGTGGATCTGATGCTATCTCCAGGTAGGCAGTGCCAGCACTGAATCGGAGGACACCGAGCTGGTGTCTGCTGCAGAACTGATTGCTTGCTTAGTGTGGGAAGAACTTCCCCTCTTAATTTGGTCACCAGAAGTGTTTTGTGTTGGTGGTGGTGTGAGAGCAGAGGAAACACAGTTTGTGTTTTTCCCACTTTCAAAGCTGGTGAATAAATATTGCATATACTTATGGTGTACAATGTGATGTTTTGATATATGTATACATTTTGAAATTATTAAATCAAATTAACATATCTATTGCCTTGCATACTTATCATTTTTTATTGGTAAGAATTACACCTCAATTTTTAAAGATAAAGAAAAATAAGAGACAGGCCATAAAGAGCTAAAGGTTGGAGAACTATCTAAAAAACACTGTGGGCCAGGTGCGGTGGTTCACGCCTGTAATCCCAGCACTTTGGGAGGCCGATGTGGACAGATGATGAGGTCAGGAGTTCGAGAGCAGCCTGGCCAACATGGTGACACCCCATCTCTACTAAAAATACAAAAAATTAGCCGGGCATGGTGGCACATGCCTGTAATCCCAGCTACTCAGGAGGCTGAGGCAGGAGAATTGCTTGAACCCGGGAGGTGGAGGTTGCAGTGAGCCGAGATTGTGCCATTGCACTCCAGCCTGGGCAACAGGGTGAGGCTTCGGCTCAAAAAAACAAACAAACACTCTGGCTAAGAACACAGGCTCTGCTGTCAAGCGGACCAGAATTAGAGCCTAGCTCTGCGTGGCCTTGTCCTGTGGTCTTCAGCAAGTTACTTATGTCTCTGCTTCCAGTTTTCTAGTCTATAAAATGGGATAATAGGAGTACGCATCCCCAAGGGTGGTTGAGCAGAGCAAAGGAGAGATGATGCCCTCTAAGCACTCTGGGCCCTGGACCTCATACCTAGTAGATAGCTAATAAAATGCTAGTTAACTAATATTACATCTTTATCTTAAACATTTAGGGGGTTGCTCATGGCTGGTGAGTCACATATTGTTCTTCCCTTAGGGAGGGGTCAGAGACTCTGAAATAAGAAACTCAGGTAAGTTGATTGTAAATTATGTTAACTGTTTGTGGCTTGTGTGAATTTCTCATTTATGTATTGTGTACTCACTCTGGCTCCTCCTACAAATTTACAAGACTGCATACAGGAATACATAAAGCCAAAATGGGAAAATATAAATGTTCTATTTCTTAAAATAGAACAAGAGAAATACATTTGAATAGAAGATTAAGACCAGGATGGACAATAGAACACAGTCTGCTGCTGGCCAGTGGCTGTCACATTGGCACCAAGAACTGCGGAGGGCTGGGGCCTCTGGAACGTCAAACCCTCCCCTACACCAGGGGGAGCGTTTCTACAGCCTCCATTCTCCAGAAGGGCATTTCTTTGTCAACTTCCCTTAGTGTTTCATGAAGTTTTGAAATCTCTAGCCTATTTGAGTTGTGCTAAGAGGTACCTAGAAAAGTGAATTTGTTTTCACTTGGGTAAAATCATAAAGGCATGAGGTGGGACATGCCCCACTCTCACCCTGGAAGGAGCTTATGATTTTGTCTGTCTTGAAAGTGAAAAACCTGTTGAGGACCTAAATGTTCATCACTTTCCAAAGATGTTTTTTCTAGTGTTACATTCCCAGCTATTTTATAAGACACATTTTCCATCATATTCTCAATGCTCTCCTATTCATACCCAGACACTTTCCTCTCACTTGGGGCCCCCTTCCTCTTTTTTTTTTTGAGATGGAGTTTCACTCTTATAGCCCAGGCTGGAGTGCAGTGGCGCGATCTCGGCTCACTGCAACCTCTGTCTCCCGGGTTCAAGAAGTTCTCCTGCCTCAGCCTCCCGAGTAGTTGGGATTACAGGTGCCTACCACCACACCGGCTAATTTTTGTATTTTTAGTAGAGATGGAGTTTCACCATTTTGGTCAGGCTTCTCTCGAACTCCTGACCTCAGGTGATCCTCCTGCCTTGGCTTCCCAAAGTGCTGGGATTACAGGTGTGAGCCACCACGCCCGGCCTCTTCTTCTTCTTCTTCTTCTTTTTTTCTTCCTGCTATATCTATCGTTTATATTTTCTGTCTTTCTCCTTCTCCCTGGTCTTTATACTACACTATGTGAGACAGTAAAAATCAGACTGCGAAAGCAGCAGTCGGCCGCTGTCCATCAGGAGGTAGATGCATAACAGCATAGGTGGCCAGCTGTGAGGGGCACTGAGAGGAATATTTTTCCCCAGGGCGCACTGCAGCTGTGAAGTATCACAGCCCTTACTCACTTCCAGTGACCTACTCACTTGCAGTGATTTAGCCAATGAAAAATTTCATTCTCTAAAATCGCAGACTATTACAAATTTGCTGTTTGATTCTAAATCAGTGAGAAGGAAATATCCCATTCTTGTCTGGAAACTCTAAGTGACTTTGACACAGAGAAGCAGCCTCCAATTCCAACTGGGGTACAGATAAGGGGTTTCTCTGAATACAACATTCCACGTTCATTTTAACTGTAGTTTCCAAGGAAACAATCTATTTCACAGTTTCAAGCTGCCGGTGACCCCTTTACAAACAGCCCTGCTTTCTTTTGAGCCTTTTAAAATTCTTTCATTTAAATTTCACCAAAAATCCACACTTTCCTCCAATACTATAATGACATTTCCCCCAATACTATAATGACATTTCCCCCAATACTGTAATGACATTTCCGTTGTTTGGTGAGAAGCTCCTCAGCTCCCTGGTATACAGCCTCCCATTTTGCAACTAACTGATAAATCTGACTTCATGGGACTATACATTTGCTCCTGCACTCTTGGTCGATTGGGCTAGGGTACAAGTGACTCTCCAGACCCCTCTCCATGCTAATAGTCTAGTGGCCCTTCTTCCGTCAATTCTAATCCTCCTCGTGATCTATCTTCTCAGGAAAGCTCTGCCCATTTCCATGCTCAGTCACTCACAGGCAAAACCTCAGTCCTACTGACAATCCAACACCAACCATGACTACAGCCAGGGAAATGAGCATGATGGCCTGGGGCTGTAAATGTCCACTCAGTTTGATCACATGTTTGGATGTGTGGCTCACGCTAACTGTATTTGTGCCTGTGGACATTGGGCCTGTTTACTGGGAGGTGTTGCTGGTTGGCTCACGGGTGGATCCTGTAGTGGTCCTGAAGCTGGGGGCTGAGGTGGTAGATGATGCTCCCATAGTGGATGTACCCAGGTCAGAGGTGTTTGAGACTATTCCGGTCACAGGATGGCTGCAGCAGAGGCCATGGAGTCCATTCCAGGGGCCATGGTGACAGAGCTAGGGGCGGTAGGACTGGTTCCAGGGGTCACACAACATGATGCATTCATAGCAGAGATAATTAAAGGGGAGTGGGAGCGCTTAGAGCAGAGCGGGGTGAATCTAACATGTCTATGGTGAGAGTAGCTCAGGAGAGGGGTGGTGGGGGAGGAGAGATGGTAGAAAGCCATTCCTCTGTGGCTGTGTCCTCACAATAGAGGTGGGTGTCGTACAGAGGAGGAGGTAGAATGTGTCACCTGGTGGAGTTGGTGATGGAGGAGGCAGAAGGTTGAGGAAACGTGACCGTGATGGGTATGGAAGTGGAAGATCTATTTGACTTCGGAAGTGGCCACCCAAATAGAAGAGGGCGGGCTTGTATACAAAGTGGCAGGCCCTGCTTCTTTTGTGACTGTGATCACTGGGTGTAAGGAGGGAGCTGGAGGAGGAGATGACAGAATTGGATTCATTCATGGGCATGCCAGTGGCCGTGGCTGGGACGGAGGTGACATCATCTACCACACTGTGGTGGTCAGCAAAGGTGGGGTGAGTGTGCTTGGGCAGATGTGGGAGGACCTGACCCAAGTGGAGAAGGCTGCTCACAGGGACAGGAGAGGGTGGGCTCAGACAGGTGCGAGTGAGAATCAACACAGCAGAGGCAGTGGTGGTGGCTTTGATAGCAATGGGTGTGCCTAGGTCAGAAGTGGTGAAAATAGGATCCCAAACAGCACCAGTCACCAGAATAGAGGTGAGGGTGCTCAGAACGAAGAGGATAGAATCAGATGCAACCGGCTTGCTGATGGAAAGTGCCAGAGAATGAACATAATTGTTTGGTCTTAGACTGGAGCAAGGTGATATGATTTGGATTTGTGTCCCTGCCCAAATCTCATGTCAAATTGTAATCTCCAATGTTGGAAGAGGGGTGTATTAGTCAGGGTTCTCTACAGCGACAGAACTGATGGAATATATATAAAGCGGAGTTTATTAAATATTAACTCACATGATCACAAGGCCCCACAATAGGCCGTCTGCAGGCTGAGGAGAAAGGAGAGCCAGTCCGAGTTCCAAAACTGAGGAAGCATCCAGCACGGGAGGAAGATGTAGGCTGGGAGGCTGGGCCAGTCTCTCTTTTCACATTTTTCTGCCTGCTTAAATTCTAGCCACTCTGGCAGCTGATTAGATTGTGCCACCCAGATTAAGGGTGGGTCTGCCTTTCTGAGGCCACTGACTCAAATGTTCATCTCCTTTGGTAACACCCTCGCAGACACACCCACGATCAATACTTTGTGTCCTTCAATCCAATCAGGTTGACACTCAGTATTAACCATCATAAGTCCACCCCTTGTCAACTTGAACCCATGCGCATCTCCTGAGATTATACATAATCTTCAAATAAAGACAATAATAAGGTCATAATTATGCCCAACATAATACAACTATCCTTCATACAACCGGAAACGCACCAATCCCCAGCCCATATGCTATTACGCAAAGTTAATAATACTTAAATGCTGATGTGAAGTCAATAAATCTTACATCACATAATAAAGGAGAAAGGAAATAAAATGAAGATATTTTCTTAGTACAAGTGTATACATGTACAAACGTGTTTTTAACAAAAGAAGGAGGAAATACTCATGACAATTACAGTGCTCTTTCTGCAGCTGGTCACGCAGTCATAGTTGGTATTGATGGCTACCTTCTTCTGCTACCCATTCTGTATTCCCTTTCCCTTTAGCAAGCATCTCAGCAGGTCATGGTTTTTTCCTGGTGGAGTGACCCAAACTTCCATTTCTGAAGGGTCTGGGTCATTTGTAGTCCTGCCTGGATTGGGCTGTTGTAGTTTCCCACTGACCTTAATCACAGGGCATGGTAATGCTAAGAGACGCCCTAATGGATCTCAAGTATTCCATGCATACTTTTCCTTACCTCCGTTGTGGAGTAGTAGACTGACTTCATCAGGATAGTCTAGGTCAGTCACAGCAGCCAACACTGTAACTCCCTTCTAAGCCTGTTAACGTAAAGGTAGAAGGAGCCCAAAGTGTCCAGGTGGCAATTTTAACTTCCAGTTTAATGGCATTGTTGTTGTGTCTCCTGGTGGCAGCGTTCCTCCCTCTGGAGCTAAGACCTCTAGGCCAGCAGAATGTAATGTCACAGGAACAGGAAGCAAAAATTTTGCTAGTGGATCACTAGGGGTGATGGTGAGTGGTGCCACTTCCACTTCCATCCCTTGCTTCCTGGACCCAGGAATGCTGGCTATGGGAGAAACAGTACCATACAATGGACACTGATTCAGAGCATACACAGCCTTCTAGAGAATTTTGCCCCAGCCCTGCAAAGTATTGTCACCTAGTTGATGTCGTAATTGTGACTTCAAAAGGCCATTCCACCGTTCTATCAATCCAGCTGCTTTAGGATAATGGGGAACATAAGACCAGTAAATTCCATGAGCATGAGCCCACTGCCACCCTTCTTTAGCTGTAAAGTGAATGCCTTGGCCAGAGGTAATGCTGTGTGGAACCATGATGGTGGATAAGGCATTCTGTGACTTCACGATGGTAGTCTTGGCAGAAGCATTGCATGCAGGATAGGCAAACCCATATCAGGAGTAAGTGTCTATTCCAGTGAGGACAAACCTCTGCCCTTTGCATGATGAAAGAAGTCCAGCCAGTAATCCAGTAATCAGCTGGCTGATCATCCTGAGGAATGGTGCTATACTGAGGGCTCAGTGTTGGTCTCTGCTGCTGGCAAATTGGGCATTCAGCAGTGGCCATAGCCAGGTCAGCCTTGGTGAATGGAAGCCCATATTGCTGAGCCCATTCATAACCTCCATCCCTGACACCACGGCCACTTTGCTCATGGGCCCATTGGGTGATGACAGGGTTGGCTGGGGAAAGAGGCTGAATGGTATCCACAGAACGGGTCATCGTATCCACTTGATTATTAAAATCCTCCTCTGCTGAGGTCATCTGTTGGTGAGCACTCACATGAGATACAAATATCTTCACAGTTTTTGACCACTCAGAGAGGTCCATCCACATAACTCTTTCCCACATTTCTTTGTCACCAATTTTCCAATCGTGCTTCTTCCAAGTCCCTGACCATCCAGCCAAACCCCCTACTGATTATGCATCAGTAAATAATCACACATCTGACAGTTCTCCTTCCATGCAAAGTGCAGAACCAAGTGCACTGCTTGAAGTTCTGCCCACTGAGAATATTTCCCTCCACCGCTGTCCTTCAGGGATGTCCTAGAGAGGGGCTGTAGTGCTGCAACTGTTCACTTTCGGTTAGTGCTCCATATTGTGCAGAACCATCTGTGAACCAGGCCCTAGTCTTCTCTTCCTCTGTCAACTGATCATAGGGAACTCCCCATGAGGTCATCGGTACAAGCTGGGGAAGAGAAAGCAGGGTGGCAGGAGTGGAGACCATGGGCATTTGAGCCACTTCCTCATGTAACTTACTTGTGCCTTCAGGAACTGCTTGAGCCCGATCATGTGTATATCACTTATATTTGATGATGGAATGCTGCCGCACACCGACCCATTTTATAGCTAGATGGATCAGAAAGCACCCAGTTCATGATAGGTAGTTCAGGTCACATGGTGACTTGATGACTGATAGTCAAATGTTCAGTTTCCACCAAAGCCCAGTAATAGGCCAAGAGCTGTCTCTCAAAAGGAGAGTAGTTATCTGCAGAAGATGGCAGGGACTTGTTCCAAAATCCTAGAGGCCTCTGCTGTGATTCACTTATGTGGGCCTGCCGAAGGCTCCAAACAGCATCCCTATCTGCCACTGACACCTCAAGCACCATTGGATCTGCTGGGTCATATGGCCCAAGTGGCAGAGCAGCTTGCATAGCAGCCTGGATGTGTTGCAGAGCCTTCTCCTGTTCTGGATCCCACTCAAAACTGTCAGCCTTTCGGGTGACTCAATAAATGAGCTGGAGTAACACACTCAAATGTGGAATGTGTTGCTTCCAAAATCCAAGTAAGCCCATTAGGCGTTGTGCTTCTTTCTTGGTTGTAGGAGGGGCCAAATGTAGCAACTTCTTCACCTTAGAAGGGATATCTTGACAGGCCCCACACCACTGGACCCCTAGAAATTTTACTGAGGTAGAAGCTCCCTGAATTTTAGTCAGATTTATTTCCCATCCTCTGGCACACAAATATCTCACCAATAAGTCCAGTGTGTTTGCTACTTCTTGCTCACTGGACCCAATCAGCATAATATCATCAATGTAATGGACCAGTATGATATCTTGCAGAAGCAAAAAGTGATCAAGCTCTCTCTGAATAAGATTATGACACAAAGCCGGAGAGTTGATATACCCCTGAGACAGGACAGTAAAGCTGTATTGCTGGCCTTGCCAGCGGAAGGCAAATTACTTCTGGTGGGCCTATGGACAGGAATGGAGAAAAAGGCATTTGCCAAGTCAATGGCTGCATACTAGGTACCAGGAGATGAGTTAATTTGCTCAAGCAATGAAACAACATCGGGTACAGCAACTGTAATTGGAATCACCACTTGGTTAGGCTTACGATAATCCACTGTCCTTCTCCAAGATTCATCTGTCTTCTGCACAGGCCAAATGGGAGAACTGAATGGGGATATGGTGGGAATCACCACCCCTGTGTCTTTCAAGTCCTTGATGGTGGCACTAATCTCCGCAGTCCCTCCTGGGATGTGATTTTTTTTTTTTTATTTACTATTTTTCTAGGTAGAGGCAGCTCTAATGGCTTCCATTCAGCCTTTTCCACCATAGTAACCCTCACCCTACCAGTCATGGAGCCAATGCAGGGGTTCTGCCAGCTGCTAAGTATATGCCAATTATGCATTCTGGCACTGAGGAAATGATCACAGGATGAGTCCAGGGACCCACGGGACCCACTATAAGTCAGACCTGGGCTAAAACTCCATTAATTACCTGACTTCTATAAACGCCTACTTTTTTTTTTTTTTTTTTTTTTTGAGACGGAGTCTCACTCTGTTGCTCAGGCTGGAGTGCAGTGGCAGATCTTGGCTCACCACAACCTCCACTTCCCAGGTTCAAGCTATTCTCCTGCCTCAGCCTCCCAAGTAGCTGGGACTACAGGCGTGCACCACCATACGTGGCTAATTTTTGTATTTTTAGTAGAGAGGGTTTCACTATTTTGGCCAGGCTGGTCTCGAACTCCTGACCTCGTGATCCACCTGCCTTGGCCTTCCAAAATGCTGGGATTACAGGCATGAACCACCACTCCCGGACTCATAAGCCCATACTTTAACTGGAGGGCCACAATGACATTTTGGGTCTCCTGGAATCAATGCCAGCTCAGAGCCAGTGTCCAGTAGTCCCCAAAATGTCTAATCATTTCCCTTTCCCCAATACACAGTTACCCTGGTAAAAGGCCAGAGGTCTTGGGGAAGGATGGGAGAAAGATTCACTGCACAAATTGTTGGTAATGTAGTGGGGTCCTTCCTCAAGGGGACCCGGCCTCCCGTTCATTCAAGGGGATCTGGGTCTGTGAACTGGCTCAAGTCTGGAAATTGGTTGAGGGGCCGTGATTCTGTTTTTATAATTCAAATTAGTCTTTTGTCCATTCAGCCTAGAAGTTCTCTGCTTGTATAAATTAAATAGGAATGCAATAGGCTTCCTATCAATTTCACTTCTAGGAACACTGTGATTAATTAGCCAATGCCAGAGCTCTGCATGAGTTGGACTATTCTGATTGCCACTTTGCCTCTGCTGTCCATTATGGTACCTACACCCACATTGCCTTCGATGTTTGAGTGCTACCACTTGGCCCCTGCCACCTCTGGATCCAATTATTCCCATTGTATTTAAATTTTGCAGTTGACTGACGGCGGTTCCCACTGTTAGATCTGACATACAGAGAAGAGCAATTATAGGGCTCTTCAGATATGCAGGTGCTGCCCTCACAAATGTATTTTGCAAAGCATCATCAAGGGTATATCTTCTGGACCCTCCCAGCTGGGATGAGTAGGTCTAAATTGACTAATCCACTCCACCATCCCAATCTCCCTAAGCCTTTGGATCCCTTCATTTACATTAAACCAAGGGAGATCAGCTTGCTCACAGCGGGCCATCTTTTAATCCATATTTTAGCTAACTAAGCAAATAAACTATTAGAACCCTTTTTAACTCCCCAAGCTGCAACATTAAATGCAGAGTCCCTATTTAGTGGGGCCAAATCAATAAATTCAGCCTGACCTAACTCTATGTTCCTTCCACCATTATCCCACACCCTTCATATCCATTCTAATGCCTGTTCTCCAGATTTCTGTTTATATAAATTAGAAAATTCAAGCAGTTCTTTTCGAGTGTAGTACATCTCCTCATGGGTCACACTCTCAACCTCGCCTCTAGGGGCCCTCCAGGAAATGATACCTAACAGTGTACAGGCTTGACTTGAGACAGGGCAGAGATGATAGAAACAGGTGAAGAGCTAGTGGTTGCCATTGGAATTAAAATGTGTGTGATCAGAGAAGACATGGGGGTTAGTACCTGACACAACTGTTTTGGTGATGGTCTGAGTAGAAATGTCAGTGACCTTGTTGGGCACAAAAGTGGCAGAGACAGTGGTGGAGGTTGCAGTGGCCCCAGAGGCTGTGGTAGAGGCCAAGAAGGGCGATGAGGCCAAAGCGAAGGCTGTGGAGGTCACAGATGCTGCTGTGGATGGCATGGTGGCCTCAGAGCCTGTGGTGGAAGCCATGCTGCTTCCAGACCCTGAAGTGAACTCAGAGGCTGTGCTCACAGCCATGTTGCTCGTGGATATTGCAGTGGAGGCTGTGGTGGTCTCAGAGTCTGTGGAGGAGGCGGTTGTGGGCATAGATACTATTATGGAGGCACTGGGGGTCTCAGAATCTGTGAGGGAAGCCGTGGAGGTTTCAGTGGCTGTAGTGGTCTCAGATCTTGTAGTGGAGGCTGTGGTGGTCTCAGAGCCCATCATGGATAAAAATCCTGCAGTGTTCTCAGAGGTTATTTTGGAGGTTGTTGTGGGCACAGATACTATTGTGGAGGTAGTGGGGGTCTCAGAGGTTGATGTGGCCTCAAAGGCCATAGTGGAGGCTAGGATGTGGTGGACACAAATATTTTGAAAGAGGATGTGGTGGACTCAGAGGCTGTGGAGAAGGCCTCAGTAGTTTCAGAGGCTGAGGTGGGAGCTACAGTAGGCACAGAGGTTATCATCCAGGCTGTGGGGATCTCGGAATCTTTGCTAGAGGCCAATGTAGTCACAGACTGCAGTGGTTCCTGAGGTTATGATGGAAGCCAGAGTGATCTCAGAGCCTGTGGTGGTTTCAGGCGCTTTGATAAAGACTGCAGTAGGCACAGATACTATCTTGGAGAGAGTGGTGCTCTTGGAGGCTATGGTAGAGTCCATGGTGGGCACAGACTTGGTCACGGAGTCTATAGTATTCTGATAGAGTGTGGTGGAGGCTGTGGTGGACACAGATGCTGTAGTGGTCTTAGCAGGCATTACGGTGGCTGTGGAGAACCCAGACTGTGTGGTTGTCACAGGAGCTTTGGTGGAGACCACAGCAGTCTCAGAACCTGTGGTCATGGCTGTGGTCATGGCTGTAGTCACTTCAGTGGCAGAGGTGGAAGCTCTGGTGGTCTCAGAGCCTGTGCTGCTTTCAGAGGCTGTAGCGAAGACTGTGGTGGGCACAGATGATACTGTGTGGTGTCCGGTGTTCTCAGAGCCTGTGGTAGAGGTTGTGGTGGGCACAGATGCTGTGGTGGTCTCAGCAGGTGTTGGAGGGGCTGTAGAGGGCGCAGACTCTACAGTTGTCCCAGAGGCTTTTGTGGAGATTGCAGTGGTCGCAGAGTCTGTGGTGGAGGCTGTGGGGGTCTCAGAGCCTGCGGTGATTTTAGAGGTTGTGGTGAAGACTGTGGTGGGCAGAGATGTTATCGTAGAGGTCGTGGCGGTCTTGGAAGCTGTGGTCATGGTTTTAGAGGCTGTGTTGGGAGCTGTGGAAGGTGTAGATGTTATCACAGAGAGTGTGTTGTTCTTGGGGACTGTGGCGGACACAGATGCTGTGGTGGTGTCAGTAGGTGTTTTGGTGGCTGTGTGGGGCACAGACTCTGCAGCTATCACAGAGGTTTGAGTGGAGACTGTGGTGTCCTCGGAGGCTGTGATGGCAGCAATGGTAGTTTCAGACATGGTGGCCTCACAGGCTGTTGTGTTCTTAGAGCCTGAGGTGGAAGCTGTGGTGGGCACAGATGTTACTGTGGAAGATGTGGTGGTGTTAGAGACCGTGGTGAAGGCCAGGGTGGACTCAAGGGCCAGGATAGAGGCTGTCACTGGCTCAGACACTGCAGTGGAGAACCTGATGGTCTCATAAGCTGTGGAGGAGACTGGGATGGCTGCAGAGCTCATGGTGATCTCAGAGGCTGTGCTGGAGGCTGTGCTGGAGGCTGTGGCTGACACAGACATTGTAGAGGACGTGATGATCTCAGAGGCTGTGCTGCTCTCAGAGCCGGTGGTTGAGGCCACAGTGGCACAGATGCTGTGGTGGAGGGTGTGGTAACCTCAGAGGCTGCAACAATAGTTGTGGTGGCTTCTGAGCCTATGGAGGTCTCAGAGTCCATGGTGGAGATGGCGATGATCTCAGAGGTTGAGGTACTCTCAGAGCCTGTGGTTGAGGCCATTGTGGACACAGACTCCACCATGGTCTCAAAGGCTACGGTGGGCCCTGGGGGCATAGTCCTTCCTGAAAAATATCAATTTTTAGTCAAATACGACACCTACTTTACATTTTTGATATTTAATTAGGAGCATCGTGCATATGTCTTTCTTGTTTCCTTTACATCAGCAGAACTGCTGGTGTCGTTACCTTTTATTTGGAATCATGTATTTCAGAGGCTCAGCATTTGCAGTTTCCTCCGCAGCTAAGGGCCCGGTTGCTGATTCAGCTGTGCTTCTGTAGTGCATGAGTCATTTGATCGATCTTCTTGGCACCTTGTCCTTTCTGCCATAATGTTTTTTGGAACTGTACTTGCCTAGGTGAAATAAAATCTAACCTATGTTAAGGAGGCTCCACATTATCTCTGTGTGTGTTATAACACTAAGGATAGTTGGGTCTCATCAGATTAGGGGAAAGTGTGTTGTTTGAAAACCTCATCCAGGGCCAGGCACAGTGGCTCACGCCTGTAATCCCAACACTTTGGGAGGCCAAGGCGGGCAGATCACCTGAGGTTGGGAGTTCGAGACCAGCCTGACCAACATGGAGAAACCCCGTCTCTACTAAAAATACAAAATTAGCCAGGTGTGGTGGTGCATGCCTGTAATCCCAGCTACTCAGGATGCTGAGGGAAGAGAATTGCGTGAACCCAGGAGGCAGAGGTTGCAGTGAGCCGAGATCGTGCCATTGCACTCCAGCCTGGGCAACAAGAGCAAAACTCTGTCTCAAAAAAAAAAAAAAAGAAAGAAAGAAAGAAAACTTCATCCAGGTCATCTGGACTGATCAGAAGAATCCCCTTGTCTGGGTGGAAGTGACAAGGAGGTCATAGGAGGGCAGCTTGAGCAGAGACACTCTGGTGCAAGTCCCCCATCACTCTTTGGGACGTTCAGCACACGATCCCTGCCTGAAGGGAGCCTGCAGGTTCTCATCCACCATCTGAGAGCACCGGGGTGTAAAATTCACAGGAGGCCAGCTTTTTTCCAGCCTCTTCAGGTGGTGAAAGTTGATGAGTTAGGCAGTTTGTAAAGAGACACAAGGAGATACTAGGGGGAAAAGTCCTTGGGAAGATTTCTTCCCCTCCCCTCCTTTCCCCTCCCCTCCCCTCCCCCCTCCCTCTCTCTCTCTCTCTCTTTCCTTCTTTCTTTCTTTCTCTCTCTTTCTTTTTCTTTCTTTCTCTTCCTTCCTTTCTTCTTTAATTCCTTCCTCCCTTCTTTACTTCCTTCCTTCCTTCTTCCTCCCTCCCTCCCTTCCTTCCTTCTTTCCCTCCTTCCTTCCTGTCTTTCTTACTTTCATTTATTTACTCTTCTAGTATAACATACTAGATTAAGTGGTAGCACTGGGAATGGATTAGAGAAGAATCTGGGGGATTAGTCTGGGTTTCTCTCTGATATACACTCTCTGCATCCAGGCCTTCTCATTCATTTATTCAAACATATTCCTTAAGAACCTTCTGTGGGCCACATGATGTGCCAGGCATGGGATACAGTGATTGAAAAGTTGATACAGAGCTTATATTCAAATAAGGGAGAGAGACCATGAATAAGTAAATGGATGATGTCCGAAATGAAAAACCTATGCATAGCTGACTGGGACTCTTTCAGGGGCCAAAAGGAAAAGTCCCTCCTGTCCTCCATGCAGGACCATGTGCAGGACCAAAAAAGAAATGAGAGGCCCAAAGCAAAGAAATACCTGCAGACTGGTTTTTCAAAATGGAAGCCGTACTGTGACAGTGCCCTTCTGAATATGGAAAAGTAGCGCTTCTGAGCAAATTGCCACAATGTTTTCTTGTTTTTGTTTTGTTTTGTTTTGTTTTTTTAAATGGAGTTTCACTCTTTTTGCCCAGGCTGGAGTGCAGTGGTGTGATCTCGGCTCACTGCAACCTCCGCCTCCTGGGTTTGAGTGATTCTCCTGCCTCAGCCTCCTGAGTAGCTGGGACTACAGGCACACGTCACCACGCCCGGCTAACTTTTATATTTTTAGTAGAGATGGTTTCACCATGTTAGCCATGAACTCCTGACCTCAAGTGATCCGCCCACCTCAGTCTCCCGAAGTGCTGGGATTACAAGCGTAAGCCACCGCGCCCAACCTAGTTGACACAATGTTGAAGGAAATGCAGAAATCCCAGCCTTTGATGGATCTAAAAAACAGCAGCACTGACACAGCAACCTCAGAGGCATTGGAGCAAGCTGGAAAGCTCAGAGAAAATGTAGACCCAGAAAAGGCTGTACGGTTATACCAACAAACAGCAATGCATTTAAAAATGTGGAATGCCTCAACAGGCAGCTGAACAGTTAGGAAAAGCCTCAGGACTGCTAGTATAAGGATGCAGGATTGATGGGACAGCACTCTCTATTTATAAAGAAAAATATTTATAAGGAAACAGAGTTATCCAACTATAAGAAAATAGTCGCTCAAGTATTAGTTCCTCTACATAGCAACGACTGTGCAGCTGGGAAAGCTGTGTCAGGAGAGCTCCAGCACAGCAGGAGTCCGTGCAAGTGGTGGCTGAGCTGTGCTAGAACAGCTTCCAGAAGGGTTTGCCCAGCAAGACCAAGCTACCCATCAGAGGTCAGCAACTCTCCACTTTTCAAGTACACAGGCAACGATTATGCTAAACCCAGCCTGAGTTTAGTAGTTCCGGGACAGAGAATCAAGAAGAAATTACCAGGGATGGTTGCACAACCACATGAATGTACTTAATGATACTAAACTTTACTCTTATAAATGGCTAAAATGATGTATTGTAAGTTATGTATATTTTATCATGGTTAAGAAAATAAGAAGGCGGAGGAGAAAGCAGAGAGGGAGAGAGAAGAGGAAGAGGAGGAAGAATTAGAAGAAAAAGGAGGAGGAGAAGAGGAGGAGGAAGAAGGGAAAATCAGCAGCTACCCTGGCCAAGCCTGGTGGCATCATCTTTGTAGCTGCTGCTCAGGAAGACAAATATTTGGGATTGTGCAAGTACTTTGCTATGCAAAAAGGAAAGGAAAAATTCTGACACGGCATTTCATGGACTTGGAGCTTGTTTAAGAGTACTCCACACTTCATTGCATCCATGGTTTTGAATGCTAATAAAGCCTCTAAGGCTGGGCATGGTGGCTCATGCCTATAATCCCAGAACTTTGGGAGGCCGAGGTCGGTGGATCACCTGAGGTCAGGAGTTCAAGATCAGCCTGGCCAACATGGTGAAACCCCGTCTCTACTAAAAATAAAAAAAATTAGCCAGGTGTGGTGGTGCATGCCTGTAATCCCAGCTACTCGGGAGGCTGAGGCAGAAGAATTGCCTGAACCTGGGAGGCAGAGGTTGCAGTGAGCCAAGATCGCACCACTGCACTCCAGCCTGGGCAACAGAACAAGACTCCGTCTCAAAAAAATAAAAAATAAAAAATAAGACTCTAATTTTTAGTTATCAATTCCCCAAATAACCTATCTGTGTCTGCTACCTGGAAAGCATTTTTTTTTTCTTTCCATAAGAGCTTTCTAAAACATAAGCAGGAGTTAACAGTAAATGCACTGTCATATTTTCATACAGTTTGTTTTAAAACTTATGAGCCAAATTCTAGATAAATTATGTTTTAAACAACAGAAACAATAGATATGGATATTTTCTCTCGAGTCATGTAACTTAGAGAATTTCCTTTGCATTTTATTTTATGATTACTGCTAAAATGAAGTTTACTGATTTTTAAAAATTAGAATTAAAAAATATTTTTAGTTTTGTTTTGAAAAGAAAATTTATCCCTCCATGATATTGGATACTGTCTTAATCACCTTGGACTGCTATAGCAAATACCACAAACTGGGTGGCTTAAACAATGGTAATTTGTCTTCTCACAGTTCTGAAGGCTGGGAAGTCCAAGGTTAAGGTACTGGACAACTTGGTTCCTTGTCAGGGCTCCTTTCTGGATTGCAGATGGCTGCCTTCTTGCTGTGTCCTCACATAGTGAAGACAGAAAGAACTCTCTTTCTCCTTTGATAAGGCCACAGTCCCATTGAATTCGGGCACCACTCTTATGACCCCATTAACTTTAATTACTTCCTAAAGACCCTATCTTCAGATATAGTCACATTGATGATTAAGACTTCAACATATGAGCCGGGCACGGTGGCTCATGCCTATAATCCCAGCACTTTGGGAGGCCAAGGCAGGAGGATCACTTGAGCTCAGGGGTTCAAGACCAGCCTGGGCAACATAGTGAGATATGGTCTCTACTAAAATTTAAAACAAAACTAATTAGCTGGGCATGGTGGCAGCCTCTGGGAGGGGTGAGTGCTGAGATGGGAGGCTCGCTTGAGCCCAGGAGGTCAAGGCTGCAGCAAGCTATGATTGTGCCACTACACTCCAGCTTGGATGACAGAGCAAGCCCCTGTCTCAAAAAAAAAATAGAAAAAAGACTTAAACATATTTAGGGGGGACACTGTTCAGTTCATAGTAGATATATTTAAATTAGTAAGTCCTTTCAGAGGTGAGATTGGGACAGGAAGCTATTTTGAGACTTACAATATTCTTTAGTCCAATAAAAGACGCAATTTAAGGTCTCATTAAAAAAAATCTATGAATTGCAATACAATATGGGCATGATGTTTAAATCTGCACTTGCAAATACTGGGATAAAAAGCTAAAAGTTAAAAGTCGTCTCCTCTGGAGAACAGGAATTGGACATGAAAAGGGGGAGGGTGCATCCGTGCTAGTTTTTGCAATAAATCTATGGAACTATTGGACTCTTTAAACTATTTACATGGATTGCTCTGGTAAAACTTGCAGAGAAAATACATACACACAGAGAGTAGGAGATAAGGACATGAAGATAGTGTTTGTAGGGGATTGTTTCAAGAGGCTTGGTGATGAAGGGGAGCTGATGGGGGCAAGGCTGAGAAGATGTGGGTGGGGGTCTGTGAAGATGGCTGCCAGCAGAGCAGAGCTTTCCAAAGTGTGTCCCTGGACCACATCAGGAGTGCCTGGGGAACTTGTTAATTTTTTTTTTTTTTTTTTAATAGAGACAGTGTCTCGCAATGTCGCCCAGGCAGGTCTCTGACTCCTAGCTTTGGGCAATCCTCCCACCTTGTCTTCCAAAAGTGCTGGGATTACAGGCCTGAACCACTGCATCCAGTGGCCATCTCCATTTTATTTATTTATTTTTTATTTTTTTGAGACAGCATCTCATTCTGTCACCCAGGCTGGGGTGCACTGGTGTGATCTCAGCTCACTGCAACCTCTGCCTCCCAGGTTCAAGTGATTCCCCTGCCTCAGCCTCCCAAGTAGCTGAGATTACAGGTGTGCACCACCACACCTGGCTAAGTTTTGTATTTTTAGTAGAGACGGGGTTTCACTATGTTGTCCAGGCTGGTCTCAAACTCCTGGCGTGATCCGCCCACCTCAGCCTCCCAAAGTGCTGGGATTATACGCATGAGCCACCGTGCCGGGTCTTTAGAAATCTACTTTTTAAAAATACTCTCCTCTGGGTGCTTCCTGTGCACACTGCTTAGGGCTTATTTGGCTGGTGTTGGGAAGGACCCTGTAGAAGGAGAAGGAAAAACTGGAAGGGGAAGAAGCCCATGAAGAAGGCAGGAGGTGTGGGATGGGGGAGCCAGAGCCAAGATGCACGAACACTCCAATGTTAGCAGGGGAGAATGGATGCTGATGAAGGCGGCTTTTTAGACTTGATGGTGGGAAGACGAGGTGGGTCCTGACAGTATTTTGCACACTTGTGCCTCTCTTTTATTATATGCCTTCTTTGTGTGATCTCTGCCTTTCCTAGTGAACTGTGAGCTCCCTGAAGGCAGGGCCTGTTGCTGTTTTGTTCACTGATTTATCTTCAGAACTAGCACAGAGTAGATGCTCAAAAAATGTTTGCCAGATGAACACGTGAATGTCACGTTTGATATGATGTGACATCCAAGTGAAGATATTATTGAAAAAAAATTGAAAATAAAGGACTGGATTTCAGAGCCAAGGTAGACTTAATATGAGTTTGGAAGTTGCCTGTTGCAGTAATAATTTGGGCCTCTTAAAATGAACAAGCTCACAGAGACGCAGGGAGGAGGAAAAGAACAGGATGTGCAAGGCAGGGTCTCCAGGAGAGTGCCTGGGATAAGAGAGCAGAGAGAGGATGCAGGAAACAGACATCAAAGAAGCCACCACAAAGCAGCCTCCTGTTCATTCAGCCTAGGGCTGTTTCTGTTTATTCCAATTCCACAACTGTCTCCTTGCTCCCTTTTTATGGCATTCCATCCTACAGTGGAAGCGAAGGGGCTTTATAAATCTGCCTGACATTGGGTTGTAGTCATTAGGCAGAGAAACTTGAAACATTGAAGGGACCAAGGAGAGAAGTCAGGTGGAGAGAAGTCAGGTGAAATGGCTAGGAAGACAGGAATTTGGATTGTACTTCTCTTCAGGCTAATATCACCCACAGTTCCCGTATCCCTGGGATCCGAAGGATCCCTCCCTGTCTCTATCCGGGGATTATGAAAGCCCTACTGAGGATTTTAATTTAGGCAGTATTTCTGGAAGTGATATTTTCATTTCACTTGGCTTTAGACTTGGAGCCTAGCTCTAATAAATATTTAAAGATGATATTGAAACTAGAATTTTCAAGTTAGATACAAAGCATTTGTTGAGCAGCCGTTAAACCCGGGATTCTAAGGAAATACAACACAGCTATTATTTGTGTTCATGCTTACAGCGGAGCATTGGAAGGGGAAGATGAAGGTGGGTTTGCTGCAAGGTGAAGTTGGGGGTCAAAATCGTGGTTAGTGGGGGTTAAGGTTAGTACTGGCTTTTGCAGAAAGGGGCAAAAAAGAAGTTCATCATCTTTGCTTGCTTTTTGCTTTTGCAAAAGAATGAGAATAAGAAAAGCAAACAGAATGCCTGGGACAGGAACCCTTGTCTCCTTCAGACTTTTTGTGGCCTCAGTGTCTTCTCCGATTGATGGATAATTCACTTACCAGTCTCAAGATTCCAAAGAGAAGCATCACCTGGATGCAGGAGGTGGGAGGTAATTTCCCTCACCTCATCTTGAAATAATCCATGTGGGAAGTTGTTATCTAGAATGCCTGGGTTCTAGAGGGCAGATGGGCTCCAGAGGGGGCCTTGATGCCTGGTGTCTCAATGGGACATGAAGTTGCAGGAAGAATTAAAAGCTTGCCAGGGGCAGGGTTCTGGGAGGAGTAAGATCAGTTGGGGTAGGTTCCAAGACAGTGGTGAGTGGGGACTGGGAATGCTGGATTCCTGGGTTCTGAGGGTTGCTCCCACAATATGTCTGGCTTAATTTCTTTTCTCACTTGACCATAGCTGTGGCATTTATAGTTGCCACCAGGCAGGGGAGGCCGTAACTTCTGGACGCTCCCTCTCCAGGGAGGGGTATCTTAAGGCCATGACAATATGAGGGAAGAAGGAGGGAGCGGGAGAGAACAAGGGAATCACATCTGTGGGAGGAGAGGAGACCCACCCTCCCAGCCAGAGGTCAGCAGAAACCTGTTTTCTCTGGGATGTCTCATTTCTGGGACAGAGGCCTTTGTAGGAGGCAGAGGGGAGAAAAATGAAGGTGACTGTGTCCCAAATCATTGGATCTTCTTACTTTGCCAGCACCTCTCCAGGGACAGCTGGGCACTGTGAGGGGAGGATGCAGAGCCTGTGACTATGAGGCCAGTTAATGTGTCTCCGGGGACAGAGGCTGGCAGAAAAAACCCTGACCTGGGATACTGGCAGTGAGGCCAGAAGAAGACTCTCTGGACGTTCAAGGAGCTGGAAAGGGAGGCCTGGACTCTGGAAGAAGGGGCTGGACACCCTCGTGCAAATCTCAATTACACCCTGTTCCTTAGGTGGTCCCTGTAACATCCCACCCGTCCAGGTGGGGCTGCCTTGGTGTCAGAGAACCTGGCTCCACTGAGGAACAAAGTGAAATTGAGGCTTGGAGAAAATAAAGCAAGCCTTCTGTTCCATAGGAGCCGTGTGGGTTTGAACAGGGCTCTTCTCTGAGCCTCGGTTTTCTCATCTGTAAAGCAAGCTTTATAAGAACTCTTATAAGGTCTGTAACTTCTTATAAGGCTTGTAAAGCAGGCCTCGTAACTCGCAGGGTGATCGGAGGATCACAGGTGCGATGTACGTGAAAGCACAGCACAAACGGGTGTCAGTTTTATGGCCAATGTCACGGGGGTAGGAGCTACGCCCAGGCCCGTCAGTCCAGGCCCCTCCCTGGGGGCTGGGGGCTGGGAGGAGGGGATTCGGCGCAGTAGGGCTGGGGCGCTGCGGGGGCGGCGGCCTCGAGCCACTAATCTGAGCTGTCCGCAAGAGATCAGAAGCCGCCCGCAAAGCGGAACCTGGAGGAACGAGGGAGGGCCGCAGTCTCGGGGAACCGGAGCCCCCGCTGCGACTCCGCCGGGACAGCAGCTTCCGGCGCCCCGGCAGCCTCCTGCCCTCGGGGCACTCGCTCCCCCGAGGTGTACTCCCCGAGGGCTGGGGGAGCGCATTCCCTCCCGTCCTACTGATTAAGTAATTATCCCTAATGAGGGCCCAGCCCCGGAGCTTGTTAAAGGATTTCCGCCTAGATTTCAAAGTGATAATTAGCGGGGAATAGAGAGGAAAGTGGGAGGGAGACACCCGCCGCGCC
This sequence comes from Homo sapiens, assembly GCF_000001405.40. Lineage (NCBI taxonomy): Eukaryota > Metazoa > Chordata > Mammalia > Primates > Hominidae > Homo > Homo sapiens. The sequence goes on along the minus strand of NT_113891.3, from coordinate 2,435,035 downwards.
CCAGGGCCCACAGTCCGCCTTTGCCGGGCGAAGAACCTCCCCATCCCCCTTATACACCCTTTGACCTCCAGTGCTGCATTTTGGTGTCTTGATAGGGGAGGGGTCTGTCCGGTTGGATGTTTAGGACTCTAGAGGCAGAGATGTTTTTATTTCGTTTTGTTTTTGAATTGGGGTCCAGGCTGAGTTTAGGGGTTTCTGCATCCCTCCCAGGGCAGAGAGACACTCCTGTCCTGGCAGATGCCACAGGCTGAGTCACCGTCTACCCAGACAACTAAAATCCAGGCATCTTCCTCCTTTTCTCGAGGGCTCTCCAGCCCCTTCCAGAACCCAGGTGTCCCTCTGCCTCCTTTCTCCAGGGGCCTAAGTCTGGGTCCCTCTGGCATCTGGCATGTCTGCTTTCTGAGAGTCAAGCTTCAATCTTGCCTTTAGCAGAGCGGGTCTCTGGTGGGAGATTCAGTAATAAGGGCCTTCCCAGCCCAGCCAGGGCCAGATAGTTCAGTGACATCAGTGTCAGGGTTGGGATTACTGACCATGATAGGTTTCCAGCTTTCAGCAAATGGGGATGCCCAAAGGAGCAGATAGCGAGTGACCTGTGGCCCTGCTGTTTGATTCTGGATGGAGTTACGTTTAGGAGCCTGGCAGCAAACTGGGGCACCTGTTCAATTAGTGATGATGCCATACTCTGGTAAGAGAGCCAAGGCTGCATGGGTGATGGGAGGTTTCTGTTGGGACTGACATGGGCACACAACGGTTTTGGAGCAGGGCTGGTGTCCTAACATAAATAGGGGGCATAGTAGATGCTCACGGAGTTGGGCTTAATGAATTAGGGTGTTGTTTTATTCTATATAGCACCTAACTTGTGACAACTCTTGTTGAATTATTTAATTTTAATTTTCCTGTCTTTGTGTCTCAGGTGAGAACTATGTCTTATACTTCTTTATATCCTCAACAGAGTATATAATAGTTGCTTTAAAATACTTGCTTATTAATTGACAGGTTTTTCTACTCATTTTGTCACCATGCAAATAAACCCAGCCTGGACTGAGGCTGGCTCTTACCTAAACCCAGAAAGGAGCCATTTTTGGAGCAATAGAAATTCAGCCTCCCCTTTCTTGACCCTCCATAGATTGCCAGTCCTGCCCTCCAGCTCTTCTGTCTCCTCCACTTCTGTAAGGTCTCAGCCAGAGCCAGGAACGCCAGTCAGAACTTTCTCCCAATGGATAGTCTAATAACTATGATGCCCTTTATAAACATGTTATACTTTATTATAAAAAAGGTCAATAGACAGAAGGAAACTATCATCATCATTCTCCTTTTCCCCCTCTACCCAATCAGTAATAAGGTGAAATGGCCATAAGAAGAGAGAGAGAAAATCCAGAAAACACACACAGATGAAATGCCTACAAGGAGGAAAACTTGAATCTGGGGTGAAGGTGGGAGGAGAGAGAATGGGGACAGTAGAGAAGATGGGTAACTTTTACGAGATAAAGCTACAGCTGGCTTTTGGTGGAAGAGACAGGAAAATAAATGCTGAGACACCAATCAGGGAAGGTCTGGGGTGGAGATCAGTGGGTGAGACTGCTGGCCAAATAAAAATCCCCTCCTTGCGTGTCCACCCACAACCCAGCAAGCCAAACCAACAGGGCGTCCACTGTAGACATTTAGGAAAACTAAGGGATTTGGGAGGAAGAGGAAGCAACCATGTAGATGAGAGATATTTATGATTTCTTCTGGACTTTTTTTTCTCCAGGGCATGGAGAGAGTGGAGAAGGAAATAAATTCTCTTTTCTTCTTGGATCCGTTTTTTTTGTTTTTTTTTTCATTAAAAAAATGGGGGTGGGGGCAAGGGTCCTGAGAACTCAGAGATGAGCCTGTTTACACACAAACTCTTAAGTAATAGTGAATGGAAATAACATAATGCTGTCCTGAAACCCAGAGACTCTGCCCTCAGTCCCTCCCTTTCCCCATAAACCCCACTCACAAGTCAGTCTGGGGCATTGCCTATAAGGCTCCTGTCCTTCCTTTAGGACTCAGTGCAGTGTTCTGCATTGGTGCCCCCACAACATGTCCATCAAACACCTTTTCATTCTCAGACCATTACCTTCTACAGAGAATGTCTGCTCGTATTATTCATTCTTTCTTCTTTGTCCCCTAAACTTACACCCTCCTTGCTTATCACCTCATTCCCCAACCAGTTTCAAGAACAGATGAAGGGTTAATACTGGTAACCGTCAGTATTCTCTGCCCTTCCTGTAGTCCCGGAAATAGAAATTGTGAGTCCGGTTCCTCATCCAGGAAAGGGGCAGAGCATGGAAGAGCCAGGGCTGGGCGCCTACTCCAAGATCACCGTGGGGAAGGGATCTGGCCCATGCCAAGATTCTGCTGCTCCATCAGGTAGACCGGGTAGGAATTGGGGCCACCCTCATCCTCTGCATCATTGTACTGGGTGTTCTGGGTTAGTGTGCGGCGTGTCCGCATCATATAGGAGACCTGTGATTGGGATGAGAAAGGAGGAATGAGAACCATCTGCGATTTGTTTTCCACAACACTCACCTCAGGTCTTGATTCTATTCTCAAGATTCCATCCAAACCTTGATGTTTATTCCAGCTCCAGGTCCAATACAATGAGTCCCAGCTCCATCTCCAGTTCCCCACTCTACCATATTCTCCTTGTCTTTACACCTCCTATTCTCATACCCCAGACTCTCCACCCCCCACACTTTCTCTTTCACACCCTTTCATTCTCAGCCACAGCCTTGTCCCCAATTCCAGCTTTTTACCTCCTGTGTATTTATTGTCTTTCTCCTTAGTTTTCACCAAAACTCTCCCTCTATTACTGTTCCTCCCACTTCTGCCATGTCTCTTTTCCTAGACTCATTATTCCCTGTAACTCTGACCCCTAATGTATCCTCAATTCCCTATCCCATAGGTTGATTTCTGTGGGGCACATCTGTCCCTTACCAAGAAGATCAGGCCAAGGAACACCAGGAGGAGAATCACAGCCACCAGGACCACAATAACTATGGCCCATGCAGGGAATGAATCATTCTCTCCCATCTGTCCAGCGTGGATACCTTTCTGTGAGCCATCTTTATTGAGGTATGGATGGCTCTTGTTTCCTGTGGCTTCTGATGTGATAGAACTCAGCTTCGTTCTAGATGTAATGAGGGTGAAAGAACCAGTGGGCACCTGATGAGTAACTTCAGTTTTATTTAGATGAGAAGAGGTAGTAGTGAGAGATTTGTCTCCTGTGACCTTGACTGAAGGTTTTATAGTCTTTGTGACTGCTGCTGTTTTTTCTGGGTTTTCTGTGGACTTTACTGGGGCTTTTATGGTCTCAGTGGTCAGTGTGGTGTTCCCCAGGTTTTCTGTAGGCTTTTCTGGGACTGGTGTGTTTTTCCCTTTGGTGCATATGGTCTTCTCTGAGTATAGCGTAGGCTTTTCTGGGGTTCTTGTGGTTTTCTCTGTGGTTGACGTGGTCTTTTCTGGGTGTTCTGTGGACTTTTCTGTGACTTGTGTCATCTTCTCATGGGCCAATGTGGTCCTTTTTGCATGTTTTATAGGCTCTGCTGGGGCTGGTGTGATCACATTGGCTGATGTAGCCCTATCTCTATGTTCTGTAGACTCTGCTGCAGATGAGGTGATCTTGTCATTGGGTGATGTGGTCCTTTCTCCATGTTCTGTAGGCTTTGCTAGGGATGGTGTGATCTTCTCATTGGCCGACGTAGTTTTTGCTCCATGTTCTGTAGGCCCTTCTGGGGATAGTGTGATCTTCTCATTGGCCAATGTAGTCTTTTCTCCATGTTCTGTAGGCTTTACTGGGGATGGTGTGGTGTTCTCATTGGCTGATGGGGTCATTTCTTCGTGTTCTGTAGGCTTTGCTGGAGATGGTATGGTCTTCTCATTGGCTGATGGTGTCCTTTCTCCATGTTCTGTAGGCTCTGCTGGGGATGGTGTGGTCTTCTCATTGGCTGTCCTTTCTCCATGTTCTGTAGACTCTGTTGGGGATGTTGTGGTGTTCTCATTGGCCAGTGGGGTCCTTTCTCCATTTTCTGTAGGCTCTGCTGAGGATGGTGTGGTGTCCTCATTGACTGTCGTTTCTCCATGTTCTGTAGGCTTTGCTGGGGATGGTGTGGCCTTCTCATTGGCTATCCTTTCTCCATGTTCTGTAGGCTCTGCTCGGGATGGTGTGGTGATCTCATTGGCCAGTGGGGTCCTTTCTCCATGTTCTGTAGGCTCTGCTGAGGATGGTGTGGTCTTCTCATTGGTAAATGGGGTCCTTTCTCCATTTTCTGTAGGCTCTGCTGGGGATAGTGTGGTCTTCTCATTGGCCAATGGGGTCATTTCTTCATGTTCTGTAGGCTCTGCTGGGGATAGTGTGGTGTTCTCATTGGCTGTCCATTCTCTATTTTCTGTAGGCTCTGCTGGGAATGGTGTGGTCTTCTCATTGGCTGTGCTTTCTCTATTTTCTGTAGGCTCTGCTGGGAATTGTGTGGTCTTCTCATTGGCTGTCCTTTCTCTATTTTCTGTAGGCTCTGCTGGGGATGATGTGGTGTTCTCATTGGCCAGTGGAGTCCTTTCTGCGTGTTCTGTAGGCTCTGCTGAGGATGATGTGGTCTTCTCATTGGCAAATGGGGTCCTTTTTCCATTTTCTGTAGGCTCTGCTAGAGATGGTGTGGTCTTCTCATTGGCCAATGGAGTCCTGTCTCCATTTTCTGTAGGCTGTGCTGGGGATGGTGTGGTGTTCTCATTGGCTGTCCTTTCTCTATTTTCTGTAGGCTCTGCTGGGAATGGTGTGGTCTTCTCATTGGCTGTCCTTTCTCTATTTTCTGTAGGCTCTGCTGGGGATAGTGTGGTGTTCTCATTGGCCAGTGGGGTCCTTTCTCCGTGTTCTGTAGGCTCTGCTGAGGATGATGTGGTTTTCTCATTGGCAAATGGGGTCCTTTGTCCATTTTCTGTAGGCTCTGCTGGGGATGATGTGGTCTTCTCATTGGCTGTCCTTTCTCTATTTTCTGTAGGCTCTGCTGGGAATAGTGTGGTCTTCTCGTTGGCTGTCATTTCTCTATTTTCTGTAGGCCCTGCTGGGGATGGTGTGGTGTTCTCATTGGCTGTCCTTTCTCTATTTTCTGTAGGCTCTGCCGGGGATGGTGTGGTGTTCTCATTGGCCAGTGGAGTCCTTTCTTCGTGTTCTGTAGGCTCTGCTGAGGATGATGTGGTCTTCTCATTGGCAAATGGGGTCCTTTGTCCATTTTCTGTAGGCTCTGCTAGAGATGGCGTGGTCTTCTCATTGGCCAAAGGAGTCCTGTCTCCATTTTCTGTAGGCTCTGCTGGGGATGGTGTGGTCTTCTCATTGGCTGTCCTTTCTCTATTTTCTGTAGGCTCTGCTGGGGATGGTGTGGTGTTCTCATTGGCCAGTGGGGTCCTTTCTCCGTGTTCTGTAGGCTCTGCTGAGGATGATGTGGTTTTCTCATTGGCAAATGGGGTCCTTTGTCCATTTTCTGTAGGCTCTGCTGGGGATGGTGTGGTCTTCTCATTGGCTGTTGTTTCTCTATTTTCTGTAGGCTCTACTGGGGATAGTGTGGTCTTCTCGTTGGCTGTCGTTTCTCTGTTTTCTGTAGGCCCTGCTGGGGATGGTGTGGTGTTCTCATTGGCTGTCCTTTCTCTATTTTCTGTAGGCTCTGCTGGGGATGGTGTGGTGTTCTCGTTGGCCAGTGGGGTCCTTTCTCCATGTTCTGTAGACTCTGCTGAGGATGATGTGGTTTTGTCATTGGCAAATGGGGTCCTTTCTCCATGTTCTGTAGGCTCTGCTGGGGATGGTGTAGTGTTCTCATTGGCTGTCCTTTCTCCATGTTCTGTAGGCTCTGCTGGGGATGGTGTGGTGTTCTCATTGGCTGTCCTTTCTCCATGTTCTGTAGGCTCTGCTGGGAATAGTGTGGTATTCTCATTGGCTGTCATTTCTCTATTTTCTGTAGGCCCTGCTGGGAATGGTGCGGTGTTCTCATTGGCTGTCCTTTCTCTATTTTCTGTAGGCTCTGCTGGGGATAGTGTGGTGTTCTCATTGGCTGTCCTTTCTCTATTTTCTGTAGGCTCTGCTGGGGATGGTGTGTTGTTCTCATTGGCTGTCCTTCCTCCATGTTCTGTAGGCTCTGCTAGAGATTGTGTGAGCTCATTGGCTGATATGGTCTCTTGTATGTTTTTTGTAGTTTTTGTCAGGAGCTTGTCTGAGGCAACTGTTGTTCTGGAATCTTCAGTTTTTTCTGACTCTTCTGGGGTTCCTGTGGTCTTGTATGTTGTTTTTGAGGCTGCTGTGATTTTTTCTGGAAAAGATGTGCTTTTTTGCTTGGTCTGTGAATTGCCTGAGTTGTGGAAGGAAGTTGTAGTCTTATGTGAGCTGGTACTTGTCTTATCCAAAGTACTCATGGACTTTTCCAAAGGTCTTCCAGTTTTATCTGATTTTCTTGTTACCGTTGATTTGCCTGTTGTGGACTTACGACAGTTTATTTTGCTCTTGGGTGCTGGCGTTATATGTTTTTTTCCAGCGGATTCTTTATGTGTGGTAGTGGAGTCAGCAGGATCAACAGAGCGCTGGTTCCGGATCATTGGGTCTTTCCCTTGGTTGCTGGAGTTTTCTTCAGAAGTGGGAGGAGCCTCATGATTATCTGTAGAGCTTTTGTGGTCTATAGTTTTGGAGTTGCCTGTAGGCTTGTCAGTTGGCTTAGAATGGCGTGTGGTGTTGCAGTGGCGTTTTTGCTCATGGATTTCTGTAGATTTAGGGAGCTCTGGAGGTCTTTGTCCTGAATGCAGAACAATGTGATCAAAAGGGATACTATAAACAAGGCCTGGAGTGAGGGGAAATATGTGATCGGATGTTGAGAGTTCCCCAGTTTTCTGATATTCTTGGAATGTAGTAGCACCTGTGGAGGGAGAGAGGCAAATAAGAAACTTCCCCCATGTTCTTCTCCAACTCCCCCTTCCCACCTCCTTCTCTAGGGGATCTCTTTGTTCCCCCTGATATGACTCCCCAGCCAGTCTCCTCTGAATACTATGATATCTATTCCCCATTCTCACCTCCAGCCCCTAGGCTCAGGCTGTGCCTTCAGCAAGCATGCCACCTCATCCCCTTCCACATCTCCTCAACTCTCCATCTCAAGGCCTTCTGGCTTTAAGGCATCTTTTCTGATCCGTCTAAGCAGATAAAATCCAGCTTCATTTCAGTGCTTGAAAAGGTCTTTATTCACCATTCTGTCCTGTTACCTTCAACTTCACGTTACAGTTGTTTGCGTGCCTGCCGACCTCCACTCCCTGCCATGCCTATCCAATGGTAAGGTTTTGAGGGCATGTATGGACTAGCATTTTACTGTGCAGGTGCCCCTTTAGGGTCTGTAACTTATGGAATGGAGTCTTCTTTCTATGGCATAGCTGAGAAGACCAGGAGTAAACGTTAGACTCTTCACCTTTCCATAACATTCTAACACCATCCCAAATGTAACAGTGTGAGAAATTGAGGTAAGACCTCTGGCAGAACTTCCCATAGGGATTAGCAGGTAGACACAAATTGTGAGTGAGAGATGTATAAGAAGAATGGAGGATGGGTAGAGTAAGGAGATGGGAAGCTTTCATTTCGGTGATAAAGTTGGATGAGGGGAATGGATGAGATGACCCAACCCTTATGGTCACCCCACTGGGTCCCCCTCTTCACACATTTAAAGCCAACTGGGGATAGATGAAAGGGGCCATCCTGAAAGGAAAAGATATCTGCTTGGGGGTCCTGACAGGAGTAAACGAGGCAACTAGATTGTGGTAGGGACTGACTATGTTTAAGGACAGGGTGTGAGAGAAAACACCCCTATCAGTGGACAGATACACGCCTTAATTCCATGGAAAAACAACCTGATGGAGACAGAGGAGATGTCTCTGATACCTAGCCAAAAGAGTGAAGGCCAAGAGATCACCAAAGAGTGAAAGAGATAGTGTCATTACATAACTGAGGTTTCTGGTCCCTGTTAGCTCAAGGCGGCAACCGGAACCTGGACCTATTCCCAATCACAAGAAACCACAGTCCACCTGCCTGCTGATGGGCAGAATCGGCCTGGGGAGCTTAGTCCTTGAAAGAAATATGGGCAGGACAAGAAGGGTGTGAGGGTAATAGAGAAGCCCAAGTCTCTGAAAGGAATTGAGAATGAGGGGAGAGAAGGGGGCTGAATGATCAGGCCTGCACTCCACTGTCCCAATCCCATTACCTGATCTCCTTGGCAGCAATACCAGTAATAGCTATTGTTTATTGGACACCTTCCCCGGCCCCAGGATGTGGCTGGTGGCCTCACAGACATTCTCTTTCTGGATTCTCTTCTATGGTGATTGATCTCCCAATGCTCCATAAGGCTCTTTAGAAGCAGTCAACTTCCCCTATTTTACATCTGAGAAATTTACATTTCACGGAGGAAAAGTGACCTGTACATAGTCCCACAACAATAGCAATGGGCAACATTTCTAGAGCTCTACAATGAGACAGGCAGGTTCTACAAGTGAGGGCATACATTAACTTATTTACTTTTCACAAGAACCTGTTGAGGTTGAGAACTATCCTATTCTCCAAACTTTATAGATGAAGAAACAAGGTTCTGAGTGGTTAAGTAATCTTCTCAAGGACACCCAGCAAGTAAGAGGTCGAGACAGAATCTGAACGCACATCCTGGGGTCCCGGGCCCAGATCATTGCTGGTTAAGACCACAGTGCACAGCCAATAGGTCAGCCCAGTCTTTTAAAGAAGGAAAGACACTGACATGTGTGGACTCCCTGAAAGGTGCTGTTCATATATTTGTTTATTTAATCAAATAATTATGAACCTGTGAAGTGAGGAGTGTGATCTTACTGTTTTACAGGTGGGGAAAGGAGACGCAAAGAGGTTAAGTAATTGGCAAAATTAGACTTTTCACTGTGCCCCAGATGTTTTTAAACATGATAAGGGATGAATGACTATCTATTGAGTGAATAAAGGAGCTGGCAGCAATGCAAAGGGCATTTTCCACTGGCCTTAAAGAATCAGAGGACAGGTTTGACATCCAGGCTCGGTCCCTCAGCGGTTTTGCATTCTTGCTCAGGTCTCTTAAGTGCTCTGAAGCTCCATGTTCTCGACTGTAAATAACCATGATGCTGACTGCACCAGCTTAATGTGAGGATTAAAGGAAGTATGGACCATGGAAGACTCTGGAGCACAGAAGCTATTTAAATGTTTGTTGAATCCACATTGTAGTCTCTGAAATAATCTCGTGCTTTGCCCTGTCCTTCTCCTGGTAGTAAGGGGAGCCTGAGCAGTAGCCCTACCCCCCTGCCTGCTCCATCCACCTCTCACCTGCTGTGGCCACCTTCTTGAAAACAGCAGCCTCTGCATTCCTGGGCCACTTTCTCTGCTGTGTTTTAATAACACAGCACTCATCACTTTCTGATATGTGATAAATACAATTAAATTTCCACAATGGCAAGGCTTTTTTTGTTTGTTTGTTTTTTGAGATGGAGTCTCACTCTGTCGCCAAGGCTGGAGTGCAGTGGTGCGATCTGGGCTCACTGCAACCTCCACCTCCTGGGTTCAAGTGATTTTCCTGCTTCAGCCTCCTGAGTAGCTGGGACTACAGGCACATGCCACCACACCCAGCTAATTTTTTGTATTTTTAGTAGAGATGGGGTTTCACTGTGTTAGCCAGGATGGTCTCGATCTCCTGACCTCATGATCTGCCCACCTCAGCCTCCCAAAGTGCTGGGATTACAGGCATGAGCCATTGTATCCGGCCGGGGTTTTTGTTGTTGTTGTTGTTGTTTGAGATAGAGTCTTACTCTGCACCAGGCTGGAGTGCAGTGGCATGGTCACAGCTCACTGCAGTCCTGACCTCCTGGGCTCAAGCAGTACCCCCACCTCAGCCTCCCTGTCAGCTGGGACTACAAATGTGAGCCAGTATGCCCCCTCCTCACCTTTTTTTTTTTTTTTTTTTTAAGACGCAGGGTCTCACTATGTTGGCCAGGCTGGTCTCAAACTCTGGTCTTCAGTGATCCTCTCATCTCAGCCTCCTAAAATATTAGGATTATAGGCGTGAGCCACTGCACCTGGCCTGGCCTGGCCTGGCCTGGCAGGGATTTTTATTGTTTTGTTCATCGCTGTCTCCAGCCTAGAACAGTGTCTGATCCATAGGAGGCACTTTGTAAATATTTGTTGAATAATGAATGAAAGAATAAGACTGATGAAAACTCCTTAAAAGCCTTGCCAACAACATTTCATCATGCACGTTAAGTAAAAACCAAATGTATTTGTGACCTCCACAGGCTGGAAGACCAAGGGCGACTTCCGCTGTTCAGTAATTGAGCTCTGAGATTAAAAGACGTTGAAAGAAGGCCTCTGGCCCACCAATTCTGGGATACCAGTTGTCATTAAACCACAGGATCACAGTCCATAACTAGACTCAGATAACAAGATTTTAGAATTTTAGATCTGCATCAAACAGTTGTGGAACCATAGATTGTAAAAAGCTGAGGTAAAGCTCAAGGGATTCCTTGGTCCTGACACAGCCAAGAGGCAAATCAGTGTAAACCCCCAGGACAAGAGGAGCATCTCTGCCCCAGACGATCTACTTTGGTAGTGACTTATTTCCCTAGTAAGTTTTCACCAGGAGATATTCATTCCACGTACAACCATCATAGCCCGAAAAGAACTGTTTTGGTCACTGAAGAATAGGCAGGAGGTGCAGAGAGGAAAATCCAACTTTAGCACAAGACACTGTAGGTGGATGCTCAGCTGGGATAAAAGAATAAGAACAAATCCCACAACATCAAAACGATGCACAGTGCCAAAGGTCCCCGCCATCTGCTTTGTTCACTCATTTGAAAGAGAGGACATCGGCTGGGCACAGTGGCTTATACCTGCAATCCCAACACTTTGGGAGGCCATTGTGGGCCTGAGGTCAGGAGTTCGAGACCAGCCTGGCCAACATGGCGAAACCCCGTCTCTACTAAAAATATGAAAATTAGCCAGGCGTGTTGGCAGGACCCTGTAATCCCAGCTACTCAGGAGGCTGAGGCAGGAGAATCAGTTGAACCTGGGAGGCAGAGGCTGCAGTGAGCCAAGATCATGCCACTACACTCCAACCTGGGCCACAGAGTGAGACTCTGTCGAAAGAAGAAAGAAAGAGAGACAGAGAAAGAAAGAAAGAGAAAGGGAAAGAAAAGGAAGAAAAGAAAGAAAAGGAAGGAAGGAAGGGAAAGGAAAGGAAAGGGAAGGAAGGAAGGGAGAAAGAATATCTTGCTAAGCAACTCATGCCTTGGAGTCGCTGTCAGGGCACGCTGTCCCAAAAGAGCATCTCTAGTGTTTCCTGGTATCCTTACCCCCATAAATGGCATGCTCCATTTGCAATAATGTGGGTAAATGTTTGTTAAAATACCTATACAGTATGAGTTCAATAAGTGGCTTAAAATGCAGACATAGAAAAAGAAAAGCTGGTGGGCACAGTTGTTCACACCTATAATCCTAGCATTTAGGGAGTCTGAGGCAGGAGGATCACCAGTTTGAGACCAGTCTGGGCAACATAGCGAGACCTGTCTCTACAAAAAAAAAAAAGGAAAGCTAAAGGGAGATATAATCAAATGATTGCTTGGGGACTAGGGAGTATACAGAGATTTTATTTTTCTTTCTTATTTTTTCTATTTTCCATTTTCTACAATGAGCATACATTATTTGTGTTATAGAAATTAAATCAAATAACATTTGTTATAGGAAAATGTTCTTGTTAGATTCTTCCAAGGACCCCAGCCCCAATTCCCATCTCCTGCCTCACCTGTACTCTCTCAGATGGTTTCATCTAGACTGCACCTGTGCTCCCTCAGATGATTTCATCTGGGCTGCACCTGTGCTCCCTCAGATGATTTCATCTAGACTGCACTTGAGCCTCCCTCAGATGATTTAATCTAGACTGCGCTTGAGCCTCCCTGTGATGATTTAATCTGGACTGCACCTGTGCCTCCCTGTGATAATTTAATCTAGACTGCACCTGTGCTCCCTCAGATGATTTAATCTAGACTGCACCTGTGCTCCCTCAGATGCTTTAATCTAGACTGCACCTGTGCCTCCCTCTGGTGACTTAATCTGGACTGCACCTATGCCTCTCTGTGATGATTTAATCTGGACTGCACCTGTGCTGCCCTCGGATGATTTAATCTAGATTGTACCTGTGGTTCTGTGACTGCATGATGCAGACTCTGGGGTTCCAGGATCTAGTTATCTGTCTGGGTGTTGACTGGTCCTGTGGACAAACGTCAGGGTCTCCTCACCAGAATGGTAGACTAAAGGGCTTCATCCATCCCAGTTGTCCCTCTTCCCTTCCTGCCCTGGCCTCTCTCTCTGCTGGGCACAGCCATGCACCAGCTCTGATTCACACTCCAGTTCCACCCGACCTCATCACAACCCGAGCCCAGCCTCAAGCCCTCCCCACCTGTAACCCACTCACTCTTGTCTTCAAAATCTGCAGAATGGGAGCAGCCAGCTCCCCTTGTCCTCCCCACCCCTCCCTCCATGCCGCCCAGCCACGCCTATCTCCTCTCCGAGACCACGCCCACATGGCCCCATCGGAATCTCAGGAATTCAGATCTCCGCCCTGAAGCAAATCTCAGAGCGACTGTGTATGGAGTGGATTCCCTTCCGCCCCCTGCAGGTTCCTCTTCCTTAAGCTGCAAGATGGAAGGAGGAGAGAGCAGCCAGTGGACAATCCGCCTGAGAGGAAGGGGAAGGAAAGGCGGGAGAGATGGGGCCGGGAGGTGTTGGGCAGCTGTGGTACCTCTGTCTCCAGACCCTCAAGGTAGGGGAGACAGACATCAAGTCAGGGCACAGACAGGACGCACTGCTGAGACCTTTCAGAGGCAGCTCAAAGATTCCTCAGTCATCGCCATTCACCACCCACCTGCCCCTGCCTCCACCCCTGGCCTCAACCTGACTGTGCTCAGGGAAGGGGCACTGCCTCTAATATCACCCTGTGGATGGCTCTGTCCTTGGATGACTGTCCAGTGGGTAGATAGTGTCTCTGAATCTGCTGTTCTACATCTGCCTTGTGGAGACCCTCCTCCAAATTGCCCAGGCCCTCCACACCGCCCCTGTGTTCAGCATCTCTGCTCCCCGGGTTCAGTAGCAGTCCGTTTCTTGACTAAGTGAACTAATTTCATAATTTCATCTTATCTTTAGGGTATGTTTTGTTCGTCGAACTTGTCCATAGTCATTTTCCCATCAAAGTCCTGAGATGTTTCCCAACTGTAAGACAGGGACAGAGCCTTTGACGCACACTTTTCTGAGTCTCCATGTGGATTAAATGAGTAAATGTGGATGAAGTCCCTAGAGCAACACCTGGTGCAGTGTAAATGCTCTGTAGGCATCAAATACTGGTACGGCTGGGCAGCAGCATCCAGCCCATTTTACAGATGGTGTGGAAGGCCAGAGTAGGCAAATGGGTCAGAGTCAGGACTGGAAGCTAGGTCTGCACAAAACAGAGCTCTCAGGAGAGAAGCTCCACCTGTCCCCCCAGGGCTGGGGGCAGTGGAGCTGGAATCCCTGCTTACCTCCCTCTAGCTGTGAGATATGGGACATAATCATTGTGAATCCACTCTCCTCAACTATAAGATGGGATATTATTAGCCACCTCAGGGGATGCTGAGATGAAATGAGATGAGTCTCTGGGCACGGTGGCTCTCACTTGTAATACCAGCACTTTGGGAGGCCGAGGCAGGCGGATCACTTGAGGCCAGGCATTTGAGACCAGCCTGGCCAACATGGTGAAATCCTGTCTCTACTAAAAATACAAAAAAATGAGCCAGGCGTGGTGGTGCCTGTAATCCCAGTTACCCAGGAGACTGAGGCAGAAGAATCGCTTGAACCCGGGAGGCAGAGGCTGCAGTGAGCCAAGATTGTGCCACTGCACTCCAGCCTAGGCAACAGAGCAAGACTCCTTCTCAAAAAAAAAAAAAAAAAAGAAGAAGAAGAAGAAGAAGAAAGAAATCACCATGAGCAGCTGTGAATTCCGTGCACGGTGCTCAATGAATGTCAGGTGCCTACCCCCACCATCCAGGGCTGGCAGCCTCTACAGTGTCTTTATGCAAACTTGAAGAAACCCCCTCTGGATGGGTGCAGCCCTGTGAGCCATGTTTTAAAGAGCAGAGCACAGGCTGGATTTCATCTCCTACTACATGTCCCTTAGCCAGCAAACTTGAGCAGAGAACACTCTAGACAACTGTCTGTAGCAGCCCCGTGCCCGCCCCCTTCATTCATTTCTATTTGTTGTCCAACGCTATGAACACTAAGAAACAAGCTGTTTCTGTCTTCTGTATCCCCTGTGGGCATCTTACCTGCCCCCCAAGAAGCTAGAAGGAAGAGGAGGCAGCACTGGAGGCCAAAGGCGGAGCAGAGGCTGTGGACCGGCTGGGCCATGTCGGAGCTGGGTGGCTGCTTGGGGACCATGGGCTGCGGACCCCTCACCTTATATGGAGCCAATCTTGACGTCATGGGGGCTGGGGCTCCTCAGGACTAAGTCTTAAACAAATGGAGCCACCCCAACCCACAGGGGAGCCCTGATAAGAGGAGACCGCAGCTGCTGCGTCATGGAGCCAGGCACCTGGGTGCCTGCCGAGGGGTGGGATCTGGGGGCAGGGCAGAGGAACCAGAAAGGAGCAGGCACCTGAGCCAGCCCCAGTGGAGGGAAGTGAGGGTGGCGCCTCCAGGGCTCTGGGGAAGTGGGGAGCAGATGGCTCAGTTCTAGAAGGACTGAGCTCTGGCTGGGAGCAGGATGGGGTGGGGTTCACGTTCTGATCTGTGTCCAGCTTCACGCGCACCCTCCCACCTCTCCCGCATCAGCCCAGCTTCCACACCCCTTATTCACACATGGTCATTCTTGCCACCTTGGGCGGAGCTGTCCGCGAGGATCAGGTGAAAGAGCAAAGGCGAGAGAAAGCCCTCGAATGACCCTCGCTGCAGAGAAAGGTGCTTCATGATGTTCAGAGGTCATACAACAATATGTGGAGAGTGCAGAGGCAGTGACAGAGACAAGACACAGAACCACAGGGACATATGTCACACCCCTCACCAGGGACACAGACAGGTCAGGCCACCCAGAAGGACCGAGGCCAAGATCTTTGGCCAAGAGATGCTCGGTGTACAGGGGCTTCTGCTTTCACTCTACCTCTTCCCTCCCACCTCAGCTCAGCGGCTGTCTCTTTGTCTCGAAGTCCCCATTCACTCCTATACAGAAATGCAGACATCTCATTTTTAGGAGCACCCCAGAGCTCCCCCTTCCCTTCCTCACTTCCTGCCTAAAGCAAGCATTAGCTCAGAGACTCCCTTGTCTCCCCAGTGACAGTGCCTGGGGCTGGAGTAGGGGAGGACAGACTCCCTGGGTCTCTAGCACAGAGAAGTCACAACCCCTTTCTGCCCACTGTGGGTCTCCATGGAAAGTAAGCACCTTGGATCCCTGCTGTGTCATCAGAGCCTAGGACAGTGTCTGGCACACAGTAGGCAATCAATAAATGTTTCCACTCCGCCTGGATGGAGTGGAAGCCAGGGCCGGAGGATGCCTTTCTGAGGGAAGTGGGGGCAGGCAAAGGCCATAGAGAGGTCCAGGACCTGAGGGCAGGAGGCCAGGCCCTCAGGGCATTTGGGCTCATGAGAGGACTAGAGAACTGGACATGTGGGTTCCTCTCCTTACTTGGTGTGACTTGTCCCTAAGCCCTGGGCAGGGCTGGAATAGGTGGGAAGAGGAGAGGAGGCCAACTGCTTATTAATGTGATTAATGGGAGATTAATGAGGCTCCGTGGAGTCAGGCCAAAGACTGACTACTCAGAACTGGGCAGCCTGCCTCCCAGGCAATATATCCTGCGGGATGGAGAAACTAAGGCAGACACAGGCTGTCCTCTGCAACTCCATGTAGACTCGGGTGACTGACAGTCCCCCTTTTCACTGGTCCCCTTCCCCCCCCCCCCCTTTCCCCAGGGACCCAAGCCTCTAGGACGGTGGTTCTGTACAGGGAGGAGTAATTTTGCCCACATCAGGGAACATTTGGAAATTTCTGGAGACATTTTTGTCACAATTTGGAGTGGGATGCTACTGGCATCTAGGGGGTAGAGGCCAGAGATGCTGTGGGACATCCTATAATGCCCAGAGCAGTCTCCACAGCAAAGAATTATCCAGCCCAGGACACCAATTGTGCTGAAGTGGAGGATCTCTGCTTTAGAATAAGCACTAACCAGTGTTTGTGAATGAACACCCCCTTCCCTTCTCTCTGAGCTACAACTCCACCCCAAGGACGCTGATGTCTGGGATGGAGAAACCTGGAGGTAGGTGGAGGCCCAAAACAGTCTCTTACAGTCAGTCTATGTTGCTTCATCTGAGCTGGAGGCTGAGAGGCCAGTCACGAAACAACTCTGCCAACTACCATTGTTTGGGCATTTCTATGTACTGAAGAATGTACTAAGCACCTCACCTATGAGTTATCACCTGTCACCCTCACTTTACAGATGAGGATAAATGAGCCTCGGATCAGGGAATGACTTGCCCTGGTAACTGGCAGAGACCAGACTTGGCCCTTCCGGGCCCACATGACACAAAAGCCCATGCACTTGGGCAAACCCACAGCATCTGGGAGACAAGTGGAGGAAGTGCCATTTTATTTAGCAATAACTTGTTCACCACCCTCCCATAGCAGACCGAGGGGGCACCACAGAGGAGGGTCCTGCACCTGCCCTGAGGGGAGAGAATCAGAGGGCCTTGGGGGCTCAAGAGCCAGCCTGAGGGGGCTCCCTGTGGAGGGAAGTGAGAAGGGAAGCCGTGAGCAGACTGTCCTCAGCTAAAGAGCTTCTCTGGTCGTCAGGGAGGAGGGTGGGACTAGGAAGAGAGGGTGAGGGGCAGGGGTTCCAGCTGTCCAGACCTGGGCTCCGTGAGGGCTGGAAGGTGCCTGCAGACCACTTAGCCCTGGTCCTTCCTTCTACAGATGAGAAAACTGCCCTCGGAGAAGCTGGGCACCTTCCCGCAGTCTGCATGGCTGGCGGCAGGACAGAGAGCAGAATCTTGTGACTGACAGTAGACTCCTCCTTACGCTGTGGGTGGAAGAGACCTGGGGGGGCCAGTGACCCCAGGAATCTACCTGCAGGAAATGGTCCCAGCTAAGGTGAATGGGATAGGGGAGTCTGGGAATGAGACTATCTGGGAGAGGAAGAAGGAAGGCCAAAGGGTAGGCGCTCAGCTGCCCCAGCCCCACCTTTCATTTGACAAGAGTAGCGCTGGCTGGCAGCCTCCCCCTCATGGTGGCTGCTGTAAGGGGTCACAGAGCCACAGCCACACCCCAGACTCATCTCCCTCCGGAACTGGCAGGCCTGTGAGATGAGGGGAGGGTACGATGGGTTAATCTAGGGACCCGGGAACCTGCTGCTCAGCCCAGCTCTTCCCATGAACTGCTGCTTCCTCTTGGCAACCCAGGCACTCAGCATTCCTCTTTGAGCAAAAACAGCAATAATAATGAATAAGGCTGTATATTGAGCACTTACTATAATACATGCCAAGCACCATTAGTGCTCTCTTTGCATAAGCTTATTTGATCCTCCCAACCACCCTTTGAGATGGATGCCATCATTCTCATTTCATCCAGGACTCAATTACCTCATCTGTAAAATGAGGAGTAATATTTCCTATATCACTGGCTTGCTGTGAACTAAAATATGTACAGCACCTAGCACACCTAGCACATAATCAGTGCGATGTAATATTATTATTATTTAAGTATTATTATTAATGAAGAATCCGGAGCACAGACAGATTAAGTAACTTGCACAAGGATTCAAGCCCAGGTGAATGTGGCTCCACAGAACTGGTCCTTCATTGCCTAGAGCTGAGTTGAGTGCTTCCACGCGCCAGTCAGCCTCCAGCACTCCCCCGCCTCTTTCAGTGGCCCCAACCCCCTATCCCTGCCAGACCGGTGTTTTTCTCGGCCACTGAGACAAGGGCTCTCTTTGCCCTCCCTGCAACAAGCCCTGCAAGCTGTCATTCCCCTCCCCAAAGCCCTGTTCTCCTCTGAATCCTGGGGCACCAGGTCCCAGCCCCACTGGCACAGGGATCCCACACATTGGACCATGGCATTGCTCACCTTCTTGATACCGTACATTAGGCTGACAATTGCTGCCACCAAAGTGAGAGTGATCAACACAATGGCCCAGTCTGAGACAGAGTCCTTCTGGGGCTTCGGACCTGGGGCACAAAGACAGGGCCAGTGACTGAGGTAAGTGGTGCCTCCAGCCCCCCAGACCCCCACTGCCCTCTGACTTTCCATCTTTCTTTCTGTGACTGATGTCTCTGACTCTGAGACCTCATCTCTCTGGTGTTTTCTCCTATCACCTTGGGAGCAGAATCTCAGCAGGGGTGGGGGTGGGGGTTTAAAGGGCTTCAATCCAAGTCTCAATTGCCTCTTCCCTGTGGACACGTCTGTCAGTCCCAGACTCATCACTGAGGTCCGCACCTCACTGTCTTTCTCGGGCCCTATTTTCTGCATCCCTGGGTCTGTGATGCTTCTGCACTGGGAGGGTCCTCAGTAGGCACTCTCCTTCCTCCAAGCCCCAGTTCTCCCCACCACTCCACCCTGATTCTTGTCCTTAAGGGGAACCAGAGCCTGATCTCCTGTCTTCCTTCCATTCGTTTCCTGCCGTCAGACTTCCCGCGTGGTATTCCCTATGCTCCCCTTCTAGGAATGAAAGGGAGGGGAGGAGGATGATGGAAGAAGGAGGGGTGATCTCTGGAAGGAATGCCTCTCGCCCTGAACAGAGAGATTAGATCATGAGGAAGAAAGATGAAAACCTTTCGAGAAAGCAGCCAGGTAACAGGCATCTGGCAGTTGGTCTGACCAGAGGCCACCAAAACCCCTTTGAGCTACAGACACATCCTCAGACAGGTTTAAAACACAGTTGAAAGCAGGAGCTAATGACTCTCCCTGAACTCCTCCCAAGGAGCCAGGGGTGGCTGCAGGGAAATGAGAGAGAATAGGCCCACCAACATTTTACTGTAAGTGACCCAGTGCCTAGAAGAGTGACTTAACTGGCCAGGATGCTGAGCCCAGAGGACGTGGTGGCCACCCAGCCATGGTGGCAGTGGAACTCCTAAGACAGCAACACTCAGTGCTAAAGTCCCAGGCACAGTTGGAGCTGTTCCGGGAGCACTGGATGAGGCAGGTCCTAAGAGGGCAGAGGGAAAAAACAGAAGAGATTCAAGCAAGAGCAAAGCAGAAGTCACATCAAATGCACCCACAGGCAAGACTCCAGCAAGTTTTTGGAATAAACTGATGAAATAATGTTATGAAAATCAAGACTGAGAATAACCAAGACACTCTCTTAAAAAAAAAAAGGGAGAACTTACACTATGAGATCTCAAGACTTGCTACAAATCTGTAGTCCTTAAGCACTGTGGCCCTGGAGTAAGAACTGACTGATAGGCCGGGTGCAGTGGCTCACACCTGTAATCCCAGCACTTTGGGAGGCTGAGACAGGCAGATCACCTGACGTCAGGAGTTCGACACCAGCCTGGCCAACATGGTAAAATCCCGTCTCTACTAAAAATACAAAAAAATTAGCTGGGTGTGGTGGCAGGCGCCTGTAATCCCAGCTACTCCGGAGGCTGAGGCAGGAGAATTGCTTGAACCCGGGAGGCGGAGGTTGCAGTGAGCCGAGATCGCGCCATTGCACTCCAGCCTAGGCAACAAGAGTGAAACTCCACCTCAAAAAAAAAAAAAACTTACCGAAAAACCCACACAAATAGTCACTTGACTTTCAGGATAGGTGCTCACCGTTCAATGGCAGGGACAGGGGAGGGTCCTTGGAAATAATGGTTCTGGATATTCATAAGAAGAAAAAATGAATCTTGACTTCCACCTCGCTCCATACACAGAAATTAACTTGAGATGGATAATAGACTTAAATTTGAAAGCTAAAATAATAACGTTTCTGGAAGAATGCAGAGGAGAATATTTTCATGACCTTGAAGTAGCCAAAAAAGTCTTAGGATACAACAGGAACTAATCATGACAGAAAAAGGTGATGAATTGGAAAACAGAAAGAGAGGCCCTTGTATAGCCACAAAGGCAAGGGAGCTGCTTCCACTGAGGTTCTGGAAAACTGCCAGGCTTGCAGGAAGCCCCACCCCAGAGCTACAGACCGAGCTGAAGGGTTCTCCCGAGATGGGTTGAGCAACAGAAATATCACCTGATGATGTGGAGACTGTTCCTGAAGTGCTCCCAGAAACGGCTGGAGCTAAAGACTGAGGACTGCTGGGAAAACTCCCAGAGTTTGAAGAAACTGTTGAGACACTCCCAGAGGCAGTAGGGAGACTTCTAGAGATAGTGGGGACAGTTGCAGAGATAGTGGGGAGACCTCCAGAGACAGAGGGAAGATTTCAGAGACAGTAGGGAAACTTTTGGAAATAGTGGGGACAGTTGCAGAAACAGTGGGGAAACCTCCAGAGATAGTGGGAAGACTTCCAGAAACAGTGGGAGACTTCCAGAAACCGGGGAGAGCTCCAGAGACAGAGGAGAGACTTCCAGAGACAGTGGGGAGACTTCCAGAGACAGGGGAGACCTGGGGATACTGTGTCAGAAGTCCCCAGTAGGGTCAGCTGAACTGTTGAAAAAAGAAGATAAACCATAGAACGGGGTTAGAAGAGTTGGCCATCCCACTGGGTCCCAAATTCATGTCCTTCCTCAAGACCCCCTGTCTGGGCCCAAGTGCTCACTGGGTCCGGCCAAGGCCTGCAGGCCCAGGAGCAGCACCAGCACAGTGTCCATGGCACCAGTTGAAGTGTGTTGGCCAGGCCCATCTCCCAGGCTCTTTAAAGGCTCTGGGGCCTATTATGAGTCCCGGGAGAGCCAGTTGTGCCGGGGCCTCCACCAACACCAGAATCTCCATCCCCAGAGAGAGGTCGCCAAGTTGTCCCAGGGGATTAACCTGTCCCAGCCTGATCCCAGGAAGCACAGGGTGAGGGGGAGAGTGAGTAAGAGCCTGCGGGCTCCCCCACCTGGCCCTTGGGCTCTTCCTGGACTAGGGACCTGTCCCCCAGGTCTGAGTCAATTCACAGCCCAGACCCTCCTTTAAAAGGGGAGACCCAAATGACCTATCCCAAGGTCATCCTCTTGTTCCTAGAAGTACAACCGTTGGAAGTCAGGACGTATGAGTCCCTCAGGGAAGCAGGATTTGGAAGCTGGGGTTGTAGGGGAACCATGAGGGTCTAGGACTGCATCTGACCTTCTGGAAACCTAAGAGTGGGCTGGGAAGGTCAATACCTGAGCCGTCTCTCACCTAGATGGCTGCAGCTCACAGAGCTTTCCATTCCTTTGACAGGGAAGGGGAAAGGGGAGATAAGGGGCACCAAGGAAGACACGTGTCATGTTTGGGGACAGTGTGATATGGAAGGTCAGACCCCAGCTCTGGAGCCAGACAGCCCTGAATCCTCAGAAGCTCAGTACCAGGGCTGAGTCCACTGCACTGGAATCCACCACTGCTGAGCTGTGCATTCTCTGGCAAGTCACAAGGCCTAAGTCTTAATTTCACCTCTAAAATCGGGGTAATCTAGTACCTACTTCACAGGCGCTTATGCGCTATAAAGGAATACTTAGTGATGAGCCTAGCACATGGCTGTAGAAAGTGTGGGGGAGGCCAGGTGCGGTGGCTCACGCCTGTGATTCCATCACTCAGGGAGGCCGAGGGGGTGGATCACCTGAGGTGAGGAGTTGGAGACCAGCCTGGCCAACATGGTGAAACCTTGTCTCTACTAAAAATACAAAAATTAGCCTGCTGTGGTGGCGGGTGCCTGTAATCCCAGCTACTCGGGAGGCTGAGCCAGGAGAAGATTGCACCACTGCACCCCAGCCTGGGCGACAGGGATGAGACGCTGTCAAAAAAAAAAAAAAAAAAAGGAAGGAAAGGAGGGAGGGAGGGAGGGAGGAAGGGAGGGAGGGAGGGAGGGAGGGAGGGCCCTTACTCTTCTCCGAGGAAGATCTCTCTGTGTTCCCAATTCTACCTCCTGCTCGTCCCTCCTGTGCCTGCTGCTCTTCTCCTCCATGCTTTCTTCCCACTGTGGTCTTCCTGTTGTCCTGTGCAAGTCTGGGAGTCATTGGTTGCCTCACTTTACACTTACAGTGCAGACCAGGCCTCTATCTCTGTTTCCCCATCTTGCTTTTGCTCTCCCCACCTCTGCCCAGTGCTCTCTCTGCCTCTGTCTCTCTGTGCTCAGTCCCGCTGGCTTTGGGGAAGGTGGAGAGGCTGCATAGGGAAGTGGCAGATAGGAAGATGCTGGCCTGTGCCCTTGTGTGTTCAAGCAAGTTTCCATGGCTGGTGTGTCTCTTTGTCTGGCTAGAGGGATGGGTTCTAATCTCTCTGCTACTTGTTGGCTGGGTGACCTTAGCAGGTCACTTACCCTCTCTGTGCCTTACTTTCCTAGTTTCTAAAGAGGGTCAGTAACTCCCTCTGCACATCTGTCCTGTGCTTGCCTGTCCCAGCGCTTGCCTGTAGGCATCTCGGCCGGGAGTAGGTGGGTGTCCCCTTTTCATGGGTGCACAAGGCAGGAGTGAGAGGATGTCTGAGGAAACTCGTGTCTCCCCCTGACAATCCAGGATGCGTTAGAGCAAGTAAAACAGAATGTTCAGCAATGGAAGTTCCCATGACCAGATTTCTCATCTAGAAAGCCACCAAGGCTGGGGAAGCAGTGTTCACAGTCCATTATAGACCCAACTCCTTGTTCTACTCCTACTCTTTTCACTACTGCACTTGACTAGTGTTTAAAAAAAAAAAAACCTGAGGGAGCAGGACACCTGGGTTCTGGAAGAAACTTGGCTTAATCCACCCCTCCCTTTTGGGCCCACATTCCTGAGCCCTTCGGTGTCAAGAATGATGAAAATTAGCTGCAGTTAATAATTAATCTCTAAAGATCCTTGGGAGGCCCGGGCATGGGTGGGGGCCCAGACACCTGCAGGAGGGACGCCTCCCTGGTCCCCGCTTCCCTCTCCATTTCCCTGTCTGTAGGACCAGCACTCACTCCCTCAAACCTGGAGACACAAGGGAGGGGTGGGACACAGAGTGGAAGAGAGGGGACTTCCTTCTATTTTCCCCAAAAGCACAGTGAATGGTCCTCTCCTGGGTCCTCTCTTACTGGGAGAACTGGAAAATCCAGTTGACCAGATTCCTCCTCCCATTTCCCCTCAAACACTTATGCTAAGGCTTGAGTGGGGTGTAGAAACAGGCCTGTTAAGGAGAGGCCACCGGGACTTCAGTGTCTCCTCCATCCCAGGAGCGCAGTGGCCACTATGGGGTCTGGGCTGCCCCTTGTCCTCCTCTTGACCCTCCTTGGCAGCTCACATGGAACAGGTGAGGGCTAGAGGGCAGGACTCCTGGGTCCCTGTGGCAAGAAGAGGCCAGAGAAAAGGGGTGGGACTTCATGGTCCCTGAGAGTGACAGAGACACCCCAGTCCTGAGCTTCCAAGAGGCTCTGGAGGGGCATTGCTGGGGAAGAGGAACTGTGCCGGGGAGTGTGAGCAGGAAGGTTCTGTGTCTCCGGAGGAATCAGCCCTGACTGCTGGGTCCTAAGCTGTACTTCTGGATCCGCAGGGCCGGGTATGACTTTGCAACTGAAGCTGAAGGAGTCTTTTCTGACAAGTTCCTCCTATGAGTCCAGCTTCCTGGAATTGCTTGAAAAGGTAGTTCTTTGGAAGGGGAAAGATGGGGCTGTGTGTTTGTGAGTCAGTTTGGGCCTCTGCTGGGGTCTGGATGTCTCCGTGGTGGGAATGGAGAGCTCTCTTACATCGCGCCCTTTAACCCTTTGTTCCCAGCTCTGCCTCCTCCTCCATCTCCCTTCAGGGACCAGCGTCACCCTCCACCATGCAAGATCTCAACACCATGTTGTCTGCAACACATGACAGCCATTGAAGCCTGTGTCCTTCTTGGCCCGGGCTTTTGGGCCGGGGATGCAGGAGGCAGGCCCCGACTCTGTCTTTCAGCAGGCCCCCACCCTCCTGAGTGGCAATAAATAAAATTCGGTATGCTGAATTCAATAACTTGCTTGACTCTGTGGGTCCCTGAGCACAGAGCTGGCAGGAAGTGGGGGTTGGATGCTCAAGTCTCTGACTGTTGCCCTGTTGAGCAGAGGGTTCCAGGGATGGACAATGTCTCCCTCAACACCAGTGTCACAGGCCTACAAGGCATCTGGGGAGTTGTTTGGGGACACACACACCACACACATATACGCATGCATAGGAACACACACCAAATTGAGATCTTTGGAACACCTGGGAATAAAGAGAAGCAACATTTATTGAAGTCCTGCTTTTCTCCTGCATCCCTATTTCGATGCTTGCAGCAGTCTTGAATGTGGCATACTAGGTATCATTATCCTATTTTACAGATAAGGAAATTGAAGCTCAGAGAGGGCAAGTCACTCACCTGAGATCTAATAGCAGTGGAGAAGTCAGGCACTAGACAGAGGTCTTGGTTTAAGCAAGATTTTTATTTCATTTCCCTTTGCTTAAGCATTGGGGCCAGGGGCTCAAAAACCAAAGAAAGAGACATAGGCAGAACACCCCCAGGACATGGTTCCCCTGGCCCATGGATCCACACAGGTAATTGGGGTGGGAGGTGGGTGGGCACTCAGGTGAGAGATGACGGGTTCAGCTTGTGAGAGGATGCCCAGCCAGGCGCAAGTGCTGGGGAGGAGAGGCCAGGTGCAAGCTGAGCCTGTCCTGGTTAACCATGTGAGTATGAGGTGACACCAGCCCACATGTGAATTCCTGGGCATGTTTCTTATCCTCTTGGAGCCTCCATTTCTTCACTCGCAAAATGGGAACAATGATGGTACCTGCTGTAGTGTGACAGGTCCCCTACCAGGTTACTTAACGGTGTATGCCACTGCCTGAATCCTGAAGGCCAGGTGGCGAGCCAAGGTCACGGTGCCTGGCCGAGGAGCAGGTGTCCCTGAGAACCCAAACATCCCGGAGAGTATCTGGGAACCCACCAAGGAAAACAGTCCATTCGCACACACACAGTCGGCAGAGTCAGAAAATTAGCTTGAAAGCAGCTTTAGCATGGGAGGCAGCACGGATCTCTAAAGCTGTCCTGCTGCCATCCAGGAGTGCCTTGTATGTAAGTCCTAAAAAACTCATCTACTCACCAAGCTGGACTTGTCTGAGTCACTTTTTGGCCTCTCAGCTCCCTCCCAGTTTGGGGGAAGGTTTTTGTTGTTGTTGTTTTGTTTTGTTTTTACACAATTCTGAGTTTTTCTCATTATTCCTGCACCATCAGGTTGTTGTGAGGATCACACAGGGAAGCTACTTAGGGACATATCACAGCCTGTCTTATAGGTCGTCGGCAGGATGGTAGGGATTGCTGTTAGGATGGAAACCTGGTCCCAACATATAACTCCTAGTCCCCTGGGGTTCAGGGTCCTCCTTATGCTGATTTCTGAGGCAGGCACTCCTGACCACCTTCTCAAGATTATCTTGGCCAGGCGCAGTGGCTCACTCACGCCTGTAATCCCAGCACTTTGGGAGGCCAAGTCAGGTGGATCACCTGAGGTCAGGAGTTCAAGACCAGCCTGGCCAACATGGTGAAACGCCATCTCTACTAAAAACACAAAAATTAGCTGGACATGGTGGCATGTGCCTGTAGTCCCAGCTACTTCGGGGAGCTGAGGCAGAATTGCTTGAACCTGGGAAGCAGAGGCTGTAGTGAGCCAAGACCATGCACTCCAGCCTGGACTACAGAGCAAGACTCTGTCTCAAAAAAAAAAAAAAAAAAAAAATTGACTTCTCACCAGCTCTCAAAACACAAACTTGCAGCTCAGACTTGAGCAGTGGGGGGTACTGATAGGATTGCTCTCTGTCCTCTGTGGTACCCACTCTGCCCCCCACACCTACACAACCCTCCATTATCTCCATATGAAATTGGAGACTGACTCCTTTGGAGACAGAAGACAACAAGAGTTCAGTATGGAGCATCACTGAAGATGAGGGGAGCATAGAAAATGGCAGGGTGGAAAAAAAACACTTAAAAAATTGGTCTACCTTCCTTCACAACTGTCCTGGGACAATTAGCCCCCAAGGAGAGGTAGCAGGGGGCTCCAAAGGAGACTAGTATTTTATGACTTGCCCCTAGCCTGCAGTAGTGGGCAGGTGACGCCCATGGGGCAGCTGTGAGGATCCCCAAACAAGTTGGGGGACTGGATATCTGAATGTCCAAGAGGTTGGTAGAGCAGACAGCTAAATGCACCTCAACCTGGTTCCTAGACTTCAGGGCCTGAGATCACCAGGATGTGATTTCCAGATTATTTTTCTCAAAGAATTGTCTCCCAAGGCTCAAAACAGAGCAGTGCAGTGAAGAGTGCTTTGGGGTTCACCAGACCTGGGGGTGGCAGAGACTGCTAACTGGCCCCCCTAACAGCCATCCTCCTCCTTTTGGATAGTCATGTAGATTTCAACTCAGCATGTGGATCATTACATTTCCCAGCCTCCCTTGCAGCTAGCTGTGGCCATGTGATCACGTTCTGTCCAATAGGATGCAAGTAGAAAGGAGGTGGGCAACTTTCTGGTAGTATCCTTGAAAAGAAAGGAGCTTCCATTTCAGAGGAGGAAAAGCAAAGTTCTTGAAACAGCCTATAAGGTCTTAGATCAGTGCTTTCCAATAGAACTTTCTGTGATGATGGAAATGTTTTATAACCGTGCTGACGAACATAGTAGCCACTGGCCACATGCAACTACCAAAACACTTGAAATATGGCAAGTACGACTAAGAAACTGAACGTTTTTATTTTATTTAATGCTTTAGGTAGCCAACTGGCTACCATTTTGGACACAAGCCCCAGATTGTCCGCCTTGAGTCTTCCCTACCCCCCACCAATTCCCCACCCTCACCTCTGTTTCTCCACCTCCCACCATCCTCCCCTTCTCACTCTGCCCCACCACACTGGTCTCCAGGCTACTCCTCGAGCTGTCTGACCATGCCTCTATCTGTTTTCCTCTGGCCCTTCCCTTTGTCTGGAACGCTCTTCCTATACCTCCTACAAGCCTTTGCTTAAACCTCACCTTTACAGTGAGTTCTGCCCTGACCCACTATTTAAAAGTACAACCTGCCCCCCGCCACACAAACACATTAGAGTCCCCTTACCTTGTTCTATCCTTTTTCCCTCCCCTGCATTCATGACATTCAAACATAGTATATCGTTCACTCATTTGTATGTTATTTCTGACTGTCCTGCTAGAAGGAAAGTACTACAAGGGCACAGAATTTTGTTTCACTCACTGATGAATCTAAGTGTCCAGAATAAGGCCCAGCCCATCCATAGCAGGTGCTCAAAAAAAAAAAAAAAAAAAAAAAAAAACACCTTGCTGAAACAGAGTAAAAAGAAAAAGAAAACTGCCCATCCCCTTCTTTCCCTCCTCCCTCTGGGTGGAAATGCAGACACGGTGATGGGAGCTGGTGCAGACCTTGGACATGAAGTTTGACAATGCATCAGAATGGCAGGAAAATAAGATTGAAGGAGGTGTGGGCTCCCATTATTGCAGATCTCTGCACTACTTATGCCCAGCAGAAGAAACATCCACCTCATCTAAGCCACCATTATATTTGAAGTTTAGTTACAGCAGCCAGAAAGAGCCTGCACCTAATTTATTGGGTTAGGTCCCAGTGGAGACTTTTCTCTGAGCACACGTCTTCATCTCCAAAATGGGGGCTGGGCGCAGTGGCTTATGCTTGTAATCCCAACACCTTGGGAGGCCAAGGCAGGTGGATTATTTGAGCCCAGAAGTTCAAGACCACCCTGGCCAACATGGCAAAACCCTATCTCTACAGAACAATTTTAAAAATTAGCAGGGCAGGGCTGGGCATGGTGGCTCATGCCTGTAATCCAAGCATTTTGGGAGGCCGAGGCAGGCAGATCACTTGAGGTCAGGAGTTCAAAACCAGCCTGGCCAACATGGTGAAACCTTGTCTCTACTAAAAATACAAAAAAAATTTAGCTGGGCGTGGTGACAGACAACTGTAATCCCAGCTACTCAAGAGGCTAAGGCAGGAGAATCACTTGTACCAGAGAGGTAGAGGTTGCAGTGAGCCAAGATCTCACCAGTGCACTCCAGCCTAGGTGACAAAGCAAGACTCCGTTTCCAAAAAAAAAAAAAAAAAAAAAAGTAGCAGGGCACAGTGGTGCACACCTGTGGTCCCAGCTTCTCAGAAGTCTGAGGCAGGAGGATCACTAGAGCCCTGGAGGTTGAGGCTACAGTGAGCCATGATTATGCCACTGCACTCCAGCCTGAGCAACAGAGCGAGACCCTGTCCCAAAAATAAAGTAAAAATAAAAATCTCCAAAATGGAGCTAACACCCGCCTCATGAGGTTTTCAGTAGGATTAAATGGCATTGTACATCTAGCACCACAGAGGACCCAGCCCAGGACAGGCTACTCAGAGCTGCTGGACAGAATGTACTCTGGGCGTGGAAGGGCCAGGCCCTTGAATTCCATGGAGATGAGATGGTGTTTGGCGTGGGTAAGGTGGCTGGCTGTGCTGTGAATGTGTAACTCAGAGGCTGGGCACTCAGGTGTCAGAGCACAGAAGGTGGGGGCACACCATCTGCAGCACAGCCTGCAGCCCATCAGGTCTGGAGGAAGTCCTACTTCTCTCAGCACCTCTAGGGATACAGCCAAGGAGCGGGGAAGCTTCCATTTAGTGAGAAGTGGAGGAGAAAGAGCCTGCAAAAGCCAGGGCACTGTCAGTTAGTCCAGAAAGTAGGTAGAACCGGAACCACTGTGCCCATACCCTACCCATGACTAGAAAGTTCCTCTTCCTCCAGCGAGGACCCCTCCTCCTCTTTTCCCAGACCAAGCTCTCAGGGGACAACTCAGAAGCACAAAAGTCACCACTGGGAGCAAAGGGGACCAAAGAGCCATAAACAGACATGTTTGGGATTTCAAAAGTTTATCTCAATCTCCTCATTCCCAGACTTCCAGGTGGGAGGCAGGCCGGGCAGTAATGTGAGCATCTCAAGGACACCACAGTCACTGCGACCAAGCCAGTCTGTGTCCTCATTTACACAATGAAGGCGATGGACCACATAGTCTCTGACGTCCCACTGCACCCTGACAGCTGACAAATCTGTTTGTCCTCAAAGACAGGTCTGAGAGGGAGGAAAACTGATGGGGATGATGAGTTAGAGCTCCGGGCTCCCTGGGGCTGGAGGCTCATCCATCAGCTGCTGGAGGTGAGAGGCTGCCTTGTCCAGTTTTGACAATTCCAGCTGGAGGGAAGAAAGCTGGACGAGGAGAAAAGGAGGTGAGGATCCAGGAATGAGGCCCCTCCTGGCCCACATTCCCTCAGGGGTGGAGCCTTCTGGGGGCCTCCCTCAGCCTTACCTTTTGTTGCCTCTGAGTCCCTGCCTCCCCTTCTGATGGGGTCCTGGCTGTGAGGCTATCAAGCTGCTTCTGCAACTTGTACCTTCGGGCGGCTAACAGAGGTAGCTGGATCTGCGGGTCCACCAGGCCCTGGGGAAGAACAGGGAGAAAAGGCTCAGACATCCGCCTGCTGCCAGGCCTCCATCCTCCATTAGAAGGTCCCTTCCCCTACTTTATAGAGCCCAGCCCCTCCCTTCCTCCCAGCATGCTTCCCAAGCCTGCCCTAACCCTCCCCATCCCCTCTGGTCACCTGCAGCTCCATGTAGACTTGAGCCGTGTCACTGAGTGGAGCCTGGGCCCAGCCGGAGGGAGCTGCTGCGCCTGGGGGTAACAGGCCCACAGCCCCACAGTAGCCCAGGGTGCCCAGGGGCTCCAAGAAGGCCTCGAAGAGGCCCTGGTCCCCAGGCTCTGAGCTCTGCAGCAGCACTGGAAAGAAAGAAACTGTCAGGGGCAAGGCCTCAGCTCCTGCCTCCCTTCCTACCCTGCACCTCCTAACGGGGGGGTTGGCCCTTCAGGCTCTGCTCTTTTCCCCACCAGCCCCCTTTTCCTGCAGGGATCCGAGCCCAGGACCCGCCTTGCCTCACCTCGGGGCCGGGCTTTGGTGAGCTGGTACGTGGCTCGGAGAGCCCTTAGCACCTGCACGACCTCTTGGACCCGGGAGAAGCGCCGCTCCAGCTCTGGCTGGCGCCAGTGCTCCTGGCAATGGGGGGGACCCAGAATTGGCAAAGGGGCTCCTGGGAGACTCAGTACCAACCCTGCTGGCTCTCTTCTCGACCCATCCACCCCATCTCCTTAGGGCAATGAGATCTGTCCTCAGCACCACAGAAAATCCACTATCTCAAGGAACATGACAAAAAGTGAGGCGTCATTTAAGAGGTTTTAGATGATCAGTGTTTGATGCCTGTTTAGTTGCTGTGATTGAAATGGCCAACCAAAAATAAATTAGAATTTAAAATGAATTAGTCAAAACTCAAAACCAAATAAGTATAAATTTAAATAGTTAAATTTTAAAATAATTTTTGGGTGAGTTCATAGCATTTATCCTTCTGAAGTTATTAAAGCTGCACTGAGATTTTGGGGACACCCTATTACTAACTTATCCAACCCTCATCACAACCATAACATATACTATTACTGTTCCTAGTTTAAACATGCGGGAAACTGAGGCTCGATCACACAGCTCAAAAATAGCAGTCTAGCAACAGAGTCCTGCTCTTGAGCACTATGCTAATACTGTCCCTCAAGACCCTAGGGTCATCGCAGCAACCCTGCAGGAACAATCCATCTTCCCCAGGGCTCCACAGTAAAGTACGAACCATTCCTGCAGATGAGCCCCCTGCAGCAAACCCCTTCAGAAGGTGCTCCCCCCCATTCACCCACAGACCCACTCCAAGGTGCTTGGGACTCACCAAGCTGCAGGCGCTGGGGTAGGGGGCAACCGAGATGCTGGGGGCAGGGGGGCAACCAGGCCTGGGGGGCAGCCTCTGCCAGAGCTCTTCAGCCAGGAAGGGCATCAGTGGGGCCAGGAGGCGGAGGCCGAGGTCAGCGCAGGAGAACAGGACCTGAGGGGGCCCCAGGGGGCGGGGCGAGTGCCACAGCACGGGCTTCACAGCCTCCTGGAGAGGAAGCCAATGGTCAGAGGACAGGTCCAGGGCCACAGCCCTCCTCCCTACAGCCACTGCTACCCGCCAGCGGGGCAGGCCATGGGTCCTGGGAGAGAGGGACAGGCAGAAGCACTTAGCACTTCTGATATGATCCACAGTCCCAGGACACACTCAGCACAAAGAAGGGGACTCCAGGACAGCAATTCTCTGCAGTACACAGGGACAGGATTTCCAGGGAAACATGTAGTTTAGGGAAAAAAATCATTGAGTTTTTTGCTTATCAACAGGGGACAGAGGTTTTTAAAAGGCTGAGCTAGGGCAGTGGTCCACAGCCAGCAGCAGCAGCACCACTTGGGACAAGAAATGAATATTCATTACACCACCCACCCCCACCCCAACCTGCTAAAGGAGCCACTCTGGGGTGGCAGTGGAGCGGGGGGGATCCACGGTCAACAAGCCCTCCAGGTGCTTTGGACGTAGGACAGCGTGAGAACCCCTGGTCTAAAGACCGCTGCTAGTCCCTCCCAGGCCTCTCTCAGCACGCAGCCTGCCCATGGGCCAAACTCAGCAACTACAGGGACTGAAAAAATTCCCCTCTGCCTTCTGACACCGACTTGTCAGACATTTCTAGAAGTCTCCCTCCTCCTCCTCTCCCCAGGTGACAGGCAGGCAACAGTGCCTGGGCTGCACTGCCAAAACCAGTCCCAGGAAGAGGGGAACTGAGACTCCCTCGTCTCCTCTCCTCTCCTAACTGAGGGGACAATTGGGAACTTATTAACTCCAGAGCTCTCTGCCTTGGAAATTTCCAGAGGAATTAGAAGCAGGCATGGGAATACCAAGCCTCCCCCAGCCTCACTCACCAGGTAGACGTCACAGAGGTTGTGAAGCCAGAAGTGGTGCAGGGCATGAGTGACGAGCGAGAGCTCTCGGGTGAGGAAGCCCCGCTCACACTCCTGGGCAGCCAGGGCAAGGCGGCTCAGGATCCAGGCATCCATCGGGGAGGAGGGAGACAGCTGCAGGCAGAGGGGGCAGGATGGCCTGACTCCCCCTCCCCTGCCTCCTTTCCTTCCAGATGCCACCTTGGCCCTCTGACACCTGACTACCCTACTCCCAAGCACCTCTGTTTTCTCTTACCTCCTCAGCAGGCTGTGGCACAAATTTCTCCCCTAAAGCATTGAGGATAAAGCGAAGAGCATTCCAGATCTTGTTGCAGAAATGTCGGCAGCTCTGGACCTCAGAGACTGACAGGTGCAAGTCGCCCGCTGGAAGGGAAGAATCGAGGTAGTCTGCATGTAGGTGGCAGCAGCACCAGAAGTCCTGCCCCTGCCCTGCCCCTGCACAGGTGCCCGCTGCCCTCTGCTCACCCCGACACCCCTCGCCCAGGCTTACCCTGAACTCCATGGGAGCAGAGTGTGAATCTCAGGGCATCTGTCCCACACTCAGGGATCCCGTGAGGAAAGTCCTTTTTCTGCAACCAGAGGAAGAAGAAGGGTGGCAGATGCCTTTGTGGCTGCAGGGCCAGGACCTGGGTTGCAGAGGAAGCCAGAGGTGGTGAGCTAGAGCTGGTGGGGGGCAGGCAGCGATGACTCACCTGTGCTGCAGCCACAATGGCCAGCTCTGCAGGGTCCAAATTTCCGCTTCTCAGCTTTTCCTGCAGCACCTGGGGATGGAAGGGGGCAATTCACGACCCAGGTCGAAGGCCCTGCCTCTACAAGGGTCACACCTGCTGGCCTCACTCCTCCCTCAGCCTGCCTTCCTCTCTCCTGCAAACCCTGCAAACCTTGTCCCTCTAGTGGGTGCTTCGTCCTCACCTGCATCTCCACCCCACTGATGATGTCTCTTGGGTCCAGCACATTCCCCAGGGACTTGCTCATCTTCCGGCCCTGCCTGTCCCGAACCATGGGATGAAGAAGCACCTGGGGGCAGGGAGGGGTCAACAGAGGGGGGTTTCCTTGGAGGTGCCTTGGGATCTCTGGCCTCCATACTTTTGGGGGTAGGGTAGGAAGTGAATTAGGAAAAAGGAATCAGCAACGTGGAAAGGACCACATTAGGGGTTAGAAGGGAGGACAAGGTTTGGGGAACACTGGAGTCACAGAAAGCGGCAGGGCACTGAAGGGCTCTTACCTTGCTGAAGGGCAGCTGCCCTGTGAGCTGGGTCCCCAACATGACCATGCGGCCCACCCAGAACAGCAGAAGGTCGCTGCCCGTTTCCAAAAGTGACAGGGGGTAGAAACGAGCAAGGTCTGGGGTCTAGGGGGAAGAGGAGCAGTAAGAGGCCCAGGCCCCAGGCCCCCCTCAAGCCTCTGTGGGGGCCCAGCCATCCCTTCCTTATCGTTTCCCCTTCACTTTCGCCCTCTCAACCCACCTCACCTCTTGGGGCCAGCCCAGGGCAGAAAAGGGGAACAGGGCAGAAGAAAACCATGTGTCTAGGACATCAGGATCTGGGAAACAGAAAAAGAATGGGGACAGTTGGAACCTTGGCTTCTAGGACCTCAGACCACTGCTGCCACCATTCTAGGCCAACCCCCACCCCCAGAGACCAGGGCTGTCCCCTTTGGCTCCATTCCCAACTTTCCTGACCCTACCTTCTGTATCTTGGGATCTGTTCCCCTCAAAGGCCCAGATGCCCAGGCCCCCGCTCCCCTGTACATCCCTCCCCAGCTCAGGCACTCACCCCTCTCCAGGGTCAGCTCTGCCCCTGGCCTCCCTGTCAGTTCCGCTGCTACCTCTCTGGCCTCAGCCTCTGACCGCCCAACCACCCAACAGTCCTCTTCTCCCTGCAAAAGTAGGAAGGGGTTGGGGAGAGTGAGGAAGAACAGCTGACAGGTGTAAATGTCACTTGGTTTTCACGTCCTCATGTGGTCTTAGAGTGGCCAGGTTCCCCCAGGGGTGAGATAAAGAAATGCCACTTCAGGGAGCCTTGATCGCGCAGAAGGTTACATGACTATGAGCATGAAGCACATGACCAGGCAGGAGCGGGACTTGGCCCTGCGGAGCTCTGACTCCTGGGCTAGGTGCTCTGTGCCACACTCGGCCCTCCGGGTGCTTCTTCCTACCCACCTGCGCATGGTCCTCTACAACCAGGTAGGCTGGAATCTGATGGCCCCACCACAGCTGCCGGGAGACACACCAGTCCCTGCCGGGAGGACATTCGTGAAGTCTTAGAATAACCAGTCAGTCCCCCCTCCCCATCTCCACAAGAGCTCCCCTTACCCTACCCTTACCCAATATGGGAAAACCAGTGCTGCCAGTTCTTCTGGTGGAAGGAGGGACTGAGCTCCAGGGCCCCCGACTCCACAGCCTGGAGAGAAAGGGGACTTTAGACAATGTTGCCCTTCCTGCACGGCCGCACCTCCACAGATAGGACGAGTGGCCTCTGAGGTCATTTTAAAACTCAGAAAGGACCTCCCAAGCCTCTTGCCAAGATTCTGGGCTTGAGTAAGGATATGAGCCAGCCCTTGCTGGGCCGCCCAGCCTCCATCCCACACATCCTCTCAGTTACCACAGCTGGAGAGGTCTTCAGGGCAGGAGGTCTCCTGCTTCCCATTTCTTCATTCCAATTCTCAGGGAGCTCCCCCAACCCCTGGCCCCAGTCCTTCCTACACTGCAGCCTCACCTTGGCAGCTCGGGCCCCCATTTCCTGGCAGCGGACAAACCACTGGTTCTTCAGCAGGTATTCTATCACATCCCCAGAACGGCTGAAAGAGAGACAGGGTGAGTCCACTGCTCTTCCGGCCCTGTGACTTCTCCCAGGGGCACAAGACCCCATGCCATGCCAGGCCCTTGGTACTGAGGATACAATAGCGAATAAAACCGACACGGAGCTCGTATTCTAACGGAGGGGTGCAGAGCCCATCCTATTGTCACCCTTAAGCTCCATACATTCCCTTTTGGGGTAGCCCTTAGTAAAGGAGTTAAAATGAGGTTACCTGCAGATGGGCAGTACCATGGGGTGGTTCTGGA